>NC_000007.14:80006779-82506779 GCF_000001405.40 Homo sapiens | reverse complement strand
GCTGGCCCGAGCAAAACTCAGTCAAAGGCGCCACCAGCCACAGGTTTCCAGCCAGAAAAGCGACACCCCAGAGATCCCCATAACAGTATCTCAATAAATTTTAGAGAAATAGAAAAAGCAACTAGAATGAGAATAAAGCTGTAATTGATTTTTTAAAAAACAGTCATTTGTATTTGCTTATATTTACTGGGAAATGGAAGTGTTTGGTAGTTTGTGGGTGACACAGTGACCTTTTTGTCTATTTAGATAAAATTGTGAAGAGGCCTTGTTTTGCCACACTTTATCATGGTCTCAGAGTAAACTTCTTTGATGTTGATAATCTGAGAATGTTTACATTCAACAGAACAGCAGCACAGCCTAGCTGTGAGCACCAGGTCAGCTTCTGACAAGAGTTCTTGTGAGTGGCACGCTGGTTTCAGGACGTCAAGGGTTGCTTTTTGCTTTCCCAATTGTGTGTGTGTGTTTTTAAATCAAGACTCAAAATATAGTAATCAGTGAGTTATTTTTAAATTCAATAGTAAATGTTAAAGCAGAATATAGTCTGAAAAATGGTAGCTGAGTCTGGGACAAATATTTTCAGGAAAATAAACATCATTCACACTCACGCATTCATTTGACAAATATATTGAAGGTCTAGTAAATATAGAATTCTATAAGTAGCCCTGAGGGAAATATAGAGATGAGTAAAGGATAGTGATTGTCTTTAAAAAACATACACTTTGGTCATACATATGATAGATATTTCCAACTTCCACCATTTATTATAAATAATGACTATCAGCATATTTATTAACTAATTCTTCGTTTAAAGTTGAATTCTAGGGCTGAGCACAGTGGCCCATGCCTAATCTCAGTGCTTTGGGAGGCCGAGGCAGGCAGATCACTTGAGTCCAAGAGTTCAAGACCAGCCTGGGCAACACGGTGAAACCCCATCTCTACAAAAATTTAGCTAGGTATGGTGGTGTGTGCCTGTTGTCCTAGCTCTCCAGGAGGCTGAGATGGGAGGATCACCTAAGCCCAGGAGGTCAAGACTGCAGTGAGCTGTGAGCCCACCTCTGCACTCCAACCTGGGCAATGGAGTGAGACCCTGTCAAAATAAAAAAATGCTGAATTATAAATAACCACGTGGTAACCTAACCTTGAGAACATTGTCAGAGAAGCTTTGAGGAATTTTTTAGCTTCATATATACATATTGTGAAATTCAAATACTTATTTCCCATAGACTCTTAAGGCTGCTATACAGAGTTGCCAGTAGAAATAAATATATGGCTGAATCTAACCGAAGAAGTCAGGGTTAAATAAAACATTACTAGTAGCTACTCCCCATAAGTATTACCCAGCCATGTAGGCGTTAGCAATGGTGTGCATTTACATTGATTGATGGATGGTATAAAACCAGAATTGTGCCATGCAATCTTGGAAATTCATGTATAAAATAAATATGTCTTGGTAAATTTTTCCCCATTAAGTCATATCAAGATGTGATGGTTGGGCCGGGCGCGGTGGCTCACGCCTGTATTCCCAGCACTTTGGGAGGCCGAGGTGGGCGGATCACGAGGTCAGGAGATCGAGACCATCCTGGCTAACACGGTGAAACCCCGTCTCCACTAAAAATACAAAAAATTAGCAGGGCGTGGTGGCAGGCACCTGTAGTCCCAGCTACTGGGGAGGCTGAGGCAGGAGAATGGCAAGAACCCGAGAGGCAGAGCTTGCAGTGAGCCAAGATTGTGCCACTGAACTCCAGCCTGGGAGACAGCGAGACTCTGTCTCAAAAAAAAAAAAAAAAAAAAGATGTGATGGTTGGAACCACTGTTCTTTTTGCTATTGTCATCAGCCTTTTATATTCAATAAATACGATCCTCCTCTGAAAGGAAATCATTCCCAGGAAAAACACACCATTTAAATGTATTGTTAACAGAAGTAATTGTTATGCAGAAAAATAGCCATTTGCATCACAAGCACATTCTCCTTATTAGTTGCTCCATGGAGGTACAGTTCACTCAGTAAATTTTCCGTAAGCTCGAAAAATTCCAATTAACCTGAATAAGTTAAAGAGTTCTTTCTGGTTTATGGTCATTCTGTTTCCAATAGTCAGGGCATTAAACTTCCTGAAGTTTACCTTAATTTAGCCTTCATGCCTTTCGTTCATTTTCCAATTGTTTCGTTTTGTTTATACTGTTGAATCTTCAGAGTTTCATATTATTCTAGGTACCTATACTAGTTTCAGTCATCATATTGTTGAGTACTTTCACAGTCCTGCCCTCTTTGTATACTCCTTCCTGGAGAGTGATGATAGGAATGTTAGCTCTTTTATTATTGTCCCACAGGTCTCTGCAGTCTTGTCAATTTTTAAAAAATCTATTTTCTCTCTGTTGTTTCCATTCTGCTGTTGATTCTGCTCACTGAGTTTTTATTGCAGTTATTGCATGCTTGAGTTCTGGAATTTCCCTTTGGTTCTTTTTTTTTCATTGTATTTTGTTGCCGTCATATTCTATTTCTTTTCTGAGACTTCCTATTTTCATTTGGTTCAAGCATATTTGTAATGCTTGTTAAAACATGTTTTAAATTTCTGCTTTAAAATATTGGTCAGATATTCCTAACATGTTTGTCATCTCAATGTTTGTATGTATTGATTTTTCCTTTTTATTCAAATTGTGGTTTTCCTTTTTCTTGGAATGATAACATAATATTTTTAATTAAAACCTGGATATTTTGTGAGTCACATTATGAGACTCTGGATTTTATGTAAATCTCTCATAGCTGGCTTTCTCTGATACTGCTGCAGCAGAGGAAGAGAGGGGTGCTACCTTGTTACTGCCGGGTAGGGGTGGAAGTCCAAGTTCTCTCTCAGCCTTCATTGAGATTAAAGAAGACACATTTTTTTGCTCTGCCGGGTATAGGTGGAATACTGGCTCCCTTCTACTGATACCATGTTGCATGATCCCTCTGCTGATACCACAGTGACTGGGAGGGGTAGGAGTGCTTTCTTACTGCTGGTCAGGGTAGGAGTTCTGCCCACCACTGACAGCAGGGCAGAAGTGGCCTCATTATCTCTGGTGTCAGGGAATATGTCCTGATTCTTCATTAGTCCTCCTCTGACCCCACCCTGGTGAAGAGGGGAAAGGCCACCTAGTCACTGCATGAGGTGGAAGACCGTGTACCCCACTTGATTTCCACTGACACTGTGAGAATGGGCACTTCTTATTGCCCAGTGGGGAAGAACATCCTAGCTCCCTACTTGGCCTTCTCTGACACTGTCCAGGAAGGTGGGTAAGGAACGGCATAATTCTAGGCTTCCCACTTAGCCTTTGCTGTCAAGGAGGGCAGGATTGGGGCCACAGTTATTTCTCTGGTGTTTAGCCAGAGTAGAGCAGTTATTTATTGTGTAAAATATTTCCTTCTTGCTAAACCTCCCATTTCCTGATCAATTGGCTACAGAGGTCAGGCTTTCATTGGGTATTTTTGTCTGCCCCTATTTATATTTCCAGTTTGTCACTTTTCCAGCATTTTGTCTGGGATACATGAGGCCAAAAGAAAACTCAGGGAATTTACTATCATGTTTTTTCTCTGGTTTCAGCACCTCTAAGTTGTCTGCCTTTTTTTCTCTACCTTTCAGAGTCTTATTATTTATTTTATATATAATGTCTAGAATTTTTAGCTGTAATTAGTGGAAGAAATATATTTTAAAAATCTATTCCATTTTACTAGAAACAGAAGTCCAAAAACAAATTTATTTTATGTGTTCTAATATGTAACTTGTATTTACTATAAAATTGTATCCATGAGGACAGTGAGACTCTTTGATGAGTAGATGGAAGTCTCATTGAAACCAACTCAATAATCCCATAGACAGTTTTTTTTTGGATAAACATAGAAATTGACCTTTCAGGTTTTAAAGCTTGAAACTTACATTTTGTGTTATCTGAGTTTCTTCCTCAGGAAATGACCTTTGGAGTTCTCAAAATGTATCAAAGAACTGCAAGGCACCAGATTGCTACATCTAGACAATGAGATGCTGGACCCCTCATTAGTCGTGATTGCTTTCTTTTTTTTTTTTTTTTTTTTTGAGACGGAGTCTCGCTCTGTCGCCCAGGCTGGAGTGCAGTGGCGCGATCTCGGCTCACTGCAAGCTCCGCCTCCCGGGTTCACGCCATTCTCCTGCCTCAGCCTCCCGCGTAGCTGGGACTACAGGCGCCCGCCACCACGCCCGGCTAATTTTTTGTGTTTTTTAGTAGAGACGGGGTTTCACTGTGTTAGCCAGGATGGTCTCGATCTCCTGACCTCGTGATCCGCCCACCTCGGCCTCCCAAAGTGCTGGGATTACAGGCGTGAGCCACTGTGCCCGGCCCGTGATTGCTTTCTTACCCTTCCCTAATTCCTGCTTTCCTAACTGACCACTTGCTTTGTGTTAACCAACTCCTCTTCCTTACCCTTCCTAGCTCCAGTTTTCCCACACATAATTACACTTTTTTCCCTGCTATAGAAACCCCCAATTTTAGTTGGTCAGGGAGATGGATTCGAGGTGATCTCATTAAAGCCTTTTTCCCTGACAATACTTGTTGTGTTAGTTATTGGCTTTCTGTGCCGTGAGCAGCAGGACCTGGGTCGAATACCTGGTGTTTTGGTAACAATATAACCTTTAGCATCCAATTTGTTTTAGTAGTTTTTTCAGCATTGCATTGGGAAAATTCTGCTTGACATAAATAACAGTTACCACCATATCCTTTTTTATTGGCCTATCACCCATAAGCCAGATCCTACCTGCTGCTTATTTTGGTAAACAAAGTTGTATTGAATGATAATCACACCTGTTTATTTACATGTTGCTAATGGCTACTTTTCCAGTGCAGTGACATAGTTGAATAGTTGTAACAGAGAATTTATGGCTCATAAAGCTGAAAGTACTTACTGTCTACTCTTTTACAAAAACAAACGTTTTAAATGTTTCACCTTATCATCTCATGACACTATTGTGATAATTCAATCCAGCAGTTGAAATGAGAAATATTTTATCTCAAAGATAAATTACTGTTTTAATAATGTGTTATTTTAGTCAATAATTGGGTCCATGGCCATTTATATGTTCATTAATTGGTGAAAAAATATTTCAGACTGTTTCTTCTTAATCTGACACATTTAATACTGTCAATTAAGGAAAACAATAGATGTCTAACTCCAATTTCAGGGATGACTCATTCTTGCTGATTTAAACTATCTAGGGGCCTACCATTAAACTACCATTAAACGTTTAGAGGAAGGGAGGGCTGAAGGTTGAATTCAATCATGTGGTCAACAATTCAATTATCCATGCCTATTGCGAAACCCCAGTAAAAACTCTGGACACCAAAACTCAGGCGAGTTTCCCTGGTTGACAATATTCTGTACATATTTTTACCCATTGATGTGCTAGGAAGGTGACGTGTACTGACTCACAGGAAGAAGACATAGGAAGCTTTAATCTGGGATCCTCCCAGATCTTACCCTGTCTGTCTTTTCTTTTGGCTGGTCCAATTTATATTATTTTTGCCATCATAACACTGCAATTTGAAGTATAGTCCTTTCCTGAATATGTTCCAGTAAATTATGAAGCCTGAAAAGGTAGTGTAGAAATCTTCAAATGTGTTGCTAGTTGGTCAGAAGTGAGGGTGAACCTAAGAACCTCTGAGCGTGTGGCTGGTGTCTGAAATAACGAAAGTCTTGTGGAGAACTCGGCCCTGAGCCTGTAAAGTTTGGCCTAACTGCAGGTAGTGTCAAGAGCCACTGCAGGTGGTAGCAGTAGAGATCATGTTAAGGAGCAGATTCCAGAAATATTTTTTAGCTAGAGATGAATAATTTACTGAGGAGTAGGCTTAGCAATGTGAAATAGAGACATGAAGAATAATTCCAATGTTTTTAAACTACTTAATTTTGCTCAATAAAACATACAAAGGTTTTATTCATATTTTTTACAATGAAATATAAAAAATGTATATATTTCTATAGCTATATGGCTTTCTCTGTATATTTTGTATGTATATATGAGTCCGGAATTTGTGGGTTCTTGGTCTCACTGACTTCAAGAATGAAGCTGCGGACCCTCGCAGTGAGTGTTACAGTTCTTAAAGGTGGCGTGTCCGGAGTTTGTTCGTTCTGATGTTCAGATGTGTTCAGAGTTTCTTCCTTCTGATGGGTTCGTGGTTTCGCTTCCTCAGGAGTGAAGCTGCAGACCTTCGTGGTGAGAGTTACAGCTCTTAAAGGTAGTGTGGACCCAAAGAGTGAGCAGCAGAAAGATTTATTGCAAAGAGTGAAAAAACACAGCTTCCACCTTCTGGAAGGGGACCTGAGCTGGTTGCCATTGCTGGCTCAGGCAACCTGCTTTTATTCTCTTATCTGGCCCCACCCACATCCTGCTGATTGGTCTGTTTTACAGAGAGCTGATTGGTCCGTTTTGACAGGGTGCTGATTGGTGCATTTACAAACCCTGAGCTAGACACAGAGTGCTGATTGGTGCATTTACAAACCTTGAGCTAGATACAGAGTGCCGATTGGTGCATTCACGATCCCTTAGCTGGACATAAAGATTCTCCAAGTCCCCACCAAATTAACTAGATACAAAGTGCCAACTGGTGCATTCACCAACCCTGAGCTAGACACAGAGTGCTGATTGGTGTGTTTACAAACCTTGAGCTAGATACAGAGTGGTGATTGGTGTATTTACAATCCCTTAGCTAGACATAAAGGTTCTCCAAGTCCCCACTAGACTCAGGAGCCCAGCTGGCTTCACCCAGTGGATCCCACACTGGGGCTGCAGGTGGAGCTGCCTGCCTGGTCCGTGCCATGCACCTACACTCCTCAGCCCTTGGGTGGTCATTGGGACTGGGCGCCTTGGAGCAGGGGGCGGTGCTCATCGGGGAGGCTCGGGCTGTGCAGGAGCCCACGGTAGGTGGGGGGAGGCTCAGGCATGGCAGGCTGCAGGTCCCAAGCCCTGCCCTGCGGGGAGGCAGCTAAGGCCCTGCGAGAAATCGAGCACAGCAGCTGCTGGCCCAGGTGCTAAGCCCCTCACTGCCCGGGGCTTGCGGGCCGGCCGGTCACTCCCAGTGCAGGGCCAGCGGAGCCCACGCCTACCCAGAACTCGCGCTGGCCCGCAAGCACTGCGCGCAGCCCTGGTTCCCACCCGCACCTCTCCCTCCACACCTCCCCGCAAGCTGAGGGAGCCAGCTCTGGCCTTGGCCAGCCCAGAAAGGGGCTCCCACAGTGCAGGGGTGGGCTGAAGGGCTCCTCAAACAGGCCAGAGTGGGCGCCAAGGCTGAGGAGGTGCCGAGAGCGAGCAAGGGCTGCCAGCACGCTGTCACCTCTCATATACATATATAATCATAACAATTATATAATTTACTATATAACTTGTATAATGTAAATATAAACTTGTATAACATCAATATAATTAACAAATATAAATTTATATCACATATACATATTAAAATATTTTTATAATTTGTATATATTTTATGTATATAATTATATATAATTTTTCTAACATAAAAGGAAAATGCCCATACCAAATTATAACCATTTTGATTTCCTCTTTCTGAATTACCTTACGCAAATGCTTTTTTTCTGTTAATCACAAATCATAAATTTCATATACTGCTTTCAATATGTTCAATAACTACTTGAAGGTTGAGATAATATAGTATAATATGACTTATCTTGAGGTTAATATTTAACTATATACATTGTTATATTTTCTGCATTTTTTTTTTTTTTTGAGATGGACTCTCACTCTGTCTCCCAGGCTGCAGTACAGTGGTGCCATCTCGGCTCACTGCACCCTCCACCTTCTGTGTAGTTCTGCCTCAGCCTCCTGAGTAGCTGGGACTACAGGAGCGTGCCACCACGCCCGGCTAATTTTTTCTATTTTTAGTAGAGACGGGGTTTTGCCACGTTGGCCAGACTGGTCTTGAACTCCTGGCCTCAGGTGATACACCTGCCTTGGCTTCCCGAAGTGCTGGGATTACAGGCGTGAGCCACAGCACCCAGCCTGCGTTTTTCTATTCTTAATATAGAGCTTGTTTTTATAGGTAATTTTTTCAACATCACCAAAAAGAATGAATAGAAAAAAGAAAAAGAAGAACTCTCTTTATAGCAAACAATAGGCAAGTTCTTTCCGCCTTATAAAAAATATGGCATAGTTTAAATTGGGGCAATTTCTATTCCCTATTTGAAGTAAAGAACCCCTTTGGGCATTAAAGCCAAGATCCACCAAGAGTATGTTTGGGAAGGAATGAACAAAGTAAAGAGGGAACTACTCCTCTGCCAAGAAAGTAAGAGAAATTGTTTAATTATAACTCAAGGGACTGAGGGTGTCCAGCTGAGGGAATTTGAAATAGAGTCAGGGGAGTACAGCTATGAGGAGAAAAGAGACAAAAGCCCCAGGCGCACAGCAGAAGGCTGTGGGTACACAGAGCTCCAAGACCAATAAGAAATTACATAGAAAGAACTGATTAAGTATCCAAAAATAATGAAGTCTAGCATTGCATTTGAAGTTTTTGCTTTTTTGTGTTTGTGTTCCAAGCAGGCTTCTGATTGCCAATCTATATCAGCAAGACTTTAGTAAAATTATTTACAAGAAAATTTTTTTAAGCAGTGCTTTGGAGAAATAAAGAACTGAAGTAGTATTCAGCCTGAGGCAAAGTGGGTAGAGCAAGATGAGATCCAAAAAATGGTGGAGCAGGTGAAGTGAAGCCCAAAGTTAAGGTATAAAATAAAAGTAACCTAATTCCTATCCATTCTCCCCTGAAATACTGGGATGCTAGTCATAATACGAGAGATGGGACTCATTCTGCTATTCTATAAGTATTAAAATTAATGCTGATCCCAGAAAGCAGAAGGATTTGGGATTTGTCCAATCAGAAGAAAATATGAGTATACATGTCATACGAGATTCCCTCCAAATGACAGTTAACACTGAAAATAACCAAAGTATCAAATCATGAAGATATTCACTTATTAAATGCAGTCAAAATTGTCTGGAGTGCTGTCATGAGAATAAGCCTCGGGCAAATGTACCCACAACTTGCCTGGCGTGGATGGTGCCTCCTTATGTGATTTTACATGAGTAAAAGTGCACAGTGTCTGAACTATTTTTAAAAAACCATGCAAAGTAGCTGGGCATGGTCGCTCATACCTGTAATCCCAGCAACCCTAGGAGGCTGAGGCAGAAGGGTAGCTTGAGGGCAGGAGATCAAGACTAGCCCGGGCAACATACCAGGACCCTGTCTCTACAAAAAAAAAAAAAAATAGCCATGTGTGATGGCACCTGCCTGTAATCCTAACTGCTTGGGAGGCTGAGGTGGCAGGATGACTTGAGCCCAGCAGCACCCATTATATGTATGATTGGCTTCCACTGTTGTTCCAATTGGAGCTGTTTTTAGTTTTATTTTATAACTGTAATGCATTTGTGTGCAAATTTAAATATATTCAAAGTGAAATATACGTCAAGAATTTGTGAATCACAGAGCATTCCACAAAACAGTTTGGAAACGCCTATGCTAGGTGATGCACCTGGAGCACCCCTATGCTAAAGAGTAAAAGGATCTACTGGTAAAAAGTTGATGAAGCAAGTATGGATGGGTGATAAATTCCAATTATATGGGAAAACTTATTTTCTTTTACATGCCATAAACTTTGCATCATCTTCAGCCATGGTGTAGTGGAAATTTTCACACATGGGTGTGATGATTTCAAAATAACTTGCCTTTGCTTTCTTGCCCACTGTTCTTGCTTAGTGACACAGTGTATTATGGACTGAATTGTTCCCCTCCCACCCCTACTCCCCCAAATTTTTATATGTTGAAGCCCTCATTCCCAGTACCTCAAAATATGACTAGATTTGGAAATAATCCCTTTAAAGAGTTAAGATTAAGTGAGTTCATTGAGGTGAGTCCTAATCTAACATTACTGAGGCCTCAGGTAAGTCCAAACCTGCCAACACCTTGATCTTGAACTTCCAGCCTCCAGAACTGTGAGAAAATAAATATCTGGCCGGGTGTGGTGGCTCACGCCTGTAATCCCAGCACTTTGGGAGGCGGAGGCGGGTGGATCACGAGGTCAGGAGATCGAGACCATCCTGGCTAACATGGTGAAACCCCCTCTCTACTAAAAAATACAAAAAATTAGCCGGGCGTGGTGGCAGGCGCCTGTAGTCCCAGCTACTCGGGAGGCTGAGGCAGGAGAATGACGTGAACCCAGGAGGTGGAGCTTGCAGTGAGCCAAGATCTTGCCACTACACTCCAGCCTGGGTGACAGAGTGAAACTCTGTCTCAAAAAATAAATAAATAAATAAATAAATAAATTTCTTTGGTTTAAGCCGCCCAGTCTGTGGCACTTTGTTATTACAGCCCTACCAACTAATACAATATGTAAAGATCAAGTCCATTTAGAAGTGTGTTTGTTGGTTTGGAACTGAACAAAACTGTCTGGTACATACTTATCAAATCCATGATTTACTGTTATTACTGTAAAGTCATAACCAATTATACTGTCATAGAGATGTGTGCAGAAAGGTATCATGAAAGGAGCACAAAGTCCACTTGGACAAACTTCGGGAGACTTAGCAAGGATACTGTCATGTTTAGAGAGTGCTGTGGTTTAAATATCCCCTCCAAAACTCATGTTGAAATGTAGTTCCCACTGTGACAATATTTAGAAGTGAGATCATTCACAGGCAATTATCCTCATGAATAGATCAATTTTGTTATACCAGGAGTGGGTCCCTGATAAAAATGAGTTCTGAGGCCTCTTCTCTTGATCTCTCTTGTGCTCTCTCACCCTCTCTCCCTCCACCATAGGTTGATACAGCAAGGAGGCCCTCACCAGATGCTAGCACTTTAATAGTAGACTTCTCAGCCTTCAGAACTAAGAGGAATAAATGTATTTGCTTTGTAAATTATCCAGTCTGTGGTATTCTCTTATAGCAACACAAAATGAACCAAGACAGAGAGTTATATTTATTTTTGATATTATAATGCTTTTTTCCCTTAAAACAAGACATTATATTTGAGAGGTTGTTGACCATGAAAAAAGATAAACACAGATTTTTTAAACATGTTTGTGGATATAGAAACTTTCTACAATGTATTAATATTTACACTTGATAAATACTGGGGTAGTTACAGTGTGATCCTGGTCACACTTCTGGGCATTATGGTACCTTGGACTTTTAAAGCATATTTGTTAGCGTTTATAGAAGACTAAATGAACACTATGCTTTCAATAACTACATTGTCACTTAAATTCAGAGAATTGGATGCAGTCCTGACCTGACAATGCCACAGCTTGGAACAGTTTCATGTGTATATGTCAACTCACAAAGAGCTATGCTTATGTGAAGTGATTGGTTAGACTAGATGTTCAAATAAGTGCATACGGCTTCAAAAAATCTGTAGATCTTAATTTAGACAGAAAAATTATAAACTTTAACTGAAAAATTCTTGAAGGGATGGAAATGGCATGTGTAAACAAACACTAGTCACTAGTGGTAAAAACTTAAAGAATTTTTAATGTCATTTTAAAGTTACTACTGTAAAGGTTTGGACTTACCAATTAAGAGCAAAAGACAAGTGGTGACGTATATATATTTTTAAAGCCAGCTTAGTTAAATCCTTTAACAGTCTGTGTTTAATGGTTTTTCCGGCACAAAACAACTCCATTACAGGTGACAGAAAGAAATCAGTAATTATAAAACTATAATACCATCTTTTAGCAAAAGTCATAGAACATGAGGCTAACATGGCGGTAATTATATGAGTAAATTTGAAAGAGCAATAGATGTTTTTAGTAAAGGAATTGTATGTTGCTGTTGAATTTTTTTCAAACTCTTTCAAAGATTTATATAAAACCAGCCAAAAGCTTGATGATCTGTCAGCAAGTCTATATTGTACGAAAATCAGGACCAATATACAGAGTTTAATATAAAGGAACTAAAGGAATGTGTTATTTTGTATTATGTTTAATGTAAACATTGAAATTAATTGAATGATACCAATGTATGAATTTTCAAGATTTGTAGTTGTTTAAATTACCATCACTTTGGTTTTCAGGTCATAAAAGGACATTTAATTACATCAACTAGAGTCATGCAAGAAGAGTGCACTCATTTTGAATCTATAAATGGATATGAGCTAATTGGTCTAACTGGCTAAGAACCCAGTGCTATTTAAAGGTGTGGAAACTTTCTTGAATAAACGTATTAAAGATAGTAAGAAAGTTATTTTTAACATTTTTTTAAAGCAGAGGGCATAGCAATTATTTGGGTTTATCTGTGGAAGTTGGTCATTGCTACTTAAAACTTACACTCATATTCAATTAACAAATCTCAAGGCACACTGCTATGGATATAAAAAATTATGATAAATAATTTCTGCTTCTTAAGAAGTGTATGATGTTGTTGGAAGTATAAGACATATTCACATGAAATACAATTTATGCAAAACAGTGAAATTGCCAGAAAAGTTACAACATAAGATCGATATTTCTGACCTATGAAAGCAAGATAAATTTATTCACTGTAAGTATAAGATGAGCTGGCCCTTGAAGGATATGTCACAATTGCATATGATAAGGAGAAGGTGGTTTTGACAAAGCAAAGGATCAAGAAATCATTGTTGGGCCAGGCGCGGTGGCTCATGCTTGTAATCCCAGCACTTTGGGAGGCCAAGGCGGGTGGATCACGAAAACATTGTGGATGTTTGGAATTGATGAGTAGATATATTTCCCAGGATATCTGAGTAGGTGTGATAGAGCTGGAAAAATAGGATTGGGTTTAGTTGTGAAGAATATTAAATGCCAGATTGAGAAATATGGATCTCAAACATTGTTTTAATATTTTTGTGTGTTTCCTCAGTTACTACTTCTACAAATCCAAACAGAAACAAGATGTGGAGGAGTTAAAAGTAGATGAACTTGTTTACCTGCAAAGAGCAGTTGTTCATCATATGCCTCTTTACTTTTACCTGAGGATTTTGTGAAAGTAAGTTGAGTAGAAATTTTAAACAATTGGTTAAAATGATAATATAAAAGTCTTCCTATGTCTTAAGAATGAACTCAAGTCTCTAAAAGAGGATTTCTCAACTGTACGGCATCATACATGTCAGTTGAAACCTCCCCTGAGATAAATCCTCAATATTACCTGATGATAGGTGGTGAAACTTTGTGATTTTCCTGCCCAGCAACCTTTCCTTCTATCTCAATTCTGTTTCACTTTTCCCATTGTATATCATTTGGCAGAATTGCCAATTAAAGTGCTCGACCTTCCCTATCATTAAGAGGAACACTTGGCCAGGTGTGGTGGCTCAAGCCTGTAATCCCAGCACTTTAGGAGTCCGAGGTGGGCGGATCACGAGGTCAGGAGTTCTAGACCAGCCTGGCCAACATGGTGAAACCCCGTCTCTACTAAAAATAAAAAAATTAGCTGGGCATGATGGCAGGTGCCTGTAATCCCAGCTACTCGGGAGGCTGAGACAGGAGGATCATTTGAACCCAGGAGGTGGAGGTTGCAGTGAGCTGAGATCACACACCACTGCATTCCAGCCTGGGTGACAGGGTGAGACTCCATCTAAAAAAAAAAAAAAAAAAGGACACTGGCAAGGTGGCTGAATAGGAACAGCTCCAGTCTCTGCAGCTCACAGCAAGATTGACGCAGATGAGTGATTTCTGCATTTCCAACTGAGGTACTTGGTTCATCTCATAGGGACTGGTTTGGACAGTGGGTGCAGCCCATGGAGGGCGAGCCGAAGCAGGGTGGGGCATCGCCTCACCTGGGAAGTGCAAGTGGTCAGGGATTTCATTCCCCCAGCCAAGGGAAGCCTTGAGAAACTGCACCAGGAGAAAGGGTGAACTCCAACCCAGATACTGTGCTTTTCCCACAGTCTTCGCAACGGATAGACCAGGAGATTCCCTCCAGTGCCTACACCACCAGGGCCATGGGTTTCAAGTACAAAACTGGGTGGCCCTTTGGACTGTTTTCCCATATCCCAGTGGCACCTGGAACGCCAACAAAACAGAACTCTTCACTCCCCGGGAAAGGGGGCTGAAGCCAGGGAGCCAAGTGGTCGGGCTTGATGTGTCCCACCCCCAGAGAACCCAGCAAACTAAGATCCACTGGGTTGAAATTCTCGCTGCCAGCACAGCAGCAGTCTGAGATTGACCTGGGACCCTCGACCTTGGTTGAGGGAGGGGCGTCCGCCATTGCTGAGGTTTGAGTAGGTGGTTTTATCCTCTCAGTGTAAACAAAGCCACCAGGAATTTCTGTCTTGGCGGAGCCCACCGCAGCTCAGCATGGCCACTGTGGCCAGACTGCCAGATTTCTCCTCTCTGGGCAGGGCATCTCTGAAAAACAGGCAGCAGCCCCAGTAAGGTACTTGTAGATAAAACCCCCGTCTCCCTGGAACTGAACACTTAGGGGAAGGGGCAGCTGTGGGTGCAGCTTCAGCAGAATTAAACGTCCCTGCCTGACAGTTCTTAAAAGTGCAGTGGACCTCCCAGATCAGCGTTCAAGCTCCGCTAAGGGTCAGATTGCCTCCTTAAGTTGGTCCCTGACCCCTGTGTATCCTAACTGGGAGGCACCTCCCAGTAGGGGCTGACAGACACCTCATACAGGAGAGTTCTGGTTGGCATCTGGCAGGTGCCCCTCTGGGACGAAGCTTCCAGAGGAAGGAACAGGCAGCAATCTTTGCTGTTTTGCAGCCTCCGCTGGTGATACCCAGGCCAACAGGTTCTAGAGTGGACCTCCAGCAAACTCTGGCGGATCTGCAGCAGAGGGGCCTGACTGCTAGAAGGAAAACTAACAAACAGAAAGGAATAGCACACCACTCAGAGACCCCATCCGAAGGTCACCAACATCAAAGACCAAAGGTAGATAAATCCACAAAGATGGGGAGAAACCAGTGCAAAAAGGCTGAAAATTCGGAAAACCACCATGCCTCTTCCCCTCCAAAGGATCATAACTCCTTGCCAGCAAGGGAACAAAACTGGATGGAGAATGAGTTTGACGAATTGCCAGAAGTAGGCTTCAGAAGGTGGGTAATAACAAACTCCTCTGAGCAGAAGGAGCAAGTTCTAACCCAATGCAGGGAAGCTAACAGCCTTGAAAAAAGTTTAGATGAATTGCTAACTAGAATAACCAGTTTAGAGAAGAACATAAATGACCTGATGGAGCTGAAAAACACAGCACAAGAACTTCGTGAAGTATACACAAGTATCAATAGCTGAATCGATCAAGTGGAAGAAAGGGTATCAGAGATTGAAAATCAACTTAATGAAATAAAGTGAGAAGACAAGATTAGAGAAAAAAAAATAAAAAGCGATGAAAAAAGCCACCAAGAAATATGGGACTTTGTGAAAAGACCAAATATACTTTTGATTGGTGTACCTGAAAGTGACAGAGAGAATGGAACCAAGTCGGAAAACACTCTTCAGGATATTATTCAGGAGAACTTCCCCAACCTAGCAAGACAGACCAACATTCAAATTCAGGAAATACAGAGAACACCACAAAGATACTGCTCAAGAAGAGCAACCCCAAGACACATAATCGTCAGATTCACCAAGGTTGAAATGACGGAAGAAATTTTAAGGGCAGCCAGAGAGAAAGGTCAGGTTACCCACAAAGGGAAGCCCATCAGACTAATGGTGGATCTCTCAGCAGAAACCCTGCAAGCCAGAAGAGAATGGGGGCCAAAATTCAACATTCTTAAAGGAAAGAATTTTCAACCCAGAATTTCATATCCAGCCAAACTAAGCTTCATAAGTGAAGGACAAACAAAATTCTTTACAGACAAGCAAATGCTGCGAAATTTTGTCACGACCAGGTCTGCCTTACAAGAGCTCCTGAAGCAAACACTAAACATGGAAGGAACAACTGGTACCAGCCACTGCAAAAACATATGAAATTGTAAAGACCTTCAACACTATGAAGAAACTGCATCAAATAACAGACAAAATAATCAGCTAGCATCATAATGAAAAGGTCAAATTCACACATAACAATATTAACCTTACATGTAAATGGGCTAAATGCCCCAATTAAAAGACAGACTGGCATATTGGATAAAAAGTCAAGACCCATCAGTGTGCTGTATTCAGGAGACCCATCTCACATGCAAAGACACACGTAGGCTCAAAATAAAGGGATGGAGGAATATTTACCAAGCAAATGGAAAGCAAAAAAGAGCAGGAGTTGCAATCCTAATTTCTGATAAAGCAGACTTTAAACTAATAAAGATCAAAAGCGACAAAGAAGGGCATTACATAATGGTAAAGGGATAAATGCATCAAGAAGAGCTAACTATCCTAAATATATAGTCACCCAATACAGGAGCACCCAGGTTCATAAAGCAAGTTCTTAGAGAATTACAAAGAGACTTAGACTCCCACATAATAATAGTGAAGACTTTAACACCCCACTGTCAATATTAGACACATCAACGAGACAAAAAATTAACAAGGCTATTCAGGACTTGAACTCAGCTCTGGACCAAGTGGACCTAAAAGACATCTACAGAACTCTTCACCCAAAATCAACAAAGTATACACTCTTCAAGCCACCTCATCTCACTTATTCTAAAATTGACCACATAATTGGAAGTAAAACACTCCTCAGCAAATGCAAAAGAACAGAAATCATAACACTCTCTCAGACTACAGCACAATCAAATTAGAACTCAAGATTAAGAAACTCACTCAAAACTGCACAACTACATGGAAACTGAACAACCTGCTCCTGAATGACTACTGGGTAAATAACAAAATGAAGGCAGAAATAAAGATGTTTTTTGAAACCAATGAGAACAAAGACACAATGTACCGGAATCTCTGGGATACATTTAAAGCAGTGTGTAGAGGGAAATTTATGGCACTAAATGCCCACAAGAGAAAGTAGGAAAGATCTAAAATTGACACCCTAACATCAAAATTAAAAGAACTAGAGAAGCAAGAACAAACAAATTTAAAAGCTAGCAGAAGGCAAGAAATAACTAAGATCAGAGCAGAACTGAAGGAGATAGAGATACGAAAAACCCTTCAAAAAATAAATGAATCCAGGAGTTGGTGTTTTGAAAAGATCAACAAAATAGGTAGACTGTTAGCCAGAATAAAAAAGAAGAAAAAAGAGAAGAATCAAATAGACGCAATGAAAAAATGATATAGGGGATATCACCACTGATCTCATAGAAATACAAACTACCATCAGAGAATACTATAAACACCGATACGCAAATAAACTAGAAAATCTAGAAGAAATGGATAAATTCCTGGACACATACACCCTCCTAAGTCTAAAGCACGAAGAGGTCAAATCCCTGAATAGACCAATAACAAGTTCTGAAATTGAGGCAGTAATTAATAGACTACCAGCCAAAAAAAGTCCAGAACCAGATGGATTCACAATCGAATTCTACCAGTGGTACAAAGAGAAGCTGGTACGATTCCTTCTGAAACTATTCCAAACAATAGAAAAAGAGAGACTCCTCTCTAACTCATTTAATAAGGCCAGCATCATCCTGATACCAAAACCTGGCAGAGACACAACAACACAAAATTTTTAGACCAATATCTCTGATGAACATCGATGCAAAAATCCTCAGTAAAACACTGGTAAACCAAATCCAGCAGCGCATCAGAAAGCTTATCCATCGTGATCAAGTCGACGACATCCCTGGGATGCAAGTCTCATTCAACACATGCAAATACATAAACATAATCCATCACATAAACAGAACCAATGACAAAAACCACATGGTTACCTCAATAGATGCAGGAAAGCCCTTTGACAAAATTCAACAGGCCTTCATGCTAAAAACTTTCAATAAACTAGGTATTGATGGAATGTGTCTCAAAATAATAAGAATTATTTATGACAAACCCACAGCCAATATCATACTGAATGGGCAAAAACTGGAAGCATTCCCTTTGAAAACCAGTACAATAGCTGGATGCGGTGGCTCACGCCTGTAATCCCAGCACTTCGGGAGGCTGAGGCAGGCAGATCAAAAGGTCAGGAGATTGAGACCATCCTGCAAAAAAAAAAAAAAAAAAAGAAAAAAAAAAGAAATTGACTAAGGGAGAGTTTCTTGACATGAAGATTCTTTCCCATGGTAGCAAATTCTTGACAAGGACTTGTGAGATGGTGCTAACCTGCTGTCATGTTAGCCTTGGGAGCTTGAAAAGCGATGACCTACTTTTGTTGAAGTAGAAATGCAGAATGAACTTTTTGTTTAACTAGAATTGTCCTTTTCCAACCTAACTGACAAAGTCCTACTCATTCTTTAAGATCAAGATCCAAATGTGTTCCATTACTCATTATACCAAATAAAATTAATCACTCCATTACAATCTTACGGCACTATTATGGGAATTACTTACATTCTTCTCTCTACCTGTATATGATAAAATAATAAAAAGTATAAAAAATGGCTAAAAAAAAAAAAAGAAAACCCATCTCTATTAAAATACAAAAAATTAGCCGGGCATGGTGGTGGGCACCTGAAGTTCCAGCTACTTGAGGAGGCAGGAGAATGTCATGAACCCAGGAGGCAGAGCTTGCAGTGAGCCAAGATCACACCACTGCACTCCAGCCTGGGCAACAGAGCGAGACTCCATCTCAAAAAAAAAAAGAAAGAAAACTGGCAGAAGACAAGACAAGGATGCCCTCTCTTACCACTTCTATTCAACATGGTATTGGGGGTTTCTGGCCAGGGCAATCAGGCAAGAGAAAGAAATAAAGGGTATTCAAAAACGAAAAGAGAAAGTTAAATTGTCTCTGTTTGCAGATGACATGATTGTATATTTAGAAAACCCCATCATCTCAGCCGAAAATCTCCTTAAGCTCATAAGCAACTTCAGCAGTCTCAGGATACAAAATCAATGTGCAAAATCACAAGCATTTCTATACACCAATAACAGACAGAGAGCCAAATTATGAGGGAACTCCCATTCACAATTGCTACAAAGAGAAAAAAATACCTAGGAATACAACTTACAAGGAGTGTGAAGGACCTCTTCAAAGAGAACTACAAACCACTGCTCAAGGAAATAAGAGAGGACACAAACAAATGGAAAAACATTCCATGCTCATGGATAGGAAGAATCAATATCTTGAAAATGGCCATACTGCCCAGAACAATATATAGATTTAATGCTATTCCCATCAAGTTACCATTGACTTTCTTCCCAGAATTGGAAAAAACTACTTTAAACTTCATACGGAACCAAGAAAGAGCCTGTATAGCCAAGACAATCCTAAGCAAAAAGAACAAAGCTGGAGGCATCATGCTACCAGACCTCAAACTATACTACAAAGCCACAGTAACCAAAACAGCATGGTCCTTGTACCAAACCAGATATATAGACCAATGGAACAGAACAGAGGCCTCAGAAATAACACCACACATCTACAACCATCTGATCTTTGACAAATATGACAAAAACAAGCAATGAGCAAGGGACTCTCTATTTAATAAATGGTGTTGGGAAAACTGGCTAGCCATAGGCAGAAAACTGAAACTGTGCCCCTTCCTTACACCTTATACAAAAATTAGCTCAAGATGGATTAAAGACTTAAACATAAGACCTAAAACCATAAAAAGCCTAGAAGAAAACCTAGGTAATACCATTCAGGACATAGACATGGGCAAAGACTTCATGTCTAAAAACACCAAAAGCAACGGCAACAAAAGACAAAATTGACAAATGGAATCTAATTAAACTAAAGAGCTTCTGCACACCAAAAGAAACTATCATCAGAGTGAACAGGCAACATACAGAATGGGAGAAAATTTTTGCAATCTACCCATCTGACTAAGGGGTAATATCCAGAATCTACAAAGAACTTAAACAAATTTACAAGAAAAAAATAAACAACTCCATCAAAAAGTGGACAAAGTATATGAACAGACACTTCTCAAAAGAAGGCATTTATGCAGCCAACAGATATATGAAAAAAAGCTCATCATCACTGGTCATTAGAGAAATACAAATCAAAACCACAGTGAGATACCATCTCACACCAGTTACAATGACGATCATTAAAAAGTCAGGAAACAACAGATGCTGGAGAGGATGTGTGAGAATAGGAATGCCTTTACACTGTTGTTAGTAGTGTAAATTAGTTCAACCACTGTGGAAGATAGTGTGGCAATTCCTCAAGGATCTAGAGGTAGAAATACCATTTGACCCAGCAATCCCATTACTGTGTATATACCCAAAGGATTATAACTCATTCTACTATAAAGACACATGCACACATATATTTATTATGGCACTATTCACAATAGCAAAGACTTGGAACCAACCCAAATGTCCATCAATGATAGACTGGGTTAAGAAAATGTGGCACATATATACCATGGAATACTATGCAGCCATAAAAAAGGATGAGTTCATGTCCTTTGCAGGGAGATGGATGAAGCTGGAAACCATCATTCTCAGCCAACTAACACAAGAGCAGAAAACCAAACACCGCATGTTCTCACTCATGAGTGGGAGTTGAACAATGAGAACACATGGACACAGAGAGTGGAAGAGCATACTCCAAGGCCTGTTGGAGGTGGGGGGCTAGGGGAGGGATAGCATTAGAAGAAATACCTAATGCAGGTGATGGTTTGATGGGTGCAGCGAACCACCTTGGCACATGTATAACTGTGTAACAAAACTGCGTGTTCTGCATATGTACCCCAGAACTTAAAGTATAAATAAATAAATAAATAAATAAGAAAAAAAAAGGAACACTTGACCCAAGACCAATCAGATGCCCTGTCTTTAAATCTGATACCTTAGCAGAATGTCACAAACAATGAAACTCTGAGGCACAATGTCTCAATTCGTGGCACCCTAAATAGGCTGTTCAACAGTTTCTCTTAGCTCATCTCCAGGAGCTGTTCTAGTTTTGGTGCAAAGGGACACTAGTTTTTCAGTTTTCTCTGCATACAGCGAGTTGTCCCATATGCCTCCAAGAAATTCATTTTTTGCTTATGTTTTCCACAAAGAGTTTCCAAGTCTTGCAACTAAGAATTCTGTCTGGTACTGGGCAACTTCTAATAGTGGTTAGGTGGTTTCAGTATGACATGCTATTGTTAATGGATTATACTGAAGATCTAATAGGCAAAATGACAATATAATTTATTGTCTTAAACTGGAACACTTTTGAAAGTCAAAGTGAATATCACTAAAAATTAAGCTATGACAACAGGTGTAAAATAAGACCAGGACATAGGTTTTACCCTTACTCATAGTGTATCTTGTATAAAGGATCAGATAAACAAGCTCTTGTTTATATTTTGATTCCTTTATTTTTAAGAAGTGAGAAGGAATGGGCTGGTCACTGAACAATCATCTGCTTCTAAAAAATTTTGAGGATGTCGCTCCTAAGATTCCAAGATGGCGGTTTGCCATCTTGGGAATTTACCTGGCCTTATAGTTCAAGTCTTACAGGGAAGTGTTAAAAAATAATAGCTGAGGTTGTTACTTTAGCCAGATGTATTAGTCAGGGTTCTCTAGAGGGACAGAACTAATAGGATAGATGTATATATAAAGGGGAGTTTATTAAAGAGTACTATCTCACATAATCACAAGTTCCCACAACAGGCTGTCTGCAAGCTAAGGAGCAAGGAAACCAGTCCAAGTCCCAAAGCTGAAGAACTTGGAGTCCAGTGTTTGAGGGCAGAAGCATCCAGCATGGGAGAAAGATGTAGGCTGGGAGGCTAAGCCACTGTAGTCTTTTCACATTCTTCTGCCTCCTTTTATTCTGGTTGCACCTGCAGCTGATTAGATGGTACCCACCCAGATTAAGGGTGGGTCTGCCTTTCCCAGCCCACTGACTCAAATGTTAATCTCCTTTGGCAACACCTTCACAGACACACCTGGGAACAATACTTTGCATCCTTCAATCCCATCAAATTGACACTCAGTATTAACCATCACACCAGGTAATAAAGATATAGGCATTTCTTTACATTTTTACTGAATCATTAATGTCCTATACTTTAATAGTGAACAGAGGGGAAAAAAATAAACAACAAAACCCAACAAAAAGAAAAATAACAGATTAATGCTCTGGACAATCTAGAGCACAATCTAGGTTCAGGGGGCAACTCATCCCTCTAATCCCAGTCCTTTGGAGGACAAGGCAGGAACGTCACTACTTGAAGCGAAGCCTTTGAGATCAGCCTGAGCAATGTAATGAGACTCCCGTCTCTACCAAGAATTTAAAATTTACCTGGGAGTAGTGGAACATGCCCAGAGTCCTAGCTACTGGGAAGCGTGAGGTGGGAGTATTGCTTGAGCCCAAGAGTTCAAGGTTAAAGTGAACTATGATTGTGCCATTGCATTCAACCCTGGGTGACAGAGTGAGACCCTGTAAAAAACAAAACAAAACAAAAAAACTACTATCTATAAGATGTTGCCTTGGCCAGCGTGGTGGTTCACACCTGTAATCTCAGCACTTTAGGAGGCCGAGGCAGGCAGATCCCTTGAGCTTAGAAGTTGGAGACCAGCCTGGGCAACGTGGTGAAACCCCGTCTCTACAAAAAATACAGAAATTAGCCAGGCGTGGTGTCACACACCTATAGTCCCAGCTACTTGAGAGGCTGAGGTGGGAGGATAGGTTGAGTCCAGCAGTTCAAGGTGGCAGTAAGCCATGGTTTGGGCTACTGCACTTCAGCCTGGACAACAGAGCTGTCCTGTCTCAAAAACAGAAAAAAAAAAGAAAAGAGAGAGAGAGAGAGAGACGCCTACTGCTGAGATCCTTTTGAATGTTATTATATGCAAAATAGGTCAATACCACTCATTCTTTTTCTAAGGAATAAAAAAATTGTTGAAATCGTTCTTAGAGTACTTAGCCATGCCTATTCCATATATATGTATATATACATAGATGTGTGCTGATCTTAATTTTCATTTACTGAGATACCCAGTTAACACAGATATTTATTATGAATAAATTATTTGATAATAACAAGTTTTTCCGTAGACCAAAAAATGACCAAAGGAAAAGAACCAGAATATAAGTATAGTTTTGTAGTATACAGAATTATAGTAAATGCTACTTGGTAATTCACTTTTTAGCTGTTTTCTACCTTAGAATTTTTAAGCATACAGTTCTGCTGCCTGGGAAGCTTGTTCCCAACTTTCCATATGGCTAACTCTGAATTATCTTTCAGGTTTCAGCTTAAATATTATTTCCTCAGCAAAGTGTTTCCTACATGCCAAAATCTAAATCACATACTCCTGTTCTGATCTTCACTATATTCTTATTTTTTCTTCACTGAAGATATTTGTAGTCATATATTTATGTGTATTATTATTTATTTTACATCTTTCTAGAAGACTAGAAAGAAGATTCCTGGGGGCAAAGGTCTTATCTGTTTTAACTCTTATTAAATATACATCCAGGCTGGGCGTGGTGGCTCATGCCTGTTATCCCAGCACTTTGGGAGGCCGAGGCGGGTGGATCACGAGGTCAAGAGATCGAGACCATTCTGGCCAACATGGTGAAGCCCCGTCTCTACTAAAAGTACAAAAATTAGCTGGGCATGGTCGCGCTCGCCTGTAGTCCCAGCTACTTGGAAGGCTGAGGCAGGAGAATTGCTTGAACCCGGGAGGCAGAGGTTGCAGTGAGCCGAGATCGCACCACTGCACTCCAGCCTGGCGACACAGCAAGACTCCGTCTCAAAAAATAAAAATAAAAATAAAAATAAATAAATAAATAAACATCCAAATGAATGAAAAATCCAACTAATTTCAAAAAAAAATTTTTTTTTGGCCATATGTTAATTCTGTGGCACATAAAATGGAATAATACATATAGTTTTCTATGTGATTAAATACGTGTAGTTTCCAAGTATTATCATTGTGCAGTAACTGTACAATCTGTAGGCAATAGTTAATTTTCCTTCAATCAGAATAGCAAACACATCATAAGAAAACCAAGAAAACCTCAAACCTATCACTTACCATCTGATAACTGAAGACAGGGCAAACTTTAGTCTTACTGGGAAAATAACAAATATGTATATGCATGATAGAAGATAAAGTGATCCAAAAATGTAGTTATCAATGATACTACCAAATAGTAAATGTGACCAGGTGCAGTGGCTCATGCCTGTAATCCCAGCACTTTGGGAGGCTGAGGCAGAGGAATCACTTAAACCCAGGTGTTCAAGGCTACAGTGAGCTATGATGGTACCACTGCACTCCAACCTGGGTGACAGAGCAAGACCCTGTCTCTAAAATAAATAAATAACAAATAGTAAATGCTTAAATTCAGACTTCCCAAAATATTATTGGGGAAAAAAAGTGTTACTTGCAAAATAAAAAATTTTCTTACAGACTGATATTCTCCTCAAAGGGTCTTAGTGAAAAGTTAACTTGTGTGGTTGTTTGCAAACCTTTACAAGTATTCATTGCTGTTGTCAGTGATCCATGTAATTCAGGTAAGACTACTTATTGTTTGCTTACCTCACTTTTTGGTGAAAAATATGCAGTATCATATTAACACATATGATTGAGCTTTAGAACAACATTTTTAAAAAAACAAACATAGCATGTTTTTCCTCTTTCACCATCTTGTAGAAATCTGATGTATATTTCAAGCTTCCAGATAGGATTAGTAAAATGTGTAAGTTTATCCTTCTTTTGTCAGGTCCATAATCTTTTACCACTTTATTATGATTTTTAAATTGGTTTGCAGATGAGGGAAGAGTGTAAATCAATGAGATTCTGAAGACTGCCAATTACTTTTTCCCTCCATGAGGATTTTTAGAGCGTATTTTGGAGATATCGAACATTTAACCAAAGTACCTTAATAGAAAAGAGTAAGTAGATGACAGGACGTGTGACTTGATTCTATTAACATCATGAAAACAATAAAATAAACCCATTATTCTCTATTGTATTAAGAGCAGTATTTTAGCACAGACTCAACAACAGCAATGCATTAATATAGAGATGTGATTAAGTCATTTAGCATTGAGCTGTAAAACAAGTGTTAACCAAAGAAAGTACAACCAACTATGAGATGACTAAAAAGGGAAAATGCAGTATTGTCATAAGACCACTAGAGGGTGAAATGAGAACCATAGCCACAATTTCATGTGAAAATATTTCTGCAAAAGACTTCATTTAATCAATATATGACAATTTATTACATTTAAAACCATTATTTATCTTCACAGAATTTTACTATAAGAAAAATATCCATACTTATACTTGAGACAATTTATAAACAGAGATGAGTTGATGATTTGATTTCAGCCAGCTAACCAGAAATCACAGCTCTTCTACATGTTTAATGTGGCAACCATTTTGCTACCTACATTTAAAGCAAGTTATTTGAAAATAACCCAAAAGCTAAGACTTTAACATTCAGTTAATGTGATTATTTATTATTACTTAGATGAATCTAATAGATTTAATTTTAAAAATAATACTTATTTTAAATGTATGATGTCTGTTAATTTAAGCATAACCAGGACCAGGTGCGGTGGCTCATGCCTGTAATCCCAGCACTTTGGGAGGCTGAGGAGGGTGGATCACCTTAGGTCAGGAGTTCGAGACCAGTCTGGCCAACATGGTGAAACCCCGTCTCTACAAAAAAATACAAAAATTAGCCAGGTGTGGTTGCACCCACCTGTAATCCCAGCTACTTGGGAGGCTGAGGCAGGGAGAGTTGCTTGAACTCGAGAGGTGGAGGTTGCAGTGAGCCAAGATTGCACCACTGCACTCTTCCTGGGTGACAGAGCAAAACTCCATCTCAAAAAAAACTCTTAAGCAGAACCACACACTTGGTGACAGAATAGAAATTTTCTGGCAATTCACTTATGAAGAATGTTTAAGTTGATTATAATTCATAATAAATCCCAAGTTCACTGTTGTAAGTGTCACAAATGCTCATTGACTTCTTTGGTGTCTCCATTTTAGACTTATGGCTAATTTATATCAGATTTATTTAAACCGACTTAATTAAACTGATGCAGCTGGATATCCCTTGGCTCTTTTACTTTTAACCTGAAACTGCTGTCGGAAAATGTATACCATTCCATGAATATGCTTCCTTTCCAAATTTTACAAGTATTTACTTCATAGGCTCTTTATTATTGTTTTCGATGATGAACATATTGATGATGATGATGGTGATGGCTAATATTACTGAACCAGGTACTGTTCAGAGTACTTAACATAAATGAACTCCTTAAATGTGTCCAGAACTATTTTGAGTGTATACCATGAATAAAATCATCCAATCCTCAAAACAATTCTATGAGGTAAGTTCTATTATTATCTTAATTCTATAGATAAGGAAACTGAGGAATAGAAAGGTTTAGTAACTTGCTCAAGATCTCATGCCAATAAGTGGTGCAGGCAGGATTTCAAGTCTTGCAGTATAGACACAATCATCCCTTGGTATCTGAAGGGGATTAGTTCCAGGACTCTTGCAGAGTTCAAAATCCACAGATACTCCAGTTTCTCATATAAAATTGCCTGGTAGACTCAGCCCTCCATATCCACAGATATGGAAACTCCCACTACAGAGGGTCTGCTATACTAGAAGACTTTTTACTTCAATTATTTAGAAGTAGTTTAATTCTGCTACCTGGAAACAAGAGATAGTTTAATGTTATCAAGCTCTCATCTACTAAGATGCTATCTTGGGGCCGGGCACAGTTGCTCAAACCTGTAATCCCAGCGCTCTGGAGTTGGAGACCAGCCTGGGCGACATAGTGAGACTCCATCTCTATAAAAAATATATATATAAATTAGTGGGGTGTGGTGGCATGCACCTGTAGTCTCAGCTTCTTGAGAGGCCGAGGAGGGAGGATTGTTTGAGCCCAGGAGGTAGAGGCTGCAGTGAACTGTGATTATTCCATTATGCTCCATGCTGGGTGACAAAGCAAGAGCCTGTCTCAAAAAAAAAAAAAAAAAAAAAAAGCAATCTTGCAATTTATACCCATTTTTGGTTACTATTATTCATTTCTAGATGCTATCTTAGATTCATACAATCTTAAAATTCTCCAATGATATGACATGTATGAATATCCTTTTTCCTAAACTGTTACAACATATCACAATATTTTCAATTTTTTATCATGTCTAAATGGTGTATATAATATTGTCCCAGGTACGAAAAGAATTGACTCATATATTTTATCTCAGTTTTCATATTTGCTTTTTCTATTTTATAAAAGTTATATTAATATAGTTATTATATAATTATTATTTAATGATTTAATAATATTTAATATTTATGTAATAACTTGCATTATAGTTTTATTATTTGCTTTGCTTTGCTTTTTATGTAGTAACAATAATATTGATGTTGCTGAATGATAACCTGATATTGAAGCAGCTTGGTAATATGAAAGAAACCAAAGCCACTGGAAACCAAACCCAATGGACTAAATATCAGAAGATGGAGATTCTATTTCTGACTTTGCCACTTACGTCATATCAAGTAAGTGACAACTTTCTGAGCTCAGATCAAAATTTCTTAGTAATCAAAAAATATGTACCAATTAAAAAGGACTATGTGATAACTTATAAGTCCATAACATCATCAAAAACTTTAAAAGTTACTATTAAATAAGATGAATTATAATTAAAATAGTTAAATGTATTTTTGTCTAAAAAAACAAATAAATATCATACAATTTAATTCTGCTAAGTGTTAAATCCATGAACGCATAAAGAGAGGGATAAGTTTTGCAAAGAAGGTTGTATCCAGAATGTGAAGTGTTCTGAATACCTGTTTATCCTTGCTCTAAAGGAAAATTGGGGCCCACTGAATGTTTTGCAATAGAATAATGATATAAGACCTGCAATTTAAGAAAATTCTTTTTACGGCTCTGTTGAAGACAGACTATTAAGTGAGAATTGAAGAGAAGAAGGCCATTTGTAACAGGATAGGTAACAAATAGAATGTCTGCATGCAAATTATAGATTGTAATGATAAATTGCTTTACATTTGAAAAGAAATTCATATTGGTGAGTAAATTCAAATAAAATAGGTAAATGTGATTTTTGTCTATAGTTTATTGCAAATAAATTAAGCTATGTTTATAAAGCAAGTTGTTGAGGACAGTTAATCTATTAAAAGGTCCTGCTCAATTATAAACAGGTTTACTAAGATAACTTCACAACCCCCACTTTAGTGAATTCCTTTGATCATTTAATTTTGAAAAAGCACTTACATAAATTTCCATAAGTGAATAATGATGTTTTGATTAAGTGCTATATATTTATCTACTTATTAACATTTTAGTAATATGATTAGCCATAATTTAACAATCCAATACCCTTCTTGGCTTGACTTCAATGTAACAACAGCAAGTAATATCAAGAAATATAAAAATATAAATACAAATACACAACATCACTTCGTGATAATGCTGTCACAATTTTTTTATTGGTACTGTAATGGCATAAAGCCAACATGAGTGAACCACAGCAGCTGAGAGGGGAGTAAGGATATAAAATCTGAAGCAGTGAGTCAAAATTTCCCTAAATAAAATCAGAAGAACAATATTATGGCATTTTCACTTATATTCAGTAACAAAGAAATGACAAACAGGCAAGACTACATTGGAGAGAGGCACCAAAATACAATCATAAAAGCAGGAGACATTACAAGACCAATAATAGAATGAACAAGCCTTTGAATTAAGCTCACAAAACAGAACACTGTACTTTTTGTCACAGCTTTTAAGATATAAAGATAATGTATAGTAACCTTACAGAGATTCATTTTAATGGACTACCTCTTCATAAGAAGTCCATTTTGGCATGTTTGTCTCCTCATAAATACATGGGATTCAGTTTCATGGCACAGCTATATTTAGCTGAAGATAGCTGTGCCATGAAACTGAAACCCACATATTAAATAATAACTGGCATCTATTGGCATATTTAGGAAAAAGCATGTTAATATACTCAGTTTCAGTTACAGGCAACGTGGCAATTTTTTCTGCATATTTTTAAAAGATAAACTGTTTATACAAATGAGGATAAGTTTAAGTATATGTTGGTTTCAATAAAAAAGTTTTTTTCCTTTGCCAATGATTTCTTAAGTACACAAATTTAAGTCCATGTAAAAGTCTTATAACCCTCCAGAACACCAGAAGTGGCTTAACCAGCACTAGGACATAATGCTGAGGCAAATATAAAGGAAAAAAAAATGTCTCTGTCTTAACAGCGGTTAACTGCTGTGCTCAGACTCGCCATGCTGTTGCTTCTCATTTAACCATAGAAATGATTGATGTAGTAAAAATAATTCTCACCACTTAGATGGCAGTGAATAAACTTCCCAGTTACCAGCTAAATATCAAGAACTTGTTAGATATAAATCGTGTTGCTGATTAGACAGTGCAGCTTTATAGCCCTTAAGTAAGAGGAAAATCAGAAGCTCATTGGAGTTGATTTAAACAAAATTCTCAAGGTTCGTTGGAGATAGGGAATCAATCATTCTTAAAATCAAGTGGGCTCAACAAACATAGAGTTGTAAACAAGATTACACATAAAAGGAAAAAATGAAATGGAGGTTTGTTCACTTTTTAATAGATTCAAAAGAAGAAATATAATCAATCTTAGACCATTAAATAAACAAATAAGAATGTTACTCTGTATAAGATATAAATTTTAAATTTGTACCTTCTCTGCAGGGAAAATTAAACATAGACAAACTGGATGAAATCTAAAATTGATTTATAATCTATTAAAAAGTATTGCTGTATGTCTAGTTGCAGAAGGATTCTTATTCTATGTATGTAATGCCTAAAAAATATGTTGCAAAGGAAAAAACTACGTATGTATATAAATAATCAAAATCCTGAGCTTTTGTCCTACTTAATGACAAATGACTCATGTGATTTATTCTTTCAGTTGACCTGCCTGGGGAATTAATTAAAGGAATAAATGGATGTTGAAATTGTGTCTGGCATTGCTAATTTGTTGATGACTTGCTCGTAACAATTTCTCTGAATTTCTGGTCAATGGGATTTGTTTTAAGTGATCAAATTTACAAATTCCAGTTTGGGCTGTTCATTTTGTTTTTAGTAGAATTTGCTGGTGATAGCTGGCCATTGGTGACTGAGGAACCTCAGCCATAAACTTGACCCTTTTTGGCTCATTTATCTGCCACATTATTTCTCTTGCCACTATACATTGTTTTTCAGAACATTCCTCCTTCTTCACACTAAGGGATTAACAGAGGACAGAATTCAGAGGGAATAGGTATATAAAACACTGTGACAGGAAAAATTAGCTGACAATCAGAAGTCTAAATTCAATCTGGTAATATAACTAACTAAGCAACTAATGCTTCAGTTTTCCTTTCTTCATATGTAAAAGTAGGCATTAGAAATCATGCTCTCTGAGATTCTTCTAGCTCTGTAATTTATTATTCTGAGTGTGTGAAGGAGAAAATAAACTATCATGTATTACAGAAGCAATATTTGTTACAACACAATGGCAGTACTTATTTTTTCTTTTTCACAGAAACTAGTGTATCAATTTCAAAACATCATAATTCCATTTCTATTTCTAGTTACAAAAAAGTAGAATATGAGCTGTAAAGTTTGATAGAAACTGTGGAGATCTTTAGATATATTATTATAATATTCACTCTATGTCTGTTCAAGATACCTCTTTATACCAAATGTCCACAAGGAACAGTTCCTTTCCTAGTGGAAATAGCAGCCAAAGTCATATAGGTAAGGCTTGAAAGTGTACAATGTTTTAAGTTGTCACAGGGCAAAAAAACAACAGCAACAACTATGTAATGGAATAATTATGGAGACTAAATATTATAAGCTGAAAATAAATAATTGTTTTCATTAGCTTAGATCACTGAGATACATTTATGTGTCAAGTACTGCCAAGGATGGGAAATTTTACTGTACTTGCAAGCTATCATGTTGGCTTGCCACAATTTTTGGTTGCTAACGGAAGACATGAGACTCCTAGGTCCAAAAAAAAGAACTTTATTACTCATTGTATTAGCTGATACCAGAGTATTATCATTTTAGGCCTATACGCCAATTCCCACAGGCAGATTAGAAAAGGGACAGATGGGCTGGGTGCCAGCGGCTCATGCCTGTAATCCCAGCACTTTGGGAGGCCGAGGTGGGCAGATCACAAGCTCAAGAGATCGAGACCATCCTGGCCAACATTGTGAAACCCCGTCTCTATTAAAAATACAAAAATTAGCTGGGCCTGGTGGCGTGCACCTGTAATCCCAGCTACTCGAGAGGCTGAGGCAGGAGAATTGCTTGAACCCAGGAGGCGGAGGTTGCAGTGAGCCGAGATGGTGCCACTGCACTCCAGCCTGGGCAACAGTGCAAGACTCTGTCTCAAAAAAAAAAAAAAAAAAAAAGAAAAAAAAAGAAATGGGATAGATGCTATCCATACATGTAGTGGGTTACGTTATTGGAGAGAAATTCTGAGCTTAGGAAACAGATCCTTTCTAATGGACAATAAGCATGACTGGCCTTTCCCCCATATATAGAATACATCAGATATATTTATACACAACAATAAACAAACATGTTTTTTCTCCAGAAGAAGACACCATCTTCATCTTTCAGGGTTGTTCCCTATACAAACATTTTTAGGAAGAGTTCAGAACAAAGGCTATAAGTTCCTCCACTAGCAAGATGTACAGAAATCTAAGAGAACTTCGGAGAATTATGCCCAACAATATGTTTAATCAAGTCTTTTTAAGAATGGCTAATCATCAAGGCCACATTAAAGCAAAATATGTATTATGCTGTATTAAAAATGTTTATATTTTAGATATTTATCATAATTGGAATTTGGGACAGTGTTGAGATAAAAAAATAAGACAGACCAGAATAGCATTTTAACTCAACAACTATTTACACAGAGTTCGCTAAGTTAAAGGCTATTATCTAAGTCTTCAACAACTTCCATTTTCCAAAGCCTATGTCTTTCTCTCACTCTATCACTCAGCAGCACTGACCAGTTGACTACCTCTCAATCATATAACACTTCCTTCTCTTGATTTCCAAGATGCTCCAGTATCCTGGCTTTTCTCTTACCTTATTGGTAGTTCCTCTTTAGGATGCTTTGCTAATCTTGATTCATAGGACAAAACTGTAAATTTTAGTATGTTCTCAGATGAAATTCTTCTCCATCTCCCTTTTTCTAGATGATCTCATCTAGTCCCACAAATTAAAATCTAATCCATATTATAATTACCCAAATTGTCTCTGGCTGAAAACCCTGTCCAGATCGCTGGCCAATTCTGTATTCATATTTCTCCTAGGATGTAATCGGAATGTCAAACTCAACATGTCCAAAACAGAATTATTGATTTTCTTCAGCCCAACAAAACCAGTTTCTCCTCAAGAACTTTCCATTTCAGTTAATGGTGCAAATATCAACTCAATTGCTCAGGCTCTAAACCCAAAACTTATATTTTATTTCTGTCTCTTTTCATATCCTTGACAAACAAACCATTGGTAGGTCATGTCAGCAATACCCCAAAATATAACTGGCATCTCCTTGCCATCTTTAATACAGTGTTTTTGTACTAGCTATGATGATTTTTTGCCTGTTCTGCTACATTTGTTTCTTAAATGTTTTTACTTTTGCCTCACTGTGGCTCATTCCTACATGGCAACCAAAGTGACTGTTTTTAAATGGCTTAACATTTTTTTCTGGCTTGGGCGGGCATGGTGGCTCATGCCTGTAATACCAGCCATTTGTGAGGCTGAAACAGGTGGATTGCTTGAGCCCAGGAGTTCAAGGCTGCAGTGAGCTATGATTTCAATACTGCACTTCAGTCTGGGTAACAGTGAGATTCTGTTTCAAAAAAAAAAAGATCTCCAGCTTAAAAATTTTCCAATGACTTCTAAGTTTCAACAGAATAAAACTCAGCGTCCTACAGTCGCTCACAAGACTGTGTAGATTGAGCTAGTACTTGCTTCTGGGTCCTTTTTTTTTTTTTTTTTTTTTTTTTTAATTCCACTTTCCCAAATATTCTCTGAACTTCATCCACACTGTCTTTTTTATTTCCTCAAGCACATCAGACTTTTCCCCATCTTGGATCCATTTCATTTGCTCTTCACTTTGCCTGGAATATTCTTCCCCCAGATTGCTGTATGGCTGTGTCTTTCTCATCAGTTAGATCTTGGTTCAATTTTATCTCAGAAAGATTTCTCAGATCTCCCACTCCTTCCAATTCAACCACTCACTGTAGCAAAGACTTTTCGTTGCTTATTCTACAGCCACTCTTTGATGATAGGACCTTGATATTATTCACATCCCCTAGAAGAACAAGATCTTCAAGGGAGACTGGACCCTTTCTAACCCCAAAGCAAGATGCTTGATAGTTTTTGTTTGTTGTTGTTGTTGTTGTTTTAGACTGAGTCTTGCTCTGTCACCAAGTTGGAGTACAGTGGCGTGATTTCAGCTCACCGCAACCCCCCGCTTCCCGGGTTCAAGCGATTCTCCTGCTTCTGCCTCCTGAGTAGCTGGGACTACAAACAAGTGCTACCATGACTGGCTAATTTTCCTATTTTTAGTAGAGATGGGGTTTCATCATGTTGGCCAGGCTGGTCTCCAACTCCCAACCTCAAGTGACTCGCCTGCTTCGGCCACCCAAAGTGCTGGGACTACAGTCATGAGCCACCCACGCCCGGCCAAGATACTTGATTATTTTAAGGCATTCATCATTGTCTCAGACTATTAACAATTGATTGGTTTAGGAATAAACATGTTATATAATACAGAGGATGTTTTGAGTGGGGGCCAGGGCATTGCACTTCTAGAAAAATGTATCTCACTGCTTAAAAAGAATGCTGCCTTTCCTATTACCAGGGTATCATTGTCTGAAAATGACCCGTGAGACTGCTATTTTGGAGTCCTCAGGATATGCGGGCAAAAAGGACTGGCCAACATGTTGGAAATGGCAAAGCATAAAGAATTCCTGTAAATGATGAAGTAAGTGAGTTCTTGAATTATTTACCCTGGAACTCTTCTAACCCCTAACTTTATGTTGTATGAGATAATCAATATCCTTATTGACTAAAATTTTTGTTATTTTTTTCTATAACTTGGGAAAGGAAGCATCCTTACTGCTCTATTCAATATCCCATTGTCTTATTTTTTCTTCTTAGCACCTTTCTCATTGAGGCCAGGGATCTTATCTGTCTTGTCTATCACTATATATACAGCACTCAGAATATAGCACTTGGGCCTAGTAGGAACTTAGTAGATATTTTTATTTATTTTTCTTTGGGATGGAGTTTCACTCTTGTCACCCAGGCTGGAGTACAGTGGCATGATCTCAGTTCACTGAAACCTCTGCCTCCTGGGTTCAAGCAATTTTTCTGCCTCAGCCTCCTGAGTAGTTGGTGTTATAGGTGCCCATGACCGTGCCCAGCTAATTTTTTTGTTTTGTTTTGTTTTGTTTTGTATTTTTTGTAGAGATGGTCTCGAACTCCTGACCTCTGGTGATCTGCCCGCCTCAGCCTCCGAAAGTGCTGGGATCACATGCATTAGCCACTGCACCTGGCCTGTAGATATTTTTAAATCAATGAATAAATGAGACAAAAATCAATGTTCAAAGCAGCCTACAGTGTATTTAAAAGAATTTAATTTTTTCACACATCCTTGCACAAGCAATAGGTAAAATAATCCTTTAAACTATGTTAATACACTTTTCTCTTTTATCTTTCTATGCTCTATAATCTTCTCCCAATACTATTTTCTTTATAGGGGCTTAGGGTTGTTAAAGAAAGAGAAAGAAGTACCTGCTCAGAAGTGTCCTACAGAACAAAAGCAGGATATTTTTTAGTGTCTTGTGAGACAATTGTCTAAACTCCAGGTAATTTTGAAAAAGAAAAGACTGTTCCAAATTCTTTAAACTGTCATTAGCATACTAAGATCCCAACCTTCCCACCTGGAGTGCTCAGAGCTGCAGCAAGGTAAAGAAAGGGTTTACCTTTAACAGGAGAACTTGAAAGTTGATCAGATCCAAGCAATAGGTTGCAAACATGATGCGATGCTATCATAGATGTCCAGCTCCCAGGGTACTGGTTTCTATTGTCAAAAGGCAGGTTTCCATAGGAATTTAAAAAGCAAGATGACAGTGAGAAAAAGCAAGAAGACAGTGAGTAAAAACAAGATGACAGTCCTAGACGTAACAGGGTACCACGGCAAGAATATGATAATGACTCTCCAATGCAGAGAGAAGGCTCTGCTGCACCAGCCTGATCACAGCATTGCTTTACTCTTCAATAGGAGCTCGTCATCTGTGACATAAAGTTCATATGATCCTGGCAAAGAAGACCCTTCGTGATTTGGCCCCAGTGTTGCTCTTTTGTTTCATTTCCTGCTACTACCACAAATATTCTCATCTTCATCCTAAAGGAGCGATCTCAAATTTTCCATGTTGCCTTGCTCATTTATAACTTTAAGCTTTACCTGGGAAACCCTCTCTCCTTCCCAATCCTGTTAATCCTTTTCACAAACTCCCATTCATTCTTCAAGTCCTGGTTAAATTTTTACCTTCTTTCCTAACTCCAGCATCCTTGATTCTCCATATTCCCATTGCATCTTGAACGTCAATCCATTATATATAATTAGTTGCTAGATCTATTGCACATGTTCCTATATTGGACTTATTTCAGCGCCTTAAAGTGGCACATATTGTTTGCTTGGTCTGGAAAACTGCCTTTTTCTCTCTGATGCTTCTTTATTGTGCGAATATAACTCCTATTTCTCAATTAATCCTTGGCCTAAAATTCTTCTGAAAAGCTTTTCTAGTCTCGTAAGATTAACTAGTGTCCCTGTAAACAGCCCCTCATCACACTTTGATTGAGTACTTATTTGCATGCCATTTGCCTCGCTCTGAAAGAGTGAATGAATATCATCTATCTGCTAGGCCTGTGCTGTCCAACGTAGCAGTCACTAACCACATCTGGGTAATGAGCACTTGCAAGGAACACATCCAAACTGAGATGTGCTGTAACTGTAAAATATGAAAAGGATTTCCAAAACAGTGCCAGAAAGAAAGAACATAAAGCATCACAATAATAATTTTTATATTGGTTCCATGTTGAAATGATAGAATCTTGGATATATTGAGATAAAGTACAGTCAGTCTTCTATATTCGTGGGTTCTGCATCCATGGATTTAATGAACTGTGGATCTAAAATATCTGTATTGAACACATCCAAACCTTTTTTCCTTAACATTATTATTTAAACAACACAGTATAGCAACTATTTACGTAGCATTTACATTGTGTTAGGTATTATAAGTAACTAGAGATAATTTAAAGTGTATAGGAGGAGGCTGGGCATAATGGCTCAGGCCTGTAATCTCAGCACTTTGAGAGGTGAAGGCGGGTGGATCACTTGAGGCCAAGAGTTCAAGACCAGCCTGGCGAACATGGCAAAATCCCGTCTCTATTAAAAATACAAAAATTAGCCAGATGTGGTGGTACATGCCTGTAATCCCAACTACTTGGGTGGCTGAGGCAGGACAATCACTTGAGCCCAGGTGGTAGAGGTTGCAGTGAGCCGAAATCGCACCACTGCACTCTAGCCTGGAAGACAGAGCAAGACTCTGTCAAATAAAACAAAACAAAACAAACAATCAAAAAAACAAATAAATAAAGTATATAGGAGGATATGCATAAGTTATATGCAAATACTTCGGGACTTGAGCGTCTGTGGATTTTGGTGTCTGCGGGAAGTCCTGGAATTAAACTCCCATGGATACTGAGGGACAACTAACTGTATATTAGTAAAATTAATTTTACTTTTTCCTGTTTACTCTTTTTAACATGACATTAGAAAATTAAATGTTTCATATGTGCCACACATCATATTTTTATTAGACAGCACTGCACTAGGTCATGGTCTTCAGAAGTAGTGCGAACATACTGTATTGATTCTCTAACTAACACTTTATGGTCTCAAAAATGTGTACTAGATGAATAAATTAATAAATGGCAAGTACTCAGCAGAAAAATAGCTGCATCATTTAATTAGCAACAAGTGAAGAAATTTACAGAGGTTGTATGTTACTAATTTATCAAAGTGATTTTAGATCTGTCATAAAAATATCCTCTATTTGTACGCTTATAACGTAGAAGAAATCAGGAAATAATAAACCAGACTGAAAACCTTATAATTGTAAAGCTTTGACTCTAAAAACATATATATATTCTGACTCTGCTTTAATAAATCTTTTGGATTTTCATTTGAATCTGTTTGGGGGGCAATTCTGAATGTGCCTGTCATAGGCAGATGCTTCTGTTCTCTAAGACTAGAGACATAGGATTCAGTAGGTGGTGGTGCAGATGGCAAAGAGAGGGTGGGGTGACATTTCAAACTGTGGGCGGGACTAATGCAAATTTGGCAGCCCAAATGGAATTTCTGTGGGCCCGACAATTTTTGCAAGACTTCTTGCTTCCCAAGCAATCTACATCTATCCACCCCCCACGTTTTTATATATATATTTATTTATATTTGTGTGTGTGTGTATATATACGTATATATATACATATATAAGTGTATGTATATATGTGTATATATAAGTGTATATATACTTATACTAATATATGTATACTTATATTTATGTATATATATAAGTATACATATAAACTTATATATACATGTATATATAAATATACGTATACTAGTATATATATAAGTATATTCTAGTGTGTATATACTTGTGTGTACATATATAAATATATATGATATATATAAAATATGTATATATAGAAAGAGAGAAAAGAGAAAGAGAAAGACTTTAACCCTCTCCATTGGGAATTTTGTATACTGCAATTATCAAAGACGAAAAGAGTCTCTCTCAAAATTTTGCATATGGAATCAAACTATATTTCTAACATAGAAAGCTAAGGGAATTTCTGTCACAAGTGATCTTAAATACAGTGAAATACATTTGTTTTTCATTGTGCATTTAATTATTAGAAACATATAAGTATGTACATATAGTTTTTTAAAAAAAGAAAGTGCAAATTATTTAATCTGATTTTTTTAGCTCTTGCCATTGGAATTGCACAGCCATAGAACACGAACTGCCTGAGACAAGTCAGCCTCCACACCAAGCTCTGCCAGCATGACTCAATACCATTCCCAAGATATCAAGCTGGAGGAATTTAATCTCTGTATCCTTGGTCTCTAACCTTCCCGAAGAGAATCTCTTTCAGCTTGTCAACATCTTCACGGATTAATCAGGTCAACAGAGATGATATGTTTTCAATCATTTAGCTATAATAGCCCACTCTGTTATAACTTTTTTTTTTTAAGGTGTTCAGCATGTAAGGGCCAATTATGTTGCTGGAACTTTTTTCAAATTATTACTTTCAATATTCTCATCTACTAAAGTTGTAATAAGATTGGAAGCTTTAAAGAAGAAACTGTTCACTGACTGTGATAAAAAAACAAAACAAACAAAACCCAAAAATAAATGTTTTCAGGACCAGCAAAATGTTATAGGCCCTTATGTCCTGAATTCCAAGTAGATTTCATTTTAAGTTTTTGCTAGGCAGAAAAAGAAAGAGAGTTACTATTTAGTGCAAATGAGTCTCTGGAGTAACCAAATTCATATACATTGCTAGTTGGGATGTAGAGCATGATAGTTACCATAGAAAATAGTCTAATGGTATTAATATTTAGTAAAGATGAGAATGCTTAACTATCCAACAATTCATTCATAGGATTGTATCCTAAGGAAAATCTCAAACATGCAAACCAACAAGTAGGCATAAGAATGTTCACAGAAATACTGTTGATGACAGCATAGAATTAGGGACTACACCAAGACCTGTTAGCAATAAAATTGATAAAAAGAATTGTGGTGAATTTATATGTTAGAATCCTAGTAAGCAATAAAAATGAAAGAGCTACAGCTAAAATTGGCATGGATCTACCTTGGAATCACAAGATAGAGGTGAAAATGCGACATGGAAGACTATAAAAGAAAAATTTTATGTACATAAAGTTTTAAGACATGCAACATTGAACAATTCATTGATTAAGAATACAGACATAGGAGATAAAAATGGTTATATATTTTAAAAATACTGATAATGAGAAAGTTCAAGATATTAGTGAATTTATGGGAAATGAAGGGAGATGATGGAACAAGGACAAGGCAAGCAGGGGCTTCCAAGTAGTGCTGGTGATGCTTTATTTCCTCATCTGTGTGGTAGATATGGGAGTGGTTGATTTATGACTATTTATTATACTTTATAATCTGTTATAAGTATTATTTTATATGTATCAAATATTACACTTAAAATAATTAATAACAGAGTTATAAAGAAGAGAAAGGAAGGAAGGGAGGGCGAAAGAAAGGAAAAACATGGAAAAATTAAAAGGGAAAATAATGACTAAGACAAAATGAAATGGTTAAGTGGTCTGAGCAAAATGGACATCTCAAAGATAAAGTTGCAGAAAACAGAGAAATGTTGATCATAAAGATACATTAACCATAAGATTAAAATGATGATGATGATGATGATGGTGGTGGTGGTGGTGGTGGTGGTGATGTCATAGTATCTAACAATTATGGAGTGGTTGTTATTTTCCAGATAATATTTTTAGTTTACATCTATTAACTCATTTAAACATTACAGTAACTTCATGGGATAGGTTTCACCACTATTTTTATTTTTTACGTTACTAAACTGAAGCATATAAAATTCCAATAAACTTGAAAATGTTACACATTTGGTAGGTAGCAGAGCAGAAATATTAATTCCATTCCAGGCAGGCTGATTGCTTAACACCATGCTATCTAAAGTGTTCAAGAATCATGGTCCCCAGATAATGAGTGGCTGATTCTTCTGACCCTATCTCTCAAAGCCTCCATGAACCACCCTCAGTCTTTCCTAAAGTACAACTACATTGTTTATGGGGATTTTGCTGTTGTTTCAGGAGCTATGTAATTAAAAGTCTATCTGATTCTCTACTTTTACTTTTTAAGAAATTCTGCAGTTTTCTGCTTCTTCTCAAGAGTAGTAGTCATCCTTTATGAGATACTGAGCTTGGAACCTGTAGCAGAGGTATCGGGTCACTTTTATTAAATGCATTTTCACGCATTACTGTTCTTCAGTTCCTTCATATTCTTTCCAAAGAAACAATAAGTCTTATGTGATGCATAGGATTTTCCATGCATCATGTAATATTTCATTAAAGAATAAAATTGGGTAATACCATGTTCCATATTTTTCAGCTCAGTCTTAATTGAAAACTGATGGGGGGCAGTGCCAAGGTTAGATATTTGTACACAGAGAAAATTACATACTTACAAAGAAAAATTTTAAGAAACTATGTTTCTCCAAAATGTCATTAGATATTGTAACTATCTCTTTTTTCTCATATCATTGTGATGATCTTATTCTATGGAATTATATATGCTTATTAATATTTTATTGTTCCAGTTAATAGAAGTCATTGTAAAACAAAGTTATCTATGACTCACCAAGTTGGGAAAAAAAAGATCAGAATAATCATTGAAACTGAGTTGCCTTCCTTTTATTACTCTGCACCTTGATCCCACTTCCTGGGACAGTACTGGTTACTTTCTTCCCTGCTCAACTTTTTGTAAAACCGAAATCCTTACCTGAAAGTGTGAGTGATGATGTAAAAAGATCTAAAGGGTTTTGCAGAGCAAGGCTATGGTGGAAGCATCACAGACTTCAAAGTCAGTGAACACGGTTTATTTCCAGCTGCCATTTGGTAGCTGTGCCTTCCTAAACAATTTTCTTAACTACTCTTTCACTCTCATCAAATTACTTAAATTTAGCTTCAATTTTCTCACTTGTATAAAGGGAACAAGACTGCTTTACAAGGTCATTGTGACAATTCAATGAGATGAAATATATAAAACATATAATACAGTGCCTGACACTAGTAAGTGCTTGGCAAATCTTAGTTTCCTTCTCTTCCATGACCACAGTTAGAATTTTTATCCCTATTATGACTATATGCAGCATCAACATCTCTAAAATTATCTGGATAAAAACACAACAAAGGACAAAATATTGTTTCAGTGTATATGAGCAGTATCAAATTCCCAGGTCCTCACCTTGGCAAACTTTAGGTATCCACAGATTTGATAACTGAAGGTTGGGTGTGGTGGCTCATACCTGTAATCTCAGCACTTTGGAAGGTCAAGGTGGGAGAATCACTTGAGCCTATGACTTCCAGACCAACCTAGGCAATATAGCAAGACCTGATCTCTACAATCAAAAAATTAGCCGGGTGAGGTGGTGCATGCCTACAGTCCCAGCTACTCAGGAGGCCGTGGCAGGAGGATCACTTGAGCCCAGGAGTTCAAGGCTGCACTGAGCTATAATTGTGCCAGTGCATTCCAGCCTGGGCAGTAGAGTGGAGACTCTAGATTTGACCACCGATCATTGGACCCCGTCCAGTAATTTCAGTCTTGTCTATATTCCAACAATCATTGGTTGGAGGTATTATATTTTACAAGGTCTCACTCAACACGTAGAGACCAAGTATCAAATCAGCCTTGCTTGTTGTTGTTCTCTAAACTTGAGTCATAGCTATGCCAAATGTTCTTCTGTTTGTTTTATTACCTTTTACTCCTAGTTATGGTGACCAGATTCCTGGTCTCCCACTCCTTTTCTTCCCCCATCCCCATCCATTCTCCTCAGAACTGCAAAGGTAAGCTTTTAATTATGCATATTTGATCATGTCATTCCCCTATTAAGTCTTCCAAAGGCTTTCATTACCTGAAGATAAAATCTAAAATCCTAAATATGGTCTCCAAGATTCTGAATAACTTTGCCTATTTCTTCCTTTTGCAGCTTGGTTTTGAATCATTCCTCTTATTATTATAATTATCATTTTTTTAATTAACTAAAGTCTAAGAACAATGATTTTTAAATATGTTTTTCTGGAACTTGACAAATTCTTACTTGTCTGGCTCTTTATTTTTTTTATGGGACTGTTTTCAAAATTGTCTCATTGTCTCTGGTATTCAGCAGTTAATTATAATGGGCTTAATTTGATCATGTCATTATGGTTTACTTTTTATTTATACTGAATTTTACTGTACTTCCCAAATTTCTGACCTGGCCTCTTTCATCAGTTTTAGAAATTCTCCACCATTTTCTCCACTGTTGCGCCATTCTCTCTCATCTCCTTTCAAGACACCAATTACACATATGTTAGAGCTTTTCATTCTTTCCAACAGGTTTATCACATACTTTTCTGTAATTTTCTTTTTTTCTCTCTTTATTATAGTATAGTATGTTTTTCATAGAACTATATTCAAATTCCCTACTCTTTCGCAAGGAAAATCTGCTGTTAAATATAGCTATTCTTTAGCCCTAAAAGTTCTATTAGATTTTTTAAAATTGTTTTCAACTCTCTGGCTAAATTTTCCACCTTTTTAATTTTTTTGTCCATATTTTTATCTCTTTTCTTGAATATCTTAATAATAATTATTTTGATGTCCTTATCTGCTATTTCCACTAATTGGATTTCTGTAAGTCCATTTTTGATTTCTTATGTTTTCTAAATGTTTGATCATATAATTCTGTTTTTTGGCATGTTTAGAATATGTGACTAACTGCTAGACATTAGGCATAAAAATCAATAGAAATTTCAAATTATATTATCCTCCCCTTTCTTTCTCAAGGAAGATATACTGAGGCTTGTGTCCTTAATATGATCAGTGACTTCTAAGTTAAGGTTTTGATAATATTTAGTCTACTTCTGGATTTCTTTTTTGCTGAGGGCATACAGAAGAATGAAATCTGGAAGCAGGGAACCTAAGGCCGATTCATTCTGACTTCCTAGAACTAAATCAAAAGGAAAACCCCAACTTTCCACACCCAAGGAACAAAAGAACAGAGGGTACTCCCTTTGCAGCCCTCTCCTTTCTGCATGGCAGATGAGAAATGGAAAGCACCTCTCACTGGTCCCCTCCCACAACCAATCAGTCTGGTCAGGGGCCTATTGTTTATTTGCATAGGGGTGTAACTTTGTAACTTCACTTCAGCCTCTGATTGGTCCCCTCCCACAAGCAATCAGATGTTTGCATAGCTTATAACTTTGTAACTTCATTTCAGCCTCTGATTGGATGCCTTCCACAACCAATCAGACTGGTTGTGGGGCCACTCCTTCATTTACATAGGGTGTAAACCAAGTAACCATTGGGAAACCTCTAGAGCATATTTAAGCCCCAGAAAATTCTGTAACCAGTGCTCTTGAGCCTCTTGCTCAAACTGACTCGTACCCTGTGGAGTGTTCTTTTGTTTAAATAAATCTGTGCTTTCATTGTTTTATTCTGTCATTGCTTTGTTTGTGCATTTTGTCCAATTCCTTGTTCAAAATGCCAAGAACCTGGACAACTCCTAGTAAGACCCCCACCCAACCCCCACTGGTAACACTAGGGCCTTTTTTTTTCCCCCCCCTTTTTTTTTCTTTTTGAGACAGAGTCTCGCTCTGTCGCCCAGGCTGGAGTGCAGTGGCGTGATCTTAGCTCATGGCAAGCTCCACCTCCTGGGTTCAGCCCATTCTCCTGCCTCAGCCTCTGGAGTAGCTGGGATTGCAGGCGCCCGCCACTACGCCTGGCTAATTTTTTTTGTATTTTTAGTAGAGACCTGGTTTCACCCTGTTAGCCAGGATGGTCTCGATTTCCTAACCTCGTAATCCGCCCACCTTGGCCTCCCAAAGTGATGGGATTACAGGTGTGAGCCACTGCGCCAGGCCAACACTAGGGCTCTTAAAATTATGTCTTAGCCCTTTTCATGAAAGGTCTATAACTTTAATCCTTGTACACCCCAGCATGGTGAAACTCTTGAAAACTTTGCTATGCTTTTCAGAAACTTTCTTCATAACCTGTTAAACTGACCATGTGTCCGGTACAATTCTCCAAGTCTCTCTTCTCTCAGGATCTTTGTACCACCGTTTCTTTATTTTGCTTTTTTCTTTTACTTCAGCCTTGCAAGACCACTGAAATCTCTCCAGATATCTCTTTCCTCCAGCGGTGATCTTTTTGCCCAGGCAAAGCCATATTCTCAGACCTTTGCTTAGGAATGTTAGTGCACTTCTTTATAGTTCTTTCTCCAAACCTCTGGACCCTTTACCCTGATTGATTTAACAGAACTTTGATGCCTTTTAATATTTATGTAACTTTTCTAGTTGTTCTCAAAATAAACTTCGGTCTGCTGCAAGCTAACTCATTCGATCATAATAAAAAATCTGCTTCAGCTTCACATTTTTCTTTCTTTCTTTTTTCTTTTTCTTTTTTTTCTCTTTTTTCTTTTTCTTTTTCTTTCTTTCTTTTTTTTGAGATGGAATCTCACTCTGTCACCCAGCCTGGAGTGCAGTGGCGCGATCTCGGCTCACTGCAAGCTCCGCCTCTAGGTTTCACGCCATGCTCCTGCCTCAGCCTCCCGAGTAGCTGGGACTACAGGCACCCGCCACCACACCTGGATTTTTTTTTTTTTTTGTATTTTTAGTAGACACGGGGTTTCACCATGTTAGCCAGGATGGTCTCCATCTCCTGACCTCGTGATCCACCCACCTCAGCCTCCCAAAGTGCTGGGATTACAGGCATGTGCCACAGTTTTTTCTTTTATTGGAATGTTTTTTACCGCACTCTTCACCTCGCTGTTTTTCCTCTTCTGGATATCTTCATTCAGGAAACTATTTACTAATTCTTCAATCAATATTAAGTTTTGCTGTTTAACTGTTTCCTAGTACCTTATACTTTTCATCTATAGCACTTCTCAATTTCTGTACTTAATTGGGTTATTTGCTTAATCCTTTTCCTCAACCAAATCTTAAAGTCCTTGAAGATAGGGAACATTGTACTAGGTGTACATGTGCGTGTGCATGTGTGTGCTTGTGTGTGTGTGCTATTTCCTAGGGTCTGTTGCAGATCTTGGTAAATGGTAGGTTTGTGATCCTGACCTTTATCTTGGTCACGTATTCAAGCATTCAGTTCTCTAACTAATCAACATTTTGTGCTTGATACTCCACCTGCCAGGAGGTAGCGTCTTACCTCAAAAGCACTGGTTTCCTATCTTGGTTGAGGATATAGTTCTAGTAAGCAAATCCTTTATAAGTAAGAAAAATTTAAAAACATTATTTCCCGTATATGATAAGTATGTATTAGCAGCAAAGACAGCTAACTGTTGAACAACAGAAGTGTAGCTCTCTTCCCATAGTATAGAATTGACTTTGGCAAACCCATGCAAACAGACAGCGCCATGTGACTACTTCCTCCATTGAAATGTGAGCAAAAATTCTGTGAGTTGCTTTTATGCAAAGTCACTTACAAAGAAGGCATTTCTTCTCTTCTCTGCCCTCTTCTGCAGATCACTCTGAGATTCAGGGAACTTAGGGCCACAGGATTGATGGAATCTTTTTTCCATGAGCAGTGACTTCTGGGTTAAGGTTTCGATAATATTTTGTCTATTTTTGGATTTCCCCTTTGCTGAGGGCATACAGTATAGGGCTTTTATTTTATTTTATTTTATTTTATTTTTTGAGACAGTCTCATTATATTGTCCGTGTTTCAGTGCAGTGGCACGATCTCGGCTCACTGCAATCTCTGCCTCCTGGGTTCATGTGATTCTTGTGCCTCAGTCTCCCAAGTAGCTGGGACTACAGGCACATGACACCAAGCCTGGCTAATCTTTGTATTTTTAGAAAAGACAGTGTTCTGCCATGTTGGCCAAACTGGTCTTGAACTCCTGGTCTCAAGTGATCAACCCTCCTCAAATTGCTGGGATTACAGGCGTGAGCCGCTACAGTCGGCCACTCTAGGGTTCTTAAATGTATGTCTTTCATGAAAGTTCCAGAACTCTACTCCTTGTCCCTGCAGCATGGAGAAACTATTGAAAACTTTGCTATGCTTTTAGCATAACAAACATCTGGATGAATCTCCACATCGTACTATTCATAGAGTGAGAAGTAAATGCCCATTTCGTTGAGCCGTTGAAACACATCGGTTTATTTGTAACAACAGTTAACATTCTCAAACTCATACAGAAATTAATTCTTTGAACTGACTGCTACCAGAACAAAAACCTAAAGCATGTGGTACTGGTTCAATGGTTAGGAGACTGTCTGCAAATAAATTGATGTAACAGACTAGAAAGTTAGGGATGCATGTTATGGAGTGTCAAAACATTTGGTCAAATTGTCACCAGCAGAACTTAATAAGCCAACTACATCACTACCAAACCTATAACTCTGTATAAAGAAAGAGATATTTAAAAAAATCTATAATGAAGATGCTGTGAGTTGCTTCATTCTTGTTTGACTTAATGAAGTGTTACAAGAGAAGGGCTCATGTAAGAATGGGATGAAAAGTTCAGGCCTATGATAAACATCAGTTTAAGAGGGTTTCATTCCCAAATAAGCTTATACTTTCAGATGGTTCTAAAGCAGCTAATATTAAAGAGAGAGAGAGAGAGGATCGCAAGAAAAAAAATCCTGAAGACAAGTTGAGTATTACGTCTAGGAAAAAACTTTTGAGTATAGTTATTGTAAGTTGGTACTGACAAAAGTAATTAGAAGCCTCTAAATCAAGCCTGTTTAACCTATGGCCTGTGGGCTGCATGTGGCTCAGGACGGCTTTGAATGCAGCCTAACACAAATGAATAAACTTTTTAAAAACATTATGAGTTTTTTTGCGATTTTTTGTTTTAGCTCATCAGCTATTGTTACTGTTACTGTATTTTATCTGTGGCCCAAGAAGACAATTCTTCTTCTTCCAATGTGGCCCAGGGAAGCCAAAAGATTGGACATCCCTGCTTTAAATTTTAAGATAATCCTATTGTTAAGAACTAAACAAAACATGAGTCTGGCCTTAAAAAAAAGACTACAACTTTATATATATATATACACACACGCACACACACACACACACACACACACACACACACACATATATATGTCTCTATCCCCACAAATTTGCAATAATAGAGATTATAATCCAAAAATCTGTGTAGCTTCCAAGGAGGTTGCATTAGTTTCCTATTGCTGCTGCTATTATAAATCACTGAAAGTATAGTGACTTAAAACAACTCAAATGTATTATCTTTTAGTTCCAGAGGTCAGAAATCCAAAATAGGTCTCACTGAGCTAAAATCAAAATGTCAGCAGGGCTGCATACCTTCTGGAGGCTCTAGGAGAGAATCTGTTTCCTTGCTTTTCACAGCATCTAGACAACATTGCATTTCTTAGCTTGTGACCTTTTCATCTTAGAAGCCAGAGATGGAGGTCCAGTCTTTTTCAAGCTGCATCATTCTACACTGACTTTCCTGCCTCTCTTTTCCACCTTCTGATTATATCAGGCCCCCACCCCAGCCAGATAATCCAGAATAATATTCCCATCTCAAGGTCAGGTAGCAACCTTAATTTCATCTACAATCCTAATTTTCCCTTGCTATATTATGACACATTCACCGGTACTAAGGATTCAGATGTAAACTTTTATGAGGGGACTACTGTTCTGCTCACTAGAGTGGGAATATTCTTCACTGTGCACTTTAGAAGCAGTCACGGAGGATAACAGACAAAGACAAAACTCCCATAAATTGGAACCAGAGGCCATCAAAGGTAATAGATAAGAAAGTTAATCTCAGAGAGATAAGTCAAGGCTTTGTAGAACTTCTTCAAAATTAAGTTTTCGTCATCACATCTGAACAGCAAAATTTTGTCATTGCTGAGAAACAGTAAATTTTGTATTTATATACCATTGGTTCTTTTGCAAATGAGAATTGTGGCAGCAATCCTTACACTGTCCAAATTTTATACTGCAGGTGTGTAGTAAGGGGATGGGCAGGAAACTTGTTCTTTAGCTATCACAGGAACATGCGGGGCCCTATGTGAATGAAGTAGAGAGAACTGTGCATTGTGTAGAGATCCTGGACATGGAGCTGGATAAAATGATGGTGATATGGTTTGGCTCTATGTCCCCACTCAAATTATAAATCATGTCCAATTATAATTACCATTGTTGGGGGAGGGGCTTGGTGGGAGGTGATTGGATCATGGGGGTAGATTTCCCCCTTGCTGTTCTTGAGACAGTGAATGAGTTCTCACAAGATCTGTTTTGTTTTGTTTTTTTTGAGACGGAGTCTCACTCCATCACCCAGGCTGGAGTGCAGTGGCACGATCTTGGCTCACTGCAACCCCCACCTCCCGGGTTCAAGCAATTCTTCTGCCTCAGCCTCCCGAGTAGCTGGGACTACAGGCGCACAACACGATGCCTGGCTAATTTTTTGTATGTTAGTAGAGACAGGGTTTCACCGTGTTGCCCAGGCTGGTCTCGAACTCCTAAGCTCAGACAATCCTCCTGCCTCGGCCTCCCAAAGTGCTGGGATTGTATAGCACTTTGGTAAGATGTGCTTGCTTCCCCTTCACCTTCCACCATGATTGTAAGTTTCATGAGCCTTCTCAGCCATGCTTCCTGTATACCCTGTGGAACTGCAAGTCAATTAGACCTTTTTTCTTTATAAATTACCCTGTCTTGGGTAGTTCTTTATAGCAATGTGAGAATGGACTAACATAATACAGATGGGATAGGAACTTAGCTTAGAAGGAAGAAGAATGTTCTACGTGTGGGAAGAAAGAAGCACCAACATTTGGTTGTCAGAGGATAGTCTGTGGCAGAGTCGTCAAATTTATGGGAAGTTACTGCCTAGGCAGGAACTTCATTTGTCAACCTCTATTTGCATCTAGGTGAGGCTATATGACTGAGTAGTTTACCTCTAGAGAATGAGAGTAGAAGTGACAGGTTTCAAGCCATTAAGAAGTTAGGGATGGCATTGGGAGATGTACCTAGTGTGGATGACGAGCTGATGGGTGCAGTGCACCGGTGTGGCACATGTATACATATGTAGGAAGCCTGCATGTTGTGCACATGTACCCTAAAACTTAAAGTATAATAATAACAATTTAAAAAGTGGATATTCCTTGTCCAGTCCCCCATTCTCCTTTTATCTGGATGCAAAGAACGTTAAGGCCCTAGAGACAGAGGAGCCAGAAGGAGGAAAGAGCCTGGGTCCTTGAATTACCACTAGGAGAAATCTGCCTGCTGTCAAGCAAGCCTGCATTGGACTACATTATAGTAAGCAAAACCTATTTTTTTTTTCTGTGTTAAACCATTCATGTTTAAGGGTTTATTTGTCAAATAAGTCAATGCTAACCTAATAAAGAATTACTTATATAATCAGAAGAAAAATCTCAATCTTAAAAAAAAATTTTAATACTGTAGAATGTGTTCATTTTTCCCCTATTAAGATACCAAAATTTATAAAAACCATAGCGTTAATGCTTATAATTCATTCTGAGACTATATTAATCAGTGCTAAAATTTGTAGTTATTTAGGTACAGAAACATTATTTGCCTATTTTGTTCAGCAGTTTGTTGAATATTCCTTTAAAGGTAAGTACTAGGTAAAATACATTGTTAGATATAATTTAGCATGATCCTCAATCCATTTTTATTTTTAAGGGTCTTGGTTACATTAAAGCATGTGTGAATTTAATCTCGTCAAATTACCTCCAAGAATGGAACTATTTTTGTATTAATGAGAAAAAATGTAAAAACATATGACTGTTTGCAACAGTTTTATATAAGAGTGGTATAATTAGAACCAAATTCTATGGGTGATAACACTTGAAAATATTGAGCATATGATGACAAGAATTAACCTATTTCATTTTATAAATTATTACTAAAGTAGGTATGTATTTCAGAGGCTTGATTTCCTTAACAGTATCAAGGTAGTTTAATAATGTTGATTATACTTTAATTTAAACCCAATAATTGGCTTGCCAGTTCACATAATCTGATTCTGAAAGTTAACAGAGAATTATCTAATATTTACAGTCATGATGCAATGTTTCTTGTAAAGTAAAATATTGCATATATGTGGCTTTGGAAATGGTTTTCAAAAGTCATTACGTTTACAAAATTCTAATTGGAAATCACAAATGTTACAGTAACCCAATTCATGTATTTACCAGTGGCAGTGTTTGCACTAGTGCTCCTATCCGTTTATGCATATTAGTTGACATAACAGAAATACAGAATTAAAGCATCTGTCTCCAGATGATACAGATTTCCTTGGGAAATTTAGAGAGTTAAAAGAAGAAGAAGGGCTAAGCGCAGTGGCTCATGCCTGTAATCCCAGCACTCTGGGAGTCTGAGGCTGGTGGATCTCTTGAGCTAAGGAGTTTGAGACTGCCTGAACAAAATGGCGAAACGCTGTCTCTACTAAAACAATACTCCAAAATTAGCCAGGCATGGTGCTGCGCACTTGTAGTCCCAGCTACTTGAGGGCCTGAGGCCGGAGGATCCCTTGAGCACAGGAGGTTGAAGCTGCAATGAACTGTGTTCGTGACACTGCACTCTAATCTGGGCAACACAGGGAGACCCTACGGCAAAAAAAAAAAAAAAAAAAGTAAAAAATAAAAAGAAGAGGAAGACTGAATTACACTTCTACACTTTCTGTATTGAATTATTTTTCTTTCCATACCACATTTTCTTTGGAGTACCCAGATTACTTTTCTGCCCAAAAAGCCCTAAAACCATTTCCTATTTTTAACTAAAATAGTTTTGCTTATTTTTTGCTTTTGTTCCCGGAAAGGATTCTGCAACCCATATGAAGCTCAGTCCTACTGGAAATTATCAAAATGGATGAAATTGTCTTTTAATATCTCATAAAGTAGCCTTGGAAACATCTAAGACTGTTTTTAAAGTACTCATAATATTTTCTTGCTGATTATTTTTTCTTGCTAAATGATTTGCGTGGTAAGTTAAATAAAATATCTTAATCATTCCATTTTAGAGTGAAATATTTGCATTAAATCAAATCTATACTGATTTTCTTACCCAAACCAAAATAACTTTTGGCTTAATAGAGCGTGGAAATCTCCTTCCCAGGTGATAAACTGATACTTGATAATGGCAAATGGATATTTGTATTTATGGGAGAGATGCTTCTGCCCAGATGGTTTGTGCATTTGAATGCACCCAATAAAATAACGTTGGTAATAGAGTAACATAATATTCAACATAATAAGATTACCAACCCAACATAATAACATTGATAATAGAGTTTTAAACCAAGTGGGGAAGAAGATGGCCTTGACGGTACATGTCTTGGGAAGAATGTGGTCTTTGACACCCTGATTCTAACACTGAAGAGGGACTTCCAACTTTGCTTCTCATGTTGCTGGAGCTATTTTTGGTATATGTCAGCATCAGTGGCCTTTATACATGAAAGTGAGCAGCAGACCTGACGGGATTTAACTCAGAAAGTGGTGTTAACAGGAACACCTGATGCTAAAGCTCACTTCACTGAATCCCCGTTCCCACCATGTGCCAAGATGATCTGCAGTGTTAGAAGCTTTGCTCTGAGTTTGTTTATTGAATTACAAATTTGTTTTCAGTGTATTATTTCCTTTTATATATTTTTCTCCTTTTTTCTAGCTCACCTCCCATCATATCCCATTCGTAAACATTTATTTTATTAATAACATACATATATGCAAGTGGTTCTTAAAGTGTAGTCCGTTTACCAGCAGAATCAGTATCACTTTCAAATATATCAGACATGTAAATTCTTGGGCCCCACCCAGACCTACTGAATCAGGGATTCAGGGTTCGGGCACTAGTCATCTGTGTTTTCACAGGTCTTCCAGGTGTTTATGGTGCATGTTCAAGCTGGAGAACCACTAATATGTATGAGTGGGACTGTAGCTTCAAAGTTACAACTAAAGCCTTTTCCTGTCATCTTCTACCAGCAGCACTCAGTCCAGCCTCTGTCTCATTTTCCTGGGCTGAATATGTCCTTTGAAACAATAGAAGAAGACAAGCCCCCATCTCTACAAATCTACCCCTCCCAGGAATCAATCTTGGCTCTTAGCAGGGTAATTAGAATTCATTTCAGTTATATTGAGTTTAAACAGATCCAATACCAAATTTTGGTTAATTTTTCTTGTGTGTAATGCTTCTGGCTTGTTTACTTACCTTTTTTCTTTCATTATATATTTATTGTGTGCCTACTATGGCCCAGGTACTTGAATAAAGGCAACATTGTCTAGATTTGCAGTCTAGTAATTGCACTATGCATTTAAAGTGTATGATTCAATGGCTTTTAGTGTATTTACAAAGTTATGCAACCATCACCACTATCAATCTTAGAACATATTATTACTCCCAAAAGAAACCCCATACCTATTAGCAGTTACTCCCCATTTCCCCTAACACCTTACTCCCGTCCTAGGCAAACACTCATTGACTTTCTTCTCTATGGATTTGCCTAATTTGGATATTTCATATAAATAGAATTATACAATATGTGATCTTTCATGAGTGGCTTCTTTCACTTGACATGTTTCGAAGGTTTATTCATGTTGTAGCATGTATCAGTAACTTACTCATTTTTATTGACAAATAATATTCTATTGAATGAATACACCAATTTTATTCATCTGCTCATCAACTGATGAACATTTGGCCTGTTTCTACTATTATGAATATTGCCACTATTAACATTTCATGTACATGTTTTTGTGTAAACCCGTGTTTTTCTCTTTCCTGGGTCAATATCGAGGAGTTCAGTTGCTGAGTCAAATGATAACTCTACATTTAAGCTATTCCAAAGCAGCTATCCCATTTTACATTCTCCCAAGCAATGTAACTTACAAGGGTTCTTGACTTGGAATTCTAGACACAAGTTTCAAGTTTAAAACATTTTTTTAAATAGCAAAGGGCATCACATCCTAAGACTGGAAAATAAGTTGTCTCATATAACATTTATATATAATATACAAACACACAAATGTAACCCAATTTGTGGGTAGTAAGTACAAATATATATATATAACTTTATGAAGCACATGATTCCTATCATAATGTTTGGCTCTTAGTAAGTTAGCAACAAATGACTATATAATTAATCCAAAGTGAATAGGTGGCTGACTGAAAGAGTAAATGTATAAATGAATGAATAAAGACATACAACGAAGGCTTGGTATGGTGGCTCACGCCTATAATCCCAGCACTTTGGGATACCAAGATGGGTGGATCACTTGAGGCCAGGAGTTCAAGACCAGCCTGGCCAACATGGCAGAACCCTGTTTCTACTAAAAATACAAAAATTAGCTGAGTATGGTGGCAGGTAACTGTAAAACCAGCTACTTGAGAGGCCGAGGTGGGAGAATTGCTTGAACCCGCGGGAGGCAGAGGTTGCAGTGAGCCAAAATCATGCCACGGCACTCCAACCTGGGCAATAGAGCAAGATTCTGTCTCAAAAAAAAAAAAAAAAAAAAAAGGAAGATACACAACTAAATTTCTAGTTTGCATCAGGCAATATGATGAGTTCTTTAGGTTTCCGCTATGCATTTACAAATGTGCTACATGTGTGAAACAGACTTGGCTTTTTTTTTCTCAGTGAAATACAGTAAATCACCCTTATGCTATTAATGAAAATAAATGACCGCCAGCCCACATCAATCAAGTGATATTTCCAAGGTTATTAATTTACATATTATTTGAAGTCCACTAGACACCATGACTACAGGTGGTGATTCTAGAACCAGTGACTGAAACTAAGTAGAAATTTAAATGCATGCTCAGGTTCCTAATTAAAATCTACATGAGAAAATACATCATATGTCTCAAAACACAGATATAAAAATAGTCATTTGAAACAGATCTTATAAGTTGTTGATTGCCTGTGGATTACTGTTACTATTGTAGTTTTTAAAATTTATTTTACTTAAATTTTAAAGAATTCTCTTGAGAGAAAGCACAAAAATCAGGTAGTTGTTTTAATATCTCATTGAGAAATAAAATGACACATTCTTCACCTATCTGTATATGTGAGGATCTAATAGAAAATGCCACAATGAAATGTATTTAGTTATAGATTTTATTGATTTGATTTTCCTGGTATTTCCATATTTAGATTTTTAAAGCTTATTTACTTGATTAAGGTGACAATATTTTATTTCTATAAAATGTTTCTGTTTTTCTGATCTACACTGAAAGGGAAAAAGAGTCAGTAGATGAAGGTGTCCTACTGAGGTACTGCTGTTTATGGAAGAACAGTACACGAAGCAATAAATAGCTCTAGCCAGTGATTAAATGTAGAAACACAGTCGATGTATCTTATGAATACAAATGCCATTTACAGCTTCACATACTTCAATGTCATAAATACTATTTTCATTGCACAAGTAAAAAGATGACAACATAAACTCCATATATATACATAAATGATAAAAATGGCACAAATAAAAACATAGGTACATGTGCCAATCTAAATTATAATTTTATGTTTATATGAATCTATCATGTGGGATCTAATGATTAGTATTTTTTTCATGTAAGTTTAAATACAAGTTTTTAAATAGTGATTACGTGCTCAAGATGGACAATGTGGAGAAGAGAGACTAAGGTTTTATATATGGAAAAACCCTGTCATTAGGAATTAGAAAGACTTAAGGGTCAAAGTCATTAAAGTTTGTCTAACATTAATGTTAAATTGAATTTCTATTTGGCACATGTCTATATAGCCAATACATGTAGGTCTCATCAAATCCAATCCCAGTTCAAATATTTAATGGTTGATCTTTTCAAATAGGAGTGAAAATCTTTCTATAATATTAAAAGGCATTAGAATGTACACTTTAAATGGGTGAATTGATATATAATATGTTAATTATATATAAAAAACAATAAAGCTGTTAAAAAGAACAAATTAAAAAAACTGTATCACAGCATTATTCCCATTTAAAAAAAATTAAAAACTGAGGCTCAGGAAGACTGAGTAACTCTGCCTAAATGTCTGAACTACTAAATATTCAGAGCAGAAAGACCATATGGCACAGAGGTTAACAGTCAGGCTACCCAAGGAAGTGTGCCTGGGCTAACATCCTAGGTCTGCTCTTTGATAAATACCATAGCTAAGAGATATGCCTGTGTCTAACACACCACTGTATGTTAACATAGTTATCCTTAGTTACAGAGGAGTTTGTGTAATGATTAATTTTAAGAGCCAAGAGAAAATCTGAGATCAGTAATTTGAGTATTTGACACAAGCCTAATACATGAATAAGTTCAAGTTTTCTTATTAAGAACAAACTGATATAAGACATGGGAAGGAGCCCAAGACAGATGACACAGTCTGGGGATCCTGAACATTTTTAAATGTGAACAGTTTTTCAGGTGAGAACAAAATCATTGAAGCAGCTAAGTCACTGTTGCCCTTTCTTGTAATTCCATTTACACTTTCCTATTGTTTATGAATTTTTCTGAAGAAGGTATAGGGAGACAAAAGTGATTCTGAAAGTTGAAAATTATAAAAATGTAGGTTAAAGTTCACGAGTAATGTATTTAAAAAATTGTTATATACAAATCAGCACTTGATATGTAATAGAGTATGATGTTTTTCCTAGTTCATATAAATATTCTACATGTCAAGTGATATAGATTTGCAACTAACATTGAACGCATAGGGAATTTGCAAACTTATGTTACAGTAGTTGGATCTATGTAATGCTTTAAATATCATTTACTTTTTTACTTAAAAAAGTGCTTAAAGGCCAGGCATGGTGACTCACACCTGTAATCCTAGCACTTTGGGGGACCAAGGCAGGTGGATCACTTGAAGCCTGGAGTTTGAGACCAGCCTGGCCAACATGGCAAAACCCAGTCTCTACAGAACAAACCAAAAATTAGCTGGGCATAGTGGCGTATGCCTGTAGTCTCAGCTACTCGAGAGGTTGAGGCGAGGGGATGGCTTGAGCACAGGAGGTCAAGGCTGCAGTGAGCGTAAATCATGCCCCCTCCCCCCGCCACACATACAAAGGAGGTGTGTTAAATATTAACGTCATGTAACCTGTTTTACTTTTAAATTAGAACAAAAACGTTGAATGATTATTTATATTTCTTGTAAAATCATGAGATTTGAAGATTATGTATTTGCTTAGCAATAAAAATTTCAGTTGATTGAATACTGAAGTAAATTGAGTTGCCCTACTCTTTTGTCTCATTTATGCTTCCAGTTTCTTTCAAGCAATTTTGGCCTTGACATTTCCATCTCTGGTTTCTTTCTTCTTTGCATTGTGTTTGTCTGTGTTATATGAACAAAGTCATCCTTTGTTTCATATTGTTCCCTCCTTCATGTTTCCATTTTTCTCTCCTCTAGATAATTTCTCTTTGCTTTCCCTACTTTTCTACTTCCTTTTCTCTTTACTACTTAAAAAAAAAAAACCAAAAAAAAGAAGTCTCTTCTATGGTAATATGTTAAAGACAATCAACTATTGCCTGTTGAAGAAGAAAAAGATAAAAAGAAGGGGTGGAGAAGGGGTGGAGTGAGTTGGCTGGTTAACTGGGAAGAAAAGGAGAAACAGCAGAACTGGGTTCTGTTCCTGAACATTGATGTCAAGGCTTTAATTGAGGTGTGGATATGGTGTTGTAACTAGGTTTACCGTGACAGCTCATTTTTGATAAGTATTGTTGTTGCTGAAAGGGGAAAGTTTTATATATTTTGAGAAATATAAATGAAATTTAAAGGAAATGTATATTTAATCTAAAACATACGAAATCTGAAAGTACTCAAGTCATCTGGAAAGCATTAGGTCTTGAATATGAGGAATTTTCTGATACTAACAGAGAAAAACACAAAGGTGACTGAATATACACACAGTCTTCCCAGCCAAAACATGCTTGCCCTTGTTACAAATAATGACTGCTAATCATATGTGAAATGATACAATTAAAGTTAAGATCATTATTAATGACAGCTAAATGATTAAATGTTATTCAATATAATAAATATCCTCTCTTTGGAGTTAGGTGACATTTTAAAGTTATGCATTTGGTTGTTTGGTTTAAACTAACTGAATATTAATCTGCCAGTATCTTGATAGTATAAAATATATCCACAAAAGTGAACATCTTGGCAAAAGATAGATTAATCTCTGTGTAACAGAAAGGCTTGTAGCAACACCCACGTAATAAAAACACTCCACTTGAAACTCAAGACCCAGTTTACTGTTTTTGTTTGGATCATCTTTACCCAGGTTGGCAAATTTATTAAATCAATTCTTTTTTTCTAGATAGCTATGGACATTCTCAGAGAACTGTATTATTAAAGAATGGGTCACCCTAGAGTAAAACTTCAAGAATTGTGGATAAGAAAAAGAAAATCAATATATATGAATTCCAACTATACAACACAAGCTATCCTTACAACAAAATGGTTTAAAATCCCTGTCCTTAATTTTAAAGGCATGAAATGTTGAAATACTATTAATTTGATTACAAAAACGTGATAAAGCATGAGATAGATAACAACAATATTCTTCAGGTGATTAGGTATCACAGTATTTTTTTTTTCCTAAATTACCAGGAATCCTTAGGAATTATACTCCACTACCTTCTACATCTTGAAGAAAATACTATGACTGGATAATATTTGCTGTATGTTGATTGTCAAATATTCCCAAATGCAAAACTTAAAAAGTTTGTATCTCCCATGTGTGATAGACAACATGATCTCTATTTTATTCACCTATCAAAAGAATATAGTATTTTAATTGTAAGTTCACTAGTATGTCCATCCAGTCATGTATTCTTTGTGATAATGGTAGGCATTTAAATTCTATCATTCTAAAATATGTGGCCACAAAAATAAAATGCTGTCTTTTTTGTTGTTGTTTTTTGAGACAGAGTCTCACTCTGTTGCCCAGGCTGGAGTGCAGTGTCGTGATCTCAGCTCACTGCAAGCTCCACCTCCCGGGTTCATGCCATTCTCCTGCCCCAGCCTCCAGAGTACTGGGACTACAGGCACCCGCCACCACGCCCAGCTAATTTTTTGTATTTTTAGTAGAGACAGGGTTTCACCGTGGTCTCGATCTCCTGACCTCGTGATCTGCCTGCCTCGGTCTCCCAAAGTGCTGGGATTACAGGGGTGAGCCACCGCATCTGGCCAACTGCTGTCTTATTTTCTCTCCCATGCTCATTACTTCAGAGGGAGAAACCCCTAGCAACATCATATTGTGGTGCTTCTATGGACACTCATCTAATAGACTATGTTATCTGTAGCCTACTATAATGAGTTATATTATTCAGGAAGTCAGTTTGATCCAAAACATATCCAAATTTTATAGAAAAATGCTAGCTTACAAAGGTGTTTTACTGTGTTTAAAGAATATAAAAAACCTAGTATTGGCTGGGTGCGGTGTCTCACGCCTGTAATCCCAGCACTTTGGGAGGCTGAGGTGGGATGATCACTTGAAGTCAGGAGTTCAAGACCAGCCTGACCAACATGGTGAAACCCCGTCTCTACTAAAAATACAAAAATACACACACACACACAAAAATTAGCCGAGTGTTATGGCAGGCACCTGTAATCCCAGCTACTTGGGGGGCTGAGGCATGAGATCACTTGAACCCGGAAGGCAGAGGTTGCAGTGAGCAGAGATCATGCCATTGCACTCTAGCCTGGGCGACAGAGTGAGACCCTGTCTAAAAACAAAACAAAACAAAATAAAAACCCTAGTATCAGAAGAATAATATAAATAGATCTTTCTCTTCCCCTCTCATGGCAGGCTGCATCCATAAAATTAAAAAAACTGTAAAGGGTTATTAGTTTTTCCTATTTCAGTTTTCACCATCTACTGCTTATTAATTACTTCCTATTGCATTTTCATTGTTAGTGAATATTTGGATAAATAACTGAATTCTCTACTTCCCTTAGTCTATGTAGGCCTACATAAATGGATTCCATATACTTTTGTGCTGTCACAGTCAAACAACAACAACAAAAAAACACGACTCCAACTCTATGGGGTGAAGAAAGATCTTGCTATGAAATTCAGATTTTAGAGATGAATAGTTTTGTTTTGTTTAAATAGGAAGTCATGTTGTAGGCCCTGATTTTTTCTGAATGTGTTTGTTTAATGGAGGAAACGGGAGAGAAAGAGTAAAATAAAACAAGAAAAAGAAATTGAAAGAAAAATTCTATGATTAGAGATTCAAAATAAAATAATATTGAAGTTATTGCTTGAAGACATGATGGTATTTTAAAATATAACAGCTACTTTTTTCTAAATATTTAAACTAGCATAAGTTTGCCAATATGGGGACTCTGATGGACAAATAATAAACTTCCAATAAATACTTGTTTAATGTTACTATGCATCTCTTTAGAAAAGGTATTTCTTTCATCAGAAATTCAATGCCCTATCATTTCAATAGCTGTATTACTTGGGTCAAGGCAAATTTTTTTCTAAATAGTTGTCTTGTTTGTAGAAAATATTTTACCTTGTTTATTAGTTTAGGATAGTTCCTTTTCTATGCTTTTTATTTTTTATGCAGGCTTCAATGTGCCACTTCACTTTAAAAATGCCAAATATAAACTCTTGACTTAAAAATCACTACACACTCTTTTAACCATTCTCCTGAGCATTGATACTTCTGAATTGCTTGCTTTCTTATTCCTGTCTCTTGAAAGTATTCCCCAAAGAAGTAAGATTGTTGAAGCTTTCTTTCCATTTGTCTTTACTTTTCACTTTCTCTGGCACACATCTTTGTGTGCATGGAAGCATAGTACCATCTCAAATCACAAGTTTTTCTGATTATGACTCTTAACAGTATGTCTATCTCAGAGATGAGTCATATACACCTATATGCATACAAGCAAATAAGGCCCTTTGTCAAGGTTTTCACCTTAGTTTTCTTAAGATGTGGAAAGTAATATGAAAGTTAATTATTTCCTTTAAATTTTTTTGGCTAAGGATAATTATTTTCCTTTTCAGTGTTTGGGTTTGCCTGTTTGTACATGAGAACAAAAAGAGAGAAAGATTAAATAATTTCAATTAGGTTACTCTGTCTCATTTTTTCAGGCAAAATGTTGAAGAAATTAGATTTGATTTACTGAAAAAAATCACAGAAAAATGTTTGTACATACATATACTCATATAAAAACTACAACAAAAACATAATTTTATGCTGCCAACATTCACAGTATCACCTAAAAAAAGGAAGAATAAACATTTCATGGCAATCAAGTTTTTATTGTTCTTTATTCACTTTTAGTTACTAAAAAATGAAATGTATATGAACAAATTAAATATATGAATTAAAAACTGAGATTTAGCCAAAAGGTGCCAATCGCAAGTTTGTTGTAGGTAAAGGTCAGTGATTTGCATGAATTAAATCTCTTTAAACTTTGTTCTAGAAATGATTAAATGCAAAAATCTCCTGCAATACTTCACTAACTTACTAATTAAAATATTTCTTCTTAAATGAATAGTAGATACTGATTTGCGACTTCTTGCTCATTTATAACCTGTAATATATTAACTGTATTTACTGCACATTTACATCATTTACTATAACAGCTTAACAACAATCCTTATGATTTGTCAACATGTTGAACAGCAAATTTATCGTGATTAAGCAAAATTTTATTAAGATTAATGGGATATAATCTGATTTTAAGGGAATTTTCCAAAATAACAGAACTGAGCTGAAAAAATGCATTGTTATGGGTATAGTTAATCCAACAGAAACCTAATGCTATGTTATGGAAATGGTCTTCTTTTAGCTGTCATACATTTAAAAAAAAACCACATTTTGAATATCCTCAATAAGAAGGTTTAGATTGGTAAAAAGCAATTAATAGCAAACCTCGCAACAGAGTATTAAACAATGATTTAGGCTCACAGATGATAACCAACCCTTTCAGTAAGAATTGTAGAAGCAATATCTTTCCTCAACAGCTTCACATATTGGAGAACTCAGTGCTTCAACAGAGTGATCCAAAGAAATTGAGATTTGGCTCAAAGGCCAACAAAGTTAATAATAAAGGCTGACTTACCTTCTCTACAAGCTTATTACATTCTTTTATTCTTTAAGCCCTTTCTCCTAAAGATATAAAATTGGAAACAGTGTACCATAGTGGGAAGTCTGGAGTTGATGTTGAAATAATTGACAGAATATATAACAATGGTATTTTTAGGTAGTGAGGCTATTGATACCAACATATCACATAGACAATAATGGGCATCTCTAATTCTGCTCTTCTTAGTCCTCATGCTGGGGAAGAAAGTCTGCTTTTGAATTATTAAAAATGGAAGAAATGATGGATTTGACTATTTACTTATCTAATTTTGGAGTGGAATGCTATCTTCAGTTATATAAAATATCCCTCCTGAGCTGTAGTTCTCAATCCCATTACATCCCACTTCATCCCTCATTTGCGCAGCTCCTGCTGCCACAGTATCCATGCCTAGCATAAAACAAACTAAGTTAAGTCACGGTGGGGTGCCTTTTGTGAGGCCACTCAGAGTAGAAAGAAACAAAGAGCAAGACAGAGATGCGAAGAACATAAAGAAAACAAATAAGGCATTAAAAAAAGGAGAAATAAGTGGGAAGGAAAAATAAATTCACCAGGCTAAGCATCATAAAATCACACACGCTCTTAAAATTTGGCCAGTAATTAATAGTAGTAGTATTATTATTAGTCTTTGTTTTGGGAGATTGCCTTCAGAGAGCTGGAAAATTCATTTCGAATTAATAAGGGTCTTTTTCTTTCAGAAGCATCTCCTAAAAATAAGAACGGGCTAATTAAAAATCTGACAGCCACCCCGATACTTACAGAATTTTTGCATATGCAGGATAGTCATCACAAATTGTATTCTCTGCACGTCATGTCAAAAGTATTCTCATACACTACTAGAGGGAGCTTAAGAATTTAAGGTGTGCAAGAATATATTTCTATCTTTGGCCCACCAGGGCCCTCTTGTAGGAGGCCTGTGTTGGGCGGGAGAGGCCTAGTCGCAGACCCTGTCTTTTCAAGGAGAAAGCCCGCCACTGCTTCCTCTGAGTCTGGAGATAAAACCAGTCCGGCATTGCTACTCCCTAGCTCTCTCCCCCTCCCTTAATTCCTCCTCTACATTTCAGGCGCATTTCTCAGAGTGCCACCTGTTCCTGCTGCTTACCCTTTTCATGCCTTCGCATTGACAAAAGTGAGCTCACCCTGCGGTAACCTTGTCAGGCAGGGCAGGCCAGTGGCCAGAGCAGGGCGTTAGGACCCTTTTGGAGGTAGTCCCAACTGGGATGCTGCAAAGCGCTTCTCTTACTACTGTCCTCCCTAGATGCAGAATTCGTCCCTCCACCCCTCTGTCCAATGGAACCACAGGGCTGGGAAGATTTTACAGCGTCAGTACTTCTCTGTCCGTCCACAGCCCGGTCCCTGAGGCTCTGTCCTCGCCAGGTGAGCCGAGCAGTACCTGGGCGTGGGACCGCTGGCACAAAGGGCACCCAGCCCCGGCAGAGGCTCTAACCTATGGCACACGCGGGCATATAGTGCCACCTGGTAGAGAGTCAACAGTGGTGCTTTAAAATGCAATACAAACCCCTCCTACATTTGTTGTCAAATCACTTCACGATTCCCAGGCAGGCACTGGATTCTGCGCCTGGGAGTAGGGCTGGGGGGGAACGCTGCCTGCATGTGCAAAAATAACCCCCGAAGACGCGAGCCAAGTCCTGGGTTGGAGCCTCTGCAGCCTGTGGATGCCCGCTGGGCGGCTGGCCGTCCCCCGGGAGCCCCGCGGGGCTGGTCCGCTCCGCCTGCGCACGCCGGGCGGCGGGAGCGAGCCGGCGCCGACTTTGGGAGTTCCTGGCTGCCTTGTATGGAGGGCTGCTCCCGGCCCGTCTCCGCCCGACTGCTCTGACGCCCAGCCCTCCCGCTGCCCACCCCCAGCCGCCTCCCTCTGACTTGCCTAAGAAGCCAGACGGAGCCTCTCGCTTCCACAAGTCTCTCTGCCTGCCATTCCCCGATTCCTGCAGCCACCCCCACCCTCCAGCGCCGTCACCCCTCCTCCGCCCCCGCCCCCGCCTCCGCCTTCGCCTCGGCAATCGGGGGAATAAATCAGGGAGGAAACCGAGAGGGAGAGCGAGAGCGCGCGAGCGCCGGCGGGCTCGCCGAGGTCTGTTTCCAAAGTCGCCCTTGATGGCGGCGGAGGCAAGGCGGCCGCGGCGCGGAGCAGCCGACGCACGCTAGTGGGTCCGCCCGCCACCGCCCCTTCCTCGGCGTCCGCTCCCGCCCTTGCCGTCCCCCGCGCGGCTCCGCGCCTCGGGCCCCGGGCGCAGCCAGCCCTCCAGACGCCCGCGGTCCCGGCGGCGTGTGCTGCTCTTCCTCCGCCCGCGGTTTCCAGCGCCGCTCCTTCCCCCGCTTGGGCAGGGAGGGGGCATTGATCTTCGATCGCGAAGATGGCTGCTGGCTGCCTGCTGGCCTTGACTCTGACACTTTTCCAATCTTTGCTCATCGGCCCCTCGTCGGAGGAGCCGTTCCCTTCGGCCGTCACGTAAGTCGGCGGGCCGGGCAGGGAGCGCCGGCCGAGGGGCGCCGCGGGAGTTGGGGGTGGGGGTCGGTTCCCGAGTCGCGGGGCTTTTCCGCCCGTGGGGGTGGGGAGCGAGCGGCCGGGGAGCCAGGCTCGGATGCGGAGACGCCGGGCAGGCGGTGCGCGCCGCTCGCCGCTGGAATGCGTCCCGAACCGGCGTCTCGGGCGCCTCCACGGGGCCGGGCACTGGGGGCCGACTGTCCCGGGAAGCGCCCGCCGACGACTCGCGGCGTCTCAGCCCGTCTCTAACGGGATTCTCTAGACTTCAGAGTGCAGCCGTACTGGGGAAAAAAGTTTCCAGCCAGCTCACCCGCTCTGATTCAACCCAGTTCAATAAAAAGTTATGTTTTGGTTGGGTAATTTACAAACAGGTAATTTCAGGCTTGCCGAGGTAGCGTGGACTTCCCCCGCACTTGGCCTCGGAGATGCTCTTTAATTGCTGTAGTGCCCAAACTCGTTTTATCCCACGTTACTGGATGCACTTGACAGCCTTCCGATTAGACGCGTGCTGGCTCCCCGCGGCCGAGCGTGCTGTCCACGCAGGGGGCTCGCAGGTACTGGGACCACGCGATCCAACCTCCCCAACCCATTATTTGAAACATCTAAGTGTCGGCAGACACGCGGTCCCTGTTCTTCAAATGAATAGAGCCTATTCTTTGAAGGAGGGACTATTTCCAGTCTCCTACAAATTTTCTTTTATTTTTACCATTTCTAAAATAACTTTTAAAAACCTCGCTGCTGTTCTGGAAATAGAGGGCTTATAGGTAGCTATAGTCACACCACAGGAAGGGAATGAAAAATAATAATTCTCTCCTTTCTTAGCAAAATAGAATCAAACTCAATGGCACATATAAATATATACATATTTTTTAATGCACCGAATAGCCTATCCGGCATTCTGGGAAAGCATTTATTTTGGTTCTTGGAGCTTCTTTAAAGCTTCTAAAGGTAGGTAATCTTAAGTGGATGAGTCACTTTAATGCATTTTACATAACAAAAACAAAGCCCAAGGTAGCTTTCCCGGTATTTATGCTGCTGGGAATTACTTGCTGTCCTTTGTTGGCTGAGTGCTGAATACAGGAGTTTTTGGTGGAAAGTAACAGTGAATCTTTAGCGGTTGAAATCCTGCGGCTATTATTTAAGATTCAGTTTTAAGTATTTATTACCTTAGGTGTCAGTGCAAGAATCTGGAGGATGCACATTCTATCCCGGAGAAGGGGAGTGTCTAATTTTTGTTGTCATTGAGTTACAGTAATGTTCCTCTTTAGATAATCTTCCATAAAACTGATTGCAGATCCTTTTTGTTATGAAGCAAAAGGGTAAATGCCATCTGGAGATCTTCGTTTAATTGGCAGGATGTTCCAGTCAGATATTTTTAAACATAAAAAGAGTAAGAATCACCCTAAGGATGCTTCAGAATTATTTACTCTTATTAAGGCATCACACTTCCATTTAATTTTTTAAGTCTGTTTGTTGCTTGGCCTGTAAAGTGAGAACTCAAATGAGTCGCTTGCATTCTGTGTCAAATAAATAAGTGGCTCTTTAAAAAACAATCACTTCCTAAATGTGTTCCGATTACTCATTTTTACAGTGTTGTTTTTAACTGACAATTTATCAATATTTTTATCATGGGAGGGGATACATCATCATACCATTGGGGAAAACTACAACAAAATACAACCTTTTATTCCTCAACATACTGTGGTAAAATATTAATGTAAAAATCCTTATTGTTAAGAAGAACATCTGCAATAATGCTTTCCTAAAATTATAAGTAAATCAATTTTCATGGTCAGAAATTTACTAGACACAAGAAAGAGTATATATAGTGGGTTAAAATGGGAAGTAGGACATCACAATTTCTTTTCTTTGGAAGGATCTGAAATTTTTTTTAACGATGAAAATTCAAGATATTTTCAAATTATATAAGACATTGATTATTTAATGAATGAAATACTTAATAAAAGGTTTTGTGGAGCGAAGTCAATCTCCTGTAGGTAATCTTAACAATATTTTTGGAAGCCTTCTGCATCTTCAGTTTTTCATTTGAAAAGTTAGTAACACTGTCTTCTGAGGAAAGAACTGATGGTTGACATTTGTACTTCATGTTAGATTTCTGAATAAACTTTATGAAATTAAAAAATGCAATATTTTTCATAAAGATGTGCCATTTGCTTTTCTTTCGAGAAAAGAATTCATATGCACTGTTTAATCAGGACAAATCTCAAATCTTTGGGGGAAAATTTCAAATTTATAAAAACTGAGTGCAAAGACTGTAGTGTCAATAAAGGCAAATTATTATGCTTCTGTATGTAAATTTCTCTCGGAATCATTAGTAAATATTTTTGGGTTTTTTTTTTTGCCAGTTTCATTTTTCACAGAAAAAGTAATGTAAGAAGTTTTTATCAGCTGAAGAGGAAGAGCATGCCATCACACACTATAAAATTAATTATGCACTAATTGGAGTTGGACTTCAATTAGAATTAGTAGTTCAAAGTTTTTTTTTAAAAATATAGAGTGTTTACATTTGTGTGAAGGGCTTAAATTCTATTATGGTAAAACAAATGATGTGTCAGTTAAGTATCTTCTTTCATTTTTTGCTCTCCTGTTTAACATACATTCTAATATAAATTTTCTTTTGGATTAAAGTAGTAGTTAACCTGTTCTAAGAGTTAACACTAAAATAGATGTTTTTCAGACAAGGAAATTTTGATATGATTATTTCTCTGGGTTAGGTGTTTCTTTTGGAAATGTTTGTCTCCCTAAGGTGTGAAACATAAATACATGATATGGTAGCAGCCACATAATGTGTATTGGTTGATATATAAATGGAAAATATATCATTTTTATGCTATAGTATGCACATGTCGTATTGGTATTTTTAAAATGTAGCTTTCAAAAAGGGTAGTTGTCCGTTTTTCTAGAAATAATTTCTTGTCACATGTTAAAAGACTTCTATTTTAATATTTAGAATTACATGTGTGATAGCCAGTATTATAATGGTAATTTAAATTTGTCCTTAATTTTAGAATCTATTTACAAATGCAATTAAAAAATATATAGTTATAACTGTTAATATCAAACTTTTATCTCAGTCACATCAAAATGCCAGTCAGTCTACAATAATTGGCTGAGAGCCTATTGGTATACAGGGATTTTAATATAAAGTGTACAATGGTATAAATATAAAACTAAGAATTGTGGATATCCACAGGAAATAAGCATAAATTCTCATAGAAGTATAGTACTTTTGGCTTTAATTACTTAGGATATTTTTTTTTCCTGTTATTAGAGAAATTTGTATTTAAGGCTATAAAGGAGAAATTTTGTATGTCAGGATATTGTAATGGATATCTGTTCCATGCATTATAAGTGACATAATTATTCTCACTTGAAGTCAGCAGTTTCTGTTTACATTTTACATACACAAGGAAATGTGCCATATGATCAATTATGAGATAAAATATTAAATGTAAAATAAAACCTGAAACAGTGAACATTAATAAACTTTTCTCAAGTCTTTAATTTTGTTCTCATCGGCTTAACCATATAACATTTACTATTCCACAGATGTATGTTTTAAAATATGCAACAATAGATATATTTTTCCACGTAAGTAGTAATATTATGTTAAATTTATTAATGTTACACATAGCTATATGTGTAGCTATTTGGATTGGCATTTGAATGAAAATTAAGCAGACTGAAATGGATATAATTTTTGAAAAAAATGTAAGAAAATACAAGAATCTAAGCATATTATGGTTTATTAAAGGGAAATGAAATGTGCCTTTATTATCTCCCCCTCCCATGGCTTTCATTAATTTAATTTAATAAATATACATAAAATTTGAATATAAAGTAGGTGGTTCATTTTGACAATAGATAAGAGCTTTACAGTTGTTTTCTTCACAACAAACTGACTGTGTAGACATCTTTCTGTTATTTCTCCAACATTGATAAAACTAACAATAAAATACTCTTCTTTCTAGGGTTTACACATAGTAAATTTTTACAAAAACATAACATATGGAAATTATTATTGTGCTAAAATTTAGTATATATAGGAGTATATATTCATAAACAATAATGCATTGAGAAATTTTACAAATAATTTTTACAATAGTGCTCATAACAAACTATATAATTTACATATTCTCTGGAGTATCATTATATAAAGCACCTCTTAAGGTTTCTCTTGATTTCCCTATTTCTCAATATAGATGCAAGTTTCCAAGAATTTCCTAGCACATGTCTTCAAGCTATTTATAACTTTAAATTGGAGATTTAAATGGGTAAAATGAAACATATCTTAGGCAAATCATGCAATTTGTTGATCTCATTTAATGTCTTATATGTATGGACATAAGCATTTCTAACGTAAGTATACATAACATTTTGGGAAAAAAATCAGAATTTCAGTATTTCAAAAAAGTAACATTTTATTGTTATTAAAATGACAACGGTCCATTATTTCTATTAAAAGAGCTGTCTGTGGTAGTGTTTCAAAAAGCAGGTCAGCTGCTTTCCATGGGGAACAAACTTTGTTCTATTATATCGCCTCCACATTTACTTAAGGCTTACAGTGTGCATCAAGCACTGTGTCACTAACTGTGTCAACCAGTCTTTCTTTTCATGAACTATCTGTGAGCAGTACCACGACTGTTCCCAAGGCTTTCATACAGTTGCTTTCCAGTAAACTAGGAATGGGCTGTGATGGCCAACCATGTAGCTTACACAGGATTCATTTTTTTGTATGTGCACTGAAACATGTAAACGATTGCGTAGTGTTGTTTACAGAGTTGAAAGAAAAAGGCAATTGACCTCAATGTCAATTAAGTAAAAGTGGCAGCACTTTGTGAAAAAATACTATGTTACTACCTTTTCCTTGAGAGTCCAAAATATTAACATCGTATAATTAGATAACTTTCCTAGTTTGTGTCACTATATAGTATTCTATTTAATAGATAGTATTTTATGTATATGCAAATACACATATATACGTGTGTATGTCCATACATATTTTTAAAACTTTAAGTGGATTGACAGAGTAGAAAAACCTCAGTAAGGTAAGTTTATTAACAAGTGTGCATACCTTAGGTCTTCTGTCAGTCCACAACTGTTTTCAGGGATTAAATCTAACTTAATAACACCAGCATTTAAGAATGATTTGCCAAGACAATTAAATGAGATATTGCATACACAAGCAGCCTGAAAATGCTCAAGTCCTATAGAGACGGGTTACTAACATAATTGACAAGTAATTAAAAAAGTGATTCTAAAGACAGTTTTGCTGTCTTTTAAACAAGTGTGAGAAAGAAACTATACCATTTGAAATGTTGGCACCTATTAAAAGTTCTTTACATACTAAGCAGTTTTATTTCTTTCATTTAGATAAGATATACTTTGAAATTTAGAATTAAACATATTTGGTGGTGTGATATTTTAGGAATGAAGGCAAATGTGCACAGGTTTAAAATTTTTATTTGTAAAATATAAGCTCTTAAATATCCCTTCTTTGTAGGCTTTACATCTTTTGTAGTAATTCAGTACATAGAATCAGCTACTCTTAGCAGTTTTTAAAAATGAGTAAAGAAAGCGGTCATTGCTCCTTTATATTTTGCCACTTGTTTGTACAGGTTATGAACGAGGAAAAGATTGACTTTGTGGCCTCAACAAACCGGCACACTTTTTATAGTTAATTTCAATAATTCAGAATTAGGCTGTTATATATAAAGCAATATTTGAAGTTCTCTTTGAATATGAATGTGGGATATTTCTGGCTAAATGTTATTTTAACATTTGCTTCTGCTGATTTTTTTTAACCATATGCTCTGTGGATTTAAAAAATTAGGATACATTTAAAATTCTGTATCATAAATGGAAGAAAAACTTGAACTGGTGGCAGTAGAAAATAATGGTGCTGGCCATTTTAAATGCTTCAGATTTGGGGATAATCTTACTGTCTATTTGAAGCTCTTTTTTTCTGTGTAATTAAAAATACGCTATGGTGGTCTTCTGGCAAATGATGGAAAGCAATTCCAATGTTATTTTATTCAAATAATAAATTCTGGTTTCTCTCTCTTTCATACACATGCATATAATTACTATTAACCATAACATTATTATTTGTATATAACATCAAATCAAATGAAAAATTTTAAAATGTGTTTCTCTTAAGTTACCCATGATCAGACCTCAATTTCAGGTCCTTTTCACTTCAATCTGTGCTCCCTGTTTCAGATTTCCTGTTATCACCAGACATTTCTCTCTAAGAGAAATTGTTGAGGGATTTTGATATACAGATAAACCTGTAATATGTAATCAACACATACCAAAGTTGTCAAGCAAGTCTAGAGAATTGTTTCTTTTGATATTTGCCCAATACCTTAGGGATAATTAGGGAAAAGAGGGGAAAGAGCTAATAAAATTTTTCTAAGGTGCATACTGTCAAACTATGTGAAGGGATGGTTAAATATTAATAATGCCATATTTTGAGAGTTACAAGAGGGATGGTGCAATGAAATAAATGGGCTCAGGCAGACTGCAAAAATCTCTTGTTTTTAAAAAGTGAGCAACAGGCATTGTGGTGAAAATACTCTGAGGAGTGATGGATGTGTAAGTGGGGCAGAGAGAAGAGCCCTCAGATTTATGAGGTGCAAAATTACATTAAAGATACTAAAGGTAGCAGTTGGTTATTTTTCTTAATGCTTCTGTTTTCTTCATTTCCCATATGAGCTTGGTTATATTGGAAATGCTGCTTCCTAAACATAATAATCATTTTTAGAGACTTAAATATTCACATTTGGAAATTCACCTTAGAGACCAAAGACAATAAAATTATCTAGATCTCAGAACATAAGTACTTAAAAATTCTTAGTTTTTATGAAATTCTGGGAAATGGTTTATTGGATAAGAAACACTAGTATAACATTTAATTAAGAGCTTAAGTGCTAATCAACAAGAAAGAAATTCTGTTAGAAAATTTTTTTCATTAGATTACAAGAAAGAAATAACTTGCAGGTAAGCAGCCTTCTAGGTAGTATACTTAAAACTAGGCTTCTAAATAAATAGTACATTTTATTTTTGAAGTTGTTTTAATTTATATTGCCTTTTTAAATATTTCTTGTTTCAAATATTTTTTAACACCAAATATAATTTAATTCAACAATTAACGTGATGATGATTATTATTCAGTGCAAATTACGTACTGCGCTGAGCTACATGTTGAGAATACAAACTGAGGGAAGAGAGTCCCTAAGGAAAACATTAGCAACTCCAAGCTGACTATGGAACACTGGGATACATCAGAGCATGACCAAGGAAAAAGTACATTGCATACTGAAGGGGCATGGTCTAAAGAAACGTGGTCTGTTCTTTGTTAGGCATTGGACTTGTCAATTGGAAGTGATGTTGGTAGCTATTGGCTTAAGTCTGGTTATAAATTTCTTGCATCCTGACCCAAGGAGGGGATGAGCAGTGCTCATATTACATCGACATTTGCAATAGCCCTGTTTGGTGTACCAACACAAATTTGGTCTTCTATCCTGTGTTGCTGTTGAGATTTTTAAATTAAAAAAAAAAAGTAATAGGTTTGAATCATAATATGTAGAAGATGGATTAAGGCGGGCCAGTATATTAGGCAGAGGCAATGAGACTAGTTAGTATACCATTGCAGCATTCACTGAACCAGAGATGATGCCCGAGGTTTCAAAAAGATTAGTGGCAGTGAGAAGGTGAAGCAGGTATGAAGTAGAAGTACAATTTCAGGACTTGGTGGTTGTGAGATTTGGGGAATCAGGAAAGGAAGAAGAATTGGAGATGACTTTTAGATCTCTAACATGTAGATCATGTGTCATTAAATTTTGTAGGCTAGAGAACACAGGAGGAATGCAGGTTGATGTTGTGAGAGTGGGAGTAGGTTGATCGTTGGACATTTGGAGTTTGCAGTGTCTTTTAGATGTCTGTTAGGCCCTTAGAAATATGTATCTGGGCCGGGCATGGTGGCTCACACCTGTAATCCCAGCACTTTGGGAGGCCGAGGTGGGCAGATCATGAGGTCAGGAGAGATCGAGACAATCCTGGCTAACACGGTGAAACCCCATCTCTACTAAAAATACAAAAAATTAGCCGGGTGTGATGGCATGCGCCTGTAGTCCCAGCTGCTGAGGAGGCTGAGGCAGGGGAATCACTTGAACCCGGGAGGCGGATGTTGCAGTGAGCCAAGATTGTGCCACTGCATTCCAGCCTGGGTGACAGAGTGAGACTCCGTCTCAAAAAAAAAAAAAAAAAAAAAAAGTATCTGAAGAGAGTTTGGAGACAAATTCAGAGAGCAATACTTTTGAAGGCAGAAGAAGGATTTTTTTCATTTATTTAACTCATATTTATCTATAATCTACTAAGATAGACACTGAGTTTCAAAAGAAGGGCCTTGATTTACAGTTTCATTTTGTGGAGAGGTCAAACTAGATGACCCCTTAAAGGAAGTCATCAGGCCACTGATGAAAGAAAGAAGTCTAAGTAGCGTGTCAGGGACAGAAGCATGGTTTCAGTGGCTTGAGGAGTTGGTCAAGTTGAGAATATGGAGACAAGTGCAGATTGTTTCTTCCAGGAATTCGGTGACATGAGGAAAGTGAGAGATAATAGAGTAAATTCAGAGGAAGACATTATCCTTAGCAAACTAACACAGGAACAGAAAACCAAATACTGCATGTTCTCACTTATAAAGTGGAACAACATAATGAGAACACGTGGACACATAGAGGGGATCAACACACACTGGGACCTTTCAGAGGGTGGAGAGTGGGAGGAGTGAGAGGATCAGAAAAAATAACTAATGAGTACTTAATTAAGTACTTAATTAATAACTAATTAAGTAGACTTAATGCCTGGCTGATGAAATCATCTGTACAACAAACCCCTATGACACAAGTTTACCTATGTTACATACCTCCACTTTTACCCCTCAACTTAAAAATAAAAGTTAAGAAAAAACAATAAATAGTAAGTTAATATTAGGCCGTTTGGGATTGTAGATTGTACAAAACCATAGGACTATCTTAAACCAAAAAGAGAAATATTTTTAAATGGTAGTGGAGCTGGATGATCCATCATGGGAGTTCAGGTCAAGGATGTTCCAACAACTGCAGAAAAAGGTGAGACTGCTATCATGATAATCTCTCAAGTCATTTTCTGCTTTTCTTTGTGTCACTTCTTTCTTCTCTTTCTCTATAAATTGGCATTATCTGCCTCCAGTGCTCATGGTGTTGAATGGTTGCGAGGGATTATGCTTTCTCCTTTGAAGCCTTGAACCAGCTTGAGTGTAGAATTCTAGTCCTAAAGATAACCTCCCAAAGAAGATGTGTTGACAGTCTGAATGTGGGCCAGATGGCCACTTACAGTCCATTTAATTGTGACCAGGAGATGGGATTTGGAAAAGAGACTCTGGTTGCCTGAGCTTGGGTTAGTTCACCATATCTGGTCCAGTCTTCTTAGGAGGTATTACATGGTAAAAGGCCAGTTGCTATTACCCTGGATAGGGGAAGAGCCGATTCTCAGAAAAAGGCTCTGGTGAGAAGGGTGGGGAAGGTGTGGAAGGCTGTACAGACAACTAAATAGTGTTACCAGAAGGGAGATTCCAGTATCTCAGAGGGAGAAGACCAAATGTCAGAGAGATGAAAGCAATGAGATGCCATGATTGATGGATGAATGTTCTGATAGAGGCAGGTGAGGAAGGGATCAAGACTAAACACAATGTCTTACAAAGTAACTTTTGAAATATGAAACAGCCTTGAGAATTAAAGCAGATGGTTGGAATACAGGATAGATATAATTTTAATTTACTGGAGATGTTTTTAGAGGAATGATTTAAATTACATATTCCATTCTCAAGAAGGAATGACATAATTCAGAAATGTAATACATACACATTAGTAATATTCAAATTTTGAGAGGAATGGACTAGAGTTTTTCTTTCAGTGGTAGTAACAAGACTCCAGTTTGCCACTATATTACCTTTGGACACAGCAACATTTGGTTCTCACTTGTCTTTATTTTTCATTTACTTCTTTCCTAGGAGAGATTATCATCTTAAAGATTCATGTAGTTTTATAACATGTCGTTAGAATTTTTTTTTTTTTTTGAGATGGAGTCTCACTGTGTCACTCAGGCTGGAGTGCAGTGGTGTGATCTCAGCTCACTGCAATCTCTGCCTTCCGGCTTCAAGTGATTTTTTTGTCTCAGCCTCCTGAGTAGCTGGGACTACAGGCGCACGCCACCACACCCGGCTAACTTTTTTGTATATTTAGTAGAGATGGGGCTTCACCATATTGGTCAGGCTGGTCTCGAACTCCTGACCTCAAGCAATCCACCTGCCTTGGCCTCCCAAAGTGCTAGGATTACAGGCGTGAGCCGCGACACCCAGCCGATGTCATTAGATTTTAAGTGTGTGGTGCTTGTGGTAGAAAGATCTTCCAGTAATATCATTGAAAAAGAAACAGATAAAAGAACAAATAGTTCTTTCCTTTGGCAATTGAGCATTACTTATTCATTAATTTTAAGCAGATAGTAGTGGTTTACTGCCCCACTCTATTGGTGCTTCCTGCCCCCAGTAGAAGGGAGAAGTTTTGGTCGAAACAGATCCTTGTCAAGAAAAGAAAACAGTAAACTCTAGAAGATTAAAAAACCACTGGAATTTGGGCGAGGGCTCGCTTGTAGGCTCAGCTGTTGGGGAGGCTGAGGCAGGAAGATCGCTTGAGCCCAGGAGTTCAAATCTTGCCTGGGCAACATAGGCTCATCTCTAAACAAATAAACAAACAAAAAACTGACAGAATATCCCTGCAAAGCATATCCTTGGTTAAACCTCACTGAGGCATCCCAGGTCTCTTGAAGGTCTGGAAATTACTGGCACTTGCCATCACGGCAGTTCCTGAGTTTCCAAGATGAATGAATGAATGGTTAGGATTGCAAATGCCAGTGGATCTAAGAATCAGTCTTCATCTCATTGGTACCATTGCAGTGTGGAAAAACCATGCTTGCGGTTTGTGGCAAGAGATAAGAAGAGTTAGGGTGGGCTATTTATTTCCCTTTTGTGACTTTGCTCTTTTTTCTCTCCCATAGATATTCACAGTTTGAACTAATTTTGGTGTCTCCACCTGCAGTGTCTGAACAGTAATAATTACTAACAATCATTCTTCAATTACAATAATATTGTTTTCTGACATTTTTGAGCTCCTTCTGTATGCCAGGCACTATTAATTAGTACTCTCCAATTTTTTTTTTTTTTTTTTTTTAAGACAGAGTCTTGTTCTGTTGCCCAGGCTGGAGTGGAGTGGCGTGATCTCGGCTCACTGCAACCTCCACCTCCTGGGTTCAAGTGATTCTCCTGCCTCAGCCTCCCTAGTAGCTGGGATTACAGGTGCGTGCCACCATGCCCGGCTAATTTTTGTATTTTTAGTAGAGATAGGGTTTCACCATGTTGGCCAGGCTGGTCTCCAACACCTGACCTCAGTAATCCACCCACCTCAACCTCCAAAGTGCTGGGGTTACAGGCGTGAGCCACTGCGCCTGGCCTCATGTTTTTTAATCCATCTAACCTTCAAGGCAATCCTCGGAGATAAGTATTATTATTATCTTTGTTTTGTAAATGCGGGAACAAGTTTAGGGTATGAAGAACTTTTTTGAATTTCCTTAGGAGTTCAGATTTGATCTCAAGCAGCTCAATTCTAGATTCCTACACTTACCTGCTGAACTTTGCTGCCCTTTGCAGAAGCTTTGAGGTCTTAGCATCTATTATCTCGCCTGGCTGCATATTCCAGCAATAAGATTGAGAGAGAGGAGTCATGTAAAGTAGAACATAACTAACTCTCAGCCTTGATTTCTCCATCTGTAGAACAAAGATAGTATTTTTGCTTCCTGCATCCAATGTTATCGTGAGGATTAAATGAAAGAATGCGTGGGGAACTTTGAAGGACTGTTTAATAGCCAGGCTTCATTATGTGTGCCTTATGTGGTTTTTCTGCCTTTAAGAGATCACGAATTGATGACTATGGATTAGTGAGCTAGATTATTGTGCTAATATATAACCATTTGGGCCATGAGAAAAACTTAAAATGAATGGAAAAAGGGATGCTTAGCAGGTCTTAAAAATGTCTCCTCCTAAAACCTGTGCAGTCTTTCATCATAAAAGGGAAAGGGAAAGAGATGCGGTGGAGTGTAAGTGGAATAGGGTGGGTGAACTGTTCCATCCCTAGGTTAAGGACAAAACCAGTGTCCTAAAAGAGACCGTGAAGAAAGCAGAACCACAAAGCATTTGATGTGCTTTGTTGTGACATTTCAGTCAGCACCTGTTGTAGGAGAACTGTGCCACAGAGAGTGAATCTATTTTTAAAAGTCATAGCTTTACCACCAATATCCTCTCATTGTCAAAGATGTGAGTTTTTAGCCCCAAAACAGAATATCTGAAAGTTAATAATGCAATCTATCCAGGATGTTTATAGAAATGATTCCAGACTACCCTACAAATTGAGCAAGTGCAGGATAGTAAAATCAAGACCAGTTGCGTTTTTCGCAACCAATACAGAAGTTGGCAAAAATCTGCCAAGAGCGTACTGAAAAAGGCCAGCGTTTACTTGACTCATCCAGCTGATGGTTAGTTACACTCATCTAACTCCAGCCCTTCACTTTGCAATATAAATGGAGTTGAGCCTCTCATAAACACTGTTCTCTTGTTGGTAGAAATCAAACACTGAAATAAAATTTCTGGTGCAAATTTGGAGTTGATTTATGGATAAAAGATGTTTTAGATTAACCAATACATTAATACCATGACTAATGATTAATGATTACAACTTGATGATAACCATTGAAGCAGCAAGCTTTCAATGCCAGGAATCTGGTTTTTTTTTTTTTTTGAGATGGAGTCTGTCTCTATCACCCAGGCTGGAGTGCAACTGCCTGATCTTAGCTCACTGCAACCTCCGCCTCCTGGGTTCAAGCAATTCTCCTGCCTCAGCCTCCTGAGTAGCTGGGATTACAGGTGCCAACCACCATGCCTGGCTAATTTTTTTATATTCTGAGTAGAGACGGGGTTCACCATATTGGCCAGGCTGGTCTCGGGCTCCTGACCTCAGGTGATCTGCCTGCCTCGGCTTCCCAAAGTGTTAGGATTACTACAGGTGTGAGCCACTGCGCCCAGCCAACATGGCCTTTTTATAGCAGTCATTTTGACATTTGCCATAGAAAAGAATGTGTAAAATTTTTATGAAGTTTGTCACTTTAAAAATACCACCCTGTCTTTGTCATGACATTTTATTAGAATTGACTTAAATTTACATCTGCAAAAATGTTGGGGGACTTAAACAAATGGGCCATATGAAGCCTCAGGAAGATGGGCACAATGGAGGCTGTGCAGACTGCTCTAAATTAAACATATTAGCTGCTTGGCTGTCAGTCCAAACACCTGATTTTCCTGTCGATATAAGTGTAGAAATTGGCATTAATTTTTATGAGGCAAAATTTTATTGTGAATGGGTAGCTTAGTTCCCAGAGGATTGATACATGGGTGTCAAGGTCTATTGGTGAGTAATTGTTTAAAATTTATATTTTTGCTCGATGGTAATGAATAAACATAGGGGAATGGTAACTCATCACAGACCAAATCATGCGTGATAATTATATGAGGTCATTCATCTCCTTAACTTATCAGATGTGACACAACCTGTCTGTGTGGCATCTAAAGGCCAGCTGAGTCCCGGCTGTACATGACTGTGACAGAGGAGCCATTTGAAGGTTGCAAGTCTTGGATTTGGTCCTACCGCTTTTGGGTTTTTCCACATGTGAAGTAAATTGGCTCCTGGACTCTATTCTTGTAATATGCACAGGGAGCCAAAACCTGGGGTCAGCAGGCTACTCAGAATCGATTTTTTTTTCCTTCTTCCTTCTGTTGCCTCTATATATCTACCCTAATTGCAGAGAAACACATACATCAGTCACATACACAGATATGTACATATTTATATGATGTGTGCATACATATAATACACATTACACAATAAACATCAAATATATATTATAATGATTTATATCAAGTGAAAGTTATAAGATATGAAGAAAATATACATGCAGATTCAGATATGCTACATGTACATAGAATATATACATTTAGAAAACATTATAAAACCTGAAAATGCTTTGTAGTATCCAGAAATGCCATCATCCATGGAAAAGATTGTAAATTTATTAGGAGTAACTGAAACATCAAAGTGGATGTGATATATAACTGCTGATTATTTTACTTTTTTGTCCAGTCGGAATCCTGTGATCCTACTCTTTCACATCTTCAAACCCACAGTGGTTCTGTATTGCTCTACTAACTCCCAAAAATTGCTAAGTTGATAGATACTTAAGTAAAGCCAGAACCATATGAGTCTATGCTATGGTAGTTCAGAGGACTCAAGGTAGGCAATCTGGTATGGTGGGAATATTCAGGATTTTGAGTCAGAGAATCCCAAGGTTGAACCCTGCTTCTGGTATAGCCTGTGTGATCTTGGAAAGTTAATTTTCTTTCAGTTTCATTTCATATTCTGTAAAAGAGTATCACATACCGGACCTTTTAGGGGAAATGGTAAGGCTTAAATGAGAGGCCATCAAGTACTTGTCTATGTATATTCCACTGAATTTATTGAGCAAAGGGTGAAAAGTGTTAGTTCTTTCATCTTTTCTGATTCTAATGTGGAGCCATGAGAACTAGACATTTTTCTTGATTTTCTAATCTACTCCTGGAGGCATCTATGGAGATTAGTAAAGACTACTGTTTTCTCTTATGCTTTTCACATTTATCTGATTAGAACACTAGGGGAAAATCTCTGGAATGGGAGTGGGAAAGGGAGGTCCAAGTCATAAAATAAATAAATAAAATGCAACAGATGGTTCCTTGCTTATCGTCCTGAGGTTATGTTTAAGATTTTTTATGCTTGTGTCATGGCTTTTGTCTGAAGCTGAAGATGGCTGTTTGCTCCATATCCTTTCTGTTCACTAAATCAGTACAGATTCCTGTCAAGTTACACAGGTCTCCTATAATTTAAATGGATTTAGATGTTGGATCTATGCTGAATATCATTAAAGCTTCATTCTTGTATGTGACTATCAAGTAATTACAATTCTAAAAAGTGATCATATATGGTGTGGTTGCAGCCTTTCTGTTTTTTGTTTGTTTTTTTTTTATTTATTTTTTATTTTTTTAAAGACAAGATCTTGCTCTGTTGTCCATGCCTAGCTAGTTTTAAAAAAATATTTTGGAGAGACGGAGTCTTGGTATCTCACTATGTTGGCCAGGCTCGTCTCAAACTCCTGACCTCAGGTGATCCTCCTGCTTCAGCCTCCCAAAGTGCTGGGAATACAGGCGTGAGCCATTGCATCTGGCCTTGGGTTGCTGCCTTTCTAATCAGGTTTCCTCATCTGAAACAGAGGACAGATATTCATTTGAGTGACTTTTTAATTCTCCTCAAAATGGTTCATAACTAGTACCATATTAATGGCATAGAAGAGAAGTCATTGCATTAAAAAATTGATGCTTTTGAACATCAGAGTTTAATTATTTCATGGAACTTGCATGGTTGGTTAAAAGTGCAGATTCAAAGCTCAGCTCTACAACTAGCTGGGTAACTTGAACAAGTCAACCTTCCCATTGATAAAACTTCATAGGGTTCTTGTAAGGATTAAAAATATTCATGTAAAACACTGCATGTAGAAAGCACTGAACAAATATACTCTGATTAGAAGCAGGATAACAGTCTAATCAGGTGACATGGGTTCCTGTTTGCTTCCACCATTAACTAGATGTAAGACCTACCTTCGTAACATCTTGTAAGGAAGAATTTCTGGCTTTAGCACTATCCAACACATAATTGCTCACCTCCTATTTCTTAAAAACTTGGTTTTAGTTGTTACAGAATTGTCATTCATGTATCTATTGACCATAAATTAGATCTTTCTTGGTACTTGAGCACTCCCATGCTTGTGGTTATGCTCCTGAAAAGTTTATTTTCCCACTGTTTTAAGTTTCTCCTTTCTGAAAGCAAAAATCATGAAGTTTGATGTTTTCCTCTCTTTTAAACATTTTGCTACCATCCAAATTGTGCTAAGGCATAGTATGGCACCAAGCTTCTTTTTGTATCTGATTGAAGGACTTATCAAGTACAGATAAGTTCCCCCTTATCCACTAGGGACACATTTCCAGACCCCCCAGTGGATGCCTGAAACTGCGTATATTACTGATTAAAAATATATACTATGTTTTTGCCTATGTATACATTACCTATGATACAGTTTATAAATTAGGCACAGAAAGGTGATTAAAACAACTAATAAAATGGAACAGTTATAACAATACACTGTAATAAAAGTTGTGTGGAGGTGGTCTCTCTCCCTCTCTAATTCTGTAGCACTTTTGGACTTTGGTCGACTGCGGGTAACTGAAACCCCAGAAAGAGAGAGAGCAAAACCTTGAATAAGGGTAGGGGGGTATATTGTAGTATATAATGAAGTCATTGACCTTTCAGAAAAATTGGCCTTGTGTGCAGAAAAATAATTTTAGTGGCCCATTGTCCCTGATGATTTTAGTTCTGTGAAAGAGGCCCTAGGTGTTCTCCCTTGACAATATTAGTTCTAGTAATCTTTGCAAACGGAAAATTGTAACGTTAAAGATACATAAGCAATAATTACCATACTACTTGTAATATAGAATGGCACTTTTTTTTCCTGCTAAGATGAGCAACACACATATCATCATGGTTTACCTTGAGTAATAAATGTATATTATGAAATATTTTCAGAAAAGTAAAAATCAATTACATTATGCTGTTTAAAGTATCAATTCTAATTTTTCAAGAATTTGTATCTGAGCTCATAAGGCATTTTAAAGTATAGAAGAGGGGTGTGTGCAGTCTTTTATGTGCGGCCGTTTATTGTGCCAGTTGATGAGTTTTCCTCCTAGTGTAGAGGCATGAATAAATGAGAAGAGTTAGAAATACATGTTAGATCCTCAACGTGGATACAAAAAAGATGTGAATCAGATTATACAGAGGAAATCAAAGACTGATGACTAATTTAAGGTTCAGTGAATCTAAACAAACCAAATAGAATTTATGTATTTATTTATTTATTTATTTATTTATTTATTTATTTATTTATATATTTTTGAAGCAGAGTCTCGCTCTGTCACCCAGGCTGGAGTGCAGTGGTGCAATCTTGGCTCATTGCAGCCTCCGCCTCCCAGGTTTGAGTGGATTCTCGTGCCTCAGCCTCCCTACTAGCTGGGATTACAGGCATGTGCCACCATGCTCGGCTAATTTTTGTATTTTTAGTAAGAGACGGGGTTTCGCCATCTTGGCTAGGCTGGTTTTGAACTCCCGACCTCAGGTGATCCACCTGCCTCAGCCTCCCAAATTGCAGGGATTACAGGAGTGAGCCACCACGCCCAGCCCCAAACAGAATCTTCATAAAGGCATTTTATGCAAAGATAAAATGAATCCTGGGTTGGGCGCGGTGGCTCACACTTGTAATCCCAGCAATTTGGGAGGCTGAGGCGGGAGGATGAGTTTGAGACCTCCCTTTACTGAAAATTAAATAATTGTCTGGGTGTGCTGGCATGCACCTATTAGTCCCAGCTATGCGGGTGAGAGGATCACTTGAGCCTGAACGTTGGGGCTGCAGTGAGCTATGATCCAGCAGCCGCACTCCAGCCTCGGCAACAGAGCAAGACTCTGTCTCTTAAAAAAAAAAAAAAAAATTGAATCTCATGTTTAAAATTTGGTAATGTAAATTTATTTATTTATTTATTTTGGTTTGGTATTTTCTATTCTGTGTAGCATACTGCCACAAACTGAATGGTTTAAAACAATATACATTTATTATCTAACAGTTTCAATGCTGAGGAGTCGTGGTGGCCCCTTGTTCAGTCTCACAAGGCTGCAGTAAGGTGTTGCCTGGACTGCATTCCCGTATGGGGCTACTTCCTGCTCCTCTTTCAAAATCGTGTGGTTGTTGAGGCCCTATTAAAGGTCCTCTTACAACATGGCAGTTTATTTCTTGTAGACTAGAGGGAAACTCTCTTCATTCAGAAAGGGGGCTCAATACCCCTTTGAAGGGCATTCAGCTGATTAAGTTAGATCATTCATTATACTCCCTTTTTTGATTCATTGAAAATCAAGTGATGTGAGATCGGAATTCCATCTGCAGAATCGTGTTACCTTTACCACATAACGTCACATAATTAAGGGAGTGACATCCCTTCATATCATGGTCCCCACTCACACTCAAGGAGAATGGGTTCTGCAGGAGTGGGAATTATGAGAATCATCTCAGAATCCTGCCTACCACAAGTGTTATATTAGACAGCAATCACAAATACACCAAAAACTAAAAGATGTGAATGCTCATTTCTTTCCTACTTTACGTGCTCACAGATTTGGGAAATGCTGTGAAGCATCAGATGACCCATCACTCTTTTGCCTTCAGGCAAACTGTGTTGGGTCACATTAGTTCTGATCCATCCTATAAGGAAAGTAAACTCCAGTAGCTCATTAACTAGTCATTAAGGGTGCTGTCATCATTAGTTAGCTGAACTTTTCACTTTCTGCAAAGAAGAATTCTCTTTGCTATGGTTTAAGCCAATTTATACCATTATTGTCAATAAATATGTAGAAAAATTATAAAACAATTCTTTTGAAATGTAAAGGATTATGATCCTTCCAAATTAAGGTTTATACTTGGGTCTTTCCTGAAAAATATCCATTTATTTGCCTGCATAAACTAGCCAATACTCTACAGTCCTAAACAACATCTGATTTTTCATTTGAATCAGTATGTAATGGTAATGTCCTCTAACGCCCCAGTTATAAAGTATTAATGATTTCTTCATTTCAGTGAGTAGATTTAGGTGAATAGCTATGAGTTCTGTTTTTCAAAGAAAAAAATAACGATGACGTGCTTTTTAATACTGCTTATGTACTGGGTGCTCAGTAAATTTCCTTTAAAAAGTAGGTCCTTCATATACTCCATACAGGTGCTTCCCTGCTCAGCCTGTGCATGTCCTAAGTCATTTTATTTTCAGAGTGCTGCTGGTTGTCTGATTTGTTCAGGATTTTTCTTGTTATAAGTCTAGCAATAATTAATTTGCTAGCACCAGGGAACACTGGTCAGAGTAAGTGTCTAATTTAGTGCTTTTCACACTAACTGTGCTAAAGGGGTAGGGCTGATTTATTTATTTTGTAAATTTTATATCCATTGCAAAGGTATATTTTTGTGAAATGGAATGAAAATCAATTAATAGAAAAATGAAATTTAAAAAGATATACATATTATAAACCTTCTTTTACTTAAATTCCACAGCCATAAAATTACTCTTTCCAAACTGTTTTAAAAGTGTGTAAACACTCCCAGTTTGTGCACTTTTCTTGTGGACTGGTAGACACAGTTCCCAGATTAGCAGCCTCAGAGTAGCATAATCTGAATAGCTCTAGTTTACTTTGAGTATTTAGGACATAACTAAATTACCGTTTTCAGTTTGAAAATGGCGTTACAAAAACTACAATAGAAGATTTTCACATTAAATGATTTTACATGAAAGTGATAGGCTCTACTTTAACACTTACTTTCTATTTTAGCTATGGATCGCAATGGCCTTTTCCTCAAAGTAATCGTAATGCTTTGGTTTGAAGGAAGCCTGCTATTTGACGAGGAACTACAAGCTCTGTAGTTCCTTGCCAGAATTTTGTTGCTCATAAGCAAATTTGGCTTTTAATGTGTTCTCTTTAGAACATTTACTATTTGCCATGAATTCAAACACTTGCTTTCAGCAAACCAACTATTTTGATACTGCAGTGAAAAGGAGGACTGCATACTCTTTGTTCATAGTTTCAGTAAATCAGCTAATCTGAAGGTAGCTATTCCCTTTTGATGGCTTCTGAGATTATTTGTATATAGTCAAGAAGCAGATGTATGTAAAATTGTTAATCCACAAAGATTTTATTTCCAAGAATGAAGATAAAAACATTAATGCATGCCTGGGGCAGGTTGAGTTCTCTCTACGTTAAAGAAAGTGTATATATATGTATATATATATATCTGTTTAAAATATATTTGGCCTATGGGGCTGAGGCTATATAAAAGTCTCCATTGATAACTCAGATCTCAGAGTGTCTGCGAAAGTACAAAAGTATAAATAATTCTCCCTGTATTGAAACACATCCAGAATTAAACAATATATTCTTGCAAAAGGCAATTAAAAGTTTTCAAGGAATGGAGTGTGTCATTTAAGTTTGGTTCAGATGTTCAGTTAGCAAATAGTGAGAATTGCAGAGCTTTTTCATTTTGTGGACCTTAGTTTCTTTCCAGGCATCTGTGCACACTGGAATTAAAATGCATGGAAATTTTTTTTTTTTCTTGACAAAGCATCTTTTGCTTATTTTCTGTTCTATTGGAGATTTTTCTGACAGCCTGTTGCCAATGATGTTCTGTGTTGCACGTAGGATTTTACCTAATGAAACCAAGGCATAAATTATATCAAAAGACTAGTACAAGGTTATCTATTTTTTTAAATGCCTTTCCATGCAGTCCTTACTACATTATATCTGTCACTATACACTTCTTCCGGAACAGCTGTCTCAAGAACTTCTATGGAGTTTTTCCAGACTGTTGAGATAAACTAGTTTCCTAGAAAATCAGAGTTATGTGTTTCAAGACTCTCTTGAGGGGTCCTTATTCTGCTTTCCAGTAGGTCACTTAAAACGAATTGAATTGAACTAGATCTTTTTACAAAGATGCTGCATCTCCCAGATAATAGTTACAATGTCAGGTCAAGAAGAATACCAATATAAATAGTGCTAGACATACTCTTGCTAAACTTCCTAGAGTAGCTTTTCCCTTTTAAGTGATTTTCTGGATAAAGCTCACAACAAATACGTTATTGATAAATTTCCTTATAAATAACATCATGGAGGTTATTCATCAAGGATGAAAATCTTCAAGAAAGAGAATTCAGAGGCCATGATTCTAAGAGATAGCTGCTGAAATCTTACCAATAGAAATTGTCCAACACCTTGGTGACCATTATAGTTAATTATTGCAGTAAGATATTAATTATTATTACATTTTATGTGCACATCATTTAATGTATCTTGGCAAGATGACCCTTAAACATGAATATTTTAATTACTTTATTTGCCATTTGGGTAAAAATATGGGATGGGCATTTAAAGCCAGATGTTGCCTCATAAACCTCACATTTAAAAATTAAGTATTCTCTTCTTTGTGAACAGCTTCACTTAGGGGATGGTTAGGCCTTTTCTCAAGGATCCATGGAATAAAAGACGAAGTATGTTTAAGGAATATAAATGGATGAAACCACCAAAACATTTATTGCATCATGGGAAATTTTTGGAGACCAGAATTGTTGATTCCAAATTATCTGTAAGATCATTCTGTAGACTTCAGATAGTCCTGAAATAAGATTCTGTGTGTTTCTCTTTATCTTCCCTGACCATCCTCATTTGCAATGAGATGGTGAATTAAGGCGCATCTGTGGTCTGATGAGTTCTGAGCAAGCCCTGTATGGAGGTAAGCACCTTGAAAGGGATATAAGCATTCTTCATAGTGCAGGAGGCAATCATCAACTGTGATGAAATGTGGCTTTGTATTCATCTGCCTCTCTTTCCCTGCCCTTCTCCCATGATGTTTATTCTTTTTTGGAGTATCAGTGCCCAAACGCTCTTCCTTGATTGATCAAATTCAAATTCTTGTTTTTATGTATCACCCATGATTTGAGCCCTCTCCCCTCTAAAATTCAAAGGAACCCTTCTGTCTCAAACCATTGGATAAGCAGAATCTTCCTAGTGATGTCATTTTAAAGAGAGTTTATTAGCACAGATAAATCTCTGCTGTGTAGACCATTTAAATGCAGACTGTATTTTTTAAAAGGTAATTATTTCGTAGTTCTGTTCTGACTTGTGATTGCTACTGTCAAACACTGTTTCAGAAGAGGAGCTTCTGGGATATCTGCTTCTGAAAGTTTGCTTACCAATGTCTTGGCATAAAGTCATGGAGCAGGTTTTGAAAGAATGCTTCCTGAGGTTTTCCCCTTTCTAACATCAGAAACTGTCTCCTTAGAACATTAGATTCTGTTATAAAACAAAGTCATCATTTTAAATAGAGATCAGTGGTGCATAATAAAGTAGTTCTGATAAGCTGAGCATGGTCAGGAAAAAACTGCCCTGTATGTTGTATTTTGTAATAATAAAGCACAAGGGCTTTTTAATAAAATTGTAGATACCTGAATACCCGTGTGTTAGATTGAGGGATGGAACATTAGGATAAGAAGAATAAAGATGTTTTGAAGGATATGGACTTGAAGAAGTGTAAAAGATGGTTATGTGTTATCCATAAAGGACTAAATAATAACAACCAATGTTAGAGAAAGGTGTGGCCTTATTTTTTTTTTTTTCCTGCTCGCTATGATTTTTCTATTTTTTGTCATTCTGAATTGAAGGTCAAAAATTTGATCCACGTAAAACATAATACAAATTTATCACAGGCAAGTACTCTGCAAAGTTGTTGTTTATAAATAATGCGGCAAGGACTTCAAAACATTTAAAGCAATTATTCCTTTTAAAGTGTATCATAGAGAAGATTTTTAGCATTTTATAAGAGACAGAACTGGATTTCCACCTTATGTCTAGTTAAGTACATTTGTGAATACTTTTCTCATGCTTTTATCTGACAATGAGAGTGGTTCTGTTTCTGACCTTGGTAATGTGGTAGGTTAAAAGCAGTGCAAGTTTCATATTTAAGGGTGGAAAAAAAATCATGAGTTGGTAATGCATGAAAACTGGAAATTAAAAGATCTTTGGAATCCTCAATTAACATTACATGTAATTTAGTTTTGCATTTTGTAGATGCCAGGAAAATATCAGGAATGCTGGTCATTTATATTTCTGACCAGTCCTTCATCTCTCCTAAATTCAGACACAGCATGATGAATGTTAGACTATTTTATTTTAATTTTATAGAACTTGTTTGTACTTCATTGTGTAGTATTTGGTGACAATTCATAATTTTGACAAGGTAGGAGAATCGTATCAGAGAAACTTGACTGAACATAACTATTAATGTCTATTAAAATGCATCTATGGAACATAGTATTAACACACAATTAATGCAAAACCACTAATTTTTCTCACATAACCTAAGGCAGAATTTCTCAACCTCAGGACTATTGACATTTTGGATCAGACAGTTCTTTGAAGTGGAAGGGCGGGGGGCGCTGTCCTGTGCAATGTAGGATTTTAGCAGCGTCCTTGGCCTCTCTCTACATAGTAAATGCCAGTAAGCAATCCCTCCTCAAGTCATGACAATAAAAAATGTCACCAGATATCATCAGATGTCTCCTGAGGGGCAAAATCACCCGGGGTTGAAAACCACTGATCTAAGGTTTTACTTTAATGCAGATATCTAGTTGAATCTGCATAGTAAATTGACCCATGATACATGTTTCCGTGGCCAGTGGTGTCCAATTCTGGCTGATTCTCATAATCCTGATGTGGTGTTTGCATTTTGCTAAAGTTTTGTCACATCAGTGAGTTTTATTCATTAATTCCCAATAACGAATATGCTATTAAAACAGGTAAATTGGGTAGTTCAAATTATTTTCTAAATTAAGCTGTTAAATTTAGTGCTTGGTAAAGCAGGAAGTGTAATTATGTAATGTACAGTCAAATGTCCAGGGGTAAATTTCCCTTGTTCCTGGAGATCTGTGAATTTCCTGAAGGAAAATTTTGCAGTGAAACATGTCTTTAGCAGAAAGGTACTAGTGTCTGTTCTTTCCTGCTGGGTCTGGAGCGGAAATTAGGCTATCTATCCTGCCCATGTGCATAGTGCATAAAATGCTTTGTAGATATCAGGAAGGCTGGACAGTTGCCAGGGTGGCCTGTGGGCAAGCTGTAATTAACATGGACACACACTCTTGCTAAGGGTATTTGTTTCACCTGGGAAAGCTGCATAGTAAACTAATGAAGATTTTTTTTTCTTGGCTGAAAGTGCTTGGCTTTTTTCAGAGAGGTACAATTACAGAGACCCCAAAACAGTAAAATTACTTTGGGGACAGGCTCATGACAGTGTGACGCTTTACTTTTAGGCATGTAATGTTTAGTCTTTTTTTTTTTTTTTGAGATGGAGTCTTGCTCTGTCACCCTGGTTGGAGTGCAGTGGCGCGAGCTCGGCTCACTGCAAGCTCCGCCTCTCGGGTTCACGCCATTCTCCTGCCTCAGCCTCCCAAGTAGCTGGGACTACAGGTGCCCGCCACCGCGCCCAGCTAATTTTTTTTTTGTATTTTTAGTAGAGACGGGGTTTCACCGTGATCTCGATCTCCTGACCTCGTGATCCGCCTGCCTCGGCCTCCCAAAGTGCTGGGATTACAGGCGTGAGCCACCGTGCCCAGCCTAATGTTTAGTCTTATATGTGGCTCTGAAATTTTATAGGGCTGGCCTGAACTCTGATACACCAAAAACATCTTGGTGAGTATGAAAAGAATACCAGGTGTTTCTGTTGGTCTACTTTTTCTGTAAATGGATAATGCTTGTTGTCTTATAGGACAGTGCACTTACAAGAATGACACCACAAAGTGGTGTATTATAGAAACAGAAATCCCAGTGGTCACTGTCTACATTGGTGAGGAGGGAATGCTATTACATGAGGGAAAATGGAAGCCCAGAATCTCTGTTACTTTATTTATTTATTTATTTTTGCTTTATTCTATCAAAAAGTAATATCTTTTGCTTTATTCTATCAAAAAGTAGTATCTCTGCTTCTTTTTCTTCTTTCTACAAAGAAGAAATAATACAATATTTAACTTCTTTAGTTGATTGGCATTAATGAGGCTCTTAAATATTTCAGATGCATTCTACTCTTATTGTCTAATATGGTTTGGCTGTGTCCCCACCCAAATCTCATCTTGAATTGTAGTTCCCATAATCCCCATGTGTTGTGGTAGGGGGGACCAGGTGGAGATAATTGAATCAGGGGGCTGGTTTCTCCCATCCTATTCTAATGATACTCAGTTCGTTCTCATGAGATTTGATGGTTTTATAAGGAACTTCCTCCTTTGCTGGGCACTCATTTCTCTCTCCTGCTGCCATGTGAAGAAGGATGTGTTTGATTCCATTTCCACCATGATTGTAAGTTTTCTGAGGCCTCCTGGCCCTGTGGAACTGTGAGTTAATTAAACCTCTTTCCTTTATAAATTACCCAGTCCTGGGCAGTTCTTTATAGCAGCTTGAGAACAGTCTAATACATTGTCTTAGGAAAGACTAGAAAGACTCATGTTGATGTGGTTAGTGTCTCCTTTTAATATTGTCCTCTCCATAATACTTTTTTTGTATGTCATTTTATTTACAAAACGTAAATATGTTACATTCTCACTATATGCAAAATCTAATGCATTTTTCACACACTGATCTCCCCCTTTTTATAGGTACTCAATATTTATAAATGGGCAGAAGGATCTTTGCCTTTACCTTTCCTACTACAGACAAATTTGGTAAACGTGTATTCTATACCTACTATCATTTTATTTGAATTCGGCTCTTCCCCTTTGTTTACTGTCATGTTGGATGTGAGGGGCAAAATCACCCTGGGTTGAAAACCACTGATCTAAGGTTTTACTTTAATGCAGATATCTAGTTGAATCTGCATAGTAAATTGACCCATGATACATGTTTCCGTGGCCAGTGGTGTCCAATTCTGGCTGATTCTCATAATCCTGATGTGGTGTTTGCATTTTGCTAAAGTTTTGTCACATCAGTGAGTTTTATTCATTAATTCCTGATAACGAGTATGCTATTAAAACAGGTAAATTGGGTAGTTCAAATTATTTTCTAAATTAAGCTGTTAAATTTAGTGCTTGGTAAAGCAGGAAGTGTAATTATGTAATGTACAGTCAAATGTCCAGGGGTAAATTTCCCTTGTTCCTGGAGATCTGTGAATCCTCTGGTTTTTGCCTGTAGTCTAGCCTAATTGTTAATAGTGCCCTTTCACTCTCAAAACTGTTCAGGTCAGACAACAGATTTTGTGGTGGCCCTATGCTGAGGCTATCTCACTAATACATCTGCCATATGGTGTGATCTTTAGGAAATTTGGATTATATATTACTAATGTGTATATGTAACATGTAGTGAAACTATATATTTATCAACTTCTATACATATATGTAGATTGTAGATGTATTAACTTGAATAAACCACAATGACTGAGAAACACTTCTTGCCTCTTCATATGCTGGATCACTCTTTCCTTTACGTGCATTAAGAAATGGGATAATTACTATGTATTATATTCCACAATAGCAGTTTAAGAGTTTTAAACAGCTGTAAGTAGCCAAGTTATGCAAACCGTTAATATCAAGAACAATCCTAATTTAGGCATTACATATGAGACTGCTGTCGAGTACCCACATGGGTTGACTTGTGCTCCCCCAAAATTCCTGTGTTGAATTTCTAACCCCCAGTACTTCAGAATGTGACCTTATTTTGAAATTGGGTCTTTGCAGATGTAACTAGTTAGGATCAGATCATATTAGAGTAGGGTGGGCCCTTAATTCAATATGATGCATGTCCTTATAAAAAGGAAGAATTTGGACACAGACATGTACACAGGATCATTGCTATAAATAGAGAGTGCATGTGAAGGCTGGAGTTATGCTGCCATACACCAAAGAATTACTAGTAGCAAGGGGAGAGAACTTGAACAGATCTTCCCTGAGAGCTCTCAGAGGGAGTATGACCCTGCCGACACCTTAATTTCAGACTTCTAGTGTCCTGAACCCTGAGACAATACATTTATGTTGTTTTAAGCCACCTGGTTGACAATAGTTTGTTATGGTAGCCTGAGCAAACGAATCCAGACATCATTACCTTCTTTTTGCTGCTCTGTTGGGATGCTCATGACATCACTATTCAGTCATTTAAGGACTGGTGGAGCATACTGTCATATACCACAATTATTACAATGATTACATTTTAAATGAGATTTTTAAATTCTTTATTATTATTATTATTATTATTTTTTGAGACAGAGTCTCGCGCTGTTACCCATGTTGGAGTGCAGTGGCACGATCTCAGCTAACTGCAACCTCTGCCTCCCAGGTTGAAGTGATTCTCCTACTTCACCCTCCCGAGTAGCTGGGATTACAGGTGCCCGCCATCACGACCAGCTAATTTTTGTATTTTTAGTAGAGATGAGGTTTCACCATGTTGGTCAGACTGGTCTTGAATTCTTGACCTCAAGCAATCCACCCGTCTTGGCCTCCCAAAGAGCTGGGATTACAGGTGTGAGCCACCTCACACCTGTAATTCTAAAGGAATTCTAAAATAATTCCTTTATTTAGTATTCAATCTTTCCTGTGTTTGGATTCCAAAATATGATCTTTTACTGGCTATGTGTACACATACTGATCTACACACACTGATTCATCCATCTTGCTTTTCTTCTGGGCATTTTTTTCTCTTATAAGAAAATATACATTAATTAAATTAAGATTAATCTAAATCTAAAGCAGTAAGCCTGATTAAAGAAAAAAAAAAGATGCAGTGCATTAAGCTAAAGACAAAATTCAAAGTCTTATGTGGCACACAGCCTATGACTGGGTAAGAGTCATACATAACCTACCTGACCAGAGCGAGAATACATGCAATGTTGCCTGTTTATTAGGTCCTACAGACCAAAATTTCAGGGTTTTTTTTTGTTTTTTTTTAGATGGAGTTTCACTCTTGTCGCCCAGGCTAGAGTGCAGTGGCGTGATCTCAGCTCATTGCAATGCCTCCTGGGTTCAAGTGATTCTCCTGCCCCAGCCTCCCAAGTAGCAGGGACCACAGGCACCCACCACCATGCCCAGCTAATTTTTGTGTTTTTAGTAGAGACGGGGTTTCATCATGTTGGCCAGGCTGGTCTGGAACTCCTGACCTCAGGTGATCCGCCCATCTCGGCCTCCCAAAGTGCTGGGATTACAGATGTGAGCCACCATGCCAGGCCATTTTCAGGTATTTTTATGCAACTTGCAGACTTCATGCCTAGGGATTTTTTCTAGCATTCTTGGACAAAGAGATTTGTATCTGATGTGTCTTCCTGTACTCTTCTGTGGTGCAACCACAGGGGATCTGCTCCAGGTTTGGAAAATGTGTAATGGGTGAATAGGATAATTCTTGTCAGACAGATTTCCCAAGAAATAAAGAGAAACGTTAGGCTTTTAAAGACTTGTTTAATAAAAAAGGGAGCTAATTTAGAAAGTTGTTTTTCTTCTTCCCCTAAATAAGGTAATGTGAGAATAGTTCCTTCTATTTTGGGACATTTTAAGTTAAGATAATATGAATTTGTTAATATGTGCATTGTCAGAATGATAATGATGTGATTATAAGTATGAATGAGTAGCTATAACCAGTGCACTAAACAGTCAATTTTACGGAGGTGTCCACTTCTAGGGTGTATGGACATGTAGAATCAAAGTCCAGGCTCACTTTGAGCTGTTAGTGCTGGCTGTTGAGTGTTAAGTTCAACTTCTTGAAGAAGATATTTTTACAATAAACATTCTGGACACATACACCTCCTTCGAATGGATCAGAATCACTTGTAGCCTGAATCAATGTGGTGTGCCTTCTCTTTCAGGACTTGACACTATGTTTACCCTGGCCTCCCTGGATGGAATGCTCTATACATGCTTTTAATACTCACTGCTGCTCTTGCTTCCCACAAATTAGTATGCAATAGATTATTGTCCATAGTTAGGTTTAGTAGGTCTTCCCACTATTTATTTCTTTCGCCACGTTTGTTTCATGTTTCCTTAACCACTTCTGTAATATGTGTGTGGGGTCAGATGTGATTGTGGCATTTCATACTAGCCAGGGGTCCTTGGGTACAGCAATAAACATCTCTGAGTCTCTATTCCTCATCAGTAAAATGCATTCAAATTCACTCTCTTCTCTAGCACCATGTGTTGTTGTGACTTTCAAATGAGGCAATGTATATGTGAATACTTTGAAGACTGTAGAGCACAATGTTTACATGTGATATCAGGCTATTCATCTTTTTCAGTAAGCCATCATCTTGGAATTTATACCATTAATCTTGCCTTTAGGTTGGTGAATGGGCTGCTTGAGGACTGCTTTTTCTGAGCTCATCTTGTAATTGAAATGAAGTTTGGACATCATTAGAAGTGATGAAGTGCAGACACCAGTAATTGCATGCTATGATTTTGCTACATAAATAGCCTCCAGGTTTATTTGTTGACCAACTAAATAAAATTTTGACTGTATTATTATTACATCTCAGATTATTATTCTAGTACTTCATTAGTTAAACTTTTATTCAGGATAGTATATCATTAATAAAATAATTCATGGTATATTTTCATTTTATATATATATTACATTCTGTATTAGTGAGTATATATGTGTGTATATATTAATCAAATAATTTAATAAGCATTTCCCATCATAGTTCAAGCAGTATTTAGTCTCTGAAGAAACAAAGCCAATAGAACAAGATTGTTTCTTAGATCACTTATAGGCTCATTTTAACAATAATTAACACATTAAGTATTTACATCTACCACCTTAAAAGCTTTATATTTTTCCTAAATTACTTTGTCTTTACAAAGGATTTGACTGCAATTAAGACTCATTGTTTATAATGGAGCTGTTTGGGAAAGAATGGTAATATCTCAACAAATGTTTTTCTGCCAAGTATGAATAATAGAACAAGTCCATTTATTTTCCTAAGGAATGATGGGGCTTGAGAGCCAAACCCAATGTCAGCCATTGTCCTGGGGCTCCCCAGGGAGATGTGGGTCATGAGAGTGAAGCTCTGCAGCCAGGCAGAGGTGGGAAGACTCTGAAGAGGCACTTCACAGCCCTGGCCTGAAAATGCAGACACAACAATTCTTTGGCAGAGAAACCAGGGCATGAGTAGAAATAAACTTGCTGATAACCCATTTTCCTTGGGTAAATGTTAAATATTAGAGATGAAAAATTAATAAATTAATATGAAGTTTCTTTTGCACAGATATAAAAATTGTTCCTCAGACAAAATATAAAAGATTAAAAGCGATTGACTAAGAAATGTTCAATTACGAACTACTTGGAGATGTTATATGAGAAATACTGAGGTAGTCTTATCAAAATCTGTTCGACATGAAAACATAGAAATAATATATAGATATGGGACTAATTCAAATAATAGTACTTCTCTAATTTTTAAGATTAAATTATTACAGTTAAGAGAATTTAGCAAACTAAATACTTTTAACAAACTGTTAATGCTTATTTGAATGGCTTATAAACACTTTAGAGCTTTCTCCTTTTGTCATTTGAGAAAAATAACGGGAAATGTTTCTGTTATTAATTCTGAATTAATTCTGAATTTAACAAAATGTTTTGATAATTTCAAGGGAGATGTATAATGTTCACTCTAAATAGACTTTTTGAATATCAAGTACTTTTTAACATAGATTTCTGCATAATTTTCACCACTTAGACCAAGAATTGATGATTTTCTGATCAGATCGTGATATTTTCTGATTAGAAAATCATCAATTCTTGGTATATCTTTCAGAAATAAACTGAGCAGTTACCAAGAGACTAACAAATGATTTCCACATTCTTTGAGAACCAAATCAGAGGAAATGGTTTAAATAGTTACAAGCACTAGGCCGGGCACAGTGGCTCACGCCTGTAATCCCAGAACTTTGGGAGGCTGAGGCGGGCAGATTACTTGAGGTCAGGAGTTCGAGACCAGCCTGACCAGCATGCTGAAACCGCATCTCTACTAAACATACAAAAAATTAGATGGGCTAGTGGCCCGTGCCTGTAATCTCAGCTACTCGGGAGTCTGAAGGAGGAGAATCGCTTGAACCCTGGAGGCAAAGGTTGCAGTGAGCTGAGGTTGTGTCTTTGCACTCCAGCCTGGGTGACAAAGCAAGGCTGTGTCTCAAAAAAAAAAAAAAAAAAAAGTTACAAGCACTGATAGCTTTGAACACAGTTACAAATATGTAAGTGAAGCCCTGAACAGTTTTTGGAAGACTGATCAAAGTGTCTAGATACAAATACATGTGAGATATGGCCTGTTTTTTGTGTTTTTAATGCACAGATAACATTGTATATATTTATTATGTACCTGATGTTTTGAAGTATATATACAGGCCTGGTGTCTTGATCAAAGTTTATATTTAAAAATGACTTGTCATGTGTTTGGTGACACCTATGTGGATGGCAGCTCAGCAGCACCATTTGAGATTTAGGTAAAGTGGTAATGATTAACTATGAAAGAGGGTTTTTTGGGGATTTGCAAATCCAGATAATGGGGAGTGTGTGTGTGTGTGTGTGTGTGTGTGTGTGAGATTTAGTTTTCGTTTGGCTTGAGGTAAGGAGTTTAACATCCTGAGGTACTCTGAATTGCTGTGAATTTTTTTTTTACTTCTCAGCAAATTTAGACATGTCCTGTGCATGCCTATTGCGAGAAATGCCTTAAAATGCAGAAGTGTCTCCAGTGAAGACTGCTACTCAGGAAAAATTCCCCAAGATATTTTCTACTTCTAGTTCTTCTGCTCCATATACCAGAAAGAATGGGAAGAGGCAAGGTGTCCGCATACCTGTATGGAGAATAGGCTTTGAGGTTTTAGATTCTTGGATGTACATATAGGTGCTTATTTTAAAATGTCAGCAATATATTTTAAATAATATTACTTCTTTATCTTTTGAATCATCAGCTGTTTATTTGGTTAACAATTTGTTGTTAGCAATAATAATAATTGGTGTCATCTATTGAGTACTAGATACCAAGCAGTATGGTAGTGTTTTGCTTATATTATTTAATTCTGGTCTCAATTCTATAAAACAGGGAAATATGTTATTTTCGTTTTTATAAATGAAGACACTGAAGTATTGAGCAGTTAATAAATCACCTGTTCTGGACTATATAGACAGTAATAGTGGGGCAGGGCTATAACTCAGGTCTATCTGATTTCAAACTTTCTCTCAACCACTACATTGCATTCCCCTCTCACGCAGAGCTGCTCAGGCACCAGATTATTTAAAATAACATTTATAATAAATATGGCCTTACTTGGAGGGCCATTAAAAGATGTTGCTAACAAGTTCATACTTTCACTTTCTCTAGGCTAGTGATTGTTACCTGGAAGACACTCTCTAGATAAAGGAATGGCTTTTAAAACTCTTGCTTCTCTCAAAGAATATATAAAGTATTAAAGGAATAAACATTTTGTTTTCCAGAATAATACATGTGAAAAAATATCTTCAAAGTGAAATAGGCAAATGAATATCAAAGAAGCTTATTTTAGAATGTAATCCTATGAGAGAGAGGGCAGTCTCGAAAGATTAAAAAAGATTCCTTTTATGATTATGAATTTGAAACAGCTGGAATGAATGCAGTCATGAGGATCATTTCTGAAAGTGAGGGATATAGAAAGTTAAAAGACTCATCGCTTGGTACTGAGATCACCTGCTTCGTAACAGACAGAAATAGAAGAGTACAAGTGTTAAGAATTCATTCTGCCTTCCCCGTGCTTTTGTCGCTTTATTTTTAGAGCTCTGCTAGCAGCAGTTGGGAGCAGGATTTGCCCTTACGCGCCTGCTCAGTCAGACTCGCCTTCTCTCTTGCAGTCTGCCTCCCTTGACAGGTGTGAGGGACTTCCTAAGTGTCGCAAGCCAGCCACCTGGCATCAGCCACCCCTGATGTAGCGTGCACCTTCAGACCACTGAGCTCATGAAAGAGGTAATTTTTCTACTGCCTGTTAACATGCGTTAGTTTTTTCTTAAGGCTAAGCCAATCAGAATGAAAGATGTTGGATAGATAGCAGTACAGAAGTGATAAACAATATTTAATAAAAATGGATTAGGTAAACCGCTATGATGGATTGATTCATAAGGAAAGGATGAAAAGGTATATTTTAGGGCCTCCCCTACACAACCTAAGCAGATATTGTAAAAGTCTCAAATCACACAAACATACCTTTTCTTGTAATAAAGTAGAGCATCTTTTTTTCTACTAAAATTCTGCATGTGTGTTTATGTTTCTGAAGAAACTAGAGGAACTATTACTTAGAGGTTTATCTAAAGCATGCTACTCAGGAGAAAAGTAAGTGTAATAGTTTAAGATGCACGGTTTCAAATACATGCACCAAATAATGACATTTTATTCAATGATGGGCCCCATATATGGCAGTGGTCCCATGAGATTATAATACTTTATTTTTCTGTAGCTTTCTATGTTGACATATGTTTAAATATACAGACACTTATCATTATGTTACAGTTGCCTACAGTATTCAGTACCGTAGCGTGTTGTTTGTAGCCTAGGAGCAGTAGGCTATACCATACAACTTAGATGTGTAGTAGGCTATGCTATCTAGGTTTGTATAAGTACACTCTATGATATTTGCACAATGACAAAATCGCCTAACAATGCATATCTCAGAATGTATCCCTATCATTAAGTGTTGCATGACTGTATTTAAAACCCAGAAAACGATAGTGTGCGAAAGAGACCTTAGGCAATGATTTTCTCAGGAACTCTCAGCAATCACATTGTACATTGGAATTACGAGAGGTACAGTGGCTTTATACCACAGATACACATTTGAATCGCCTGGGGAATTTAAAAAAGTTACCAGCGCCTTGGCCCTACCCTAGAGATGAGGATAATTGGCCTGGCATTGGTATTTTTAAGAATTTACCCAGATGATTTTAGTGTGTAGCCAAAGTTGAGAATCACTGAATAGGAGAACCTAACAGTAACTAGTTTCTGCTTTTGCCAATACTTGCATCATGTTGGGTACCACACTTTATTTCTTCATATTTCAGTTTCCTGTATTAAGAGGCTACCAGAAGAAATAGACCTTTAAAAAATTGGGGAACTCTGTAAGGTGCATTCAGAATTATTTACATCCACATATATTTGGCTTGCATGACTTGCAGAAAAAACATTTTAAAATGTACTAACATAATTGAAAAAAAGTCACAAGACTTTCAGTATCTGATAATCTACAAGTAATAGTCACTCAAATGTTGGTTGAATACCTACTATATAGAAGGCACTGGAAAGACTATGGATTTTGGCCTTTTATTTGTTCTCAAGTAATTACAAGCTGGGGAACTTATAGATATAGCCAAAGAAATAATTAATATTTCAAAGCTGTGTGTGCCTCACAGCTAGGTACAATAGTTCAATAATGAATGCAAAAAAAAAAAGAGTGACAACTCTGGGCTCATGAGGTCACAGAGCCTTCACAGAAGCTATGACATTTATGAAGTTAACCGTGTTGTTGGTTTGCCATCCTCCCCATCACGTCTTTTCTCTTAAAGCTTTAGTATCTTTGAAGCTTTGTTGGTAGCTTAAAATTGCCTTAAATTGTCTTCTCTGTGTACATAAAATTTCTTGGGACCATCTGTAATTAGTTGACTACGCTGTGTTTACAACTGCCTGGTACCTGAATACGGTGCTTATGTAAAATGGTAGCTTTCAATTTGACTTACAGAATGGAATAGGATTTAGGCCCAAGTACAATAGGGTGGATTTTCCAGTCCAAGGTTAGAAGGAAGAAAACACTAAACAAAAGTAGAAAGTATACAACTTGATTGAAAAAAGAGAGAAAGTTATCTCAACAGTATCAGAGTACATGTCCAGGATCTGTTCTGTGCCGTATGTGCTAAGTGTATCTTTATTATTATGTTTACAACTTCCCCCAGGTATTAATTACCTTTATTTAGTAAAAAGAGAGGTTCAAAGAGTTTCATATATTCAGATGTCATACAAAGTATCATACATTAGTAAGTCAGGTTTCGTGTACTGTCCCAGCAGCCATTCTGGTCTCAAAAGCATTGTTCTTCTCACTCTGCTGTGCTGCCTTGTGTAAAGGGATATGAGAGGAGATAAAAAGAAAGTAAAAGGAAAGGCCAGGCACTGAGTCACATACCTGTAATCCCAGCAGTTTGGGAGGCCGAGATGGCAGACCACTTGAGGTCAGGAGTTCGAGACCAACCTGGCGAATATGGTGAAACCCCGCCTCTACTAAAAATAAAAAAAAATTAGCTGGGCATGGTGGTGGGTGCCTGTAATCCCAGCTACTCAGAAGGCTGAGGCACAAGAATTGCTTGAACCTGGGAGGCGGAGGTTGCAGTGAGCCAAGATCATGCCACTGCACTCCAGCCTGGGCAACAAAGTGAGACTCAGTCTCAAAAAAAAAAAAAAAAGAAAGTACAAGCCGGGTTGTGTAGTCCTTTTAATGCAAAGAATATATTTTATTCTGATGGAAGTTGGGAGCCATTGAAGATTATTGAAGGAGGAATATCTTCTAGGTATTTTAGAAGATAATCTATCAGGGATAGATGGGCTATATCTATTAGGCATAGAATCCCTAATCTATCAGGGATAGATGGGCTATATCAGTTCAATAGAAATGATTATTTGTTCAAAAATGATTTATTGAACAAATACTATGTTCTACAGTGTCTAGTCCCCAGGAATAGAGTTGCATTAATTAACACTTATCCAGAGAACTCTTATTTAATACACTATAGTATGTAAAGTGCAGATGCTGTGTCTTATTTATCTTTCTCCCACCTAAATTGTCTAAAAATAATAATTTTTGCAATTTTCCAACTGTATGTCAATGCTGTTGTTACTAATAAATTGTATTTGGAAATCTTCATGAATTTATAATAGCATAAATTGGTATCATTGTTAAAAGGAATCTTCATTCAAAAATTTTAGCAAGCATTGCTCTTACTAGACATTTTTGTGACCAATGTGCAGACCATCAAGAAAAAAATCAATTAATAAATAACAGTAGTAGTCTTTCAATATTTGAGAGATAGAGGATTACATTTTATAGAAGTAAAGAAATATTATGAGTCATTTGGTGTACTCATATCTTACTTTGCTTATTTAGTGATATGAGAAGCTCTAACCCAAGGAAAGATATTCAAATATGGTTGTCAAATTCATTTTCTACTTCCTCTTTGGATTTCAAATGCATTTTCATAGTCTAGCAAAGTGAGCTCACACACCTTATATGTGTGCTCTCTGGTAAGCAGATGTCACAGAATTCACTTGAGCAGAGTTGAAGACACCTGTCAGGCAGTTGTTAATTTGAGCCGTGCTGCAACTCTTTGTCTATATCAATCACATTCTTTGGTGGGACAGAAAACTGTCATTAACAGATCTGCCAGTAAGGCCTCTTTATCATATTTATAGAGGGGTAGTAAGTAGGGTAATTAATTGTTATGATAGTGTTTATATATGTGGACCTATCATATGAAATTACTAAAACATACATTGATTCATTATAGTTATTGAATATTTATTTTTTGGGAGGAATTATCTGGATAAAGTTGAAAAGAAAGTGGAAAGCATAAAATTAACAAATTAATGAGACAAAAAAATTCTAAGATTGAAACAGATAAAGACTTGTCCCCAAAACTAATATCCAGAATCTACAAAGAACTTAAACAAGAAAAACTGACAAGAAAAAATCAACCCGATCAAAAAGTGGGTGAAGGATATGAACAGACACTTCTCAAAAGAAGACATTTATGCAGCCAACAGACACATGAAAAAATGCTCATCATCACTGGCCATTAAAGAAATGCAAATCAAAACCACAATGAGATACCATCTCACACCAGTTAGAATGGCAATCATTAAAAAGTCAGCAAACAACAGGTACTGGAGAGGATGTGGAGAAATAGGAACACTTTTGCACTGTTGGTGGGACTGTAAACTAGTTCAACCATTGTGGAAGACAGTGTGGCGATTCCTCAGGGATCTAGAACTAGAAATGCCATTTGACCCAGCCATCCCATTACTGGGTATATACCCAAAGGATTATAAATCATGCTGCTATAAAGACACATGCACATGTATGTTTATTGTGGCACTATTCACAATAGCAAAGTCTTGGAACCAACCCAAATGTCCATCAGTGATAGACTGGATTAAGAAAATGTGGCACATATACACCATGGAATACTATGCAGCCATAAAAAATGATGAGTTCATGTCCTACTTTGTAGGGACATGGATGAAGCTGGAAACCATCATTCTGAGCAAACTATTGCAAGGACAGAAAACCAAACACCGCATGTTCTCACTCATAGGTGGGAGTTGAACAGTGAGAACACTTGGACACAGGGTGGGGAATACCACACACCGGGGCCTGTCGTAGGGTTGGGGGAGGGGGAGGGATAGCATTAGGAGATACACCTAATGTTAAATGACGAGTTAATGGGTGCAGCACACCAACATGGCACGTGGATACATATGTAACAAACCTGCACGTTGTGCGCAGGTACCCTAGAACTTAAAGTATATATATAAAAAAAGATTTGTCCCCCAAAAGCAGTAAAATGAACACCAAAGCTATGATTTCTGAGCCAGGGCTCCTCAAAAATACATTCTTTTCTTTTTGTATGTAGCACAGGCATCTAAACTATAAACCCAAAGTGGAAAGAGTGAGGATGTGACACACTTTGATGATGGGTTGGAGAATGTATTCCACCAGACACCACTCAAACTATAATCCCCACACTTGAAAAGTAGTTCCAATTGTACAGTCATGATAATTTGCATTTTTTTAATATGTAAGTACATATATTATGTATACTTGTCATTCCTCGGAATCTCCTTCTAACTTTCACAGATGCATTTCTGTTAATCATTCAGCCACAGTATGATTTCCTAGACTTTGTCATTCATTTTCCTACTCAGTAGCCTCCTGTAAGATCAGTGTTAATTTTTCCCAGGGATGTTGCAATGTCTTTACTTAGAAGTAAAGTAATTTCTCCCAGATTTGTAAGTGTGATCCCATTGGTATAAATTTAGCTCATTTGAATGCCTTAATTTAGTTAGATATCTACATTTTTAAACCTTAATTTTATGTCCTTTTATTAGTAAAAGACCATTCTAAGGCTATTAACAGATTTGATACATACATTTAAAAAGAAAGTGTGTTAACCATCTATTTTTTTATGTTACTACTATTGTCTAATTAGGCATACATCTTCACTTGTAAATTGAGAGCATTTATTGTCCTCCATTACTGAGCATGTTTTGTGTCCAGAAATCCCAAGAACAGTGACTTCTAAATGAGTAATTAGATAATTTTAAAAATGATAAAGAGAATATCAGTATTATTTGCTAACTCATTTTACCTCAACAAAAGTTATCATAGTACCAAAAAAGTTGTATTTAACCATTTTTGAAACATTCTAGCTCAATGAGAATAACTCTCAAAATGAGCTAAATCAGGAAAGTGTCTTACATGCTTTAGATTCTGCTATTCAAACTCTACGCACTGTCCCAAGTAAATATAAATTTAGTACTTGAATGACAGCAACAAATGCTGAAACCTAACCCTAAATTCTTAGTACTCTAATGGGCCATATTTGGCAAATCACTTCTCTCTCTCGACTCACTGATCCAGCAAATATCTTTTTTGTTGACTACAGAGTGACACTGCATGAGACACAGGGTACAGTTTTATGATTTTCTTTTCTGCAGTTGTAAAATTAATAGTATTGACTGGGGTCTGAAATAATGAGTTAGTTTTAAAAAGTTACCAAATGGTGCCAAGTGTGGAATTAGAGTTTTGCTTTAAACAAAATTCTTTAATGCATTACAAAAACAAGTGTGCAAGAAATGTAACTAAATTTATTCCCCCACAGTTGAGCTTCATTTCAACCTTGACCCCTTCTTAACCATCTCAGAAGAAAACTTAAGCTAGTTAACAATTCACCTAAACTCATTTAAGGATTCTTCCCTAACTTATTTGAACCAGGGGTGTCAATTAAGATCTGGGGAAGGCCTAAACAGTTCCAGGCTTCGGAAAGAAAGGGTTCATCTAGCATCCTTTGAAATGAAGCCAATCTGTTCTGACCTTTGTCCCTACTACAGATCCCTCGCTCTCCATGTTCCTGCCGTGCCCTCTTGGATGCACATGTCACTCTGTGTCCTCATTGCAACCAGAAGTTTCCTGCAGGTGATAGGGCTTTATCGGCTCTTTCCCTGTCTTTCTTTTGGCTCCAGAGTTTCCAGAACTTATTTAGAACTCCCATCCAAGATTTTGACTCTTTGGTCTGTGTTCCTTGGTGTCGTCCTTTGGCTACTGAGTTGCTGTAGAGATTGGGGTGAGAGGCAGATAGAGGAAGAGGAAAGTGAATTCTTAGTTAACACTGCTAGATTTTCTTCGTTCACATTTATGAAAACTATTCACTACTTACATTTTAAATATAGTTTCTCATATAGCCTGAATATTTACTTTGTCATTACCTCTGGTAAGGAAGTGTAGTTGGATTTGGATGATATTGGAAGCTCAATCCTAAAAAGTTTGTCCATTGTAGAAAAATACTTTTGTCTTTCAGATGTGACTTCATAAAAACTTCATCCTGCTACGTAGTGGAACAATTAGCCACTGTCAGCCTTGGAAGGAGATTGAGGAGGACACTGGGATTGCTTCCCCAGCATTAATTCCGGTCTTCCCCCATGATGTAGTATCCATATAGTTTGGGGTAGGGGTGCTGATTCCATGTTAATCAGTGAAATCTCTTCAACCTTGACAGTGGTGGGTGTGACACCCAAGTGCTTCTAGAAAGATGCCTAGCACTATTGTTCAGTAAGTAGCAAAGAGAATATTTCTTTTCTGGGTTTTGTGGGATGCAGATATAAAATTGGGGATTGCTACATGATTTTGCTACCCTAAGTGAAACCATGATGACATGATACAAGGAAGAAGACAAGTTGAGAACAATTGGAGAGAAAGAGAACTGGAGTCCTAACTAAACTACACTTGAAAGTCCACCTTACTTTTAGAGACTTTACAACCGACCAAAAAGAGTTTACATTACTTGTATAAGCAATTTGAGTTTTTTGTCTTTTGCTACCAAAAAAATTCTAACTAATACAAAGATATACTTGCTAACAATTCTCAAATGTATTACCTCCAAAATCTTTCTCTAATCAGTCTGGTCATCATTTCAGGCCCACTGGGTTTCTTGACTTCAGTATCACCAAGATGTATTTAAGAAGTTCAAACTTAGACCCCTTTTTATCTCCGTCCTCTCTTCTCCCAGTCTTCTCCCCTTACCTTTCTTTTCTTTGCTAATAGTGTCACCCTCTAGATATTCTAAGTTAGAACATTTAGAATTCGCTGAATACTCCCCTTTTTATGCCCTTCCATTCCCCTTCCACCCAAATTTAGTTGGCTACCAGGTTTTTCTTATCCTACTTTTAATTTTTCCACTGTTACTGGCTAAGGTCAAGCCTTTGCCACATTTTAACTAAATTATAGCCTTTCGTTATTATAAATAATAATCTATTATCATTCTGCCTCCCAACCCCAATGATCTGTTCTCCACACTACAGTCTACAATTTAAAAAAACCCGTAACTTCTGATCATGTCCCCTCTTTATTTTAAAACATTCAGTTGACTTGTTTAAAGGATAATATTCAAACTCTTTAACCTCAACCTATTTTACTTCTTCTTCTTTTTTTTTTTTTTTTTTTTTTTTTTTGAGACAGAGTCTTGCTGTATTGCCCTGGCTGAAGTGCAGTGATCTGGGCTCACTGCAACCTCCGCCTCCTGGGTTCAAGCGATTCTCCTGCCTCAGCCTCCCGAATAGCTGGGACTACAGGCACCCGCCATCACGTCTGGCTAATTTTTGTATTTTTAGTAGAGATGGGGTTTCACCATGTTAGCCAGGATGGTCTCGATCTCCTGATCTTGTGATCCACCTGCCTCAGCCTCCCAAAGTGCTGGGATTACAGGCATGGGCCACTGCACCTGGCCCACTTCAACAGATTTTTTCAAGTCTCTCCTTCTATCTTCATTCTGGTCTTGCTCTTATTTTAAAAATAGGAATAATATTAATAAGCCCACAGATTTATTGTGAGGGTTAATAAAGATGATGTGTGAAAGTATCTGGAACATGGTACGTTCTGAATTTTATGGTAATTGCTACTATCTGCTGATAAATAGCAATTATTTGCCAAATGCTGCCTCTCTGACTTTGCATATGCTGTTCCTTTGCCTATTCTTTCCCAGCCTCCTTGTGAATGTCATCTTCTCTTTCAGAATTCAGATGATTTCTTCCCTCTGTGATTTCTCCAGCAATCAATAGCTCTATCATGTAATCTTCACATTTTGTCAATCAGTTAGTAGCATTTATCACATCGTATTGCCATAGTTTTTAGGAAAAGATAGCCTTTCTTTACTGAGTTCTGTGAAAAAAGAAACTAAACCCTGTCTACCTCTCTAAAATTACAACTCTGCTTTCGCGCTTTCTATCCCATTTCCCAATTTTATTTTTTTTCTTATGCATGTAAATACTAAACACTATATGGTTTACCTATTTGTCACATTTTCTGTCTTCCCCATTAAAATGTGTGTTTTACTAGGATGGAAACTTTTGCCTTTTTATTCACTGATGTAGTTCCAGTCTCTAGAAGTCAGCATTTTGAGGGAATAAATGAATGTCTTATTTATCTTTTCATTTCTTTTTTTTTCTTTTATTATTATACTTCAAGTTTTAGGGTACATATGCACATTGTGCAGGTTAGTTACATATGTATACATGTGCCACGCTGGTGCGCTGCACCCACTAACTCGTCATCTAGCATTAGGTATATCTCCTAATGCTATCCCTCCCCCCTCCCCTCACCCCACAACAGTCTCCAGAGTGTGATGTTCCCCTTCCTGTGTCCATGTGATCTCATTGTTCAATTCCCACCTATGAGTGAGAATATGCGGTGTTTGGTTTTTTGTTCTTGCGATAGTTTACTGAGAATGATGATTTCCAATTTCATCCATGTCCCTACAAAGGACATGAACTCATCATTTTTTATGGCTGCATAGTATTCCATGGTGTATATGTGCCACATTTTCTTAATCCAGTCTATCATTGTTGGACATTTGGGTTGGTTCCAAGTCTTTGCTATTGTGAATAGTGCTGCAATAAACATACGTGTACATGTGTCTTTATAGCAGCATGATTTATAGTCCTTTGGGTATATACCCAGTAATGGGATGGCTTCGTCAAATGGTATTTCTAGTTCTAGATCCCTGAGGAATCGCCACACTGACTTCCACAATGGTTGAACTAGTTTACAGTCCCACCAACAGTGTAAAAGTGTTACTATTTCTCCACATCCTCTCCAGCACCTGTTGTTTCCTGACTTTTTAACGATTGCCATTCTAACTGGTGTGAGATGGTATCTCATTGTGGTTTTGATTTGCATTTCTCTGACGGCCAGTGATGATGAGCATTTTTTCATGTGTTTTTTGGCTTCATAAATGTCTTCTTTTGAGAAGTGTCTGTTCATGTCCTTCACCCACTTTTTGATGGGGTTGTTTGTTTTTTTCTTGTAAATTTGTTTGAGTTCATTGTAGATTCTGGATATTAGCCCTTTGTCAGATGAGTAGGTTGCAAAAATTTTCTCCCATTTTGTAGGTTGCCTGTTCACTCTGATGGTAGTTTCTTTTGCTGTGCAGAAGCTCTTTAGTTTAATTAGATCCCATTTGTCAATTTTGTCTTTTGTTGCCATTGCTTTTGGTGTTTTAGGCATGAAGTCCTTGCCCATGCCTGTGTCCTGAATGGTATTGCCTAGGTTTTCTTCTAGGGTTTTTATGGTTTTAGGTCTAACGTTTAAGTCTTTAATCCATCTTGAATTGATTTTTGTATAAGGTGTAAGGAAGGGATCCAGTTTTAGCTTTCTACATATGGCTAGCCAGTTTTCCCAGCACCATTTATTAAATAGGGAATCGTTTCCCCATTGCTTGTTTTTAATCCAACTTACAAGGGATGTGAAGGACCTCTTCAAGGAGAACTACAAATCACTGCTCAAGGAAATAAAAGAGGATACAAACAAATGGAAGAACATTCCATGCTCATGGGTAGGAAGAATCAATATCGTGAAAATGGCCATACTGCCCAAGGTAATTTACAGATTCAATGCCATCCCCATCAAGCTACCAATGCCTTGCTTCACAGAATTGGAAAAAACTACTTTAAAGTTCATATGGAACCAAAAAAGAGCCCGCATCGCCAAGTCAATCCTAAGCCAAAAGAACAAAGCTGGAGGCATCACACTACCTGACTTCAAACTATACTACAAGGCTACAGTAACCAAAACAGCATGGTACTGGTACCAAAACAGAGATATAGATCAATGGAACAGAACAGAGCCCTCAGAAATAACGCCGCATATCTACAACTATCTGATCTTATCTTTTTATTTCTAATGCCTAATGGAGTAGCTTGCCTGTGGTAGGTGCTAAACAAATTTGGCTGAATAAATGAATGTGTGATGCTACAAACCTGGAAATCTGGAAGAATTTGAATTAGCGACTTAAATGTAGAAGATTTCCTATTATAGTTTAGGCACCTTTAATGTAGTGAAGGTAGGGGTCAGTTGCAGTGATGTCTCCCAAGTGCCCCATTTTGAACTGTTTAGTTTTTTTTCTGGGATGGAAGGTATAAAATTGAAAGAACGAAGGTGTGTGTATGGGGTGGGGGTGGGGGCTGGGGGGGTGGGGAGTGGGAGGGAGATGGAATCTTCTAATTAGTTTTTATCTGTTTATAAAAAGGAAGTGATTTAAAACTGTAAATACAAGATTCGCCAGTCTCCCTGTCTGCTTGTTTATAAATGGGAAATGTAAACGATGTTTCATCATTGTTTTATCATTGTTAAGAACTTTTTTTCTAAATTGTTTTACTATCTTGTGAAAATAGTTGAATTTCTACATAGCTATTTAAAACAGAGTTTTTTTGTTTTTTTTTTTGAGATGGAGTCTTGCTCTGTTGTCCAGGCTGGAGTGCAGTGGAGCGATCTCGGCTCACTGCAGCCTCCGCCTCCTGGGTTCAAGTGATTCTCCTGCCTGAGCCTCTCGAGTAGCTGGGATTACAGTCATCCCCCACCACGCCTGGCTAATTTTCGTATTTTTTGTAGAGACAGGGTTTTGTCATGTGGACCAGGCTGGTCTTGAGCTCTTGACCTCAGGCGATGCGCCCACCTTGGCCTCCCAATAAAACAGAGTTTTTGCTAAGTTACAATACAGAAATAGAATTGAGTGGAAACAAGAGTTCCTTTTAGTGCTGACTCTGATTTTTATGAGACTTTAAACTTCATCTCATACTAATCACAAACCAGCCAGATTTTGGTGAGTGTGTTGATCTACTTTGAATTGGTGATTCAAATGTAGAAGGTTCTCTGTTCCCTTATAAAAATCACCTCAGCTTATAATTAAAAGAAAGAATGAAAGAGTAAAAGGAATATCAAAAGGAAAGAAGGATGGAAGGAAGGAAAGAAGGGTAGAAGGAAGGAAAAAAAAAGGGGAGAATGGGGCCGGGTGTGGTGGCTCATGCCTGTAATCCTAGCACTTTAGGAGGGTGAGGCAGGAGAATCTCTTGAGGTCAGGAATTTGACACCAGCCTAGGCAACATGTTGAGACCACCATCTCTACAAAAAATTTTAAAAAATAGCCAGCATGGTGGTGCACGCCTGTAGTCCCAGCTACTCGGGAGGCTGAAGTGGGAGGGCCCCTTTAGCAAAGGGGTTTGAGGCTGCAGTGAGCTATGATTATGCCATTGCACTTCAGCCTGGACAACTGAGCAAGACCCTATCTGAAAAAAAAAAAAAGGAGAAAGAAAAGAAACTGAAGTGGTAGTGTAGTGAGACCTCGCTCAGAAATGAACAAAGCATCTGTAAACTGATACTTATTTTTTGTTGTGTGTAACAACAGCATTTCAATTCTGTGGATATGTTAGTGTGAGTATACACATACACACATATGTATTTACTCACCACATAATTAAGAATTTCAAAGATAAAACTCATTCTTTTTTCTGATTTGAGAATTCTGTTGCTACACATTCCTGAATGGAATGATGTTTGTCTTCACTGTGGCAAAGACTGTTAAATTATAGGGAGTAGTAAAGTTGTTGATTTGCTGCAATAAAAATCATGAAGAAATTGAGATCTTTCTCTTCCAGCTGTGTTCTTTCTTCCTTACTTTTTTAGTCTCTCCCCTAAATGTTAGGACTGGGGCTCTAAGGCTATTGAGCCCTTCCTTCTTTAATAGTTGTAGTTTAATCTTAGCATCATACAGTCTAAATGTTTAAGGAGTGACTTCATCTTTAGATATTCAGACGAAAGAGTAGTTGGACATAGCCTGTCTATGAAGCCTCATTCTTAGCCACTCTCTTCATCTATCTAATCCTATCCCACTGGTATCTCTCACCAGGTTCTTAATATACTCATGACTGTTGGGTGTTGGCCATTCTGTTCCAGCACCCAGTTTGCTCTTTTCCCCTTTTATTGTCTAATAAGAGCCATTTAGTCTTTCAGAGTTTTATCTAGTAAGTTTTATCTAATAAGCAGTGTGAATGTTGACTCTGCTACGGTGTTAGCTCTGTTTTTTGGCCTCTCTGTGTCTCATGATTATAACAGCGCCTATCACAGAGCATGGTAACGATGATTAAATGGGTCATATGTGCTTAGCACATTCGTTAATATGGCAATATATGCTCAATACATTTGGCTGTCAGAAGGAATCAGTTGCTACTTTCTATACTGATATTGCTCCTTGTGCAGATACCTCATGAAAATCCTTATTGCATTATATTTTAATCACTGATTTGCCTTTGTATTTCTTCACTGTTTTGTGTACTCTGTCAGCATAGACTTCTGTATTTTTAAATGCTCAATTCTAGGCAAAATGAATATTGTTAAGAATAATCACTTGCAATATAAAAATACTTTCATAAACACAAATATATGTTAGATAAGTATATTCAAAGAAAAAAAACGAAGGACCAAAAGAATGTCAGAAGAATAAAGAGCTAAGAGAAGACTGAAATATACCAAGTATAGGTATATTAAAATAAAAATATATTTTTAGATTCATATAAGAATATTCAATTTTTTTATTTTAAGTACAAATACAATGATACAGGTTATAAGTACAAATACAATGATACAGGTTATACATGTGAGGGCAGGGAGCTTGTTAGTTGGAGAAAGACCAAGTACTGATGATAAACAAAAGCCAGAATCCTTTTGGGGAAAGCGAGTTAGTGATGAAAGCCTCCTGGATTTTGGTTCCAAGACCAAATGATTTTGGTTGGTACTCGGTGTGGAATGGAGGTGGGGTGGGGAGGACCATGCAACTTTTATGAAAAACCTAGAAACAGGTGAAAGACATGAAGAAATCAATGCATAAGTTCAAAAAGAAACGCATTTCAATTCACAGTGTCAGAAATTGGTTGGAAAGATGTGACTGGACTTTAATCTCTAGTTTGGAATTCTGTTAGACTTTTGTTTTCAGTTAAGGAATATGAATGGAAAGGAACCTTAGTTCTTTTCAATGAGGAGGTAGCAAACTTTTGTGTCTACATATACTTGATTTCTTCCATGCTTATTATGTTGCCAATGTGGGTCCAGACACTTTAATATTTTGAGTAGTAATTTAGGCCTTGGTTTCATTATAGTTAGATTTCCTTCATTATTTGGATATAAGAAGTAGAAGGACTACTGCCAGGAAAGTCAAGCTTCAAGATAATAATGAGCTTCATGTAAAAGGGTACAGACAGTGAATAGAAGTGAGGGGCAGTATTACAAATTGAGCAATAGCTATTTAGACGTAAAGAAGTAGCTAGTACAAGGAGTCCCTAGGGCAGACATATATTGTGTAGCCACAGAGTGGTGAATTAACCTTGACAGATACTAGTATTAAGAAACCTTAGGTGATTTAAGACTATCCAAATATTCTCCTTCATTTTTAAAGAGCCAGATTATGGAACTATATGATTATATCTGGAATTCCACATTGCTTGAAATTACACAAAACCTGGATTTGGAAAGAGAAATCTTATTTATGTATTTTTTAATTTTTTATTTCTTATAGAGATGGGGTCTCGCTGTGTTGCCCAGGCTAGTCTCAAACTCCTGGGCTCAGGCGATCCTCCTGCCTCAGCCTCCCAAAGTGCTGGGATTACAGGTGTGAACTACTGCACCCAGCCTGGAAAGAGAAAGCTGAGAGAATAAAAGGCCTCTATGAAAGCTGAAAAGGTAATTTCAACTCAGAAAAAAGTGGCTACTAAACCTTGAGGTTGGTTTAAGGGCGAATTATTTTTATCTTGAGTTATGCATAGGAACATTTTAACTGGTAATTACTAAAAGTAATAAAATATATTAGAAAGTCCAAACAATTCTGTAATGCTGAAAAGAGAAAATTATAAAGGATGCTGCATTCTGTAGTCTGCATAGGATTTTCACATATATCATCTCCCTTAAGCCTATCAAACAAATGTTGGGAATGTGTTTTATGCCCATTTTATTTTTTTTATGCCAATGATTGGGACTCAAAGTAGTTAAATGAGCAGTCTGCTTGATTCCAATTATTGTGTTCTTTATGCTAGAAAATATTTCTAGCATATAGGCTGAGAAAATACATACTTACTATAATACTAAACATTGACCATGGTCTGAAGTGTTGTATTATAAATGCAGGTAGGCATGCCTGTTAGTCCAACTTCCTTCAGACTATTAATTGTACCCAAATAGACTATTAATTGTGCTCAGCTATTGTTCATATCCATGAACAGCATAATATTCAATTCAGTTCCTCAGTCACTTTTAGAATACACATTTTATCAATGAATTTAAATGAAATAATTATAGTAATTGAAGTGCCTTACATGCTTATATGAGACATGCGCTTAGAGGGTTTTTAAATATGTAACTACATTACGTTGAATTACTACTAATATAATACAAAGCGTTAAAATTAAAATCTGAAAAGCAGAATGCCGTGGATAACCCCTGGCAAGTATGCATTAGCTTCCATGGCAGCAAACCACATGGTGTAAGGGAAGCTGTCCTGGAATCAGACTGCTTGACACTGACCTTGTCACTTACTTGGTGTGCAATACCAGGAAAATATCTTTTACTTCTCTCTAGCTCAGTTTACTCCATCATATCATACATTCCATCAGAGTTGGAGTTTTTTTGTGTTTTTTTTTTAATTTGATGTTGTGTTTTTAGTGTCTAGAATAGTACTCAACATATAACAGGCATTTGATACATTTTTTTGAAAAGATCTGCAAAGTGGAATGACTATATTATCTGCCCATAGGATGCTTCAAAAGTATACTGTTTACCAGAATTCTTAGCAAATATAGGAGATAGTAGCAACTAACAAATATGGGAAATGCTAATTTTTACTATTGAAATTGTCATTAGGTTTTATTATTATGGCTGATGGTAAAAGAAGTATAAAAAAATAATGAAGCTGGTGTTTTAGAGAAAGGCCCTCCATCTGGGGCAGCACATTTGTATCTAAGAGTTGGTTCACTTTAGTCAAACCCAGAGGGGAGAGCTATGGCTTTATGTACATTCTCACTAATAAAAGTTTGAAGTTGCCTTGAACCTCTGTTTCTTCTGTTCTCCTTCACTTCTCTTTGTCTCACAGAAAATCAGTTGGTTCTTTTACTTCTAATGGTGGAGTTCATCCTGAATTTGATAAATCTTTATGAAACAAGATTCTGGGAAAACACACAAGCAAACAAAACCAAAAAAGCCCCTAAAAACTTACCCGAAATAAACCACCTGCTTATTGCCGCTTCAGGAATGATTCATTTTTCTGTGTCTCAAATACAAGGTACAACTCTCAAAAAATGTCTTTGAAGCAAACTTGTACTGCTCTTGGCTGTTGATAACCTGGCTGTATCTATCCATCTCCATCTGTCTGTCTAGCTACCTATCATCTATGATGATAGATTTCATTTAATACAGAGAAAATTTGGTTTTTATTTTTCCTTCCTTTCTCCCTTGTTTCTTTTCTTCCTATTTTTCCTTTGTTTCGTCTTTTCTTTCTCCCACTTTCCCTTCTTCCCTCCCTTCATCTAGATTTCTCTTTCTTCTTTTTCCTTTTTGTCATTTTTCTTCTAAGCTCTATAAGATTTATAAAGAAGAATGAGGAATAAGATAAAAATCACTCGATTGTGATTTAAAATGCAGGTAGACGTATCAAGAAATGTGTCTTTTGGAGCCCTCCTTGACCCCTCCCCCTCCATTTTCAACCTAGAGTTAATAAAACCCTCCTTTGAGTCCCATTCTACCTTTTACTTGCCTCTATTGGCGAACTTAATATGCTTTATTTATTTGCATTGCATATTCTCAGCACAGTCTCAATAAAGTTTTGTTTATTTCTCAACTTGACCTTGGGCAAATTTTTCTTTGCCTCTTCTCACTCCACCTTTCTGTTGCTCCCTAATTCTCATTTCAACAAAGGGTTGTTGCTGCTAGTTTCTCACTGATGCTACACTAGAAGTCTATGAGGTGTCTGTTTATCTGTAAATAAAACAATGTATGCAAATTATATATATCAGTAACTCAAATGTTATTATTTTACACATTTGTTTGATGATTTTAAATTTTCGAATATTAGGAATAATTTTTTTACAATGTTTTAAGAGTTTTATCCTGTCTTGTTTATATCATAAAGATGCAAATGAAAGCTTTAGTATAAATACAGTGCAGCATTTAGTAGCCACACCCGAGAGCTTAGTCACTGGTAGGGACAGATATTTGTATAGGTGGATTTTAATTGTTGGAAGCATATTTTCAATTCTCAGTGTTTGTTATATTAAAATATAAGAATGCAGAGAAACTGCATCTTTTATATCTGCTATTACATTGAAATAAAACAGCCAAGGGCTTAAATTTTATTTTTAATCCCATTTTCTAATTTCAATATATATCTTATTAGCTTTTATTTTTGTTTATATTTTTGTTAACATGGATACAGTAGTGGTATTTGAGCTGTTGCATAACTTGCACAGACCTCTGTTGCCTCCAGCATGGATCATATATTCATTACGTTCAAGAGCATGCTTACTGCTGTTCTTTGTATAAGAGGTCAATGTTTCCCTATTGCAAGATGAAATTCATTTCTGTTACTTCATTAAACTCCTACATGTTTGTATATAGCTACAATTTTTATATGCAAGTGCTGTTTCAAGGCAATTAAAGTGTTATTGCCCCTCCCTCCCGGCCTCCCTCCCTGCCTGCCTCCCTCCCTTCCTGCCTGCCTCCCTCCCTCCCTCCCTGCCTGCCTGCCTGCCTGCCTGCCTGCCTTCCTTCCTTCCTTCCTTCCTTCCTTCCTTCCTTCCTTCCTTCCTTCCTTCCTCTCTCTCTGTCTCTTTATTATTGTATTTGAATTTTTTAGGACTGAGTTAGAAGACCAATTACCTATAACCTGTGTGCAAAATTAAATTTAGAATATTAGGTAGGAAAGGGATAACTGTATCTTTCAGGGTTAGGGCTAATAAATTTATTTATTGTCTGTTTTTTTCCCAATGCCTTATAGAGGCACTCAAGCATTTAAATCCAAAGCAACATATTTCTAATTGGAATTGTTGTATTGATATGGGAAAAGACCCAATGATTTTCTTTTCCCCAAGGTACCTAGTGTTCATATACTATCTATTCTCCAATCATGTTAATACATTCATTCATTCTAAACTGTTAATGATTGAACATGTTGATGCAGGATTTTTCGTGGCCACTTTGCCAGTCAGGGACTTCTGTGGCCAGCAATGCCCCCACCTAGGCCTTGCTTGGCCCCAGGCCTGCCACAGGAGGTGTTACACTCACTCAGCCCACTGGGCCTTGCCTGGCTTGCATACCAGCTCAGCCCATGGCTGGGCAGAGTGTGTCCCAGCCCCCCTGCATTACGGCTTGTACCCATGTTTGATGGTTCTCGAGTTCTTGTCCCGCGTCTGAGAAAAATGAGGTTACTCCGACAACTGAAGGCTGAGTGTGGCAGAGAAGAATTTTACTGAGCAACAGAACAGCTATCAGCAGAAAGGGGACATGAGGGTGGCCCCCCACCTGAAGTTGGGTGGTCTGTCTCTCTCAGTGTGGCTGGGTCTGGGCCTTTTATGAGCTCATAATGGGGGAGCACGTGCTGATTGGTTTGTGAGTATGCAAGAGGCTAAAACAAAGGCATCATTCAAAGGTTGGCAGGACAGCATGAAAAACCAATTAGGGAAGGGTAGGTTTATGTAAACTAAGTGAAGGGTAAGGATCAATCAGAGGAAAGTGTGCCACATGGGAAGAGAGGGTTTTAATCCAGTCCATGGATTTAACTTGTAGCTTGGCTTTTAGGTTTTAAAGTGTCTTTGGCTTGAAGGTCTGGTTTCACCAGGGACCTGCCCCTGTCTGCCTAGGGATTAGTCTGCTTCTTGCCACTATCAGTGTCACTCTTCACAGCAATATTTTCAAATGAAGGAATATTTAATGAAATAGGAAAGTTTATGTCAAACTCAGAAAGACAAAAGTTGGGAAGGATCTTGGAACCATACACATCCACAGTAATGGTTCAATAAACAACTTTTCTAGAAGAAGCATTTTGCATTCTTGCTACTAATTTTGCATTAGCTTCCTTGCTAATTGACTTTTCTGGTTGATGTTTTAGTTCTTAAGATCTCCCTTAAGGAATCCCCTTTCCAGTCCCCTTTAAATTCCGTCACATGGGACTATCAATTGTACCTCTGCAAACAACTCCTGCTTTCTGCTTCCTTTGAATCTGTGCAAAGAAACAAAACATAAAAGACAAAAAAATTGTATTGTTGGAAAACATTTAAGGTATTTATTAATAAAACCAGTGTAACATTTTTGGGCTATATCCTATCTAAGTGTGCCACAACATCAGTATCCTTTTATAACATGAATAATTAAAATTCACTGATCTGAATTTAAGCAGCTTAATCTGGTAATCTGAGCTTCTGATTTAGATGAGTGGGCAAAAAGTCAGGTGAATCAGAGGGAGAAGTGGAGACTGCACTGCATGGTTTGCCAGTCATAATCAATCTACTGTTAGAAATTATGAGGAATTTCCTTTGACACATAAAGCATGCAAAGTACATAACTTGTTTCCATCTAATTATATACTTGTGTGGTGAATGTGTTGTCAGATTCTAAAACCATCTTTGAATTTGCTTTTTTTTCCCACCTTGGTACTCTGTGCTTTCTGAGATTTTATATGGTCACATGAACTGTGAGTGATGCTCAATATTGACAAGTACAGTACAAACAGCAGATGGTAAGATATTGATGGAGACATTTGTTAATGGGCCAGTTGTCTTGCTTAGATGTACAGCTTTTTGGCAGAGTTTTGGCCTTTTTTTCTGCCTTTCCACACTGTCTACCTTAGAAGGAGGAAAAAACCCAAATCTCTTTTATGTTTTTCATGGGGAAAAAAAGGAGGTGAATGTCAAGATAGCATGAGCCTTAAATAAAACTACCCTTAGTAAATGGAGCTACTATATCATGAAAGAAAAATTTCTCTAAAAATAATATAATTTCTTTGAAAAGATTAAAAAAATTTTTTTCATTTTTATAACCCTGTTAGTCTCTTCAGTAATTCATGTTTTCTATATTGGATACAGAGCTTTGTACATTTTTATGTGTGTGAGGGTGGTGCTGTTCCATAACCAATGGTAAACACTGCAAGGAAAAAATATATCACATGAGTCGTTTGAATAGGTGGTATGGGGGCTGGGCTTCCTAGGATCTCTGGAACCATACACATCCACAGTAATGGCTCCATAAACCACTTTTCTAGAAGTAGCATTTTACACTCTTGCTAGTCATTTTGCATTAGCTTCTTCGATAATTGACTTTTCTTGTTGATGTTTTAGTTCTTAAGATTTGCCTTAAGAAATCCCTAAAGAGCTTCTCAAGCTTCAACCCTATTTCAACTCCAGGTTTGCTCAATTACCTGAGAGCAGGGAGAATACCAACTTTCCCAAGAGACTTTTCTCTCTTTTTTTAAATTTTTAAATAGACATATCATAATTATACATATTGCTTGGGTACATGTGATATTTTGATACATGTACACAGTGTATAATGATCACGTCAGAGGTTTTTCTTTTTACTCCAAAGAAATACAAAGGTTTGAACACAGATACGTTATTGACTCCACTTTCTGTTAGAGGAAGGTTAAGACCTTAGAAAGGAATTGCTGTCTCCAATCTTATTCCTACAGCTAATTTCACTGACTTTGAGTAGAGTGTTCTACTGATTGTCATTCAAATGAGCCACACCTACATTGCCCTTTCTGTAAACCTTTGCAGATTTCTGGAATATGAGCTCATCTTTATTTTGCTTCTTCTGTCCTATTCCCTGAAGACCTCAGAGAAACTTCCGCAGACTGGAAGTGTCTTCTCCCCTGAGCTCATGTTGCATATGCAATTTTAAAAACTCAAGTAACAACACAAAGAACACGTGAGATATATTTAACTTATCAATAAATTTTAACTTATGGAGACTTTAAACAAACACGTCAGAATTTTAACTTCAAAACAATTACATCTATTTATGGGAATGTTTATTGTGTATAAGGCACTCTGCTCAGTTATTTTAAGTTTATTAAGGATATATACCTTAGTTCATATTATTCTCCCCATAACCCAGGAAATTAAATACAGTTAACTGTGTTTTAAAGATGGGGAAACAGAGACTGGGGGTTTCTAATAGAGATGGGGAATTTCTATGGTCATACATCAAGTAAGAATGAGGCATCGAATCTGTACATCAGCTAAGTGGGCCAGCTTCCTGATTAGAAATGTCAGGGGGCAGGGAGACTAGGAGTTCAGTTCAGTAGAGATAACACCTCATACCATTTAGCATTCTGTACTTCTAAATGCTGTGTTGTTAACAGAATATATATTTAAGAATGGAAGTGAAGAACTCAGGACATCTTTATGAAAATCAGAGCATGCGTAATACGTAAATGAATATTGGGATCAAAGTGTTTGTTAAATACTATCAACATGAACATTCAAAGTTCGTTAATCTTGAGCATGCATTAAGAGGTTTGCAGGGTGGCAGAGATAACAGTCAAAATAATAACTTTCTATAAAAAAAACTGGCTATTAAGAAACTTCTAAGAAACAAAAGGGACTAAAAAAAACTCCCATCCTTGTTTTCTTGTTTACCTTTACATACATATACCTTTACATATATACACATAATGTGTGTGTGTGTATATATATATATATATAAATATATATATATATACTAATTATTATTATTTTGAGATGGAGTCTCGCTCTGTTGCCCAGGCTGGAGTGCAGTGGCGGCATCTCGGCTCACTGCAACCTCCACCTCCCAGGTTAAAGTGATTCTCCTGTCTCAGTCTCCCGAGTAGCTGGGATTACAGGTGTGTGCCACCATGCCCAGCTAATTTTTGTATTTTTAGTAGAGACAGGGTTTTGCTATGTTGGCTAGGCTGGTCCCAAACTCCCTGCCTCCAGTCATCCGCCAGCCTCGGCCTCCTAAAGTGCTGGGATTACAGGCGTGAGCCACCGTGCCCGGCCTACCTTAATATATGTGTTTTAATTGCAGGGTTTCTTTTCATTTTGTTCTGGAAATAAAAGTTTAGAGGATAAAATCTTAAGGAGAGATCTTAAACATACTGCTGTTACAGTAAACTTAAGCATTCTTTTCTCGTCTGCAGAAGGTGCACACTGTACAGGACCTCATATAAACTTTAAGCAAACTTTTTTTCCCCTCACATGAAATCAAAATCCCACTCTGGGGAAGCAACTGGAACCGCAAGTTTGGTGCTCCTTGTAGCACCTGGCTTGCCCTTTGCCCCCTTGATTATATTCTCCTGCCACTCTCATGTCCCCTAAAGCTGCTAACAGCAGAGATACTATGACCTTCCTGGATCTTATCTGAAGTGGACAATAATGTGAAAAACGAAAAATCAACCTGAATTTATTTTCACAATTTTGTGAGTTTTGCTCTCAGAAAAGAGCATTCGTGGTCAAAACATCTGGATTTTATCTTCTTATCCATCTGTTCTGTAGTTTGTCACATGTCCATTTAGCTGCTAGTAAAATAACCAAACCAAATAAAAATAAACCATGATCTCCTTTGATTGTGAAATATAATAAAATTTCTAGAATATTTACTAATTTGTAGCATTCAAGTGAATTTGTAAATAGAAAGTCAGTACTTCTTTCCTGTTTTTATATAAGAAGAAGCCAACCCTGCCAGCAGGAAGATCTGGAGTTGAAGAGATTAGGTCAGATGTAGTTTGTTTTTTTTGTTGTTTGTTTTTGTTTTTGTTTTTTTTTTTTTTTGGAGACAGGGTCTCACTTTGTCACCCAGGCTGGAGTGCAATAGCTTGAACCTCGTGGGCTTAAGTGATCTTCCCTTCTCAGCGCCCCCAAGTAGCTGGGACTACAGGCCCATGCCACCATGACCAGCTAATTTTTTAATTTTTTGTAGAGATGGGGTTTCACCATGTTTGCCTAGGCTGGTCTAGAACTCCTAAGCTCAAGAAATGTGCCTACCTCTGCCTCCCAAAGTGCTGGGATTACAAGCATGAGCCAGTGCACCCGGCCTTCAGATTTAAATTTGAACAGGCACAACTTCACTGTGAACCTGAACACTTAAGCTATTCTAATGTACTTTAATTTCCTTTGCCACTTTTACTTGCATTTAGCTAAGAAAATAAGCAACTATTACTATTGTGCTCTTGGTCATTTTGTGTGTCTCAGAAGTACAATTCTAAATGAATCATAAAATCGGGTGTTTTCATGGTACTGTTCATTGTTAGAACATCATATCAATATATTATAACTTCATAAATAAAATTTATCACCCTTGGCACTTCCCAGCATGATTAAACATTTGTGAATTTAAAGACACGTTAAATTTGGCAGTGCAAAAGCAGCTAACAATATTGCTAAACATGTATGTTTTTGTTTTTGACTCATATGTGATCTTCTCTGATCCAGTATTAATCTTAACTTTCACATAAAGAACAGTATTCAAGAAAATGCCTTTCTTTTTTTAAAGGGGGAGGAATTGGAATAACAACTAAGAATGCTTTAAATTTTGAAGAATAAGAGAGCCACACTTACTTATTTCCAAGAGATACATCACAACATATTTCTGCCTTTGTTAGTACTATTTTCTATGGTTACTTATTTTTTTAAAATGCTTGGGAAAGGACTAGCAATATGTATTAATTTACCAGCCATCATAGTGAGGGCATTTAATGATTTATAAAAGACATATGACCATTTGAAATGACCTAATTGTTCTCAAAGAACTGTCTTAAGTATAATAATTAATAATTAAACAGTCAACAACTCTTTAACCATGTTATAGATAATATATTTCATTTGCCACCACTTTATACTATATACATTAAGAATGTGTGTAGAGGGTGCTAATCTTGTTGCTTAGATGTAATTATATTTACTTGATTGTTAAAAGCTAAATTATTATAGTATATTTTTACAATAAAAAGGAATTTGATACTTTTGCATATAGAGTCTTTAAATGGATGTAGGGCAGTATTTTATTTCACTATTTATATTTGCACTGTGTGTTTTTGCTAAGTATTAGTTATTTTATTTATTTATTTATTTATTTATTTATTTATTTATTTATTTATTTTTGAGACAGAGTTTTGCTCTTATTGCCCAGGCTGGAGTGCAATGGCTCAATCTCGGCTCACCACAACCTCCGCCTCTCGAGTTCAAGTGATTCTCCTGCCTCAGCCTTGCGAGTAGCTGGGACTGCAGGCATGCGCCATCACGCCTGGCTAATTTTTGTATTTTTAGTAGAGACGGGGTTTCTCCATGTTGGTCAGGCTGGTCTCGAACTCCCGACCTCTGGTGATCTCCCAAAGTGCTGGGATTAAAGGCATGAGCCACAGTGCTTGGCCAGTGTTAGTTCTTAATAGGCACTTCTTTGGCTCTAGAAGGCTATGATAAGTATATTAAAATGTAATTTTGAAACAAAAACTAATTTTTCCCCTCAATCTCATGTGCAAATGTATTCCAAAGTATATTTTGACCTTTGTAATGATGTTTGGTTGTATTTTATGTAAAAGTGTCCATAGGAGAATGCAGCTCAAAGTAAGAGTTGAGAATCTGCCTGATTAAAAGGGAAGAATATGCAGTACTATAGTATTTTTTTCCCCTTGCTGAATGCAGTTATTGCAGTGGGTATTGTCATTTCAACAGGCAGAATTGCTGCTTACTTAATGGTAGCTGGTGGTCTCCAGGGCACTTTGCGGATTCCAAGAATGCATAGTCATTCCAAGAACCAAAAATATTTTGAAATTACCTGAAAAAAATTCTAGTTCAGTCATTTCTAATGCGTTTACAACTCTAAACCTAAATATTAATGCTAGAATGTAGCTCATATTATATAATAAAAATAGACTGGGCATGGTGGTTCACGCCTGTAATCCTATCAATTTGGGAGGCCGAGGCAGGTGGATCACTTGAGGTCAGGAGTTGGAGACCAGCCTGGCCAACATGGTGAAACCCCGTCTCTACTAAAAATACAAAAATTAGTTGGGCATGGTGGCAGGTTCCTGTAATCCCAGTTATTCGGGAGGCTGAGGCAGGAGAGTTGTTTGAACCTGGGAGATGGATGTCGCAGTGAGCCGAGATTGCACCACTATACTCCAGCCTGGGCGACAGAGAGAGATTCTGTCTCAAAAAAACAAAACAAAACAAAACAAAACAAAACAACCAAAAAACCCCTTAAATATAATGTCTGAAACTGTACTAGTGTAAGTGGTATCTGGCTGTAGTGTTCCAAAAATACATTTGCAAAAATGTTTTGGAAAACAGACAATATGTTAGCATTAAAACAACAGGTTCCCACACCAGTTTGTAGAGCTAATTTAACCCATATTGTACCACATAGGGTTACAATGGACTATTTCAACTATATTTTATCACCAGACTTTTGTGTTCATTTATCGTCATGAGCATCAGTGGAAGACATTTGTAAGCATCAGGGAAAGAGGATGGAGGTGGAGATGTGGGAGAAAAAGTATGTATGAGAAAGTCTTTTTCTCTAAATAACTAATAATTCCTTCTGTAGTAAGTTATGATCCATTTCAATTTGACATTCTGAACTTTCTTATTCCAGCAGTGGGAGTGAAGATTCCGGCCTCTTTGGATGGCCAGTAGCAGGGACAGAAAGGGACAGACGAGCACAGCATAAGCTGAGCAACATACAATCGTGCTCCTCCAGTAGCTTGCAATCCAGAGGGAAGGCTGGAGTTTAGGTTCATTGTCTTGTGCAGTGGTGAAGTTTCATAAAAGATGTTGGGACAAGGAAGGGGAGGGAGTCATTAATGCCTACAGAGGAGAAAGCTTTTATATTAGGCCTGTGTTTCAGTAGGGGCTAAAGTGTGCAAGAGCATTGCAATACATTAATGTGATTTATGCTCCATTTATGTGCATTAATTGATTCTTACATCATGCCCCAAAGTTTTCTCTTGTGTCTTGCATCAACATTCAGTAAAAAAGAACTCCATCTCTGCTGTTTTTGGCAGTGAGATATATTTTTTGTTGATTTCTGTCCTAACGTCTACTGATCTCAAATTACATGAAAAGTGCCATTTTTGTCATTTATATACAAGACAAACAAGCTTTACATTTCTTTTATCCTTAGCATTTAACAAAATGTTTATTTCACATTATAAAACAAGTTCTTTCCAGACAAAAGTTTTTTCTTTTTTCCTCCCTCTTCTTCACTTCACTTTTCCTCCCTCTTCTTCTTCTTCACTTCTCCTTTACCAGTGATTTTTTTTTTAATTTCAAAATATTTTACAACTCTGCTGAGGCTGCTATAAGAAAAACCATAGACTGGGTGGCTTAAATGAAAGACATTTATTTTTCACAGTTCTGGAGGCTGGAAGTCCAAGAATAAGGTGCCGACTCATTCAAGTTTTGGTGAGAGCTCTCTTTGTGGCTTGCATGTAACTACCTGCATGCTGTGTCTTCACATGCTGGAGAAAGAACAGTCTTTCTCTCTCTCTTCTTATAAAGCTGCTAAATGCATTATGAGGGCCTCATACTCATGATCTCATCTAACCCTAATTGCCTTGCAAAGGCCCCTTCTCCAAATACGGACACACTGGAGTTTAGGGTTTCAACATACACATTTTTTGGGGGAGACAATTCAGTCTACAGCATTCAAACCAAAACCAAAATACCCCTGGTGACGTCTTCAATTGTCACCTTAATTCTCTTGGTTTTAGTCAGATGAAATGTGATAAATGAGAGGTTTCAGTATATACTATAACCGAAAAGGAGGTAGTTTTTCTGTATCTCTCACAATTTCTTATTTTCAACAGCCTCTTGACTTTACATGGTGGAAATGTACCTCATATAGACTCACATATTTTTGCAGCAGCTGCTTTGGCTTGTTTGTTCTAAATAATTATTTGTTTTTTTCAAATGTGTAAAATTTTGATAATCTACATGTGTCAGTGTGAAGAGGTACTTTATAAATGTTTGCTACTGTCAGTATTGGAAATCTTAATTTATATGGAAAGAACTTTGAACAAAATAGTCACCTAGCATGTGTATATTAGTAAATAAACATTGGTATCAAATATACTTAACTCATAATAGGAGAATGTAGGCAAAGTGATAAAAGTTCCTGTGGAGGTGGGTGCCTGGCACAGCTCAGGTGATAAACCAAAAGCATTAAAAATACTGGGCTTGTTCCTACTCTGAGAGGATCAGGTAATTCAGCATTTCACGGAACTGTGTACCTTTTTGAGCATATTTGCCACTATTTCATTTTGTATGTATGAAGACCAAGGGTACTGTCCATTTTTATTGGAATTCCTGAGTCTGTTCTATCACCTATTTTAAATAACATCATTCTTCTGTGATTCCCTTTTCCCATGTAACTATTACAAATCTTCTTCCTACTTTCTATGTCTACATTTTTGCTGCTCTATTTCTCTTTAGTGCTTTCTCTCCCCTAGAAGGGCTGAATATGAATAATTGAATGGCAAGCAGTTTTTAGTTCAGAGTGGCAGTGGTACCGCTGGCAGTCTTGCCTACAAGCATCCTTGGGATGGAAAAGTTGAGCCTCAGGGCCAGTTTTTTTCTCTTTTGGAACAGATTAGTGGCCCAAAAATCTCAATAAAAGAAACTGAAGAACAATTTCTGTAAACTTGTCTAGTGCAGACAGATACCTAACATGACTTATGATCTGTTTTTCTTGTTCAAGGCTGTGTTCTAAACGGCAAATGTGTAAATATACCTAGTGGGTTTATTTTAAAATTTCTGCTGACTTTTAGGTTACTAGATAAAATATAAGTGTGAGTCCTTCTTTTACAACTGTGGAGCTGAAGATTTAGAAGAAATCACAATACCATTTCAACAGAAGTATTGAATGGCTGAATGTCAAACCTTAGTGAGAAACTTAGTAAGTGTTCTGTAAATCCCTTGTTACCATGATATATTTCATGCAGAAATGTCTCCAAATACATTTACGTTCTTGTTTGTGGAACAAACAGTAAATGTTTTTGAACACCAGTTATATAATAGATTTTATGCCCTGTCTAGATATCTGAACATGTCACTTAATTAGTTTTAAATACCAATAATTCATCTAATCTTTTCAGAAGCACCATTTTAGGCCATGTAACATTTACCGTTTCACAAAGCGCATTATGGAGGAGGTGGTCCCCTTACACTTACTTAGACAACTAATAACAAATAAAAGGTCATTCTCTGATTTAAGGGGTCACTTTCCTTTTTTCTCTGGAGGACTGCCATCCCGCCCACTGCCCACTCCCCTCCCCTAGCAGTTCTCTGAATAGTCTCTGTGAATGGGCCAGCACGCCTCTGTTTAGGCCTCAGCTACTCTTGGTGCAATACTTGAAAAGAGCAGGTGCAGGTCAGAAGTGAATGGGACAGCCCAAGATCACTGCTGGGAAACATGCTCAAGCAAGTCACAAACTAATCTGGGAATGACTTCAGACAAAGAAAACAAAAGAATGCTTTACAGTCAAAATAACCCACTTGACAGAGAACTCCAGGATGAGAAGCCTTGGGAAGGACTAGTTGCTTCTGTCTCACTTTCATTTTAGTTCTAGTAAATTTTAGAGGTAAAGGACAAAACCCTGGCCATCAGAAAATCAGGAAATTTCCTTAAATTGAAAAGAATTCCTATACGCAGTTATTTATCATAATCCTTTCTCACTGGAACTCTGTACAGTCTGTAACCCTGCTTCAATTTGAACTTTATTTCTCTTACTTTGGGATTCACAATATCTTTGTTGAGGATGCTTCCTTCAAGTCACGAAGATTCACGTCCTCCCTGATATGTTTTTTTCTTAATAGTCTCATATGTCAGTGGGTAAAATAGGTCTATTAGGAAATATGCAGTATCTATAAATATTTTTGTATTTATTTATACACTTCTATGAATATAAAACTATAGGAAATAAAATCTGTACAAAAGTAAAGACTGGAAAAAGGCAAATGCAAATAAGAGGCCGGGGTTGTTTGAATGCAAATATGTAGACCATGGATGTTACATAGCTATTAAAAATTGACCTGAGAATTTTATTCTTGAGTTTTCTACCAGCCAAAGTAAGAAGGGAATAAATCTGATGTACAATTTATATATGGAAATAGTGTACTAATTGCATAAGGGAGCTCAAGTATTTTTTCCTGGTGCTTAAGATGAGAAAGACAGCCCTGCCATAAATTTTCAATACTTGAGTTATTGAAGATTCATAACTGCAGGATTGAATTTTGTAAACTTCCTCCCATAAGAGGTAAGGGTAAAATAATAAAGCCAAACTTAGTAAAAGTAATTTTGCAGGGTTTTGAGACATTGTGGTCCAAGAACATGGCTTTGTTCTGTATATAATTAGACAACAGAGGAATGTCTTTTAAACTGTCTTTCATAAATATCGTTGCTCTTCACCAAGCTAATGATAAAGGTAGTCACAAATAATTTGAGAATATATTCTCTATAGGATCATGGAATCTAGATAGCTTTGTTGCTGTCAAGGACGTATTTTTTTTTTTTTTTTTTTTTTGAGACAGAGTCTCGCTCTTTCGCCCAGGCTAGAGTGCAATGGCGCGATCTCAGCTCACTGCAAGCTCCGCCTGCCGGGTTCACGCCATTCTCCTGCCTCAGCCTCCCGGGTAGCTGGGACTACAGGGGCCCGCCACCACGGCCAGTTAATTGTTTTTGCATTTTTAGTAGAGATGGGGTTTCACCGTGTTAAGCAGGATGGTCTCGATCTCCTGACCTCGTGATCCGCCCACCTCGGCCTCCCAGAGTGCTGGGATTACAGGCGTGAGCCACCACACCCGGCCGTCAAGGACATATTTATACACATTAATAATAAATGTGGCCGGGCGCAGTGGCTCATGCCTGTAGTCCCAGCACTTTGGGAGGCCAAGGCAGGCAGATCACTTGAGACCAAAAGTTCAAGATCAGCCTGGCCAACATGGTGTAACCTCGTCTTGACTAAAAATAAAAAAATTAGCCGGGTGTGGTGGCATGCGCCTGTGGTCCCAGCTACTCGGTAGGCTGAGGCATGAAAATCGCTTGAACCTGGCAGGCGGAGGTCGCAGTGAGCCGAGATCATGCCACCGCACACCAGTGTGGGTGACAGAGCAAGACTCTGTCTCAAAACAAACACACACATACACATACACAGTAAATGAGTAGTTGGGAGGTTATAAAGTTTTGTGAAAATTTATAATTTTGTGAAATTTTAATTATATAAATTTTAATTATATATTTCACAAAATATATAATTTTGTGAAATTAGTCAAAATGCTTATTGAATGGAGGCCCTTCCCTCTCACTTGCCGCCTGTCTCTATAAAAATATGTTCTAGCAGAATGTCTAGAGTTAGAGCAGACTTTTTATTATATAATAGTTTGGAATCACTCACATCAAAAATTGAATGATCAATTCTCCAAACATATAAAACTTAATCATAGGATATTTTTACCTATCAATCATAGGATTTTTTCCTCTATGTCTAGACTCTGGTATAAAGGAAGTATTGACATAAAGTTGATATTATGAATTACATGAAAGCACAGGCTTGAGTTGTTGTACATGTTTTGGATGTTTTCTACCTTTCCAGTTGATCACAAAACTAATTTTCCTACTTTAATTTTATCATCTTCTTTGGAGGTGAGAAAATTTGAGATTTGAAATGAACCATGCTTTAATGCCAAAACTTTCTGCTTCATGGATACTGTGATAGGAGACAATTATAGTTTGAAAATAGAATGTAAATGTAATAAACTTGACAATTTAAAAGTAATGCTATAGTGGAGAGAAGGTGGGTTATGGGATGATGAAGGGATGTGGCAAGGCACTAATTTATTTTACTTTTCATACTTAGGGAGTAAAAAATATTGCCTAAAGCCTATGGATAGTCCAATATTAAGATGTTACTTATTTTTAATGGAAAATAGTGTAAAAATTAAAAATAAATTATAACAAAGATTGGAGGAAGGGTAAGAGAAAGAAAGATGGATATATATAGGAAGAGAGGACAATAGTACACATGAGATAATTCCCATAGATTTCATAGAAGGAATGAGTTGGCACTCTTTACAGTGAAAGAGTCAAGAAACAGAGGTGAAAACAAATTATTTCCAGTTCTTACCATAGTTAAAACAAAACATATCAACAGAACTTTGTGTTTTTAAAAAGTTAGTGAGTGGTTCAAGATATGTATTAATTTTGAAATTTTAGACAATTGTCTGAGTAGTCAGTAATCTTTGAATGCATCCCAGGACAACAAGTATAGACACACAGACCACGTTTTCCTAAATGTCCTTTTCAGAGAAGTTCAGATAAGTTTAAGTTAGATAAAAATAATCATTTTTTCTAAAACAAATAGTTCATAAATTGTTACAAGTGATAATGAAGAAATATGTTTGTATTTGTTAAAATATTTCTCAAATTTTAAATGGTAAAAAATATTTAGATGCTTCTATGATTTATCAAGATTGTCTTTGAAACATTTTTCTAGGGAGAAGGGCTTAAAAACTTTAGGTGAAAAAAATTATGAATTATGTTTCCATGGATTCTTGTGATCTATGCTTTGAAATTCGTCAGTCAGTAGATATGGAGTTGCATCAGACAATCTGTAATTTTTAAAGCTTACAAATGAACTATAATGCTAATGGTTGGGGAAACATTTGAGAAACTGAATTAAAGAACTACTATAGGCCACACACATGAAAAGGCACCACTTCTTCTCCCAGTCCCCTCTCTCACCCCTGTTTAAAAAACACAATTTAACAGAGACAGATATAATTTTACATTAAATTTAAAATCTATAATACAGAGTTGAGGAGAACTGGCTTAGATGCAGCTCCCGAGTATAACACACACACACACACACACACACACACACACACACACACACACACACACGAGTCAACCCCTGCACACATACAGTAGCAACAGCAGCAGCAGAAAGAACAATATAACTTAAAACCTAGGAAGTGAAATTGAATATGAATATGAAATTGCCATCCTGACAAATACAGAACTTCATTCTGGCCAGAGGACATCTTCAATGGTGGCTTCAGGTCTCAGAGTCAAATTCTATTTAACAAATTTATTGGCAAGTTAGGTTATTTTTAAGGAGATAACTAGGATGCTAATGTATTAAGAAATCACAGTCTAGGAAGAGTAACTAATAATTTGGTGTTTTTAACAAGTCTGGAGAATTCATGACAAAATTAGGCATATAATGAAAGCATCAGAAATGTAGAGATAGCTGTAATGCACAAAAATTATAGGGAGACAGTATGGTTCAAAAGAAATTCTATCGTTAAAAAACAATAACAAAATATAATTTTTAAGAAACTGAGCTCATAATCACTCATAATGTTGAATATAGTTACAATAACTGCTATTGAGCACTTCTATAGTAAATATTTTTTAAATTTATTTATTTATTTATTTTCAGAGATAGGGTCTTGCTCTGCCACCCAGGCTGAAGTGCAGTGGCACTAACACGGTTCACTGCAATCTGGACTTCCTGGGCTCCAATGATCCTCCTGCCTCAGCCTTCTTAGTAGCTGGGACTACAGGCACATGCCACCACGCCCAGCTAATTAAAAACATTTTTTTGTAGAGACAGGTCTCACAATGTTGCCCAGGATGGTCTTGAATTCCTGGGCTCAAGCAGTCCTCTTGCCTTGTCCTCCCAAAGTGCTGGAATTACAAGCATGCGCCACCACACCCAGCCTTAATATTCTTAAACCCATTTAATCCATTATTTTATTTACTTCTCACAGCATTCCTAAGAGAAAGGTAATGCTAAGTAGCTATATTTTACAGGAAAGAAAATACAAATTTAAGGAGACAAAGCATCCTGCCCAGGATCATACAGGCCATACATGATAGGAATCCCAGTTCTGACTCTGGAGACCTGAACTCCCAAGTGAGAAGATAAAGCCAAAATGTAGTATATTTAGACTACATCCTTTGGATGAAGGTTTGACTTAGATGACCTTTAGGAATTTGTTTTGTTTTTAACATCAACCGTAGAAAGAAAAAGCTAGGTTCACAAGGGGACTTGGGCTTTCCTCTCTATGCAAATTCTTTGGACCAGGAAGAGAAAGAGATTGGGAACGTTTCAGTCGAGGCCTTATGATCATGTGGCAAGGGGCAGAAAGTGCAAGAAAAAGATCTGTCCTTTAAAGGGTTCCTAACCTCTAATCACAGTGACTCTTGATTATTAGTATTCATGGGCCAATCAATATTTCAAGTGTCAAGGAGTAAGATGATCAAATCCTTCCATTATGCAGGGGAAGGTGAGGGAGTATACCTTGACCCAGAAAGAAGGAGGCAAATATTTCAATTTAGGGAGAAAAAGCCAAAATAATTCCTCTCATAATTTTTATTAGATTTTTCTGCCTGCATTCTTGTTAGAATTACTAAAAGTTATAGTGGCTATACTAGCTCTGAAAATAAAATAGGGGACAAGACATGCCAGCATGGAGAGTTGAATCCTACAGATGGTTACAATTGCATTGATCCAATATAACAATTCTGATCTAAATAGAAAAGAAAATCTAATACCTTCCAAAGCAACTCTGAAGCTTTAATCAATAACTGGAATGTTAGGTTTTTTGGCAAAAGAAGAGATGTTAGATTTTAAAAGCTGACTGTATGACCCCAATAAAAATGAATCAATTTTTATTAGGAATGGAACCTGGCAGTTTTACACAATTCATCCAGATTTTCCTGACAAAATTTGAATAATGGATTAGCTCTAGTGGAAATTAGGTAATTTTTTGTGCCTTTAACATGATGCACAAGAAGCTTCTATCAATAATCCTTGCATTAGAGAACAGTTTTGAAGTAGGCAAACAGCATGTATTATACAGTGTCATGTGTATATAATTATCTCAGCATGCTGAAGGGTGGAAAACAATCTTCAAGTGGCAGAGAATTAATAACCCTCCATTTCATTGTTCAGCATTTTATTCTAAAGTAGTGTTGGTTTTGTTTCTGTTTTCCTCCATCGCCTAAAAGATTTTCTTAAAAGTATAAAGCTGACATTGCTCAGTACAGCTCACTTTCATCAACGGTGAGCTGAAATGCTGTTCACAGCCAAATATTTTATTTGCTAGTCTCTGAGAAGGCTAGTAGCAAGGGAAAATTTAATCAAGCTTGGTACTATATGGAAATTCTATACATACACAGATCCAGGCTTCTAACCCACATGAATTTTTAAAAGTTATATACAGAGATGTATATTCGGAAAAGAAGTGTGCAACTGTTCCTTTCAGATGAGAAGAGTTTAATCATTGCTGACCCTACTGAATTAATAAGATGCCTGCTGTTTTGGAATATCTATTGTTTACTTACTGTGAGAAAAATACACAGTTCATATTCAAAGGTTATATTTTATCTCATGGTTGTTTCCCTTTAAAGAGAATATTAGCCTCCTATTTGGGAAGTAAAGCAAGGACAATATCTAAAATCATGAGTGTTAGGTTGTCATTGTCAGGTTCCCAGCTGTTTTGTAATTTTGATAACAATAGAGTGAAATGTATGATTGGTGCTGTGTGCATTAAATCTTGTTTCATTTCTAGTGTGTGAGTGATAGGTATTTGTTCATCTGCTTAGTCATATGGCAAGACGGATAAATATCCATTAAAAGCTCCTAGTAATTTAAAAATTTGTTTTTAAAGGATTTAGCCATGTTTGGGATCTAACTACATTTCTTACCCATCTCCCAGGCTGATGAATTGGACACCAGGCAGATTTTTTTTTGTGTATGTTTTTGAGAAAAGAAGCACAGACTTCTCATATTTAACAAGAGGTAGGGGGCTTAAGGCCCTGAAGATGCCCTTTGGAACACCTATTTTCTATCCCCCAGCTTTAGATGACACAGAAACACAGTGACACGTGGTCTTGTTTTACTGATGGACAGCCAATGTGTTTTCAGTCATTAAGCTTCCTCCTGGAGTCAGGAGAGCCCGAGGCAATCACCAGTAACTGATTTTCACCCTAGAGACCTCAAAGACATGCTGTTTGGGGCTGTGGGCAATTAAGACAGTCTACAATGAAATCAATAATATTTGGGGGGCATTGAATATATTTACTAAGCACTGTGCTAAATACAAAGAAATACAGGTCGTGCCTTGCCCTCAAAAATCTACTTCTTTATGGAGGAGAAAATACACACAGAAAGCTCGTTAACTTTGTAATAAAAAAATACAGAATTGTAAGAAGTGTTGAAAGCAGTGCCTGATTAAGTGGACCAATGAGTGGTGTAGATAATACGTACTCCAAGAAAATAGGAGAAAAGAGGCGCCATGGGGCTGGGGTAACCAACTGGGAACATTTTGTATGAGAAGAGGTTAGAACTGGACACACACTCCCCATTTCTACACCCCCATACTCTTGTGATCAGGGTGGCTGGAAATTTGATCTTGGCACCTGCAGTTCTAACAGGAGGGATTTGGTGATGTGGCTGGGAAATCTATGGCACTGGAAAAAGCCCAGGAATAAGCCATGACAATGTCATCTCTAGAACCTGAAATGCAAGCAGCCACCAGTGACTGCATTCTCCACTGGCCTGAGGGTGATGGGGTAAGACAGATAGAAAAGTGAAAGACCTCAGTGTTTCAGTGTGTGTGCATGCGTGTGTATGTTGGTGGGGGCATGTGAGGGTGGGACATTCTGTTTGAAAGTTGTGTTTCTGTATTGTTTCTGCTCATTTTTTCTTCTATCTCTCTGACTCCAGGAGGGAGTGCCAATTTTTCATTTGAAATTCAGATCCAATATGATATTTTTGGGAGTAAATCTCTTATATTCCTTCGCATTAGTGCCCTTAGCTTGTTGGGGATTAGAAAACTGGAATCTGTTTTCTGAATTCTAAATCCAGCTACGTACTTAATCCTTTAGAGAGATCCCTTATTTTCTACTTTCAAAATGATTTTATTGAGATAGGTTTTAATAAGGGAAAACTGAGCCACGTAGTCAGCAGATACAATCTACATATCCAAGAGGGGTGTTGCCAGGGGAAAGAATTCTTTTGTAGTCTTTTTTCTTTTTTTGGGGGGCATTTTTGTTTGTTTAGTGTGTTCTTTTTTTAAATTTTCAAAGCAGGTATGTGCTTTGTTTTTACCAACAAAATTTAAGCAACTACATTGTGCAAAGCACTGCTGTATAAAAAGCTTTTATTATTAAGGTGTTGCTAAATCTGAATGCTGGTACCTTTCATTCGGCTTTATTTATTTTTCCATTTATTTAATTGATCTTCTAGTACTGATTGTGGCCACCATAAATTCTCATTTGCAAAGATGGATGAAACAGTGACAAAAGCATGGATCAAAGCTTAGGAGGAGCGCATGTGTTTGTCTGTGGGGTGTGTGCGTGTGGATGTGTGAGATGTCTTGATCCATTTGTACATTTCTCTGGGGAATTCTCAGGCAATTAAGTCAACCTATTACAAATAGAGCCGTGTCTGTACGCTCTGATTTGATAGGAGAATGGGTGATTCCTGTTAATGACTAGTACATCTGGTCAATTATATTGTTTTGTATTGATGCTTAATTAGGTGTCAAGTTGGAGGAGGGGGAGATGGTGAAAGCATGACTCCCTTTTAAATGTCAGAGACTCTTCCTAAATTACCTGTCTTTTTAACATACATGAAACACTTTGACAGGCATTGTGTTCTTCTGACCTTAAAACATTTACACTGTCTTGGAGAGGAAGTGTAATGTTCCCTGGCAAGTAAGCTATATTGGAACTGGTTTGCCTTGAATGTTGTTCATGTCTGGTTTCGTGCGGACTGACCCATGTCAACCTTTAGCTGGCAACAGAAGGAAGCCTTCCCATGGGTGACACAACTTTTGTTAAATAGCCTTCCATTTTCAGGATGGTTTTCTTTAGAAAATACTGCCCTGATTGTATTGTTTGAAACTATGATTTACTTTTTTCGTACACTTGTCTAGATAGAAGCAAGTGAAACACCAATTGCATATTTTTGTTTTAAAATGTATGATCACACTGAACTTATTTGGAGATACACTAATGCATAGATTTATTCTGTAAATAACTATTTATACATTCAACCCTTGAAAACACAATAGGAAAATATTTGTAACAGAATGGAGAGTGTCTAAGGAGCTCAGTGTTCTGTACATTAGCTAGGGAGTTACTGGTGCCACAGTCTAAAAGCCCTTTTAGCCAGATTGTAGGCATAATTTTTATTTTTTATTGAAGTCAATGGGTGGGTGGAGGTCAAAGATTATTACATTTTACTTGACAACTTATGCTATGTCACAAGGCAGTACGATGTGTTTTAATACAATTGTGCATTATGTATGAGATCCTGTAACAATTAAAAAGGGGGAATTGACAGCACAGAAAATTAAGTTCTTAAAAATGAATTATAAAGGTTGAGGCTTGCTTGAGGAACAGACGGGAGCTAGTTTAATCAACAAGTCTATAAGTGTGTGGAGTGTTTTTGTGGACCGTGTGGTTTTTCTTAAAGGATGAGAAACATATTACTATGTTATTAGAAAAACAATAAAGAATTTTTGATTTTAGTAACCTCAATTAGAAGATTCTTTCCAACACTAAATGAGTTAAATGGATAAAGGCAGTCTAGGTAGAACCTGATAATTCTAAAATGTGTTCAATACTCAATTTTTTTTTTGAGACAGTGTCTCACTCTGTCACCCTGGCTGGAGTGCAGTAGCATGATCTTGGTTCACTGCAACCTTTGCCTCCTGGGTTCAAGCGATTCTTGTGCCTCAGCCTCCTGAGTAGCTGGGACTACAGGCGTGTGCCACCATGCCCAGGTAATTTTGTATTTTTAGTAGAGATGGGGTTTCACCATGTTGGCCAGGCTGGTCTCGAACTCCTGACGTCCAGTGATCCGCCTGCCTTGGCTTCCCAAAGTGCTGGGATTATAGGCATGAGCCACCACACCTGGCCTGATATTGTGTTTATTCATATTATTAATCATTTTAACCTTAAGATAGTAAAATATAAGAATATTTAGAGGAAACTGTAAACCATTCTCTTGATTCTACACATAGTAATACTTAATCATCCATTGCTGTAGATTCTTTGCAAGTCCTTCAAAAAACAGGGTGATATCATGTATTTTGAAAATTGAAGATTTTATAAGCAATTATCAAGATTTTTCTCTGCAAACCCTATTCTAAATTTGAATAAAATTATTCTCTTTTATGTCTTAGGTAAGATTAGAAAATAAAAATCTGCTTCATAACAATATACTGCAAAATTTTATACAATATTAGATTTTGCCTCATTGAATTTATTTCTGCTTTCTTTGTACTACTCAGTTTTGTAAGTGACTTATTAGAGAACGAATTCCTTCATATCTTAAATGCACTGAGGAATCTCATACTTATTTCCAGAGGATTGAACAGGTTTTTGGAGGAATATTTATGTTAAAATTACCTGGTAGTTTTGGAAACGCTACAGTAAAGCCACACAATATTTTGAAGTTTATAGCTTATTTTTGAGCTAATATTTTTGTTTGCTATATTTTTAATTTTGGGGATGTTGCCTTGGAACAGAATTTATATGTAAGTTAATTAAGCTTGTAGTTGAGCATGCTTTTTGTATCATACAAAAATACATACCAAAGATAATATCCAAATCCAATAATCTACAGTTTTTAAGCTTCAAATTATATTAGTTTGTTCAGTATATGAAATTGAAGTTTAGTTAATTTCATTTTCTTTTTCTAATAACAGAATGTTTATTAAATATAGAAAAAATACTGAAGGGAATTAAAAGCATGAAAATGACAAACAGTTGTACAACATACTAGGCCTATAGTCTTTTAAAGAAATTGCATGTTAAACATTTCATAGAATTTCATTAAAGTGAAAAGTTTTTTTAAAGTCTCATCTAGAATAAATGATTTTTTGGTAGAGTTTTATATCAAGAGCACAGCTGTTCTAATGGAAATAATTATTGGTTCTTAAAAGAATTAAAGCTGGCTGGGCATGGTGGCTCACGTCTGTAATCCCAGCACTTTGCAGGCAGATCACCTGAGGTCAGGAGTTCGAGACCAACCTCGTCAACATGGTGAAACCCCCATCTCTACTAAAAACACAAAAAATAGCCGGGGATGGTGGTGTGCGCCTATAGTCCCAGCTACTCGGGAGTCTAAGGCAGGGGAATCGCTTGAGTCCGGGAGGTTACAGTGAGCCGAGATTGTGCGATTGCACTCTGGCCTGGGCAACAAGAGAGAAGCTCTGTTGCAAAATAATAATAATAATAAAATAAAATAAAATTAGGGCTGTAGATTAGCAATACTTTTATTTGTCAGCCTTAAGCTCGAACTCTTAGCATTTTAGACTTTGTAGTGCAACCCCAGAAACTTAGTAAATATTTATTACGTACCATACATTGCCTTAAACATTTTCTATATAAGATTTTTTTTAATCCTTACAAAAACCTTGTGAATTACGTGCCATTACTGGCCTAATTTTTAAAATGATGATGTAACTGTCTCACATCGTCTCATAAACAGCCACACCAGAATTAAAACCCAAGTCTAGCCCAGAGCGCATGAACTTTACCCATCACTTTGCTATAACCTTACTAAATGAGAAATACTCTAAATCATGTTAATTAGTACACTCTTTCTGTGACTAGGTGTGAATTAGCCTTTAATATTTCTATTTTCATTACATTACTATGCATTATTTTGCAAAAGATGCAAGCAGCTAATAAGTTATATACAAAATAAACTAGAGAGGACACCCCTTATAACCCATCTCCTGCTTACACTACCCGTTTTATTATTAACAGTTCACATGTGTCTTTTCAGTAGTGTTCACTGCTTACAGTGCTCCTTGTGTGACTGCATATAGAATCAGATATTTATTTTTTTACATATACATTTGGATAAGTCTGTTATTATGACTTGCTTTTTCACTAAAGTTCTTGGGATCTTTTCATTAATTATTTTAAAATCCTTTATTTTTAATTCAATATTTGAACTACTGCGTATTTCATGCAATTAATGTACCATAAACTGTTTAAGGAGTTCCCATAGATGGTAATATTTGGGTTTCTTCCATTTGTTTTCTATTACAAATACTGTTTCAGTGAACACTCTTGAGCATTTTCTTGTGATAGAAACCTAGAGATAAATTGAGAATAGGTATTTTTCACTTTGAAAATATTTGAACAATATTTCCTGATTTGCTTTCAAAGAGTATGTGTATCTACTTATATCTATTTCTGTATCTATATCTGTATATCTCTATTTCTATCCATCCATCCATCCATCCATCCATCCATCCCTCCATTTACCTATCTCTTCCAGTTTTGTCAATATTTAAAAAATTTTGTTTATCTGATTTGTAATAAAATATTTTTGTGTATTTTAATTATTTAATTGGTTATTAATGAGGCTGAGTTTCTTATCACTAATTTTAATCATTTTTTCCTGATAATTTCTAGTTCTCTGTATACTGCTCCACTTATTTCTTTACAGTTCTTATATTGATTTTCCAAAATTTCATACTTAACCTTGGTTTAATTTAGTAATTCATCAGTTTTATTTAGATTGTTATGTAGACAGTCATATTGCTACATAATAAAAGTTTTTGTTCTTTTCTTTCCCAAAGCTTTTACCTTGTATTTATTTTCTTGTCCTAGTACATTAACTATGAGTTCTGTAATAGCATTATTGGACTAATTGAGAGTGAACATTCTTCCTTTTGTCTTTAAGTGGAATATTTTAAAGATTTTAACATTAAGTATTTTTTTCACATATCTCTATGGTAGATAATGTGAAAGTTAAAGAACTTTCTAACACCCTAATATTTTAGCAAGAATAAAAATGGAATATTAATAAAAAGATTTTGGGGGACATTTATTGAAATGATTAGGCCGCTTTTGCCATCATCTGTTAATTTACAGGATTACATTACAAGTTGAAAATAATAAAATATTAATCATAGTTGTTTATTTAGTATCTTCCAGGCATTGCTCTGAATGGTTTTCTTTTTGTTTTAATTGATTTCAGTTTCTCAAACCTATAAAAGCAGACTCAGAGAAGTTATTTAAATTGTTGATGTTCACTCTTAATTTATGGAGGAACTGGGCTATTCTAAGGTGAAATATCTATATCTTCCTAAAACAACTATTCCTTGGTCATGATATACTATTTTTGAAAATGTCTGTCTGATTTGACTTATCAATATTTTATATAGGATTTTGCTTATGGTCATAGGTGAAATCAGCTTATTTTCTGTCTTTTTTCTTGGCCTGTTTTAGTAGTAGAATAACTTCTTACAATTTCTTGTGATGTAATGAATATACACATTAATTTTACATTCAGAAAAGTAATGTTGATGCTACTGCAAACTATCATCCATTAATATTTACTCTGAAAAAAGAACTGTTGAAGTACTGGAGGCAGAGGAAGCCAGATCAGATTGACCAGTTAGCTGGAAACTGCAGTAGTCCATATACTAGATGAAAAAGTCCCTACAAGCAGTGGCAGTGTAAAATGTAAAGAGAAGGGGGTGGCAAAGACAGTTATTCAGGTAATAGAATTAACATTAATTCATTAAACACTTAATGAATTCCTACTATGTATTAAGCATTAGTCACTGTCACTGTCTGCAGGAAGCTTAAAGTTTAATGGAGAGTTTGATAAATAAATAATTACTATGAAATGCAAAACTCTTTTTGATAATTGTATGTAAATTTTATAGCATCCTAAAGGGATTTACAGAGAAGAAACTATTAAATTTAACCTTAAAAGATGACTGGAAATTTTCTAGAAAGGAGCTTTCAAGGAAGAGACATTCCCAGCAGAAAAAAATAGGAAGTGAAGTGTCTGTAAATTGGAAAAATGGAAAGTATATGATTAGTAACATTCTCTACTTAAAAATATTTCAAACTTCTTCATTTTATACAGAATGATCTAAGATGAACTTAGGTTATTCTGGAATGAGAATGATACAAGAGTCATTGTTATGTATAGCAAAAGAAAAAATATTGATAGAAGAAAGCATTGGAAGTGTAGGAGGATTAGTTTATGGAGACTCCTTATGGAATAGTTGAAATGTAAATAACTATGACTGTGATGTATCTGGAAATTTCTGAAAAAGGAGGAATATGTTAGGCTGTAGGTATTACAAATAACAAGTTCCTATGGCTGTAATTTATTTTAATTTACTTTTATTTTTTGTTCAATAATAGAATTCTAGTCTCTTAGCAACTCTGGGAAATTGAGGTTAGATTAAAACATACATAAAAGATGTGAAATAATACATTTCTTGGAACTAATAGTCTCAAAAATTTAAAGTAAAGTAAAATAGTACATGGATTTGTTTAAAGTCTAAAAATGCAGATACTCTATTTTCCTTTCCATTTAGGAATCTACTTATGACTTTGAATGAGAGATCAGCTATGGTGTCATTATTTTCCTGCTTCACAGAACTTAATGAGCTTTTAAAAGTAATTTTAGCAATTGGCAAAGCCATATAATGTTAAATAGTACCCTCTGCATATTTCCACACAATTTGTTTGGCTGCTTTTCTCTGAAGAATCTAAACATTTATTCTAGTGCCAATACTTGAATTTCATAGGGAAATACTTCTACAATCCTTTGGGTTGAAGTTTCTGCTTGCTACGAGGAGCATTCCCATAACCAAAGCAGATGCTGGCAGTTGAAGATGTAGGTAGCTGAGCAAACTGGCAGTGGTGGCAGTGCCTCTTTTAAGTATGTTGCTGGATCAAAGCTGGTGTCGGGGGACAGAGCCCAGAGATCATTACTCTTGATTACATTGAGGTTGCTAATGCGATGGCTTCACCCTTCTTGAATTTTGAAATTTTATGAGGAAACAGTGATCCTTTTATTTTTTTTTTCTGACTCCATATGAAACAGTTTTGTGGACATTTTATATACAAATTCAGATATTGCAAATAGAAAAATTTTTTGCACATAACTTTAAAAGAAACTTTATGGTCTCTGTGTCAGCTAAGATTATTTTTACCCATATCCTCTCCATTCTACTAGTTAAGAAAAAAAGAGAAATTATTGGATTAAAAAGTCCATGCTTTTCCAGTAGAAACCTTGTTCATCACGCCTTGCTAATATACCAATTTGACTACTCTGCTTGCTTGCCTCAAAGAGTCATCTTTTTTTTATTCATTTAATATTTATCTAGGCAACTATTTTATCTCAGTGCAAAGATAAGTGCTTTTGACTTCTGGTGAAAAACACTTTCTCTTGGGCTGTTTACATTCTGGAGAAAAGAGGCTGAAAACAAGTAAATAGACAAATATAATAATTGCATGGTTGTGAGTGTCTGAAGAAACAATAGGAACCTGATGTGAAGGACAGAAAGCAGGGAAAAGTGATGAATTTATGTAGTATGGTTGAGAATTCCTCTGTGAGGTGGTGACATTTGACCTGGTGCTTAAAGGAATGAGACAAGATACAAAGGCATGGAGAGAAAGCATGGTAGGTAGAAAAAAGAGCAGACACTGTTAGGAATAGCTTTTCTAGCCACCAAGCATACAAAAAACCCTCCACATCACTAATCATCAGAGAAATGCAAATCAAAACCACAATGAGATACCATCTCACGGCAGTCAGAATGGATATTTAAAAAGTCAAAAATCAGCCAGGCATGGTGGCTCATGCTGTAATCCTACCCCTTTGGGAGGCTGAGGTGGAAAGATTGCTTGAGCCCAGGAGTTTGAGACCAGCCTGGGCAACATGGTGAGGCCCTGTCACTACAAAAAATTAAAAAACAAATAGCCTGGCATGGTGGTACATATCTGTAGTCCCAGCTACTTGGGAGGCTGAGGCAGGAGAATTGTTTGAGCCCAGAAGGTCGAGGCTGCAGTAAGCCCTTTTCATGCCACTGCACTCCAGCCTCGGTGACAGAGCAAGGCACCGTCAAAAAAAAAAAAAAAAAAAAAAAGGTCAAAACCAGTGGATGCTGGCAGGGCTGTGGAGGAAAGGGGCCACTTATACATTATTGGTGGGAATGGTAATTAGTTCCATAATTGCCCCTGTGGAAAGCAGTTTGGAGATTTCTCAAAGAACTTAAAACAGAACTACCATTCAACCCAGCCATCCCATTACTGGATATATATACCCAAAGGAAAATAAATCATTCTGCCAAAGAGACAAATACACTCGTATGTTCATTGCAGTGCTATTCACAATAGCAAAGACATGGAATCAACCTAGGTGCCCATCAACAGTGGATTGGATAGAGAAATGTGATACCTGCCATGAAATACTTCACAGCCATATAAAAGAACACATAATTGTCTTTTGCAGCAACATGGATGCAACTGGAGGTCAGTATCCTAAGAGAATTAATGCAGGAACAGAAGTCCAAATACCACATCCTTTCACTGATATAAGTGGGAGGTGAACATTGGGTGCACATGGTTATAAAGATTGAAATAATAGACAAAGATTACTAGAGTTGGGATAGAGAGGGGGTCAAGGAGTGAAAAACCGCCTATTGGCTATTATGTTCACTACCTGGGTGATGGGATCATTTGTACCCTAGACTGAATTCAGCATTACACAATATACGCATATAACAAACCTGCATATATACTCCCCAAATCTAGAACAAAAGTTGACATTATATTAGAATAAAAGGAACTGCTTTTCAATGACGGTGTCAAATACTACGGATGACACAAGTTCAAGACCAAAATTTCATTCTGTTCCCCAAAGTGAAAGTGAGTATATGGGCCTATATATCTGTGCTGTAGCAACGAGTGGTCTAGGAGGAGAGTTGGCTTTGGTATTATTTGCCATTTGGTTCCTTTTCCCTTTTGAGGCTCTCAGTGCTAACGTTTCTCCATTCACTGGCTAAGAGAGTAGGGAGTAAAGAGGCCCCCTGTCAGAATGATAGAGAACAACAAAGACCTCCTCCCAGTAGTAGCTTGAGTACCCAATATTCTTGTCTGTCATCTAACTGTGTTCAGGAGAAAATAACTAGGAGGGTCATGCAAATTGTGCAATATAAGTTCAGGCTGTCTTCAAATCTCTCCAATTAGCCACCTATAACACTTCAGGACAATGTGAAAGATGACTACCTAATATTTAGAAGTAACGTATAGCTCTTCAGTATTTAGATAAATGAAATAATTAATGTGTCTTTCATGGAAAGGCTCAAAAGCGTAGCTAAAAATGTAGAGATGCACAATTATGAACTTCATTTCTCTATGTAGCCAACCCAATGACTGCTATAAACAAAACACCATCTATTCATTGATCTGTCATTGGTCTACACCACAAAAATCAATGTTATTTGAATCCCTTACTCACAATGAAAGGATGTATTCTTGAGTAATGAAAATCAATGAACATTATTTTCCTGAGAATAAATTGAATGTAAACAAAAATACTTTCTTCTGAATAAAAATAGTCTTATAAGAGAATTGTCTTCACAGTTCCATGTAAAATAAACCAAAGTAATCATATGTTTCATCATATATGTGTTAAAGGTTATGTCATTTTAGTCTAGAGAACTGAAAATTGTATACCTTAAAAGTTGCAATGAATATTTGAACAGTAGTGCATTAGATAGTGCATTGTTTACAGTTTTTGGTGGAAGGCCAATTTTTTTTAATGTGCAAAAGTAAATTTTCATTTTTAAGGGAAACCCCACATCCTTTTTCTAAAATGTGCGTTCCTTTCTAGTCTCCTTTTTCTACTGTCTTCCCCACTTCTCCCAACTTCCAGATGTCCTTGTCCCTCATGCCTTCTCTCAATCTGTTTTCCTTTGGGTTATCTGAATCTCTTTCAATTCCTTGTTTTATTTTCCCTTTTTTAGTCTTATCTAGTGCCAGGTGGCTGTGTTATAAATTGAGGGAGAATTGGTCAATCAGGAATGTGTTATTTCCCCTGGGTTTCCTAGCTTTATGCCCTCCCTGAATGTCTCTACTGAAGAGGAAAGACATTGCGATGAACACAACAGAGTCTCTTGCATTAATCCTATTGTCTGCCCATTCATTCCATAAACTTTCCCTTCTGTCCCATCAGAAAACTGAACACAGGGAACAAGACCAGCTGGGATGGCAATTAGAAACCTTTTCGCACAGTCCTGACAGAGAAGTTTTCTTTGGATGGAAAGTATATACACTATGCTTGAATTTATCCAAGGTGATTTCCATGTGCTTTTGAAAAATCTAGCAGGAAGAATCTGATTGGGAGGGTCAAGAATAAGATTCTAATTCGAGCCCTGGCATTAACATAAAAGAAGCATATTATGCACTTCTTAGATAGCAGTTTTATTACAGAAATAAGAAAAACCAGATTAATTTCTCATTTTAGTGGCATTTAGCATGGTGCAGTTTGGTATCCCAGGGCAAGAAACTACATACAGAGTGGAGGTCTTTAAACAAAACTTTTTGACCATTTCTCTTAACCAGTCAGGGCTTTTACCTTTATATCCACAGGTGGACAACAATGCAGGGACTCTATAAATAGGTCCTTAATCATGCTATGAACTTCTTGAGCTAGATCCATAGTTCTCAATTGATTTGCTCTATCTTTGACATTTGCTATGTTCTTGTCTCCAGCTGCAGTGCCCTAGCCAGAACCCTGCAATCTTTCTGCCAAACTTTTTTTTTCTTTTTGACACAGGTCTCTATCACCCAGGCTGGAGTGCAATGACATGATCTCTGCTCACTGCAGCCTCTGCCTCCTGGGTTCAAGTGATTCTTGTGTCTCAGCCTCCTGAGTAGCTGGCATAAGCCACCATGCCCAGCTATTTTTTTTTCTTCGTAGAGACAGGGTTTTGCCATGTTGGCCAGGCTGGTCTTGAACTCCTGGCCTCAAGCAATCTGTCCACCTCGGCCTCCCAAAGTGCTGGGATTACAGGTGTGAGCCCCCGGGCCCTGCCTTCACCCAACCTTTTTGAATCATATTCCTTTGGGCTACTTGTTTGGTTCTTGGCTTCAGCTTTGTCCTTGGACACTGGCTATTGATTCTCCTTAGATCTATAGTCTGAAGAACCCGGCTGGAGAATCAGACCCAGTCCATCCATTAACTCCAAGCCTAGGTCCTAGAATTTAGTATGTCTAGTGCTGCCTGAACACCACCTGGTCAGAAAGTATTTATCCAAAACATATGTAAGATGTTTATTATCATTACTACTTATTTCGCCCTTAGTTGCTGATTTGCTTTTCTTTTAATAAGGTCAAGATAAAAAGTCTCACCTTGCCCTTTGCATGCATGTACTTTTATTCACTCCTTTCATTCTAGTTAAATCTAAGGATAAAGACAAACAGGCGGGGCGTGGTGGCTCACGCCTATAATCCCAGCACTTTGGGAGGCCGAGGCTGGTGGATCAAGAGGTCAGGAGATCAAGACCATCCTGGCTAACACGGTGAAACCCCATTTCTACTAAAAACTACAAAAAATTAGCCGGAAGTGGTGGCAGGTGCCTGTAGTCCCAGCTACTGGGGAGGCTGAGGCAGGAGAATAGCATGAACCTGGGAGGTGGAGCTTGCAGTGAGCAGAGATGGCGCCACTGCACTCCAGCTGGGTGACAGAGTGAGACTCCGTCTCAAAAAAAAAAAAAAAAAAAAAAAAAAAAAGAGACAAATAAATAAAACTATGGTAGTCAGATGACCATATATAACTAAGTCAGCTGCATAAATTATAAGAGACTATTTTATGTGTTCTTTTGGTAGGCATTAGAAATTGGATGCCTGAGGACACTTAATTTCTTTTCTGAAATTTTTATAACTTAGGCATTTCAAAGTGATAATAATCATTGAAAAATTAAGCAATGTAGAAGTGTATGTAAAGAATAGGTCTTATTTCAGGGGGTTGCCTGACAATTCATACGACAATTATACCATCATTTCTTTTGCACCTAGCAGAACTTTCTGACAGTTTGTGCCTAAATAAAAAGGTTTTTAGTAGGGTAATGAATGCCCATTGCAGGAAGTATTTGAGAGAATTACCATGATAATTTTTCATGTGTAATGTATAAAGGAGGCTTCCATTTATTAAGAACTGGACTAAAAGACCATGATGTTTTCTTCTGCAGTTTCTGGAAGTATTTGAAAATATTATTTATTACTTGCAGTAATTGGAGAAATAATCTCAGTTCAAGGTTCGCTTACAAGATGTCCAACGGTGATACAAATGAGTATGAGGCCACTATTTCCCTGATATGATCAAGAGACATGAGAGGATAAACCAGAGCTTTGGGAAAATACATGTAGGGTAGTTGAAAAGACAGTTCTGCAGACAGCAGGAGATGCACTGAAGGGCCTTTTTTCCTCCATTACTGCAGGTGACCTAAAACAGGTAGTGTGAATTCTAATGGATTGCATGTGCTCAAGTCCTTTTGTATTTCCTGAATGGTGATAAAGGAGTCCATTCAGCCTCTCTTCTACAGAAGGAACATTTTGAGAGAGAATATAAGGGTTGTCAGGCCTGTGGGAGGCTGCTGAATCACATATGATTCACAGATCTAGCCTCAGAAATCTTTAGACTTTAACGTTACAATACAGGGTGGTCCATTTTAAAACTGCTTGTTGAAATCTACGTTGGGATGTGCTCTAAATGGAGCACTAGGAACAGTAACAGAATGACTAATAATGACAAAAAAATTGGGAGACTGCAACAATTCATTTGGAATGTTGATGTTTAATTCATGTTACTGGCTGCTTCATGATTCTTTTATATTTCATAAAGATGGTGAGTTACATGGGCGTGCCATCTTAAGCAGGGACCTCAAGCTAAAATACCATTCTCTTTTCACCGGAGCTTGTTAAATGCTTCCTACCTGTATCTGAGATGATTGAATATGATTCAGTTTTCAAGTCTTTGCTTCTAATTATGGAATAATTATTTGAAATATGAAAGATATAAACATCAACACAAATGAGGCTTTTCATGAGATCAACTATTGTGTTTTAAAGTGTTTATTTCACATTTTATGTTAATAATTTAAATTCCAGTAACCATCTTGACATTTGCTACCCCATAAGAGAGAATATAGCTAAAACTGTGATTTTTCTCTTTTGTTAGTATTAGCAAATTATATGATACTAAATATTTAACTAGAAAAATGTTTAAAAAAGCCTTCTCCAATAACTGTACGTACATTAGTCATGTCTTAAAGCATGTTTTTAATCTACTGAGCGTATGATATGCAAGCTTCTATTGGATTTAGTTATACAAAGTGCTTTTTCTGCCTAATATTTTAATATTTTAAAAAATTTAATTGCCTAGATTTTGACCTGCTTTTCAACATATAATACATTAAAGATCGCAATTATATAATTTTTTTAAACATTAGCAAATGTTTCATAATTTGAAACATTTAACAATTCAAATTAAAAAATAGTTGAAAACATGACCAAGAAATTAAAAATGACTTCTTTTTCTGTATTACTTGGACATTTATATAAACTTTGCACTAATGGTTCACAGTTTCTGAAAGGGGTTATTGGATAGTGCTCAAAATTGTAACTTTTTTGCCATTTGATAAACATTATTTTTAAACACAATTCTCATTGTTATTTTTACTGCATTAATGGTGAAAAACAGTTTGGTAAAAAACGTAGTTTAGGTTTTCATTTATATTGAGCAGGTTAGGAAAGGGAGCTGGCTGTAATTCCTATCTAAGAAACAATCTTCTGTTTAGAATGTTCACTGTGCTCAGACCAGCAGAGGGGAACATAAGGGCAATGTATATGCTGCTCAGGCAAAGAGGGTCAAAGAGAACCGTGTTCTGTGAGGACAAAAAGGTTGAAAGCAATTAAATTGCAATATATTTTCTGAGCTAGAAAGATGTTTACCATCTCATATTTGAAGGCTTCATTCCTGTTTCTCTAGAATCATTTACTTAATGTTAAAAAAATAAAAAAGTTGAAGATGGACTAACTTGGCAATATTCTTTTCTGATGGTTTTCAGAAAGAGAGTTATTGTCTTTCTAATTTGCAAGTTAATATATTTGCTTTGACAGCTTTTTGATTGTTAAATAAACCCTGTCTTAGAAGAGCTGTCAGCAAATTACACTATGGGCTATATTTAAAAGAAGTGCCACATGAGTCAATTTGGGTCCTGGTTTTATATTCATACATTTGTTTGTATATCTGAACCTGCATCATAAAAACAATGAAGGCCAGCTGAAATAGTCATATTTTCTATGCATATTGAAGGACTTAATGTTGCTTTTAGAATATTTTATGTTCATAAACATATCAGGGCTGTCTCTCCACCTAACCTGCTATTGTATGTCAAGTCTGTTTGCATGTTATAAATAATATCAGAATCAATTGCTGTGGACCTAATGCATAACACTGAGGATGTCTTGTTATGTTAATGAAAGTAGTACAACTTCTGGTTGTAAGTAAAATAAATGGTACTTGTTTAATTTGAAAATACTGATGAAAACTTAAAAATGTAACGTGAGGAAAAATTATAGCATTTAGGTAATTATTAATATGCATGTATTTCCACTGAGATGTCTTAAGGAAGAACCTACTTAGGTATTCTTGTTTTTAAATCTTCATTTTCTAACTGTAACAGCCTTTTTTCTTGCCATGTAAAGAAAGACTTCTGCAAATGTTATTTTCTTTCTATCAATGAAACAGACTTTGAACCTAGGGCTATGACAGTCTATAAACTAGAAAACAAGAGGTATCTCCAAGTTCTGATGAGAGGAGAGTTGAGGGCTACTATCTGGTGGTTTAACAATGAAAACCAAACCATGAATCAGATCATGGCACCAGTTAGCATTTATTAATGGAGTTATACATTCTTGGCTTCTCAGGGCAAACTGCTCTGCCACTTACTAATTTTGTGTCCTTTGGTAAGTAACTTAACCGCTCTATGCCTCAGTTTCCTCATCTGTAAAGTAGGACTAATAACGGTATCTACCTCAATAGATTTTTGTGAGAATTAAAGAGTATGTTCACAAAGCATGTTTAGAACAGTTCCTGACATATAGGTGCTCAATAGATATTACCTGTTGTTTTTTAAGTAGCCACTGTATGTTCAGAACTGTGCTAGATAGTTTCAGAACATGATAAGCTATGGCCCATCCATTCAAGGAAATTAAATATTGTTGGAGAAATAACACTGATATAAAACAGTATGTCTGTATGTGTAACATTTTGTAGGACAGGCTGTACATATTTTAGATACTCAGAGAAAAGAAAAAATTATGATAGTTTGAGGACTTGAATTGGCCAGAAGAGGGACCTGAAGCCCAGACTTGGGTGATTTTCAGTAGCTGAAGAGGATTCGAGAGGTGATTTCAGTTTAGTAGAAAGAAAACGTATTTAAAGAGCATGACAAAGCTGACATATTTGTAAAACAGTTCAGTGCGCTGGACTGGAGATACTGATCTATATGGGGAAGTAGATTCACCATTTAGGTTAGAATCCAAAAGTAGTAAGCATTGGAGGATTTTATAGTATTGGAAATATTATGAATGATCAGCTAATAATTCATAGAAATAAAGAAAATAAGGAAATTTTTACCATGACATTAAGTAATATCATGGTAATTAAATAATAATTAAATACATGCTCGAATTAGGCTGAAGTAAATTTTGCGAACAATTTGCAATGACTGAGAAAAATCACAGATAAACCATAAAGGGAAAGATCTTCAATAAAATGAATGGAGATTTTGTAATGAGCAATTAGAATTTTAGCTCATTTGGTTCATAGAAACACCAGCAGCAGATTGTGTGGCCACGTGGGACACCTCGGCTGGCATCAGGCTACCCGGGACTATGCTAGAGGTTGTAACTAATTGTGATGTGGAAGGATAAAAAACAAAACCCTCAAGGCTTCAGGGAACAAATCTCATGTATGAGAACACTCCCCCAGCTAATCCATGGAACTATGTTACTATCAACCCCAAAGTATAATTTTTATTTGTTGTCTTGGAAGCTGGAAGCAAATTGCTGCAGCTGAGGAAGAAAATAAAGAAAAGATGAAAAAAAATACTTGGATAAAACAAAAATCAATCCAAGATAGTGGAAAAGAAGATCTCATGAAAATAAATTTAGATCTCATGAAAAGAAGATCTTATGAACAAAAGTAGATCTCATGGCCTTTGAGATCTATGAATATGAAATTTGTAATGTGGATTAACTGCACACTCACACAGATGCACGCACACACACACGAGCAGAAAAAAAAAACAGAAAATGAAGGCAGAGAAACATGAACAGCTTAGGAATCAGAGTTTAGTGATAGTCTTTTTTCCTACTCTCAAGTACTTTACCTTTCCACTGATTAGCATGAGTACATCCTTTTCTGCCTTTCTTACAGGATTACTCTAGTCAAAAATGGAATACTAAAGCACTTCACAAGTTGAAACAGCTTTCTAAAAACAGAGCAGCAGTGTTATTGAAAATGGTTTAAATTGAGAATAATTTCAGGAACTAACTAACATTTCTGGCATGACACCCATCTCACAAACAATCCTACGATTTAATGTAGATAACAAGCACTCCCTTTATACCAAAACAATTAATTGTATACTTATCCATGTTATAAGAAAAGCATATTTAGCGAAATTTCATGTCTAGGTTATCTAAATCTTTGGCTTACTTGTGTTATTTTTACCCAACTACAGGAACACTGTGGATGGTTTATTATATAACAAAAATAGGAACAGTTTGGCATTGGTAGGGTATTTATAGCAAGTGGAACACTAGACTTTTGAAATATATGAACTTATTACTTCAGATTTGTGATAAGCTATTTATGCATCAACACAATTGAAGTGGTCAGTTTGTTAGATCTTTTGATATTTAAATTTTTCCCCAGCTCCACAGGGCATAACTATGTCTCTTATTTGCTTCGGTTAAAAATAAACGATTTCTTAAAAATAGTGGCAAAAAGCAGAGAACTGCCTTAGGATAGGGCTCCGAGTGGTACAGACATCTCACTTTCCCACTATCCCTCCTATAAATCCCTTACTGTAACAAGCCCTCTTTTTTTTTTTTTTATTATACTTTAAGTTTTAGGGTACATGTGCACAATGTGCAGGTTTGTTACATACGTATACATGTGCCATGTTGGTGTGCTGCACCCATTAACTGGTCATTTAGCGTTAGGTATATCTCCTAATGCTATCCCTCCCCCCACCCCCCACCCCACAACAAGCCCTCTTCCTTTCCATTTTCTCTGTGGTATAGTTCCCATTCCCTCTTTGTCTCTGTGACAATTGCTAGTGGAATAAATTGGGAAGGGCATGGAAAAAAAGGTCTGTTTCAATATTCTTTTCTTACAAATCTGTTTACACACATTATTATTTTTTCCAGAGGACTTATCCACATCAAATATAGGAAGGAAAGACAGTTTAATCTTGGATAGGACCTATTATAACAATTCTTAGCTATCATTTTGGCTGCATTGTTCCAACCAGGCAAATTCTCTCTTTAGCTTAGGATTTAAAACAATTAAATAGATAACTATGCACACTGGACACTTTGTACTCAACTGTTATACTTTTACAGTAGATTACACAAAGTGTAATTTGTGTTTTTCTGAATTTGTTGTTTTGCACATGCACACAAAATGAAATGGATTACCATATTTTTTTCGTTTTGAAAATAAAGAGTTTACTGAACTATACACTGCACTACTCTTTTGAAAGCCACATTACAGACAAATCCAACCTTGAAAGGAACAATATTAATTGAATGGCAAGTTTTTTCTCTCATGCTTAATGAAAATCTGCATATTCTATATGTTTATTTTTAGAATTTGGGCTGTTTCTGTACAATAAAGTGAAGTAGAGGATATAAAAGATTTTTTTCAATTATTCAATAAAATATTTGCCTCAATTTTAAGAGATATTTTAGTGACTGCTTCAAATTTTATTGAATTTGTAGACACCAAACATTTAGAAACCTTGTACTGCCAGTCAACTCTGTAATGAGTTATTGAAGGGACAGAGAAGGATTATAAGACTTTTTTTCTATGACAATTAATACACACAAAATATTTGGAATTTTAAGGCATGCACTCTAGAGGTTTAATCATTTCTTTAAAGTATCAAGTCTAAATTTTGATAATCTGCTACTTGTTGAAAAGTGGATGCTATTTACAGATGCATGGGTCCAGCAGTTCATTTTTTTTTTCTGATGTGGATTACGGAGAGATACGCATTCAAACATTAAATAAAGATAGCTATTTTTTTTAAAAAAATGGTAGTGCAATTGCATTTCATTTCAATTTACTTTTCTATTCAATAAATACTTATGTGTCTGCTATATTCAAAGCACTGTCATAAAAATTTTGGAAATGTATTGATAAATGAGAATAAATGTATATTTATCTAATTCTGAAAGTATAAGGAAATAAGCGCACAGCACAATTAAAGGACTTTTGAAGTTTAGTGGAGAGACGAGAATATTTTTAGTTTGGGAAGTTGTGAAAGGTGATATTAGAATATTAGTGTGATTTATCCATTCGCGATGGAAGTGGGAGATTAATTCCAGGTAGAGGTTATATACAGAGCAAAGGCAGAATGTGGAAAAGGACAGTCAACATGCATGGAAATGTGTGAGGTTGGTTGGATTAAAAAGTCTTTGAAAGGAAAAAGCTAGCGGGGCTGTGTTGCTTACCTTTTCTAAATTTTCTTCATCTCTTAGTTTTTCTCATCAGTGAAAGACGAACCCTAGTTTTTATGATGACTAAATGAGAGAATGCATATTAAATACTTTAGCATAGAGATGGTATAAAATAAGGTCTCAATGCATTTGGCTATTAGCTCTGTGTTGGAAAAATGCTGAGATACTACTATTAAACAAAGGACTGGAGGAGGGATAAGATGGTATGGACCCTGATGACTGGGGAGATGATTTTCCAACAACGAGAAGGGACATAGAGGGTTTATAGTATGGGGAGGGGGGAAGATATTGAGTTCAATTTTATACATATTTGAAAGGAATGGTAGGACATCTGGATGAAATGATCAAATGGTAGTTAAGATAGAACTGGAGCTCAGATTTAGAGATTATATATGGAGATTATATATGGAGATTATATATGGAGAAGGAGTAGAAAAAGAGAAGTAAGGAAGGAGAATGGCAGGTAAAATCAAAGACAGATGCTGAGAAATGACTATATTTGGCTTTGGGAAAATGAAAAGGAGTCAGATGATAATAATATAAAAGAAGAGAGACCAGGGAATATGGTCATAGGAGCCATAGGAGCACGGGTCTCAAGAGGGCAGTGGAGCAGTGATGAACACTAGTTAGGAAAAGGATAAGACATAGTCCTGTTGCATATGTACCTTGACTGCATACGGAAACTCTGGAGCTTCTCATCGTTTTCTTTCACAAGTACCATCCATTGTTCTTACTCTTCTGACTAGCTATCATGTTTAAGTCCTGTCTTTATAACACTGAAACTTCTGTTACTGTTGGAGACTTGAAGTCAGGGAATATACATTTCTAACAAGCAGTGTTAAGTGTGTTCTTGCCACTGCATATTTGAAAAATTCTGTGTATTTTCTCATGGAAACAATGTACCTATTAGTCAAGGTCTATTATACCTGTACAACCAGATATACATGAGTTGCCATGCACTTTCTTGAGCTGGCCAAAGATTGTATATATTTATTTCTAAGAGAAAGATTTTCAAACTATTAAACTTTCTTAGAGCAATTTGATTTCACAATGATTTTAGGATTTTGTTCTTTTAAAAATGCCTGTGTCAGGTGATTTAAAGTGTGATGTGTATACTCAGCCCTCCTCATTTAGTCTCTGCAGCATATTCATAAGTTATCAGGCAAAAAATGCAAAAAATAAAAATTTGAAATCTGGTAATATGGTATTTTCACAGTTTCTTATAAATATTATGATAAAATTCTTGGTTCCATAGAAAAAGATATAAAGAGATAAGCCTTGTTTATGAATACAGTATAATAACATTTTAGCAAATATTTTAGTAGTCCTTGTTAATTTAGAATGTGTGGAGATCTTGAAATTGTCAGGACTTTCAACTTGCCTTTCCTTGTTTTTCTTTTTCACCTGCTGGTATCTGCCCCACATTCATCTGAATGTCTTTTTTCTCTGAACTTGCTCTCTTCAGACTAGTACTAGTAAGAATTTCACATAGCCATACTGACTAGTACCGGTGGAAACTGATGACCTCCGGTATAGTGCCAAGTCCTTAAATACTTTCCAGCTATTCTTTTTAAGCCTCCCATTTTTCTTTTCAACTGTCTGCCTTAATACCTACTTCTTGTCCCTTAACAGATAACTGGTCCTCCTTCATTACAAAGGAAATAGAGAGCAGTAAGTAAAACTGTCTCAACTTTTGTTCTAGTTATTCCAGTTATTTCCATTTACCTCAAATCTGCATTCTCTTTCCATTTTCCAGAGAAGAATTATCCTCTCTTCTAGCCATGGATTAGATTTCTCTTTGGTTCTACTTATTTCTTAATTCATCCCCCACTTCCACATTCTCATGTTGGAATAGAGGGGTAAACTAGAAAAAATATCTGGAGCCTTTTAAAGGACTGTTGTAGGGGAGAAAAGATTTCTTACCTATTGCAGGATTCACAGCTGAGATCTCCTATAAAATAAAAGATAGATAACAAGAGAAAAGCATGTGAATTAAATTTTATGTGACACAGGAGCCTTCAGAAAATGACCCAAAGACCTATGGAAAACTATATGTTTTTATGGACAGTATTGCAGAAGTATGACTGGAAGATGAAAGGGTATGATCTACTTGTTTATTCAGTACTTCTTGGACTCTCTGTGTGATGTTCCTTCCCTTTGGTATAGGGCAGGACACTCGCCACATGAGAGTCTTCAGCGAAGAAGGGAGGGAGAAGGTCAGACAGTGATCTTCCTAGGCTTTATTGTCTGCTTGGTGGGAGAAGGTCAGAAAGACCTTCCTGCTTTTGCTGTTTTCTTAAATGCCAAGGTGCCCTATTTGGGGGTGGCATTTCCTGTACCCCATCATTGTCAATAAATTACATGTTCTCTCCTGAATCTTTGATATTTCCTTCTCTACTTGCCTTTCTCTTTTTGCATAGAAATAGGCTCACTTCTATTAAAAACCAAAAGGAGCACTGATTCCTCATTCTCCATGTATCATTCTCCTCAAAGATAAGGTGGATAAATTTCTCACCTTATTTGATGACTGTATACTTCTTTATTCTCTTTGGAAACTTCTCCCTTCTTTGGCTTTTGTGATACCATTGTTCTTGGATTCCTTTTTCTAGTTACTACTCAGGTTCCTCTATTTGTTCTTTAAATGTACCTTTCCAGAGTTGTCACTACTGTTTATTTCCTTCCTTTCGCTGTACACTCTCCTTTGGGAGTTATACATTGATCTTTAATTTCTATGGAGATTTCTCTTTCAAGAGCTTTAAACCCATGCCATTCAATTGCCTAGTGTATATTTATACTTGAGCCTCCCCCAAACACCTCTAATCGAACCAATAAAAATGAACCTGTCAATGTCCCTTTAAACTGTTATTTCTCCTATACTTACTTTCTATACCACAATTTCCCATCATCCTCTACCTGAGAAACTCCCTAATCATCCCATATTCTTCCTCTCCTTCACTTTCTATATCCAACAGTGCATGAAGTCTTACTGTCCATCCTTCAGAATTTCTGTTGAGCTAGTTCCTTGTACTTGGCCTCCCCTTCTTTTCCCTTTATCCCTTTCACCACCACTGAATTAGTCTGAGTCCATCTCATTTCTTACCTCTTAACTAGACTTTGTCTTTGTGATTTCTGTTCTCCCTTTAAGCTACCATCCATTCAGTGTCAGGGAAATTATTTAATCATGTTTACATACATTTACATGATCTTTTTACTCTCTGACTTCTCATTTTCTAATATCTCTCCGTTATTTTGAGAATATAACCTAAATGTTTCAGAATCGTATTTAAGACCCTTGGCCTGGCCTATCACTCTTCCCTATCACTCCTGCCCTCATTCCATACCTTTTGCTGAACCAAGCTTGGACTCAGTCATTTGAATCTCTTGAAGTTACTGAACACATCATGTCTTACATTCTCTTTGCCTTCATTGTTACTTCCCTCTCTGCTCAATTTTGTCAAGTTCCACTTGTCTTTCAAATATGACTTCAAGTAGCTGCTACTCCAGAAAGCCTCTTCTATCAACCGTCTCATACCACTACTTACTAAGCATTGGCTCTCTTCTGCTTCCTCAAACATTTCCTATCATATTCTTGTTGTTGTTTTCTCTCTTCCTCCCAGACCCATTTTTAAACCCAGCCTGCATCTCCATCTTTTAGTGTCTTTTCCAGCAGTTACTAGTACTTGTTGAATGGATTAACAAAGAACAACAATGAATTCTTCCTAATGGAGTGCTATGTTAGTTTCTTATTATGTGAAAAAGCTGTATCCTCTGTAATTTCCCCCAAATTTTATAGTGTCTTCTGGATAAATTTAATAAAACAGTGCTTAGCGATTACATATTTGTGCTTGACAGTTTACCAAGAAAGAGAAAGATTGATAAAAAATTTTTGCTCATATGAGTGTTTTCCCTTGAGTAATTTTTTACTTTCATGATGAATGGGACCTTTCCTTATTTTCTATTTTTTATAACCTTTTAATTCCAGGTTGAAAGGCAGAGTGCCTAAGTATTTCAGAAAACCAAGTTAACACCTCATATTTATAAAAAATAATCCTTGCTCCTATAAAGTGTTCCTAACAGCTTGTCAGTGGGGTAGGGAAGACTGGATGGGTTCTGAATTGCTTTTCAGCCAAAACAGGCTCACCTAAATGAACACTGGAAGTGACAGTGCACTTGTGTCAAGTTAGAATACATGTTTTGGGTCAGTTTAGTATAAATCAGAATTCAGGGATGAGTTAAGTTCACTTCTTTACATATATATTCTTTGCCTCTCAGTTTCGAGCTAAAGGGATGTATAACGTGTCTTATTATTTGTCAGTGTTGGAAATTATATTTGAGAAGAGATGACTCATTTTTTGTAGGTTCTAGGACTTGTTCAGCACCTGCTTAGAGAAATGAGATAGTCTCATCTAAATTAGGAAATTACTGGATCAATGGTTTTTGCTCCTACCTGTACCCTACTATAATTTTTTGTATTTAATATAAAAATGGGGCACAACTATGTTTACTAAGAATATTTACTTATAATATTTTTCAAATATAGGCACCAGCTAATAAGTAGCACTAGTTAAAATGTTATTATAACAATTTTTCTCTATTTTATACATTATTCCCTTTTATTTGTTTTTGTTTCTTGATATTCATTTACCTTTTTCTATCCTGTTCATACAGCGTGGTTCAATAAGTATTCTTCCTTATTTTCATATGTGCTAAAGTATTCCTAGTTTTAATGTATTCCATTTAGTAACTAGTTTGTTTCATATGTAAGTCAAGCCTCTGTGTTTTCCTCTAAGGCATTTCATCCTTTTTTATAACTGGCTTTCCATTTTTTTCTTTCTCTTATCAGCTCATCATTCTTTTAAATGCTCTCTTACATGTCATTTAAATCTCTTCCATGTTATATTTTTATTCCATATTTTGTTATATTTAAATTTATCTGAAAAAATATATATTTATACTACTTACATTTATATTTTAAAAAATTTATATTTATACTACTGGAATTCTTCCCTAAGGAAGAGAAGACATACACAGTTAAATCTCCATTATTGAAATTATATATAGATATGTAGAGAAAAGTTCAAATTCAAATATAAATCATCTAGCATTCTTACTGGCTTACTAATGTTTCTTTACAATTGCCTTGGCAAAAAGGAATACATGCTTTAGGTCTACAACCTGAGGAAGAATAAGTGAAATATATGGAGGAATACAAGTTAAATGATTTTAATATGAATGGGGAAGTTTGTGTGGTTCTATTTGGTAATATCTCTCATACCAGGAAAAAGTGAGATAGAACATGGATTTAGGGTCTTCTAAAATATCCTGACATCCATAGCTTATATTTTAAGATGTCCATTGCATACCTGAAAAAGATCAATCCTTCGATCATAATTGTAATGATCAAAACTATTGCTTTAAAATTTGGATCCAGTAATTCCAGTAATTATTTGGATCTAGTAATTCCAAATTCAGTAATTCCAAATATAAATGGATCTAGTAATTCCAAATCTAAGAGTCTAGCTAAGGAAATAATTTTTTTGTTGTTGTTGTTTTGTTTTTGTTTTTTTGAGACGGAGTCTCACTCTGTCGCCCGAGCTGGAGTGCAGTGGCGCGATCTCAGCTCACTGCAAGCTCCGCCTCTTGGGTTCACGCCATTCTCCTGTCTCAGCCTCCTGAGTAGCTGGGACTACAGGCGTCCGCCACCAAGCCTGGCTAGTTTTTTGTATTTTTAGTAGAGACGGGGTTTCACCGTGTTAGCCAGGATGGTGTCAATCTCCTGACCTCGTGATCCACCTGCCTCGGCCTCCCAAAGTGCTGGGATTACAGGTGTGAGCCACCGTGTCTGGCCCGGAAATAAAATATTCTTAAGCTTCAGGCTCTAAGATATTTGTGGTGGTGTAGTATGTAGTGGTTAAAAGCTGATGATATCTTAAATTTCTCTTTAAAAAGGAGGATAATCAAGTATATTATGGAATATAGAGATAATGGAATATTAAGTGGCCATTAAAAATAAAATGTTTACAAAATGTAACGTCATGGGAAAGTATGTATCATATGTTATAAAGCTAAAAGAGATATGCATTTTATATAACATACTTTCAACTATGTGAATGAATTTTAAAACACTAGAAGGGAATGCATCAAATTGTTGAATGTTCCACCTGGCTGGTGGAATTATTCTTGCATTTTACAAATGGTCTGCATTTAGTATGATCTTACTATTATATTCAGAAGACTTGTAAGCTAAAAGATAAAGTTTGTAGTTTAGAATGTTTAATAGCTATTTAATGGAATTTTAATTCAAAATAAGCAAATTGTTTACTCTCCTTGGACAAGACATCAATGTCATTTTTCTCCTTTGATTTGGAGGCATTTCAGCATCCTGAAAGCCTGCACACTAAGGATTCAGTGCTTTTGCAATTTAAAGCTGGAGTGGAAGGGTGGACATAGTCGGTGCTAGGAGGGAGAGGAATAATTTAAGGGCATTTTAATGAATTATCTGTAGCGTGGATATAAAATATCAGCATGTGACTTTTATTTGCCAGAGATCTGATAGAACATAATCTTTTCTGATTTCTGCAGTATCAAATCATGGGTGGATAAGATGCAAGAAGACCTTGTCACACTGGCAAAAACAGCAAGTGGAGTCAATCAGCTTGTTGATGTGAGTAAAATCCACCAAAGAGATTTCTTAATCTTTTCATTAATTCGAATGCAGTTCTATCTTCTAGGAAACTGTGTCTCTATATTACAAATGGGATATGATTTCTCATGTGGATCTGGTGGTGAAATTCTGAGAGAAACCATTGGTACTGCTAGTTACTGTGAACAGGAAATGCCATCCTTAGAAATTAAGGAAACTTTCTCAGCACACTTTGCAGTTGATACGTAGGTCTCACTTAAGTGAGTCTGCGTGTTATGTATACTCTCCGTAAATTTAAATAGGGAAGTCATGTACTTACTATTATAATGTTTCCATTCTTCAGAATATATTTAATAATCCCTCATACAGTGGTGACTTGAACTCCTGTGATGGATTCTTTTGAATATCCTCAGTGAAAACATATATTCATTCTATTAGGGTAAAAATTATTTGAAAAGTGTTTACAGGCATGTCTAGAGATTAGAGATAGTCACTGAGATCAGTAATAACGGTTCTGGTGCAAGATAAGGAGACTCTATAAAAGACGATTTTTCTTGTGACTTATGAATTAGCTATGAAAGTCACTCTAAAGTGATTTTTGAGTGACAGCAATATAAATATTTGTATGGCATCTTAACTAGATTATTTTCCATGGGTAAGAGCATTTACATGTATAGGTTCTGTAAGATTTATTAAAAATTAAATGTCACTTTTTAAGGGCCCCACTACTTTCGTTTCAATGTAAATAATACATTTGAAAATATTCTCATTTTGTGTTGTTAGTGATGCAATGAGGCCTTTTATTTTCCAAAAATGTGATGAGTCAATGAGATAAAGTGGTATAAAAGCAGCTTCATATATAGCATGACTTTTTATCATGTAAATATATATGAGAAACTGGAATGTGTGGTTACTTTATGTATTAATAGAAATTCTTAAGGAAACCAAATACACACAAACTTCAAAAAATTATACCAGAATCTCTTTATAAAACAACTGTAGAGAGTGTTGAACAAACCTAAGTGTCTGTGAGATAAGGAATACGTTTGGAAATGAAAGGTGTTCCCTGCGAATAACAATGATCAGATTTAATTCTAGTCAGTGTATTATGTTGAGCACGTAATATGTCCCAGACACTGTGCAGGCTGCCAAGGATAAACAAAGAAACAGTATTCCTCTCCTCAGAGAACTGACACTCTGTTGATAAAAAAAAAATCTCGATTACTAGTGCAAAGAAACTTGAAAGTTATTGTGTGCCGATGCTTGGGATCTGCAATGATTCACTGTGGGAAACTATATTAGAATATGAAAGTGTGTAGGTAGTAAGTGAGCCTCTATGAAAGTCATGGAGTTTATGGAAGTACCACCAAATCTTCTTTGTTAATTTTCATTTAGATACTATTTAAATTGAGAGCAAAGATTTTATTTAATCATAATGAGAAAAAAAAGAAAGTACAGGTTCTGGTGAGAAGTTATATGACTGTCTTTATCGACAGATGGAGATTAAAAATAAGCTGCTCTTGGGAGCATCTCCCTTACTCTGTGAGTGCTTCCCCAGCCTTAAAAAACAACTTGCTTGGCTGGCCTCATTGTTCCTTTTGGTGTTAATATGTGAAACTTTTTTTTTCTGAATCTGCTTTTTTGCAATGAATCATTAACCAAAAAGAATTTTCACCTGGTTTCTATTATGCTTTATGAAGGATAGATTACTAAGAAGAGTATAGATATTGATGAATTAATCAATGACTGAATTAACATAACAAAATAGAATGGAAAAGATGAAAGAAAATCTCTAATTTTCTGTTTATGGGATACATACCTCATTACGGTCACAGAAAAATTCCAAATTAATGAATAATGTGTTAGGTAACTGGGGTGGTGGGAGGAGTATTAGAGCAGAATTCATTATTGGAAATAGAATTTAAGTACTAGGGCACACAAAGAGTGTCATCTTACACAGACAGATGATTCCGTATTGCCTCATTCCTTTTGCTGAAGGATGTCAGAGTTTAGAGTGAACTTTGAGCTGAGATTGGGGGTGTTGGATATATGGTGAGGACCAGAAGTTGAATAAATACAGGAGCTTAGCAGGGCTCCAGTTAGAAATTTATTATTGTAGAAATGAAGGTTCTTCAAATTACAAATTACATTCATTTTTATTGGATTCACAGGGTACAATTAGCTTTTTACATGAAGGCCAAGAACCAACACAGGCACCACAGCTAAAGTAATATATTTTTGGTGATCATGCCACTGCACTGCGGCCTGGGCTTCAGAGTGAGACCCTGTCTCAAAAATAAAATAAAATAAAATAGTAATATATTTTTGCAATTTAGTGAAAATTGCTTTATTGTATCCTAAAATAGTAGCCCATGGAAAGTTGCTAATATTATTAAATACATTCAGTGCTTCAACTTTACAAATGTGAGATTTTTCCCAGGTTACCTGCCTGTCTTCTGTTAAAGATCAAGAGTGAATAGGTTTGTTTAGGACTATTGTCCCTGATGCATTAGACTTTTAAGATGTCTCTTATTGGATTATTCCATTACTGAACCATTTGGAGAATACATATGTCCATCAGTTGTATATGCTCATCCACAAGATGGGTAAAATAATTGAGAGAAGGTTAAAATTTTGTTCTAAGTTACACAACTATTAAATTGGATGCAACTCTGAAATTTGAAACACCTTCTTGTATGCTTTAGAACATATGTTAATAGCATTTTTTATCCTTATTTGTACCTTGAAAACATAAGCAAATCCCCACATAAACAAGGTGAGTATATCAGATTATGCTAATGCTCTTTTTATAAAAGATATAAATTAGAAGAAGCCAAAGCTCTGCCACTAACAATGATCTACTCTTGAATATTTCCATTTGATTTTTTTTTTCAAAAAGAAAAGAGTGTAAGGAAATGTCAACATATAATATACATGCATAATTTAAAACCTCCCATTTCTGTTGATAGCACAGAAATGGTTTGTTTGTATTTCCATTGAAATAATTGCTAACAATGGTACAGAAAGTAAGTTTTCACTGATTTTTTTCTTCATGGTCTTCTAACTGAAGAAAACCCATAATACTTTAAATGGAGTATTATAGCATATCCCTCTGAAAAATCCCTAAGGCTATTATACCTTGGTTCTGCCAATTGCCAGCTTTAGGATCTGGCCAAGTTATTTAATCTCATGGAGTTGTTGGGATTAACGATACAATCTGTATAAAATATTTATTGACATATAGTGAGAACTCAACAAATGTCATTCATTTGTCATATTACTTGGTGACATTGTATAAGCTGGGGTACAGGCTGGGCCAGTATGACAAAGATACAAGCTAAACATGTATTTTTCTGCCACATAGCAGTTGAGAGGTAAGCCATCTAGGACTGGCAGGGTGACTCTGCCATCCTTAGCATGGGGCTTCCATGCCTGGGTGCAAAATGATTCTTCCAGTTGCTCTTCTTTCCCAGCTGTCATGTAAAGGGAAAGAGATTTGGAGAGAAGATATCCAGTCATTTAAGAGTAAGACATTTTGCTCACATTCCAGTGGTTAGAACTTAGTCACATCTAACTCAAAAAGTGTCAAAGAAGTGGAGCCTTTTTCTGAGCAGCCATGTGCCCCACTAAAATTCTGTCACAATGGAAGGGGACAGAACCAATAGTGGAGGACAAGAGCAGTCTTCACTTGTATGTATTATTATCTGAATATATAAAAATGTATTAAAGCTGTATTAACAGAGATGGAAGCTGTATTTACACATTTAAAACATTTTAGACAGAAAAATAGGAAAACAGTCCCCAAATTTAGAAAAATATATATGTATTTTTAATAATCTGAATTATAGAATATTTTGAAATATATTTCTAAACACACACACACACACACACACACACACACACACACTCCTTTAGCTACTGCACTGGCAAATGGCAAGGCTGATCATCACATATTTATGAATAGATAACATTTTTAAAAATTAAATAGTCTTAATATTCCTGTAAACAATGTTTTAAAGTTAATGAAATGTTTACCATTGCCATTTGAAATGGTGCATGTCACATTGTTGTTATGAAGCTTTCTTCTTAAAGGTAAACTGTCTGAATTTCTAAAATTTTAGGATAGCATCTGCAAATATGTTTAGAATAATGTGTGGATTAAATTTTTCCTGGAAGCTTATTTTTGAAGGTAGGCCCATTCTACAGTGGCATTGCCATAGAACTTCCTGGCTTTTGATTCATTGTTAATGATTTATTAAGTGAAAGTTTCAAAACCAATACCTTTACATTTCAATATGCTACTCAAAGATGTAAATATGAAATGTGTATAAATATTGAGCATTCAACACTCTCAATTAAGGTAGTATTTACATAAGCGTTCTGAGTGAAGAATTTCTTTTCATTAGTAATTCAGACTAATGCTTACTCTTTGACATTGTGGTCATGTCATCTCATGTAAATAGAATATTCTTTTTCTAGGTGGCGGAGAGTTTAATATATTTACAGAGGGAGATACTCAAAAACAGAGCACAATTAATCATTGGTGATCCTGACTAGGGAATCAGCAAGACGCGCAGGCAACAAGAAAGATTTCCGGGAGTGCTGAAAGAAGCCATATTAGAATATCAGATATTAGAATTCCCTTTACACAATTGTTTTGAGGGTAAAAGGCAATATAAAATTTTAAAGAAGTTATGTGCTTTCTCACTTTAAATAAACAAATACAGCTATTTATTATTAATTCCATATGTTTTGCTTTTATTCAGAGTTGCCTTACTTTCCTCAACAATTAAGTGCTGTAACTAAATCAGCACCATAACGATGTAGGCAATTTAAAATTATCTTATACTCCTGGATTTGCTCTTTTTGTCCTAAGTAGAAAGAAATCTATTTTGACTGCAGAATATAGCACTATAAAGAATGCAGAGAGTATGGTTTCCCTTCACCATCATCCTCCCCCTGCCTCCCTGCTGCACTGGAGTTTTTTAAGTAAGAAGCTATTTTTGTTTAAACAGTGGTTAATTACATTCATTTTCAAAGACACAGAATAAACTCAGGGGATTTCTAATTTTAGGGTGACTTTCAATATTTTCTCAACAGATATTAAAACGTTTTTTCTTTTACCTTCCCATTCTCTTCCGGCCGTTAATTAACATTTTCTGAAGTTATGCTAGTACTTGAGGGATATGTTATTATTTATTGTTACTCTAAACATATATTTAGTGCAATGGTTCTCAGCCAGGGGCTGTTTTGTGCCCTGGCATACATTTGGCAATCTTTGGAAATACTTCTGATTATCATAACTCAGGGCATGGGATGGTATGGAAATACTTGTGATTATCATAACTCAGGGCATGGGATGGTATGGAAATACTTGTGATTATCATAACTGGGGCCATGGGGTGGTTGCTACGTGCATACTGTTGGCATAGAGGCCAATGAGGCTTTTAAACATCCTACAATGCATGAGACATCCCTTCACAACAGAGAATTATCTGTAAAATGTCAATTGTACTAAGGTTGAAAAACTGCTCAAGAAGAACTGAAGAATCTGAGTGTATGAAATTCTTTAAATGAATATAAATTTGTAAAATTGTGTATCAGCATTGGTACATATCAGTTTTGCTTTAGAAAAGCCATTTGTTAATAAGATATGACAGTTATGGGCAAATTAAACTGGGCTGCTTTTAAAAATTGTTTTATTGGCAGTGAAATATATTTAGGTCGTTTGGGGTTAGAGACATTAAACAGGCAGCTCACTCAGCCTATGGTTAATTATTTTTAAATTTAGTTTTAATGAATTTAGTATGATCTTTTTCACTTCTAATTGCATATGAATTTTCTGGCCAAAATGTGTATTCAAATTTATATATAGCTTCAGATATGGAAAAAGAGAGGCTAGGTTAATAAATTATCTCCAGAATTAAACAACGACAACAACAAAAAAACAGGTAGAGAGTTTCTGTTATTTGTGTATGTTAATGTTTTCCTTGTTTTGAATCTAAGTATTCTTAAACATGAACTTAAAATTTACTTTTTGTGTCAAATGCGTTTATCCTAAAAACCAAAAAATTCTTTAGTCTTTGTTATAGTTTAGTTTTTCTGTTCTAGGGACAACCTGCACTTCTGGTTAAATATAATCACCTGTTCTATGTATAACATGGAGAAAATTAAGTGGCCTGTTTGCGATTGTCACTTGTTCTTTTCTTTCTTCTGTCTTTAATATATTGCTCGGAAGCATCACCATCGTGTTCTTGTTAATAGGAGCTAGGGCGAGTAGCAGTGTGTGCTGCAGAACGCTCACCAATTGTGACTTCATTCTTCCTAAATATCCTTCTAAAGACGATGCTCCATTTGAAATGCTATAGTCCTAGCTAAGAAGCTGTATCACAGCAAATAGAAAGAATAGAGTGGCTAGGGAGACTCGTGAGTTTGGTATTAGAATGCTAGTTTGATATAGTTATCATTGGAAAATTATGCACTATAAATTTGAGGCTATGACCAAATTATGCATTTATATATGTGTGTATATGTGGTATGTATATAATTGCATGTGTGTGTATATATATGTTTGGATTGTGTTTGTAGTAAACAAATTTATAATTCAGATTCTTCCTATGTACTAATTGCTGTGATAGCCACTAGAAGTTCTGAGCTAGGTAGTTTACTAGTCTAAAATATGTTGGGTAGACTAGAGAATAAGATATAAACCATCCTTTTATATGAAGGATCCTTTTACCATCCTTCATAATTATGTCTCAATTTGCCTTTCACTCTTTATTTTCCCATAACTCCTTGTATTACACCCATTCTGATCTCTTTCATCCATTACTGAATCACGTTTCCTCCAAAACGTGGCTGTAGTTTCATTTATGTGACTATTGCATCCTATGTGATCTTAATTTCCTCTGAATTCTGACAGCATACATTTCTATATCTCTTCATTGGAACACTCATATTCTTCCTCACACTGATCATTACCTTAATTTGTGTATTTATTCTATTGTTGGAATTTAATTATTGTATCGGTGTTGTATTTGTAGTCTATTATGTAACTGCATAGCATCTTACTTAACCATGATTTTTTTAGGTTTAAAATAAATACTGATTTTAAAATACAGGGAAGAAGTTGTTATAAATCATTATTCACATTCCCAGCAAAGCCTGACAGAGAATCAGTATCCATTCACTAATTCATGCAATTGGTATTGATTGTGCCAGGCACTGTGCTATGCGCTGGTTACGTACCAGTGAACAAAACAGACAAAAATCTTTGTCTTCTTGAGATTTACCTTGTGGTGAAGGGGAATAGAAAATACTCAATAAACATCACACGTATATAAATTATATATCTTTGATGTTTGCACATGCTTATAAGTAGCAAAATAGAAATATCAAGTCATAAAAAATTTCAAAGGTAGTGTCCCAATTCAAAAAGCTAGGTTATAGGGAAAAGAAAAAAAAGGCCATAATTTACTTAGAGTGAAGATGCAGAGAATCAAATGTGATTTTTTTTTTTTTTTTTTTTTTTTTTTGAGACGGAGTCTCGCGCTGTAGCCCAGGCTGGAGCACCGTGGCGCGATCTCAGCTCACTGCAAGCTCCGCCTCCCAGGTTCACGCCATTCTCCTGCCTCAGCCTCCCAGATAGCTGGGACTACAGGTGCCTGCCACCACGCCTGGCTAATTTTTTTTTTTTTGTATTTTTAGTAGAGACGCGGTTTCACTGTGTTAGCCAGGATGGTCTGGATCTCCTGACCTCGTGATCCGCCCACCTCGGCCTCCCAAAGTGCTAGGATTACAGGCGTGAGCCACCGTGCTCAAATGTGATTTTTAAAAATGACATTAATACAGTGTCATGCATCTTGTAAAATGATTACCTATAGTTTCATAAATGCACACACTAAGTTGAATTAATACATTTTAGCAGTTGGTATTTGCATTAGTTCTTTACCCAGCAGCCCTAAACACAATCGACAATATGCTAAAGAGTAAGACATTTTAAAAGCTTGATTTTTATTTAGTAGATTACATCATTTATTATTTTAATCAAAGGGAAGGAAGAGGTTGAAGAGATCAGGGACTAATTAGAAATGATTAAATAATTTTTATGGCAAAATTCATTTTGTTAAAACAGCTAATTTTCATGGGGAAAAGGAGGTTTTGTTTGTATTGTATTTGTTGTTGTTAAAGTATATTCTAACATCAATTCAGATCTACAGTCACTAGTTACTCTTTACCTTAGGTGAAGGAATCTTCACATTTCTCAACATTTCTGTGTGATGGCCAGCTTAGATGATGAGGAGACTTATGATAAAGAAAAAAGAGACTTAATGATATAGAAAAATACTACATTAGTATTTGTTTAGTTAAGGGAACTTTGATCCTTGAAAGTGACCGAGAAAGTACATTATATCATTCTTTTCTGTTAATACACCTTTTAGAAAGAAGACATTCTTAGTTGCTAGGGAACAAGTAGTTCGAAAGCCCAAGGAATACTTAATAAAGGAAAAAAAAATGTATAACCCACAGACAAACCATCCCACGTTGCAAAATTCAACTAAAATTAAGTGAAATTGATTTTGTGGGTATCTGAAGCAGCAGAGGTGACAATGAATCCCTTTTCTTGCCTTCATTAGTATTGAAGATATTGAATTTACTCCTGTTACCCAATAGAGAGTGGAATTAGAATGATGGTGGGAAATATAATGTAACACTTTCTTTTAATCCCACTTCTCATTATTTTGAGGTAGGATGATATTTATTTATCCAGTTTGTCTAGTTTTATACAATGTATGTATGTATGTTCATTTCGATATTTTTAGCTTTTCTGTCATCTTTCTTCTTAGAACCTCACACAATTGTGAAGGTAATAATGGGTATCCTTGAACTAATTTCATTATTTCCTGATGCCTAATGGAAATTGTATGTTGCTCACAATGGAGCTCATCTTTCATATTCATCAGAATCTAATGATAAATGAAATGAAAATGCAAAGTTATAATAAATAAATAATGTTAATCACAACTTCAGACATGGGATTCTGTTAGAATTTTTCATTATTAGGAATAGTGAATCACTCAGAAAGTTTATTATCAATCTACTTATAAAAAAAAAAATAGACTGGGTGCTGTGGCTCACGCCTGTAATCCCAGCGCTTTGGGAGGCTGAGGAAGGAGGATTGCTTAAGCCTGAGAGTTCAAGACCAGCCTGAACAACATAGTGAGATCCTATTAAAAAAAAAAAAAAACAAAAAACAAACTTAGCCAAATTAAGCGAACTCAGGAGGAGCCTGGCTTTCAGCAAGAACTCAAGTTATTTAGAAAATAGTTTGGTCAGAGGAAGGGCAGTTCAGAGGCAAGGCAGCCTCAGAAGCTATTATTGTTGACTCTGCTGGGAGCTCTTCACAGCTAACTCATTATGTTAGTCTTCTATTGCTATGGTGACAGATGACTAAAAACTTATTGGTTTAAAACAATGCAGATTCATTATCTTACAATTCTGGAGATGAGAAGTCCTTTCTGTGGCTCATTTCTCCTTCCCTTGGTCTTCAAAGCCAGCAGTGTTGGCCTGATTTCTTCTCATGCTGCCATTTCCCTAGTTTACTCTTCCTTAGTCACATCTTCCTCTTCCATTTTTAAGGACCTTTGTGATTCCATTGGCTAACTCTGACTATCTAGGGTAATCTTCTTTTAAGTCCAGCTGATTAGTAAATTTAATTCCATCTGCAAACTTAATTCCCTTTTGCTATGTAACAACATATTAACAGGTTCTGGGGATTAGGATATGGATGTTTGGGAAGCCATTATTCTGTCTATCATAACCACCAATTCTATTGCTCAGTAGATCTGAATACTGTTTTCCTCCCACTAGTCTCTTCAGTTCTACTTCTACTTAAACCTTTGATCCATGCTATTTCATCCAACTGTCATCTTGTGGTGAGAGCATCTGATTGGCTCAGTGCGTTATCTTTATTTATACAGGTCTTTTATATTTGGCTCGTTACATGCCATTGACTCAGAAGTTAACTTCTTGCAGGTCTAATATAAGTCCTGATACAATTGGTTAGAAGTCAAAGACAAGGCCATACATTAGAATATTTCTAGCCATGTGTAAGGGAGCTCCTATTTCATCAGGGATTGTCAAAGGGAAAATGTCCCTCAGAAAGATGGCTGTGGATATGGCAGAAATCTTGATTGCTTGTCCAAGACAATTTCCATGGAAGGAAAGTACAGGTGCAAGTATTGGGAAATGGGGTTGTCAAAATTTACATACCTAAGATTTAATATGCAGAAATTTGACTGTTTCTCTTTAGGGAACTTAACTTGCTTATGAGCTGACATTCTCTTTCCTAGGAGAGGGAAAAATTAATCTCATCACTTGAAGGTTAGCCTCTTTCAGATCAAAACAGCCTTTTGTGGTCAACTAAGGATTTAGTAAGTTCTAACTCTTTTTCTATATTCTCTAATCTTCTTTACTTTGTTTCTCCATGCCTGGGCGCAGGGAGAAACTTATATGACAAGGTATCTGGTGTATTTGCTTGCTTTTGTTCTCTTGATATAGATAGTGAACTTGACTGCTACTTAGAACTTGGCCAATCTTCTCAACCTGCTTAGGGCCCCTCAGCTGTAGGTGGTTCTTTACCATTATCCTTCAGCTGGGTGTCTGCTTCCCACTTTCCATCTCTCAGCCTCTGCATTAGAATTTCTTTGATCCTGCACGGAGCCTATCTCCTAGCAGACATACCGACCCTTGTTCCTTTCTTGCTCATTTCAAAGGGCTTTCTTAAATTTCCATGTCCTGCTGAAGCCAAGGAAGATTTAGGACATAGAATGGCATTGAAGATTCACTTTGCCTAAATATGCCACATTACCACTCACCTTCGGCTGCTCTAGACATTGGTTTGCTCTTTTATGATGAAGTGTGATTCAGACTCCCTCCAGATATTCTGAAGCCTGAATCCCATTGTTCTCACTAATACAATGGTTAATTAAATGTATATTATAGATTTCTTAAAGTGAATAAATAATATAATGTATGTGAAACACCTGAAAGTGATATAGAGTAGCTGCCTACATTGATTGCTAATAATGATCTAGCTGGGTGCAGTGGCATGCACCTGTAGTTCCAACTACTTGGAAGGTTGACATGGGAGGATCACCTGAGACCAGGAGTGCTAGGATTGCCTCTGTGAATAGCCATTGCACCCCAGCCTGGGCAATAAAGTGAGATCTGTCTCTAAAAAACTTTTTTTTTTAAATAAAAAATTTAAAAAATTTTTACGTCCTCTAAAAGTTTGGAAGCATATTTAGTTTTGAGTAAATATTTCTGGGGCATCTGTATTATGATTTCCAAGAGGTTTCTTTAGGAATTTTGTTAAGCAATTATATCATTGAGTAATATCATTTTTTAGATATTAAATTTGAAGTTATTTTAAAATGTATAATTGTGATGATTATCTTGGAACTGTAGACTTAATTAGAGCAAAGTGACTTAGAACATATATTATGTTAACATAGCTGATTAGCATAATTAACATATGTTAATTAGAACAAAGATATTTAGAACATAGATTATGGTTTTTTTGGCTATCTCACAAACCATAATCTAGGTTGTCATCACAGAGAAACTTGGTCTTTGAATGTTACAATGAAAGTACATTAAAGCCAGTTGGTTAAGATTGTAGGAAAGAAAGAATGTACAGGTGACAAGTATTCTTTTTGTTAAGACTTATGTCAGGGTGGCAGCAGGAGAACTTCAACTTTAGGGAAACTAAAGCATGTGAGTGTATCAGGAGGAAAAGTATCCTGTTTTTAAGTCTGTCTATATGCTACATTCTTTCTAGTAGAGAAAAAACGAAGGCCAGTTTTGCACAGCATGTGAAGAGTTGACAGGATTGAAATGTAACTCTGTCTGGTGCCAAAAACTCGTATTATTTCCACCATGCTGTTTTTCCTTCGAGAAAGAAATTGGACAAAATGGCAAAGCAGATAATTATTTACAAAACAGTAAACTGAAGAAGAGGAAAAGATACCTCAAGATATGTTTGAAATATTAATATATGAAATATTGTAGAAATATGTCTTAGTGATGGAAAGAGTTAGAAATATACACATATTATGAAAATATATTGTGTGATCATAAAAATCCATATGAAACCTTCTATTCTGAAAATTATTTACTAAACATATATCAGGAGAGCTTTGCAATAGCTGTCATGACAACAAAGATGATTGTAGTCTTTGGAACCAGAAGCAAGAGCTAGTTTTTTTGGCGGGCAGTTATATAATTTTAATTTATTTTTATTACCAAAGAAAGCAATTCAATTGTGGTTTTATATATAAAATAATACAGCCAGATATTTACACTAGGGGTTCTAGACTTTAACTTCTTGACTTAATTTATTTCACATTTATTTGTGAGTTACATCTTGTTTTTGTTAAGTATTTAAAAATTATCCTAAAAGGAAAATTTGAGAGAATATAAATTTATATATTTGAGAAGATACTTATATGCTTGAAATAGTTTCTGCTGATTTATAATCTATTTATTCCTTAAAGCACCAAGTAATTAATATGTCCGGCACATGTATGTAGAGACTTAATAAATGATATTACCTGAAGTATAGATTGCACATCTGAACTAATCCCCACCAACTATGAAGCATATTGTATTCCCTATACCACAGGAAGGAGGTTAGACTGCATAGAGAAATGAACAAGGTATTAATGGTACAATGCACACTACATTTCACACCAATTAGCTCTATTGGTTTTACTGCAAAGAACTACATATCCTGGATCAATTAAAGTGATGTTGTGGTTTATCTGTTTGTACCTCAAATCAATTAATCAATGTTCCTAAATCTTATCTTAGTCTGAAATGAAAGAGAAAGCTTTGCATTGGATGAAGTTCTTCATGGATGATATGGGTCTTTAAAAAACAGAATTCAATAATCTGCTTCTTAGCAGAAAGCATAAGCAATCCAGTAAAATGCAGGACTCCTGGATGAATCCAAATATGGAGATTTTATCACTAAATTAACGTGCCTTGAGTACTTTGAGTGAAAACTTATAAGTTCAAAGTTCACATGAGTATGGTAAAATCTCATAGTGTGAATAAGTCACTTTTAGGAGCAAAAATTGATTTAAATCTTTACAAAATATTAATTTTAATTCCAATAAATTTTAATTTCAAATTAATTTTTATTTCAAATAAAAAATTATAAGTCCATGTAAAACTAATATGCTCTGTGGTCAATAAATGTTAGTATGTATCTGTGTCCATTTGAAGCCAGTATTCACCAGTGTTATCAGTGCGCAGCTGGGATCATACTGTAGAACCTGTTGGTAGTAAAGCAGAATGCTGGAGTTGTGCCAGAAAAAAGCAGGGTTGAACTGATTCCTGTATGTGCCTGGATTCACTTCTCATAAGACAGTAAAAACCTGCCAGGTCCTGGCTTTCAAAGATGGTTTAGTCATGCATGTGCACCCCATCTGTTGGATGCATGAGGGATTTCCTTCTCATCTCAGCCCTCCAGCCACAAACACTGTGACTGCTTCCCCTCCAACCCCCCTTTCTTTAATTCTTCCTCTCCTGCTGAGTGTGTACAGGCTGTGTAAGACAGGTGCAACTTATGCCACTCTGGGGAAATCCTTCCATAGACACTAAGGTGAGCCAGAAAGGTAGTCAAATTTTTCTTTTGGCACCTAGCTTAAATTCAGTATACTTTAATTCAGTGATTAAAAACTAACAGCAACATTTACTTTGATTAAAAAAAATACTCCATTACCGTTCTAACCAAAACCTTAATGACCTTCATCTCTTCTATATGTGAACTGTCTCCTAAGCTCCTCTTGTTATCTAGATGAATATTAGCAGGGGCTTTATATGTATTCTCTCTCTCTCCGTTCTGTAGCACATAACCCTTCCTCCTGCCTTTGTTTTCCACACTCCTCCAGGTTTGACCTCCCATGCTCCATTTCGCCTTCTGTTGTCTAGGATGGCTACCCTTTCTCTTACGATGCTGATGACAGATAATACCCAGTTTCGAGATTGGAGAGTGCAGCATCAAGCCTCAAAATTGCATGTACAAACCACTGTGGTACAAGATGTTTTACAACCTGTTAACATAACCTATATTTTGGCAAGCTGGTGGTCCTAGAGCAAATTTATATTTACATATTTTTTCCTGACACACTCAAACTCCAAAAAGATCAAGATAAAGAACAGGGTGGTGTTTCTAATCAGTTGTTTATAGTTTTAAATACATTCCAATGGGAACTTGTAAGCCAAATAAGTAACTATTGTTCTTACTAGTTTTTTTTTTCTTTCACACAGATTTATGAGAAATATCAAGATTTGTATACTGTGGAACCAAATAATGCACGCCAGCTGGTAGAAATTGCAGCCAGGGATATTGAGAAACTTCTGAGCAACAGATCTAAAGCCCTGGTGGTGAGTTTAAATTGGATCTGCTCATTTTATTATTTTCCTTACTTATCTATTATTTAATTTTCATGCTCTATTGAGGGGTTTTGGTATGCGTTCTTCTTCTTAGTAACTGTGTTCATCTGATATGTTCATAAAAAATGAGATATCATGGTTTAAATGCAAACCCCAAAATATTTCTAATTATGTTTATTTTATATTACTATTATATTTTAATAATCTGTGTTTAATTGATTATATGTATATGTATCCACATGTACATCATGATACATAATAATAAATTGAACATGTTTAAATCCATATGTACATCATGATACATAATAATAATTGAACATGTTTACACAACATAAAACCCAGAATATTATCATCCTCTTTAGTTGTATAGTCTCTTATTCCATCACCCTTCCTCTCTGCTAGAGGTGGCCAAAATGCTAGATATTCAAGTTACCATTTTTTTTCTTTTTAAAAATAGTTTTCCCTCACAAAAATGCTTTGCTAAACAAGTTATTCTTTAGTTTGCTTACTTTTTAGCATTATCAAATTCATATTGCACTGTATGTAATCTTCAGCTACTTGGTTTTCTCCATCAACATTGTGTTTGTATGATTTATATGTATGTTTGCACTTAGATTTAATTCATTTTATTCAGTTAAATATTTTATGAGGATGTATCTCAATTTCTTCATTTAGTCTCTGTAGGTGGGTAAATTATTATTTGGATTATTCCAGATGGATACTATTATGAATAGTGCTGCTGAATTTTCTTGAACAAGTCTCCTAGTACTTATGTGTAAGAATATCTGTAGGGTCAATACAGGAGAGTAGAATTGCTAGATTGTAGGGTATTCGCAGTCAGCTTTATAAAATGACAATTGTTTTCCAAAATAATCGTATCAATTCAGACCTTCACTAGTTATATATGAGCCCACATTGATACATATTCTGGCCGACATGTGGAAGTGTTACACTTCTTAATTATAGGCAATCAAATGGGTGTAAATGTTACCTCTGCTTGTCACTAATGAGGGAGACATCTTGCTGTATATTCATTTACCTTTCTTGTTTCCTCTTCAGTGAAATTTTTTTGTACATTTAAAAAATTGATTTGTAGGTTATGTATTCCTGATGCTAATTCATTTTAGTTATATATGATGCAAACATCTTAATTTTATTGCAAAGTCAACTTTTCTTTTAATTATTAGTATTGTAGAGTGTTTTCTTTAAGAAAACCTTGGCTAACCTGAGGTTATACACATAATTTATTTCATTCTCCATGATTCTAAGCTTTGTCTTTTGCATTTATGTGTTTAGTCCACGTGCAAGTTATATGAGTATATAATTTTAGTCTGCATTTCAAATTATTTTTTCCAAGGAATTTTTCTAGGGCATTTATAAATTAGTTTGCCTTCCCCTAGTAAACTCCAGTTGTCCAGCTCAATATCTAGTAGGCTGATGTGGTTTGGCTGTGTCCTCACCCAAATCTCATCTTGAATTGTAGCTCCCATAATTCCCACGTGTTGTGGGAGGGATGTGGTGGGAGGTAATTGAATCATGGGGGCGGGTCTTTCCCATGCTGTTCCCGTAATAGTAAGTCTCATGAGATCTGATGGTTTTATAAAGGGGAATTCCCTTACACATGTTCTCTTGCTGTCGCTGTGTAAAATGTGACTTTGCTCCTCCTTTGCCTTCCGTCATGATTGTGAGGCCTTCCCAGCCATGTGGAAGTGTGAGTCAATTAAACCTCCTTCCTTTATAAATTAGCCAGTCTGGGGTATGTCTTCATTGGCCATGTGAGAACAGACTAAATACATAGGCTAAGTCCCTCACTATATTCTTCTTCAGAATAATCTTGAGTATTCTTAAACTTTTACCTTTTATCTAAATTTTAGATTTGGCATATAATTATCCAGGAAAATGTCTACTGGGATTTTGATTTGTATTATATTGATTCAGACCAAATTGAGAAGAATTGATATCTTTATTATATTTTGTCTTTCTATTTATAAATAGTATCTCTTATTTAGCAGTATTTTATACCATTTGATAAACTTTAAAAATTTTTTTCATAAACTTCTTATACATCTTTTGTTAGATATAATGCTGGAGCTTCAGTTTAGCTCCTCTTATTCTTTGTTTGTTTTTGAGACAGCGTCTCACTTCATTGCCTAGCCTGGAGTGCAGTGGCACAATCACTGCTTACTGCAGCCTCGACCTGCTGGGCTCAAGCAGCCCTCCCACCTCAGCCTTCCAAGTAGCTGGGACTACAGGCATGTACCACCACACTTGGCTATTTTTTAATTTTTTGTAGAGATGAGGTCTCCCTATGTTGCCCAGGCAAGCCTTTAACTACTGGGCTCAAGTGATCCTACTGCCTTGGCCTCCCAAAGTGCTGGGATTTCAGGCATGAGCCACTGCACCCCGCCTGGTTCCTCTTATTGTGTAGACTTCAGTACATTTATGGATATTTATCTCAATACAACTCTGAATTTCCTGTTTGCTTAATACTCATTGTTCAGGTTTTTTTGTTTACTATCTTTTATAAATATCTTGACCCTCAAAAATTTTCTGTTCGTTCTTTCTTTCTTTCTTTCTTTCTTTCTTTCTTTCTTTCTTTCTTTCTTTCTTTCTTTATATTTCTTTTTTATTTCTATGCTTCGTTTCTTTCTTTATATTATGCTTCTTCAAATATCCAAGATATTGTTGTAGTGTAGCAGGTATGTTGGTTGGAATTTTTGTTACACCATGTTGCTAGAGGTTGAAACATTTCATTGAAAATAATAACTGAGGTCAGATGCAGTGGCTCATGCCAGTAATCTCAGCACTTTGGGAGGCCGAGGTGGGAGCTGAGGTCAGGAGTTCAAGATCAGCCTGGCCAACAGGGTGAAACCCCGTGTTTACTAAAAATACAAAAATTAGCTGGGTGTGGTGGCAGGTGCCTGTAATCCCAGCTACTCCAGAGGCTGAGGCAGGGAGAATTGCTTGAACTCGGGAGGCAGAGGATGCAGTGAGCTGAGACCATGCCACTGCACTCCAGCCTGCGCGAAAGAGCAAGACTCCGTCTCAAAAAAATAAAAATAAGTAAATAAATAAATAAAAATAGTAATTGAGTAATTCATAGGAAGATAAACTTTCATTACTGGAAAATGAAAACATTATTATCTTCAATTTTGGAGAGAGAATACCCTTTTTTATTTAAGTAAATGTTTGTAATAAAAACTTATCTAATAAAAATAAGGTGCTATCTACTGAAGTGATTAATATTCAGGTGACAGTGGAAAATGATTCGATTTATATTGATTTTATCAGTCTACATTTTTCTTCTGGATGTAGGAAGCAGGTAATTTGGACATCATAGTCTCTTAAAAAAGGTTGTGGAATGAAATAGTGTGTCTTGCCTTAATTGGATTAAAATAGAATTCTATTGAGACTTTCTTTCTTATTTCTCATTTGGAATGGAAGCTCAAGACACCTGGTGCATTATTTGAGTCTTGTGAGGGATCAGTAGAATATCTTAAGCACATGATGACAGAATACTGAAGACACAATGGCTAATTAAGTGTAGAATAGTTCAATTTTATTTCAGGGAGACAGATTCATGTTTGTTTTCAAACTAAATTCTTTGCTTAACTTCCTTGATTCCACAAAAATATAAAACATTATTTCAAAGAGAAATATTTTGAGGCTAATGAAGAACATATGCTACATTGTATTGTAAATGAATGCAAGATGGCATTGTTAATTTGCTTCTATTTTAGTTGTAGGCTTATACTCAGGGAGACATCTGGATTAAAGGAGCTTTATTTCTTCTGGGTGGGACACTAATGTAATTTTATAGGTAAATACAGTGGAAAACATCATGAATATACAAATCTAAGGTAGATGATAAAATTTAATACCAGTTAGGCTTTATTGAGTGGTTACTAAGTAGCATTATCTAATTATTTCCCATAATAATACTATGGTAGAGACACCATTATTAGTCTCATTTTTCAATGAAGAAACTGGGACTTTGAGAGTTCCTGAAACTTGCCCAAGGAAATATATCTAATAAGTAATGTTTGCCAGTGCTTCTTAAACTTTAATATGCATGCAGATCACCCGTGGCTCTTGTTAAAATGCAGATTTTTATTCAGTAGATCAGGACAGAGATAGTACATTTCTTATAAGCCACCAAGCATAAGGTAATGCTTATGCTCCTGGTACAAAGACTATACTTTGAGCAGCAAGAATGTGAAATTTGAATGTGAATTTGATTGTGAAATTCAAATTCAGGTGTGTCTGGCTTCAAGATCTACATTCCTACTTATTACATAAATACATCCTTTGACCTAAAGAAGTGTATAATTATACAAAGGAAGAAATGAAGCTAAGTAGTATTTTGTAAAGTTCTATTCATCCATGCTGAATAAGCATTCGATGATCTAGATAATAGAATATTCTGGAAGGCTATTAATTTTTCAGTGAATCCTGTATCAATTAACCATTTTCAAAAGAATGATTTAGTGAAAGAAAATATATGGTATTTAAACAATTTTCATTTTTATTTGAGTTTGGAAAATTTTAAAACCTTCATTATTCTTCAGTAAACATAAGATATCTTTGAAAATATAAATGTAAACACTGTGAAAGAAAAATAAATGTAGCTGGTTGTTTTCTTATAAGCCTACTAAAGAAATTACTTAACAGTCTTTGATAATTCAGGTTTTTGAAAAAAGGAAGTTAAAAAGTGGAGGGTTTTTTGGTGAAATTATTGCTTTTTAGTATCTGCAGTAATTGTTATTGTGCATACATGAACACAGATTTTATGTATTTGAAGATTAAATTGTTAATCCTATCTTTTATAATATTTTTGAATAAAAAGTCAATTTAACTTATTGCCTTATGTGCTAGCTTGTTTTTGTTTATATGTTTGACTCTAAACTACTTATTGCAACTTTATTTTACACTCATTTGTGCTTTTGTCTTTTGATCAGCTCCATCTACCAGCCTTATGAAGAGCTGAAAGATAAAACGATATCAAAACCTTTTAGTTGCTATCTCTTTGATAGCAATTTTGCTTTTTTTTTGTTGGGGGTGGGGGCTTGTTACTATATAAAATCATGTTATGATTCTGATGACTCTTATGTATTAGGCCCTTACAGAAACTCTGTGAAGTAGACACATTAAACATTTATACATTCTTATTTTATAAATGAGGAAATTCAGAAGACCAATGTTCTTATCCAAGACTGTGTAGATAGCATGAGGTAGTGGTAGAATTCAACTTTATGACTTCTGTCTAAAATCCAGTTTGTTCCCCTCTAAACCCACATTCATAATTTGAACTATTTTATTTCCAAGATGTGTCTGCTAAATGACTTTTTTTTCTGACATTTGCTACGTCTATATCTCAGGAACTGGCTCCCTGCAATGATTATATAACTAATATCATTGGATTATTCTTAAGCAATCTCAAATCAAACAATGTTTTGAAGCAAAAAAGATATAATCATTTAACATTATTATGAACATACATTTCAGCTTGAACTAGGCTGAAATATCTGCAAGTGTTAATGAACAATTTACAGGAGAAAGCTTTTCAACAAAGCAATCCAACCTCCAATGCGGCCTTCTGAGAGATGGAGATAAATGAAATCTGTGGTCTCATTGTTCACCAACCAGCCCAGCCAAGGGGATCTACTCAGTAAATGAAGGTCTCTAGGCATTTTGCTCAAAGAAAATAGGATCAAGGTTATAATAAACAAATTTTTCTGGTGACATTTTCCAATTATGGCATATTCTGTCTCCCTCTGGTTGTCCTGGTAACTTTAATTAAAGCTGCTCCAATCTATTTTGAAGCTTTAAATACTGTAATATACTCCAACTCTTAATTCAACCTTGATATTGAGCTTATGATTAGATAACAAAAAAAGGAACATGACAAATGTTTTCAAGTGATTTTTAAAGTAAGTTTTGTTTTTGTTTTCCTGGAAGTGCTAGATGATTGTTATTTAACCAAATAGTTTTTTTTTTCTTTAACTCTTAGGCCAGTCATTCTATATCATTTCTATTTGTCAGCAGTGCCAGTAACATTTTAGAAAAATGTAGCTTTCTGGTCTTTATCTGTAGGGATTTTAACTAAAAAATGTGGAAAGAAACTCAAGAAAAATTAGATACAAAGAAGTGAGAAGGGGATCCAGGAAGGAATTCTGAAATTCTTTAGAGACTCAAAGAAGAATACAAAATTTATCATGTTTGGCTATTAGGGGTCATTGATTTACTTTTGTGAGAATAGATTCAATAGAATATACTGGAACAGAATAAAGACTGTAGTGTTAAGGAGTTATTGGAAAGTGAGACATTGGCAAGAAATTTATCTGGATTTTCATGAAGTTTGGTAGGACAGTGAAGGAAAATGTGGAGTACTACTAAAGAATGTATTTCTTTCTTGTCTATTTTTGAGACTGGAGGACATATAAGCATGCTTATAGCTAGAAAAGCAGAAATCCATGAAATTTGAAAATAAGAAAAAATAGTCTGAATGTAGAAGGATGATTCCAGAAAAAGCAGACAGAGAAGATCGAGGTCATGCAATTTTCTTTGAAAAGATGGCGGAATATTTCACTTGGGACAGAAGGAATATTATTAGATATAAATAAAGACAGTTTTTGTTGAAGATTTGGGAGAGCAAAGTAAGAAAAGGTGAAAGGAGTCTATTATGGGTAAGTAAAATTACTGAGGAATAAAATCTAGGGCCTTCCTAACACTGAGAACAATCAGAAGATATAAAACACCCTCATGTTCTAAAAATGAGGCCCAATAAAAATGAGGCCCAAGCTACATATGAATTTCAAAGAGCTTTCTGAAAACTCTGTGTGTTTATGTGGATATGCATATTTTGACCATTAATCCAGAATCTATCTGGAGGGTATAAATTATCCAGGCCTTTGAGTCTGAGTGGTGAAGGGATTAGGTAATCCACTAATTGTTTTGCAAAATTGAGATTACTTTTATTTATTTGGATTTGATACATGCCTGTGGATGTTAAAAGGGAAGTGCTAAGGCTCGACATGTTTACCCAGTGACAGGGCAATGAGACACGGCATCAAGGGGCACAAACTTACATAAAAACAAGGCAGTGAGATGGAGCTGGTCTCAGATAGGACCCAACAGGGCTTCCCTCCGGGAACAAAACTAGTTTAGCAGAAAGAGGGTAGAAATACACTGTCAAATGGGAGCTGAGGGGCTGGGGTTTAAATGACCCTCAGAAGCATGACATTGCAATTGAATGTCCTGGGTACCTCCAAACAACTAGGAAAGTATCTTAATAAGGGAACAAGTCAGTGTTGAACATCGATCAGCCCCAGAGAGTAACAACACATAATTATAGTCAAGAAAAGCCATCCATTGCCAACTTTCTCTTAGTGCCATTGCTGAAATCACCGTGTTTGAGCTGCTAAGAAGTGTCAAGATGAAATCAGGAGGAAAAACTCAGAGAGTGGCCATAGACCTCTACCACATTCTCCATCTGAAGTTTCTTGGTCTGAAGCAGTACTAACCTGGTAATGGGATTTTAAATGAATTTTACATTAAGCTTAGACATTTGATTTTTATTCCAGACTAGATATTTTAATTGATTAACTGAGACTGCTTTTAGCAGTAACACTTTTATATACAATGGTGAATGGAAAAATTAGGGAACCTGAAAGGCATAATGTTGTGTTCAAATATGATTAATAGACAAGACAACAAAAGGGTGATTTAAACAGAGTGTGGATTTATTTTTCCTCCTGTAATAAGATATACGTAGGTAGGCAACTCAAGAGATTTGCAGAAATCCCACTCTGTTACTTCTGTGTCTATCTCACTGGGCAACCTTTGGCTGCAAGGGGGATAAGAAATGTGGTTTTAGCTAGGCCACTGCTTCTCTGAACAAAATTGGGCAAACTCTCAATTACAATGTATATCCCATCAGTTGATGTCTATGTTAAGACTTTTTCAGGATTTAATATGAGTTTTATGGAAGATGGTCTAGAGAAAATTCATTTTAAAGAAGCAGAGGAGAGGAAAGGAAATATTGTTTTCTGTTGGCATTTTTTATATGGAGCCCCACCTTTCAATGTAACAGTTATATTCATATCAAATCAGCTTTCTCTAATATGGCTTGGCGCAATACGAAGAGTAGAAAACTGCAATTACTTTTGCACAAACTTAATAGAATGAAAAAGACTGTTGAATCCATCTAGGATTGAGGATTGGCAAAGTAAACTTTGTAAACATCAAGGATATTTGAGAATAGTCAATGGTAGTTGAAGTATTTGAAACCAGGAATCACGTTAGATAGGATCTGATAATGGTCAAGAAATAAGAGTTCAAGTAAGTAGTAGACATTTTTATGTGGATAAAGTGTAAGTTTGTAAGGAACAGTGGAGAAACAAGAAGTTGTGGTAAGGGACAGAAATTTAAGAAGTTAAGTGTTCTGGGTAAAAACAAGGTAGAGGCATGAGTCAATGAGCTGGTTACTTAGATGGAGAAGAGTGAAAGTTTTCGGAGTTTTACTAGTAAGGGGCAAATTAATCAGTAGCATTTACTGACTGTCTGCTATGGTCCAGATGCTTTGCTAGGCACTTTCCATATATTTCTAACACTATTTCTGTTCTGCAAAGTACATATAGTTGTTTTCACTGTGCACATGGGAGAATGAAAGCCTGGAGAAGTTCAATAATTTGCCCAAGCTTACACAGCTGGCAAAGAATTCAAACCCAGCTGTGTATACAGTAAGTTCTCACTTAACATCATTGATGGGTTTTTGGAAACTGTGACTTTAAATGACACGCCATATAACAAACCAATTTTCCCACTGACTAATTGATATAAGCAAATGTGAAGTGTCTATGGCATATTCTTGGTCACAAAAATATCACTAAGCTTTTACGTAAACACCAAAAACTTCTGTTATTAAACACTGAAATAAATGTGAGCTATACGTACATTTAAGAAAGATTAATATGAACAAGTAAGATAATTATTTACCTAATTATCCCAGTTCAGAGTGTTGGGTGACCGGAACCTCTCCCAGAAGCTTAGGGTGCAAGATGGGAACCTACCCTGGACAGGACATCATCACATCACTGAGTGCACTCATGCCCATACCCACACCTACTTGTCATGGGGCAATTGAGACATGCCAGTTTACCTAATGTACATATCTTTGGGATGCTGGAGGAAGCTGGAGTGCCCAGAGGAAACCTATCCAGACATGGGGAGAACATGCAAACTCCACACAGACAGTGCTCTGGCCGGGAATTGATTTTCATTTTTTCTCATCAGCGTTATAACAAAACAATATCGAACAAAATGACATTATTCGAGGACCTGCTGTATCTACAAAAATACTTGGTGTTCCCTTGTGTGTCCTGTCATTTGTTTAAAAGCTTACAACATTAACTCATCTAATCTTTACAGTACATAGCTGAAACTAAGAAAGATTAAATGACTTCACCAAATCTTACATAGAGTGAGAGATTTGGTCTGGAATTCTTGTGTTTATGTTATCTAACTTTTAGGTGGCTGCATCATGTTTCTCAGCTCCATGGCATCTCAATAATCTTAGCCAAAATTTATTTGTCTGTCATTTGTCCAGTTAAATCAAAGCAGTCTGTCCAGTTGGCATGTACTTATTATAACTAAAAAAGCCATATTAATGCTCTACTGGGCTCTCATAGTACCATTATTTTCAAGTCTTTTAAAGTCAGCAACGTCATTTATTTTGCTTGCCCTACAGCTTGTAACACCTACCTAGAGTGTAGTTTAGCTAGTTTAGCTACCGAATAAAATTCAGACATAACCTGAAGAATATTTTTCCAGTGAATGGTTGCCCAGTGGATTGCCTCCTGATTTTTGAAATCCAATCTCCACAGGCTAGACTGAGCTCTCACTAAGATGTTTTTGTTTCTTGTTTTGCTTTTTGCTGATGCTTATAAGGCACCTACTTACATTTACATCTTCCAATCTCAATGTTTTTAACAAAATAACATGTGATTTACATTACAGTTAGTAGAACATCAGAATCATGTGGAGATGCCTTGAAATGTAGTGCAGGTGCCAACTAAGGAGATGTGCATGTTTTCTGCTGACAGCGAAAGGCCAAGTAGGGCCTACGACACTGTATGTTAACATCTTATTCATTGTATGAGCAGGAAGTGATGCTTGTAGCCCTTTACACCTTAATATATGGTTTATAACATTTGTCCACGCACCTTGGCATTTGGTGAGTGTCTATTTTACTGTTTTCTTTAGGTGGTTAAAAGCTGGTTGTGAGGGGTTTAGGTTGATATAAAAACGCTCTATTTTCTTCCACTTAATAAATAATAGGCTATCAGAATTTTCACTCAGAACATCAGGTTTTTCTGAAGCAGATTACTGCTTAAGTGGGAGATACCTGTCCTGCTTGATATCATTTGTTAATGTGGTAAATGGAAAGCCCCAGATACACCATCACATTTCCTCTCTTACGTTACACACTGGAGCAGCATCTTTATGGATTTTTAAGTCTAAAATAATTATAATGGTAGGAATTTGGGGCCAAACAGAAGTGATGGTGAAACACTAAGTGCTGTGTTTACGACCTCTTGAATTACACTAAGGAGACAGATCCATATACCTGTAACTGTGCTATACTCTCTACCGCACTCAGCATTTTAATTTTCGTAACATTTTGTTCTGATTAATGTATTATTTAAAGGTTAGCAGTGAAGTTTTTTTTTTTTTAAAACAACTCCTTCCTTCCTTCTTCTTTTTTTTTTTTTGGAGTTTGGCTCTTGTTGCCCAGGCTGGAGTGTAATGGCGCGATCTTGGCTCACTGCAAACTCCACCTCCCGGGTTCAAAGGATTCCCCTGCCTCAGCCTCCCGAGTAGCTGGGATTACAGGCACCCACCACAACACCCAGCTAATTTTTGTATTTTTAGTAGAGATGCGGGTTTCACCATGTTAGCCAGGCTGGTCTCAAACTCCTGACCTCAAGTGATCCGCCCACCTCAGCCTCCCAAAGTGCGGGGATTACAGGCGTGAGCCACCATGCCCAGCCAACCACACTTTCTGTTTTAAATCTCTCAGTGCTAGAGAGTGCATTTTCCTCCCACATTCCATGGAGTAGTGTCAGCACTAAATGAGTATTTGAACAAAGGCACTTTTGAAAAAAATGTGGTAATCAAATATACCTTTAAGATAGAAAGCACAATTAATGGTAGAGGGCACCTAATTATTTAATGGAAGGTTCAGACAAGGAAAGGGTTGGGGCAACAGTGATAGGCTCTGTCTTCTAAATGAAATCTCTTGGAAATGAGATTCTTTGAGTTGGCTTTAGGATCAGAAAGCACTATCTAATGTAAAATTTATGTTCTGGTAATGCAGCATGGGGGAAAGGGAGTGTTGGGTTTGTAATTACTTTGAGCAAAATGAGAATTAGCTCAAGTGGCTTGCAAAACTCACACAGGCAAAAACTACACAATTTGTAGAGCCTAGTACAAAATGTAAATTTGAGGCTCTTGTTAAGAAATTATTAGAATTTCAAAATGGCAGCATCAGAGAATGAAACCAAACATGGGGTCCTTCTGAATGTGGAGTCCTCACTGAGTCAGTCAGCCTCGTCTGACTGCACAGGTCTCACACCCACCAAAGCTGGCTGGTCCTGCGCATAGGTCGTTAGTGGTAGAGCTAGAACCAGAACTTGGGATTCTCAGCTACTTGTACAGTGTTCTTTCTATGATGATAGTCATCAAACTTTACTTGGGGACTTGAGAGTCTGTGAAATCCTTGATGATTGTTGAAAGATAATCCCAAAGTGAGGCAAAAAAAGAAAAAAATCCGTATGTCATTTCACCTCTTTTTTTTTTTTAACAACATAGCAAGCTCGCCTCAACAGAAATGCTCTGATCTGAATGTGCTAGTTAATAGTGTTTTGGGTGAAAGTAAATATAGAGAAACAGTGCTGATCCAAGGCCAACCTCTTTATTTCACATAATGGAATCTTTAAAGAGAACTTCATGGTATCCCATAAATTCAAAGACAATCTGATCAAGTAATGTTTGGTAACATTAAACAACATTTAGCCATTTATAGAGTTGGACTAAAAGTGGTGTTCTGATTCCTAAATGTTAACTTTGTTTTTTAATCTCTTGATATTTAGTTTTCCCTTTTCCTTGTTAACCCCTTATTATCTCCCCACAGAATGAAATAAACTCTAAACCTTCCTCTGTAAATTCATTTGCTAACTTTTACTGAATGACATGAAGGTAGAAGCCCGTTGTGAGATGCCCAAACCCATCCTGGCTTTTTTATATACACAGGTGTTCTTTGCATCTGTTCTTCATAATTGTTTAAAGCTTCTAAAGTCAAAAACTGCATTCGCAAGATAAGATTTCTATGATTCTTTAAAAAATCTCCTGATACGATTTATCATTAGAATGATGAAATGCTCTGTCACTTTAATTAAAGTATCATGGATCATAAATCTTTTTAAATTTTATTTTTATTATTTTTTTGAGACAGGGTATCATTCTGTCACCTAGGCTGGAGTGCAGTAGCGCTATTATGGCTCACTGCAACCTTGACCTCTTGGGCTCAGGCAGTCTTCCTGCCTTGGCCTCTTGAGTAGCGAGACATATGCTACCATGTCTGGCTAATTTTAATTTTTTTTTTTTTTTTTTTTGTAAAGCCAGGATCTTCCAGTTTTGCCTAGGCTGGTCTCAAACTCTTGACTTCAGGGGATCCTCCCACTTCAGTCTGCCAAAGTACTGGCCTTATAGGTGTGAGCCACCATGCCCGGCCCAAAATCATAAATCTTGATGGAATTTGGGAATTTTGGAATTTCAGTTTTCTGGTCTTTTCATCTCTTGCAGTTGAATGTCTAAGCCACCAAGGCAAGGGAGTTGGCAGTTCTTTTCTCAAATATTTTTAGTGATTAAGCTTCCACAATTGTAAAACCCCATTATTGTTGCTTAGCTTGTTTTTTTTTTTTTTTTTTTTTTTTTTTTTGAGACGGAGTCTCGCTCTGTCACCCAGGCTGGAGTGCAGTGGCGGGATCTCGGCTCACTGCAAGCTCCGCCTCCCGGGTTCACGCCATTCTCCTGCCTCAGCCTCCCAAGTAGCTGGGACTACAGGCGCCCGCCACTACGCCCGGCTAATTTTTTGTATTTTTAGTAGAGACGGGGTTTCACCGTTTTAGCCGGGATGGTCTCGATCTCCTGACCTCGTGATCCGCCCGCCTCGGCCTCCCAAAGTGCTGGGATTACAGGCGTGAGCCACCGCGCCCGGCCACTTAGCTTGTTTTTTAAGAAATGATTCCTAACATCTGTGTCCTTGTCTAATTGAAACATGTTTTCTTTTCTCTCTCCTGTGTACACTAAAATTTGATTGGCATTCTTTTTAGAAGAATATCTCATTTTGTATGTATGTGCATGGGGGGCGTTGGGGATGGTAGGAGCTATCATCAATTCCTCACAACTTAGTGTTTTTGGCGCATAATGATGGCTTTCAGTTGCTGAGCCATCTTTATTGCCAGACATTGTGGGAAGTGCTTTATACACAGTATCAAATTTCATCTTCAGAATAACCTTATGAGGAAGATATGTTATTGTGTTTGAAGATAAGATACAGTCTTCTTACAGTCTGTAATCTGTTACATTTTGAGGCGAAAGCCATCTCACTTTTTTTTGAGGAGGGGGTAAGACTCTATTTTATTTTATTATTTTATTTCTTTTTCGAGACAGAATCTTGCTCTGTCACCCAGGCTGGAGTGAAATGGTGCCATCTCGGCCCACTGCAACCTCCACCTCCCAGGTTCAAGCTATTCTTCTGCCTTAGCCTCCCGAGTACCTGGGGTTACAAGCGCGCACCACCATGCCGGGCTAATTTTTGTATTTTTAGTAGAGACGGGGTTTCACCATGTTGGCCAGGCTGGTCTTGAACTCCTGACCTCGAATGTTCTGCCTGCCTCGGCCTCCCAAAGTGCTGGGGTTATAGGCGTGAGCCATTGCGCCCAGCACCCATCTCACTCTCAAGTGTCAGGTAGAGGAAGTTTTATACCCAGGTATGTCTGACTTATGTCTGTGCTTTTCAACAATGTGCTTTTAGCTAGAGCTAAAAGGTTCATTAAGTCATAGATGACTTTAACTTATATAAAATCTTTATATAAGTTTTTGGCTTTATATATATATAAATGGCTTTATATAAGCCATTAACTTATATAAAATCTGTTTACTAATTTTATAGTATTCAATTTTGTGAATGTATTATTTATTTAGCTATCTCCTACTGATAGTTTATTTTTTATGTGGGTGATATGAATACTGTTTATAGCACATCTTTACACATATATGAGAAAACTTTTGATTGCTTTATTATACTTAAGTCATGTAAGTGAAATTGTAGTGTCTAACAGCATATGGGAGTCAGGTGGTGGCTCACTCCTGTAATCTCAACATTTTGGGAGGCTGAGGCAGGAGGATTGCTTGAGGCCAGGAATTTAAGACCAGCTTGTGCAATATAGCAAGACCCTGTCTCAAAAAAAAAAAAAAAAAAAATTAGCCAAGTGTGGTGGCATGTACCTGTAGTCTCAGCTCCTCAGGAGACTAGGATGGGAAGATCACTCGAGCCCAGAAGTTCAAGGCTGTGGTGAGCTATGATGGTGCCACTGCACTCCAGCCTGGGTGACAAAGTGAGACCCTGTCTCCCTCAAAACCACAGATGGTGCATTATTTATTGTTTGTTTTCCTTTTAACAAAATAGAAATCTTTAATTCTTCCATTAATTCCTTCTCTCTTTTTTGTTTATTTTTAAATAACAGAATTTCTAATAGACTTAAATGACAGCGACCAAGTTACATTTGACTCAGTATAATAAGTTAAATATGGTTCTGTAAGTAGGACTTAATTTTAAATGATAGATATATTTTTAATTATTATAATAATGTCAAAAACTCATACTTTTCTCTGCAGATTAGTGCCTTTGTTGTTGGCAACATAATCAGTTCAGAATTAACAGGCTGGTTGGGGCAAACATCTGTCTTCCAGATTTATTTAAAAAAAAAAAATCAGCCTCAGAGTTGCAGTTACTGATTCCAGATACCAGCTCATATGCTCTATCTTGCATGTATTATCCAGCCACAGGCAGCATGCCAACAGGCCGCAGTGTGGATGAGTGCTCCTGCTGTTGGCAGTCCTTGTATTCTACGGGAGCTGACGCTGTCAAGGCCCAGTTAAGAGCAAAAACCAAGTTGTGTCTTGACAGCTGAGACATTAGTTACAAAAGACTGTCTACTCCTTCTCTGGTTAATTTATTCATTTAGTCTCAGGACTCATTACTCCCCAATTACAGCTACTCCTATAAATGTTGGTCTATTGTGAACCAGTCACCCCTGATTGTTTACACTGTCTTTTCTGAGAAATTCTAGGTCCGTCAACTTAAAGGTCTAATAATAAATAATAATGACTCATTTTCTACAAGAGGGTTTAGAGAGAATTTATTGCCCTATATCTTACTGCCTGTGCCACTTTTTTTCTAGCACAACAACATAATGTGGTTCTTAAACAAAAAAATAACTAAATAAATTATCAAGTGTTATATTTATGTGCTCAGAACATTTCTTTAAAATGTGGATTTTCAAATAGCCATTTTTGCTTGTCATTGATAGTAACAAGTTTGACTCTTGCAGAAATGTTCATTTTCATTAAGTGACTGCACATATCAATTTCTACCTCTCAAATGGGTATTTTTTAGTTTAGATAAAAAGATGAATATAATGTATAATTTTTGATGTCTTTGTTAACAACTGTATTTTGATTCAAAAATTGTATCCATTGAAATGAAATTAATCCTCATGATTTCTCAGTAGAGAGTAATTATGTTTTTAGTTTAAATATTAAAATGTTCTAAAAATATCAAGTATCTTATATGAGACCTTAAAATAGAAGGTCTTAATAACAATTTTTTATGTGCTTCTGATATACTAGACACTGTACTAAGGACTTTTTTGTATTTACTCATTTAATCCTTTCAACATACTTCTATACTTGGTATTGATAGTCTCAATTTTATAGAGATATTTTGCCCATGTATTTGTATCCAGATCCATTTAATTCCCAAGCTTTCTGGCAGCATATCTCCTCACTCTGCCTTGCACTTATCATGTGTCAGGCACTCTGCCTAGTGTTTTACACAGATTTTTCCATTTAATTCTCTTTTCTCTGACTTCTCCTCTTCCTACTCTTTCTCTTCTTCTTCTCCCTCTTCCTCTGTCCCTTCTTCTTCCTCTTTCTATTGCCTTTCCTATTTGTCTTCTCATTATTATTACATGATATGATAAGGCCAAGAAGTATAGAATGAAAAAGTTTTAAGTATATTATCTGAGGTCATGTAGTTCTAGGTTGGCATTTTTGTTTCTAAATGAGATTATGTATTACTGTTTTATTTTACATCAGATGTGGTATAGAAAAGTGATAATGGTAGCTTATTTTAATTGTTACAATTTATGTAAAAGGAGAGAAGGATTGAAAGAGAAGAAGGCATGGAGAGAACAAAGGAGAAGGGGTCTAGCCTTTTTATTCTCTAGACTTACTTGCATTAAGTATTTACATAAAATGTGTGGTGAATTTGGTAATGGAGATGGAGATTGTAACATCCATGAGTTTTTGTTAATCTCACTGTAATTACTTAGTTTTTTATGTGTGAAAAACAAGAATTTTAGAGTATCTGCAAGCCACATAGTGTGCTGGGGCTTTTATACTCATAAGTGAGTATATTTTAGGAGTGTTTTGGGGAAACTCTGGTCTAGATATTACAGCATATGTAGTTGCATAAAGATCAAAATTAATTAGAATAGTTTTTATTTCTGAACTTGAGCTTAGATACCATGCAGACATTCACTTTTTTAATTAGCAATGAGACTAGCAAGCTTTCAAAAAAATCATTCTGGTCTGTTGGTATTTCAAGAAGTGATTTTTGCTAGCTTCTAAAGCATAGGTTGTAGGCAATTGAAAAGTGAAGTATATCATTTGAAGTTCTAAGCATAAGGCATGCTTATTTAACCAACTTTTAATTACAACTAGTGAGAAATGGAGGGTAAGTATATAGTTAAAATACAAGACCTCTTACACAATTAAAGGAGAAAGGAGAGAGGCATCATATGAGAGGGCAAAGTAAACCATGGAGGTCAGCTGAGTTGATCTAGTATAGTACAAAGAGCTTGGGAAAACTCTCTTCGGATTTTCATTCTTCACTAAATTTACAGATGTTTAATGTATTCACCGTCATTCTTTTTCCCCAAATAACTGTTTATTGGAGCTTTATAATTTTGCAAATGAAGCTATCTTTTGGAGATTGCTCTTTCTTTAATTTAAATGACGCCAAATGTCTGCTAGTCATCTGGCAAGGAAAATCAGGGCTGCTTGGTGTTGCTATGCTGCCATGATCAAATTTCTCTTCTAAATAGTAGTCTCCAGTCCTTAGTTGACATTTCACACCAATTGCCCTGTCACTGTTGGAGGCTAAATCAGCATATTAAGAAGCAGCAAGTGGTACCTAATGCCTGTCCTGAGGAAAGTTACTAGGTTTTAGTCACCGCAAAGATTCTCAGCTGCTCCTCCTTAAGTATTTTAGACATGCTCACTGATTTGAAACAACATTTTTCAGCTGCATAGAAGGCATACTGAATAAATACTGGAAGGAGGACAGTTTAAAGACTTAAAAGCAGTCTCTGTCAAGGCAGGCCATACTTTTCCTCTCAGCCGTACACACACACGGGAATTATCCCTATGATCTGCCTGTGTTTTAAATTGCCACATAAGTAGGCATCCATTACAGAGGAAGCTGGCAGTGTACATTTTTGTTGTGTTTGTGTGACAGTAGTAATTTCCTACTTCTCAATTTAGTGACAGCATTTTAAAAAGAAAATAATGTATGCATTTTAAGAAGCAGTGAGCCCCAAAAGACTTCTAGGTACTCTTGGTAGCTTATATATAAATGCAGAATCACATGTATGGTATAGTTAATGTTTACTCATTCGGTAATATTCAACTAACATTAACCAGTGAAAGACTGGGGTCTGCCTAACATGGCTTTGATGACATTTGTACAGCCTTTTCTGATTTACTTTCTAGTGTTAAGAGTGTATTACTGAATCAGATTGATATGGTTTGGCTGTGTCCCCGCCCAAATCTCACCCTGAATTGTTATAATCTCCATGTGTCAAGGGTGAGGCCAGGTGGAAATAATTGAATCATGGGGGCAGTTTCCCCAAAACTGTTCTTGTGGTAGTGACAGTCTCACAAGATCTGATGGTTTTATAAATGGGAGTTCTCCTGCACAATCTCTCTTGCCTGCCACCATGTAAGGCATGCCTTTGCTTCTCCTGTGCCTTCCACCATGATTGTGAGGCATCCCCAGTCAGGTGGAACTGTGAGTCCATTAAACCTCTTTTCTTTATAAATTACCCAGTCTTGGATATGTCTTTATTAGGAGCATGAGAACAGACTAATATACAGATATTTTGATTTATATGTTAGCTACTGATTGAATAGCTTTAGTTTTCTTTTCTTTCAGATAGAACATCATTCTATTATATTTGGTTCTCATCAGAGAGGGAAAAATCTTATAAGCATGTCTTATTTTAAGGAACCGGATTGTTCTCTTTGTGAGAATTTGGGAGTGGTGAGAGAAAGGAGAATTAGAGTTAGAACTGGCAAGGGTAAAAATATTTGATTTTTAAAAAAAATTCAGTCAGAGAAGAAATAATTTTATTAATGTTTATAAAGGCAGTAAGTAATGAAAGGAAATAATCGAGTTATCAAGGACATACACCCAAGTACAAACAAGCAATGCTATTCAGTGAGAGACTTCAGGAACACTTCTGTCCTGTCAGTTATTAGAACAGTGTTGAATACTGTTAAAACAGTTATTTTAAATTCTTATGTAGTTACTATATAAAATAATTAAAACTACCTTATTTATTATCTGTGTCTTTTAGGAATTCTTAGTGATTGTATTTAAAATTTATAATTATAGGTTTTAAAACATAAGCAAACTTATCATTTGTCAAGTAAAATACATATTAGATTTTTTATTTTTGAAGGTTTTTTTGTTGAATTTTTTGGTGCCTAGAATTCCCATACTTTAAAGCAAATAATATTTAAAAAAAAAACACCTGGTGACATTGATCTAAGGAATTAATTTTAATTTCTAGCCAAACCCAGTATTTGCAAAATGTAAGCAGTGATTAACTAAAACTTCTTAAGAAAAAAGTATCAAGTTAAATTTTGATTAATTCTACTGTTAGCGGGCATTAGTTGATTTACACTGTGTGTAGAATTGGTTGTGTGGTGAAATACAATACTGTTTGTCTTATCTATTATTCAGGATTTATTTTTCTAGAATTCTGATTTCCTCCCCTTCTTCATGTTATCAGTAGAGGATGACATTTTTAATTTGCATGTAGCAGGTTAATTTTTAAAAACCACCTTGTCTTTTAGTGTTATCTTACCTGATTTTTTTTCTGGCATACCTTTCTTTTTATTTGCAACATTTTCAACTTTCTTTTAGTGCTGTTCTTTTCAAGCAATATGTAGCTTTTAATTTTTGATGCAATATGAAAATTTCTGTCTCTTAATGAGAAAATTCAATCCATTGATGTTTACTTTGATGACTGAAAAACTTGTTTTTATTTATTCCAACTTACCATTTATTGTTTTAGAAAATTGCTGCTGTTGCTTTTTTTTCTTATTGTATTTCTTTCCATCTTTGTACATGATCATTTGAAAGTTGTGCTTTTTGAATTCATCATGGTTTCTATTCTTTCCTTAGTCTTTCAATAACCCTACTGTTTAAATATGGTACCAGCTATTTTGCAAATTAAGATGCACTGTATCTCTACACTGATGCTCCTTTCTCCCTACTTCTCTTGCCCTCCTAAATCCAATTGATACAACTTTAAGAGACACGACACGTTATTTCCTTTTTTTTGTTGTTGTTGCTGTTGTTGTTGAGACTCTGTCACCCAGGCTGGAGTGCAGTGGCACAATCTCGGCTCACTGCAACTTCTGCTTCCCAGGTTTCAAGCAATTCTCCTGCCTCAGCCTCCCGAGTAGCTGGGAGACAGAGTGAGACTCTGTCTCAAAAAAAAAAAAAAAAAAAAGATAATATGCTTAACTTTTAGAGCAGGAGAGATGAAGTTTTTGGTCCCTGTTTCTTTAACACTGGAATATGATATGATATGGGGTGGTAAAACACAGGTTGCTGAAGCCACTGTTAACAGCAGTCATATCTGCTTTGAATTATCACATTTTCATTGGCATAATGACGGATAAGTTTATCTCAGGCATTTTTGTATCATATTAAAATATCATTATTACTGCTGCTACAGTGACAGGGTCTTTTTTTAGTCCGGAGAGAAGGGCTGCTGTTGAAAATCACAATTAAAATTGGTAAATATTTTTTATCCAAATATGAACAATGTAAATTAAATAAGATTTTATTTTATTATTTTTTAAATAGAAAAGGTGGCATGCAAACGTTTGAGTGAAATAATTCTCTCAGGAGCTGTAAGATTACTAATAGTTAGCACACCTCACTAATGTTATACTTTCTTGCAATTCTTCCCACATATTGTTGATATTTAAAACATTTGTTTGCTGTGCTGACTATAGGAACAAATAAGAATACTGTTTTTGCCAGAAGTTTCATTATCCTGGTGTTTGGAAGAATGGAATGAAAACAATATTCTCTGGCTCTCTCACATTCGATAATGACCAACACATACAGCTGACTGGAAGAATAAATGCTCTCAGCATTGTGAATACAAGTTGAGTTCCTTTAGTGTCTATAAAAACTTAATGAAGACAAATATAACTTCATTTTTTCCTTCAATTTTCAACTGAGCTAAGATGGCCAGTATAGCAAATACAGAAAAAAATTAAATCAAGCAAACCAAAGTATTTACTTATCTACCCTAGCAACCTTTGATCCTTTGGGATTCAGATATAAAAGAAACCCAAACATTATTGCGATTGAAAAAGTAAATGGCTTAAGCATTATTTATTCATGTGATTCTTTTAGAAAGGTATATATTCTCCCAGAGAAGCACTGGATATATGTAAAAATGTACAAAAAGAATGTTTACTACAGTAGTTTGCATTAAAAAAAGATTGATCTAAATCATTGACATGATATGCAATATGATTTTATTTTTTAGTGCTGATTTTGGAGTAATATATTTTAAATTACAAAATATACATGTTCAATGTAGGAAATATGAGAATGAGAAATACTCGAAATCCTATTACCCATAAATAACCATGATTTGTATTTTTGGTGTATATTGAAAGAACCAAGGGAAAGTTTCCACTTTGCCCTCTAAAGGTATGCTGAAAACCGACAAAAGGTACATTGAAAGGAGAAAAGGCATACACATTTTATTAACATGCACACATGTGCAGAGAAGTCATACAGAATATGAAAACTCAAAGGGCCAGTTGGTTGGTGCTTTTATACCATGTTGAGGTTATGGAAGGAGTAGGAGCTTGGAGCATGGCAAGACTGGCTCTAGGAGAGAATGGAAGGCATGGGACAAAGGTGGTCTCATTAGGCAGATGAAACTTCACTGATAATATCTCTGAGACAGAATGGATAGCATAACTTGTGGATGAGTTAATTTCTGAGATCTGCAGATAAGTAGGGCCTCTGAGAAAGCCTGGTTGTTTACTTCACCAATATAGATTTTTCTCAACAGATGCAAATCTTAATGAAAGGCAGCTTTTTAGGGCTATTGTTGTCTGCAGGCCCTCTGAATAGCCGTCTCAAAATAGGTCAAAGAAATATATTTGAGGGTGAAATCTTTTTGGTTTCCTTTAGTCTCCCACTTGAAACTTTATCTTCACAAAGATTCACATATTAATCAAAGATTGGTAGCTATGGGGAAATTTGGGTTGGAGATTGTGAGATAGATTGACAAAGAAGAAGAAAAAATAGGTAGATTGGAAAACCTAGCTCATATCCTCTTGAATCAGTCTGTTAGTCCTGAGGATAGATCAGTTCAATTAAACAGTTATTTCTTATTCTAGGACGTTGCATTGCAGATGGACTCTCAAACCAGGACTGTACATACGATGCACTTAAATGGATCGTTAATAACAGGCATTTCTATGGAAACAAGAAAAACAAAGGCTAATGTCTGGACTCATCTGTAAATTAGTACTTTTAGAATTTGAAGCATCTTCGGTTTAAATGGGCACAGTGGGAATCCACAGTCTTGGATTGTATTTCAAATCAAGAGTTTCAAGGCCAGGCACAGTGGCTCATGCCTGTAATCCTAGTACTTTGGGAGGCCGAAGCTGGTGGATCACTTGAGTTAAGGAGTTCGAGACCAGCCTGGCCAACATGGCAAAACACTATCTGTACTAAAAATGCAAAAAATACAAAAAAAAAAAAATTAGCTGGGCATGGTAGTGCACACCTGTAATCTTAGCTACTCGAGAGGCTGAGGTAGGAGGATTGCTTGAACCCGGGAGGCAGAGGTTGCAGTTAGCTGAGATCGTGCCACTGCACATTCCAGCCTAGGTGACAGAGTAAGACTCTTGTCTCAAAAAAAAAAAAAAAAAAAAAAGTTTCAGTTAACTTTCTGAGTCTACTTCAATAGTCATGAAGACTGTTTATATATAAGTGGCTATAGTGGTTTCTCCCAAAGTTTATGACAGATTGTCCAGCTCCAGTTTGTAGGGCTTTAACAAAAGCACAATTTTAATTTCTAGTGATTTTTAAGTCAGAATGGTGGATGAAAAATTGGAAACAGTAGATTGGAGAATCACAGGGGACTAAAAATTTAAGATTCAGTCCAGATTGCAGGTAATAATAAAATCTCAAAATCAAACAAGAAAAATTTCAGTGAGCTGGAAACTAGTAACGGGTATGCTATAGTAAGACCAATTTATTTATAAAATACGTTTTAGTCTTATTAACCTTGGCCTGATTATTTGTTTAAAGTGCAACAAGGATAATGATTAGTCATATAGGCCATAAGTTGACTTTGCTGTAACTTTTTCATATGAAATTTCATATTAGACTTTTGAAAATCACTTAAGGTTTAGAGCCAAGCCAAAGACTGTGTCTATAATACCAGTCTGAATTGAGTAAATTTCTTTCTTCTCAAGGTCCTTAAAATATGTTGAGGTTCTTGGGGGCCTGTCAGAAAGTGACATAATTTACTTATCACAACAAGGTCGGGAATTTTTTAAGGGAACTGTGTAGGCAAGGTACCTGGGCCAGTCTTTTTCCAAGTCTGTTGGTGTTATAAAGTCAGTCCCAGTGCTTCAAAGCAGACTGGTCACATTTTAAAATATGTCTTTCTAGTCAAAGCCTGGGTAAAATAACCAGTGTCTTCAATTGTGTCCTGTTACAAAATAAAACAGATTGTTATTGAACTTACACAAATAACTATATTGCTATAAAATAAGAATATTTATAAATAACTTCCAAATTCTGGAGAGAGCAGTAGAAAGGTAAATGTTTAAATTGTGCTCACAAAAGTTTATTCTACCCAATTGTTACAAGCTGTAAGTAACTTGAAAGAAAAAAGATTTTTTTTTGATTGTGGAAAAGAACTGTAAAAAGTAAACAGCATCAACAATGTTTCAGTCAAAAACAGTGATAAAAAATTAGTTTTGTCCTCCATCAGTTCAGCTAAATGTAATTCTTGTTCTGCTTGATACTAGGTTAGCAATTTTATGAGTCTAGTTTTTTTTTTCTTTTTTTGTATTGGAGTTTTAGAAATTCTTACCTAGTGCATTTGTATGATCTAAAAAGTTGTCAGAAATGTGTATTTAAGAATACTTGTAGTCTTTTCCATGAACCTCCTTGAAGACATACCATTTTAGGATTTGCAAAAAGCTTTTATGGACAAAAAGCATCAGAATAAGCAATTTATTATGACAACAAGACTTAAAATGACCATGGTTAAAGATGGAACTAACAAGGACTTTTGTTATTTTCTGTGGCATACAGAAATTTAACACATCAGATATTTAGGAATTTCATCAAATTTTGGACACATATTAATTTATACACATATAACTCAAAGAAGATTAAACATCATTTCTTATTTGACAGTGTGGTCTATACAATTTAATAAATCAAATAAGCCGGATTGTCTCTCTTTTGGATGCCTTAGGGGTCCTCTGTAACATCCCAAAGCTAATTTGTGGTCAGAACACTTAATTTACAACTTAAAATTTTATTCTGTGAAGCCTATTAAACATGTCAGAGGTTTAAAACACTTTATCAAAAATAGGATCACAGGTCATTGTGAAATAATAGTCATTGATTTAGCCAAAGTGATAATTAAAAGATTTCAAAAACAAAAACCTTTACTGTTTGATAGAGAGGGGACTCAAACTTTCCAAATATTTAAAAGACCTAGTAAAGACAGCAGGAGTCACACAGAATCTGTTTCTCTCTCCCTTCCCCTTTTTTTGAAGTTTTCCTAAAAGGTAAACCCAAGTCTTTTATTATTTCTTATTAATAGTATATGAAAATCTTATTCAAAAGAAAAAAACAAATTATAGCTTTGCATTAATATGTGTTTTTGATATGAAGGCTCAATTTAACAACCATATTAATAAATTTATTTAACTTTATCCATTTAACCGCATAAAATTTGAAATTCTCCTTTTCCCTCAACTTTCTATGCCCATTTAGTTTTGTCTGCATCATTTTTCCCTTAATTTTAAAGCAACCTTTAAATTACCTCTAAACTAGACAAAATTATTTTCTCAACAAATACACATACATCCTCATACCTTTTATAACTTTTCTTACCAAAAAATATATCTGCTTTTCTTGTACACATTGCATATAGAATTATTTAATAGATTTAATTATATTAATTTAAATATTAACTCTTAGTAACCTTAATTTCTAGTGAAAACCTAGGAAGTAATTTTGAACTGTTTCATATCAGTGTTTGTAGATGAAAACCATTTCATAATTTGTAAGAAAGATATGTTTTCCTAGTTTTTAATTGACAGATCTAAATATATTTAGCTTTTCTATACCATATAAAAATAAGATGTTAAAGCATATAAATTTAGAGTTATATTTAATAATTAATGTTATAGTATTTTTAACTTAGAAATGATACAGACATTTTTATGACTATTACTTAATTTCACATAACAAGCCTTAAAGACTTTACTGAAAAGTATTTTGCAACTATGACACAGGTACCCTTGCGAATGTCTTCCCCAGTTGCCCTGGGTTCTGAGTACTCACATGGCATTCAGGACAGGTATGAAGAACAGGGACTATCTGGGTCCTGGATCCATATACCAGGTTTACAACCCAGGACAGAGGACAGAGGTGTGAACATGGCAGTTGGTGGGCCACGTGCCATGGACACACATGTGTTTCCAGGTCTTACTATGGCCACTTCTCCAGACTCCAGCATCCAGAGGCTCAAAACCAAAGATAGAAGCTCACATAAAGATATTTACAGGGATTTGGAAGAATCCAGCAGCCAGCGTTTACAGCTTTAGATTACAGAGAAATTAAACAAGCATAAAAAATATTACAGAGGCAGCAGTTTCATGGCCTTAAAAATTGTAGCTCAGACACCTTAAATTACCTGGCTAACCAGTAGACCCAGGCAAAAATGTCTGAATTATATTTAGTATAGTTCTGAAGACTTTCCATTTTATCAACAATTTTTTTTTTTTGAGACATAGTTTCACTCTTGTCACCTAGGCTGGAGTGCAATGGCATGATCTTGGCTCACTGCAACCCCCACCTCCCAGGTTCAAGAAATTCTCCTGCCTCAACCTCCTGAGTTGCTGGGATTACAGGCATCCACCACCATGCTCAGCTAATTTTTATATTTTTAGTAGAGACAGGGTTTCGTCATGTTGGCCAGGTGGATCTTGAACTCCTGACCTCAGGTGATCCACCCGCCTCGGTCTCCCAAAGTGCTGGTATTACAGGCATGAGCCACTGCACCTGGCCTTTACCAACAATTTTAAAACTAGCTTTGTTTACCAAAGATTATGTTGGTTCACTTAGAAATATCACATATACATAACAGATATAGACATATAACATAAAGAGACACAGAATCAAATCTTGCAGCTTTCATTGAAATTCTCATTTGCCAACTTCCAAATAGCCCTTCTCCACCCGATTTAGACCATCAATCTTCAGATCACCTGTTTCATTGCCCTATGCAACTGTTAGCTAGGCAACCTTAAACTTGCACTTCTAAAGGGATGGCCCTAGGTGAATTAAGAGAGAAAATTTCTGTCTCAAAGACAGAGAACTTGTATGTAAACTTCATTATTTGCCAAGACAAAGAAGGGCATAGGTAAAGGCCCATTTAAGACACATAGCCAGGAAAAATACCTTAAACAAAAGTTTGTTATGGAAATTTTTAAGGGAATGCCTTTCCCATGGTATGGGTTTCCAGTGGTTTTGGTGTAGAGAGGGAGATTCCCTTACAAATGGAGAGTTTTCTTATAGGTGTAAATCTTTTTTACAAGAAGTTTGAAAATGGGCAGCAAAATATTGGAGAGTTGTATTTGGAAGATCCATTTAGTTGAACAGGTGGCTTTTTAAGTTTCTGTTTCTTAAATTAACTAGATTACCGAATTCAGGGTGGAGCCCATGAATGAATTAGGGCTGAACCTACTTGTGACTGTTGGGGCTCTATGAGGAAGATAGGTTACCCAAAAAGGAGACAATGGCACCTTCGCTGTGTTTTGAAGGCATATCAGCGTTCCTAGAAGTCCCTTTTTGATCCCTTTATGTGACAACCGTAACTCTCATGTTTCTTTTCAGTACATTTTTATCCATTGATTGACCCAATGGAAGAAATATGGGTTTGAAGGGGGAACAATCAATGATTAAAGGGAACTGGGTAGAAGACTGAAGGTGGCAAAGGAGGGGAAGAATCAAATGGAGCATTGAGTCCAAGAGGAGCCAGTGTGGATACATCTCAAGCTTCGCAAAAGGCCAATGAAGTTTTAGTTTTTTCTTTAAGCAAAAATCTTGCCAATAAGAAAGGAAGTCAACAGAGGGACTGAACATACAATTAGGATGGCGTTTTAGTTCACTGAAAAAGATTCCTGTGGGAGAAACAGGATCCAAAAGAGAACAGAGAAGTTTAAAAAATATGTAGTTTGAATGTCAGCTTTTAATTAAGCTGATGACCATAGAGCTCTTGTAAAATCTTTTCAAATCTTTCACCATCAGGTTTTTGCTGGGACAAACTGCCAGTATTCCAGCTTTTGAATATTTTTTATCCCTCTTTGCATTTAAACAGAAGGTATCTACCAAGTGACTCAGAATCAAAACCAGTAAGTCTTTAATGACTAAGCAAGGATGCAAGAGGTATCTCAAAAGAGATGCAAAGAAGCAGTCCTAACAAGATCAAGAGCCACCCCCAAAGATGGCTAGAAGAAGAAAGGGACATAGATATGAACAGGAGAGCAATAGCCCTCCTTGGAGGGGAAAATGATCTATAACAAATGGGTACCCCAAAATGTCAAAAGTTACAAAACTTCAAACTAATTCTTATATAATTCTTTATAAGAATTATAAATTTATAAATTATATAATTATTTTAAGAATTATAAATTTATAAATTATATAGTTATTTATAAGAATTACATAATTCTTGTCAGGCATGGTGGCTCGCTCCTGTAATCCCACCACTTTGGGAGGCAGAGGCGGGAGGATCACTTGAGGTCAGGAGTTCAGAACCAGCCCGGCCAACATGGTGAAACTCTGTCTCTACTAAAAATACAAAAAAATTAGCCAGGTGTGGTGGCGCATACCTGTAAATTCCAGCTACTTGGGAGGCCAAGGCAGAAGTCCTTGAACTCAGGAGGCAGTGGTTGTAGTGAGTGAGATGGTGCCATTACACTCCAGCCTGGGCAACAGAACAAGACTCTATTCCCACACCTAAAAAAAGAATTATATAATTCTTATAAATGTTTATTTTTTCTCCTAAGTTAAGGAATTTACATCCACATCTCTCTGAGTGTCTAATGAGATTCAAACCTTGGCTGCAGCTGTGGGAGCATAGAACCCTAGCCACTAGGCCACAGGCTGGAGTGCTTTTTTTGCAGATCCCATGGAGAAACCAAAGCAGGCTGTTGAGAACACAAAGGATTTTAATTTTAATTTAAATCAGTTGTCTGCCTTTTTGTTGTTTTTGCCAAGAGAGATTTTAAGGCTATTTTTTTTTTTTTTTTGTATTTTTTCGTAGATACCAGTAAGAGAGCTGGTGAAGAGAAACACTCACTAAAAGGTTTTCTTTTAAATGTAGCCAATTTTATTTATTCTATTAATGACTCAAGCTAATAAGCCTTTTACTTGGAAAGTCCCAGAGATAACTTTCCAGGTTTAGCACACCATGGATATAAGTGGCATTTTAAAAACGAAGATGCAGGCCTCATGATCCTCCAGAAAATTCACTCCCAGAAATAGATTAGGATAGCAGAAGTCTCTTTTTGCCACAGGTTAAGGATGGTATTTCTGCATACGATGTCTCCAGTCTCTCAGAAATTTGTGGGAAGCTGCCAGTCACTAACCCATTAATCTGTGACAATGGATAGTCCATGTGCAATTGGACTTTCCCAGATCTAACCATGTAGTAAAAGTTGAGACAGCAAAATCTCCTTCTTCTTCTTTAGAGGATGGAACTTCTTCTTAAGACACAATTTCTTCTTGAGACAGCAAAATCCCCTTCTTCTTAAAGGGATGGAACTTCTTCTTAAGACATATTCACCTGAGAGGTTGGCAAATTCAGAACAAAGAGTGTGCTGCTTAAAATCTTACTTGTCTTAGGGTTCTCACTTCTTTCACGCTGGCTACCAGACATGACCCCAAAATCATGCCATCTGGATGGCTGAGACCAAAAAATAGTGATTCCATTTGATGACAAGGTAGACTCTCAGGGACATAAAACAAGACCAAAGGGACTTTATGACAACACAAAAAACAAAGACAAAGGAAAACACATGACTATTTCTGGGAGGAAAAGGATCAGACAATATGAATATTCCAAAATATATACCAGAGTCGCTGAACCTAAGACTAGTCTGTATAAATGCTTTTCTCTCATTAATCTTAAATTTGGAAAAGGAAAAACAGTAACTGTCACTATCTGCTCAATTGGATTCCACAGATAGACACCTGGGTATCTGACTAGTAAGAAATTTTTACCTTTCTGTCAGCCTGACAGATTCTGAGTTCCCTCGACTGCAGCTTCAAAAGAGCTTCAAAAGAGCTTTTGGTTACGTTGCTCATAGCACCAAAAGTGTAGGGAAACCTTCCCTTTGCCCTCTATAGATATGATGAAAATCAACTGACGAAAAGCAAATTAATAGGAGAAAATCATATAAATTTATTATTTGTGCACACATGTGCATGAGCATCATAGAAAATATGAAAACTCAAGGAATAGGCCAGATGGTTGTTGTTTTTATACCATCTTGTGTTATAAAAAGTATAGGGACTTGGAGCATGGCAAGACAGGTTATAGGAGAGAAAGGGGCAAAGGTAGTCTTGTTATGTAGATGAAACCTCACAGGTAGCAGCTCTGAGAAATAATGGATGGTAGGCTGTGGTTGAGTTAATTTCCTAGATCTGCAGGTAAGGTGTAGGCCCCAGAACAATCTTGATTGTTTATTTCACTAATAAGATTCTTTTTAAACAGAGCAAGTCTCCTTGACAAAAGACAGCTTTCAGGATTATCGTTAATTTGTAGACCCTCTGAATAGCCATATCAAAATATGTCAAAGAAGTATATTTTGGAGCGAAATATTTTTGGTTCCCTTTATTATCATCCTATTATTTCTATATATTTACTTTAAGAATCATTGTTATGCCAAAATACTTTGTATGCCTGTGAATGTGTGCATGAGACTCTTACAAAATACAGTGTCTTAATTCAAATGAATTTCATAAGTTATTCTTCACAATTATCATTTTAGAGAGAAGTTATCTGAAATTCAGATAAATAAATTACCCAAGATTGCAACATTAATTAGTGGTAGAGTTAGGACTATTTGAGACTAATAGCAATTCTTTTTTAAAAAATTAACATTAACATTTTTTGAGTCATTACATAATATGTGTACATACTTACGGTGTACACATGATATTTTGTTACATGCATAGAATGTGTAACGATCAAGTCAGGGTATTTAGGGTGTCTGTCGCATTGATATTTTCCGTTTCTGTGTTGGGAACTGATCAAGTCCTCTCTTCTAGCTATTTCGAGATATACAATACATTGTTGTTAACTATTGTCCCCTACTGTGTTATCAATCATTAGAACTCATTCCTTCTCTTTCATTGTGTGTTTGTGCCCATTAACCAACCTGTCTTTATGCCCCTCTCTATACACCCCTCCCCTAAAATATTCCTAGCCTCTGGTTATCTATCATTATACTTTTTACCTCCATAAAATAAACTTTTTTAGCATCCACATGTGAATGAGAACATGTGATATTTGTCTTTCTGCTTCTGGCTTATTTCACTTAACGTAATGATCTCCGGTTCCATTCATATTGCTGCTAATGACAAAATTTCATTCTTTTTTTGTGGCCCAATAGTATTCCATTAAGTCTATATGCTACCACATTTTCTTTATCTATTCATCTGCTGATGGACACTTAGACTGATAACTATCTTTGCTATTGTGTTATAGTGCTGCAACATACTTGGGAGTGCAGGTATCCTTTTAATACGCTGATTTTCTTTTTTTTTTTTTTTGGATTAATATCCACTAATGGGATTATTGGATAATATGGTAGTTCAATTTTTAGTTTTTTGAGGAAGCTCCATACTGTTTTCTGTAGTGGCTGTAGTAATTTACATTACTACCAAAAGTATATAAGAGTTCTCTTTTCTCTACATTCTCACAGCATCTATTACATTTTGTCCTTTTATTAATAGTCCTTCTAGCTGGAATAAGATAATAACGCATTGTGGTTTTGATTTGCATTTCCCTGATGATTAGCGATGTTGAACTTTTTTTTAATATACCTGTTGGCCATTTGTATGTCTCCTTTTGAGAAATGTCTATTCATGTCCTCTGCCCATTTTTTAACTGTTGAATTGTTTGAGTTCCTTATATATCCTTGATATTAGTCCCTTGTCAGATTAATAGTTTGCAAATATTTTCTCCCCTTCAATAGGTTGTCTTTTTACTCTGTTGTTTTCTTTGCTGTGCAGAAGCTTTTGTTTAATATAGTCCCATTTGTCTAATTTTGTTTTTGTTGCCTGTGTTTTTAAGGTCCTGGCCTTAGAATTGTTGCCTAGACCAATGTACTGAAGTGTCTCCCCTATCTTCTCTTGTAGTAATTTTATAGTTTTGGATCTTACATTTACATCTTTAATCCCTCTTTAGTTGATTTTTGTATATGGTGAAAGATAGGGGCCCAGTTTCAACTTAGCGCTTTTGTAAAAAATCAGTTGGCTGTAAACAGGTGGATTTATTCCTGAGTTCTCTGTTCTGTTCCATTGGTCTATGTGTCTATTTTTATAGCAATGCCATACTATTTTGGTTACTATTGCCTTGTAATATATTTTGAAGTCAGGTACTGATGCCTCCAGTTTCATTCTTTTAGTTCAGGATTGCTTTGGCTACTTGAGTTTTTTTTTTTTTTTTAGTTACATACACAGTTTAGAATTTTTTTTTCTATTTCTGTGAAAAATAACATTGGAATTTTGATAGATATTGCAATGGATCTGTACTTGCTTTGAGTAATATAGTTGTCTTGATAATAATTATTTTGGTCTTAAAGACCAAATGTTGGCCGGATGTGGTGGCTCACGCCTGTAATCACAGCACTTTGTATTTTTAGTAGAGGCCAAGGTGGGCAGATCACAAGGTCAGGAGATAGAGACCATCCTGGCTAACATAGTGAAATCCCGTCTCTACTAAAAATACAAAAACAAAATTAGCTGGGCATGGTGGCGGGCGCCTGTAGTCCCAGCTACTCAGGAGGCTGAGGCGGGAGAATGGCATGAACCCAGGAGGCGGAGCTTGCAGTGAGCCGAGATCGCACCACTGCACTCCAGCCTGGGCGACAGAGGGAGACTCTGTCTCAAAAAACAAACAAACAAAAAAACAGAAAAAACAAACCAAATGTTGTGTCATTTCTCCAACATATCATCATGCCTCCTATGTTAACTCTTCTTTTGTGACATGGTTTTTAACGGTTGTATAAACTATCTTTTAGACATTCTAGGATTTACTTAACTATTCCCCTTTAGTAGACAATTATATTTAGCTTATATTTGTCTACATATATAATTATTGTTGGGATGCATGACTTGTACATAGTCATTTCTGAAATTCAGGATTATTGCTTGAATAAATTTTAAGAATTAGAAATCCTGTAGGCTGGGCACAGTGGCTCACGCCTGTATTTCCAGCGCTTAGGGAAGCTGAGGCAGGTGGTTCACATGAGGTCGGTCGGGAGTTCGAGACCAGCCTGACCAACATGGAGGAACCCTATCTCTACTAAAAATACAAAATTACCCGGGTGTGGTGGTGCATGCCTGTTTCCCAGCTACTGGGGAGGCTGAGGCAGGAGAATCCCCTGAACCCGGGAGGCAGAGGTCGCCAGCCATGAACCGAGATTGCACCATTGCACTCCAGCCTGGGCATCAAGAGCGAAACTCCGTCTCCAAAAAAAAAAAAAAAGAATTAGAAATCATGGAGATGAGGATTTGTGTATTTCAAGGCGTTTTATTACACATCATCAAATTGGGCCGTGAAAGTATGGTCTAATGTTTGGATGTACTTGTTCTCTCACACTTTGCCTACATTAGGGGTTACCATTTAGAAATTTATGTGTCAATTACATAAATGGAAATTTTATTAATACATAAAACATTTTTTATATGAAAAATCACCAAAAACCCCCAAAATCTAGAACTCTAATAAGGGGTACAGTTATATGTAGATTTTGTTATTTCAATAGAGTTTATAGGTTCATGGAACATTATTTAGGAAAGAAAATTTAAATATATTCTGTCTATAAAATATAAAAGCGTAGGCCAGGCGGTGGCTCATGCCTATAATTCCAGCACTTTGGGAGGCTGAGGTGGGTGAATTACCTGAGGTCAGGAGTTCGAGACCAGCCTGGCCAACATGGTGAAACCCCATCTCTACTAAAAAATACAAAAATTTAGCCAGGCATGGTGGCAGGCACCCGTAATTCCAGCTACTCGGGAGGCTGAGGCAGGAGAATTTCTTGAACCCAGAAGGCAGAGGTTGCAGTCAGCTGAGATTGCACAACTGCACTCCAGCCTGGGAGAGCCTCTGTCTCTCTCTCTCTATGTGTGTGTGTGTGTGTGTGTGTGTGTGTGTGTGTGTGTGTGTATTATTTACCAAAATTAATACACAATTTAATGCAAACATCCCTTATTTATGTAAGAAAATTTATTTAAAAAAGAATTCATATTTGAAATACTTGAAAATTAGGTATCAAATTTTCTACCATCTATGTTGGTGGGAATAAAAAGGATCATTATCAAGCTACTCTTAACAACTCTTTTTTCGTTGTGTATGGTTAGGGCAACATTTACATTTTGTACTATGTATATATTTATATTTTGATTCATCAAGTTTATAAGAGAAAAATGATCACCCTAAGACATTGGGTTACTCTCTTAAGATAGCAAACCTGGCTGGGCACGGTGGCTCACGCTTATAATCCCAGCACTTTGGGAGGCTGAGGCAGGCGGATCACCTGAGGTTGGAGTTCAAGACCAGCCTGACCAACATGGAGAAACCCCGTCTCTACTAAAAATACAAAATTAACCGGGTGTGGTGGCGCATGCCTGTAATCCCAGCTACTTGGGAGGCTGAGGTAGGAGAATTGCTTGAACCCAGGAGGCAGAGTTTGCGGTGAGCTGAGGTCATTCCTTTGCACTCCAGCCTGGGCAACAAGAGTGAAACTCCATCCCTCCCCCGCCATCAAAAAGAAAAATAAATTAAAAAAAGATAGCAAACCTTTCTTTAGTCATTCACATTCTTACCATCTCAACTTTTATGCAAATTCAATGAAACTGTAATATGTTAATTAAATTGCAATGTCTACATTTGGATGTTATTTATCAACCTAACAAATCTTCCTTTGTGAAATTTAAATTTGGAAGTTATCAACTGCTTCATTATAATCACTAACACCAGTAATACAGATCCTAGTTTTTCCTTATATTAAAGTATTCAGACTGTTTTGAAAAATGAGACTATATCAGTTTCACGCATATTTTAATTTTAGAAAGTAAATACTAAATCTAGATTATTATATTTATAATATTTTAGTTTTACATTATTTATTTTTATTATAGAAGACAGATTTGTGGATTAGATTTGAATTCTCAGTATTCTGAATTGCTGTAACCTCACTATTCTAAGTATTCTAATTTAAGAAGCCTTCTTCCTTTGGTTGACTATCATTTAATAATGTCCTTAAGTTGGAAAACATGGTTGACGTGTTTAAACTTTAGGAGTTAGAAATAATTACTGTGAAAACATGGTCTTTCCTGCATACTTACGGTAGCAAATATAGCAAATTACTGAGGCTTTTCATATATATTCTGATAACCTTTAGTTTTATATGAATTACTCATGGCTTTTACTTTTGTTTTATGTGGACAACATGGTTTGTATATTACATGATGAAAGAGCTTTTCAAATTTTCATTCTTTTACGTATAAAATATTATTCATTTAAAATGGTATCTGTAATCCTATTAAGGGCTATGAGTCCTTCTATGATCTAGTTTGTCCTTTCCTTTCTGATTTAATTCCTCTTTACCCATTACAATGCTTCAGTCCACAGGCCTTCTTTATCTTTATTGCTGTCTGAGAGTATTTGCACATTCTGTTCCCTTTACTTAAAAAAAAAATTCCCTAACTTCGTGCTTTATTTACTTTTTCTTTCTTTACCTTAGGTCTCAGTGTGAAGATCAAAATAGCCTGCTTGACGATGTTGTTTAAATCAGACACCCACCCCTATTGTTATTCTGAATGAGAGACACCTACCTGTATTATCTTCAGAGCAATGATCACAGATCGGTCATGATTCAAGTTTTTGTTTGTTTCATTGTCTCCTAACTGGTAAAATCCATACGCGCCCATTTCAGTTCATATTTATCTTCATACCTGTTGGGCCTAACATCGTTCCTGATATATAGTGGGTGTTCTATAAATATTTACTGAATGAATAAGTTGGTTAATGAGTAAAATATAGGTTTTTTCCCTTTATAAGCTCTCTAATATTTTCTGATTTTCTATAATCCTATTAATTTAGGGCTGTAGAAATCAATTATGTTTATCTGATTGCTACTCATATAATAAAACTGAAGTTTGAAAGATGTGATAGTGAAGTGAAGACACTTTGAAATTATGCATTCTACTCTCATCTAACTTTTTTTTTTTTTTTTGAGATAGAGTCTTGCTCTGTTGCCTAGGCTGGAGTGCAGTGACATGATCTCAGCTCAGTGTAACCTCCGCCTCCCAGGTTCAAGTGATCTTGTGCCTCAGCTTCCCCAGTAGCTGGGACTACAGGTGCCTACCACCACGCCTGGCTAATTTTTGTATTTTTAGTAGAGATGGGGTTTCACCATGTTGGCCAGGCTGGTCTCGAACTCCTGACCTCAAGTGATCTGCCCACTCCTGCCTCCCAAAGTGCTGGGATTACAGACGTGAGCCACCGCACCCAGCCATTCTCATCTAACTTTTTAAGTAAAACTATCTTCACTGTTCTTTCTGAGAAAATGCTGATTGCAAAATACCCAAAACAATAATGAGAAAGTAAAAGTTTCCACTTTAACCTACTTTCTCCCTAAAACCCCCCAAAACAAACAAAAAAACCTACTGAGAATAATTTGGTATATGATCAACTTTCATTTTGTACATAGTATGTCTTTAATGTTAACAACATGTTTGTATGATAAGCAGAGAATTTTTTTTTCCCAATTAACCAGGTGAGTAAAAAATGACTTGGTATTTACTATTATTTTTACTTTTTTTTTTTTTTTTTGACAGAGTCTCGCTCTTTTCACCCAGGCTGGGTGCAATGGCGTGATCTCAGCTCACTGCAGCCTCTGCCTCCCCGGTTCAAAGGATTCTCCTGCCTCAGTCTCCCGAGTAGCTGGGATTACATGCACCCGCCACCACGCCCGGCCAATTTGTGTACTTTTAGTAGAGACGGGGTTTCACCATATTGGCCAGGCTGGTCTTGAACTCCTGACCGCAGGTGATCCGCCCACCTCGGCCTCCCAAAGTGCTGAGATTATAGGCGTGAGCCACTGTGCCCGGCCTATTTTTACTTATTAATTGAATTATATGTACATAAACTTGCCTCATTAGACATTTGGAGCTGGGTGTGGTAGCATGCGCCTATAGCCCCTGCTACTCAGAACACTCAAGCCTAGGAGTTAGAGGCTGAAGTGTGCCTGTGAAAAGCCATTGCTTTCCAGCATGGGCAACATAGTGAGACCCTTGTCTCTTAAAAAAAAAAAAAAGACATTTGCACTCTTTTTAAAAATAAATTTCATAGTATGATTGAACTATAAATATGAAATTTAAAGTAAAGAAAGGAAACTTATTCATAAGTTCTGGTCACCAATTTTAAGTAAAGAGAGTAAATACGGTCATTCAGATGTTAACAATATTATAGAAAAGAATGGAAAACCTGGATTATGTTTCTGAAATATATAAGCTTAGAAGAAGAAAGAAGACAGTGGAATCTCAGATGACTTCATAATGCCACTCTGTAATGTTATCTTTTAGTGGCAGTTACAGTTCTAGTCCTTTTATATATACTAGTACACTCAGAAATCAAAGAACTGGGTGGTAGATGGGAATGTCTGCATTGCCCTGGGATTCCCTATTGGTGGAAAACATTTACATGATACTAGTTTTTAGAGTCATTATTTGCTACTGGAGCATTTTAAAAATTCATACTAAATATTACTCAATAATTACCAGTCGGTGTGTATAATTCTACAATAGCTGCAAACATTTTTGTATTGAAGAGTTTTTGAATAACATTTTCTAGTTAGTGATGTATTTCATAATAATTTTGTTTTAATATATTTAATGAGGAAAGGTTTTTAAAAAATTATTAAAATTTCAATTTTACTCTACTTGATTCTAATTAAAACCACCCCTTGGCAATAAATTCTGCTTCTTATATATCCGTATTACAAGAAAATAATTGAGGAAACTTAAGGTTGTTTCTTGTTTATGAAGGTGGATGAATACATAATTATTTATTAAGATTGCTTATTAGTCGTTTTGTTTTATAGTAAAATCTTTATTAACAGCCTCCAGCATCTGAAATATAATACATTCCCAAGAAAATGTGCTATATAGAATAAGCTGGCCAATGTTATAAGGCACAGATATTGGTAAAGACTACAACTACATTAAAAAGGCTAAAGGTGATCTCAGGAATAAAAACGTAGCCATTGTATCCTAGAATTCTGTTTGTTCATTTGTTTAATAGAAACCCTTTTTATTCTATAATTACAATGACTTTTTTACAAAAATTTTTTTTGAAAAGGAATGTTGACTCTGCTAGTCTACAAATTGTATACATTCTTTCTATTGTGCAACAGCATTGGTAATATTAGAAGAAACACACTTCTAATTATGTGAAGTTACCAACTGAAAACAAGTGATAGCTTGCCATTCAACATCTCCCCCCACAAAGGAAGTATTAACAGGTGTGGTATCTTAGTATTAGCTGCCAGGAGACATTCATGTTACAGATCAATGATCAAGATTGTTGTTATACTATTAAATAGGGTAATACATTTTAATGTGAGTTTTTTCTATTTGTTTATTTTTTGAGACAGGGTCTCTGTTGCTCAGGCTGGAGTGCAGTGGCACGACCTTGCTCACTGCAGCCTCAGCCTCCTGGGCTCAAGGGATTCATTCACCTGCCTCAGCCACCTGATTAGCTGGGGCTATAGATGTGTGCCACCATACCTGGCTAATTTTTTTTTTTTTTTTTTTTTTTTTGGTAGACACAGAGCCTCACTATGTTTCCCTGGCTGGTCTCCAACTCCTGGACTTAAGCGATCTTCCCACCTCCGCCTCCCATAATGCTGAGATTACAGGCATAAGCCACCACTCCCCGCCAATATGAGTTTTTACTAATGAGAAATAATAGTATCCTAAACCCTGACATTTAAAATGATTTTTGCAGATACATAGGCAGTCACCAACTACATGCATAAATCCTTTTAATTTTAAATCTCATAGATTCTTATTTATTGAATGCCAACTATTTGCTAGGCTCCTACAGGTTGGAGTGGCAAAAATTCATATTCACCTACATATGCAATTAATCAGAATACTATATAACAAATGAAATCATAAAGAATGTCCACATACAGTGGTAATACATAGGAGAGAATGATTAACTCTGTTTTGTTGTGGGATGGCATGGGGTCAGGGAATGCTATAGCTGCATTTTAAATCAGTCCATACTGAAGTGAATAGGAGTTTAACAGATAGCTTTAAAAGGAGACATACAACTTGTTTAAATAAAATGTGCAATTAAGCATCTTGGGTCTAAATTTCTCTAAAATCCTTCCTGCTATTCTAAGAGGTTTATAATTAGGTGTCTTTCTGCTAATTAATTGCAGTAGCATAAAGCTTCACTTACTTGTAACAGCTATAGTGCCCAAGGCTGCAAAATTTTAGCAGACACATTGAGCTAACTGATTCGGATGTCAGAAATGCTCTGAGATGTTAATCCCATTTTAAAGGGGTCACTTACAGAAATAGTTTTTCCTCTTCAGAATCTACATGTTTTTTTTTTTAATTATTATTATACTTTAAGTTTTAGGGTACGTGTGCACAATGTGCAGGTTAGTTATATATGTATACATGTGCCATGCTGGTGTGCTGCACCCATTAACTCGTCATTCAGCATTAGGTATATCTCCTAATGCTATCCCTCCCCCCTTCCCCCACCCCGCAACAGTCCCCAGAGTGTGATGTTCCCCTTCCTGTGTCCATGTGTTCTCATTGTTCAATTCCCATCTATGAGTGAGAACATGAGGTGTTTGGTTTTTTGTCCTTGCGATAGTTTACTGAGAATGATGATTTCCAATTTCATCCATGTCCCTACAAAGGACATGAACTCATCATTTTTTATGGCTGCATAGTATTCCATGGTGTATATGTGCCACATTTTCTTAATCCAGTCTATCATTGTTGGACATTTGGGTTGGTTCCAAGTCTTTGCTATTGTGAATAGTGCCGCAATAAACATACGTGTTCATGTGTCTTTATAGCAGCATGATTTATAGTCCTTTGGGTATCAGAATCTACATGTTAACCCAGTATCCTCACACTTTTTTTTTTGTCACAAACTGGCCCTGTGTTATAGCAATAGTGACTCATTTATGTTTATACACTATAAATCACTAATCTCAACACTTTGGGAGGCTGAGTAATCTCAACACTTTGGGAGGCTGAGATGGGAGGATCGCTTGAGTTCAGGAGTTCGAGACTAGCCTAGGCAACATGGTGAAACCCCATCTCTTAAAAGAAAAAAAAAAGAAAGAAAGAAATTAGCGAGGTATAGTGCATAGTGGTGTACAGCTGTAATCTCAGCCACTGGGGAGGCTGAGGCAGGAGGATCGCTGGAGCCTGGGGGGTCAAGGCTGCAATGAGCAGTGATTGCGCCACTGTACTCCAGCTTGGGCGACAGAGTGAGACCCTGTCTCAAAAAAAAAAAAATACAAGCTACTTTCTTAGACATTTTCAAGTATACAATAAATTGTTATTAATTATACTCACCTTGTGTCTCTTGAACTTATTCCACCTGTCTAACTGAAATTTTATACCTTTTGATCAATATCTCCCCACTTTGTTATTTTACTGTAACAAGAAACCTTTTACATTAACATTTATGTTTAAGGTTCTTTTTCCTTTATAGAATATTTGAGGAAATGGGCAAAATGAAGTATTGGAAATATAGGTGTTCTCCAAAAACGATGTCTCAAGTTTCACTTCCTTTCCTGAAAGATTTTTGTGTAATTAATAATTAGATGGCAAGTCTTTTGTCTTTCTCCTTTTTAACTTAGCAAGTAAAATATTGACAAATTATAACTATGAGCCCTGTATTAGTTTTCTGCAGTTGATATGTCTTGGACTGATTTAACTTTCTTTTTTTGTCATGTAGATGTTTATAAATTGGATATATCATGTAAAAGTAAAACATTTTAACAACATAAAATGTAGCTAGAAAAATATAAATTAAAAAATTAACTCAAATTTATTAGTGTAATTCCTTTACAAAGTTTCAGAATGATAAGATTGATACTTACTTTGTAGGCTGTTGGTTTAAATTTTCTTCTACATGGTTGGGCTTCAGATATATAACTGCTTTAAATTTGGTTTATCATCTGTTTTGTTGCAGGGATTCCTCTGTAATTATTTTAGCTTACTAGATTTCATGACTCATGACATATTTTTAACATTGGGAGATACTTAATGACATGACTTATCATTAACCATTAGTCAATCTGCTTTTTATTGTGAAATTTATTTTTCCTTCCAGAATAAAATAGCTCATCTCAGAGTACAAAAAGTCATATTTCTGTTGCAGCAGAAAACTTAATTATAGTAAAAATAAATGATGAGTCATGTCACCATATAGAAATTGCAAGTGTGAATAACCGAATTCCTAGATTCAAGAGAAGACCTGTGATAAAGGAGCCTAATATCAAGTTAAAATTTCCATCCTGCATCTATGTTACAGCTGACTTCTACATCAAACCAAAAATATTTGAATTTTATGTAATAAAGGCCAAGTTATTTTTACTGTCAATTTTAAGTACTTTTAGTAGTAAGAAATAAGAATATCTTGACTAGATATTTAGCCATATTAAAATATAGCCGAACAATTTATGTTATGTTAAAATAGTTCAGTTTACTAGAGTTTTGATTAAGCATGGTGGCTTGAACAAGCATATCTATCTTTATTTTCTTTCAAATGCCCCATTGGAATAAAATAAAGGAAAAATGAAGACTTAAATCTGTGAGGATAAAGATGATAAAAGAGAAGATAGTGTCAGATAAGAAATGCTAACAAAATTGTAGAGCCAGAAGAGAGATCATTGTCTTCTAAGAGCAGAAAGAGCAAAAAGCTAAGGGCCTCTACTGGGATAATATATAATAAATATTTCTATTGGGAAATAATCACATTTGCACCTCATATCTCTGGAAGATTTTAGAAACAGGAGCCACAAGCTGCCTTTAAAAAGCTGGGTGCAAAATATAGCTGAAAACATAAAGATTCATTGAAAGTGTTTAAAATAAATTATATTCCCAGATCCTTCCCATACTGAACTCAGCCCTGGGTTGAACCCAAGAAGCTCTGGACTCAGAGATAGCTGGAGCTAAGAGATGTATGAGGCATCATTCTAAAACAGGAAACTATTTTAGAATTAAATAAAGCCTCTTCTTTGAGGTGTGAGATACCCAGGCTCCTCCCTTCTTGAATCCTAGAATTAGAAAGGAGTTTGTAAACGTAATTTCTGCAGCTATTGGCACAAGAGAGGAGCTCTTCAGAGACTGACATTTTGGGATTTGCAAACAAAATGGCCAGGTCACCAACTGAACACCCTACTTACCTGTTAGCAAACCTGCCCATGCAGAATGGGCTTTCAACTAGCTTTTCAAAGTCTTACTCTTAAATATGGATAAACAAAGATTATGTATGATTGAAGAAAGCTTTGAACTTAATGAGAAAGTCAAAATGACAAACAGGATAAAAAGAAAAAAAAGACAAAAGCAAAAAACAGAGGCAACCGAGACAATGCAGGAAACTGAAGAAAACTTCAAAAAATGATATTATACATCCTTAGATAAGAGATCTTTCATGTGTAAAACAAGATTTAGAGTGCTATATAAAAGGGCCATTGAGATAATTTATAAAAATTCATAACTGCAACATTAAGTAGAAGTGAAGAAAGGTAAAGTTAAGGAGACTCTCCTAGAAAAAAGGCAAAGAAATAAAAAATAGAAGATAAAGTCATAGGAAATTAGATCAGTCTATGAAGTATAAAATAAGGTTTCCGAAAAGAAAGAAAAAAAATCAAGGGGAAGAAATTATTTTTTAATGTGTATGTGTGTGTGTGTATATATTTGTATATACTCACATATACATATATGCATACATATGTATTTGTGATTCTCATATATTTGTATATAGTAAGAATGCTTACTCATATATTCATATAAAATTTGTTTATTTAAATTATATATACCCATGTATAATTTCCCATAACTAATGGACTTGGAAGCCAGATTGAAAGACATCATAAGTAGGAAGTGAAATAATGAACAGGACGTTGACAAGAGGTTTGGGAACACTGAAGAAATTATATTACAGCTCCAGAGAGAAAGATAAATGACAGTACATTGGAATAATAGTCAAAAAGGCAGTAGACTTTTTAATAACACTGGAAGCTAAAGACAATGTGAAATACCTTAAAAATTCTGAGAAATGATAATTTCCAAACTAGAATTGTATATCCAAATTATCAATCAAGTGTAAGGTAAAGCACGTAAATTTTCAAAAAATTGTTTTCCCGATGCACCTTTTCTCAGGAAGCTACTGGAGGAAGTGCTCCAACAAAACAAGGAAACAAACAGTAAAAGGAATACATGGATTGTTTTAAAGAAACAGGAAATTGGAAACGAAGAAGCAAGGCAATTACTGATGTCAGCAGAGCAGCAAGCAAGGAGTTTAATCCCATCAAATAGGTGCAGGGTGATGGAGTTATCCAGGACTTATGTCTCCAAGGAAAACATGAGGCAGATGGATTGCTGAATATATTTGATCCTGTTGAAGTGACTAAGTTTTCCTTTAGAGAACCTGAGAATGTATAACTCCAGGGAAATCAATAAGTTGTAAAATAAAGGAAGTGTCACAGCACACTACATTGCTTAGCTATGAGTAATATTTTCATTATCATAATTATGTCAGCACTGAATTATAGAACTACCTAAAAGTTGCCACTAGCTAAACTGGAAAAATTGAGGAAGAGAAAAATGTGTGTGTGTGTGTGTGCGTGCATGTGTGTATGTATGTGTGTGTTTGTAGTGGGGAAGGGAAAGTAACAAAAGAAAAATAAATATGTATTTTGATAAAACAATTTTGTGGATATTATCTAAATTTTAAAAATGTATAGCAGTTTTAGAGTGTTATATTTAAAAATGGAAGTATATAACAAAAATAGCTAACATAACTGAAAACATTTAGCTCTGGGCTGGGTGCAGTGGCTCACGCCTGTAATCTCAGCACTTTGGGAGGTTGAGGCAGAAGGATCACCAGAGCCCAGGAATTTGAGACCAGCCTGGGCAACATAGTGAGACCACGTCTCTACAAAAAGAAAAAAAAGAAAAAAAAATATATATATATGCACACACACACACAGATAGATATAAAAATATAGATTTTATATATATTTTTTATATATTATATATCTAGTATATATAAATATAAATATATATATTTATATATATCTATATATCACATATATAGATCTATCTATATATAGATCTATCTATATATAAAAATATATATAATATATTTTTATATATTATATATTTAATATATATAATAAAAATATATATTTTATATATTATATATCTAGATATTATATATCTAGTGTAGATGTAGATAGATATAGATGTATAAAGATATCTATATATCTAAATAGATGTATAAAGATATCTATATATCTAAATAGATGTATATTTATATATTATATATACTATATATAAAGGAATTATATATACACTATATTCTATATAGTATATATATTATATATAGAATATTTTAAATATATAATATAGAATTTTATAGATATAGAATTCTATATCGATATAGAATTATAATTCTATATCGATATAGAATTATATGTACAAGTGGCCTGCACTTGTAGTCCCAGATAGTAGGGGATGGGGTTTGGAGGATGAGGTGGGAGGATCCATTAAGCCCAGGAGTTTGAGGCTGCAGTGAGGTGTGATTGCACCACTGTACTCCATCTTGGGCAACAGAGCCAGACCCTGTCTCAAAGGAAAAAAAAAAAAAGAAAAGAAAGTAGAAAATGACTGGCTCTAGAAGTGAATTAAGAGTGGGGAAGGTGGCAGGCTTTTTAAAAATAATGCTTTCACTGGGTGCGGGGGCTCACGTCTGAAATCCCAGCACTTTGGGAGGCCGAGGTGAGTGGATCACCTGAGGTCGGGAGTTTGAGACCAGCCTGACCAACATGGAGAAACCCCATCTCTACTAAAAATACAAAATTAGCCCGGCATGGTGGTGCATGCCTGTAATCCCAGCTGCTCGGGAGGCTGAGGCATGAGCATCGCTTAAACCTAGGAGGCAGAGGTTGTGGTGAGCCGAGATCATGCCATTGCACCCCAGCTGGGGCAACAAGAGCGAAATTCCCTCTCAAAAAAAAAAATTCATGGCTTTTTTTTTTTTTTTAATATACGACCTGTAGTACTCATTGACTTTTAAATTGAACACCTATATTATATGGGGAAAATATGATTTAATAAAAAATAAAATGAAACTGTTTGCAATTGGAAATGAATTTATATTGCTTTCTTATATAAAACAATGTGTTACCCTCAAAGATTAGCTTGGACTCTTACGTCTTGTCTAGGTTTGTGCTTATTTCAACTTAGTATATTACTGCTGAAAGATGTACCTGTTTCCTTGTCGAATTGTCTATTTTTGCCATAACCTAAAATTAAAATAACAACAATTAATGCCTCCTCCTCCTTTACCTCCTCATGAAAATATTTGAGGCATCCTTTTGATTTTTCCTGTATTATGCTTGCCTCTGTCCTTTAGTCTTCCTTTCGCTTAGTTCAGAACTTCATTAACTCTTACCTGGAATATATTAGGTTGGTGCAAACATAACTGTGGTTTTTGCTATTAAAAGTAATGGCAAAAACCGCAATTACTTTTGCACCAACCTAATAGGAACAACTTCTGAAATGATATTTCAACTTCTAGCCTCTCTCTGCTTTAATTTGTTCTAAAGAGCCTTCAGCTTGAACTTCAGAAATCACAACAGTAATGTAGGTTCTACTTTAAGTGAACAACAGCAACAAAAAAGTTAAGGGTAAGATGAGGCAGTCTTTTCAGTGGAAAATACTTGTCTTGGGGACAGTATGTCATGTCCCTATACCTGGTGCCATTGATAAGGTTATTCATTCAACAATATTTACTGATCACTGGCATATGCCAAGCACTCTGCCAACTACTAGGGATATAAACATTAGAAAGACAAGTTCCTCCCTTTTCAGTCACGTTTAAAAAGGCCGTAAATATTAGAGTTTTCTCAAAGATGAGTGAGGTTTCAGAGCCAAGTATTTGTTGATAGAGATTCAAGATAAATGAACTGTGTTTGAGCTCTGTTAGGTTAAATGGTGTTTTTTCCCTCTATGCCTTAAGTCAGTGAGAGTCATATTTAATTTTTTAATGAAAGACCTTTATCATACCTTGAAGTTAGAAATTAATTATGTAGTTGGTTAAATTATTTGGAATGGTTAATGCCTTTTTACTGTGTTCAATTCTAGTCCCATTTTTACCTACCTTTTTATTCTAGGCCTCTGCAAACTTACGTCCACAAACAATTTCAGTTGTCAAATGAATAATTCATCTTGTTCATTGTATTGCGAATTGGCATATCTGAGAGCAGATACAATGGTGTGTGTTTGTACAAGAAGCCTTTTGTTCTTTTGCAAAAGAAAAAAATGTGAGGTGTCAAAAGATGTTTGTACTAAATTATGTATATGTTGGATACTTGATTCTTAAAGTCATGCTGGGGGGTATATTTAAATGTGGAGGTATATGACTAGGTCTTATTGTACTTTTTTGCATTTGATAAATTCAAATATTTTGACTTTCAATTCACCATAAACAAATAGCATTCATTTTCTGTTTTATAAAGGACAAATAGATAACTACTTTATTTGGATCCCATCCAGATTTATAACTGTGTGGAACTAAATATTTGCACTATGTGGTCATGGTGACTTTCTGATAGGTAGTGGCTGTTGCAGACTAGATACATGACTGTGATTTATTATTTAACTATGGGCTGCGTTCATTACAGCAGGGAGCCTCGCTTCCTGTAGCTCCTTTGAGATCTATGACTGTCATAACACTTTGCACAGTGGCATGGACATCATTCTCAGTTGCAGGTTTCCTCTGAACTCCTCCAAAAGGCTTGATTTTCACAACCTCAATGGAACACACAGAGAATTCATGCCTAAACTTATTGACTCTGATATCCAGCATGCTCATAGGAGCATAAAACCATAGGCAGCTGTTCTTTTGGGTCCCAGTTGTCAGGTGGGAAATTACGAAGAGCTTCATGCTGTTCTAAATAATTAAAATTAATACTAGAAGAAAACCTGCTCAATTAGCATCAGATTCCTTACAGATATGGAATATTAAATCAGTGTCTTCAGAGACAAGTATGCCTTGTGAGATACAAATATTTTAGCAGGAATAATTTTTAGTCTGCCTGGATGACTCAACAGAATGTATCAATTCAATAACTCTTTGTTAAAAGAAGCTAAGCATTCAAATGTGTGTGTGTGTGTGTGTGTGTGTGTGTGTGTGTGTATAGAAGCAAAATAATACATCTTTTAATGTGAGTGCTCCTTCTATAGTCCCTTCAGTTACCTTAACTGCCCCAAACAATCTTCTCTTCCTGTAATTTTATTAAAATTATTCATAATATAACTTTTAGAGGACAAGGGTAGGATAAAAGGGAGTCACAAATAATAACATCTTTTAAGAAATACTGAAAAACAAAACAAGTTTTAATACTGGAATGGATGCTAAGAAGAGAATTGCAGGAAAGTTTACTCTATGGCACTTGAAGACCTTTATATAAAAAACTTGGGGCCGGGCGCGGTGGCTCACGCCTGTAATCCCAGCACTTTGGGAGGCCGAGGCGGGCAGATCACGAGGTCAGGAGATCGAGTCCATCCCGGCTAACACAGTGAAACCCCATCTCTACTAAAAATACAAAAAAAAAAAAAAAATTAGCCGGGCATGGTGGTGGGCTCCTGTAGTGCCAGCTACTCGGGAGGCTGAGGCAGGAGAATGGTGTAAACCCGGGAGGCGGAGCTTGCAGATCGCACCACTGCACTCCAGCCTGGGCGACAGAGCGAGACTCTGTCTCAAAAAAAAACAAAAAAAAGTAAGGAGATAAACAAGCCCTATTCTTAGCCCTTGTAACTCTCAGAGCTTTATACTTTTATGTTTGTTGTTAGATGGCTGATAATTTGTTCTCTCATTATTTTAATTGTCTGCATCATTTTTAAAAGGGTTGTCAGAGAGAGCTTGCCAAAGTACATGACATTTAAATCATTAAGGAATCATACTATGGTATCCCAGATCTGAAAGTAGAAAGTGCATCATAATGCTATCATTTGAGAATTTGGGTCACCTCTCCTGGGAGCTCTGAATTTGATATTCATTTCCTTTCTCAGCTGCATTTTCTTCACTAAAAAACAGTGCAGTGAAGCATATAGGACAGATGTTGTGTATGAGAAAGAAAATGGAAAACAAACACAACTGTGCATTGGGGTGCATGTGGGAGGAGATATAATAGAATTCAATGTGGTTATTTCTCCAGAACATCCCAGCCAAGGATAACATCCATCCTTGAGGCCAGTGACCTTATTGCTAAAACTGCCTGCCTAAATATAATTTAAGTTACTAAGAAATTTGTTTTTGGAAATAAACAAGGGACTCTAGTGTATTAAAAAAAAAAAGAAAGAAAAGAAGAAGCCAAAAGTCTAAGCTAGATTTACCACATGCTAATATATTTGTATGTCAGGGACTGTGCAATTAGACTTGAAGTTACTTACTGGAATTCTACAGGAAAAGGAAAAATAATACATTGGCGCTAATTGTCATTACCCTTGGTTGGAGACATATATGATTAAAAAGAATGTGAAGACAGTGATAATTAATAATAAATGAACTATAAATTAGATCAGCTGATGATTGAGAAGAGAAGAAATTACTCTTTAAATCTGTGCGTGCTTGTTAAATGGTGCAGGATGCAAAGAGCACCTGCCTGCCTTTTTCATGCCCTGGACCTGCTGTGCTTTTGAAACCTATAGATAAGTTAAATGTGTTCCAAGCAGCCCATGGAGTCTATTTCATCTTTGTAAATGGGGGGAAAAATCTCCACACACTTAAATAGGCATGGGGACAAAGTAACTTGGCTAAAGAAGCAAAAACCAATTGGTGATTAAAAAAAAGAAAATAAAACATTTTTCTTTTTGCTTTCTTTCTTTTTTTGTGTGAGAATAAACTAAAGCTTTTTAAGACCAGATGAGGTATTGAGACATGATCTAATCTGCCTTCTCCCACCAGGCTTTGCTACGTCAATAATCAGTGTCTGCCTCAGAATATGAAAGTAGGGAAACTTAGGACAATGAACCAAGCTAGAAACAGGACTTCAGAAAATCACTTTGGAAAGATTGTACAACTTTGTATTTTGCTTAGATTATAAAAAGCTATAAGATACTTGTATATCTGTTTTTGCCTGGATAAACCTTGTGTCCATTTCAATGAGTTTTAAAATTATTTTGAGTAGGTAGTTTTGGGGTGTGTGTGTGTTTTAGTAAATATGTGAGAATCAGAGTTTCCTGCGAGTGATTATAAATCTGTTTCTTTTTCAGCAAGAAAAATAGCGAGTATGAGGGTAAGAGAGCAGAGGACAAGCACCAACAGGGACAGTGATAAGACAGGAAAAACAGACTTCCCAGAGAAAGGGTGTTTCTCAATCGCTTGGGACCCTTTCTTCCAAAACAACTTTATGTTGCTGTCTAGGTGATTAAAGCCCCTAGATAGCAAGTAATATCTATAAAAGCTACTGGCAGACACACAAATGTTAAATAAGCAGATATGGGAGAGAAGGAAAAAAAGGAGAAAAAGTACGAAACAGTGGTGTATTACAAGGGGGCGTGGCAGAGCAGAGACAGAGAGGAAGAAGAGACAAGGGAAAAGGAGAACAACAAATATTGCCATTGGATAGCCCAAGAAAATGCTTTCAGTTCCTCAGGAGTAATTCACTGGAATCCATCTGTGGCTTTTTAATCATTGATCTACAAATAATAGAATGATTCATTCATGTGCATACCCCCAACTGTATTTTATCAGCTGTGCCAGTGTTGCGTACTTTAACGTAAGACATCACCAAGTAGGAAAGAGTCTTCATAACCTGTGTTTTTCATAGAGGGTCCCATGGCCTCCAGTATCAAGTTTTTAAATATGTCATTGTCAAAATAATTAGGGTAACCATATGTTCCAGTTTACCAGGAAAAGTCCTGTCCCATGCGTTCATATATGCTACTCACATTTACTCTTCAAAGGGTTCAATTTTAAAATGTTACATATAGTCCACTAATCATAGTGGATCCAGCCAATGTGCTGCAACCCAAAGCTACCATAATATATGGATAGTACTGCCCTGACACCTCCTTATCACCCCCTGCTCAGCATTTACTTTTTTTATAACAGTTACGTACTTCATTTAAGAGCTGAAGAATTTCAGAGTTACTTATATGTTATAAGTAAATAAGGGAATAACTATTTCAAGAGTACGTACTGCATATCATGACACTTTTCAGTCTGGGAAAGGTACCTTGGCTAGGACTGCAGGATTGCACAGGGTTGGGCTGTGTAGGGGGTTCAAAGGATTTGGGGCCTGATTGAGGAAAGATATGACCATGAGAGGCATTACCACAAAACAGGTTTTATTGGGCAGCCCTTGAACAGGAATGCAAGAGCGAGGAAGTCTCTCACAGCATGAAGCCATCTGGAAGCTTATGGCCATGACCACCATCGAGAAGAGGAGGAGGGCAAGGGGAGCTCCTGGGAAGAGGGGAATCAGAGAGGAGGCTTACATGTCTATGTGCAGTGATTAAGCAGCACTGGGGGTGGTTGTGGATCAAAGAGCTCTGCATGGCAGCAGGGCCTTGGGATTTTCATCGCCCCGGGCTTATTTGATCTATTGCTAGTAGATGTGGGTGGAGTTTTAAGGAATACACAAAGGAGGCAGTCTCCTGTGTGGCTAAAAATCTGTTTGTTGGGGCTATTTAAAAAAAAAATGGATGCGTAAAAATTTGAGTTTTGTTAAGTTCTGAAGGGCTGGACCTCTCAGGGTCTTATGTACATTACAAAGACAACCCAAGCCACATATATACTATTCCTATGGCCTGAATGTTGATGTTTCTCCACAACTCCTATATTGGAACTTAACCCTCAAGGTGATGGTATTATGAGGTGAGGCCTCTCACAGGTAATAAGGTCATGAGGGCTCTGCTCTCCTGGATGCCATTAGCGCTGTACAGAAGGGCTTGAAGGAGAGAGTTTACCTTCCTTGCTCTTCAGCTCCTCCTGCCATGTGAGGACTCAGTAACTAGGTGCCATCTTTGAAGCAGAGAGCAAGCCCTCATCAGACACTGAATGTACTGGTGCCTTGGTCTTGAACTTGCCAGCCTTCAGAACTGAGAAATAAATTTCTTTGTTTATAAATGACTCAGTCTAGGGTATTTTGTTACAGCAGCCTGAATGGACTAAGACAACTGTATTAACCCTCACAACAAGAGGGAAAATAGTAAATACCTGGGCAAACTCCAGTGGTTTTTTAATGTATCAGTTAAACCTCTAAGCCAGTTTCTACATTAACCTGCATGGTCTCGCCCTTGGAGATACAAGATACGTGATGCTCATATTTATTTCAGTTTGCTTTTATCTTTTATTTTTAAATTTGTGTAGATTTACCTTTTTCTTTATAGTTTTTTTCCTTTTTCTTTTTTTTCTTTTTTTTTTTGGAGAAGGCTCTTATGTTGCCCAGGCTGGAGTACAGTGGTTATCATAGCACAGTAGAGCCTCCACCTCCTGCCTCAAGTGATCTTCCTGCCTCAGCCTCTCTAGTATCTGGGACTACAGGTGCACACCACTACACCCAGTTCTTTGTAGTTTCTATATTTGAAGTTTTGCTTAAACAGACCATCTCTAACTTGAGCTGTTTCCTTTTCTTTTAATTTATGCTTTCATTGTTTTCTGATTTATTTCCCCTCATGTTTAACCTCTTAATCTATATGAATGGGCTTACATGCTGCAAGGTGGGCATCTTTTTATTTTTCTTTCCAAATAGTTAAGTGATCATTCTAGAATCATGTTCTCATTTATTTAAAAAATTATATATCTGCTAATTTGTTTCTAGATGTTCAGCTCTGTTTCATTAGTTTTTGCATTATTGTACTAGTTACATGCATTAATGCTATTTTTCCCTTATGCAATTTAATGTCCCAAAGTCCATGTGTGACCTTATGTTACTAAAAAAAATAGAGATTCTTTATGGTGATTGTTAGTATATAAGAATCTTCCTCCTATCATCTTCTTCCAAGACCATATCATTTTTACTCCTAAGTCCTTAGAACTTGCTCTCCATTTTCACAGATACCGTTCACTTAAAATTCTCCATTAATGTTTTAATCTCCATATGAAATTGCTTGTTAGGAACTCTATCAACATTTATGCTATTTGATTATATGTTTTAATACTTGAATAAATATCTATGCTTTTTTGTAAATTTTAAAGTTCTATAAAATCATAAGCTATTTAGATGCTGGATCCTTCCTGGCTTATCTTTTCACTGTTCACCTGCCCAGCCTTGCATATAATAAGCATTGAGTTGTCTTCTTCTAATGTTAGAAGGAAACTTTGTGGAAGACAGCTTTGTAAATGTCTCATAAAACAACAATTTGAGAAAACTCAGGTTGAATTCTGGAACACAGAATGGAAAAGATAGGTACACTATTTTCTGAAATGAAATTTTTTTAACTTCAATTTTTTTTTTTAATAGCCGCAGTTAGATTGGTATTCTTCAGGGAAGGTCTAATATGGTCAAAATACAATTGTAGTAGCAGATTTCTTATAATACATTGTAAGGAGCGTGGGAAACAAAATCTGTCTCTCGATTCAGATGTTTAAATGAAGGTTCTATTATAAAGTTAAAAATATTTGAAAAATTCTGAATGCATAGTCACCATTGCCATGGCATTACCAGTTTTATTTAATTTGATTCTTATATTAGGCGAATTGCAGCGTTTAAATTTGTAATGTATTGTAGGAATGTGCATGGTGTACCTGAGGTGCCCCTTCCCACACCCTCCCTGCCACACGCACATAAAATAAATTTGAACTAAAGGAAAACAAATCAGAAATATCCTCAAAGATGTCTTCTTACTTAGGAATCAATTTTATTGTTTTGGATATTTTTATAGATAACCCTCTGTGATTCCCCCCCCCACATTTTACAATTTTATTTACACAACACTTTGTTTAATAAAATGGAATTATGAAAACATCATTTTATTTGTTGGCAGTATATGAACTAGTTATAAATATAAGAAAATAGGATAATTACTTAGGTTAAGTATACTGGGAAATCAGACACGCCCTCCTTCTGCTAAGAGTTTTTCTCACAAATCCTGCTAACCTTCCTGCCCACAGCTCTTACCTGTCTCAAAGGGGTCAACCCATGGATCAGGATGCATCAGTTACAACTTTCACATAGATTTTTCTCCCTGGAACTTGTTGGGAGCATACTGGGTATTTTCAATTCCGATATTCCCCAACTTCCCTAGATCACTCGGTGGATCCGAACATAACTGCAATAACAGATTAGATTTATTTTTATTTTATTTTATATTTTAGAGACAGAATCTGGTTCTGTCCCCCAGGCTGGAGTGCAGTGGTGCAATCTCTGCTTACTGCAACCTCCGCCTCCTGGGTTCAAGGGATTCTCCTACCTCAGCCTCCGAAGTAGCTGGGACTACAGGCGGGGGTCACCACATCCAGCTAACTTTTTGTATTTTTAGTAGAGAAGGAGTTTCACCATGTTGACAAGGTTGGTCTTGAACTTCTGACCTCAAGTGTTCCACCCACCTCGGCCTCCCAAAGTGCTGGGATTACAGGCATGAGCCACTGTGCCTGGCCAACAGATTAGATTTAGCTTTGGCACATGGAGTTTTTTTCTTTCTTTTTTCTTTTTTTCTTTGCTTTGTTTTCTTGATATTTACAATATTATGAAAGATTTTCAAAATTGCTATCATGAAAAACATCCTAAGTTATTGCAGGATGTATGACATTACATTTATAAAGGGAATTGTCAATTTTAGAATGGAATCAGAGAGTTTTAAATATAATATTTTAAATTTATAAATCATTTTAGCTATTAAATGAAAGTTCATAATGACACGTACATTTGATATTTATATTCATTCTTACATTTAACATTGATACAAATTCTATAAAAATAGCATCTTTATCATATCCCGCTATATGCTTACAGTGTTTTGAACTATTTTTTAATAGAAATATTTGTGCAGATAAAATGAAAGGCAAGGCATAACTCTGAATTTTATAAATATTATAGAGGACAGAATTTTTTTGGCATAATGTTGCTTTTTAATCTATGTGAAACTCCATATAATTGAGAATATTCACTTTCTAAGGAATGACAGTTAGTTGGTAAGAATTTGGGTGAAAAAATTATATGTCCACATTGTCTTGTGTAGTGGACATTGTGGCTGTCTCTTGAACAGTGAGTCCACCCCTCTCCTTTGTGTAGCATCCATCTGGTTTGGATGACACTGACCAGTTACTGACATGGGACTGCGTCTCTCGACACAATGACTTGTTCTTATAAAAACCCAAGATTCCGTTGGTTAACACATGGTCTTCTGTTGTCTAGAAAAACTGGTTCAAGAGCAGTCTTATCAATGCAAAGCTCAAGTCTCTTCAGTAGTGGTGTGAGGAAGAAAAATCTCTCTTTTCCACTGGCCCCAAACCAGAGTCTCCTGAGAACAAGAGGAGCCTTTAAATTATGGAGGACTTGATTAGTTGATGCTGATGTGGAGGTGGTCAGTCAACTAACACTGAATCACACTTTACATCTGGACTTCCTTGTTCTCCAGTTTAGTAAATTCCTTAATGATCAGACCAATTTGAGTTGGATTTTCAGTTACTTGCAGCTAAAGGAAACCCAAATGATATACCTGCTGCTGTGGAAATACACTAAAATGGATTCCAAATCAGGAGCCTAAATTTGTGTCTTGGTTCTTCATTTACTTGCAGTTTGACCTCAGACAAATAAATAATTTCCAGGCAGGCACTGGTGCACGTGTCTGTAGTCCCAGCTACACAGGAGGCTGAGGTGGGAGGATCACTGGAGCCCAAGAGTTCAAGGCTGCAGTGAGCTATGATCATACCAGTGCATTCCAGCCTGGGCATCAAAGCAAAACTCTGTCTCTAAAAAATAAAATTAAATTAAAATAATTAATAAGTAAGGTTTCTATGTAAAAGGGGTAGATGAGATTACATAAAAAGCTTCTAACGCTAAAATTCTAGAATCTGTGATCCTAAATTGGTTTCTAAATTTAAAAAATGTAAATTTCATGTAATGGTGAAGATCATTAGCTTCTTCCAGAGCTGGACTACAGCTTGGGAGTAGGAAGACAGGCCTGTGTGCTCTTCAGGATATATTAAGATGGCACACATCAAAGTGTCATTTGGGAAGATATTAGCATAAACAAAAAATGCCACAGAACTGTTTTATTAATTACTTGAGCCTCGTGTTTTGTCCTTATGAGCTCTTTTGTCCTGGAATTCTGAAAATTATAATTTGTCAGTACTTTTGTCACTCAAATTTTCCTCTCTGTCATATGTAATATATATGTACATGTACATGAGCATGCACACATACTATTTTTATATGTTAAATGTCTTGAAATGGAAACTAGCCAAATCTAACAATAAAATATCATACAAGTAACATGTATTTTCACTTATGATTCAAAATAAAATACATTGTTCATTTGAAAATTAATATATTTTTAGTCCTTCTTTTTGATTCACAAGATTTACTTTAAATAAATCAATACCAGGTTTTTAAAAAGTGTTTTGTTTGTGTAATCACTGTGCCTTTTTTTCTTGTCACTTAAAAGAGAAGACATAGAAAATAGCATGCAATTATATCATTTTTGTATTGTTACAGATATTTAGGTCCAATTAGTTTTGATCACTTAAGCTGTGAACAGAGAGACCAGATTGTGTGAAAATTACCTGGACCAAGTTTAGTCTTGTGGTAAGACACAATCTAATTACATTTTAGGTTAAAAAAATAACTCTAAAGCTACAGAGTACAAATAATAAGCGGTATATATACTTATTATGATTTTATTCAGGGAGACCTAATTTTTTCAAATCTTAACAACAGATCAGTTATTAAAAGGAACTATTAAAGGAGCAGTAGGTTATGGGAACCCTGCAGTCTAAGGAGAGAGCAATTATGAAAAGTTAGGTTAGAAGAAGAGACTGGATATTATTTAAGGAATCTGTTTAGTTTTAGTCCTATACAGATTTATCTTCATTGAGATGAATATAAACTTGGGGAAGAGGTCTTTGTCACTGAGATTTAGAAGTATTAATAGTCGATGATGAAGAAATGCCCTAGAGAAAACATTATTAGCCAGTCATTTTGGATTATAACAACTACAGACTGGTTGATAATCAGATTCTATAGATGGCCTCTTAATTTGCAGTATGTGTCTTTCCCTAAAATTTGAATTGCCAACTGTTCAGAAGTGGGCTATACCACTTGTAATAACTTCAGATAAATAAATAAATACATACATAAATAAATAAATTCCAGTTATTAATGGAAATGGATGCATTGCAGCCTGAAATAGAGGAGGGGCAGAAAGAACCCTCTATCCACATACTTTTGCAGAACATATTCATTTCAGTTTATTGCCCCTCTGAACCTATTAGTCATAATGGAATTACCTTAACAAGAAAATTCTATTCTTTCTCCAAATACTGACCATGTAGTTGGCCTGCAAAATACAGTGAAATTTTTATGGAAGAGAAAACCTTGGCACTGACTTTTCTGCATAGCTTCCTTGGATGAAATGCTGGGATGGGTGGCTGAGGGAAGGTTGGAAGCTTTAAGGGAGCCAGAAGCTGAAAGAGAAGTCACATGGTTTTGCTTAGGTTCCTAGAAGCCTTTGAAATTACTGAGAACCAATTCATGTGTTCTGTTGACATTTCAACAGGAGTGTCTGTGCTGAACGAGTAGACCCTTACATGTGCTTGCATTTTAAGTCTTACCCCTCTGTATCTGCTTTGATGCCATTAAGGTTTAATTTAAATTTTGGATCCTCTATTCGAATAAAACTAATAGAACTAAAAATGTGGGGATTCAATTACAATCTTGTAGGTTATTATTAATTTCTGTTTGAATTGTTGTATTTCTTACTCCAAAGAAATAAAAGGGTTCATGAGTTTTATAACAGACTTGGTAACCATTTTTGGAACTTATCATCTCCACTCAAGATTGGAAGTTTCTTTTTGTCAGGAAGATATGTAATTTTTTTTTTTTTTTTTTTTTTTTAAGACAGAGTCTCACTCTGTCTCTCAGGCTGGAGTGCAGTGGTATGATCTTGGCTGACTGCAACCTCTGCCTCCTGGGCTCAAGCGATTCTCCTGCCTCAGCCTCCTGAGTAGCTGAGATCCAGCTAATTTTTGTATTTTTATTAGTTATGGGGTTTTGCCATGTTGGCCAGGCTGGTCTCCAACTCCCGACCTCAGGTGATCTGCCTGCCTTGGCCTCCCAAAGTGCTGGGATTACAGGCATGAGCCACTGCGCCCAGCCAGGAAGATGTGTAATTTTGTTTGTTGATATAAGTATATTAGGTAATCAGTGATGTTTCAAATAAATAAATTGCCTTCCATCTTTTGAATAAATTGTATTAACATAAGAAGTTGATAGATACAGACAATCTCCTATTTTTATATGGGAATCATACCAAAAGTTGAATAAATGAAGGTTAACATACATGTTAAAGGAGAGAGGAGCCTTGTTGTCAGAGAGCTAAAAATTATTTTTTAAAAATTCAGTTATAGGCTGGGTGTGGTGACTCACACCTGTACTCCTAGCACTTTGGGAGGCTAAGGTGGCTGGATCACTTGAGGTCAGGAGTTCGAGGACCAACCTGGCTAACATGGTGAAACCCTCTCTGTACTAAAAATACAAAAATTAGCCCGGTGTGGTGGCATGTGCCTGTGGTCCCAGCTACTTGGGAGGCTAAGGCAGGAGAATTGCTTGAACCCAGGAGGTGGAGGTTGCTGTGAGCCGAGATCACACCACTGCACTCCAGCCTGAGCGACAGGGCGAGACTCCATCTCAAAAAAAAAAAAATAAAAGTAAAAAATTAAAAAATCAAATATGCATTTTTTTATGACAATCTTCAATTATATGTTCTCAACATATTTTTGTGTATGTGTGTGTGTATCCTCACACAACCGGTTGAGGTTGAAGATAGACTGGTTTCTTTTAGGTCTATCATTGTCACAACCCTACTAAGGCAATCACATTCATGGTTTTATTCCAAGTACCAGCAATTTTACTTTTCCAGTCTATAGCCATTGTTGTATAATATAAAAAAAGGGGGTTGGGCGCAGTGGCTCATGCCTGTAATCCCAATGCTTTGGGAGACTGAGGTGGGCAGATCACAAGGTCAGGAGTTCGAGACCAGTCTGGTCAATATGGTGAAACCCCATCTCTACTGAAAATTCAAAAATTATCTGGGCGTGGTGGTGGGCACCTGTAGTCCCAGCTACTCGGGGGCTGAGGCAGGAAAATCACTTGAATTTGGGAGGTGGAGGTTGCAATGAGCCGAGATTGTGCCACTGCACTACAGCCTGGGCGACACAGCGAGACTTCATCCCCCTCCAAAAGAAAAGGCAAAACGCAATTAAATATTCAAATAAGAGTTAGACTGACACTGCTACACAGATAAATGTGAAAAGTCTGTCCAACAAAACCATTGTGTTTTAGCTGCTAGCGTTTTGAACGATCTCTAAATGGCCAAACATAAAGTGATGTTAAAAAAAGAGAAATGGAGGCTGGGCAGGGTGGCTCCCACCTGTATTCCCAGCACTTTGGGAGGCTGAGGCAGGCAGATCATAAGGTCAAGAGATCGAGACCATCCTGGCCAACATGGTGAACCCTATCTCTACTAAAAATACAAAAATTAGCTGGTTATGGTGGTGGTTGCCTGTAGTCCAAGCTACTTGGGAGGCTGAGGCAGGAGAATCGCTTGAACACAGGAGGCAGAGGTTGCAGTGAGCCGAGATTGCACCACTGCACTAAAGCCTGGCGACAGAATGAGACTCTGTCTAAAAAAAAAAAAAAGAAAAAGAAAAAGAAAAAGGGAGAGATGGATGTCAATGTATCCATCAAAGTACCCACTACTGGAAAGCTGTCCCAGTAAGTGTTTGTGGTTTCAAATAATAGAGTGACAAGCTGACTTAAATGGCAGACATATTTATTGAAAGAATATATTGGCTAATTCACAGAATTAAGAACTAAACTTAAAATCACATTAAGAGCCAGACTGGGGAGGACACTCTTGCCACCATCCCTGAACAGAAACATAGTTTACATTGCTACCTGGAGCTACTATTTCTGCCCCTAAAACAAACTGGCTATTGCTGCCCTGATGTTGCTGCCACGGCCAGGGTGGGTCTGTCACTATCCTTGCTTCTCTACGTCATTAGTTTAGGATTAAAAATCCAAGGCAGGTCCATCTGATTGGCTAAATGAAACTGTTTGGCCAAGTCCCAGGTGCGAAGGAAGTAGGGAAAACAAGCTTTTGATTTCTCTACTTGGATGTGAACATTGACTTTCAACATAGTTTATATCTTGGGAAATTCCCCAAATATAGAAAGATGTTTTAATGTACAACAACAAATAAATAAAACTGTGACAAGTGTCCACTATAAAGTTTATCTAATTGCAATTAAATACTTCTTGATGCTGTCTCCAAACACTCTTCTGCAGAAACCTGATGGCTCTAATCAGCCAAAGTAAGTAGATTCAACTCAGTTAAAGAATATGATAGGAAAAGTACCTGCCTACCGGTTTGCCTGTCAAGAAATGATAATAGTTAAGTAATTAACTTATTTGGTGTAGATGTAAACTAGATGGTGAGAGTGAAGACCCTGGAATGATATGTCCGTTATGGTGGAATATTTTAAATAAACGGCAGTTCAGAAGTCCATTTTGATCTGCCCTATTCACTCTTTAAGAGACTATTATGTTTCATGAGAAAATCATTAACTATATTGTCTGTCAAAGAGCAAATGTAATATCTAAAAACAATTATTTAGTGCTTACTGTGTGCATGCCGTTGCAGTGTTGCTTATAAGATAAATGTTTTGATATCTGAGCGCTGCTACTCTTTGCCTTCCTGTGCGTATTGCCTTTAATCAGCTTGGCAGGATGAAGTGTTGCTTGTGGAAAGTAATTACAGGTTTTCAGTGGAAATGACAGTGTAAAGCCAGATAGATGGTGTTTGTCATGCTGGAGAGTATACTAAAAGCATACACAAACTCTGGGCTCTCTGCAGAAAGACCCCTTCCAGAGATAATGATAGATCTGCTTTTGGGACTGATAGAATCAGCGAGCAATCTGATAGGGGGTTTCACATTCACCTTGGGTGAACAGCTGTGGTATCTATTCAAGAAGATCAGAGAAGTTAAAAAGAAAGTGTTAAATAATGGGCAAACACTGCTGGGCACATGCTCTGAGATGGATCTGAATTTTAAAAAGGAGTTATAAACAGGGGAGTGGTATTGAAATTCTGATTACTTGAGAGAACAGTTCAAATGTGGTATTGTTTCCAGTTCTTTTTTAGGGAACTACATGACAGAGGCAAGGATCTTGCTGTAGGTTCTAAGTAAATTTTGATCTTTTATCACTAATAAATTTAAGTGATAAATTTATGCTGTGATTTAATTGGCATCACCGGATAGCTGGCTGCTTGATGGAAAAAGCTGTGCATTGTAAAGCAGTCTATATATTTCATATCAAATTTGCTTAGTGCTTGCATATGAGATTGGTTCATGAGCAAATAATTTTCACTCAGTATACTTTTGTTGCTACATGCTTTAGGTCATACTGTGTGACCTTGCAGATAATAAAATTTGGCTTGTTTTATTTTATTCCTTTAAGTTATGTCATTTTTATGATGCATGGAACAAAATATATTGGCCATTATTCATTCATTCATTCATTCATTCATTCATTCATAAATACCTGTATTGAACACATATTTATCTATTGGGTGCTTAATGTATGTCAGGCACTGATTTAGGAGCTAGAACCAACAAAAAAGAATTGCCTCCCCTCATAGAGTTTGTAATCTAGTGTTCTTTTGAGTGTGGAAGTGTATTGTATTCATATGAGCCCCTGTACATTATTCAATATAGATATGGTGCTCCCCACATTGCTTTCCCCTTTTTGCACTTAAATAAGAATAATCTAACAGTGATTGACTCAGTGAACGAGAAAGCAGTACTGATTAGAAATGTAGGAAGAAAAATTAGAGTGTGCGGTGTCTATAACCCAAGAGTGAAGACAGTGTAAAGAATATGTGATGGTCAGCAACTTAAATGAAGCATTCACTCTAGGACTCACTTATTAAGAAAACGTTTCATGAATTTTTGCTATTTCTAGGAACTAGGGATACAGTAGTAACCAAGACAGGCAAGTTTCCAGATGGTAATTTTATGTTTACAAATTAAAGTAAATATGCAATAAAGAAAATAATAGACTTTTTATAGTATAAAAGTACTGAGAAGATTGGAAATCTGGGAAACATAGTTTTTAATGTATTGCCAAGGCAGGCTGCTTTGAATTTGGTGGTCAAAAGATACTCTCAGTGACTGGAGAGGAAGATACAGTCGTGAGAGGAGCCATGAGAAGATGTGAAAATGCCATTCTAGGAAAAGGAGGGGTTAGTGCGCAGGCTCTGTGACAGAGGGAGCTGTTTGAGTTCCAAGATCAGGAGGGTCACTGTGGTTGGAGCTTAATGAGCAAGTGCGAGAGTATATAAGGAGAGTTCAGAGGGGTAGCCAGGGGTCAAATGACATATGGTCTTCTAGAACAGCAGTCACAGTGTGTTACAATGACTGGGATTATTTTCTTCAGTAGAAAAATTACATTCTCATTGTTAAGAAACTGATAATATGGGTAAGTGCAAAGTAGAAAATGAAGCATATTCTTAATTCTACACCCAGGTATAAATATTATTAACATCGAGAAGCTTTTATTTTCATTCTTCTTTCTATTCTTACATAATCACGTGCACCTGTATGCAGGCGCAAATACATCTGCACACTTATGCATGCATACGCACACAACTTTTATTAAATTGGAATTATACCCTTCATTTGCAATTAATATATTCAGAATGTTTTCCTATTTCATCAAATATAAAAATGAAATAAAATAATCCAGGCATGGTAGGGTGCTCCTGTGGTCAAAGCTACTTGGGTAGCTGAAGCAGGAGGATCACTTGAGGCCAGGAGTTCAAGGCCTCAGTGTGCTATGATCACATCTGTGAATAGCTACAGCCCAGGCAACATAGCAAGATCCTGTTTCTAAAAATAATAATAAAATAGAAAATATTATATTATAGAGAAGATATACAATAATACATAATAAATAATATATAAAATAGAATCATAATGGCAACATCGTATGTATATGCCAGTACCTATGACTAATTTAGAAGAACTCCAGTTTTTAATACCACAAATATCAATCCTGTAAACATTTTTATATAGAAATAGATGTACAAATTTCTTATTTCCTTAGCATAAATTCTCAAAGTTGAGCTATATCAAAAGGTATATTATTATTATTTAAAAACTATGAATAGAGCTTGCCAGATTATCCATCTGGAATTGTTTAGCAGTTTATGATAGTGTGTTTCTATCTCCTCTTCAATATTGGATATTATTTTTTAGGCAACGAAGTTGGTAGATAACAAATGGCATCTCACTTTTATTTTATTTATTTAACTTTATTTTGTGATTTTATTTAGAACATAATATCAAAGTTGTTTATTAGTTAGTAGTATTAGTTCTTTATTGGTACGTTTCCTTATTGCTACATATAATGAATTACCTCAAAATAAAGTGGCTTAAAATAACAAATATTTCTGATCTCATAGTTTCCATGGGTCAGGAAATTAGGAGTGGCTTACCTGAATGAGTCTTTCTCAGGCTTTCTTAGGTGGTGCTTCTCTGATGGCTTACCTGGTGCTGCAAGATCTACTTTTTAAATTTTCACTGTGCACATTTTTTTTGAAATGAAGAAAACAATGTTATTTATAATAGCAACAAACGGAAACATTCAGAAATAAGTTTACCAAAAGAAGTACTAGGATATTACGCTGATTTTTGAATTTTCTTAGTAGTACCTTTATTCTTTTGTTTTCAGAAGATCCACTTCTAAGGTGGTTTGTATACATGGCTATTGGCAGGAGACCTCAGTTCCTTGCCACTTGGGCTTCTTTCCACAACACCTAACCATGGTAGCTAACTTCCCCAACAGTGAGCAATTCAAGAAAGTACAAGGAGGGATTCACATTACCTTTTACAACCTAGTTTCTTACGTTGCGTGCTATCCTTTCTACTTTATGCTATTTGTGAGAAGTGAGTTGCTGTATCCAGCCGACCACTTGAAGGAAGATGTATCAAATTTGTAGACATATGTTTAAGCCACTACAGTAATTTTTTCCAGCTTCTCACTGGCATATTAGAGGGTGTTGAACACATGACTACAACTATTATTACTATTGGATGACTGATGCCGCCACTGGACTACCTATAGTACAAAAGTTCCTCAATAAAGGCTATTTTATATTTTTGTCATATATTCCAATACTCTTGCTGTCAGAATTCTTCCTTTCTAAAAGCTGGAATACTACAATTTAGATTCTATTTATGTTTTATAGAATATCTGTCTTTTAGAGATTATATTGAGAGAAAAAAATCTGTCAGAAGTTTTCTCTCATAAATTACTCATTTTGGGTTTCTGCTTAATTGAGCTTTGACTTCTGTAAATTTATTTTTCCTTTTTTTTAGTAATGTTTAGATTGCTAGTCCATTATCTACTGTCTAGGATTATAAATATTGTTTATTTTGAAAAAGTTGAAATAGATTCAGGAAGAAGAAAGTGATTATTAGAGTTTTCCATTGTAATTAGCTGCTTTCCTGGTCTAGCCATTTATCCATCATCTATTGTCTATGATTATAAATATTATTTATTTTGAAAAAGTTGAAATCGATTCAGGAAAGAGGAAAATGATTATTAGAGTTTTCCATTGTAATTAGCTGCTTTGCTGGTCTAGCCATTTACCTTACTCTTGATGCCTGTTTATCTCCTTGGCTCTAATTAATAACTGTGCATCTAAAGCTTATTTTTTCTCAACTTCCAAATAGAAATAATAAAACAACGTACTATTTTTCACACACAAAAGGGAGAATATATTTATTCAAAAATATGGCATGATGATATGCTTTGTTAATGGTGGTGGTATTGATGATAGTCTGAGAACCACAATCAATAAATTAGAAATTAGCAAGCATGTGTGAAATTTGACAAGTGATAATGGGTTCATTTGTGGATGGTAGAAAATGAATACAATTATAATTAAAAATGTTCTATTTTAATGAAATAACTATATATTTAGATGATAAAGGAAATAAAATTTGATAAAGAATCAAGAGAATTTATTCATTTACTGCATGTAGGGGAGAAATAAGAGTAAAAATGAATGACTCAGGTCTTCAGATTGAATGACTGTGTACATCATGGTATTTGGACTAGAGGGGATCTAGTTTCTAGAGAAAGTGGTACTTTTCTTTTCTACATGATGAATTTGAGGTGATGGTAGACTCTATTGCTGTAGCTGTCGAACAGCAAATGGAATTAGAAGATTGACACTTCTGAGAGAGAGGATGGTAGTGGATATGTACTTTCATTTAGGTGACAATTGACATGAAAAAAGCCAGAGCAGAGGCCTGAATCTGGGGTTAAAACACTGTATTTATAGAGTGGAAGAATGAAATAGAGCCAGAGTCTCATGGGAATTATGACACTCATTTGTCATCTGATGCAGCACAGGAATGAGTTTGGATAAAGAAGTAGTTTGTAGTTAAATAAGGAATACAGTTCAAGAAAGATGATTATGGAGAAAATACAGTTAGCTTGAAATGGGACATAAGAGTAGTTAGACAAAGGACATAATGAAATAAGTTAAACAATGAGTGAAATCCAAAGAAGTGGTTAATAGGAGTTTGGTAATGACGACTTTGAAAGAGTCTGTGTAGAAATTTACTAGAATGACCACAACTTAAAAAACAAGAATTAAAATTTGGATAGAAGAGAGGAGCTAGCATATGGAGAAACTGGAACTTAAATACATTAGATGTGTGGATATCCATTTCACAGAAACCACTTTGGAAAATTCTTTGGCAGTACCTACCCTACAATCCAGCAATTTCTAGGATATTTCCAACAGAAATGAATACATGTCTCCCAACAGATACACATTTTTATTCACAATAGTCCTTAACTGGAAACAACCCAAATGTCCTTTAACGAAAGATTGGATAAATAAACCGAGGTGTATACATACACAGAAAACTGCACAGCAATAAAAAGAACAAAATATTTCTGTACGTAGCAACAATTATATATCTCACAACAATAGTGATGAGCCAAAGAGCCCAGATGGAGAAGACTACGTGTTATATGATTCAATATATATGAAGTAAAGGGGTAAGTAAATTAGCCAAAACTAATTTATAGTAATAGAAGTCATGACAATAGCTACCTTTTGGGTTTGGGGAATAGCCAATGACTCAAGAGCATGAAGATGTTTGGATAAATACTAAAAAAGCAAAAAACAAAAACAAAGATTAACAGTGCATGTCAGAGATAGCTGAGGAGAGAACAGCTGAAGAATTTAGTTAGATAGAAAGCCAAGTTATGGGCCTATAAAGCTGGAATTCAAGATATGGAAACCAGAAGGGCAGAACAATGATGCAGAACTGTATAACAAAATAAGGCATTGGAGTCTTTCTTGTATTCTCTTTGTATCTTAGATGCCTCAGCCTCCAATGCTGCTTGCTGTTACAACATAGAAAAACATTGGAGTGATTTTAGAGATGATTTTTTTGTGAATATGTCAGTAAAGTTTGTGTTGACTGTTGGTAACATTGTTCATCTACTGAAGCACTCTAATAATAAGAAAAGTGAATTGGAGCTTGAAAAAATTGCTGTGACATTGGAAGAAGAGAGAATGTAAATGAAGGGGTTAATTCTTGTCTGCCACTTTCTTCCTGGTGTTGCTGATGCCTCAATCATTCACTCAGAAAATGTTTACTAAGTACCTCTTATGTTTTGGACATTAAGCTGGGTACAAAGGATGTAGAGTTGAAGGACAGTGTCTGCCTTAAGGACCTCACAGTGCAGTGGGGAAAATTGTCAAATAAACAAGTAATTCTTGTAGATGCACAAGTACCATGGAAGCATATAGATGATAAAGCATATCAATTTTAAACTCATCTATATTCTCTGACTCCTTAGGTAAAGAGAATATTCTAGAGAATTTCGGGTGGTACACAATGCAAAGTTATGAAGCAGGAAGAAAATGGTGAGACATGAGGCTGGAAAAGTAGGTAGAGGACAGTAATGAAGGGTCTTGTATAGCATCTGCCCTTGGAGTCCTTTACACTTAAGAGTGGGCACATCTGGATTTGAATTCTATGGCTTGTCTGTAAAATGTATGAAAAAAGGAGAATAAGATTGGTATTTTTGTAAATTTACATTGGCAGCTGTAAGGGGTGTATGAGTCAGAGGGGTTCAAAATCAGATGCAGGAAGCTACCAAGGAGACTATTAAAGAAATTCAGGATGGTGAAGACAGCTTAAAGGGAAACAGTTCTGCAAATAGAGGCGATGGGAGATATAGGAAAGAGGGACTATGTGTAGGTCTTGTTGCGTCGCTGAAGGTGAGCATTGATAGAAAAGAAGACATCTAGGTTTCAGGTTTGCATAACCAAGAAAGAGTATACAAGAGAGGCATCAACTTTCTTTTTAAAACTGTTTGCATTTCCTATCAATTTTTCTATGCCATTTCATCATCTGCTCCTGTTCTGGCCAGAACCACTGTCTTTTCAATTTCCTGTTGCCAGCCTCTCTTGTACATCGGGAGCTCTGGATTAAAGCTTCCCAGCCACCCTTTGCTTCCTTATCTTTTTCCTGTCTTATGCTATTTAGCAGGCTTTTTGGATTTACTGTCTTGGAAAGGCTTCTTGTCATTGTATTCTATTCAACATTCTTAATTGTGTCTTTTTTTTTTTTTTGGTCTCAGGTATCTCTCAAATTCTTTCCATTCTCACTTTCTCTAGAGCCCAATATAGCTTTTTATGCAAGACAGCTTGCTCCACATAGCCCAAATAATTTCTCAACATTTTTCCCAACCATGGTCCACACATCCCCAATAATTAACTCTTCTGTTTTGATATTTCTGGTTTTGGTTGAATAAGAAGAAGCGAAGAGAAGAAAAAAAAGGACTGCGTGTAATTAGAGGGAGAGTGAGTGACTTGGTTGCCCCCAGTAAATTTTTGTAATTAAATAAACGTTAAACAGTATGTTTCAGGTTCTCTCCGTAATACCTTTGCTGGCTGTTTTATTTATTTTTGTGAAAGAACCTTTAAAGGTTATATCATATCTGTGATATATTATGCTCAGTTAAGTATTTGCTGAGTATTTAATATTGAAACATTATCTTAGACATTTACCGTGAAACTTCCTTTAAAAAAGACAAATTTTAACTTTGATGCAATTATTGCACTGTGTTCTTTGAACAATTTTAATCTTTCTAAACTCCACTTAATATTTCGCAAATACTTTTGTGTAAAAGGATAAAAACAACTTTATGCCAAACGTAGATTTTTCTTCTGCCTATGTAAAATATTTAAGTAACTTAATTTACCAAAAGTAGCAAAATAATTGTTAATTCTTTATTTATTTTTGTTCCCTAAATAGGCAGCTTGTAGAGTCTGTAGGTTTTTTTGTTTTGTTTTGTTTTTGAGATGGAGTCTCACTCTGTCACTCAGGCTGGAGTGCAATGGTGCGATCTTGGCTCACTGCAAGCTGTGCCTCCTGGGTTCACACCATTCTCCTGCCTCAGGCTCCCGAGTAGCTGAGACTACAGGCACCCGCCACCACGCCCGGCTAATTTCTTTTTGTATTTTTAGTAGAGACGGGGTTTCACCGTGTTAGCCAGGATGGTCTTGATCTCCTGACCTCGTGATCCGCCCACCTCGGCCTCCCAAAGTGCTGGGATTACAGGAGTGAACCACCACACCCAGCCGAGTTTGTAGGTTTAAGGGCTTTCAAAAGCTTTCGTTTCTTCAATTCAGTAAGATAATCATGTTTGCTGTTGTAAATGAGGAAAAGTATGAGGTGACAGTTATAAAAAGAAGGATTCTATTTAGAACCCTATTAGAACTTCCAGGCTAATGGGAGAAATAGATGAGTACTCAATAATGGTATACAGTAATACCATATTATACAATTAGGTACTATAATTGAAAGTCTTCAGATGAATCGTTAGCAAACAAATTATTCTGAGCTGTTTTCCTGATTTGAATTTCTTTTCATTTGGTTCTGGGGCATAACTAATTGTGACACTTATGAACTGTAAGGTTGTATTTATATCAGAAAGTCAGACCTACAGATCAATAAGCAAAAGATTAGCAATCTGAAGAAAAATGGGCAAAATGTAAGTAAAGGGATTTTATACACGCACACTCACACAAATGCACATATAAAAAGTGCTTATCCTTTAAATCAAAACCATAGTATAGCCTTTTTCACAAATGTATTTTTCACTGAAAAATAAATGCTATTTTTATAAAGAGTCATTTTAGGATTGTGATATTTGTCTTGAATCTATTTGAATCTAAATTGATTTGCCAGTTTTAAGAAGGCTATATTCTGTACACATTCATTGAAAACTTCTAGGCAAGTGCTTGAAGAATGATATAATTTTAAGATAGATTAATCTTTGAGACTTTTGCATAGAGTCCAATAGATTTTTTGATGGATAAAAATTTTTCAGAAGTAGTTTGTCCTGTGATTGAAATGGATATGACAAGCAAATCAAATACTTTTTAGATTCGGCTTTCTTTAAGGTAGTACAGTTCTTCTTACAATTTAGCTGGACATAGGAAAAGGTCAAACACATTTTTGTTAAGAATTAGTTGAGGCTGGGTGCAGTGGCTCACCCCTGTAATCCCAGCACTTTGAGAGGCAGAGGTGGGCGGATCACCTGAGGTCAGGAGTTCAAGACCAGCCTGGCCAAAATTGTGAAACCTCATCTCTGCTAAAAATACAAAAACTAGCCAGGCGTGGTGATAGGTACCTGTAATCCTGCCTACTCGGGAGGCTGAGGCAGGAGAATAGCTTGAAACCGGGAGGCGGAGGTTGCAGTGAGCCGAGATCACACCATTGCACTCCAGCCTGAGTGACAAGAGCAAAAATCCATCTCAAAAAAAAAGAGTTGAAAACCTTTCTTGCCAGTAGACTTCTGTTAGGAAGCACTGACCTACTGCATTTAGGGTTTCATAAAATACTTCTTATGAGTTGATTTCCATACTGCTATATTTCTACATGTAAATTTACAACCATTTTCATGAAATTTTCTGCTAAACTAACTCACTAGTACTTAGAGAAGCATATTCTTATCTTAATTGGTTGAAACATAAATAGATTAGAACAGCAGTGACCTACAAAGTAGCCTGTCCACTTGATAACAAATAGCACCCTGCACTTGTCAATCTTAAATCAAAACCTAGATTTCACATAGACAAAGAAGACACACCTAATTATTGTCTAAAAGCCAGACAGTTTCTCTTTCATCTTCCAAATTGGTTTATTGAATAAAAATGCTTTTGTGGCTTTTTTCAAGGTAACTGAATGGCTCCTGTAAGACTGTCTTGATATAATTTTATAAGAAATGGTACATTATAAAGATGCATATACACAAATAAATTTGCCATCTTGTAGATCAAATAGACAGTTTAATGAGCTAGAATGTGTTTCCATCTAACTGTTTTATCATCATACAGACGGAGTTGGAGCAATAAGTTGCCAAAAATATAGGTTCTTTATTGAGATTAGACCAATAAAATAAGTTACCAAAAATATAGATTCTAAGAGATTCTTTATTGCCTCTCAGTTCTCCAAATTAAACCCTGGATAAGGGGGGAGGAAAATAAAGAGGGCAATGATTGAAAAGTCAAAATTTTAGGGTATAGGCAAACAGAAAATGGGCTGCAAATAATGGCAAGTGGTTGAAGAATGATATAATTTTAAGATGAATTCATCTTCGAGACAGCTAAATAATACTTCTGTATAAAGTCCGATAGATTTTCCAAATCTTTCACAGGGGTTTGCTGTAAAAGGTAGTTATTCAGAAATAAAAAGGAACTCAGAGCAGATTAAATCAACTTCTGGAAATATATCTGTGAGTCCTCCAAATAAACCAAAAGGACCTATTGTAAATGGGATGTGGGGATTTCTTGAATGAAATCCAAATGTGTTCTTTGTTAAATAAATAGAAGGACAAAAATTATACTGACACCAAAAAAAAAAAAAAAAAAAAAGAAAGGAAAAATTGTTAATATGCATAGATTAGATTTGGCCCCAGAGATCTTACATCAAATATGACTGGGTTTGCTTGCTTTAGGAAAATTGTAAGGTAATATTTAGAAGAAAATTATACAGTGAGATTCAGCATTTCAATCTGAGAAATAGTGCTTTGGTTCTAATGAGCAGATGCTCAACTGTGGATTGAGAGACCTGATGCAATTAAAAGATGTTTTTAGGTGGGAAGAGATCATTCAGCCATGTATCGCCTGTCAGATCTACCTTGGCCAGCTTTCTGTGTGACAGATGCAGTTCGATTTTCCTAAATCTATTCAGCCAGCCATTCATTTGGCAGCAGTTCCTCCAACAATAACTTACAAGACCTGGGTTTGGACGAAGACTTATGTGTTCTTTTTTAATATAACAGAAACCTGATGTGTCATTGCAGTGATATGAACATGCCTGATATTATGATGAACCCCAGTGACTTTTTAGGAGACAGAACAGAGTCTGAAATGGGAAACAATGGGGAGATATCTGATTAGGGGACTCTATTATAATCTAGGTATATATTTTCATCTGTAAGTGTGTATTTGTAAATATGATAGATATAGAGAAAGTAAATAATCATAAATGGTGTATCCTAGATGACACTAATATTATTTTTAAAAATCGCAAATGAGGAAGCAGGTGCATCTTGAGTAGGAAAGTGCAGCTGTGAGACACAAAGTCATTTACTGTAGGCACAATTTGATTCAACTGATATGCTTTCCCTGGCCCATTCTTTTCCTTTTCTTTCTTCATTTCTCTTCAGGTCAGAGGCTGGCAGCATAATTAAAATTTGAATTATTTATGAAGAGCCATTAAAGTGGGTGGCTTGCAGATTAGTCAGAGACAGCAGAGCTGACACTAAGCTGCTTTTCTTTTACTCTCTCACAATAAACAATACCTTCACTATATGCCTTGAAAATAAGCATATGAAGTTTAAGCTTTTAAAAGAAAAATATATAAAACATTGTGACCATTTACATTTACAAGCAAACATAAGTGAGTATCTATAGTCATCATAATGTACAAAAACAGATCTTTTGTGTGTAGATATATACATAAAAAGTGACTTTCTGCCAATAATTCATTAATATTGAATAGGACTATAATTACCAAGGGGAACAATCTTTTGTAGATATATAAAGATAAGACTAGAAATAGAAATATACACACATGGGTATCATTAAGTGTGCATTTTCTATTTAGACAGGGACATTGAAACAGTTCAGAAACATCTGTCACCAGCATGATGTGTTGAGAAGCAAAGGAAATGGAAATGGGTGTCTGTTTTCTCAAAAGCATTAGAATCTGTAAACATAAACATCCTTTTTAAAGATCTGCCAATTTAGAATGAGTTTATGGGCTTAATGCAATTTTTAAAAACGGTGACGGCCTACATAATCATGTTAAACTAGAATATTTTCCAAATTTTCAGAGGAAAAAAAAAACCCATATTATGTGTTTATTTATAGCCTTATCTCAGTCTTGGAGGAAAAAACATATTGTAGCATGTTTCATTTTGCAGAGATTGGGGTAATCTTCTCTCTAATTTGTTTGCCATACCCATGTAGATTTTATTCATATCATTTAGAGGAAAATCAAACATACCTTTGCTTTTGCTGCCTTTTTCTTCCTCACCATGAAAAATGGCCAATAATGATGGATAATAATTCAGATGGTACCAAAACAAAACGAAACAAAACAAAAGTATATCTATACCTTTATTTTCATTTTAATGTCTCTTTTAAGTTATCTCTAAGTGGAATATGTTACTAGTCTGTTGGAATAATCACTTTTATTTCATTTTTTAAAAAGTCATTCATTTATAATTTCAGAGTTAGTTCTGTGGATAGGGTTATAGGGGCAGAGGTATGTCATATCTTTCCTCACTCATCACCAGGGTTATAGCCCACACTTCTACAACAAGACAGGTTAATAAGAGAAAAGCATAACAAATTTATTCAATAAAGGTTTTAGCCAGGTGTGGTGGCTCATTCCTGTAATCCCAGCTCTTTGGGATGCTGAGGCAGGCAGATCACTTGAGGTCAGGAGTTCGAGACCAGCCGGGCCATTATGGTGAAACCCCATCTCTACTAAAAATACAAAAAAATCAGCCAGGCTTGGTGGTGCGCACCTGTAATCCCAGCTACTTGGGAGGCTGAGGCTGGAGAACTGCTTGAACCTGAGAGGCAGAGGTTGCAGTGAGCTGAGATTACACCACTGTACCCCATCCAGCCTGGGTGACAGAGCCAGACTCTGTCTCAAAAAAAAAAAAAAAAAAAAGTGGTGTTATGTGACATAGGAGCCTTCATAAATGAAGCCTCAAAGACCCAGGAAACTTGTCTATTTTTATGCTTAGGTTCAATGAAGAATGGGACAGCCATGAAGAAATACGATTGGACAAAAAGGCATGATCTAATGGTGAGAGACCAAGGTGGGAACTCAGCAAGGCCCATTTGCTCAGATTCTCCTTGGCCTGTTTGTGTAGCATTCCTTACTCCTGGGTATGGAGCAGGACCCCTTTTGAATGAAGGTGTTCAAAGGGAGAAGGGAGGAAGGAGAGAGTGTGACTCTTACAGGTTTCATGATTGCTCTGGGAGAGAAAAATTTTAGCTTCAATAACTGCCTTGGGGAAGAGGAATTCTGGTTTTTATGGCTTGTTTCATGAGAGAAATATGAGTAGGAGACAGGAGGATGGGTGAAGGTCAGAAAAACATGGTACTGAGACCTTCCCAATTTCCATTAGTTCAAAATACTCAGCATGCCAAGGCATCATACTTTGGGGTATCATTTTCTGAGTCCTGACTGGGTCAATCTCATGTATTTTTTTAAAAGGAAAAATACAAAAGTGAATTTTTTTTTAGTTGGCGGCAATGCTCTAGAAATAACACCATTCATGTTTAATTTTTCAAGTGTAGGCTAAAGCTTTCTCTGTTTATCTGGAGCCAGTGACCAAAGCACTTTTCTCAGCATGGTGCTATACATATGTAAAAGGATAACATATCTGTTTTTCTTTTAGTGTTTGATTGATGGATGGATGGATGGATTGATTTTTGAGACAGAGTCTCACTCTGTTGCCCAGGCTGGAGTGCAGTGGCACCATCTCGGCTCACCGCAAGCTCCACGTCCTGGGTTCACGCCATTCTCCTGCCTCAGCCTCCCGAGTAGCTGGGACTACAGGTGCCTGCCACCACGCCTGGCTAATTTGTTGTATTTTTAGTAGAGACGGGGTTTCACCGTGTTAGCCAGGATGGTCTCGATCTCCTGACCTCGTGATCTGCCCGCCTCGGCCTCCCAAAGTGCTGGGATTACAGGCGTGAGCCACCACACCCAGCCTTGTGTTTTATTTTTTATATGAAACTTCCAGAGGTTGCATATAAGTCAGTGAGCCTTACATGATAAAATAATAATAAAAAATAATAGCAACAACAACAATAGTTAACATTCACTAATTCCTGGTATTTGTCAGTATGGAAACATCACATGCTTTGTAGTCTTCAGGAGAAAGGACAGGCTTGTCAGCTCCCACATTAACATTTGAACTTAGTGTTACATCCAAAGAAGTCATTCAGGAAAGAAAGATGAACCCATTTTAACACGGAATGCCAAAGTAATTGAAAGTAAAGTAGCAGTAGGATACCAGGCTTTACCAACACTGAAAAAAAAAATTCCAAATTTTTTCACTTAGAATGAAAATTTTTTATCCATTTCAGATTTCCATTTCACCCTATATGTTGGTTATAATCTTTGCGATACGATTGCTTATCCTAGATTAGAAATGCATAAGTAGAATACTACCCTTATATCTAGGTGAAGTGACTGCCTTTATGATGTGGTATTAGGAATCCTTAAAAAGACAACACGCCTTCTCGTTAATACTTATCTCATTGAATGGTACCTGAAAGCAGACTTTACTAAGGAAAGCTTACTAAAATGGAAATACCATGGCAAAGGGCTACATGTTAGATTCACCTCTGAGCAAAAAAGAGTAGGATGGGAAGTTTGGAGATAAGATCTTACAGTCATGTGAACGTGCTACTTAGGAGAGGAAAGGCTATAACACAATGCAGGGTTTGCCAAAGTGTCTTCTATAGCATCCAGGTTCTGGGAGACACTATAAAAAGTGGTCCAGGCCGGGTGCGGCGGCCCATGCCTATAATCCCAGCACTGTGGGAGGCCGAGGCGGGCAGATCACTTGAGGTCGGGAGTTCAAGACCAGCCTGGCCAACATGGTAAAACCCTGTCTCTACTAAAAATACAAAATTTAGCCGGGCGTGCTGGTGGGCACCTGTAATCCTAGCTACTTGGGAGGCTGAGGCATGAGAATCACTTGAACCCAGGAGGCGGAGCTTGCAGTAAGCCGAGACTGCGCTACTGCACTCCACCCTGGGCAATAGAGTGAGACTCAGTCTCAAGAAGAAAAAAAAAAAAGGTGGTCCAATGTATTTTGGACATATTTTATTTTATATATATATCTCCTCATAGAGTCATTAAACCGTTGGATATATAAAAGATATGGCAAAATCCTACATTTAGAAAACCATTTAAGTTTGTTGAGTCTAGTTCATTATAATGCCTTTTGGAACTAATATTCCCCTTGAGATATTTTTGATGTCATTGTTAAAAACAGGCTTTGCTGTTGAAGCCCTTAAGACAAAATCTGTTTCTATTAAACTGAGCAACCTTGGGCAAGTTATGTAACCTTTCTAAGGCCATTTCTTCAGCTGTAGACTAGTGGAAATAACTTCTACTCACATGATTTGTATAAAGGATGGGACGCCATATGTAAAACTCTTACTGAAATTTTACCATATAGTCATTTGATACTAGAGAGGCTGATGTCTTTAAAGTCATATTTCAAAAGTTTGCTTAGGGTTAACCATGTGTAATTGAGTCTTGCTTGAATTACATGCTCATTATGACCTGGTTATAGCATTACTCCTCAAGGAAATCTTTAGTTCCCTATAGTAAACAACTTGTTTTTGCCTACTTGGTATTTCTTTTCACCTCTTATGGAAAAAGTACTTGTATTACATATGATCCTAGTGAGATTATCAATAACGGTGTTGATGATCATATTGTTAATAATAACTATACATGACACTCGCTAAGTGCCAGGCATTGTTCTAAGTGTTTTGTTTTGTTTTATTTATTTATTTATTTGAGAAGGAGTTTCACTCTTGTTACCCAGCCTGGAGTGCAATGCTATGATCTTGGCTCAGTGAAACCTCTGCCTCCTGGGTTCAAACAATTCTCCTGCCTCAGCCTCCCAAGAAGCTGGGATTACAGGCGCCCACCACCATGCAAAGCTAATTTGTGTATTTTTAGTAGAGATGGACTTCACCATGTTGGCCAGGCTGGTCTCGAACTCCTGACCTCAGGTGGTTTACTCGCCTCAGCCTCCCAAAGTGTTGGGATTATAGGCATGAGCCACCGTGTCCAGCCCTAAGTGTTTTAATTCACGTAATTCTTATATCAACCCTACAACATACCTACTATAATTATATCAATTTTAGAGACAAAGATCCTCAAAAACAAAACAGAGGTTAAGTAACTTGTTCAAGGTTATAAAATAACTAATAAGTGTTAGTCAGTAGTCAAACCAAACCTAACCAATAGGGCTCTAGTCTGAGCTCTTAACCACTGCAGTTTATGCAGTGAAGGGCCCCTGTTCCTGTCTCCCCACCTATGTCAGCATGAGCATGTGACCCAAGCCAAGCCTAATTTTGCAGAGCTTTATCCTTCCAATATTTGTGTTCCTGGATGTTTATAATTATGTCTTTCTGCTTTCTTTCATCACTCTGTAGTATTTAGGCCTGAAAGTAGTATATAGTTAATATCACATTCAAATTCAGGCTTATAGCCCTAATAACTCAAATGTGTTACCATAGAAATATTTCAGAGAGATTCACATGAAAGCTTTAGACTGCTCATTAGTATTCCAAATAACAAATGTGACACGAATGAGGTATACTTATATACAGAAGGACACTAAAATATTTATAATTTAAAATAAAATTTAAAAACTAAATTTTACATTTTAACCCTATTACAAGCTAAACAATTTGGGTTGAGACCATACATAATGGTTCTTTCTTGGATACAAGCTGACAATCCATAAAAGGCCTGCCTATATATCTGTCTGTCTGTCTGTCTGTCTATTTATCTCTCATCTGTCTTTTATCATCTATCTATCTATCTCATTGTTTATTCAGGAATCAGATGTAAGACTTTATTTTTTAAGAAATTACAACTTTCTGTCCACGTGTGGTGGCTCACGCCTGTAATTCCAGCACTTTGGGAGGCCATTTGGTGGATCACTTGAGGTCAGGATTTCAAGACCAGCCTGGCCAACATGGCGAAACTTTGTCTTTACTAAAAATACAAAAATTAGTCAGGCATGGTGGCGTGCACCTGTAACCCCAGCTACTGTGGAGGCTGAGGCAAGAGAAATCACTTGAACCTGGGAGGCGGAGGTTGCAGGGAGCTGAGACTGGGCCATTGTGCCACTTCACTCCAGCCTGTGCAACGGAGCGAAACTGTCTCAAAAAAAAAAAAAAAAAAAAAAGAAAAGTAAGAAAGAAAGAAAGAAATTTTAACCTTCTTCTAATAAGCAGAAAACACATTTTCAAAAGTATTGGCTTATGTATTCTTTTGGTTGGTCAGATAAGTGATTATTGACCAAAAAGGGAGAACATCGTCTTTTGAAGACAGAGGCATGATTAATATTTAAATACTTTGAAAAGAGCTTTCTTGGTGATGTATTTCATCTTGCCATGCACAACTGTTTAGAGTGATGCTCAAGGTTTTAAGCTAGGAAATTCTTGGTTTGTCAGAGTACTAGTGGTTATGAACTGGGAGCTTTAGTTCTATATACCGTCTGACTCAATAAAGTTTATGTAAGGCTGGAGGGCTCAGATGATGGACCTGCCAGGAATACTCAAGAATTGAAGCTCTTTTTAAGGACAACAATGTGTACAGTTTTTTTCCATTGAACTAGACGGCCTTACATGTTTTCAGACTGGCCAAGGAACTATTTATTTGGCTGAGGTCACTAAAGCTCTTTTTTTTTTTTTTGCTGCCTTCTGTCTGAGGAGAAAGGAGTAGGTGAAAAAGAGAACTGTAATTTATAAAGGAAATGGGAAGGAATAAAAGGCATTGTGAGCACATACTGTTTAGAATGGATAGTATTTGATTTACTTTAGGCGTAAGAGTGGAGTGCTGGATTCATTCCTTCCTCTTTGAACTCCTGTATCTTCAAATTTTATCTGTATCCACCTGTAGCTCTTTTCCCTCCAGTCCCAGAAAAAGTGTCCTTTCTTCTGTAGAAGCAAATGGCTTTACCTGCTTTCAGAAGCATTTGCCTCCCATCTCTTCCAACACTGGGGTCTCCCTCCACCAGCAATCACTGCTTCTATTTTATTTCTATTCTCTTCCACGTTACTGACTCCTGCCTCAAAGTTTATGCATTTATTAATTCTCTAATCTCCTCCATCTTTATAAGATAAATCTACAAACAAAATAAATATGATTAAAACCTGTAGTCTTTTTTAGCTAATATGTTTCTTCTCTCTTTCACTTTACAGCCAAGCTTTTATCAGAGCTCCTAGATTTTCAAATTTCTTACACCAGTATTTTTTTAAATGTGAGAACCAGTCCAGATTGCTAACAATTGTTATATCTCACCAACTTAATGTCATGAAAGAGAGGATATTATAACACCACAAAAGGAGGAGAGATGTTTATGATTATTCCATTTTGACAATGTTTTATGGTTTACATAGTGTTGGAGTATAGAATTCTTACTCTCATTAACTCCTGTATTTCTTTATTGTGATCTCATTGTTGCAACCAGTGCCTGTAATTCACACTTTAGGCATTACCACATTGGCTTTGAATCAAAACGAGTACAATTTGATTCAGTGGATTGAATTGCCAGTTGTAAATGGAAATTATCCCAAGATGCGTATGCATTTTTCCCTGAAAATAGATGATTGGCACAGAATGTGTGTTTTCAGTGTCAAGACAGGGGTAATGTATATGATTAGTGGTAAAAATATAGACTGCTGTGGGCTTGGGGCCAAAATCCTGTCTTGTATTCTGTGCCAGTCCCTTTGAGGAGAAGAGCTGACTAGAGCTGGTTTGCTCAGCTGAAATGCCTTATGTAAGCTACCACACTGAGTCTCATAAAAGGAGAGGAAAATGAACTATTTTCTTGACTGAAACTCACAGAAACTTTATTTTTCTTTATGATGAAAAATGTTAAAACTTGACACAAATACAAAAAATGAAGCCAGTGTAGCAAAACCTGGATAGTACTGGGAGCAAAACAAACCACTTCCAAATTGTAATAATTCAGGTTAGTTTTGTTCCTGCCATCCTCACCATTGATACCATCTCTAATGAAATCTCAGCACATAGTTTAGGTGAAGTAGTTACATTTTTGAAACTCACTATAGTATATATTATTTCCAGTGACAATAGTATATTCACAGAAAGTACCAAGTATTAATAAGTCAAAAATTCTTTTGTGAAATGTATCTTACCTAAAATTTTTTTGCTTCATATTTTAAATGCCTTAGAGATTCGTATTATTTTAGTTATTCATGCTTTCCTTTTGTCAGAATATGATAGCATCTTCTAATGAATGGTTCCATTAAGGGTCTTCGTCCTTAAGCTTTAATTTGTAAGTCACATATTTTCTAAATAAGACAATAAAGTCATTAGTAAAGATTCAAATATACTTTAAAAACAATTCTCATAATTCTGTATTACCATTCTTTTTTCTCTCTTTGCTGTATACACTATACATGTAAAATATCAGTGTGTGCCTGTATTTTCCTACACCATGTAGGCATGCAATGATTACATGCTCTTCATAACCAGTATTTCTCTATGGCCAAACTTAATGTGATTTTTAGAAAAAAGTATTAGATAATACTCACAATGAATTGTACAATGTAAGAATAAATTTAGACATTTATATATTCTTAGTACCTGGCAGCTTGAATGGAATCATTCCACAAGAACTTGGAGAGAAGATCAAACTCTGATAGTCAAACTTTACTTATTTAATTTTATTTGATTTTTTTGAGATGGAGTCTTACTCTGTCACCCAGGCTGTAGTACAGTAGTACAATCTCAGCTCACTGCAACCTCCGCCTCCAAGGTTCAAGCAATTCTCCCACCTCAGCCTCCCGCCACGCCCCACCGCCATGCCCGGCTATTATATAGGCACCCACCTCCACGCCTGGCTATTTGTTTTTCTTTTTTAAGAGATGGGGTTTCACCATGTTGGCCAGGCTAGTCTCGAACTCCTGACTTCAAGTGATCCGTCTGCCTTGGCCTCTCAAAATGCTGGGATTACAGGTGTGAGCCACTGCACCCGGCCTGATAGTCAAACTTTAGTTCATGGCTTCTGTCACTCAGTGTGTGTACTTGCACAGGCACAGGCACATACACACACTGGAAGGTGGAAACATGATCCTAATTAACCCAGAATGACTATTTCACTAACTTGACTGAATGTATTAACTTACTTAGGGCATGAAAGTAGTAAGCTGTAGGGCAGTTGGTCAGTAATTCAAACAAGGAAAGAAGGGACATCATAGAAGATTGCCAGTGAGCAATCAAGCATTACCTCTAAAGAAAGTATTTAGTTATCAGTCTTTGACTTTTAGGTTCCTGGATGTATCAGTATATTCTGATTGTTCCCATTAATTCTTATGTCAATCTAAGGCCTCTTGTTCTAATTCCAGGCTCAAAAACAATTTTCTTTTTATCATTGGGCTTTTAAAGAAGTTCTGCCTGCAGGCAGATAATGTATAGAGTATGCCATCTATGAAAATTAAGGGAATGAATTTTCTTGTAAATAATTGACAGTTTCTGTTATGCCAACTGTGTTGGTATACCAATTATTAACTGAGTTAATTCTTTCTCACATGACATATTTATAAAGTGCTCACCTTTGGAGCTAGCTTTATTATGTACTCTGGGGATACATACGTCAAAGAACAGACAGACATGTTGCTTGTCCTCAAAAAGCCTGTATTCTAGAGTAGTGAGACAGACAAGATGCACTCACATTGGGAAAAACACAGTGGAGGAAATGAACATAGTGATAAGATGCAGAGAACTAGTGGAAGAGGGAAGGGGCAGTTTAGTGTGGGTGGTCGGGAGGTGACATTTGAGCTAGATATGAAAGGCTTGGAACTTTTGTTTAGCAAGTGAGGGGAAAACAGTTTTTCAAGCAGAGAAATCCAAATGGTCAGAACAGGTTAGGATTTGAGTACCTAAAGGACACCAGCATAAGATGAAGCCGAATAGCTAGGGAAAGATCAGACTGACTAGAACCTTGCAGATCTGTGAGTTTGGATTTTTTTCTAAAGGCAATAAATGAATACATTTTATATCTACATCTGGGAGATGTCCACTCCAAGAGTACTGATGAAACCAGAATCTAAGTTTGTAAAGGTGAAAGACTGGCTCTGGAATGTGGGTAATTAAACAAGGTAATGAACTGTACCCTATGAGATCTTTTGAAGCCACTTTCTCTCACAACCTGTGCCTTTAGACTTTCCCTACCTATGTTAGAGCAAAAAGATGAATGATAGCAGAAGATTATATGTATCAACAGTGTTGCATAAAATGTCATACTTTTGATGATTATTGCTTCAAAACATATAACTGATACCATATTGCTAACTCAGAAAATGATATGCTTATTTAGGCAAAGAAAGGCCACACAACCTAAAGGGATGTAAATGCTTTTATTTCTTCCTCCTACCACTAGGAGTTTCCACCAAAACGACGCTTAAGAATTAGGAACAGAAATAATAGGGTGACACTTAAAAGCTGCTAATAGTAACCATATGTGATGATGGATGTATTAATTAAAGTGTCATAATCATTACATAATATATATATATTAAATCATAATATACACCTTGAATATGTACAGTTTTTACTTATCAGTTATACATCAGTGAAGCTGGAAGAAAAAATAATAGAGCAAAACAAAGAAAGGTTTAAAGCAAAGTGAACCAATAAAAGGTATATGAAAACAAGTAACCTTTTATGGTTCCTTCTCCCTACAATTACAAACATATGGTAGTATACTTTTTTTTTCCTACTAAGCACATTCGGGAAAACACAGGATTTATGCTGAAAGTTAAGTTATTTTGTTTGTTTTATATTTATTTTTGAAAGGACAGAAAAAGAATTAACCAAATTGCGGAGATGGATTGGGGTAAGGGAAGATGTGATCTTTTAAAACTTTTAATGATGTATAATTCGATGGCACCCTATTTAGTATGTAGTGAAGCAAAAATATGTTTACTATTTATTTTCGGTAAATCAGAGATTAGATGAGTAATCTATTGGTAGCATCAACTTTTAATGCTTTGTTTTTAAGTTGGAATAGAAACACTCCTCAAGCACAGAATCTAGGGGAGGGTAAAGCTATTCATCAAACAGTGTTGTCAAGAAAACAAAAGAGTTTATTTCTTTCCAAAAAAAATCTGCCATCTAAAAAATATTTTGACCTCATGTTTCTTAGCCATGTGGGAACATACTAAATTCAAGGTTCAGTAGCTTCAGGTAATCTGCTCTGAGACCTTGCAAGTTTCTGGAGAATAAAGACCATATATACATTATTTCTAGTGTAAAAATCATGTAATATCATAAAAACACATTATATAGGACCATGACATTTATTAAACAAAAAGTTATATAAGAATTTAACATGAAAGATCATTAACATTAATGTTCATTTATTTTGTATGCCGGTATCTCAAGACTTCTCAGATTCTTTTAGTTTATCTTACTTTTGTGTATCAAAATATTTATTGGTATCTTTTAGATTTCCTTGTAACCTGAAACCATCTTCCAGAGCCAGTTTTTCTCATCATGCCCTTGATGAAAGTTCTTGAACATTGTGTGATACATGCAGTATGACAATACCTTAATTACAAAGTTCCTTTCTCTCTTCATGGATCTCCTTTTCAGTAAAATGTAGAAGTCTGGCCATGGCCCTATGCCTGCCTCACATGATGCGCTTATCATTTCTGGTCTGTGTTTCTGTCTTCTTGCTTTAGATTCTCACAGCCCTGTGATTTGATTCATTTTCCATACTACTGCCAATCATCTTTTTCAGATTCAAAACTTATCACTTTTTCTATCCCAAATTCTGTAATGGTTTCTCATTCTCTTTGTTATGAAATCCAAATTATTTTGAAAGTCAAATCCAGTATAAGCCCTTCTTCTCCAGCCATTCCTCTCTATAATCCACTCACACTTCCATTTCCCTGAATGTTCACTTTGTGCCCTGACCTTTGGACACCCTTAATTTTATTCCTCAGCTGGTTAACTTCTCATTCTTTAAAATTGGGCTTTCTCCACAGAACCTTCGTATGTTTTAGCCTCTCTTATCTCTCCCTCAATCCACCCTGCCAGCTACCACAATTTGTGTCTGGGTTAAGTGTTTGTTTTTTTTTTTCTGACGAATTCTCACTCTGTCACCCAGGCTGGAGTGCAGTGGCGTGATCTTGGCTCACTGCAACCTCTGCCTCCCGGGTTCAAGCAATTCTCCTGCCTCAGCTTCCTGAGTAGCTGGGACTACAGGCACGCACCACCACGCCCAGCTAATTTTTGTATTTTTAGTAGAGACAGGGTTTCACCATGTTGGCCCAGATGGTCTCGATCTCTTGACCTCATGATCTGCCCGCCTTGGCCTCCCAAACTGCTGGGATTACAGGCGTGAGCCACCACGCCCGGCCAAGTGTTTCCTCCTCTTGCTTAAATAGCATAGTTCTTATCAAATGGCAGTGACATTTTCTAGTAGTGTAACACCTACTATTTTTGTAACTCCTTGAGGTCAGGAACTCTAAGTCTCTACTGATGAGTGCAGCGGGCATTCAATAAATATATGCTTAATAAATGAGCCAATGCATGTTTAATTAAGAGAGTATGGATGGTATAGTTGTGATAAGGCCAGACAGGCCTGCCAGTTTTCAAATATTGGCTCCACTACTCATTAGCTGTTACTGAAAGGCAAGTAACTTCACCTCTCTTTACTTTGGAAAAATGAGTGCTATAAGCATAACTACCTCAGAGCATAGTTGTAAGGATTACATCAAGCAGTTTGCAAAATGCTTGGCCTATCATCAGCACTCAAATAAATGTTTATTATTATTATTGTTGCAAAGGGAAGAAGCTTACTGAAATTTAGTTTCTATTTTGCCCCTTGCAAAGCATACTCGCATTCTCATTTTAAAACAAGAAGAATAGGGTAGGATGTTTTTGGAAAACAATCATTGTTATATTGTCTAATAAATAAAATATAGTAAATGACATAAAAAATTGAAATCTCTTGTATTTTGAAAGACACAGATTGGGGTATTCCAAAGTACATATATCATAGAGAAATAAAGTGATAATCACTAGGCTTTTTATCTTGCATGTCCCTTGTAGTTCTGCGACTCATAACTGTTTATGGACAAAAAATGTTAAAGGTTGCCCATGGGAAGCTAAGGATGTGTCATCAGATAGGTCCAGATTTGCATCCTATCTCCTGCTCCTTCCAAGCTATGTAACCACTAATGGACTACTTGATATTTTCTAATTGGGAGTTATTCTAATGAATCTAATGTATGGCATACACAAAGCTGGAAAAAGATTTTCAATGTATGGCTCTGAAAATGAAAAGAACAGAGGGCATAATAACATCAAATCACTTACATACCTAGAAAAGCAACGGAAAAAAGCATTACAGCTTAATCCTTTCACACCCATATTGTCCTTGGGCAGATAACCAGTGGAGTAATTGCTTTACAAGGATCTAGTTGTCACAGCACAATGATAATACATTGTACTCTTAAATTATTTTATATATGTGTGTATGTAAATATTTCCTTTGAGGTACCATGAATGTACAATGAAATGCACAAATCTTAAGTTTGAAATTCAGTGAGTTTCGACAGAAGCCTACAGCAATGTATAACAAATTACTATCAAGATATAGATAATTTCCAGTACCCAAAACATAGTTTTGTGTCTCTTTTTGTGATTGTTCTTAGTACAGGATTTAAAATCTCTGTTTTCAGATATCACAGCAGCAACCTATTTTAGGTGGTAGTGAATTGATCATTTTACAGGCTTTTTAAAAATGTGGAAATTATACAAGTGGCAGAAGCAGGTGATTTCTGGCTTTAATACTGTTCAGTAACTTCTTATTACATCATGGCGTTGAGAGATGGGAGATACAGGAGAGTATGAGAACAGCATTCATTATTATGTTCCCTTGCTTAAAGAAGATTTTTGAATACAGATACAGATATCTGACTTGTTATGTGTCATATGACTGCTTCTTATAGTTTTTGGCTTTATTTATTCAAATAAATAGATAAATATGTACAACAGACTCTCTAATTTTTGAAAATATATGGGAAAAGGTTATTAAAAATGATACAAATCAAGTCCTGAGATATTCTTGTGGCAAACTGTAAGTGATTTTTGATTGCTGATAGTCTGGGAAAAATGCTAGTGATAGAAAGCAATTATTTCATGTGACAGGTATTTGAAATTACCAGTAAACCAGAACTCTTGTGAAATCTTTTCAAGAAAAGAAGAACAGACAAAAGGGCCATTATTTAATTTCTTGGAAGAATGCTATGTACTAAAAGCAAAATGCTAAGTAAGAAATTAAATTAAAATAAAGTTACTATATTATGATGTTAGAAGTTGGTATTTGTTAAAATTTGAGAGCTAACACATAAAATTATTGCTTAAGCAATAACAATAGAAGCTTAGACTCCTACTAGAATAGTGAATCTCCTCAGAGAAAAGATAATTAAAGCCACTAGGTGCAGATCCCTAAGAATTGCCTGTATGTACCTACTTATGTGATGAAGTTAAAAGGATATTTCAGGATATATCCACAGGAAATTATATAAGATTTTATATGTTATTTAAGAAACAAAAATGCTTTCCTACAATGAGAATTTATTTTTATAGGATTATGCTTTTCTCTCTCCACGTAGTATTATAAAGCTTCCTTAAAATGCAGGAGAATTGCAGAAGAGCAGTAGAGACAGTTTTGCCCATTACTTACTACTGTGGTTTGAATGTATTCCCCAAAAGTTCTTATGTTTGAAACTTAATTCCCAATGTAGCACTGTTGGGAGGTGGAGCCTAATAAGAGGTGATTGGGCAATGAGGGTGGAGACCTCATGAATGGATTAATGTCAATGTCTCAGGAATGGGTTAGTTATCATGGGAGTGGGTTATTACAAATCCTGCCACTGGTGCCTCTCTCTGTTTACTTGCTTGCTTCTGCCTTCACCATGGGAAGACCCTCGCTGGTGCTAGCACCATGCTCTGGGACTTGACAGTCTCCAAAACTGTGTGCCAAATAAACTTCTGTTCTTTATAAATTACCCAGTCCATGGTTTTCTAATATAGCAGCAGAAAATGGACTAAGACACCTACTCACCAATCATTTTCCTATTTCCCCCCTTCTCAAAACTCTCATACTGTAACTGTCATAAAATGTAGATAGGATTATGTAGGATTGATCCTAGGCCCAGCTTCAGGGATAGGTTCTGATTGGTTCAGGACTGAGATAAAATCTGTCTAAGCCAATCAGCACAACATGCGTGCATGATTATAGAGATCACATCAAGGGTATTTTAATAGGTGGGTTCAGTATTATTGTTTGATGGTTGTGAGAATATGACCCTTATTCTCCCACTGGACGGATGAAAAGGATGATTTCAGGTTTATTTCCAACCATTTTGTAACTATGAGGTTAGCAATGCTGAACATGATGTGTTAAAGATAATGCTAACATATGAAGAAGTTAAGAACCAAGGAAATGTCTTTCTTTAGCCAGTCAAAATGATCTTTCATAATCTGGTTCTGGAACACCTTTTCAGCCTCATTTTGTTTGTTCCCTACATTTGCTTTTTAACCAAGCCAAATGATCCTGCAAAGAATTCCATTCCCGGATTATTGTGTGCTTTTTATTTTATCCTAAGTCTTTTTTTCTACAAGTCCATGTACCCAGAATCCTTTGACTAATTATATTCCTTGAATGCCTAGCCAACATTTATTCCTTAAGACTCAACTCTAGAGTAACTGTCTCTTTGAAGTATTTCCTAGTGTCTTTTACCCCGGTTACATCTACTGAGTATGGTGCTCCTCCTTTGTGCTCCCATGACACCTTGGGAAAACATCTATGTTGAATTTTAAGAGGGCATTTTTTTTTTTTTTTGAGATGGAGTCTCACTCTGTCACCCAGGCTGGAGTGCAGTGGCGCGATCTCAGCTCACTGCAAACTCCGCTTTCCAGGTTACGCCATTCTCCTGCCTCAGCCTCCTGAGTAGCTGGGACTACAGATGCCTGCCACCACGCCCAGCTAATTTTTTGTATTTTTAGTAGAGACAGGGTTTCACCGTATTAGCCAGGATGGTCTCGATCTTCTGACCTCATGATCCGCCCGCCTCGGCCTCCCAAAGTGCTGGGATTAGAGGCGTGAGCCACCGCGCCCAGCTGCAAGAGGGCATTTTTTTTTTTTTGGCCTTTCTCTCATTAGAGCATGTTTAGGATAGGTGTTTGTTGATCACTGTGTCCAAAGAACCATCTATTCTTCCCCAATGGTACTATAGCAGGATTTTGATCTACTGCATCAATGCTCTGTTTTATAATTTGAGATGCAGCTGCATTCTGTGTTGTGCTCAAAGTATGGAAAAATTATTCTTCAATTGGCAATAGGTGCAAGAAAAATATTACTTGGGTTTGCAAGGTTACTTTCAGTTGTCTGAAAATAAATCACTTTGTTCTTCAAAGTATTAGCCTATGAATAAGAAAACTCTTGGATTTTAATATTCTCTTTCATATTTTCATGATTATTAAAATCCTCTTTTAAATGACTATGAAACAATGTGCTTGGGAAAATCAACAGCACAGTTCAAATGGGGTCACCCCTGGGTGTAGTTTCTGTGTGGGTTAAAGAGCTGTCCTCTCTTCTCAGGTCAGCAGAAGGGCCTTCATCTCCAATGATCAGTCTTCCAAAAAGAGGGCCTAGGGAAAAGAACCGTCACAGAGACATGAATGGATCTATGGAAATCTTCCAACAATTTAGAAAAAACAGTCAAAGTGAATGCCTGATTGCTGAATGGGCATCATTAACCTTATGCATGAAGTACTTTATTATTATCATTTTATTATGGTTATTATTGTTATTATTTATACACATAGTTGTGACCTATGGCAACTTAAAATCTCCAGTAGAGTTACCACTGGAGCCTCTGTAATATCTGCAGATGTTCTGTGCTTGGCATGCCCAGTGTTTTAAAGGTGGTAGATAGGTGGCAGTATAACTGGCTGTTTAATGCCTATTGCTTAGTCCTGGCATTTGTGTTATTTCCTGGTTTCATTTCCCTAAAATAGGGATAACTTGGCTTGTTCTAATCAGATATTAAAGTTTTTGTTAGGAAGGCTAAGGGACTTCGCCCGTCCCCTGCCCAGATTTCAGTATTTCATAGAATTCACATTTGTTTGTGGTACAGTATTTTTTTCTTTCCAAATTTTGGGTTTACTGAATAGTGAATTGATAATGTTAAAACATTACCAGTTTAATTTGTTTTAAGGAAAATTTAAAAACTGGATAAAAATTATTATGGAGGCTCTTTCCTTGTAGTTAAAATATTTAAAAAATGACTTTGTCAACCTGATGTCATCAAATCAAAACAAGCCTGTGTTTTCATGATAAAGCACTAGCTGATTCAGCAATGCATGCTTGGATTTACTTTGGACAGACCTCAGTGGGTCTTGTGAGAAGGATTGGGCCTTTTGATTTTCTTTCCTTTTTTTTTTTCTTTTTTGAGACAGGGTCTGGCTCTTTTGCTGGAGTCCAGGGGTATGATGTCAGCTCACTGCAGCCCCCACCTGCTGGGTTTAAGCCATCATCCTGCCTCAGCCTCTCAAGTAGCTGGGGCTACAGATGCACATCACCACCCCTGGCTAATTTTTGTATTTCTTGTAGAGACAGGGTTTTGCCATGTTGCCCAGGCTGGTTTTAAGCTTCTGGCCTCAAGTGATCTGCCCGCCTCAGCCTCCCAAAGTGCTGGGATTACAGGTGTGAGCCACTGTGCCTAGCCTGGGTCTTTCTATTTTCATTTCCAGAGCCATACATCTGTGTTAAATACAATAGAAAGAATATTGGTAAAGCTTTTACTGTCAAATACATTACTTACTGTAATTGTATTTCCCCACTTCATAATCAAAATTTCTATTTTAAAATCCCCAAAAGACCTAGAAAAGTAGAAAGCTAGCTAATATGGCTGACAGTCTGAAGACTTCTACTTGGACTCTGTCCAGCACATTTTGACCTCCCTTCTTCTCAAAGCTGGAGACTGGTGGATAAGCAATGGACCTGGAGAAGTGGAAGAAGACCCTAGATATGGGGTGTCTTCTTTAAGTGTGTATTTGTGGGGTGATGGTGGGGAGAGAGGTAAGAATGAATAATATGTTGATATACAATACTGACAGAATTTAACCAAAAGGACCCCTAAATTCCATCTCACTCACACCCATGCCTATGTCTATATCATCAGCCAAATATAGTTTTTTATTTTCATAAAGTTCAGAATGATCTGAATATTCCTGCTTTTAAGTGTAAAACACTTTTACAGAACAACTAGCTATTGGGTGAACTTCTATAGGTATCTCAACCATTTGTGAGCTGATCAAAGAAGAAAGTTTCTTCTCTTAGCCCCCTACCCTTCAACATTCTCCCTACTCTGCAAACAAACACATACACCTACACTCATACACTCACAGATCAGACAGGGCTTAAAGAAGAGGCTTTGTCCCATTTATGCTCATAAAGTATTTATTAAAATTAAATGCTTCTCATGCACTTCCAAAAATGTTCTATGATGTTTCTTAGATGTTCAGTTCTCAAATAATAGTAGATTGGTTAATGAAATATGATCTGTTTATGGTGCCAGATATTTATTGAGATGAACTACATTCACTTTCTGCTATCATATGAGCAAGAACAGGTGCACAAGTATATTTTTAATGTGATATGTATAAATTAAATGTATATATTAGTATCTCTACATATGCATAAATATATAAAGATATATATATAGATATATACATATCTATATATGCAAAGACAGTACTTAAGATATTAACTGAGCGGGCTATAGAGTATTTGCTTATTTTGCTTATCAGTATTTTCTAGTTTTTTTTCTACAATAAACATGAGGCATTTATAAAATAAATGAATATTCTTTGGTGTCTTTTAAAAAACCTAGCAATTTATTAGGATACTTGGACACAGAGGTTTAGGTCTATGAAGGGATTATTATGACAGAATACAAATGATCTCTATACATAGACAATAGAATGTCAGACCTTTAATGAGGTGAGGTCACTGATAACTATGAAGTCATATAGAAAAAATTTAAGTTAAATGCTTATAATAAACTACAAACTATCATTGAAAGAATGTTTAAATATAAATCAATAGTTTATGTTACGCCAGAAGGTGAAGATACCATGACTTTTATAAGAAACCATAACATACATGTATCTTTAATGTTACCAGTTTCTCCTAGATCAAAATGGAGAATTGGCAATCTTCCCTTTAAAGTGAATTTTACAAAACTAACCAGTTTTCTAAATTCTGTGTGTGTGTGTGTGTGTGTGTGTGAGAGAGAGAGAGAGAGAGAGACATTTTGTGTGTGTCTGGACAATCAATTTACAACATTTTAGATTACTGAATATTTACGAAAGTCTTCTAGGAAAATTTGGGGTTGTATTTTTGTATTCATAAAACAGATAATCTCACCAATTTTATCATATGCTGTGTTTAGTTACTCCATTTTTAGAGTTTTTTTGCATCTTTGGAAACACCAAACCGAGGAGTTCTGTCCTCTTGGAAACCATTAAAGGCGAATTTCAATTGTGTAGGGGAGACTTCTGCAAGAATAAAGAATTATCCAGGGATGTATTCAAGACCAAAGCAAATTATGCATCAGTGCAGGGCAGAGTAAGCTGTAAGCCCAAGGGGATTCAGAGACTTTTGCCTCACCTGTGATGACAGTGATGTGAGGAAGACAGTAGACACTGACATTATGAAACCTTAATATTCCATGGCTGGCATAGTGTTTGCCACAGAATTGCTGTGCAAGCAAGACATTGTATTTCTTGTTTGGTGTCAGTGCTGCTCCATATATGGTGGAGGAAGCTTTATGCTTTGTTAGAAAATCGGCTCTGAGCTGTTGCTACATCTATTTTATTCCACTTTTCCCAAGTGTGAGAGGCAGTAATGATCAAAGATTTTTTCCTATGTATAATTCATGTGATTTTGATGGAAAGCACATTGCAATTGTCTGCAGCAGTGGAATATGGTTAAAATTATGCATTTTAAAATAATACTAGTAGTTGTGTTTATATAAGTATGTTAAAGTTGGAAAGTTGGGACTGTTAGGGAAAGATTGTGGAAACAGATTTTTAAATGGCCTTAGTGACATCACATGAAGGATGTGATGATACTTAAAAAAAATTAAGCACTACTGTCCATGGAGAAAATTTTAGAGGACACTGTATCAAGGATTCCTAAGTAATGAGGCTTATTCTTATTGAGAATAATTTTCCTTCATGTGACCTGTTTTTGTGTGGTGATTATTTTTGTAATCATAACCATTCTGTGCTTTTTTTGTTTTTTTGCTTGCTTTTTTTCCCCTTGCTTAATTTTATTTTCCTTTTATTTTAACTGATGTTAAGACGTCAGGTCATGATATTATTTCACTTCCACTTGTTTTCCAGCATACCTCTTAGAAGTTATTAGTTGATTCAGTTTAACACAGGTTAGCACTGTTTGGTCTACTGTAGAAAACCAAAACTAAGCCTAAACATCCAATTTACACCTAAAAAAGAGGCTGCAAAGAACATTTTAAAATGCAATATGATTAATATTTTAGATTTCTTGCTTCTTCATGCTCACTTCCTTCGTTTTGTCTTATGGGATTATAGAAACGCCCTTGATAAATAAAATGATTTCTGGGTAGGTTTAGATAACTCATCCTTTAGTGTCATAAAGGATTTGAACTTAAAAGCTGATTAAAATCCTAATAAATGAAGCTACATATGAAGTATTATTTATCGAGATTAAAATGAAAATTTTAATAACAAGAATGCATGTTGTTTCCATGAAATGTTTTCCCTTGAGAAGTTTAATGTCTTTGAAGAAATAATAAAACCCACAAATTATCTCATTAATGTGCACATTAACTAATGAATGAAAACTCCCCTCTCACTTAAAGATACAAATCAAGGTGAAGTTTGAAAGAGTTTCTACATCTAAATTAATCTGTTAAAGAAAGAGTGAGCTCAGCCCAGAAAATCTTTAAGTCTTTGGTCCCTGTTTTCTTTATGAAGGCAGTATGAGATTTCTGGTCACCTTGGAAAATGGAAATTTTGACCTTTAAGTAAAAGAACCACTAACCATTTTTAAAAATTCAAAATTAGAGCTAAATGTAAATAGTTCTGTAATTTCACTATTTTAGGTTATATAGAATAAAGAAGAAGAATTTGGGATTCGCTACATGTAGTAAGAAAACTACATGTGTTTTCTTTTGTCTGCACCCATGTAGCATGGTGGGAGTATAGGTAAGCCACATGGCTTCCCTGTACTTCAGCCTGTTCACCTCTGAAGGGGGATCGTGACAACACCTTGTTCATGGGTTTGTTGTGGGGAATAAAAGAGATAATATGTGTAAAAACCAAAACAAAAACACGTTTGCTTGTCAAATAACAAGTATTTAGTCATTGTTGGTTACTTTTATAACAAATTGATTAATATTAACTACTCACAATAGCAAGTAAATATTTGGATAGTTACTCGGGTATAATTGAGAATTTTGTGTCTCTATTGTAGAAAAATATAAGAGTCAATCATATGTCAACCATCTTTAAAAAATATTTATAAGGCATAAACCCTACTGCAGAATTGAATTTTAAAGGATCTGTAGCTAAAATCAGCCAGGATTCTTTTCTTGTTTAGAAATTTGTATGAAAATAAAAATTGTTTCTTAATGGTGCCTCTGAAGGGTGGGATAGTGGAGCATGCAGTAGCAGGATGGAGAGAACTTGAAACAAAACAGAGGTAAAAGTTAAAGAAGAGTTTAGCTTTATACACCATCTTTAAAGGCTTGGTTTCATTATAAAACAAAATATCAGAACAGTTCAGTTTAAAATGTTTTTTATACAGAATTTAAACAGATATTTGGAATGCAAATATCTGTTTAACATATGCTAAAATGTTTTGATAACATAAACTGTCCAGAGTTGAAAGTACAGTTTTTGAATACTTTAAAAAGTTTCTGGACAGCCTGATTTATGGTTTTAAAACAAGATAAACTTTCATGGTACAATGATTATTTCCTAACCATTACACTAAATATGATTCTAAGGCATACCCTTTATTTTAATAAAATGTAAACAAAATACATTTTTTCTTGCTCTTACAAAGTATTTAATTTTTCTGCAATAAATTCAGTATTGAGTCTGACTCATAAAATTGATTTGGAATGTGTAGACGTGTGTAATAGACAACAAACAAATCAAGAAAAAAATCAATGCAGTGACTCTATTTGGAGAAGGAAAATTTTCTATATCATATAATGAATATTTCTTCTGTGTTATTCGATTTTCTGAATAAGATCTCTTGCATTTGACAGAAGTGTGTTCTTTCAGTGATTACTGCTATAAAAGACTGAATGCCGGTTAGCATATGAGCAAGAAAAAGTTGACTGTATTTGAAAATGTGCAGCCAGAAAATCTTACTGGTAGAAATGAGTATAGATTACTTAAGATTCTCAAATGAAATTCTTTGTTTGACTGAAAGGTAAAATAGCTGTAGTGAAGTTGAATATGAGACTTTAACAGGTTTATTCTCACATTGTGAGAACTGCTGTGGCTGCTCCATATAGTTAGCTTTGTGTTAATTTCTTTTTCAGTTTTACATCTTAGATTACTTTCTTCTGAATATGTCTCAGATAGGCTAGAGAATTGATTAAAATATATTGTATTAAAAATTATTTTAGTATGATGTATTGTACACTCCCTTATACTGTTCTTATACGCTCCCTTATACGGTTCTTACTCTTGGCGATAAAATTCATTTACTGTTACTTTAATGATATTCAGATTTACATAATGTCAACTAATCCCTAACCTAAGTCATGTATGCCATTAGGCATTTTCACTTTTTTCCCCCTCTTAGCAAGCCTCATAGCATTCTTTTGAGGATATATTTTATCCTTCTTATGCGAGTGAAACAATTTAGGAAGTTTATTGGAGAATGATTTTAAAAGCTTAATATTTAAATGGCTAAATAGACTTCAAGAGGTGTCATCATCAGTCGGCTCTTATAGTCCAGAAAGTAATATGTTCTCTGTGTTAAGGTTTTCAATAGGACCATACTGTGAAAAATGACACAAATTTACCGCCTAGGAATTAAAAATAGTAGCATATATTCCTGCTCTTACCTTGCCATTATATTAAATTAATACTGTTGATACAGTCGTATTTGCACTAAACATAGAAATTAATTACATATATGTGACTGGGCCCAGAATTAACCCTTCTGACCTAATTCCCCCCTCCCTCCCTTCCATGCATCCTTAAACATATACATACTGTCTTTCTCTTCCTCCCCCCTCTGCTTCTTTCTCCATCAAGCACTCTAGAATAATTAGGAGATTAGGATCTGAAATGTGAGATGGTGATGGTATAAGTAGATCTCTTGGGACTCCTTTTGTCATGAATCCCCAAATTGATCCCACAGATTTGAAGTGAGTATTCCCAGGATGTTTGAGATTTCATTGTGGGGTATTGGCTTTTCCTCAGCTGTCTGACCTTAAGCAGGTCTGAAAAAGCAATTCAGTGTGGCTTCAAAAGTCCCTGAATTAATGCAAAATATAGTCCAGATTAGCACTATTCTCTCTGCAGTTACCTTGTGGTGTAGAGAATAAAATATAGAAAAGTAAAAAGTATTCAGGTCAAATACTGAAATAGGAAGACATGGCTTTATTTTTAATAAGTGATAATCTGTTAATGTAAACTATTAGTAAATCTTACAAAGGTGTCTGATTCGTAATCAGGGTCATAACTACTGAGGAAATCTTAAAAATTATTTTTAATACACATGAGTTATATCAGTCCTACATACAACTGGTAGAATTTTAACACTGAGAATTCGATGCCACTTCAAAGATGATTTAAGGACTGAGTGAGATCCCTAGGTTTGTATACTCTCCATTCAGTTAAAATCGTAAAATATTTCCATAACTATACTTTATGACACCTTTAAAGTAAGACCTTAAAGTTGCTTTTTTTTTTTTGAGATGGAGTCTTGCTCTGTCGCCCAGGCTGGAGTGCAGTGGCACGATCTCGGCTCACTGCAACCTCCACCTCTCGGGTTCAAGTGATTCTCCTGCCTCAGCCTCACGAGTAGCTGGAGCTACAGGCGTGCACTACCACACCCAGCTAATTTTTGTATTTTTAGTAGAGACAGGGTTTCACCATGTTGGCCAGGATGGTCTCGATCTCTTGACCTTGTGATCCGCCCGCCTCGTCCTCCCAAAGTGCTGAGATTGGGATTACAGGCATGAGCCACCGTGCCTGGCCTAAAGTTACCTTTTAAGTAAAACATAAGTGGTGTGTTTTAAGAATTTAGTAAAATAAATTAGTTGATGAATTATTGGTACATAAAGCAATATAAAAGATACGGTTTGTGAGAATTCTTTGATGTATTTATACTGCCAAGTCAGTAATACACTTGTATTTGCCTCTAAACTTTGAGATTTTAAAACTCAATGTATGATTCATGTCCTTATGAAAGGAGGCTAATAGTTTTTTAAACTCACATAATAGATTTAGATCCAAAATATAAAATGAGATTATTAGATCAGGGTTGAAATTCAATTCCTGCTGGAGCTTATCTATGATGGCAGAATGGAGAAGATGAAGGGATATAACATAGATTGAGATCCTTTTCCTTTGTTTGAGAGATATTATTTTACTTAATAACCAAAATAAACTTATGAGTTCAGTAGTGTTATTTTTACTGAGGAGGAAACCAAGGCTCATAGACATTAATTGGTCCCAGTGATGCAACTGGTATGCCTGAGTGCCAGGGATGGGGTTTAAACGTGGGTGTGTATGACTCCAAAGTCAAGGATCCTTTTCTTATTCCATAGATGCCCTAAAGTGAGTCTAAAATTGTAGTTCATAACTGTTCTTTTGCACAATAATCTTAGTGCTATATTCATTTCTAATATGTCAATTCTTAGCTAAGCAAATAGCATCTACATTATTTATTGCTTCTTTATACTTAATGTCCTAATCTTTTTACCATAGACCATGGAAAGAGCACTCTTATAAGCTGAGATCTCATAAATGTGTAGAAAACCTGAAAACGAGTCCCATTGTTGGGGTGGTAATGTGTATGTATACACATCAGAAGCACAGAGTCAAATTCCAGTAGACCCTGCAGATAGGGTAATGACCTCCAATGGGGCCTTCCAGCCTTTTACAAAGTAATTCACTAGTCAGGAAAATGCAGTTGACTCCTAATCTAATGAAAAAAAGAGACATTTAGGCTACATGACAATTTAGGCTTCAGTATTATTTCTGTGGACAACTCTTCCACTACCTTTAATGATAGGGGCTTTGATATTTTTATGATGGATATTGATAATATTATTCCTTGTCTCTTTCTAGTGAAAAGCTTTGAAGCGCAAAGTGCTTCTTAAAGAGAACAATAAATTTACTGCAATAAATACATTTAAATAGCACAATTATTTTTACCTACTATTGTTATCACTACTAATGAGAAACTTTAAGGAAATGTGGAAGCATTACTATAGCGGTGGGATTTTTTCAGGGACGTGGGGTCTGCTGAGTATTTAAAAAGTATTGTCAAATCATGATTGTGTGGAGCTAAAATTCTGATTTCCTTATGGTGCCTTCATAGAGGCTTGATTTTTTTTTTTTTAGAACAGTACACCACCAAATTTATCGTATTGGTTCCATATATAGCTTTATTTGAATAAGTTTTTGCCATTTGGGGGCAATAAGATCTAGCCATTTACCAATGAGCGTACTGATTCATATTCTTATTTTCTTGGCATAGTAGTATTTCTAAAATAATATTCTGTTTTTCTTAAAGATATTAGAGAAAAAGGGAGAAATGAATGTAACTAAAATTCATTGTAAAGATAAGCACAGTCATTACTAGTTTCTATTGGTTGCTATTTTCTTTTCATCAGTTGAATATATTACTTACCTCAAAATGCCCATATCCCAATATACCATTCATCTACTCAATGATTTTATTTTCATTCAATAAAGATTGTTGCATATCTATCTTGGGTCAGATATTGTGATTAGTTTTGAGAATAATAAAATGAAGGAATCCAATTGCCCCGTTTATTCCCAAGCAATATCTAGTCTATTTGCAAGGACAGATCCATCAGAGCCAACTCTAGGTGTGGCATTATGTGATGACAGTTTTCATTTCAATAAACATTTAAGAGTGACTTCTGTGTAACAGACATACAGATAACACTGACGATACAAAAGTGTCTAAGTCAAGATCCAAGATTCCTCTTCTCAAAAAACCTCATAGATTCTTCTTGCAAATAGATCAGTTACTACTGAATGTGGCTGAACCAATTTACACTTCCACCAACAGTGCATAAGCGTTTCTTTTTTTTCTGCAACGTTGCCAGCATCTGTTATTGTTTGACTTGTAATAATAGCCATTCTGATGGTATCTCATTGTAGTTTTGGTTTGCATTTCCCTAATGATTAGTGATTTTGGACTTTTTTTCATATGATTGTTGGCCGTATATATGTCTTCTTTTGGAAAGTGTCTGTTCATGTCCTTTGTTCACTTTTTAATAGGACCATTTTTAATGTGACTTATTAGTAACTTCATTATGTGTTTGCGAATGTCTACTTGTGTGATATAATTTTGCCTCTCCCCTATGTTGTAGATGATTGGTTCACAAATTGAGGCGTCAAAAATAAGAACACATTCAAAAGGTTAGCATAAATCCCCTCGCTAGTGATAGCATGAGAAAGTGTGGGTATGTTACATGTGAGGTAGTGGTGGGACACTACTAGAAGACAGACAACTTAAATCTTATTCCCCTCTTATATGAATTTATTGTGTGATTTTCTGTGTGACAAAGTTTCAGGACCTCTATCTTTTCATTTCCTCATTCACAATAGAAGATAGTATCTATTTTATTTAACATGTAAGATGTTGAGGGGATGAAATTGGATTGTAATATATATGAGATAGTGTGTGGAAAAAAATATTGTGTAACTATAAGCAACCATGAGTAACAGTAATGAGTAGTAATGTTTATGTCATTTAACTGTACTTTATTCTTTATATTTAGTTTTTAATTGACATCTTTAGATTTTAGGTAAGCTACTAATTGCACACATATAACTTGTGCTAATGTGTTTTATGGTTTGATGCCTTTGTATCTGATTCTTTTTAATATATAACAAAGCAACTAACATAGTGACCAACACATAGTGAAGTACTGAATATATATTTGAATACACTTTGTAAGTTACTTATAGGTTATAGCATATTGAAATTAAGCTCTTTCAAGACTCTCTGTCCTATCTTTGCAAATGCTTATACTTAATGTGTGTTTTAGCTTGCAATCTGTACTTTGCTTTCAGAAAATAATCCAATTAGATCAAAATGTTAATGTGAGATTATAAATTGCCCATAATTTGATTATAAAATAAGAAGTACTTAAACGAATAAGGTTTGAGACAACCTAGTCATACCTGATGTATAGCCCAATAGAACAAAATCACAGAAGATTGGAGGTAGGAAAAAAAACAATCTAGAAAACATGATATAAGTATATATCTGTGTGTGTGTCTGTATGTTTTGCCAATAACACATCACTCTGATGCCTTATGTTCAGTAAAAATTTGCTGATCTAGCTTTAGAAGTTTTAGTTATTAGACTGTCTTTTTATTTCCTGTCTTTATTCAAATTGAAAATGTCAGGGGGAAAATGATTATCATTAGTTTAGTATTTTGAAATGTATTAAGAGTGGGAGACTTGTAAAATTTTTTTTAGAATTTAGAACATATTTTTTTCTGGTCTTTACTTTTTACATAATTTATATAAGGGTTGGGTAAATACCCAGCTATTTAAAAAAGACACTTTAAATAAGTACCAGGTTATAGAATTACTGTGGTAATTTTTAATTTTACAAGTGCTGGTTTATGATTTAAGTGGATCCATTAAAGGATATTTTTATTTATAATTGGATTAAAATACTGAGTTAGAAATGTAAATGGATTTAACCATGGTTGAGGAAGGAGAGTCTCTTTAGTAAGTTCCTAGTAATTGGATTATTTATTATTTTATTTCAGTCTTCATACAATTTTAAAATTTAGAGTTAATATCACCTACAGTAGGTGGTAAATTAGTTTTATGGCATGAAAATCTGCCGTAAGTGAGGAAATATTAAGAACATGGTGAAATAGAGCTTAAAAATACTGTTTTTTCTTCTACTTTTGTTATATCAAGTTATAGGCTTTTATAAAAAGCTCAATGTAAGAAACACTACTAATAAGAAAGGGACAAAAGCTTTTAATAGCTTTGGTTGAATTCTCCATTCTAATATTAATCAGTGAAGAAAATGCTTACTCTAAGTCAATTTTTCTGATATACATTTGACTAGTGAAGAGATTAAATTATGAATGTCACATTTAATTTAAAACTAAAGAGAGAAATAGCACTATCACAGGGAATGTGCTCTTTTGTGAATGTCAAGTGCAACTTGTTGAAGGTCTTTTGAAAAACGTGTAGGAGAGATGTTGTTGTGCATTAGTTATGCATGTCTAGAGTACCTATCAGTTTGGAATACAGATGCCATATTATACTATTGACTACCACTGTTTTTAATATAGGTTGGGCCCTGGAATCACCCTCTGGTTTCCATTGGAATGGACTGAGCCTATGCCACCCTAAAACAGAATGGATCCAAAGGCTTTTAAAATTTGTGCAGAAAATAACATTTGGCCTAGGAAGTTGGGTTTCACATTCTATAATTCGCTATTTATTGGTAACTTGTTACGAGTTTCTAGAGAGGATTTTTCTCTTCTCCGTGGTTGCTTTTTCTTTTCAAATATTGGTTTCCCTCGACAAGGAAGTGCTGTGTAACTGAGAATTTTGCCAAATGTTAGCCTACTCATTTCTGTTCACTCCTTGGCTTTTCACATAAGAATATGGGGAGGGTTAATAGGCTTAATTTATGTATACCTCTTCCACAGTTCATGGGCACATAGTCATCCGCATATAGAGCAGGTGATGAGTACATTTCCATTAGATGAATGAGGGGAATGAGTCATGGAAATATCCATTTCCTTAGTACAGAGACATTACTGGGGTTCATACACTGTAACATTTTAGGACTACATCCAGGCCATTCTTGTCCTCTTCTGTATTGTCCAGTTGGCTTGTCATAATGTTATCTCAAAGCCGAAATATCCTCCAACCACCAGAGTAGTTAGACAATGGTGCTTGGCATTTGAGGAAAAATCTTTAAAAAATGAAGGAAATCCAGATATTATAAAAACATGAGAATGAATATGAAAGATATGGCATGAAATTTTAAAATTAGAAGAGTCTAAGAACTTGCATCAATATTGTTAAAAGGATGAATACTTCTGTTATTCCAGCATTTATTATTACTGTTATCAACATTTTGCTTCCTTGGTATAACAAAATTTAAAGTGATAATGTGAGGATGGCATGAGCGACTGGAAATTTAAAAGGATCATTGGATATAGTGTGAATTCATAATGTGGCCAGTGCTTTAGAAGCAGCCTGCCCCTCCCATCAGGGAAAGTTCATTTGCCTTTGGTGAGGATTCTGGATAACATCTTTGAAGGCACTAAAGTATTAACACAGGGCCACAGGTGGAACAGCTGGTTTAGTTCTACTTTATACTAGCACTTGTGTGGAATATTTCTTTCAGAAGACAAATGTTATATTTTTATCTGCAGAGAGGAGTTTATTTTGCCGAATGTACCAGAGAGAATATTTGAACAAAACGTTTATTGCTTTGTATAGTTTACCATTCCAACTGTTTTGTAATTTTAATTTTAAAAAAAAAGAACATAATTTAAGCATATCATTGTTAGATGTTATTTTCCTTTTTTAGTGTGCTCACTTAGCCAGGGGAGCATATTTTGGTAATTTTACTCATTCTCAAATTTCACCTCAGGTCATCAGGTTAGCACAGACTGGAGGTGCATTTATTATTTCCCAAGTGATAAATCGCAGCACTTGAACAATAGTGGCTTTATTAATAATTCTCACAAACGATCATACTTAATACTAATTCTGTTTAAGGTAGAAGTCTGTTGTGAGTTCAGAAGGTACAGAGATACGCCTGTTTTGGAGACAGAAGTAGGGAAAAGTATCTTGCTTCAAATGTGTAACATGTATGGGGAAAACCCATGTGTTTCATATTCATTTTACTTTCAAAAATCAGGTTTGTATGTTCCTAATTGTTTTCTTATGTTTACTTAATTTTTGAGAATGGATTGATTTTATTTTCAATGTTATCTGCTTCCTGGCATGCTTAAACAATTCAAAGAAGATAGCTACGGCCCCCTTGTGGTTAAATGATATAAAGTTGTCAAGATGGAAGAATAGCTATTTTTTTTCTAAAGTGATATTCTTGAAAATTCTAAGGCTGTGGCTTAAAAATCATAAAATTGTTACAGAGGCAATAAAGACATCAGTTGCTTATTTAATCAACATAAAGTCAAACATCCAATTTTTTATGTAAATAGGTAACTGTTCAGGCTGATTTGAATAACATCTGCATAATTACTTTCCTTACCCTACCCTCTGTGACATTTTAGTTTAGATGTATGGGTAAGGTAGTAAAAAATATATTTTTTAGGTTGTTGAATCTTAATTATAAATAATCTAATATTTAAAACCTATTAATATAGGAAGATGTGACACAGCATATATTATGTATGTGCTTTTGATAGTTAAATCCTAACATTTTCATTACAATAATTATCTAGTTCCACACATAATTCATTTTATCCTCCATTAGGGGAAGCATCTTGAACCATTTCAGAGAAATGTAAATTTCAGAGAAAAGTAAATTATTGAAGATTTTTCTCCTTTGTTTAGTGTTTTATGTTCTACATAAGGATTAAAGAAGTTGCTATCAGGAAGTGTACATTTGAATGCATACTTCAATTAATAATTTATCACAAATGGGATAAGTAGTGGCTCTTTTCACAGTTGTGATAAGGCTTTAAATTATTTATATCAAAAAGATGTTGAGTTTGAGGGTTTGTATCCTACCTATGGAAACAACTTTATATACTTAGAAAAAATAATCAGGATTTGGGCCAATTGCCTTCTAAAATAGCATGTGAAAAGCTATATAAGATTGTTTAATATATAAATCTTTTGACTTAAAATATGAAAACAGATGGTAGTGAACTAAGCAGGAATAAATCCTGTTATGCAAATATAACTACTCTCTGCGAGTTGTTTTAGGGAAACATAATCTTTTTAGTTTTGATGTGGTTGTAAGAGTGGGGAAAAAAAAAGGTCCTGTATAGTATGCGCCAACTGATAGGTATTCAAAGGTTGTCCCTACTAGTGCCAATTTGATATTACTATTTTCATCTGGTGTACTTCACTTGATCTCATGGGATAAACTTCTGTCTTCAGGGAAGAAATGGAAGAGGTAGCAGAAATTAAATGAATACTTCAATAAAGGTCACAGAATTTATCAGAGCTTTGCTAGATGAAAAAAAAATCTGTGAAGGCAAAACTAATCTCTGGTGTTAAAAGCATGATTTCTGGGATAATGGTAATTTCTGTTTTTTGATGTGAATGCATCATATGAATATGTTTACCTTGTTAAAATTTATACACTTTTCTGTATGTATACTGTTTTTCAGCAATAAACTGACAAAAAAGAGGAAAATAATATTTGTGAACACTGGTGGAACATTGTAGAAATGTTCATGTTGTGAAAATAGTAATATGTCAAGAATAAAATAATGTTTGAAATATAGTTTTATGTAGCCATCACTATATAACACTTTATAATTAATTCTTTCACCTGAAATAAGTTTTATGAAGTGATTCTTCTTTATAATTAACCCAAAGTCAGAAAAAGTACAGTATCTCCCAAATAATCAGTTAATTACTTCCCCGTTATAAGAAATTTGCTAGCTGATTTTCAACGTTTGGACACGTCTGCTTGAAGGCAATCCTGGAGTATCTGTGTAATTCGTTTATTAATTTTTTATGTATTTAGAATGTTTTAGTAGAAACAACCTGATCTGTGTTTTACCTTAAATCTATGTGACCTCAAGCAAGTCTTTTTTTTTTTTTTTTTTTTTTTTTTTTTTTGGAGACATCTCGCTCTGTTGCCCAGGCTGGAGTGCAATGGCGCGGTCTCAGCTCACTGCAACCTCTGCCTCCCGGATTCAAGCAATTCTCCTGCCTCAGCCTCCCGAGTAGATGGGACTGTAGGCATCTGCCACCATGCCCGGCTAATTTTTGTATTTTTAGTAGAGACGGGGTTTCACAGTGTTAGCCAGGATGGTCTCCATCTCCTGACCTCGTGATCTGCCCACCTCGGCCTCCCAAAGTGCTTGGATTACAGGCGTGAGCCACTGCACCCGGCCAACCAAGTCTTAATATTAGAATCTCAATTTGTAAAAACAGGGGCAATTATTATTTACTTCGCAGCATTAAATTAGATGATACTGAGAAAGCCCATAGTACAAACTATGGCATATGATCTATTTTCAACTAAGTTTAGCTTTTTACTCTTTTTCTCTATGGAAATCTTACCTCAATCTACTGTTGAAAATGGATGATTTTTCTGACTTGCCAGCAGTACAAAAAGGCGAACATTTGTTACTTTAAAATATGCATCATTTAACGAAAGCATTATCCAGACAAATCTTTATAGATGGTGGTTAGCAATGTGATGGGTATAAGCCAAATTAGAATGGTTTCCTAATTTGGGGTGCTATTTCTTCACATTTTAGTATTCTGACTATTTAAATTTGTAAAACTGGCAAAAATTATTTTGGAAAGTAAATTTGTTTTAAAAACAATAAATATACACATACTCTTTGGCTCGTATTCCTATTGCTGAGTATTTATTCTCAGAAAATAATTTTAAAAGTAGGAAAAATACTAAAAAGCCACAAAGATGGAATAGTAAAAATCTTTCTGTGGTCAAAATGTCACAGAGTAATAAAATAGAATGACAGTTTATTGTGGGTAGGGTATTACATAATTTAAAAACTAATATTATGAAGACTTGGTTATAATATGGTCAGTGTTCCTTGGGGAAGAGTAAAATGTAAAATGTCTATGACATAACATGACTTCAGATCAATTGTAATATCATGATTACCATTATTTTTCTAATTGTGCATTTGAACAAAGACTTTACAAGAATTAGGAAAAAATGTAAACATTTATCGGGCTACAGTGGTGGAATTTGGGGTGATACTATTTCTTTAATGTTTTTATGATTTTGTTCTTTCCATATGGGATGGGTGAGGTGAAGAGGGAAAGTGCATAATAAATGTAAGGGCAGTTTTTAAAAAAATCTGATCTAGTACATTTTTCCTCTGAGGCTGATTTCTACTTACTATACAATGTGATTTTTTTTAATGGCAATTTATGAAAAATCTACAAAATTGAGGTAGCTTACCATGGTGCTATGTGTTTGGTCCCCTCAAAACATACCTTTGAAATTCGATCTAAATAGCTCTTTGAAAATGTGAATGGTGAATGTCAGCTACTAAACAAGCACAGTTAATGCAGCTGCAAATGTGAATGTTCTGAGGCCTCTGGAAGCTGCCAGATTCAGTGGCCCAACTGTGTTTCCTATTGCTTCTTCTTATGCCTTATAGTAGCAACATTCATAATACAACAGGATCTCTCTCCATCCCACCTTGGGGTTGGAGGGCACTTATTTGAATGCTGAGGTGAGCAGTCTGTGTTCCCAGAGCAGGTAAATGTAAACATTTGCTTTCTTTTCTCTTTTGGTTCAAGCCCTTTCCAGCCTTCCCTGGAAGGGGAGGACTTGAGGGCAGGTTCCCAGTGCTGAGCTCTGAAGCACAAACAACAAAAGGAAGGGCGAGGAAGTCTGATTTAATGAATTTTATCAAGTGTCATACCAGCTCATTAAAAGAACATTTCAAGAGGAACATTTGCTGACATGGCTTTTTGAGGATTCATTTATTCCACAAACATTGAGCCAAACCCTTCATGTATCAGAGGTACAGATGTGAGACTATAAAGATGAATCTGACTTGGCGCCTGCCTCAAGCAGCTTATATAAGGGAGAAGTTTGTCATGCTTAGTTCAAGCCTTCCTAAAATCCAAGCTTCTTTCTCTTTTTATATTACACAAAAAGAAAGCCAAGGATGCTTTTCTTATACTGGTATTCTCAGAGATATGTATATTTCCAGTAGATGTAAATTACCTTTTACATAAGATAGTCTGTGTATTTCTAGAAGAAATGAAAATGGCATAATATCTGCAATGTTGGTTTTTTGTAGGATAAACATTTTTAATGCAATATTTTAAAATAGCATTACCATGAAAGAAAATACAGGATTCAGGTTGCACCCATTTGGCTACCAAATTCCTTCTTCAGTTTTAGTTGAGGACCAATACATGATTCTTGCGCGTTTTTTTAAATTAAAGAATAATTTTTATATTTATCAAAGTGAAACATATGCAGTCTTAGATACATTTCCAGCAGAAATGTGCAGATTGGCAAAAGACATGTACTAGAATGTTCACTGCATCACAATTTTTCATAGCTCCAAACTAGAAACAACCCAATATAAATTGTGAAGCATTCATTACACTGGAGTGTCACATTGCAAGGAAAACATACAAAAGTAAGGACAAAACTGAAACATAACATTGAATGAAAGAAACTAGACACCAAATGTGGATACTATTCTCTGATTCCATTTCAATTAAATATAAAGCAGGCCAATCTACTCTGTGATGTTAGAAGTCAGCATAGTGGTCACCTGTTTTGGGGAGGCTGTGGTGCCTGGAAGGGAGCACAAAGGAGGGACTCTAGTCACAACCTGTTCCTTCACCTGGTGCTAATTACACAGGTGTTTCAGTTCGTGAAAATTCACCAAGTTTTATACTTAATGTGCACTTTTCTGGATATTATACTCCAACACAAAGTTTAAACATTCACAGTTAAATTACATGAATAGATAAAAATGTGTAACAGGAATTGGAGCTGTGCTTATAAGAACATGTTCCTCCTTCACCTACATTTTTGTGGCAATTATAAATAAAACCATACAAATTAGAGCAGTTTATTCAAAGCTTTCCATAGCAGCCATCATCACATGCATTTGGTAGAGACTCAAAGTAAAGCAGGAGGCTGGTCATGGTGGCTCATGCCTGTAATCCCAGCACTTTGGGAGGGCAAGAAGGGAGGAATACTTGAGCCCAGAATTTGAAAGCAGCCTGGGTAACAAAGTGAGACCCTGTCAATATTAAAATAAAATAAAATAAAATAAAAATAAAAAAAGTAAACCAGAAGTGTGGGAAAGGCAGAGAAAGAAGGCTCTACGTGTGCTCTGATTGGGATTGTTGGCATGAGAACATGAACTAGTTCACCTAGGAGGTGAACTAGGTATGTGATTAGTTTGAGGAGCATATTAGATTTTCTGGTTGGTTCTGAGTTGGAAGCAGAGACCAAAAAAATAAGAAATAATAAAATTGGGAGTTGGCAGTCTGTGATCGAGCTCTGACTATTCTGTGTAAATTGTCTTTCTAGGTTGGTTGCTTCATAGATTGTGGGTCAGAGTTCTACTGCTATTTATAGTTTGACCAGTGTGCATTCTATCTTCAGTCTCATTAGAGTAGAAATCAAGTGGAGCATTATGCAGGGAACAAGGAAAGTGAGGTGCTCTGAAAGGGCCTTGCGTTTGGTGCATTTGGGATACAAGGTTTGATGTCTTTTGTTTTGGGAGCCAGGCCTGTGATTTGTCAGTTCTCCAAAAGGAGTTACACTGTAAGAAGCTACCTAGTAAACCCATATCTACTAGACTAATCTAATGGGGATATATAATGGAAAGAATTCATTATGTAAAGTGGAGGGCAAAGCTTGTTTAAAAATTGAATATTCCCTTTCTTGATGGTGTTATTCAGAAAACCCATTAAATGCTACCAAATTTTTTAAAAAGCCAAGATTTTCTGTGACATATATGGAATAGTCATTCTCAAGCTAACATTAGAGTCATCTTAGGGTCTTAGAGAACATTAGAGTCATCTTAGGAGCTTTTAAAACTGCATTGGTACTGGTCTTGCAACCAGAGATCCCAGTATGATTGATATGGAGTGGGGCACAGGCACTGCTATTTCTTAAAGCTGTCCTGGTGATTTTAACATGTAGCTATAGTGTTGAGATCACTGGTTTAGAGCAAAGGGTAGAAAATAATAATAATAATAAAACGTTTGCAGTGGGATGGTGGTTTCATGTTTTATATCAAGTATCTTATATACACTATTTTATTAAGTTCTCACCACCACCCTGTGAGGTAGGTGTTGTTACTGCCTCTCTTTCAAAGATTAGAAAACTAAAGCTCATAGCAATTAAATACTTCATGAAGTCATACAATCACAGGCATACAATTCCTTATTCACAATTTCAAAATTCAGAAATCTCTAAGAACTAAAATGTTTTTGTAACTAATTGTTAACAAAAGGTGATCTAACCTTGGATTGAATTACCATGCATTTCCATGATGTATAACCAAGTACCACAAGCTTGTCAGCTTAAAGCAATGGCCATTTATTACCTCACAGTTTCCATAGGTCAGGAATTGGGTATGACCTGACAGGATCTTCGGCTCAAGGTCTCACCAGGCAGCCTATTATCACCTTATTTGAGGTTTGGGATCCTCTTCCAAGTTTATGGGTTGTTGGCAAAATTTACTTTTTGGCAGCTGTAAAACTCATGGTGGCTTGCTTCTGTAAAGTCAATAGGAGAAAGCCTATTTTCCTTATAGTCTCTGACTACTAGATCCTCATTTAAAGCATTCATAAGATTAGCACAGGTCCACCTGAGATAATCTCCTTTTTTATTAACTCAATATCAACTGATTAGGAACCTTAATTACATCTGCAAAAATCCCTTTGCCGTTGCCATATAATGTAACATGAATGATGTCCATCATATTCACTGGCCCCACGCACACTCTAGGGTAGGGGATTGTTATAAAGGACATGTACAGCCGGGGGTACATGTACACTTGGGGTTCATTTTAGAATTCTACCCTCCACAGACTTGAGCTATTTTAGAGGCAAACAATCTGACCTAAATTGAGGTGAGGATATATAAAGCCTTTATTTATTATACTTAGTATGAATAGTCACTGTAGAAATAATGTGTTTGAGTATTGGATACTGGGAATGTTAATAAAATATATAGACTATTCACTGTAGTTTTTTCTAAAGTTAAAAAACATCCAAATTGCAAAATCTCTGGCTTTAAGGTTTCAAACAATGGTTTATGAACCTGGAATAAGTAGCAGAGCAGAAGTCAGTTTAATCAAGTCTAGAGTAACTCTCTTAACTACTCGGCTGTACTGCTATCAAGCAATTATTAAGCTATGTTAGTCCAAGGAATTTCCCTTCTACATTCTAGGGACATGTTTATCCAGAGAATCCAAACTAGTCACTATTACTGATAAGTCCATATTTTCAGAGTTGGAAGAAATTTTAATAGCTTCCTAAACTAATCACTAATCTGATACATGACTCTGTTTTATCTTCTCAGGGCCCAAAGTGTAGAGCCTTGCCCAAAATCATTACCAAGTTGTCAACTTTGTCATTATACAATTTATTTTCTATTTCTTTCAGATCAGTTGCACTTGTGTATCTCGGCTCTTAAAGCCTCTTTTCTGCTCTCTGTGAATCATTTGAGACCATAGTAATAGTTTCAGCAGATTTGTTTTCAAGTCTTCCCAACCTTGAAGACTTGTTCTTTCAGACTGAAATTCCTGAACTCATTGAGAATGGATAAATTTGAACTCACTCACATAGTGGGGAATGGATACCATTTTATTGTTTTATTTTTCAACTTTATATATTCTAGGCTCTATATTGATCTCTATAATAACACCTTTCAGTTGTACTAATCTGTATCCAAGATTTTAAAACATATTTTAAATTACTAACATGACTTTGGATAAGTAATAAGTGCCAAGGTAATATAAAATCATTGTTTGTCCTTGTGCAAATAGGAATTCTAATATTTTTCTGTATTTTATATAAGGCAAAGGGAAGGCCTTCTACCCCAGCTTTTATAGTACAAGTTAAACTGGGCACAGTGCCTGATTCACCTGATTCTTCTTTTAGAAGGAAATGTTGAAAATATCTAGTAGATAATAAAGTACAGAAATATAAAATATAGCCTTTAATTGAAGGATGCAAGAAAAACAGTCGCTAAGATACTTTCTAGGTCTAATATTATAGGATCAATCTCTTCTGATCTCATAGTATTTATTTCTTCTTCCTATAGGATATTAATTGCTTTTTCATCTATGGATCAGTTCTAATTTCTAATATAATGCACGATTGAATGAGCTCCCTCCTCTTCTGTACTCAGGAGGCCGACACCAATGGTTCTGTGGCTCAATTGCTTTTTAATCGATCCCTCTGAAGAGTCAGTATGTTAGCAGAATGGCAAAATATCTCAGAGCCTGCACACCTGTCTACAAAGTTAAATCAGTCCTCCCCTTTCTCTAGAAGGGATGGGTAATAGGAAAAGTGTTCATCCCAGGAAGGAAGTCTATGTCATAATTGCTTACCTCATCTAAAATGCAGCTCCAGTTCAATATTTTTCTTGAAGGGTTGCTGTGAGGACAAATAAGAAAACAGATGTGAAATGCCCAGCAGAGTTGAGTCAGCCCTCAATAAATGGTGGCTATAGAGCAGCAGAGGTGGCCGTGGTGATGTTGGGGGTACATTTTAAGCTGTTAGTACTTTTGTGAATCAATGAAAGTCAATGAGTCTTTGGTTTATGACAGTTACTTTGCCATAAATAAGATGGTTATTCACCTGTGCTTTGCAAAAGAAGTCCAAGAAGGGCTGACAACTTAATAAGCAAACTTGACAACTACCTAGGACATTTGTTTTAAATGATTTCCTATTTGATACATTTCAAAAAAAATAATTAAAATACAATTATGTTAGGTTTCCTAACATGGACTTTACATTTTGGAATTGGTTTTATTTTGAGTAATGAATAGATGACTATTATCCTTTTAGTTTTTAGTTTCTCTACAGGCCTTAGTCCTAATAAAGTTTTTCATTTGCATTGAAAAACATGATTAATATGCATTGATATTCAATTAAATGGGTTATTGACATCCATTTTAGAAATTCTGTTATTTTAAAAGAGAATAGGGATCAGAAGCAATACCTCTCTTCCTTCAAAAAATGACTGAAACCAGCAACTTTAAGACTGCCATCTAATAGAGGTTGGATAGACATTCCTCTAGGTAGTAGGATGGCTTCGTCCCAAAAAGAAAAGTCTTGGTCTTATGTTTTACAAAACTTGTCTTCCATATAAACTTATATGTGTAAAATATATAAATATCAATGATTCATGCCAATTCTATTGAATAGGCTTTTTCTAAATTTGTATTGGGTCATAAATTGCCTTGAAAAATTCATATAAGATGTGCAACTTTTCTGAGTAAAATGAATATTAAATGTCTGCACAAAATTTTGCATATTTTTTCTAGAGATTGTTGGAATTCTTGAATCCTATTCTGGTAGGTAGTAGGTAGAATTTCAGATTTAACACCGCAATTCAATGAACTTGAGTTGGAAGGATAATCTACGTGGTGAGATTAATTTTATAATAAGTCTTTTGAAGTACAGAGAATTAAAGTTATTCAGCTACCTTTGTCAGGGCAATCAACCTAGTTCTTAATTTCTACTCTATCAATTTCTCTCTTTATTTCCTTGCTGCATCCAGAGTGATTTAATTTCATAATTGGCAAAGTCTGTACAATGTTTTCTTTGTTAAACACTTCTGTTCATAATTCTTATTGTTTCTTAATTTTCCTAATATTTCTGTCATTTTAGTTTATTTTCTACATTTGACCCTTTTTCTCAACAAAGTAGTAAGATCACTTGGACAAAAAATAATGTGTAAATGGGAAAACCCTTAGAAAAAGTTGAGAGAGAAAGAGAATGATAGTTTATATAATTCCAAGTGTTACCTTTACGTCATGATCATTAAATAGTTGATGTATTTTTTTTTGGTCAATTGGATAAACTAGACATAAAATTTATGCCTCATGAATGATTTAAGTTTGTTTTCCAACAGTGGGGCATTCCAACTTAGGTTTGAATTTCACATCCAAATAAAAGCAGAAATTTCATCTGTCATCGCACATTTTGGCTTTGCTGAGGGGAAGACCCAGATGCTATGTGGAGAGACATGTGGCCTGGGGACGAGTAAACAGCCACTACATGATTGATGAACAGGAGCAGTTCACACAGTTTCTGTTAAGACAGGGAGCTACATCTCCTCAGACCATTATGAGCTATCAAGTCTGGGCTGACTGAGAAATAAGTTCTGTCTTATTTCTTTTTTCTTTTTTTTTCGAGTCGGAGTCTCGCTGTGTTGCCAGGCTGGAGTGCAGTGGTGCGATCTTGGCTCACTGCAACCCCCGCCTCCTGGGTTCAAGCAATTCTGCCTCAGCCTCCTGAGTAGCTGGGATTACAGGCGTGTGCCACCACGCCCAGCTAGTTTTTGTATTTTTAGTAGAGACGAAGTTTCACCATGTTGGCCAGGATGGTCTTGTTTCCTTGACCTTGTGATCCGCCCGCCTCGGCCTCCCAAAGTGCTGGCATTACAGGCGTGAGCCACTGCGCCCGGCCAAATATTAGCTATTCTTATTTTTAAGTTTCTGATAAAGAAAAATGTTTTCCCATGATTTTACAGTTCTCCTGCATGCTAACTAGGATTTTAAGGAATTATTATCAATAATATATTTATTTATTTATTCAGCAAATATTTTTGAAGGCTCACAGTGTATCAGGCACTGCTGTCGATCTTGGGCAAATAGTAGTGAATAAAACATAGTGACTGGAATGAGGCTGAGAGGATAAAGAAGTATGTGAGCAGAGGCCTAAAGTAATGAAAGTGAAGGGAAGCACGTTCCAGGCAAGGGATCTTTAGATGTAGGAAGGGCCCAAGCTGGATCGTGCCTGGCATGTTTAAGGCACCACAAGGAGGCTGGTGATGTAGTAGTAGGAATGTCACGTCAGGAGATGAAATTGGAGTGGGGTGGAGTCTTCATGTCAGCCCTAACAGGCAGGACCAAGGGAAGCCATTGGATGGGGTTAAGCAGGAGCGTGGCATATCTGATTTACATTTTCAGAAGCATCATTATGGCTCCTTTGTGGAGACTGGGGTGACAAGTGTGAAATCAGGAAGGCCAATTAGAAGCTATTGCAGCGGTTTAAGTGAGACATGATGCTGTCCTGGACTAGCCAGGAAATGTAAAAAACAACACAAAAGGCCTGATAGTATTCTGAACATGACCCAGATGCCTGACATGAATTTACTGTAATCCATACAACAGCCTGAAACAGGATGTATTATTACCATTTTGAGGTATGATTTACCGAATGTCATTGCATCTAAAGTGCAAGGATGCCCTGATGCTCTCTGTCTTTCCTGCTTTCTACAGCCAAAAGTAAAAGAGAAAAGAAAATTACCTGTATGTCAATCGCTTTGCTAGGATAAGTAAACTTATGACTTTTAAAATAATATATAGTATGTTTAATTTCAACCCTAGTGGATACCTTGGGGAAACAAATTTTAAGACTGGCAGATTGAGAAGAATGGAAAATTGTATAGCACGTTTTGGAGGTTTTATGTTTTGGAATCCAATGCTTTGGAAGTACAAAACTTCTTTTAGAACAAGATTAAAGTAATTTAGCATTTTAAGATAAAACATTAGAAGCAAAGTACTGGCTGAGCGCGGTGGCTCAGGCCTATAATCCCAGCACTTTGGGAGGCTAAGGTGGGTGAATCACTTGAGGTCAGGAGTTCGAGACCAGCCTGGCCAACATGTTGAAACCCTGTCTCTACTAAAAATACAAAAAAATTAGCTGGGTGTGGTGACATGTGCCTGTAATCCCAGTTACTGAGGGAGGAGAATCCCTTGAACCCAGGAGGCAGAGTTGCGGTGAGCCAAGATCATGCCACTGCACTCCAGCCTGGGCAATAGAGTGAAACTACATCTCAAACAAACAAACAAACAAACAAAAAAAAAAAAAGAAAGAAAGAAAAAATAAAGCTAAAGATATAATATTCTGGAAAAAAAACTAATTTTGATTTTATTTGGATATTCATTCATTCAAGAAACAATTATTATAATTATTTAGTACCTAGTATGTGGTAGGTACTATATTACATGCTTGGGATAAAAAAAATGAATAAGAAAAGAAAAGATTCCTGCCCTCAAGAGCTCAGCTTTATAATAAATTATAATAGCCCATGTTAAAGGAAAAAAAAGTGTTGTATTAGAAAGTCAAAAGCAGTAGGCAGTTATGTGTCTTGAGGATGGCAGGGAAGTCTTCGAAGAGGAGAAAGCATTCGTGATAGCTCTTCTGTTACAATTAGGAAGTTCATTTGATCCATGGAGTAGAACAACCTTCATTCATTTGCTCCCAATACTCTTGGTCTTAAGAAGACTTTCCTGTGGCTCAAGCTAGAAACAGGACAAGCTAGTTTTGTTTGTCCTGAGTCTCCTTGTATTCTAATAGCATAGAGTATGGAAAACCATATGACTGCAGTTACAGGTAAGTATGTAATATGGCTATAGTCTTGTATAGTTCTTTCTGGCTGCCCCGGTCTCAACTGACTGTGGATCAGATCAGCTTCTGGGCATTTTATCCTAGAAATTCCTTCTCAGAAGTCTCATTTCTGGCTGAACATCATCTAAATCCCTGCCATACAGTAGTAACTCTTCTTGGGGCTTCCACTTTCTACTGTCTTCACTTTGAACAGCATGTTTGGGCTGTTTATTTGGATTCTGTGAGCAACAGATGTATTCTCTTTGCCTCCTGCAGAAACCCCATTTTGCTTATTTTTTTCTTTTAACAATATTCTGCTGTCACCTAAAAGAATGTGACCTACTTTTAATTAGGGCTAGTGTTTCTTACAAACTGGTAAAAACCTTTGGTATTATATAGATTAAAAGGAAGCTCTTTTTTTTTTTCATTTTTATTTAAGCGGATAGACTAGTCACAAAAGCTGCTCAGTTTTCAGACTGAGTTTTTTTCTTCATGTCAAAATCATCATTACTTACCCAAAAAGAAATATTATAGAAAATATTTTATTACTTATCTTGAAATCATTTTAATATGCTATCTGAATTCGTAGTGTTTTTTTTTTTTTTGGTAACAGTGAACTGATTTTTTTTCTTCTTTGAGATGGAGTCTCACTCTGTTGCCCAGGCTGGAGTGCAGTAGTGGGATCTTGGCTCACTGCAACCTCCATCTCCCTGGTTCAAGCGATTCTCCTGCCTCAGCCTCTGAGTAGCTGGGATTATAGGCAACTGCCATCACGCCGGCTATTTTTTTGTATTTTTAATAGAGATGGGATTTCACCATGTTGGCCAGGCTGGTCTCAAATTCCTGACCTCAAGTGATCCACCCATCTCGGTCTCTTTAAGTGCCAGAATTACAGGCCTGAGCCACCGCCCCCGGCTGAGGTTGGAAATCTAAAGCCAGGTCATAGCTCAATCGGAATTAGAGAATCTACTGTAGAAAATGTGTTTGGAGTGAGTCTTATGTGTAATATTCAGTCCTGAGTCATCATATTTTTTTGATATGTGTATAATGCAAGAGTGTTTAAAAATTTTTCTCTATTAAAACACTGTAACACAGTTCGCAAAAGTGTGGTCCAAGGACATTGAGGAGTACCCAAAACCCTTTCAGTGGATCGGCAGAGTACAAATCATGCATGTGTGTAGAATATACACTCCATGTGTAAGATAGACCACTGTGCTTTAATGTAACAAAGAATGAAAAGTTTATTGATCGGATTTAAGATTCCACATTGCACAAAACCTTAAAAACTTTAACAAACTTTTCTGGGCTGGGCACAGTGCCTCACACCTGTAATCTCAGCACTTTGGGAACCCAAGGTGGGCAGATCATGCGAGGTCAGGAGTTTGAGACCAGTCTGGCCAACATCGTGAAACCCTGTCTCTACTAAAAATACAAATAGCCGGGCATGGTGGCACGCGCCTATAGTCCCAGCTACTCTGGAGGCTGAGGCATGAGAATCGCTTTAACCTGTGTGGTGGAGGTTGCAGTGAGCCAAGATCTTGCCACTACACTGCAGCATCGGTGACAGAGTGAGATTCCATCTCAAAAAAAAAAAAAAAGAAAAAAGAAAGAAAGAAACTTTTCTGTTTCTCGAGTTTTATTGTAGCATCACAAAAGATTTTCCAGCACTATCTGCAATGGCTATTAAAATATTTATTTGTTTTCAAACTATAGCTCTCTGCCACTCATCTTATTTTAAAACTCCAGTTATTTTTCCTTAAAATATATTATTACTCATATGAGGGGGTTATTTTTATTAAATGATTTATAAATAGTAAATTCAAAATTTCTCAGTTTAATTTCTAATACAGTAAATAATACTAGCTATAAGTCACATACACAAAAGCTTTTTGGGTCCTCAGTAATTTTTGAGAATGTAAAAGAGTCATGAGACCAAAACATTTGAGAAATGCTGGTGGAACAAAATTGTCATCTATAACATAAAGATGTGCTTTGACTTCAACCAAACACAGTAAAGATCCACCTAAACCCAAGCAGCGAATTTCTTAAAGTAGATTTACATTGATATTTGAATATAACTCCTGCATCTTGTGGATTTAAAAAAAATAATTACCGTCAATCTATTGATTTCCATCAGACCTACATAATTAAGTTCTCAAAAGTATCTTATTTTCAGATTATTTTTTGTATTGATTGACAACAATGCCTGAACATTTTCGTAGATGTTAACAGATATTGACATGTTTAAAGATTTGCTGCGTGCCCTCTGTTTTGAAGTGGAAACCAAGTATCACTATTTCTAATTTTATGCAGTTTTTTATTAATGCCTGTGACTTCTGCTGTTGTCAAAAGCTATACTTTCTATTTTTAATGGAAAAAAACAGTGAATCTACAATAATCTTTGTATCATGCAAAAGGGAAATAATAATTTTATAAAGATTCTAAGTATAAAATCCGTTGAAAACCTGTAGGTGTTTTTCTAACTCTCAAATATTTTTCATGAATATGCTGTTCTTTGGTAGGTACCTGTAACTACTGATATTTAAATGTTGTTCTCATCAGAATAAGATAAAACTAAATCATAAGGCATAGATGAGAAATGTGCTTAGATATTTCATAATTAAATGTAATTGAAATTTGAGTCAAGCTTGTAATTTTTGTTTAAGCATGTATAAATTTAAAGTTATTTTAACTATTATGACAGTTTTCTAGTTTATTAAACTTTTCAGAAAGCTGAGACTAGGTCTTTGCTCTTCAAAGAAAATGACATTCCTTTGAAAATCTTTCTAAAATGGTTAAAACACAACTTAATGTCACCTAGAATTAGACTACAATTCTTTGTTTATAAATAAATACAATAGATAATGGATAGCCTTTTAATTCTTATATATTAAATGTCACACATAAACAGCAAAAATTCTTAAGTTAATGATTTTTTGTTAATATTGGAAACAGAAATGTAGATGTGGAATGGATCATGATGTCTTCATTTAAGTGATACAGAAATTGAAAAAAAATTATGTAGAACCAATTATGCTTATTTCCAAGTTTAGAAAATATGTAAAATAATTTTATGCAGTATGCTATATTGTTGTGTGATTGTCAATAATACAAACTATCAAATTATTTCCTACTAAGTAGCAGAGATTTGACCTGTGCCACTTTTTTCTGCATGAATTCAGATTGTATAGGTCTCAAGGCATTGCAATCCCAAAGACTTTTAATGCATTTTAGACAAGTGTTTATTAGGTAGCTACCTCAGACCATTGTAAATTCCTTAGGCTATACCACTGTACAAGTGAATTAATTTTAATAACATCTTTTTGATAAATTTTTATAATTCACAATTAATACTTGCATCACAGAATATAGAAAAGAAGCTGCCTTTTAAATGGAGGATCCCATGAAGACCATTTAGGCAAAACTTAGCCACATATGCTCATTTCTCTTAAATATAGGCTAATATTTTTATTTTGATAATATAGAAATATTTAAAAATTAATGAAAATACATAACTATTTGATATTTTAATTAATGCATGAGTAGATAGATCAGTGTGTTTTAATGTAATAAAGGAATAAAGTTTATTGATAGAGTTTAAGATTCCACATTGCACTAAACTTTACAAGCTTTAAGAAACTTCTATTTCTTGAGTTTTAGTATAGTATCACAACACACAACTTATGTTGTGGCTATTCCTCAGCTGCTACAGAGAAAAGAAATTTTTAGTCAATATTAGAAGTTAGATCACTCATCTTGGTTCTGTACTTCCTTCCTGGTAATTAATCAATTTATAACTTTAAAAAAATCTACAAATATGTGGTGTAGACAAGTTCTACACTCCTATTTTATAGTAAGGTGTCATTATTTTTACCAGGACATATTATCAAATAGAAAACAATCTGGAATAAAGTCTGCAAATCACTTTGCTGTTTCCTAAGAGAAGCTGTGTTTTCAGGCTTACTGCTTCTTGGTCTGGAGGGAAACTGTCTTCATTGATTCTAGGCTCACTGCTTACCAGTTGTCTGAACTTGAATAAGAGAGCGAGCCTCCTTATGTACCTGTTTTCCTACATCTTAAGTGAGAATAAAAATAGTGTCTGCCTGAAAGCGTTTTCCTGAGAGTTAAATAATAAATAATGTAGTCGGCCGGACACGGTGGCTTACACCTGTAATCCCAGCACTTTGGGAGGCTGAGGCGGGTGGATCACGAGGTCAGGAGATCGAGACCATCCTGTCCAACACGGTGAAACCACGTCTCTACTAAAAATACAAAAGATTAGCCGGGCGTGGTGGTGGGTGCCTGTAGTCCCAGCTACTCAGGAGGCTGAGGCAGGAGAATGGCATGAACCCGGGAGGCGGAGCTTGCAGTGAGCAGAGATCGCACCACTGCACTCCAGCCTGAGCGACAGGGCGAGACTCCCTCTCAAAAAAATAAAAATATAAATAAATAAATAAATAAATAAATAATGTAGTCTTGGTGAAGCCCTACATAGTGCCTCCCACATTAAAAAAAAAAAATTTCAGTACATGTAGGTAGGTCACTGATGATGATGGTGACAGAATGATGAAAAACTAGCTGAAAAGTAGTTTTCAAAATGGAGTATTAGTGGTATATTTTACCCCTGAAACTATTCTGAATTTTAATAACCTTAAATTTATTTTTGTTTTTATTTTAAATTAAGTTAGACCTATACCAATTATGATGATAAAGATTGTGTGTGTGTGTGTGTGTGTGTGTGTGTGAAACTGTGCCATGAATGTTGATAGATCTTCAGTTTTTGGCAACAGTATAATGACTGCTGTATAACTGCTGAAATTATAGTTCTACTTGACATTTTCTATTTCTCTTTCATTAAAAAAAAACTTTTTAGTTGACTTTGGAAATGGATTGAATTTATTTGGACATAGCCGTGAAATTTCTTTATATCCTAAAGACATAGTCGTTTTCCTGATATATATATATATATATATATATATATATATGTATGTGTGTGTGTGTATATGTGTGTATATATATATTTTTTTTTTAAAAAGGCAGGATGCAACAGACATCAATGTAACACGAAGTAAAACATCTTATTTTCTGTTTATCTTTATTAGTTGATTGTCCTCTTTTAAATCTTACAGCTTCAGGATACTGTCACCTTGTGTGTATGACTTGCAATTAATTCAAAGTATATTGTTTTAAGGGTCCAGGAAAAAGGTGCTTGAGAGAAACAAATTAAAAATTTACTCACAAGCTTGGTCAGTCAGAAAGATGATACTAATAAAAAGATCCTGAGCTTCTGTCGTTAATGGAGTTGGTCAAAGACATTATGAAAATAAAGGAAACAGCACCTTATAAATTTGGCAACTATACATTAATTCTCCACTGGTTTGACATAAAAAGAATGACATATAATGTAATTAAAAACATCTTCAACACTGTATCTGTAGAAAATATAATTATTGGAGGATTAACCAGCTTTCTTTTTTTTTTTTTTTTTGGATTTAGGCTTAACAGCAATTTGAAGATCAAGTTTAGAATGTATAGCTATTTTTTTGACAGATATATTTACTTTTTTTAAAAAAAAATTTATGGATGTTTCTTTGCTATCTAGGACGTTCTGTCCTTTTGGTCTTTCCTCTTGGATTCATTGTGCTTTAGCTACTTGATTTTGCTAGGCGTCTTGGTCTTTGGATAGCTGAAATGCTTGACAAAATGGAACCCTTCTTAGGAGCAAACTATCTCATTATGGTGATGCTTTAAGCTTCAGAATGCTTCAGAAAAAAGAATAAATCAGCAGTTTGATTTTTGAAAAAAGGAAAGTTTGGAGTAGTTATAATAAAATATCTCATGAATATGTAGCAAACCAAATTGATTTTGATAAACTGCTTCATATTCTATTGTCATTACTCTGTCCAGAAAGATTTGCTTTGTGTGGTGAGAAAGTTAAACAGTATAATGAATATTTGAAAACAGAAAGAGGAGTGAATGTCAGGTGAATAAAAACAATTTCCAGAACAGAATTTTAATGCAACAGTGCTTTGCAAAGTCATGCCTTTGTTCTATACAAGAAAATAGTTTGCTAATCTTTGTTTTGGTGGGCTCTAATTTCTAGTTTCTTATGAGCTCTCCATTGGATTGTTTTAGGCTTGGGAACTTCTCAAATTGATGCTGAACTGACATACCACTTGTGAAAAATTATTTCTACCACAGGCTTATAAGATGCATTTTTTTCCATTGAGTTGACTATTTACAAGTCTCTGTATAAAGAAACAAGAGCCATGGTTTTGTAATTAGACAATATGGCCAAGAAATCTGTGATAAAGTGACAGAGTAAACTGAGCAGAAAGATCTCAGTTAGAGGCAAAATGATTTTTGACTAGTTAAGATTATTTTCTGAGGCACAATTAAGATTTATTTTGTGTCTTTTTTTCATGTCAAATTGAATTGGATTCTGGGAAATATTTTTCTTGCATAGAGTTTTCTATGGCATATCAGAATAAATGCATCTCAGTATAAAAACAAGATGCAAAAATACTGGTAGAACTAATTTGAAAAACATTCTTTTGGGTAAAGCAAATTCTGAATTTTAGTGATTTAAGAAAATAATTCCTGTCAAGGAGATTTTGGCATAAAAGAAGAAATCACGGTCAATAAGAAATATGAAACAATTAAAAGACTATGGCATTGAATTTTAAAGAAGTATTAATTAAAATTATTTTAAATGCTTAATATATTAGAACATGATAAATAAAGTGTAACAGGAAAAATTTAAAAAATAGTTATAAAAGAACTCATACATGACCTACATTAGAGCTTAATTATATTATATATTAGGTAATATTTATTGCTAAATCATATTTCAAGTTTCTAAGAAATCATATTTATTTTCATGGAATGGTTTATTTGGAGTGAAATTACAAGATTTCTTGCTTGCTATTATGTTTCTGATACTGTTACTGAAACACCCTGCGGTTTGGTCTGCGTTCTGCTGTTTACTGCACAGAAAGCCAATGACTGAGACAACAAGTATTGCCAAGGAAGAAGGCTTTAATCTGATGCTGCAGCCAAGGGGATGGGAGTTCAGCTTCAAACCTATCTCCCTGACTAATAAGACTAGGGTTTTGTATAGCAGGGAAGAAATGAACCAATATGTAAGAAAACAGGAATAATGGAGGGCCAAGGAAGAAATTATGATGAATGAGCGGTCTGTCTTGTCTGGGTGTGGTATCTGGTGAGTTTCATTTCTTTCATCATTTTTTTGGAGAGGCCTGAAGTTCCTTTCCTGAGGAAGAAACTCATGTAAGACAAATGTAAATTTCAAGCTTTAAGACCAGGAGGGTCAATTTCTCTGTTTAGCCAAAAACTCTCTATGGGACTATTGGGTTGGTTTCAACATATGGCTAAATGCTTTCATTAAACTTTATTTGAATTAATTGTTCTTTGAGATGCTGACTTAAATGATATTTCTTTTTGTTAATGTCTCACCAAAAGGAAGAGACTGTTGATAAAGCTGAAATGATGAATTATATTATTTAGATTACTTCATAATAGTTTAACTTTTTGGAGGTTTGTAAATTATTTTTGGTCACAAGACTTATCAGGAAATGAAGAGTTAATTGATTTTCTTGATATTTAACTTGCTACAAGTAATAATTTTGATACATTGTAAACAGAATCCATTGTATGTATGGATTGGCTGCAGTCATTTACAATGCTTTTTATTTTAAATGGATGTGTTAACTATGCCCATTATTTTAAGTTATAGAGTATTTTTTCTGATTTCTGATGATATAGTTTTATTCCAGACTTCCATAACTTCCAAGTTGGATATTGTGTGCTATGTTGCTCACTCAGAACCTTCTTTGAGGATTGAGGTCCTTACTTTCCCAGCTGCTGGGATTTTTAACAGTTGATGGTCTCAAGCCAAAAAGAAAAAAAAAAAAAGCCACCTTGCGCATGGGCTTGCTCCTTCCCCGAAGGAAACTTGCACCAAATGACTGGTTAATGAGAGGGTACAATACAGCATGAAATAGGCATCTTAACTATTGAATTGTATCATACATAGAAGAGCACTATCTCACCAACTGAGGAAGGGTTGTAATAGATTAAGAAAGGCTTTCTCGGAAGAGGTAGGTAAGTTTACTTTTCAAATGTGAGTAGGAATTTTTCCAGTGTTGCAATGGACTGAATTCTTACACCCCTGAAAAATTCACATGTTGAAATCCTAATCCCCAAGGTGATGGTATTAAAGAGTGGGGCCTTTGGGAGTAGATTAGGTCATGAGGGTAGAGTCCTGGCTACTGGGATTAGTAATCTTATAAAAGAAACCCCAGAAAGCTGGCTAGTCCCTTCAACCATGTGGGGACACAGCAGGAAGTCACCATCTATGAACCAGAAAGCATGCCCTCTCCAGACACTGAATCTCCTGGTGCATTGATCTTGGACTTCCCAGCCTCCAGAACTGTGAGAAATACATTTCTGTTGCTTAAAAGCTACCCAGTTTGTGGTATTTTGTTATAGTAGCCTGAGTAGATGAAGACAGGTGGAAAAGGGGTAAGCAGGGAATTCCAGGTACACAGAACAGTGTAGGATATTTTGAGGCTAAAAAAAAGCCTGAGTCTGTACACAGCTGCCAGAATTTCAGCGTGACAAGTCAGCCAGGTGCCAGCAGAGATTGACAAAAGATGAGGACAGAAGAGTAAACAATGGTCAGAAAATTAAAATTCTTACATTCAACATAGAGAAAGTGTACTTTGCCTGTAAGCAGGAGAGTGGCATAATCAAATTTGTATTTTAGGTGTGCATTATTCTATTATTTAATTGAAAGCAGGTTTTGTTTTAGTTTTTGGCTTTTAGTGAGCTTGCATTTCAAATCTAGTGGGTGTTTTGTAGCAAGAAAAAGTACAGCCTTATAGAAGTACAAACAGGTGAGGAAGGAGAGCTGAGTTTCTTCTGTTTTACTTGGAAGTGTTATGACCTTGTCTGACCTTAGATATATCAGCCTTAAGAATATACCCAAGGGATCCTGTACTCTGCCAGCCTCAACAAGACTAGCTCCTCAAGAGGTTGTCTCTCTTTTTGTTTGTGTGTGTGTAAATATTTTTTAAAGACTTACTTGCAGTTTATCATATTATATAGTTGTCTTTTTGAAAAACACTCTAGAATATTACTTAAGAACCAGGATATTGGGCCAGGTGCAGTGGCTCATGCCTGTAATCCCAGCATTTTGGGAGGCCAAGGTGGGTGGATCACCTGAGATCAGGAATTGGAGACCAGCCTGGTCAACATGGTGAAACCCCGTCTCTACTAAAAATACAAAAAATTAGCAGGGCGTGGTGTGGGCACCAGTAATCCCAGCTACCCAGGAGGCTGACACAGGAGAATTGTGTGAACCTGGGAGGCAGAGATTGCAGTGAGCTGAGATCGCACCATTGCACTCCAGCCTGGGTGACAGAGTGAGACTCCATCTCAGAAAAAAAAAAAAAGAACTAGGATATTGTACCTAGACTTCTTGTCTTCCCAAATCCACCACATACTTGCTCTGAAACCTTAAATCTATCAAGGCAATACTTGTTTCATCATTTATGAGGATAATAATGGCATATTATACCAGCATATTTCAGTCCCATGTGACATAAATAAAAGTTATGTTTCAATAAAAAATGTATTGTAACATAAACTGAATTGTGCCAGTTCAGACAAAGTCTAAAGGGCAAATGGCTTCAGCCATGACTGCATCCATATCTGCTCAAATGACATAAAATGCATCCATATCTGCTCACATGAACCTTGACTCTGCTATTCTCTGTGAAAGTTTTATTCCCAGGCTGAATTTCCCCATGTTGAATAAAAGATAGCACATAGTAACTATAGGCTTATGTTCTACAAATTTATCTACTGCAAGGAAAAAATGAAATACTTCTTGTCAATGATTGAGTATAAGTCTTGGATTGAGTCTTAACATTGCCCCTTGTAGGATTGCTAGATAAAATTCAATGCATCAATTATATTTGAATTTCAGATAAACAATGAATCATTTTGTAAACAAAGTGTGACCTAAACATTGCATGGAATACACTTAACCTAAAAAATGATTCATTTTATGTCTGAAATTCAAATTGAATTAGGTATCCCATATTTTTAATTGCTAGATCTGGCAACCTTTATTGGGCCCCTTGATTATTCTTATATCCATCATTTGGATCAAGATGATAGAGTGTTGATTAGTCCTGGTTATATGCCTTCTGGCTAAATTCTCCTGCCCTGGTCTAATATTCAGAATCTATAAGGGACTTAGAAAGCAAAAAGCAAATAAGCCTATTAAAAAATGGGCAAAGGGCATGAACAGACACTTCCCAAAAGAAGATATACACGTGGTCAACAAGCATATAACAATGCTCAACATCACTAATAATCAGAAATGCAAACAAAACCACGATGAGGTACCCTCTCATACCAGTCAGAATGGATGCTATTAAAAATTAAACAAAACAAAACAAAACAAAACAAAACAAAAACAGGTGTTTGGTGAGGTTGCAGAGAAAGGGAACGTTTATGTACTGCCAGTGGGAATGTAAATTAGTTCAGCCATTGTGGAAAGTAGTTTGGAGATTTCTCAAGGAAATTAAAACAAAACTACCATTTGACCAAGCAGTCTCATTACTGGGTATACAACCAAAGGAAAATAAATCATTCTGGCCAAAAAACACATGCACTTGTATGTTTATTGTGGTGCTATTCACAATTGCAAAGACATGGAATCAACCTAGGTGCCCATCAACAGTAGATTAGAAAGAGAAAATGTGGTAAATCTACACCATGAAATACTTCACAGCCATAAAAAAGAACAACATCATGTCCTTGGCAGCAACACAGATGCAGCTGGCAGCCATTATCCTAAGTGAATTAATGTAGGAACAGAAAACCAAATGCTGCATGTTCTCATTTATAAGTGGGAGCTGAACATTGTGTACACATGGACACAAAGCGGGGATAATAGACATAGGGGCTTACTTAAGGGTGGAGGGTGGGGGAAGGGTGAGGGTCAAAAAGCTACCAATTGGGTAGTGTGCTCACTACCTGGTAGACAAAATCATTTGTACACCAAACCCCCGCAACATGTAATTTACCCATGTAACAAACCTGCACATGTGCCCCTGGACCTAAAATAATATTTGAAAAAGAAAAAAAGAACTTTTATTAAAAAGAATCCCCCTGTCCCAAGGGAAATTGATTGAGAGTGTTCTAGAAGGAGCCTCACCATAAAAATTGAGGTGCTATTATCAAAGAAGAGATACTGTGCAGATAGAAAATGAAAACATATAAACAATAATGTTTTATATAAATAGGTCTACTTATAGCACGTCTGTGAAGATTACATCATATGGGAAAATCCTTTTAAAGCTCTTAACACAGTGCCTAGCACATAAAAAACCTCAGGTATTTTTTTCTACTGCATATATTATTACTGTTCTAGTCCTAACATATTAAGCAGTTAACCCATTCATTAAACAAACATGAGTTGAGCATTTCTATATTATTTCATAAGTTTCTTGTTTTCAAATTTAATAGAAAAAAGGGAAACAACAGGAGAATGGTGAGGTAATTCTTTGTTGAACATGTTTGTGCATTAGACGTTTCCCCTTACCTAACTGGAGTTGTTCCTAGGAACAGAGAGAAATTACTAGCTCAGAAGGCATGAATGTTTTGAAATCCCTTGATACTTATGCTGAACTAACAGACACTTCTGCAAAAATCCATGTTCCAAATGAAGGAGTCTGGTTGTCTCCCTTTTACCCAGACACAGTGCAATTTCCAGTAACCTCTGAAGAGCCTGCACACACCCATCCAATAATCTAAAACTTTATCTCTAAGTCCCAGCTCATATGACCCCTTACTGCTGAAGTCACAGATCAAGGTTAACAATTACTGGTTATAGTTCTCTGGCATGGGAGACAGTCTGAACTCCCACCTCCTAGCTGAAATCCAATCCAAGAGACCTGAAGAGTCAATATTGTTACCGTTTTTCCAGAGATGTTTATTCCTTCGAAAGTGACATTTTCCAATACATTCATAACATATCAGACCAATAAATAGAGTAAATGAGGCATACTTCAAATAAGATTAGAATTAGTTTCAAACTATTACAAATTCAGCATAATTTTAAGGAGAACTGTTTTGAACTAATCTTAATAAATAAAACAATGAACTTATTATTAATTACCCTCAATTCATTTATTCAACAAATACTTCTATAGTGCAAGCCATTTGCCAGGCACTAATGTTGGGGACCATAATTTTATCAATAATAGCCTCTGTGAAAAATATAGCTTTTATATTTAAGTTGAGAAAATTTGACTAACTTGACTACTGACCTCCACAAAGAATTCTGGTACATAGTGACATTTGCTTTATTGTTAGCAGTTCTTTTTAATTTTTTAAATCTAAGTTTAACATGATGATTTAAGTTTCACACTTAGATTGGGGATGGTTTTAGGTTGTGTTATAAATGTGGGTCTGAAAGTACCAAAAATATACTTCAGTTTGTTAATTTTTAGAAACAAAGAGGCAAGATTTATTTGATTCACACAGCGCAAAAATGTGGCACCGGCTATGTAGGGGAACAATTTGGCAAAAATAAAATATTTCACAACCTCCATTATTTCAGAAAAATGCGTGTTTTTGTTTCTTTGGTTATAAGAAAAAATTAGAGATAGAACTTCCCTGGCATATATACAAAAACAAGCTCATTAGTGTTGGAATCTATCTTCTTATAACTGTTGGGAACAAGGAAAGAAAAACCAATCTGTTTGTTCCCTATTTTATATTCATGGGGCTGCTTATGAGGCGGTTTGATTGACACCGTTGGTATATGTTGTCTGCTTTCTTTAGATCAAGCTGGGGGCTTCGGTTCACCTATCACTCACTTCCACTTTGCTACCAAGGTCTATTGTGGCTCTCTTTTCACTCTCTAAATTGTGTTGTGATGAATTGCACACTTGGGAATTCTTAGGACATCTTAATCCCAGTCTGACATAAATCCCTTCAATAAATAATCTACCAACCCCTATGCCAAATGCAAGTGGATCAGTGGACATAGATGTATGACGGCTTTCACAGAATGAATAAGTAGAAGTGAAGAGTTTGCTACTGCACTGAGACTCCATGAATGGTCTCCATTTCCCAGTTTAATTTCCCCCAGACATATTTGGTTGAAATGTACTCTGCAGGTTTTATTTTAAAAAGCTCTCTGTGTGTATGTTTGCATGAGACGCTGTGAGTGTAGATGTGTGTGAATTGGAATGTGTATGAATCTGGAATTGCTTCATTGATGTAAAATATGGGAAATTATATTTGTAAGGCAATCACTGGAAATCATTTTTATATATAAGCTGAGCTTTTCTTTTTAAAATCAATTAACTTCAATTGACAAATAAAAATTGTATATATCTGTTATGTACCTATTATTTAGAAATATGTAAACATTGTAGAATGGCTAAATCAAGCTAGTTAAGATATGTATTACCTCACATATCATTCATTTATGGTGAGAACACAAAATGTACTCTCTTAGCAGTTTTCAAAAATACAGTACATTGTTAACTATAGTCACCATGTTGTACAATGCAACTCTTGAACTTATTCCTCCATACTAAAACGTTGTGTACTGGGGCTTTTCTTGGATAAATATAAACTGATAAAATTTGATAATGATAATGAATGCTTATAAATCTGATAAAGTAAAGATATTTCTAAAACCATTTTCAGTACTTTTTAACAAGAGTTACAGAAGCAAATTTAAGGGGAATTATATGAATAGTAGATTTAGAATATGAATAATGTCACTCATCTTAAGTGATTTATTTTTGTTTAAAAACACATTGGGAAGTTACCTGTGTAGTTGTTAATCTAATTATAATTTTATATTTGATTTCAGGCTATTTGAATATAGCCTCTGTGATGCAGAAATAGCAACAAACATATTTGGTAAATTGAACAATCAGCCTGAATATTTTTTAATGTAAATTCTATAGCTTTCTGACAAACTATTAATGATATCAAGTCGTTAATGCTATGAAATAAGAGTTCCTGTAGAAAATAGAACCTAAGTACTATCGTTAATGTATATTATTTACATACATATATTTATACATACACTTATATAATGCATATTTATTAAACATTTAAAAGGTAAAAAACAATTTTAAGGATCAAATCTAAATTTGAGTCATTTTCAGTAATTCTTGCAATATCATGCATTGCACTGTGAATTCTGTCACTATATTATAGAAGCACCATTCTTTGTATAAAGTGACAGCCACCTTTTCTCACCCTTAAGGTATATGGCACAAGTTCACAGCAAGTCAGAATGTGATATGTTGCTATTTGCCATTAAAAGTTAGACAGCTTTATAAGCCTCTTAGGAGAGCAAGCAATGATCTTTCAACTTCAGTAATGAAGAAATGGGAGGGTTTTGTATACCCTCTATAGCAATATACTGTGCATGTTTTTCAATATATATGTGTTTAGAAATATTGAAAACAAATCTATGGAATGGGAAAATCTGTAATTTCCTAAATCTATAGAATTAAATTAAAATGGGCATATTGTTGTTGCTTCCACTTAAACAAGACTGAATTTTTTGGAACAAAACCTAAAGAGGTTATTAAATTCCTACTAAGTACCAGCTTCTTTTTCTTCACCTCTGGAGCTACCAGCAGGTGACTATGTGGCCTCATTAAGGCCGTAGCACAGGGTCAAAGATTAAAATTGCCTCTGTCCTGATAACTGAAAAAACTGCAGCCTCCAAATTAGTATACTTGTGTCCAAATTAAACAGTAATGCATACTTTTTTTTTTTTAACCTCAAATCTTCTCTAATCAAACATGAAAAGTACAGCATAGGATAATTGTTAAATGAAACAAAATGTTATAATTTTTGGATGGCATTTGATACTTTACAAAGCTGTTTTATTGTGAATGTCTCATTTGTCCCATACAATGATTCTGGGAGGTTTGCAAACAATTGCTAAGAAAAAGACATATTACAGAAGCATGAACTGAGGCATAGAGAGGGAATTTTTCTAAGAGCACAGAGCTACTATGGTAGGACCATGTTTACTGAATTCAGCCTGCTCCATTCTGAGACCTGGGAGCGATCATGTGCTCAGCCAGGGGCTGATATAATACCCTCTGACACCTACCAGCTCCCCACCCCAAGTTTTTGAAAATATGTGAGGGTGTTTTGATTGTCACAGTGAAACCTGGTGGCATTTAGTGGGTGGGGCCAGGGATACTCCCATAGAAGAGGACTTGTTCTGCCTAAAAATCTTGTAATGCTCCTGTTGCGAACATTTACAATCACCTGGCCTACCAGGAAAGGGAGTTTTTGCAATTTTATAACTATGTTTAAATTCCATTCAATAAATGTATTCCTTGTTTTTGTTTGTCTTTATAAATGAGTCTAATGTTATATGGTTAAAAAAAGATGTTTATTCTCTAAAGAATATTATATATAGGATGGTTAAAATAATACATAAGTTTCATTATTGTTTTGTTTTTTAGTTGTAACACATACACATATAAACATATCTATATCTCTCACTGTATATCCTGTTAGTTGTTATTCTTCCAAGTTAGTAATGCCACTATTGGAAAAATAGTTTTTATCCTATTTTAAATTTGGGATCCTGCTATTATATTTTACTACCAAAAGCATTGGTTACCTCCTGCCATTTTGAGACCTAGAAAAAAGATAATAAGCCTCAGGCATTGCTGGAAGAAATGGAATAGAAACTGTTCTTGCAATTAAATTTGCATCTTTTATGGCATATTTTTAATATTTTATCTGAGTGCAGCTAATTATTTTGTTTCCTAAGTATCTAATTTGGTTTACTGAATGTTTTAGCAGTGGTAGTATTGCTACCATTTGATGAAGTAGGAAGTAAAATATGCATGGTTGTTACTTGTTAAGAGTTATTACAATTAGTGTATAATAAATGTTTGATTTCATGGTTATTATATACTTAGCTCTTTTACCTTTCTCATTCATGAAAGATAATTTTAAAAACTGGTAAATTTTTAAACAGTCATTCTGTGCAAAAATATAGCCTTTAAACAACAACGACAAATATATATATATATTTATCTACCAACAACTAAGAAGTATGATCTAAGTGCAGTTAATTGATTCACACTGAGCTTGTAAATTTGATTTCAGAAATAATAGTTCAGGATTTAATTCAAGAAATTGAAAAAAGAAACTCAAAACATTTACATTCAAGTCATATTTTGTTAAGTACATATTTTAAAGTCATGATTAATAGAAGAATCATATACTTCAGAAACAAATTGTCCTTTAGAGATTAATGGGAAACCTCCAGATAAAAGCACATTCTTGTGTTTTTTTCTTTAACTTTTAATTAACTAGTTAACAAAACATTTTTAACAAAAAAATTTTTAAGTTATATATCTATCAAAATGAAAAGGATTAGAAAAGGTGTATGTAATAAAAATAATTGGAGCAAATCAGTTTAACTTGGTTCAGTCTTTTTAATGGGAATTATTTCAGAGTGTATCACTGCTCTGTGGTTACCTTTTTAATACTTCAAATGGTCAGCAATTATGCATTACATGAGTTGAATTTATATTTGTGTAATCTTGGAAAACGTAAATAGCAAAATCTACTCTTCAAAATGACTTATACTGTAGAAATAATTGGGGCTACAGTATCTGCATTCTTCTAGGATATTCTAATAACTTAGACTATTTGGATTGTAACCATTTTTGACGGGAAAATATAGCAAATATGTGTGTGTGTGTATTCTAATTTTTTTTTAAAAAGGTAATTTCTTTATTTTATCTGTGTCCTCTGTCAACAATAGAAAGACAACATATGTTGTCCTACTTGTTGAAACTTAAAAGACAGGGAAAGAGTTATCAGTTGGGAATAATACTTAGCTGGAAGGGAGTAAGATTCAGTAGGTACTGCCCCCATTACTACTCTAATAGGAGCAGACTTAATGAGCAAAAGATTCCCCCCAAGCCTTCAAAATATTCATTTCATATGAATATATAAAGAAACACATTGCAAATATATGATTTTAATAATTATGTGTTACATATATAAATCTATATTCTTTAAATCATTATATAAATTTTGGGGCATGTCACACCAAATATCAGATTCCAGCCCAAGCTAAGGACCAAGGGGAGTGGGTGGACAAGTGGCAGGTAGCTGAAAGAACACTCAGGGAATCATAGGGAGTTTTGACATGGCTTTACTCTTTCTCTGGATGCAAGTGAGCCTGGGCATGAACTTGGGTGCAAGCCGACCTGGGCATAAGCTGCATGTACAGTGTCAGCAGGGTAGTTATGCCTTTGACAGACAACAGTGACTCCGATCCAAGCATGAGCTCACTTGGGTGATCACCTAATGCACCTCACGTGGCATGGTTACATAATGAGTGGAGTTGTGCACCAGTGCTCCAAACTCGCTGAGTCATGCTGGACTGGATGTCTGCCTTGGCCTATTCTTGACCACAGCATATCCATTTTCCTTACACTCCACCCCCTAGGCCAAGGCAGACATAGGCCTTGGACACACAGGTCTGACACAGAGGCCTTATACATAGGCTCTGGGCACACAGGCCCTGGACACACAGGTCCAACACATAAGCCTTATGCATAGGCTCTGGGCACATAGGTCCCAGAAACACAGGTTTAACACATAGGCCTTACATTCCACTCCCTAGGCTGAGGGAGTTTTTCTAGTGAGGAGATGTGCCCACAGGGTGGAATCCTGGACCCAGAGTTCACAGCAGTAATACAGGGAACAACAACTCCAGGTTATGGCAGGCAACCACCCCATGGTGACTTTACCCTAATGTTGCTTCATACATTAAGCCAGGTTTTTATTTCCCTACCTTTAAGGGTGTTGGGGCAGGCAGCAACAGGTTACCGTTCATCCGCATACCTGGTTGGAGAAGGTCATCCTTCCTCCCCTAGGTCTTGCCACATGGCCTGGCCGCATATGGGCCTGTGACCAACTAGTTACTTTTGTAACTTCTAGGTAGTTAACCACAAGGCTAAGACTCGATAAGCTCCCCAGCTGTCGGTGCAGGTTATCATAGTTGTCACCTCCTTGGTGATCACCATTCACATTGCTCTAGGTTCAGCCCATTGACTACTTTGTCCACACCTGGTATCAAACCATATGGTGTCAATACTAGGTTGGAGTGCAACAGCAGTCCAGGCAGCAGTAGCACCTTGGCTAAACCCATCTGTGTACTATGCCCCATAGGGAATGGAGGATGCCCTTCCTTAAACGGTGAAGGCTTGAGGTCTAGGGGTGCCTCAGGCCCCATGGCCTTATCTTGCATTAGGACTACAGGTCCCAAGATCTCTTGCAACTCTGCTGCTACGGGACTTGTACTCAGCATACTTGGCTGCTCCAAGTAGGTGCCCCACTTTGCTAAAGTGGATGTCTGTGCGTCCCAGTTTGGGGGGTCATTTTCCATGAATGCATCCATCTGCTATTAGGTAAGTTGTCTGCACGATGACTGTAGCCCATCCGGCCATGCTGTCATGAGCCTGAAGGGCAGCATATGCAGTTACTAACTGCTTCTCTGTCAATGAATAATGGAGCTCAGCTCCTTTCCATAGCTGAGACCAAAAGCCTACTGGTGTTCTCAAGCACTCCATGCGCTGCTATAGACTCCAGCCAAAACCATCTGTGGTCACATGCACGTGCAGCTCAAATAGGTGCCCTGGATCAACTACCCGTAGGGCTTGTGCCTGCTGAATAGCCCGTTTGGCTGCCTGGAAGGTGGTCTCAGCCGCACCATCATAATTCTAGGCAAGGGGAGCTTTGCCACTTCTAAATCTGCAAGACAATCAGAGGTTAGCATAGTATCATTAACAAGACCATGACATATGGTGGGGCTATGCTATAGCCCTGCAGCAACACTGTGAAAGTTCATTGTCGCCCTCCCGTGAAGGCAAGCTATTCCTGGCTCTCGGGAAGAGAAGGCATTGGCCAAGTCCACTACACAGTGGTACTGTCCCAGTACTGTCAAGCGGTCCATCAAGTCCACGATAGATGGCACAGCTACCAAGCTGTGTAAAATATTTACTTCCAGAATGTATCCGTGCTGGTGTCTACCAGCACCAGCACTCTCTGTATGTTGGTGGGGTACAAGTCGATTGTCAGCTCCACACGTGGCCTCTGGTTGTCAGGTATCCCTGCAAGCCGGGCACTTCAGCCAGGTCCCTCATCAAACAGCAAAGGCTTTATACTCCCTGCATGGCTGCAGCACGTAGTCTTTGAGTTGAAGCACCTAGGGGGGACCGGGTTGCACAGCAATGTCCTTCTCCCGCTTGGGCATTTTCTGGAAGTGCTGCTCTGGGGACAACTGTCTCCACAAAGTTAAGAGTACTTCATTGGGCTGCTTATTTATTTTCTCTCTGTCAACCTGGCCAAAATCAAATCTATCCACATCTGTCAGCGTGTCACTCATTAGGGTCCCTTTTCTCCTCTGGGAGGACCTCTGAGGTGGCGCATTTTCCCCGTCTTTACAGCGCGGACCCCTTGGTTCTGCCAACAGCCTCCTCTGTATCAGACCTAATGGGGTCTCCGACTGAGACAACGGACCCAGGCCTGCATTCACAGCAACCTCTAATACCTTTTCCAAGTTCTGTAGCCAGGCCTCCAGGTGCCCACCAGCACCTGGAGTGCCCTTACCTCCGCTGCATCCCTCAGGGGCTGAGTGTGTACTTCTTGTACCGCGGTCAAAAATGCACATCCAACTCTGCCAGCAAAGGCTTATTCCTTCTTGGTGCTCTGTACTTCAGCTGTTTCAGCGCCTTCTCCATCCTCACGGGGGACCCATCTACTGCCGCCCAGGTTTCCACTGGATCCCATCCGAGCAGTAAGCTGCCACCGGCCACCACAACCAATGTTTCAGCTGCATGGCTGACTCAGAATCAGTGGGGACCAAAGGCTCACTCTCCTCAGTATCCTGCTGGCTATACCAAGTGTCAGGTTCCAGCCCAAGCTGAGGACCGAGGGGAGTGGGTGAACGAGTGGTGGGCAGCTGAAAGAACACTTGAGGAATCGTAGGGAATTTCGACATGGCTTTACTCTTTCTCTGGGCGCCAGCAAGTCATGGGTACGCGCCTGGGTGCAAGCCGTATGTACAGCGTCAGCAGGGTAGTTATACCTTGTACATACAATAGTGGCTCCAAGCCAAGTACGAACTCACATGGGTGATCACCTAATGCACCTCACCTGGCTTGGTTATATAATGAGTGGAATTGTGTGCCCGCACTCCAAACTTGCTGTGTCTTGCTGGATCAGATGTCTGCCTCAGCCTGTTCTTGACCGTGGCCCATCCGTTTTCCTTACAGGACAGTATCATTGTCTTAGTCCAGGCCTCCTAGAAGCAGAGCCTGAAATTGAATTTCTTGTTTGTTCAGAGGGTACTCAGGAAGAACAGGTAAGGGAATGTGGGAAGCCAGAGAAAGAGCTAAGCAAGAACAAGCTTTCAGCCAGAACACTCCTTTCAGCCTGATCCCATGAGGAATGGTTAGCATGAACTGCACTACAAAATCAGTCTCACATCAGTGATGGTTAGGGGTTAGCCTTTTGTATTCCTGCTAGAATCCATCATTGGCTGTAGGCCCCAGGGAGAAGAGGTGGGGACTAGCGAAGGGTAGCAAAACCTCTGAGGAGCCTCTGTTCAGCTGAGGGTCATTCTTTAGAGAAGGGGCAGCTGTAAACTGTTTGCAGCTAACACTGCACCTGGGGGAAGAGTGCACCTGGGCATGTAAAGGGGACCTGAATAATCAACATTGTGCAGTCACCAACATTGTCCAACACTTAGTGTCGTTTTTGATAATCCAGTGTATTTGCTAAGTGGTCTTTGTGAGCCCATGATGCTGGCCAAATTATCCAGACACCTAATGTATTGTTTGAAGTATTTTTGTAAGTGATACTAGGTACACATTCTAAAGTGATTAAAAAAATGTGACTAGATGCATGAGAACCAAAAGCAGATTATATGTGATACATCCTTACTGAAATTCTGAGATTTCAGTGTCACTAGTGAGCACTTCTCTTTCCTTAAATCATTAACCTTCCTTTTCTAACACCCTCAACTTCTCCTTGGTTGTGCTTAGCACACAGGCTTGCTTGCTATGTCTTTTCCTTAGTGCAAATAAGATCTGTCGAGCTACTGCTGTCACAAACACCTCTTCCAATACCCTACCTGGTATCTAGTGGTATCACATCTATTATTTGTTGAGCAAATGAACAAGAGGTACTAGAAATGAATAGAGTCACCTAACAGTAGATATACTTGAATAATCAATAAACATATACACTTTGAGATTATTTTAAAACTCTGTTTTATTAGGAACCCTTTATAAAGTGCACAGTTCTGTTACCCATGCATAACATATATGCACACGCATGCCTTATCGTTCTCCAGTCATAAGATTGCTTGTCTCAAAAGCTGCATATCTCATTGCCTTTCTTGTGTAATTGGCTTCAGTTAGATATGTTAAACAGCTTCACATTTCTAAATCACTCTATGGTTTCACACATATCATTTCTCCTGGAATGTGCTTTTTGCATATTTGGTGTTTAGAATCTTTTTTAGGCCTGAGTTCTGTCCAGAATCATGGAAGAGCTTGTAAATAGGGTGTGTTCACAAAATAGCAACTTGACAAAAAGAGTAAAATATTGAAGGATCAAAGTAAAGGATTATAAAAAATTTCAAGAAATAAATGAACAGAAAACACAAAAAAAGAGTACCATGGTATAAATTCAAAAACATACAACTAATTTGCAGAATTCATGTTCCTTCTTCATTAGAGAGAAGAAAGTAATTAATAAGGCTAAATTCAATTGCTATATTTATTCTTTTTTAAGATAGAAATATCCTTTTTAAGTAAAAATATATGCGTATTACTGAAAAGACAATAGAGAATGCTTTAAAACCCAAAATAAAAAGATCTCATTATTTTATTCACAGGTATATTTCAATTAATATTATGATGCATGAGTATACATTTTATAAATATGTATGTGAATGTTATATATTTATATATGTGATATATTTATTTACACTAAAAATTCTGTTGGATAACCTTGCTTTTTTGCTAAACAATATATTCTACTTGAGTCGCTAAGAGTATTAAACAGATATCAATAATTTCTATACCATATTTTGCTGCAGGCTTTGTTATACATACGTATATGTGTGTTTGCACACATATTTAGAGATTTTTGTGTATCAAGGGAAAAATTATAGTTTATCTCCAACCCAGGAAAATGCTATTCCAATTTCTGTCCTATAGGTGTGTTTTTCCTATTCTTGTACTTCATAAAATGGAACCATGCAGTATGTATTCCTTTTGTATCTGTCTTCTTTCACAATGCATCATACTTTTGAGATTCATTTGTGTGTTTTGTGTGTGGCAAGAATTTCTTCTTTTTTATTGATGAGTAGTAGTCCATAATATGAATATACTACAATTTGTTTATCCATTCTCGTAATGATGTACCTTCATGTTTCTCATTTTTTTGGTATTATAAATAGCAGTGAAACTTCTCCTGTATGTCTCTTTTTATGGACATATGCTTTTACTTTGCTGGAATGAGGAGGTTATATATCTATGAGTAGAATTGCTAGATTATAAGTGAGAATATGTATAACTTCATAAGAAACTGCCAAAGAAGAAAACTCAATTTGAAGATATTTTTTGGCTGAAAAAAGTTAATCAATTTCTAATTTCTCTCTGCTAATGTAAATAGGGTTAAAGATGAAGTGTTCAGAAGCAATTAGAATCTTTGTTTCTGTATACTGAAATAACTCATATAAAGTTCTCCCACAAAGCCAGCATAGTTTATTAAAGAATAAAAGCTTTTAAGATGAATTACTGCAAAACATTTTTTACGTGTTTTGGAGCCCCCAAATCTGTGTTCATTTATGATGAAACAAATTGAATTACTATAATAGTTAACATTCGTTGTAATAAAATCCACTAAGGCATTTTCTTTTCATTAATATTTCTAAAATATATCTTTTTCTGCTCTTATTGTGAGCCTTTGTAACACAACAAATATTAAGATTATGCTCACAAACTGAACACACATAGAATCGTCAATATGTAATTAACTCAGTAATGCAAATAAATTAATAGGTAAATACAGGCCAGTGAAAGCAAAGTAAATATGTGAAAATAAAAGTATGTAAATAAAACTTTACTCTTTGAACAAGTGGATATTACAAGAGACACAATGCCTGTGATTATTACAGCTATAAACTAGAATCATAAGTGTCTGGGAGGAAAGGTGTCAGCATCTTGGCTATTCCATAAAGACAGAGGCAGGGGAAATCCAAATTCTTCCTTGTAAATGTGAGAAAATGAGAATACACAATTATAACCCCAATATGGAGCATTAAGTGAAACTCTTCACAAAGCCAAAATGTCTTAACGATGGGGTGTATATACTTATGGGTAATTCAAACCTGCAAAAACTGTGTCACATTAGTTTTTAATAAAAAGGAAGGTCACAAACTCTCGCTTTAACTGGAGCAGCATAGTATTAATAGAGTAGAGGATTAAGGTTTTATTAGGTTTCCTATCCATAAGCCCTTTGCTTTCTTTGATGGGAATTCCAGAAAGCAAGGGTATCCACTTAAAAAAAAAAAAAAAAGTTCCAGATATCTCTTTGTGTTTGAATGTAAAATAGAAGGGGCCCACTTGTTTTCCTATTCTTAAACCAAGTTAGATAGCAACCTAGGTCCATTAAAAGTGCTGCGTAAAAACTGGTGCCTGACTTCTACCCTCAGACATTCTGAATTAAGTGATGTGGGATCCCAGCATGGTATCACGATGTTAATATTTGGAAACTCTCTTAGTCTTTCTAACATGCAGCAAAGAAATCACTGCCTTCGAGCCCTGTAGCTCACAAGGCTCCATGAGTCCATTTTGCAGGTGGTAAATAATGAGACTCAGAGAGAGGGGAAAGAATTTGCCCAGACTCAGCACAGATTAATTCTAGCCAAGCCAAAATAGGAGCATAGTACTTTGTGCTCCAGTAACTTATTCCTCCCATCCTACTGCTTCTCTAGGTTTTTAACTAAGTTTCCTCATTTGTAAAATATGGGCCTTAATAGCACCTACTGATAGGATTGTTGTGCTGATCAAATATTATGTCTGTAGAGTGCTGAGCACAGTGCCTGGTTTACAGCAAATAACATCTATTTATTGTTGTTTTTGTTTTATACTGGGGGTATAGAAATGAATGGCATTCTCCTGGGACCATGAGCTCATTCAAGTCAGGGACTGGGATTCCTCTCTCTGTACCTGGAATTCAGGAAAGATCCTGACATTTAATACAAGTATTTTTCAATGTGGAAAATGTGTTGCATATATTTTGCCTTTATTCCAGGTAGACATATGTGTGTGTGTGTGCATAATGTCATATATATGCACATTTCCCATAAATATAACTGATGGGATAGCAAGATAAGATATAATTAAAACACATGGTAGTGTGTGTGTGTGTGTTTGTATAGTTTAAAAAAGACATTAGAAGGAGAAAATATATGCTTAATTTTCTTCTTGGAAATGTTATTTTCATGCATATTATGTTAAAAGTAATTGTAGCTGAATGTTTAATTCTTCTGAAAACTGGTAACTTGTCTGTGTCGTCCCTGAGGCACATGCCACGTAACAACAGAATTTATGGAGAATGACCAGGATTATCAAAGCCTTGTTATTTCTTTAGTGCTTGTGACACATCACACTGCATTAAAAGTGATTTCTACCATACAACAAAAAGACCATTTGTAATTCATTTCTCAGCCCCATATACTAGAAAATTATATGCCTGTCAATTCTAGTTTTTGTGGTATAATGCCTTACATTTATGTTATGATTTATAGTTACAAAGTTGTAGCACATACATGATTTTAAACATTTCTAATAATCTTGAATTAGAAAAATCAGTTTATTTTGGAAATGTATTCTGGAGTGCTTAAAACATCAGATGTATTATTCAGAGAACCGCTGATAGGGTGAAATGTAAAATTTCCTGTTCCTATTCATCTCATAAATTTTCCTTAAACCTTAGGTTTTGTTTCTGAATACTCTTATATAATATATTCTGTCACAATAACAATGTTCCTAATTAAGTAATCTTTAGTAAAGATTAATTTTTCTATAAATTTTCATATCCAACGATGTAACCTTGGAGACACATTTTCTTCTCTGTGTCAAAACAATTAAGGCATTTATTTGATAGCAACATGCTTAAACTAGCCACAATTTTTCACTGATTCTTATTATTCAGTACTTTGACTTTAAAAAAATTACATGAGAAAAGGATACTTTTCCTCAGAAAATTGAAGAGTGTAAAATCTATTTATTCTTAGATAATTCCCTTGCTCAATTCCCCAAAGAAGTGTATTATTTCAAATTTGTATTACTTTTCTCCCACTCTACCATATCCTCTTTCATTTTAAGGCAACCATCCTCTATTCACATATATAAAAAAAAAAAATGTACCAGATGAGAACTACCTCAGTTTCTTTGCCCAGACTATTCTCATCCTGAATCGTCTTTATCTATCTCTCTTATTTCTGACAAATATAAATCGGAGTCTATTTTGTTCAAGTCTAACAATCTTCTCTTGTTATTTCAGTCTTTTTCCTTACTCTCTAATGACTTTGCTCCCCTCCATCAACTGTCCCTGTTTTCTCTTGTGCTTCCTCTAAGGCAAACAAATCTACAAACAGACCAACTAAAACAACAAGCTCCAAGCCTAAATCATCTCAATTCTCCTTCCTTAGTATTTCTTGAATCTTTTTCCACAGCACCATTCCTAATGGCACTAGTTAGATCTGTGATCCTGTCGTTTTCTCCCTACTGTAGCAATGCAGTAGCTATCCAACAGGAATCCCCACCTCAGGTGTGTCCAGCTAGTCTGCCTTTTCAAGCATCCCCCATAGAATTCTTCTAGCATTGTCTTTATGACAAAATCCAAACCTCATAGTGTAGTAAACTGGTTGTTAACATGGCACTCTTCCTGTCTGGAAATTTTGGCTAGGCCCCAAAGCTAGTGGTTATGAATGCCAAACATCCTTACTTTAAAGAGAGTTATTAGACCATGTATATGGACTTGCAAAATGGTTCCAAAATCTAGTTCTAACCTTAGCTAATCTTCTACTTTGAAGCTATGTAATAAAAAGCAAAGAGGATAGTTGGTTGGCTGTGGGTAGGGGGATCAAGATGTCTCCAACCAAAAGAGGTGGTTGTAAATTAGTAGAATCCAGATTTTATGGACAGGCTCACTGAGTAGCTGGGGAAGGAATCACAATTGCTCAGTGACTACATTTAGATAACCCCAAAGTGGGAATTTCTGCAGAACTGCAAAAGCTTTCCAGGAGACAGTCAGCACTAGAATTTCTCTACACCCACCCACTGCAAAGTGTAACTCTCTGCAGCTGAGTTAAGACCCTTTCTGCCATTATCTATCCTCCCTCCTCTGATCCAGTCATTAAGAGTTGCAAAAGTGTGGGATGGTAGTCACAGAGCTATGACTCTGTGGTGCAGATTATTCTGTGAACTTCTCAGGGTGAGCCAGGCCAAGCTGTGAAAGGGTTGAAAGGTTTCAATTTGGTAGAGATTTTGTTAGGCCAGAGGGTTTTTTTTTTTTTAAATACATGAAATTGATTAGGAAATTATAGACTCTGGGAGAGATAACATGTTGGGTTAGAGACAGGAGATTTCACCTGGCAAAGAAGAAAGGCAATTTATTTGTCCCTACAATATTCTACAGACCTAAAAACAAAAATCCAGTTCTAATAGTAAGCACGATCTTTAAACAGAATATTTGTTTCCTATTTAACTACCCTCATCTTTCACCACTATCCCTCCAATCTCCAATCTGTGCTGTATCAATATACTTTGGACCTCCTTCCTTCATCACCAAAGGTGATTCCTGAATCTTTATTTGGAATCACCTTTTCAATGGAACCTTCCCTAATACCATATCCCACCCCATTTTACATGAAGTGTTACCTTATGTGTTCTACGGCACACCACTCACTTCCATCCCATCACGCATCAACCCAGATAGTGATGGTCTCATCTATTTCCCTTATGAGACTGTTCTATAATCTAGGGACTCTCTTTTAAATCTGTATCCCTGGTACTAATTGCAGTGTCATTAACAGAGTATAGGTTAAATAATTTTGTAAACAAAAATTAATTGGTAATGGAATCATTGAGTTGAGATAAAATATAAATCTGAAAAGATACTTTAAGTATATGTCACTAGAAAGAGAAACAGAATTGCACATGAAACATTTTCTGTAAAAGATAAAAGAGTGCAACTTAAAGTGCTGTCTGTGCCTATTACGATTATCTTCATATGACTACTTGGAATCTCAGTCTCTGTCTCTATCTCCCCCGCCCCCCATTCTTGTGCTGGATAGATGTGAAAGTACAATACTGCTTACCTTTCATTATCAAGTATTTTCACAGACTCTTACTTCATTCTAGAATGCACTTGAGAGTTATTTCTTATCGTAGGTTTTCCAGTTCTTCCTCACAGATAATTTTACTGTTATCTCTTCTCCCTGATCTGACCTTTGCCAGACATTGTTGTTACTGCTGCCCTTTCCCCAAATCTGAAGATGTTTTCAAAATTAATTTTTCATTAAAATATATCGTAATATATATAAATGTCAAATGAAAACATGATAGAGTATTGTTTGCCCTCTCTTCTCATTAAAACTTAGAATGTTTCAGCTTGGACTTTAGTTTAATAGCTATTATTCATTAAAAAAAGTGAAGATATAAAGAAAAGTGGATGTGAGATCCACTATGTAACTACTTCAACTCTTGCTTGGTATTTACATATGCATACTCCAGCATACACACAAATCATTAAGAGAAGAAACTTTTTTGTTTTGTTTTTTGCCATTCCAGCATAAGAAATAAGGACATATTTTGCTATCCCTGCATGAACATGCAGGAGTTTGTCATTTTTGGCACAAAGCAAAATGAGGTTTGTTATCTTCAAGGGTGGGGTTGAGACAGTCACCGGAGCTCTTGAGCCATAGCTTGACTACCAACTGGAGGTTGCTTATGATAATTGATAACCCAGCCCTACGGAGCAGCTGATGGGAGAATGATTCACACTCTGTCACTGGCTCATGCCAACTCATGTAGAAATACACACAGCTTTTAGCAGCTACTTTGAAATCTTACTCTAATAAAGTCATTTAGCTTTAGAAATTTAATTCAACACAAACTACTTCCTTTAAGGAGATTCGTTACCAGAACAACAATGTAGCCTTATAATTTTGATGCCAAAATTATTATAGTGGGATTCCAGTGCACCATGAAAGCAATTATACAGATATGATGCTTTTAAAAATATGACATAAAGTTGATAAAATATGCATAATAGATAAAGGGAATGTTTTGAAAGCCATTATTTGTAAGTAAATACGTTCTTTGATTTTATTCAGCACCACAAAATGAATTTTCAGGTTGTAAAGCAGCTAATCAAGACAAACACAAAACATATCAAGTATGTAACTGGCTACTATGTTAAACAAATTTGTTTTCAATAATGCCTACTCTTCAAATACTGAATTTCGCTTGTTGGGGGGAAGATAAATTTCAGCAAACCTGCGAAACATTGTAAAAGTGATTCGGAAAAATCTAACCATAAAATGCAATGCCTTAACTTTTTTGTACTCACTTCAATATAGTATGCATTTCCATAGATTATGGTGTGCTCAAGTGTAATAAATGTTTCATTTAATTATTTTTAAATCTACTTAAAAAATGAGACATTTCATTTTGGTTCACGCTTAATCTTTTTAGACTTAAATATATTTCCACAAACCCACGCATCTCAAAAGATTTGGCAAACTACAATGATAGCAATTATTGTTAATTCCAAAAACTGCTAAAATATCCCAGATATTTGTCAGTTTGCCCGGGACTATTTTGGACACACATGATAGAAGCTATTAATTTTTTATTGTGATGTTGCCATTAGTAATTTTAAGAAGTAGGTAATCTGTAAATGTGCATTGTTCAAAGTATCTTCAGAAAAATTTCAAACTGTGTCTAACATTAATAGTATTTAATTATTTATCGTACCTGTTTGGCCTTATTTACTTGAATTATGAGGGGTTGAAGCCCGGGTAAAGTGCAATTCTCATTCCAAAGCTAACTATAAAGCTTCGGCTAAATCCTTGTACGACCCCTTGAGAACAGCACATCACTTACCAATGTATTTTAGCAGAAGAAGCATCAGACAAAGGGGACTGGGAATTAGAACAAATGGGATCTAGTTCCAGTTTAACTGATGCTTTCAAGACGACCTTCATAAAATAACTTTTTGTTTTAAAGAAATTATGACTAAAATATCATTAACCATCTAATATTTTCTGTACAAGTCAAGGTAGATGGTACTATGCAAGATAATAATATATTCTGGAGCAATCTCAAAGTACGGAGATCAAATGTATAGTGTTTGTGTGTGTGTGTGTGTGTTTAGTTAGAGTTACAGAAGAAAAGTTAGATGTTTCAGGAAAAAAAAAAAAAGGAACAGCTGCTCAGGTTAATAGCATTTGAAAATCTACATAGAATCAACAGAGAGTATTGCATAGAAGACATAGGATTATCTGCCAGGCAGTTGGCTCAGTCAAAGAGAGTTCATTTAATACTTACACATCTTGAATTCTTAATTTCTGTTTTCTTCACTGATTCTGTTGATCTTTCTACTTTATACACAGATATTTCTCAAGGATTGACCCTTGATTCTTTTTACCTGTCTCTATATTCACACACACACACACACACACACACACACACACACACACACACACACACAAACACAAACACACATACACACACACACAGACATATAGACATATATATATATATATATATATTTCCCCTGTTTTTTGTTAACTAGATAACTTGGGGCCTGTTCTGAATGAGTTTCTAAGCATTTAGTATGGTGATAGTAATACCTATTAATAGAGTTATTGTGAAATTACCTAATACAATGCTTGGCACTCAGCACTAAGTGATTTTATGTCATATCCACCTTGTTTTCTTGTTTGGAATCTTACTGAATATGAAATGACTTTTGGACACAAAGTCATTCTATTTAGGTTTTTTTTTTCATTTTCTGTTTCTTTACATTAAATTTGAAAGTTCTTGAGGGCAGGAACTGTATTTTCATGCCTAAAGTTATGTATCTGATAGTACAGAGTAAGGTAAAGAGGGATAGAGAAGAGTCAAACATTTTTTTAGATGCATGAATTTGTGAAAATACAACTTTAAGAAGTTTTCCACAGTATGTGGTGAGATTTCTTTGCATGATAGAGTGCTTACACTCACAATAGATGATAATAATCATTCTTTGTATTTCTAAGATGAATATGAAACCTCATTGAGAGAAAAGCGTATCTCATTAAGCTTGTATGTTACAGCCTATTTCTTTGAAATATATTCATTAATAAAATAATTCACTTTTTCTCTTTTTTTGATTTACTTTATTCATGGTTTTTGATTTGCTGCTTTCAAACGTCTGTTTATACTTGCAGTTGATTATATGAACACATACACACGTATGCCTCTAACAAGAGAGGAAGGAAATTATTTATTCATGTTATGACTTTGATTTTTTTCTTTAACTTTTCCTTTGATTTAAAAATATATAAAACATTTGTAAAGTCAAAGTTCTTCCTGATAGAAGTTAGGAATGAGTAGAAGGAAAAACCAAAGATTTTACACGGGGTAATTGTCAAAGCAACTTGCCTTTGTGTTCTTTGAGTTATAAGGTGGTGATTAGGTTTTCAGGTTTAGAGAAGTGTGAGACAACCTAATTAAACACCTTTTTGCTGAAAAGCAGCTCGATAAATTCAGATTGCTCTGGGAAATTCTCAAAGCTTTTATCAGAAAGCTAATACTACAAAAATCTTTTAAACTAATCGCTTTTGAAAAATTATTTCCCAGACTGGAAATAAATTATATTTGAATAAGTAAGCATGCTAGAATTATTATATTGAATAGATGCAAAGATGTAACTTAAGTTTAAAAAAGTACAATCAATAAATGTATAGTAAGCACGTGTTTTCTAATAATGATTAAGGCAAATTACTAATTTTGTGATCCCTTAACTCTTTGATTTCTCTTTATAAATCCTGTATAAATAATTATGTAATAAGGGGATTGTGAGTTTGGGATGAGAGAAAAGCTAAAATCTTTACAGATTATAGACGTTCTTGAGTTGTACATAAGACCTTTATCTTCTTTATCAGCATAGTGTTTATTATTGCCCCCATTAACAGTATACCTATTAAAAGTTAATTGTTTACCTATACATATACAATGGAACATATTTTGTAATTTTGTAGTGTCATTCAATGGCATTCTCTCCCTTTTAAGAAAAATGTTTTTTGATGGCTCCTGTTGACTTTTCAAGGCTCAAAGAGAAATTTTCTTTAAGTAATCTAGTTTGTCATTCTGTAAAATGATAGGGATAGATCCAATGACTCCTAAGATCCCTTCCAGTCTCTAACAATATATGATTCTATGAATTTCTTTTTTTCATAATACCAAGAGGAAATGGTGATGGATTTAAGGATATTGGGAGGATTTCATTATTTTATTGAAAATGGCCCAAAGCTCTATCAAAAAAAATTTGGTATGAAAGTATTACAGTTTGAAAAGGACTTGGAATTGCAGTTGGATGATGGGTAAGGGTGGTGTAAACAAATCCACACACTACTGGGTTGATTAAATTTATCTTTCTGGGAATTGAATATATGGTGATGTTTCATATTACAAATGAGATTTGAGGAAAGTTAATGAAGCTGAATCCTCATTAGGTAGCCATGCTATTCTGCATCTTTGATTGATAGCAAAGAATTGCTATTGTCTTTTAGTAATTAATCTCCTTTGTGCCACGGAGCAGATTTTTTTCTTAAAACAATTTATTCATAGTTAATACAATTATGGATATGAAGCAATTAAACATTGGCTCACATTCAGGATAAAGAAAAACTAATTGATAAACTAAATTCCTCATGCATAGAACAAGAGTAATGCAGTCTTGCTGTTGAGATGATTCTTTCTGTGGAGGTGAATAACAATATCATTTTAGTGACTAAGATTGTTTACTTTCAATTATAAAACTTTGCTTCTCTGACTCGTAACAACCCTTCACTAAAGAGGCCCAAAATGACAGTTTCTCATCATTGAATACTACACAGTTCTGTTGCAAACTTCATAACAGAATTGTTTCAAGGCAAAGTAGGGTTACCTAATTATTTGAAATGAAAAACTAATTCTAAATCACTTATCTTTGAAATATAAGCATAATAACGTTTGTGGCTCCTATCATTTCATTTATCTAATGTAAACCTTTTATTAATAACTTTTACAATTAGTTTAATTTTTTTCCTAAAGCAAAATCATGAGTAATCTTAATGCAGCTACTTTGCATTTTTAATCTATTTCCAGCACTAGCCTGGTAAAAAAGTCAGTGACAATGAATGAAAGTTGAAATTTTTCTTACACAAATTTTTTTGTCCGTATTCTTCTCCCTTATGTATTCTTTTCTGTGTCAAGCTCTTTTATACTCTTCCATTATTCCACAGTATTCACTCCTCTGAGTCTTTACTCAGACTTGCCATATTCAGTTGGTATCTCTTATTTTAAAATAATTCTTCTATTCTCCTTTGTTTTTAACCTTTGCCAAAATTTTTCATTTTCTAGTATCTTGTTTATCTTCAATCTATGAAAGATATAATAAATTAATTCATGGTAAATTTAGTGCCAAGAAAATTTCTCATCGTGATTATTTCCATAGATATTTGTATTTAAGAGCAGTTTTGGAATAGGTAATGCATATTTGGGCCAAATGAGTGAATCTTAGATAGAGAAACTTAGAGCACTATCAGCTAAATGGAAAAATTTAGGCACAACTGCAGCCTGCTGAGTCTTTCTAGATTCCCACACATGAGTCTCTATTACTGCTTGCCCACTAAGTAATCTCATTTATACTGTGCTTATGCTTTGAAGAAGAATGGAATACTACAGCCCAAATACCATTTTCATCATAGTGTTGACATTGGTTGCTTCTTTAAGGCCTAATTATTTTTAACTTTTGTTTTAGGTTCAAGGGTACATGTGCAGGTTTGTTATACAGATAAATTGCATATCATGGGAGTTTGGTGTACAGATAATTTTGCCACCCAAGTAATAAGCATAGCACCCAGTAGGTACTTTTTCTATCTTCACCCTCCTCCCGCCCTCTACACTCAAGTAGGTCCCAGTGTCTACTGTTTTCTTCTTCATGTCCATGTGTATTCAGTGTTTAGCTCTCACTTGTAAGTGAGAACATGTGGTATTTGGTTTTCTGTTCTTGTGTTAATTCACTTAGGATAATGGCCTCCAGCTCCATCCAAGTCACTGCAAAGGACATGATCTCATTCTTTTTTGTAGCTGCGTAGTATTCCAAGATATACATGTACCACATTTTCTTTATTCAGTCTCCTGTTGATGGACATCTAAGTTGATTCCATGTTTTTGCTATTATGAATAGTGCTGTGAAGAACAGATGCATGCATGTGTCTATGGTAGGATGATTTCTATTCCTTTGGGTATATACCCAAAAATCAGATTACTGGGTGTAATGGTAGTTCTTTGTTCTAAGTTTTTTGTGAAAACTCCAAACTGCTTTGCATAGTGGCTGATATAATTTACATTCCCATCAGCAGTGTATAAGCATAAAACTTAACTTTCTTCACTGGTTATTTAGTAGATAGACATTGTACCAAGTTCCCATGATGATACTTTTTAATATTATATTACCGATTTATTTAGACAGATTCTTGCTACATCAATTTAGTCAACATTCAATCAGCCAAAAAAGTAAAATATGCCTTAAATATGACTACTTTATTATTTTGCTTAAATTATCTCACCTACCAGATATTACAGTCTCCCTGACTGCTAAATTCCTTTTTTGCTTCCTACCTTCTTTACAAATCTTTAGTATACTTTGGTCTATTTTATATTTCTCTTTGTGATATTTTTCTCTGATTAAATCATGCTAGAGGCTGAATGTTTATGTCCCCCAAAATTCCTATGATGAAACCTAATCCCCAAGGCAATGATACTAGAAAGTGGGGAATTTGGAAGGTGATTAGTTTATGAGGGCAGAGCCTTCACAAATGTGATTAGTGCTCTTATAAAGAGACCCCAGAGAGCTCCCTCACCAATTCTGTCATCTGAGGCTTCTATTTTATAGAAGGAGAAAATATGGTATAGAGATTAGATATAATAAGTGGAAGAGCTACAATTAGAATTCATGTCTGTCTCTAAGTCCACAACATCTCTTTCTTGGATATATCTTACTATCATACATATGTATGCCTATGAACCAGAAAGCAGACCCTCACCAGACACTGCCTCTGCCAATGCCTTGATCTTGGACTTCCCAGTCTCCAGAACTGGAGAAATAAATGCTTGTTGTTTAAGTTACCCAGTCTATGGTATTTCTGTTACAGTAGCCCAAATTTAGCTCTCAATTATCAAAGCAATCTACACAGCTCCTAAAGTCAAACTCTACATATAGAAAGTAGGTGATGAATAAATCTGCATTGACTGATTTAATTGATTAAACCAAGTTGACTGATTTAATTTATTAAATCAATTCTAATTCATTGATGGCTATCAGCTGTTTCCTCAGAAATCTTGACTATTAATATCTTTTTTTTTGGCAATGTTTATCCATGTATGTGATTATTTTTTGACCTTCTGTGATCTTGTAATTGAAAATGCTAACAAATCTTATCTACAGATGTTGCTGGAGTAATAAATACTATTGTACATTGTCCTTATTTCTGTTGTTAACTTTTTGGTGAATTTAAATCAGCTTACATTTTTTCCATGCCTACTCTATAGGTTAGATTGTTTTTAGGCTTGTGATTCTGTGTTGCTTGAAAGGATTCCAATTTAAAATTTTTCTGTACAGTTTTAAACTGCAAATGAGTAATAAATGTATTTATTATGTGGATTATTGTGGTACTTACCTTCAACCTTTGGGATTGACTGAAGGTAGAGACACAGATTTCATAAATATTCAGTTGAAAATAGCGTTTGTTTGTTTCTTTTAGTATTTGCCAATTCAAATGCCAGATTTTATATGACTGATATTTGTTAAAAAGCCAGATATTTGTGAGGTTTAGATACATGGATCTTAAAAAATCATTTATTATCATTTGCAGCCTTAAAAATGGATCAAGCATTATGGAAGGAAAAAAGAAGTTTAGAGATCTAGAGTCACTGAATACTAATGAGTCTTATGGTTCATCAGATGGTTTATGTTTATGTTTCTTGTGACATTAAAGCTTCAATATTTTACATTGTTATCGTTATTTTTTAGAAGAAGGTATGGCTTAGAGATTATATGTAATGAGTGGAAAGCCACATTCAGAATTCAAATCTGTGTCTAAATCCACAGTGCCTTTTTCTTGGACATATCATACTATCATATATTATAGATCTATACATGTTTGCTATTATAATTGCTACTAGATTGCTTTTCCAGAAATCTTACCTTCTATTTCTTTTGTCCTAACGTGTTCCATCTATGTTACCTAGCTAGGTGATAAAATAGTGTATAATAAACTTTTAAAAGCTGTTTACCTAAAAATATTTCTTTGAGACTATCTGTATACATGGTAACGCCCTCGTACCTCTGTCAGGTCTGGGGTGTTTCTGAGCCTTCTATGGATGGTCTATGCCCCCATAATGCCAATGGCAGGAAGTAAATACCCTGCAACCTTAACTTTGCTCTGTAACATACATCGAAGTGTCATTTCCTTGTGATTTTAGTCCTTTACAAAGATTTTGGTGAAATAACTTCTAGTGTTTTCTTTCAAGAGTCCTTGAGGTCTGGGATAAAGACAATCAGGGGGCGTATTTAAGAGGTTTCACTCAGAATTAACCTTGCCCACCTTCCTCAAATCTGGCCCACCTTTCTTTCCTTCCTTCCTTCCTTCCTTCCTTCCTTCCTTTCTTCCTTCCTTCCTTCCTTCCTTCTCTCTCTCTCTTTCCCTCCCTCCCTCCCTCCCTCCCTCCCTTCCTTCCTTCCTTCTCTCTCTTTTTTTGTTTTTTTGACAGAGTTTCGCTCTTGTCACCTAGGGTGGAGTGCAATGGCGCGAACTTGTCCCACTGCAGCCTCCACCTCCCGGGTTCAAGCAATTCTCCTGCCTCAGCCTCCCAGTAGCTGAGATTACAGGTGTATACCACCACGCCCAGCTAATTTTTGTATTATTAGTAGAGATGGGGTTTTACCATGTTGGTCAGGCTGGTCTTGAACTCCTGACCTCAGGTGATCCGCCTGCCTAGGCCTCCCAAAGTGCTGGGACTACAGGTGTGAGCCACCATGCCTGGTGTGGCCCATTTCTTTAAATCAAATGTGTTTGCCTGTATTTTCCCTTTCTTTAGTATAAATTAGTTTCTTGAATGCATGGAGATACCCTGGATAAATATTAATAAATCTCTTAAAAGAACATCTCATCTGCTCTTCCAAACTTTCCCATAGTGAATACAGTCTATATGTTCAAAGTAAGCACTGTCCTTGCCCTTCGCTTGCCTTTTTAATAATAGATATCACGAAATTCTCCAGAAGAACTAACAGTTAGTTGAGTTTCTGAAGAGGAATTCCTACCCTTACACTGCACTTTTGGTCTTTTCTTCTCCTCCCCCTCCCCCTCCTCCCCCTCCCCTTCCTCCCCCTCCTCCTCCTCCCCCTCCTCCCCCTCCCCCTCCCCTCCCCCTCCTCCTCCCCCTCCCCCCCTCTCTTTTTTGTCTGACCCTTTGTTCCATTGTTGATATTTATTTTTCTTATTGATAGTAACATTGCTCCTTTTGAGTTATCGGGGTGGGTAATGTTTATATAGCTTTCTGCCACACAGCCCTAACCTCCATTTGGCCTAATGTTCCAATCTGTGAATGCTGCAGCGAAGTGGTGGAATGCAGTGGGGTAGTGACAAAAAAAATACCAGATGTAAAAGGATGCTACTAATTTAGAAAATGAATACAAATTAAATAAAGGCTGAGGGAGACTTTTTTCAAATGCTTAATTGGTTATTTGACACATATCCATAGGTATGCTCTACTGTATGTAGAATGAGAAGAAATTACTCCTATTCATAGTTTGTCTCCTACTTACGTGATGTTGAGAGCAAGTTGTATAACTTCTTTCATCAGGTAGGGTAGAGACAAGGACTCTGGAATAGGTAGCCTCTATTTAAATTCCAGCTGGTCCACCATTTAGCTGGTGACTTAAGGGAGCTCAAGCTCGATAACATCTGTTTACTCCTTTGTAAAATGGAACTAATGGGAGTATGTACTAAGTTTGTAGGAAATATAGATAATTTCTGTAAAGTGCTTGGTAAAGAGTAAGTAGTGAAAATATATCAGCCCTTCTTTATTTCTCATTATGATGTTCAACTGAGATACCATATGTAAAAGAAATTTCATAAACTGTAAAACATACACATTTTAACCATCATTATTCTTAATAACATGATGTATACTGTATAATGAATGTAATTTTAATTTTTCTTAAAAAGGAAAAGAAGAAGGCTTCTTGAACTTTGTACTTGAGACTCGAGAGCTTAAAATTTGTCACTGCTTAGAAGCTTTATATCTAAAAAACGTGAGTGGAAAATTACAGGATAATAGTATGAGAATTATTGAAAGAATCTTTGATAATGTCAGTTACTGGAGCTTTTACCGAAATCATTAAAACTCACTTAAGAAGAAGAGAAATAATAATAGTATTACTCAAATTAAAATAAAAACTAAAGAGCTACTGAATATTTTACAGCATTAAAAAAATCATGTTCTCTAGAAAAAGGGGAAAACAGAGGTGGCATATTTTTTTCAGATTATTAGTGGATGATGTTTCTGCCATTTAAGAAACCAAGTAAATTTATATTTTACAAATTTGATTGATTGATTTACACATCATAGTAATTTTCCAACTCCTAGGAGGAAAGATTACAAAGTGAGAGGGGCATATAGTACACTCTTTGCCACAGAATGTGATACATCCATCCCCCTCCATGTATTAACAAAAAAAAAAAAAAAAAAGAGGAAACCGATGTTTCCACAGCAACGTTAGCAAAACAGAAAATTTGCCTACCGTCTAAGATCACACTTTTCATTTTTTTTTTTTTAAAACCATCCTACTCACTGAATTGGCAGCCTGTGCAAGTTAATTAAACTCAAAGGTAAATTATTTAAAGGTAAAAGGAAATTAATATAACAAGTCAGGAATGATAAATAGTTTACCACCAGTCAAAGAATAGGTTGAGATAACTGGAAATGAATCCCCTTTGATATAAGAAGAGTCAGAGTGTGGGTGGTGGGAGGAGCAGAGCTGGAGATGACAAATCATTATTGCAAAATTAAAAGGACTGGAAGTGGTTCACCAGATAGAATCTGACACAATCTTGGGAGCGTAACGTACGTTGACCACAGTCATACATACCTATTTGATTAGACCTTCCATAAAATAAAAGAACCCTGTCCTCCTTTTCCTCCTTCTTCATTCATAATAGCTAATGTTGAATAAGATGTCGCTACTCTGTTTTGCAAAAATCTCTTCTTTTTGCAATGTTTTTCTCAATTTTTTATAAAAATTCCTAAAAAATTCTGTGAAATGGGTATTTCTCTCCATTTTATAGAAGAAGAACCAGAAGTTCAGAGAAATTTTAAAAACTCTCCTCTACCCATATTTTCAAAGTCAGTATGTGTTTTATGGTTTCTTATATTCTTAATTGTACAAAATTTTAACTAAAAATAAAAACCAAATTGAGAATTATATTCAGAATAACTGAAGTGAAAACTTGATGATATTTTTAGTTACCATGTATTATTGGGACAGTACTGCATTTTCTAGTTCTTTAAATTTATGTGTAGTATCTGCCCATCTTAAATACCTATTTAAGACCAGTTTGGGGGCAATGTAAGATAATGGATATCTCTCTGCCAGGTGATTTGGAAAGTTAATCATTCAGGCTGTTTTAAAACTCTTGGATTATGACAAGGTCAATATAATGATAAACACTCTAGGGATTGTAAAATGTTGAAAAATATATGAGAAAAGTGATGGTCCTTACTGATAAAATAAACCTTTTAAGTTAGTTTTCACTATGGAGGTCAAAATAAGTTTTGTTGATTTTATCTACCCTTCCTGCGCCTCACTTTTTTTTTTTTTTTTTAAGATGGAGTCTCACACTATTGCCCGGGCTGGAGTGCAATGGTGCAATCTCCGCTTACTGCATCTTCCGCCTCCCAGGTTCACGTGATTCTCCTGCCTCAGCCTTCTGAGTAGCTGGGATTACAGGAGCACACCACCATACCCGGCTAATTTTCTGTATTTTTAGTAGAGACGGGGTTTCACTATGTTGGCCAGACAGGTCTCGAACTCCCGACTTCGTGATCCGCCCTCCTCATCCTCCCAAAGTGCTGGGATTATAGGTGGGACCCACCGTGCCTGGGCAATCAATTTTTATTCATCTCATTTCATATATGCATATGCAAGCTTATTCATGTATATGTGAATGAAAAGATTTGTAAAGTATGTTCTTTTGTCAGATGTATATTAAATTTTTGTATTCTTATCTCCAATTAAATTATTTGAAGAGTTGATTTTTAGATTTACCTTTTATTCCTTCTTAAAATTAAAAAAAAAACGCAGAAAAAAGTACCAAAAATAATTTTCAAAGGTACTTCTTACCCTATTATACTACATTTTACAGTTTTTTGTTCATTATGTCAATTTAGATCATGTCCAGTTACATTTTGTTTTTGTTATTTTGGTAGAATAATCAGACCCACATGAACTTTGATATATTTGTAGACTTTTGTAAAGACAGAACCTTATATGCAACAATCTGATAGTGAGATGGGGCCTTTCCATATTTTTTCCTTTTTAAAGTGGTTGTGTAGTTTAATTCTTTTACCTAATTCCTACAGAGATTTGATCATTTTCTTATGAGTATAGCAGTTTTCTTCCTTCTACCTTTTATAAACTTTAATGCATTTGGCAACCAGAATACTAAAATAAAATGAAATCCTGAAGCCTACACAAATTCCTGCAAATTGTGAGTAATGGGCTCACAAGGACAAGCAAGTTTGAGCATCCTCCATCCAAGAAAGAAAGGAAAAAAGGAAGGGAAAGGAGAATTATAAAGACTATACACAGTACATTTCAAAGAAAAAAATTAGAAAAGATAATTTTAGACAATTACAAAATGAAATTTTGTTAATGCAAATTAATAAATTTTAGGACATTTTATTGAGGATTTAATAACATTTCCAATATACATTTGATTGTAATAATATATTATGCTGTCACTTTACATATTTTGTCTAAAAAGCAAATATCATTTTTCCTTTTTATTTTACTGTTTTCACATTAAAGTTAATTGGCTCAGAGACAAAGTTCATCAAATTACAATAATCACTAAAAGAATAAGTTACAATTAAATTTCTGAATGGGTATCATTCCAGTGACTTCTGTTTCCTTTACAAGGTTTATTTTTTCAAAAGAGCTTTAGAACACGTAAGTTGTAGTTGTTGTTTTATTTCCCTCAGATATGAGAGCTTGCTTTTTTAAGATAATCTAAAACTTTTCCTTGAACGATGCTGTGAAGTTTTCTTTTAGAGCAGTGCTTCTCAAACTTCAATGCACATTAGAATAACCTGGATGTTTGTTAACCCATAGATTCACAGGGCCCACTCCAGTAGTTTCTCATTCAGTAGACCTAGGGAGAGATTTGAGAATTTGCATGTCTAACAAGATGCAGGTGATGCTGCCCCAGCGGGTCTGGGCACACTTTGAGAAGTACTGTTCTAAAGACATCGTGACTCTTAAGGTCCAAAATGCAGAGTCACCAAAGAATTGCTGAAGACAAAATAAAGATGACACTAGTTAAATGATAGTGAGAGTCTGAAGCCAGAGAGATGGATCAGTGAACACTTTGACAAGCTGGCTCAGCCAGACATGGTGTGTCATAAATTTGTTTAACATGGTTACTGCCTTGACATCCATTTCTAGGCCTCACATAAGTTGTTTCAAACCCAGTAATACCCCATTACTTTCGGCCTGGTTAAAACTTCTCTTCCCCTCGTAGTCGTTTTTGATATGACCTTCTTGTTTCTCATCTCACTGACGCAAAAAAAAAAAAAAAAAAAAAAAAAAAAAAAAAAAATCCGACATGCCCCACAGCTGCTGACCATGATAAACCTAATGGCCAACACCAGAGTTACATAAATAAGTTCCCCCTTCTGGCATGTTTTCTTCAAACTAGCCAATCTGCAACACCTGCGAGAAAGCCTGAGCACCTTAAGAAAGGCATAGTCCCAGAGATCCTCCTCACTGTCTCTGCCTGTCTCTGTCTCTATTTCTCTCTGTCCCTCTTCCCCCCACCTGCCACCTGCTAGCTGAGCTCCCTGTCACCTCAAGACTTCCCACTGGCCTCCTGTTGACCCCCGCAACCTCTCTGGGATCTGTAAGTAATGCATTTCTTCTGTTTTATGCATTTTAGTTTCACCTCCACATTGTATCTTACCCGTCCCATAGGACTAATTCCTCCTCACAACCCAGCGCCTCATCAGGGCTCTCCTAGAGAGTGGCTTTCTTGCTTTCTGGCCACTCTCAATAGAGTTTTCAAGACCAAATTAGAAACCGTAACAACAAAAAGTACAACATGGGTGTCAAGAAATGTAAAGGGTCTGAGATTTTGCCCTAATTGCAACCTAATAAGCTAGCCGACCACAATTTCACAGATGCAGGAGATACCCTGATTCAGACACAGTGGACCTTATGCCTCATGGCACAGTAGGTAGCGTGAGCTTTGTGTTCGCATCAGTATCTCTGGACTCTCAAACCCAGTGAGGTTGCTGCTGAATGACCCAAGGGCCTATGGTGTATGCAATGGTATGTGTTACAGCTGATGAACCCTGAGTTTGGGAAACCCCAGTCATCTAAAGGGGTCTGCCAGGACACCGCACTTGCCTCAGAGGATCACTTTTATTTTTTGGGGCAAGAAACAAATCTGCCCTCGCTCTGGAGGGAGACACTATCTCTATATTCCAAGGCTGTTTGCTATGCATTCTTGAAAAACTAGTCTCTCTTTGCCTCTGTTCATGTGACATGCAGAAACATGAGGGACCCGAGGAGAAATTTCTCTCAATATGGTGATTGAAATTGGGACTAATTCAGAGGACTAATATGGTCAAAACAATTCTGAAGTTTCTAGTCTCAGCGAAGGTATGCCCTTTCCAATAACTTTATTATGGAAATAATTTAAGATGGCTTTTTTTTTCTCTCAGGTGTATGTAATATTTTTTGGTGATAATTTTAAGAATTCAGTTTATTGACTTTATGACGAGTCTAACTTCTCCCCCTTAGTTTTTAATATATAATAGCTTCTGTTTATTGAATACTAAGCACATATCATACTTACCCCTTATAATACAAAATGATATATGCACTACTAAAATTCTCATTTTATAGTTGAGAAATTGTGGTAAAAGTTATTAATATGCTGCTGGTCATAAGTGGCAGAGCTGTTTTTACTATATTATGCTTCCTTAGTTATTCATGGTAGTAAAAAATAATTGCTAGATATGTAAAGGAGCGGTCACATGGGACATAAAACAACCATTTTAGGGCAACTTAGGTTGGTGTTTATTTGTAGGCAATTTGGTTGTTATGCAAAGTGATTGAAGGCCTTTGGAATTAGTGTGACATACCAGAATGCAGTTCTCAAGCTGAAGAGATATTTGCATTCTCTGAGTGGATGATCTCCTAATGTAAATAGTTTGATGTTGTGACTTAATTTTGTGGGATTTTAGACTAGATTATCAGCAGGACTATAGTATTAGGAATGGTCCTCTTTTCTGTTTGTTTTTTTCCTCTCCACAGTCCATTTTCTCTCCCTTCTCCACAGTGATTCCTTCCTGGGTTTTTGAATCTGCAGCAGTCAACATGTAGAGAATAAGGTAACTGAATAAGGTCTTAGAATTTTAGAATCTAAAATTCTAAGACCCCAGAGTGGAATTACATGGATTAGGGTGTATCCTTGCCACTTCCCTAGCCATATTCTACTACTTTTTAAGTGACAGGTAGTGTTGAGTTAATCTAGCAATTTTTAAGAATTAGGTGGTGATGTATGCTTGTCGTGTAGGAGGACAGCTTTTGTGGCCAGAAAGTCACAGAATGTCAAAGTATTATAATACTGAATGACGATGACTTGGTGAACCTAGTTATAGATGTTGATACAACCTTGAAAATGCTTGGAAATGATTGTTTCCACATTTCCATACACACTTACTGAATGCCTACACTGTTCTGCACGTTGTATAAGATACTGGAGGTGCGCAGATGTGAAAGAACTGCTTCCTGCACTGGATGAACGCACATTTAGTGATTTAGAGGGAGGGCGAATTGAGTATAGCATGATGGGCCATGATAGCATGAGGTTATAGAACTAGTGAAGGGCATGGACTGTTTTGTTGTCTCAGGATAATTATATTGCTATTTAGAACAGTGCTTCTTAAAAAGTAACTCAATCCATATGTCTAATAGCTCCAAAATATTACCCTCTAGAAGAGTGTTTTCAAGGTTTATCTATGGAAAAGGTGTAATATATTAAACGTAGATTTTCAGGAATGACACCAGCTATAGAATCAGAATCTTTGGATGATGGTGGGATTGGAGGGGTTTTCATGGGGTCCAGGTGTGTTCAACAAGTTCAACACGTAATTCATTGCAGGTGGCAAAACGTAGAGCTGCAAATTATATTCATTTGGACAACCTTTTATTTTGCGCTGTAGACCCAAAAGAAGGTATGATAATTGTTGTGTATTATTTATTTTCATACTGCTAAAAGGAGTTTTGTTCTCACCAGATGATATCTCCCTTACCCTGCCTTCTGTATTTCAAGGGTCTTCCAATTTATTTGGAAATAATTACATCTCTGAAGATTAGATTTGAAGCTTTGTGGTTAATTTTGAAGTATTTCATGAATATGGCAGATCAGGTTGAAATCTATAGGACACACTCCAGAAGCTATGAGGCGAAAGTTTTATTTTTCACTTGGCCACAGATCGAAAAATAAATGACTGGCTTTATTTCAGCAAGTTTTATTTATATGTTTTGCATATATTACACTCCCTTAAAGCTTAGGCTAGAAAGAGAAATTGTATTTGTATTATGAGATTTTTATTTCCCATAATCTGGCATGAAATCAGTTGTAAGAAAATGATAGCTATCAAAAAGAGTTAATCTGTATCCTTACATTATACCTTGTACATTATAAGATTTATCTGTAATGTGGCTGCAAAAATTTTTTAGCAAGCATAAGTAAAACATATAAACAGTGTTTAGTCATCTTTATAAGGGTGGGCTTGCTAACCTATAGCACAATAATGAGAGGGGATCAACATGTCTTTGGTTAAGTTGCCTTGCTTAAGTTATGATTTAGAATCTTTCAAATTGCATCATGAGTGCCTGTGAAGAAAGATTGATGGTCTCTTGATGGAGTGAAGGAATAGGTAGGTTTGTATTAAGAAATAATACCTATTCTACATTCTGTTAGTAAATATGCAATTGATGTATAACATTTTGATGCTGAAAAAAATCTTAGAAATGGCTCCAGCTTAGTTTCCCTGAGGGGTTTTGTCCTCCTCCAGATATTATCTTAACTTTCCAAAACCTTCAGCAAATAATTTCTCATACACCATTGATTGTAATTTGTTTGTTCAATCCAAACCTTGAAAGGGTGATGGGTTTCTTCTTAGATAAATCATTCCTCATGAAACTTGTGGAATTTCTCTTTGCATGTAGCCTATTAGCAAGGAGAATCAACAATACCAATATCAGATGATATTTACATATTTTTTAAAAATACACTTCCAACCAATGCCTAAGGTTATAGATCAATTTATTATGGTGATTGCTCTGTGTAGGGAAATTGGTCAGAAGAGGTGAATAAGGTGAACTTCAAGGTGATTTGTAATACTTTTTTTTCTTACATAAAGTTATAAAGCAAATATAAAGATCAAGGTGAATTCTGGGGTGGTAGGCTCGAGACTATTTCTGTGCTTTTCAGTATTTTCAGCTTCCCCAATACCCTCCAGCCCGCCCCCCAACCCCCGCCAAAAAAAAAAAAAAAAAAATAGAGACCTGTAGCTAAATCTTGTCATTGGCTAATGACACTATTTTTAGGATCCTTCCTGTCCTTTGAGATATTTGCATCATGATAGAAGCAGTACTTTAAAAATGTATTCTCCATGTGGCAGAGGCCACTGAAATAAAGTAAAATGAATAAAGCATGTATAGTTTAACTATTGAGAAAGCATCTGTAAAACACCACATGATATTATGTGTGAGTGTATATGATGTATATGGTATATGAATATAAGGTCCCTTTAGAAGCATAGTTGATAAAACTATGTCTTATATTTTTTATTCTGTGAACTTGCATATAACGAGCCTTAGTAAATATTTATTGAATAGAAGCAAACACACTAGGCTTCTTGTCCTAGAAATAACTTTTCCCCCTAGTCAGGGTATTTATCTAGTTGCTACAATTATCAAATGTTGAAATGTACCAAAGTTAACTCATCCTGGTTAGTCTGTTTACATTTTATAACTTTTAATCCTCAAATCCCAGTTTCCAGCCTGGCTTCTTTAGCTAACAGAACCTTTTCAGAGTACTAATAATATTTCTTTATAGAAACATTTTTAACAATCTGTAAGTACAGCACATGTGATTTAAACATACAGAGCAATTTCTCTGCACATGAAGATTTTCCTAGTAAAATCCTTGTTCACTAGGATATAACAAATTGTTAGAAGCCTTTGGTAGAATTCTGCTGAACATACATGTTTATATGAATTTCAGCTGCATTGTTTCCCATTATCTAGTTAAGGTTATTGGAAAAAGAACATTTTACCTTTGAGATGGAATATTATACTCAATATTCATGGAAGTATTATGCTGTTATGTCTGTTGAGGTCTTCAAGACTTCCTATCAGCATAAGAAATGCTGAAGAAATGTCACACCTTGCCTATACCCTTCTCTGCCCTTCAGAAAAAATAAGGTGTCACAGGCAGAACACAATGATCTTCTCTGCTTTCTTATTCTATTTGTGGTAAAAATAAAATAAAATTGAACTTATTTTACTGAACTGAGCTGTTGTATTCCCTGAATTGCATATGCTTTTGGTTACCCTATGGTTTTATAGACCAGAGCTTTCCTGCAGGGTAAAATACAGTGAAAACTTAAGGTCTACTAAGATTTTTTTTCATTTATTTCGCTCATATGTACGTGTTGAAGAGGTCATTGGTGATTATAGTTCTGACATAGCCTATTCTACGGGTTCATGTTTGTCAGGTTCAAACGGAAGCAAAACTTTACTGAGTTTGTATTATGCTAGATATGTAGAATGCCAAGTAGAAAATGTAAGGTTAAGAAAATCCTAGATGCAAAATTGTTAGCTTTATTACCAAAATTTTGTTGTTAGTGAAAAGCAGCACCAGAATTGGAAACCAGATCTGTCTGATTTACCAGTGCATGTTCATTGTACCATAGATCCAAAGTAATTGATTGTATCTGTAGGCTTTTCTTTCGAACATTGAAGTCTGTTTATTCACCTAAGTCTGCTATTTTCAGTAGGTATTGTTAGAAAATTCAAATGATTATCCTGATCCTTTTGATATGCTAAGAACCGTTTGATGAAGATAGTAGGTGAAACTCCTAGAGTGATAATTGAATTGTCAACATAGGTATAATACAAGAATTTGCTAATCTTTATTGGGTGTTAACTGTTTGAAGATTAATCACATAACACATGCATATTTTATTTGGATTAGCTGTTGTAGATCTCTATTACCTTTTATTAAAAAGGAAAATCTTGACTTACATTAGCTGAAGAAATTGTTTTGAAATTTAGTGATATTTGTTTAAATGGTGTCTGTAAGTCAAATCTTTGTATATAAACAAGAGTACCAACATTATGGGAGTGTAACTGAACTGTTATATGATCCCTGATGATTTTTTTTTAAAGCTATCAAAAGAAAATTTCTCATAATTTCAGAAAGCAAATTTTATCTTTAACTTGCAATAAATTTGCAATCTAGGAAGCAAGTTACTTACATGTTTGGAAAATAGTCTTTTTTTTGGAAAAATATATGTGGATATTGATTAGGATAGTAGAATTATATCTTTATATACTGTATAATACTGCTTTTATAGAAGTTTATATCACCTGACAGAATTCAACGCTAATGGAAAAGATGAAGATATGACAAAAAGTAAAGGTTGAGAATGAATAGACTTTCAAGGGAGCTGATCTTTCTGTGATCTGATAAAACCTCTTCATTCTCTATCCTTCTCCCTGCAGACCACTGCATAGCAAAAGCGTTTTTACTGATTAGCAATAATCTCCCAGGATTTGAGGACAAGACCTGTAAAGATGGTTCCCAACTAAAATATGATTTTTGTTGTTGCTGCTGGCTTTGTTTTTCATTTTTTAGTAATTTCTAAAACCTTGCTGGGGATTTTTTTATTAACCTAAAATTGAATTCTAGTGTTTTGGTTTTGATATTACTCTGTCTTCATATATACTCTGATGAGTTTTATAGGAATCTAAAGAATGGTCTTGTGGAAGGAGCATAAGCTTTGGAGTCAGAAAGTCTGGGGTCAAGTCTATTTTGTTATAGTTGTAAGTCCTTAAAACCTTTATAGTGATTTTCTATTTTAAATGTTCAAACCAATAAGTAGGTAGGGATGTATACATTCTTAACACATCTATTACTTTTTATAAATACTTATTTGATATCCAAAGGATTTTCATATATACATGTGGTATCTCAGTTACAATAAAGCCATTTAATAAACCTTGCTGAATATCGTAATATTAGCAGAATTAAGCTTCAAATTTTTCTCATAGGTATTCATTGTAATCCAGGTTTTTTATTTCTGTGTGGTGCTCAGTCTGGTTTTAAGGTCTGATACTATATTATGCTGTGCCATAAATCAGAAAAGTGTTCTGTTTTTTATTTTTTTTTTTCTGAAGTAAGTTATTGTTACAGGATATACTTATATAGCCAACTATGGAAACAGGGATGTTCTGTTGAGCAGATACTCACATTTTATTGGGTATTTTGTGTCTTTTTTTTTTTTTTTTTTTTTTTTTTGAGACAGGGTCTTGCACTATAGCTCAGGCTGCAGTGCAGTGGTACCATCATAGATCACTGTAACTTTGAACTCCTGGATTCAAGTGACCCTCCTGCCTCAGCCCCCTGAGTAGCTGGGATGATAGGCATGTGCCACCATGCCTGGCTAATTGTGTTATTTTTTTAGAGACAGGATCTCACTATGCTGCCCAGGCTGGTCTTGAACTCCTGGCCTCAAGAGATTTTCCCCACCTCCCCTTCCCAAAGTATTGGGATTACAGGCATGAGCCATGTGCCTGGCCTTTGACAGCCTTAACACAATTCACCGGTGCCATTTAATGGTAGCTCATTAGCTTTAAAAATAAAATGTCATTTGACCAAAACAGAAGTGAATTAAAGGCTTAAAGTGTCTAGAAGACATGTCGGTTTTCTATAAGTAATGACCGGCTGGTTTGTAGCACCACCCAGTGACTGTTGACTCTAGTCCCGAGATAGACTAAGTCTCTAAAGTTTAGTATTATATGCTTTGTCATGAAATTTGCTAGGTAAAAATATTTATTAATTTCTTCATGAACAAAGAAATTAACAGGAGTAGAGTTTTCATGATTATATATTTCTAAAATTCCAACCTGGGGATATGAAATTTAGCAACTTTCAAGCTTCAGACCAGCCTTTTAAAATACATAACTTCTTTGGTATACATAACTTCATGCCTTTATTTTTCTAAAAACATTTTCAGAGTCTTGCAATACAGGGCATTTACTTTATAAAATTAGTGTTCAAAATACATATAAATAAAGCCGATTTGGACTATCTTCCTCCTAGGGAATTGTGTTATAGTTTGTTGCCACTGTTATTCTGTTTCTCTGGAAATAGTTAACTGTGATGATTACTGTCACTATAACTTACTAAACATGGATTATGTTCATGTCATAAGCCACGTGATTCTGGGTCAGATCAGTTGAATTGCACTTTCTCATGCACTCCCAAGGAGGAAAGATCTGGTAGAGTTAACAGCTGGTACCTTGGAAACTGCATAGCCCTGTGGGTGAATGCTCACTAGTGTGTTTTGTTTGCTGAAACAGCATCTTCCTGTGTATTCTGAAGAAAAAACTTAATATTCTTCTCTAAGACACAAAGACATCTTAGAGTTCTAATGTTTCTTAATCTAAAAAGGTTTAGTATTTTATTCAGAATTTTGTTTAAGTTCCAGAATTTTTTTTTTGCCCATACATGTAAAAGTTTAGTTACTATTATTATACTGCTTTTTTTTTTTTTTAAATGGGGGAAGATTTACATTGCAAATTTTGTCAAGGGCATGTCTTTGGCCGGGCAGGATGGCTCATGTGTGTAATACCAGCACTTTGGGAGGCTGAGATAGGAGGATAATTTGAGGCTAGGAGTTTGAGACCCCATCTTTACCAAAAAAAAAAAAAAAAAAAAAAAAGCCGGGTTTCTTGATGCAAACCTGTAGTCCCAGCTACTTAGGAGGCTGAAGTGGGAGGATCACTTGAGCCCAGGAGGTCAAGGCTGCAGGGAGCTATGATTGCACCACTGTACTCCAGGCTGGGAGACAGAGTGAGACCCTATATCAAAACAAAGAAAAAAAGAAAAAGCCTTCATGCTTATTTTCTCATTCTATCTTCTCTTTCCTTATCTTCCCATACTGAAGTGTTTCTATAGAAGAGTTGCTTCCATTTCCATTCCTTTTGCCATTTTATTCATGTTTTGCTTCATTTTTCATGTGAAGTTGAGTTTCTAAAAGTATTATGATGCAGTGTTCCTGAAATGTATATGCTTGTCTTTTGGCTTTGCTGCTTAGTTTTTTGTTTTTGTAGGGAGAGGGAGCCGCCTTTTGGTTACTCTATGTGGTACAATTTCTAACATTTCCTAGCTTCTTATATACTCCATTTCTACCTAGTAGTGAAAAACAAAACCATTGTCCTTTTGGCACACTATGATAGATTTTCACTTAAATTTAGCTTTGGGACTCTTAAATTGAGATCTCCCACTAGGCAATATTATAGAGTCACTGATAAAACCTATGCAACAGCTTAGAAAAATGAATAGATTATAATCACAGGGATAGAAGCCAATACATTAATATAAAAACTGGTCTAGAAGGATGTTTATCCAGTGTAGACTGGACCTCCACAGGAAGAACTTACGCTAAGGAATAGTTCATAGATCACAAACAGCATGAATCAATAAATGACTCTGAGATTTGTAATTTTTTAAACCTAACCTGATAATTTCTATACCTTAATAAGTGAGTTTAGTATATTTATTATATTTACTTTTCTGTTTGCTCAGTTTTATCACTATCTTCTAGCTGCATAAGGCAAACCACAAATAAACTCAACACTGCACTATTTTCTCTAGGGGATCCAGGGAGAAAACAGAACCATTACTCTTTGAAGTTGATAGTTGACATATATATTGTTTAGTTTGTGCCAGGCACTGTTCTAAGCACTTTGTAACTCATTTAGTCCTTCCAATAAGCCATGAGGCAGGCTTTCACATTACTCACATGAGAGAATGGGAGAAGAGTCTTAACTTTTCCCAAGGTTGCACAGCTAGTAGTTTGCAAGGGCTGATATTCAAATCTAGGCAGTCGGGTCCCCAACTCTGTGTTCCTAACCATTAAATGTCACTGTCTTATGAAAGCCTATCACATGGAGAACATCATAGTGAAGTTGAAAAATACAAAGAGAAAAGTCTAAAAGCTATTGGAATAGGGGAAAAAAAAGTTTATAAAAAGTGATTGGCAGGCTGACACTAGCAATGTCATCTCCCACTGAACTTAATGGAATAGCATTTCGAAAGTGCTATAGGAAAATAAATTGGCTTATAATTCTTAACTACTTTAGCATACACGATTGAAGGTGAAATAAAGCAATTTTAAGATGCACAAATCCTCTATCAAAGATTATCGCTGAAAGAACTACTAAAGATGTACTTCATCAAAGGGGAAGTTATTTCAGCTTTTGTGGCTTTTGGTAAAAACTCAATATGCATTTAAGAAGGTGCCTAGTATATTGTTTAGTGCATATTAATCTCTCAATGTCATTTTTTAAGAGAAATGTATGCTCCAAAGGTATTTACTAAAAATAAGATTCTATGAAAATTAGTATACTTAAGTGTTTTTCTAAAAACTGAAGTATTAGTCATTGAAAGAAAGCACTCATAGAGGACACTATAGCTGATGATGGCAGAGGTAACAAACTTAATGGTATTCAAGAATAGTATATTATTTATATTGCTGAAGAGTAAATATACAAACATCAACTTTAGTAGGTTAGATTACTAAATGATTTAGAATTTATGAATCATAAATAAGGATCATCTTCTGCTTTTTATGTCCTCAAAATTGATTAGAAAGCGCAAGCATTTTATATAACAATTCCATATTACGTGTTCATTTGAATTCTAAGATTTATTGTTTGTTTTTCAGCGCCTGGCATTGGAAGCGGAGAAAGTTCAAGCAGCTCACCAGTGGAGAGAAGATTTTGCAGTAAGAACCCCTTTTAACTACTTGATTTAAATAGCTTGACATATTGTGTATGGATAATTACATGCATATTAAAATATATTTTAATGATGGAATCTTATGATGTTGTGGGATTAAAAATAATCATACTTGTTGCTTTTTAAATAAATTGCTTTTGGGTAATCAGGGCCAATTAAGTTAGCCAAAATGTACTTTATGTTCCATATTACCAAAAAAAAACAAAAACCAAAAAACCCTTTAAAACCCTTGAAATGTTCTCCCATAATTAAAGGTACATTATTTATAAAATACATTAAAAATAGCATTAAATTTTAATATCTGAATAATTTTTGTCGATATTATGAATATACAAGTTGGAAAAAGTTGCTTTTAACTACTTTGAGTTTGTAAGAAGCAGTATACATATTATAATCACCTTGATGGTGGGCAATATGATGAAAGTGAGAATGAATATATTCAACTTCTTAAAATTTAATTTGCTTCACTTTAGCTAGAAGTAATCTCTCTTCTACTCTGGCCTACTTTGAGAAATGTCAGCTGACATTAGCGGTTGCATGTTTTTTTTTTCTTAATAAACTTGTTTTATGAACTAAGAGTTACTAGTTTATAGAAATAGCAGAAATTCTCCTTGTGGTAAGGTCTGCATATCTATCATTTATCTATCCTCTTATAGCCAAGGGGCACAGTAAAAAAAAAAAAATTCCTTAATAATCAGAAAGTACTTCTGTTACATACTTGAGTGATTACAGTTGTAGTGAAAGAAAATCTTTATAATTTCTGATCACAGAAAACTTCCAGACAACTCATTTTGGGGATGTAAACAACTGCCCTCTACCTTCCCACATTTAAAATAGGTTTAGAATGTGAGCGACAGCTTAATTGTACTCTTTGCAAAGCAAAAGTCTCAAATTTGAAGGTATGTAGTTGTGCTTCAGTAGACACTAAACTGAGGTTTAAGAATTAGCACTTCTTTGTGTTTCTATGATTATGTTGAATATCAAAGGAAAATGCACTAAATGATATTTAATTCATGTATATAATAGTCTTCCATTCTTGATACTTGTGATATTATTTATTTTTACTGTTTATCACTTATTTATATATTTTAAACAGTCTACTAATGAGAGACTCTATTTGACAACTGCCAGTTTGTTTGATTCTCTACTGAACTGATCATATCACTTAACTTGATTGGTATTAATATTATGTAGGTATTGGCTTTGTCTACAACCTTTATCATACACAGGTTAATAAAGATCAATTTGCTATCCATGATATATTAAGGAAAAAATCAATGATTAAGCTAAAAACATAAGCTCCTAGAGCATCGAGCAAACTGTAAGCTCATCTAGTGAATGAAGAGGCTTACAATATACTTAGTTGCTTTTAGATAAAAACGATTTTTTTTGTTTTTGCAAATAGGGAAAAAGCAGCAAAACAAATCTAGCTAAATATATGTTTGATTAACAACATTAAATATAAATTACTCTTCCCTTATGTCCCACAACATAAAGCGTGCATGGTAAAAGCAGTGTAAAGTCATAATAGATGTATGGCTAGATCATGTATTCTGCCTAGCATAGATATAATACCCTTGGTGCTGTTTTAGTTTGAATCTTCAGTAATTCGGAGAACTCAAAACAGACACACAAACTCAGCCTCTGAAATATATAGATTATACATTCCCTGTTCAAAGCACCCTTTTTCTTTGCCTTAAATTCATTTGGTAGTATTTTAAGTAGTCATTTATTAGTTGTATGTTGTTTTCACTTTTCTAAAGAGCAATAATGTGGAAAAAAATAACTTGGCAAGTAGGGTTGTAGTAATGCCTATATCATTGTTGTTTCATTTAACTATTATTTATTAATTTCTAGACATAAGGTTTCATTTCCTAGACATTGTGAACTCTTTAATATTGGGCTCATTAACACTAACATTTGGCAATTATTTTGTTTTCTATATTGAGGTAATGGGTAACCACAACACAAACACAATACAAAAACTCTAAATTCAAGTTTGCTATTACCATATTTTATTGAATGTAAATCATCAATTGTAAGGCACTTAGTCATTCTATTTATTTTAGTTATTTCTAAGAAAAAGCCACTTGGCCGGGCATGGTGGCTTACACCTGTAATCCCAGCACTTTGGGAGGCCAAGGTGGGTGGATTACTTTAGGCCAGAAGTTCAAAACCAGCCTTGTCAACATGGAGAAACCCTATCTCCACTAAAAATACAAAAATTAGCTGTGCGTGGTGGTGCATGCCTGTAATCCCAGCTACTTGGTAGGCTGAGGCAGGAGAATCACTTGAACCTGGGAGGTGGAGGGTGCAGTGAGCCAAGATCATGACACTGTACTACTCCAGCCTGGGCAACAGAGAGAGACCTCATCTCCCCCAAGCCCCCACCAAAAAAGCCACTTAAATTATGATGCATCAGCAATTGTATGCTGTATTCTTAGAGATGTCAAAAAGTGAAAAAAATTATCTTGAAATGTAACCCTTATTTTCTACTTTTTTGGTGCCTCTATCCAAGTAGCAGTACTGCTAAAAAAACATTGTGCAAGAGGACAAATCAGTCCCACAATAATACAAAAGCCATTACTAAATCTTCTATGGTGAAATAGAAAATGAATTATTTGCCCAGTAAGTATTAGGAATTCTTAGCAAATGGTGGTCACCATGTGGGAGAATTCTTGAAGAAATTCTGTTCCTAATTTCCCCCTTGGTTACCTCACAATTTATTTAGGGCCTGTTGACATACTGATTGACATCAAAAGAGACTGTTAAAGGGAAAACAAGTTAGACCACTTAGAGTCCTGTCAACTCATTTCCTGAGCATCCTTCCTGAAGGACCGTGAATGATGTTGACAGGACACAGGTCTGTCACAGTTTGCACATTGAGAATTGCTATTTCCCATATCTAACCTTGGCAGCCATACATAGTCTTTATGATAGCCCTTCCCTTTGAAATGCCATAGAGTGATAGAAGGTTTAGATAGTGGTCGTTTTTGTGCTTGGAGAATAGAACCTCAATGAAGACTATCTAATCTTAAGACTCAAATAAGTAAAAAGTACAAAAATAATACATTCCTCTCAGCTTTTTTTTTGTTCCTAATAAACTAGGTGGTGCTTTAGTGCACAGATACAGCAAGGTTAAATAAATCCTTCAAGACCAGAGCAGAATACAGTTCAAATTCGTGGTTGAAACTTATAAATCATTAACATTAAATCTCTTGTTTTGTGAAAGCACACAAAACAATTGTAAATTTTCTCAATATTTTAACCAAACATTTAAAAATGGTTAATTTGAAGATAAATTTTATCATCTTTCAAAAGGTCCTTCTTTTAAACTTTATAATTCTTTTATCTTTTAAGGTATTTAACAATGTGCATCTGTGCAATATTTCTTTAATGCCATCCTTTAATAATTTAACACTAAGATGATTTAGAAGGCAGACATAATTTCCTAAAAGGTACATTAACATTTCAAAGAGCAATGTAATATTCTGATTCTTCCCTCAAGTGTAAGTAGGCAAGTTTCATTAATATTACTTAGGCAAAATGTTGATTAACCTTCCCTACTGTGTAATGTAGAGAAATCTCATGAACAACAAGAACAAAAGGCAAAGCACTAATATGCTGGCAACAACAAAGGACTTATGCAATTCACACTCTCTCTCAGCTCCATTCAATTCCCAACTGAATACACAATTGAGGGAACAAAGGGCGTACACCCTAAATGGATTAAGATTTATGTGGTCATGCATTTACAAGTTCAAACTAATATTTGTAAATAAGCTATGTCTACCAGCTGCCTGCTAGGTCTCCATACAATTTATGGGTGTTAAAGGTGACATTTCATGTCACTTATGATGGACAAATTATTCTATTAAGGGCAGGTGGGAGAAGCAAAAAAGAGCTTGGAAAGCTAATTGTTCTGCATGAAATAATTGCTATTTCTACCAAACAGATCTTTTCCAATTGCATTTCAAATCTCATTTGATTGCATTGCAATGGTTGGTTAACTAAAGCAATTTTGTTTCCAAGGAAGCTTGCAATATTAATTGTACTTACACATGTATAAACATAAGGGGTGTCTAATTTGTATTTTAATAAGTAGGATCTTTATGTATGGCTTATTAGCACCAGCTTGTTACTGTGCAGGCAGAGTACAGACGTCTAGAAATTGGCCGGTAAATAAAACATTTGAAGAGTCCCTTTTAGCTTCAGCTTCACAAAGTAAATTAGAAGGTGAAAATGTTTCTAGTGAAGTTGTACGTTATTGAGTGTCCGTCAGGCTAATTTAGTTCTCCAGTTATAGCTTTAATTTTATAATATTAAAATTACTTTGCCAAATCATATTTTGAAATGTTGATATTTTAAATTTTGTGTTTATGCGAGTTAAACTAATAGGCACCGGCATTATGTATTTAATCATTTCATCTATCCTTATTCATTTCATGAAATTGCATCGTTTTTATTGATTGTAGCAGAAACATTTTTGAATATGTGGAATGGGAAAACACACTGTATTTGTTTTACTTAGAATCGAAGACAGACAGTCACTTGGTATGAGGTCTTGGATATTGAAAGAACTGACTTTTAGGGATAAAAAGTGAGAGCGTAGCATTGTCTTAATGAATAAATAAGTGAATTTTAATAGATCACCAAAATGATTTTAGGCTCTGGCTTTATTTAGTCTTTCTTAGTTTCCACCTTTGGTTGAAACACTCTTGAAATCAAGAGCTTGCATATTTTAATGTTTTTGCAACATTTCTGCTATGTAGGGAAACAATTTTTTGTTACGGCTTTTTAAGAGTCTTGAGACTTTATCTTCATCATAAAGATAGATTAAAAGCCATAATGCAAAGCTCATTTACTCCAAAATTCTGGAAAACCAATGTAATGTAAAGGAGTCAGGCGTATTTGTGTGCCTTACTGTTGTTGTTCATGCATACGTATAAATGCCATGGTAAGAGTATTACAACACCAGCATAAAAAATATTAACCATGGGCTTTAAATTGTTAGTTATGCTGGGTGATAACCTATCTCTTTTGTTTTTTATATTGAAAAGAAGCAAAATATTTAATCATTAATTACCTAGTCAAAAACACTGGTTTCACAGTTAACAATTTTTAATATTTTCTAATGATTTTACTGACCTCACTTTCCATTTCTATTAAAGCCAAAATGACAATAGTACGTGATAGTACAGTGGAAGCCCCTGCAGTCAGACATCATGATGATATGTCCTGTGATAAAGTACATGTAGATATAAATGAGGCTGGGTAAATTTCCTTCTTTCTCTTCCTTCCCTCTCCTCTCAGGAAAGGAGGGAAAAGTTAAAAGAGGACAAACACCCTTGGCTTAGGAAATGGGGAGGTAGAAGGTGGTTCTCTATATTTTCAGGACCAATCCGCTGCTTCAATATCCTGGGATTGAGATGATGAAAATAGTGCTAAATTATTGGGAGATTCCTGGGATTGCTGCCAATGTCCTAAAAATTTCAGCCATGCAGAGCTGAATCATCCTCATTGATGTTTAGTCTGGAGTAGATTACTGCCACCAGCTGGTACCGAATTGCAGCTGTCAAAAGAGGGTTTTTGAACTCCAATTTCATTAGCCTCTCCGTAACTTGAGCTACATTTTATTAAAATTGTTGTATACTGCTTATTTGCATTAAAATGGGAGTGTACTGTATTTCTGAACTGCAAAATAAAAAAATTAAGAAAAAAATACATAAGCATTACAAATTACTGCAATTTTCATTTAATGCATAATCTAAGAAGATTTACTCCATATACGTATTTCCATCCATTTCATATCCTTGTTCAAAAATCTTCAGTGACTCTCCATTTATTAATAGCATATATTTAGGGTATACTAAGCCCTTTATGACCTGGCCCCATCTAGCCTTTCCTAAATTTTGTATTGCATAATCTCTCCAGCAGCTATTACTCCTGTCCTGAAATTCTAAGCTCAAAGCAGAGTAAATGACTGGACATTTCCCTAGAACAGTATTCTTTTCTTCACTTTCAGACCTTTTGATAATCTCTGCCTAGAAATTTCTTCTTTCTCCAATTTCTTCATATTTTTGATCAACCAATGTTAGATTTTTTGTCTAACAATGTTATTTCTGTTTTATATGCTCCCCAATGCCCAATATATGTTTAATTCAAGTATAGCTCACTGTGTAGTTTTCCTTTCTTCACTTTTAACTGCTAAAATATAAACTTCTTGGGGATAAAACCGTGGCTAATGCATTACTAAGAAAACCATAGTCTAGTCCAATATATGCCAGAGTGGCCTATATACAATTTTTTAATTAAAAAATAATTACTTGTAGTATTAGGATATCTGTTTTTGCTTGTAAGCATTATTGACAATATTACTGTGGAGATAATGAAAATTTGAACTGCACTTTTACATGTCTGAATATATCTGTACACAGCTTTGGTATAGTCATGGCGCCTCAGTCTTGGAGTTGTGCAAATCTACTTCAGATTTTAGGTCTGCCAACAACTTGCTGTGCACTTTTAGCAAAATAATAGCCTATTTGAATATTAATTTTTTTAATCTAAAAACTCTTGGCTCTGTGATCTCCAGCAGCATAATTATTACTGCAAGATGCTTGATAATTGTCTTTCTCTGCTTCTATGAGTACTATCTCTCTTCCAAGGATGATATTTCTAGAAACCCCAGGGTTTGTCTCAGGTGTTCACAAGCAAGTTGGCACAGTCTCTTGATGGATATTTGCCTAGTCTAGTGAGCATCTGCCAGCTCCTATTACTGTTGTACTATGTTTGCCATTGCAACATCCCAAAGTGTGAAGTCTTTGAGCTGGATTCAATGTGCTCTATGCAAAAATGGGGTGAGTGCCCCTATTTCCAACCCAAAAGGTTTTTAATAAGAGACCTGAAGCTCTTTCTCATACTACCTGTGTCACAAAGTTCTGAAGAAAACGGCTCATTCATCATTTATTTAATCATTCTCTCTCTAAAGGCAGAAGTGCCTTTCTTTGTGTGTCTTTATTTCTTACTTTACCCTCATCTTCTCAATGTCTGTATGCATTCTTGTCCATGTATTTCTCCTTCTTTAGGAAATGATAATCAATTGACCTCCAGGAACTGAATGCATGAAAAGACATTCCTGATAACTTGCCATCTCCAAACATATATTGTTATCATTCAGGTTTAGCCTAGAGGGGACCTATTGCTATATACTTTCATGTCTCCAAAAAGTTGTTTTTAAATTAAATGAGATAATTTATACAAATATGCCTAAAATTTTGGAAAGTCTTTAAAAATGATAATTTTAATATAGAGGTACTATCTCCCTTCAGATGTATTTCTTCAAAGAAGTTGGAAAATGTGGAGACTAATATATATTTCCATTTATTGTCAATCCTTCAGAACAGAACCCTAGGGAAATCACTGTATTCCCAGAGATAATTTTTGTATGAAGAATAACATCAGATGCTGGAATAATTTCAATTTGGTGGAGTTATAGATATATTAATGGCTATGTTAATATTACTGTGGGAAAGAGGAAATGTTCCAGGACTCGAAGGCCTGGCCTGAGAGTTTTCTTCCTAAAGGGCTGACACTACAGTGAAAATTGAAGCTTTAAAATAAGGAAGCAAAGTACAAGGCACAGATGATTAATATAGGCATGGGGTGCAGTCACTAGTGGAATACATTTTGACATTGGGAGCTACCCAGGAAAGCTGACCCCGGGGACTGAGGGCTTAGTAGACTGGTTTCAATGGAGAGATAATATTTGTCCAGAGTACTGAAAAGGGTCTGGATTGGGGTTGAGAGAGTGGATATTGCAACCAGAAGCTTAGTCAGAAAAGATGTCTCTAAGTAGAAAGAAGATGCTTTTGAGAGATCTGTCATTTAAACTTAAAGTCTCTTAAAAAAGAAGAAATACTAAAGAATATTCATCTACATTTTTCTTCAAGTTCTTAAGAAGTTTGTAGCTGGATGTCTGTACTGGATTTGTTTACATATTAAAGAAATGCTATAGGAATTGAAAGGAATGACCAGCTCTCCCCTGCTGTGCAAAATGACCTCCTCCTTTAAAGCTCATGCCTTCTGTGGATAGTCTCATCAACTTACAACCTTCCAAACCAGCCTAGCCGTGGATTTCTTTCTTATGCTATCTTCTCTTTCGTTAATCAAAAAGTTTTTTCACTTTATCTTTTCATCCACATACATACTAGCTCCAGTATCTTCCAACATTAAAGAAAAAAAAAAGTCTATTACCCCTTCTAGCTCTGCCACATTTCTTTGCTGTTTTATACTGCAAACCTCCAAAAGTTATGTGGACCTCTGCATTTTTCACATTTTCACCTTTACTCACTGGCCAGCCCACTCCAATTTGACTTTAAATTTCATCTATGGTGAAGCTCTTCTTTGTAGTTAACAACTACCTCTATGTCATCAAATCGAATGAGCATGTTCTATTTATCTTCACACTTCATGTCTTTTCATCATTTTAGTGCACCACTTACTGTATTTCCTTTCTTCAAACACTTCTTTAGTTATCAGGAAACCTCACTTTCCCTGATTTCCTACTTTTCACTACCCATTCCTTTTCAGTCTTTATTGGTACCTTTTCCTTTACAGTACCTCTGTGTCTTTAATGTTGTCTAAATTTAGGGCACAGTCTTTGCCCTCTCATCTTTAATGCCCATATTCCTCCAAGGACACTTGATCCATATTGTTGGATTTACATGTAATAACACCCAAACCTCTTTTCTGAGCTTTAGGCTCATTTATCCGATGACATGCTTGCTGTTTTCATTTACCTGTCTCACTGGCATGTCAAGACTAACATTCGCAAGTGAACTATTATTTCTATTACTTTTCTCCATCAGCATCCTGATCTTCTGTTAAGTTTTGCATCTCAAAGGATCACTTTCTCCTCCAGTTAATATAGCTCAAATTCAGGAGTAATCTTAATTCCTTTCTCTGCCATAACTCCACATGTAGTTAATCTGCAAATTTTGTCAATTCCAACTCCAAAATTTACCAAGCAAGCATTCATTTCTCTTCATCTCCACTAACAACATTTTTCCCCAGAAAACATTCATATCCTGCAGGCAGCATAATCTTGAGATTATTAATCAAATTATGAATCGGAATCCACTCCACTATTCTTTGGTATCCACAAAATTGTTTTATAGAATTCTAATAATGAGGTTCAGTACATGCTACCCCAAAATATTTTAAGCTGAAGGAATCAAAGAAAACCATGGGGGCAGGGAGGTCTCTTTGACCTTCCCTCATGTCTTTCTTTCCTGAAGCCATAAAACCCTCAGAGAAAGGAAGGAAAGGAACATCCTCATCTCTGAAGATACAGGGATACAAAGAAAAATCTCAACAAACAGGTCTTGCTGAGTTTCCCCCAGCTTATCTCCATCAGATGAAGCTTTTTTAATCCAATCAGACTTTTCCACAACTATCTACTTGCCCATCAAACCTAGCATAAAAAATACACAAGGTGCCCTGTTTCTTTGGGTCTTCATTTCCTTATGAAGGCTCTCGTGTCACATAAAACATATATTAAGTAAATGTATAGCTTTTCTATTGTTAAACTCTTATTATAGGAGTCTCAGCTATGGAACCTAAAATGGGATGAAAAGATATTTTTTCCCTACAATAGTGACCCAGCATACACATAGGCAAATAAGATTTTTAGTCAGTTAAATAGAAGAGAATGATGAGATTTTTTTCTTGGAATTAAGAAACAATTTTATAAAATAGTAGAAAATGCCAGGTGTGGTGGCTTCTGCCCATAATCCCAGCACTTGGGAGGCCAAGGCATGAGGATCACTTGAGCCCAGGATTTCAAGATTAGCCTGGGCCACGTAAGGAGACCTTGTCTCTACAAGGTCTACAATTAAAAAATTATCTGGGCATGGTGGCACACACCTGTAGTCCCAGCTACTTGGGAGGCGTGAGCAGTGATTGTGCTACAGCACTCCAGCCTAGGTAATGGAGCATTTCTTCTCACCTTCCACATATCTCCCAAATCTTATTAAATTATTACTTTTACATTAAGGTTTGTCTTATGTTCTATAATAATAAAAATTCTGACAGTATTTAATACTGATTTTATATTTTGATGGATTAAATTTTATCAGCAATACTTTTATGATAGCCCCTTCATTACTTTATTTCTTTTTTAATTTTTTTCTTTTTAATTTCATAATTTGATTGGATTTTGTTAAGTATGTTGACCAAGGAGGTGGTAGAATGCTCTAATCTGAGTTGTTGTATGATTAAGAATATCTGGCCTTTTCATTTTGGACTTGAAGGTTGCCCTGGCTAATTATGTATTATTTTCCTCAAAATTTTGGGACATTGCTTCACTGTCTTTTGTCATTCATAGAGGCTAGTAGGAAGTCTGAAATCAGTCTGTTTCCAGTTCATAGACTCCTCCTATATTGAACTGATTTTTTTCCCACTGGTTTCCGAATGATACATTCTTCATTCTTGAGATTGAAGTAGGAATAATACATCTTGTACATCTTATTTTTGATTGTTTGGTGTCTTTATATTAAAGTTTTAATTTTATTTCAGAGATATAATGTTTCTGCATATTTTTGAGAGTGTGTGTATGTTCTCTCTTCATCAGGAACATCACGTTAATTGAGCTACATTTTCTGTTTTCTATAACTGGTATTTTCTCTTTATTACAGTCTTTTTTTTAACATTTCATTTTGCATGATTTCCTAAAGCCTGTCACTAATAATGTCCTTTTCATATGCATCTGTGCTTTGGCTGTGTACATGTCTTTCTTCTCCATTCTTATTTTCACCTGATTTTTTTCTCTGTTTTCTGGCAACTTCCTTGTCAACTTATATCGGTTCATAACATCAGATTCTGAACCCCTTTATCTTTTATTTTCTTTCACTTTTTGGGGAGATCTCTCATCACCATTTTGAAGAACAGATCTGTAATTTATCTGAGACTGAAGAATAATGGGTATTATTCCTTTTATTTTAGGATCTCATGTGTTTGGTTAGTTTTTCTTCTTTCACCTTTTGAAAAATATGGATATGGACGGATTCCTGAATCTCTGAATAAGCTAGTGATTTGATGGAATATAGGGAAGATTAAAAGGAGAAGATGCTGAGGTAGCTTGGAAACTTGATGAATAGTCTCAAATATCTTACAAAGTGTGCTTCCTTTCAAACATTCCAGTCAGTTTTTTTAGCATTCAAGCAGTTGATAAGACTTAGGGTAAAAAGGATTAAGTCATGGTTTGTCTTGCAATTTGATGATTACCATTTTTGCTTTCTTACTGGGATTTATTTTGTTTCATACTTTTAGCTAGAAGTTATTAGGAAAAAGTAGAAAGCTGCAGGTAGTACAATTAGCTTGTACTTCAAAGCCAAAATAGGCAATGTCAACATAAGTGTTCCTGAAAATATATGCAGCATCTGATTATCCCCTAGATACCTGCTAGCTATTCTAAATTCTGGTCTTAAGTTATTAGAAAATATGAAGAAAAGAAAATATGATGTAAACCAGTACAGCAATACAGAGAGCAGAAAATACTCTGATATTTAAACAGATACCCTAAAGTTACCATTTGCACATGAGATATATTGATTATACAACATAGAATTTACTGTGCATCTGACTCTATTAAATAGGATATTTGCTGTTTAACATAAAGTCTATCTTATTTTTTGAGCCATGAAGTAAGTATCAAAACTATCATGTGTAGAAGTAACATATTCTAATAAGTAGGACCTCCAGCCAAGATGACAGAAATTTAGTCATTTTTCCATTGTGTAACTTTCAGCCAATTATTTAACCTCTAAGCCACAGTTTCCTCATCAATAAAATAGGACTAATATTGTTTCCAGTAGCACAAGTTATTTTGATACTTAATTGAAATTATTCACCTAAGACTTCACTGAGGCTTTTGAGTAGACTCAGGCTTAAATAAAGGACAATGAGTAATGTCACATTGTTTACAAACTGATATTCCCATGTGAGCTAAACAAACATAACTCAACTTTTATTGGCAATCAAATTTACTTTCTTTTTTTTTTTAACTTGGTTTCCATTTCCCCTGTTTGCTTTGTAGTGGAATCTGCAAGGTATATAGCAACCTGTCATTATCAAACACATTTCACATACACATTGCCAATACATTTCATTGAGACTGATTGTGTTAGCAAAAGTGCTAATTCCCTATTGGAACATAATTTTAAAGCTTTGCAAAGTGAATACATATGAACTATTAAGTAAGGAGGGCAGTACAGAATAAAAATATCCATTTTGATAAATTGTATTCTTGCTTTATGCAAATATATGGAAACATATATTATAAACATTATATATATAGTTTACATATGTTTGTACAAAGCAAGAATATAATTTCTCAAATGAATATCCAATTTATTCATTCTGATAAATATCCAGTTTATCAAAATAGATATGTTTACATATATTCAGCATGCTGAAAACATGTTTTCATATGTAAACATTTGTATGTGTATATATATTCAGCTATGCTGAATATATATATGTAAACATATATGTTTATTCAGCATGACTTTTAAGCTCTAGAAATGTCCTGAAATCATTACTGCAATCTTAGTGTTTCTATAAATGTTGGAGTTTGTTACCTTAGAACTCAACAATTGGTGAAATCTAATACATTTTATCTTTTCATACTTTTATTTGAAAATCTGAGGTATTTATGTTCTGAGCATTTTGGGTTTTGAAACAAAGAGCATTAGTTACACTCAGGAGAGGGTAGATTACAGAATGAAAGTTGTAATAAATTTAAACTATCTGTGTGGCCCTATTGCTAAATTCTTTTTTCAAAGTCCTATGCTGAAAATGACTAGATCATATATTCAAGATAACGTAAGCCTGCTTCTTTGGCTAGGAGGGAATGGAATGACCTGACAAAGAGTATTGGTGTTTCTGTTATTTTAGTATCATAGATGTTGATCCTGAGGCTTCCCAGAATTGTCTCTATTTTTACAAGGTTTTCTCTGACGTTCTGATTCATAAATTTAATAACCTGGATTTTAATCCTCGAAGTTTCTTCTGTCTCACAAGTCTTTATTTGTGGTGGCAATGGGAAATGGTGGAATACATGGATATGGTGGAAAAAGACATGAATAATTTTGATCCACATATCAATAAAATCACATTATAAGCCATTTTCATCAAACTGCCCACAGGATAAGCATGAAGAGAACGTTGTAGAAATTTAGATCATGGGATTCTCTGGTGTAGGGGCTTTATATGGCCTACTTGATTTTGTTTCTTTTCACAGTATTCTGAAAATGTCAAGGATATTTCATTGATGATTATAAATTATCTTGAGCCATGCTCTGTTGACTCACAGTAAAAACAGCATGACAAGAAAAGCCAAGGTCTAGCTACAAAAGCATTGCTTGGCCATGTTGCAAGCTTTGTGAATTTAGAAAGACAGGCAATTGTACCATAATTCATAGCTATGGCTGAGAGAGCCATGGAGCCGTATCCTCCAACAGCTTTACATTCCTTTAGAAGATGTAAGATTCAAGGCTACTTGTTGAGCAAATTAAATTCATCAAAATATTTTTATTTCAAAGAATATAAAACATCTATTGTGTGGTTTGATAGGAAATTTACTTAATTATGTTGATGCTAGTCAGTTTGGTAATGTGGAAACTAAAACATTTAAGCAACTTTCATGACAGATTAATAATGCATTTATAAACAGGGGCCTTTGAGAAAAAGTTCAACCACATTTAACTCAAGAAAAAGTTAAATCTACTCAGCTTTTCATTTCAATTTACTTGTTCACAAAGAAAAAGATTTAAAAAAACGTTTAATATCTTGATTATACTTGATATTATGCACATTGATCTCTCTTATTAAAAGAAAATAAATTTATTTACTATTATACTAAAATTATAGTTCTTATTTATATACTTTTAAAGATATACAGTCAAATAAAATGGGGAGGATATATAATTTTCTTTTTTAAAAATAAGTGGACTAACAATATATTACTTGCGAATGTAGAGCAAAAGTTGATTACACAGAGAGAACTATTTGAGTTGCTTCAAGATTGATTTATCACGTTCTCCCTTGGAAAAGACTGATCTATAGCAGTAGTTTAACTGCTTTCAGGCTCCCTTGGAGCCGTATTTGTGGCCCACAGCTGGGTTATAAAGGGCTTCCTGCTGGGATAACTGATACCAAAAGTAAATAGAAAGCTAGAGTAAAGAGAAGTCAACAAAACAAGTAACTAAATAGCCATGATGACACTGATTGTAACTAAATTTAAAAGCAAGATTTTCTGAATTAAAGTAAAAGCATGGAAAATTAAGTTAATCACATGGTATACCAACATATTTCATTTAAAATTATTTTTTAAAAGTATGCCATTAAATATTATGTAATTACATTTCAGGTACAAATATTTTAGACCTTATATGCTAACACCAAATCTTATGGTGATATAAAAATTCATTTGTAATTCTAAACCCACTTTTTAATTTTTAGTAAATTGAGTGTTACAAGAATTAGGTGAGAGGGTAAGTAAAAATATCAATGTGTGACTATTAAAAGTATCAAAGTGAATACATTGACTAGTATGCAGGATATATTTCTTAGTATTATTTTACTGACTACTTGACTGTGTTTTTCCTCAACTTGTAGTTGTCTGTTTCAGCTGCTCTTTGCAAAATACACAGTAATTAAGACAGTAATTTTTATACTCTTTCTTCATGCTGATGACATCTTATATTCTGCACCTTTTCACTCTTTGTCATTTTTTAAAATGTCATCAGCATTATGCTTTGGTTGGCTAGTAGTAGGGAGATTTGCGGAAGCAGAGACCACTTTAGAGTCAAATCTAGCTTTGATGAACCAATTTTCTGTTTGCTAATAGCAAAAAATACCACCTGGGAAGCTCCAGGAGGGAACCTTTTCATACAGAAGTTGAGAGAGTTAGGATTTATTATTCTTATAGTTAGATATGCTTGTTTATAAATATATTTATTTACACAAAAAAATGTATGGTATATTTGTAGTGTTATATTAGTAAATGAAAATGTAAATTTGCTCTAGAGGAAGTAACTTGAGCATTTGTGGTTGATAGACCTGGATTCAGATTTCTTTTTTGGTACATACTTACTTTGAGACATTGGCTTACCTACCTGAACATCAGTTTCCTCATCTGCAAATTGTAATAATGTATATCTTTTTAATATTTGTGGTGAGTACTGTATGAAATGGTCTATTAGTCGGTTCTTGCATTGCTATAAAGAAATACCTGATACTGGATAATTTAAAAAGAAAATAGGTTTAACTGGCTTATGGTTCCATAGGCTGTACAGCAAGCATAATGCTGACATCTGTTTGGTTTCTAGGGAGACCTCTGGAAAGTTACTATCACGGCAGAAGGCAAGGGGGAGCAAGGCATCTCCTGTGGTGGGAGCAGGAGCAAGACAGAAAGGGGAGGAGGGAGGTGCCACACACTTTACACAACCAGTTCTCCTGAGAACTCACTCTCATGAGTACAGCACCAAGGAGATGGTGCTGAACCATTCATAAGAAACTGCCCCATGATCCAGTCACCTCTCACCAGGCCCCATCTCCAACACTGAGGATTACAATTTGACAGGAGACTTGGGTGGGGACGTAGATCCAAACCATATCAGATAGTTTTCATATTGAATCAATAAATGGATAGATACCACATTATCATTATTGCTTATACCTTGTTTTACTAGAAATGACTCTACAAAGACCAACTAGTGTTCATTTTTTATAAAAGGCAAAGATTTATACAATCTGAAAACAGAATATGGCATTCAGTTTCTGAATCAAATTTTATACCTCTTTAATTTCAGTACAATACTCTTCTTCAATATTTACGTGAGCATGTATTTTTTGTGTGCATACCATATCTTTTTTTAAATTTAAGCTCAAGGATACATGTAAAGAATGCGTAGGTTTTTTACTTAGGTATACATGTGTCATAGTGGTTTGCTGCACCTATTGACCAGTCCTCTAAGTTCCCTCCCCTTGTCCCCCACCACACAACAGGCCCTGGTGTGTGTTGTTCCCCTTCCTGTGTCCATGTGTTCAACTCCCACTTAGGAGTGAGAACAGTACATACCATACCTTTCTACTAATGGAAGGAAACTTGAGTGCCAGTTATCTCAGGTTCTTTGTTCTCTGTACACGTACAAAACTCACATACTTCTTGAAGCATTTGAGCGTTCTGCTGACAAATATTTAAAAAATTAAAAGTGATATTAGACTATTGTCTGCTTTTTATACAAATATAGATAATCATTACATATGCAGATATATGGGGCAGGGTGAGACACACAGACGTTATGTGAAGCATCTTTTTCTGTTTGTTGAGAACTACACACATTATGTTTTTCACGGTCCTACAGGCTTTGGTTATAAGCAGAAGCTTATTGCTCATGGCAAAAAATCTCATTTATCCTTTTCATCACATACAGAGAATCATGCTAGTGATCATGATTTCCTTTTCTCCCAGTCTGTCAAGAAGCTTAACACAAGATTTAATGCTTAATTACAGGATTACAAGCTCTGCAACAGTTATCTTTTTCTTCCTCCTAAGTGTTTTTCTTTAAAACTATTATCATTGAAATATTTATTTTTAACTGTGCTGTTCAATGGGTGTTTTTTTTTTATAGTTTGCTCTAAGGGTAGAATTGTATATCTTAGAACAATGATGCTTGGTAAGGTTTGGTGGGTGGAGGGAGGAATTTGACAACTTTTCATCAGAACATTTTAAAACAATTTTCTTTATCCCTATACATAATCCAGTTATAAATCAATGACTGGTCAATTAAACATCAAGAAGTAGTCATACGAAGCTATAGTTAAAAGCTTTAAGGCATTGGAATTCGTAGTCATGATGATTGTCACAAATAAATTTATATTATATAGTTAGAGATTCTATTACATAATTTGTCAATTTTAGATACCACTTTAGATCCAAGGGTCTTTTAAATGAAGACTGGAGAAAAATGTTTCCATGAGCAACTTTAGATTGTGCAATTGGGCATTTGTCTTCTACTTAATGGAAATTTGAATTTGAGTTTGTAATGATTAAACTTATTAGAAATAAGATCTAAAAAATATTTTATTAATCATATATAATCTGCCACCTAGTTCTTTCAAGTTTCCTGTTTTGTTTATATATAACTAGTTTGCTTTTAGTGTCCAGATTTTTTTATCTCAGTTTTAATTCTTCATTAATTCCTGAGAGAGCTAGGCTCCTGGTCATCTCAACAGAATAACTGGTGGCAAGAAAACTTCAAAAAGGAAAACAGTTATTTAAGGATCACTTAAAATGCTGAGTTTGTAGGTTTTGCCAAGGTCTCAGCCTTTCATATACCTTTGACATTAAGAATAGTGCCTGTCTGAAAGTAATTTCATTTGATCTAGTGTGCAAGTTTAGAAGGATTGCACAATCTACTTTGAATGTTACTGCCTGGCTGATCAGTTCACAGAAATCAGCTTAGGTGATCAGTGGGATGGCAGATATTACAGCCATGTTTCCCTCTTATGAATGTTCTCGAAAGTTAATAAATTACTAAATTACCAATGCAGCCATTTTGATATTGCCTTAGTATGTTTCAAAATGAGAAATTAAATGAACAATGCCCAATAATTCTTCTATATGTAAAATTGGAAGTAACCATCGAAACATATAATGCATTTAACTAAAGAGTTACTCCAGTTTTGAAAAACAGAAATACACCTTGGCCTTTCTGGGTAATTACATTTTCTAAGGACTGGGGCTGTTTGCAATTTTGATGTCATTCCTTTAAGATCATGTTCCTGACTTAATTTCAAAGCTAGTGTTTAGTGATGTAGCATTCTCCCCCTCCCCAATTTCTGCAACAATATTGAATTTTAAAATTTATCAGAAATAATGTAAAATCCATATAAATGATATAATACTATCTCATAAATGAAAGTTGCCAGATTTAGTACAGAAAAACACAGGATTCCCAGTTACATTTGAATTTCAAGTAACTATACCTTTTGTAGAACTTTGGAACATACTTTTACTAGAAAGAATTCATCATCTAATCAAATTTAATTGGATGTCCTGTATTTTTCCTGATAAACCTATTAGTATTAATATTTTCTCAAGGTTTTACCTTTTCTCAAGTATTAACCTTTTCTTAAGGTTTTAAGAAAATTCTTAGCCTGAGCTCAACTTTGTATATTAAGATCTAATTTATTTTTGGGGGGTGGGGGGGCAGTCTCTAAACAATTTCTAGACAATAGGCGAATTATATTAATATAAATGTGGTTTTCATATCATTTACATGATGGTAAATGGAAGGCATATTATTATATTAATACTTATAAGCATTGATTAATCATTTTTAGGATTAGCTTGTCCTCTGTAAATATATAGTTTGATACATTTAACTTTGGAATATAAAGCTTAGATATAATCTCACTTGATCTGCTTTCAGTTCACTTGTTCTTCTTATGTGTTTCTAGATCTGCTATGTTTTTACTAAACAGTCCATGAAAGTGGACAAAAATATACAACATGTTGGAGGAAAAAATACCTCCTTCTAGTTTTGTAGAGAGGGAATTGTGTCTGTAAAGGTTAATTAGGTGCTAATACATTCTCTTTATTCTTCTCACCTGGATATTAACTTTGAAATTGCTTGATTCTTTAAATGTAAAATATTTTTCATACTGAGTTTCTTACGTGCTAGAAAGAAGTTAATATGATCAAAAGATGAGTATGTTGATGTGTTCCTTTGTTCCATAACACATCTGGAATCACAGTTGAAAATGTAGACAACTCTGTAATTGGCTCAGCTTCTCTGCAGTATTTTTGCTCTCCACCGAAGTGACACCAGCCTCTTATGACTGAAGTAGTTTTATTTAGTTCTTTAGCTATTCAGTTTATCTTCTTTTTACCTCAATTTCTTATTTAAAAACCATCCAAATTTCTTCATTTATACTGCTCTGAATTTGGAATTCTTTGCCTAATTGATAAATGAGAAGCCAAAACAACTTAGGATAGATTGATTTGTTAGCAACCATGGACTAAGAATTGCACCAAGGAAAAGAATGTAGATTTTTAAATTTGACATTCAGTGCATCTGTATTGCCATGATTCAGCCTTTCCTTGGTACAACTTTGTCTGTAATTTTTTGGAAAAGTATACAGATCTTCATTTACTACTCTAAAGAAAAGAAAAGATTGCATTTACTAAACAATTATGCATTTTGAAATTAAAATAACTCCTATGAAAATATGCCTGAGGAATGAAGCATGGTCCACAGAATTCCCTTTCCTTGCCTCTCCTTTACTTTTTTCTTTTAAATTTGGACAAGAGATGAAATAAAGAATACAATTTAACTAGGGCTATGTTGAGAGTCTTTTGAATTTGTTGAGAATCTTTTGGATTGTTGCTTTCAGAAATTAACATTTTAACAATTATGCATGTTTTAACTAAAGACAGGTTATCTCTGAATCAGTAAACAGTTTGAATTTAAAAAGCTATTTGAAATATAACTTAAATACAGTTACTAAAACTAGGGTAATGAAACATAAGCTATTAGAAATTTTTGTTTCCAAGCAATTATATATTATTCAAATGTGCTTCTTTAATGTGTGAAGCCATTTCATTTTTTTTCCTTCTGCAACAGCCTTCCTTTCTTTGTGCTGTTAACAAAATTTTTTTACAAAGAAGCAGTACAGATTTAAACTGTAATCTATGCCCTATAAAAACACTGATTTCTACTTCAGTTAAATACAAATGAATGTCATTTAATTATATTAATGAAAGAGAGCAGCAATTGATCTGTAGCAGGTAATTTATATCATAATGGGGAAATTGCCAGCTTGTATTTGGTAGGTGCAAAGGGGTTGATTTAGGTTAGTTTGTGGATGTTTCTATTGCAAACATCTATCCTTGGAACATAGTCATTACTTTTCAGGAATAAATGAATACACCTTAACTTGACCTTTCAAGATAGAAAAAAAATGATGCAAAGGTTTTTCTTTTTTACAGTTTTACATGCTTCTACAAAAATATGTACTAGAGATTTCAATTTTTTTTTTTTTTTTTAAGGGAAAGCTTTGCTTTGTTTTCAGAATAAGAGAGATGGCTCTTTAAGTTCTGTTGGGTGCTCACATGAGAAGCAAAATAATGGCTTACTGGGGGGAAAAAAAAAGTAGATGAACCCAGCTACTAGGGTGTTTTTTTTTGTTGTTGTTTTTGTTTTTTTTTTTTAATTTGATCTAAAGCAAAGCAGTTAGTGGAAACACCAAACCTTAAAGGTGGAAGGATTCTAGAGACCGTATTTGTCAACTGAATGTTTATGTCACAGGGGAGGAACCAAAGCCTCGGGAAGCCACATTACTAACTAGTCAATGCTTAAAGCCGTTTAAGCATTTAGCCATGTGCTCAGTAAGCATTTTAAAACACTCACTGCATGCCTATAGTAGATGCTGTTGGTTCCCTGCCCACATCTCCTCAGTGCATGCACACACACATGCACACACACACACGCACATGTACACACACAGAGACACGCACATACTCTTGCTCTGTAGCCCAGGCTGGAGTGCAGTGGCGCGATCTCGGCTGACTGCAAGCTCCGCCTCCCGGGTTCACGCCATTCTCCTGCCTCAGCTTCCTGAGTAGCTGGGACTACAGGCGCCTACCACCACACCCAGCTAATGTTTTTTTTTTTGTTGTTTGTTTGTTTTTTTTTTGTATTTTTAGTAGAGACAGGGTTTTACCGTATTAGCCAGGGTGGTCTCGATCTCCTGACCTTGTGATCCGCCTGCCTTGGCCTCCCAAAGTGCTGGGATTACAGGTGTGAGCACCCGGCCAAGCACATACTCTTATAGCTTCCTCCTCTAAGCATCTGCACATCTTGGCCTTGAGGGCTTTCTCAGGTGGCCAGAATGAGCAGGAGTGAACACTCCGAGTGACAGTTGGTATGGGTGGATACTACCTGAGCCTCCTCATTCTTTGGATGTGACCGTTTTGAGTGAAATTCTATATAGCCTCCCCAGGGTTCCTAGGGAAACAGCCCCAGTTGTCTACCTGCTCTTGACCACAGCTTGTGTGCCTTGGTGTCTCACTTCTCTACTCTCCTATTGGTGTCTCCTGGGATCACCTCCCAAATAAATGATGCTCAAATCCTAGTCTCAGTGTCTATTTCTAGGTAACCAAACCTAGGACAGTGTTAAAAACCAGTCAGTGAACATCTTGTCTGTGGAATATTAAGATAATTCATCAGATGATTCAACAACCTTATGAGGGAGGCTGGCTTGTTTAGTAGTTAATGACATCTAAGCTGTGATGGGCCAGGCATTGAGCTCAAACATGGCTAAGGTGTAGTCTCTCACAGGGCTCAGGCAGGTGATCACACTATGCTGTGCTGAGTACACAGACTGAGGCAGGGAATGCAGCCGATCCTTGACCCAGATACTTGCCCATTTCATCAATACAACAAACCAGTGATGTGTAGTGACTCTTCTCTCTGATTTATAGAGTGGGGAAATACAAGAAGATTCTATGAGAGGCATTAAGAAGGGTGTCCAGCCGGGTGTAGTGGCTCACGCCTGTAATCCCAACATTTTGGGAGGCTGAGGTGAGTGGATCCCCTGAGGTCAGGAGTTTGAGACCAGCCTGGCCAACATGGTGAAACCCTGCCTCTTTTAAAAATAAAAAATTCGCTGGGCATGGTAGCAGGCACCTGCAATCCCAGCTACTCGGGAGGCTGAGGCAGGAGAATCACTTGAACCTGGGAGGCGGAGGTTGCACTGAGCCGAGATTGTGCCACTGCACTCCAGCTGGTCGACAATAGCAAAACTCCATCTCCAAAAAAACAAAAAACAAGGTTGTCCAATTTTGACATGAAGCAGGGAAGCTGGGGAGTTTTCTCTGGCAAAGAAAGCTTCCTGGATGCACCTTTATTTTACTTAATAATGAAAAGTCTTTATTCCAGACTCCTAGTAGAAAATGTGGCAAATTTCTCCCAAACACACCTCCTTTGCTCTCCCACTGTTTCCTACCTATAACTGGAGCCAGTCCATATACATGTCACTTTTAGCTCTCTCCTTCAGCTTTTCTTTTGCTCTTTCAATTTAGGAAATTCTCAATATTCCTTTTTCTAATAGGGAGGAACATCCCTTGACTTTTTTTTTTTTTTCTAACTATGCCTCATCATTTAGACTTCTTAGTTTTGTCTTATATGTAAAATCATCTGTTTTTGAAACTTACAAATCTCCTTTCTACTTTAACAAGCCTTGCTTTTAAGACTATTGCCTTATAGGAACATAATGCACTATCCGAGCTGAACAGTGATATATTTGTTTTAGCTGTTACCACTTTCACAGAATAGTGATGCCAGCATAAAGTTAATTATTCTATTTGATTATTGTTGTTAATCTCTTACTGTGCCTAATATATAAATTAAACCTTATAAGTTTGTATACATATTAATATTATCTGTATCTGCAGTGTCAGGCCTTTACTGGGGCGTCTTGGATGTTTCTCCTGGGGATGAGCAAGGAGTACTGTATATATGTGAATGTTTATTTCATAATAGACACATAATAAATGTCCCTGTACTACCTTTATTTCCTATCCTACATATCCCTATAAGCCCGATGAAAGATGAATGAAATTGATGTAGTGATTACCAACCTAATGTTCTTTGAGGCTCCAATTTTGAACAGATTATTTTAAACTAAGTTATTCACTGACCATAGTGTTAATCCTCATATTTTGTTTTAGTAGGATAATAATCTGGAGTTGATAATGATTAATCTGGAGAGGAAGGGCTAATATTACCATTGGACAAATTAACAGCTCTCTTGCTAAGACATCATATATTATGATCAAGTGCTGTTGACCTGGATCATGAGTCAAGAAGATCTGTGGGGTGTCTGAGTCAATAGGAAGAAACATAAGAAATGAAATGTTTTAGAAGATTAAATTTTAATGCTTTAGATGATTATATCTAAAGATTCATTGGAATTACAGATTAAAGGAGATTAAAGCAAGTTCCACAGCATTATGAATGTGTTTGTTCAGTTCTGGAATGAGGTTTCTGGGAGATTTGGTGCCTGAGGAAAATAATATATTTACCTTCTCATATTCTACCTTTGCTCTTCTCATAGAGTTTAAATCATATATTTATTGATATCATTTGGAACACCAAAATAGCTTACAGGCAGATTCCTATTAAAGTTTATCAGATGAATAAATAAATTGATATAGCTCTTAATGTTTAATAAGAATTGATCTCCTTTGAAGTTCAAGAGCCAATGAACTCTGAAATCAGTCTACTTGGAATTTCTCCTTGATTTCCTATGAGAGTGAAAGTAGCCTACCTTTTAACTTATTCGAGCTTTTGTAAAGCTCTACACTTTTTTTTTGACTGTTATGAATTATGTGTATGTGTGCAGGTATGTGTGTGTGTACTTGTTATTTTATTAGAATTTCTAATAGCTGCTTTTTTTTTTTTTTTTTTTTTTTTTTTTTTTTTGAGATGGGAGTCTTGCTATCACCCAGGCTGGAGAGCAGTGGTGCTGACTCGGCTCACTGCAACCTCTGCCCCTGGGATCAAGTGATTCTCCTGCCTCAGCCTCCCAAGTAGCTGGGATTACAGGTGTGTGCCACCATGGCCAACTAATTTTTGTATTTTAGTAAAGGCAGGGTTTCACCATGATGGCCAGGCTGTTGTCAAATTCCTGACCTCAGGTGATCTACCCGCCTCGGCCTCCCAGAGTGCTGGGATTACAGGCCTGAGTCAAGGCGCCTGGCCGAATTTGTAATAGTTGCTCATAGGCCTATCATATTCATTTAATCATTTATCAGCCCTTTCAGTAGCACTTCATACAGCATTCCAGACACTGCTAGCATTGAGTATATGCACAATAGAACATTGTCTCTACTCAAACTGTAGTAGCTTAATCTTCTTACCTGTAAAAGATATATATATAGATATAAAGATATATATCTTTATATATATATAAATATAAATATGTATATATAAAGATATATATTTATATATATCTTTATATATATAAATATAAATATGTATATGTAAAGATATATATAAATATATATCTTTATATATATAAATATAAATATGTATATGTAAAGATATATATATATCATTTCTTCTACACACACACACACGCACACACACACACACGTATATATATATGTAGAAGAAATGAGCAGTTCCTTTTAGTGAACGTCATGAATGTTTCTTTCTTCTAGGGAGGTATTTCCATTTGTGTCACCAGCATGATAGTTCAGCTCTGGGCTGTAGTACATGAGTATCTTTGCAGTTAGGTTATTAAACATAGTAAAGACACATGGATCTATTATCTTTCGATGTGACCACTCCTCTTAGATGGCTTTGGCTTGTAGATTGGTTAATATGCCGGACAACTTATGAAGTGATACTTTAATTTACAGGCACCATAATGACAACTGAAAAAATAAGCAGACTAAAATATTACAATTATGCAACGGAAAATACCGGATGAAGAAATGTAAAGTGATATGTGGCAAAAGTAACAGAAGCAAGCTTACAAAAGGCCAAAATTATTTTCTAGCTTTTTGTTGTTCTTCCAGTAAGCGAAATAAATTAATAATAATTTTAAATTTATATTTTAATGTAGATTATAAGACAAAGTTAAAAGAATGGATAAAGTGAATGAATGTGTCTCAAAGATTAACTATTTTATTATGTAAACTATTTAGAGGGTGTACATATAGGTATATATGTGTGTGTATATATATATAAAATTGTGTATAATATATATACAGAATGTGTGTGTATGTATGTATGTGCATATATATAAAATTTTTACATATAAAATTTTTATATGTAATTTTATAATATATGTAAAATATATAAATTACATATATAAATTTTATATGTAAAAATTTTATATATACGCACATATATACACACACATTCTGTATATATACAGAATATACATACATACACACATTCTGTATCTATACAGTGAATTTTATATATATAAAATATAAACATATATAAAAATTATACATGTAATTTATATATAATTTACATAATATATAATATGCAATATATATAATACATATATAATATATAATATATAATGTGTAATATATAATATATAAATTATATATTATATACAATTTATATATAATTTATATTTTACATAATTTATATATTTTTATTTTTTATTTTATTTTATATATTTTATATAATTTATATATTTATATAATTTATATTTTATATATATATAAAATTCACTGTCTCTAAGATGTAGGTCATGTCTGCATTCATAATAGCAGTACACAGGAGGTATAAGTATTTGATTGAGGATAAGAAGACTCAGTTTAACTGTTGCTAGTCTTAGCTTTTCAATACATAAAATGACATTGAGAATATTTAACTCACTGGGTCATCTTTAGTAATCAGGGTGTCAAAAAACACATGTGTTTAGGTTTCTAACCTAAATCAGGCTGAGCATGTGTACAAAGCTCAATGCTTATTTATTCGTATGAAAGAATGCTGAGAATTCAAAGAAGGAACAGATTATGATTTCATTATAATCCATACATTATTGAACCACGCTAGCAAAATCATTTTACTTTAATCTTTTTAAATAAAACTCTGATATTCAAGCATGCAATCAAAATGTAGAGTTATTTGATTTTTTATTATGCAACTAATTTTAAAGGCTAGTGAAGAGTTGATGTAAAAAAATTGATCCATCATTTTAAAAATGGTAATGATTACTGATATACCACTTATAAAATATTAAGTTGGCAGTAGGTGATTTTTGACCTTTAGTTCATTAGAGAAATGTTAGAAAAATATTAAAATGCTTTATATAGGAGCTAAGGAAACATTGAACTTGGCTTCTTTGATGTTTTTTTTAACCTTCTGCTAGAATTTTAAATTTTAGGTGAAAAAATATTTCATGCCAGAACACATCTGAGTTTTTATTCCACAAATTCTCTTAGTTGCATTTTGCAAATTACCTGAATGTGATTAAATAAAAGATGGATACACAGGGGAGAAAAAGGGGATGATGAAGAAATGGAATTCTTAATGAATCAGCAGGAGCTAGCATCTAGGACACAGATTTAGGAGTTATTTCTAGAACACTGAAATTTTTGTAAAGCTACAAATAAAAATTAAACTTTAAGCAAATAATACTATTAGTAATAGAAAATCAGATTCGAAGAAAACATTGTAGGAAGTATGGTATTAGTATCAGTACTATCGATTGTGTTGGAAACCAAATTCTTACTAGCTTAAGAAAAAAAAATGATTTTTCCTATCACCAAGAAGCCAACAGATGAAGGAAGCCTCAAGGATTCAGGCTGTAACCAGCTCAGCTTTTATGACCGTAACTACTCCTAGACCTATTACACCCAAAGAAATAGAGAGATGGAATACAGTTTTTGAATATATTTAGGTACTTGTTAATTTGTGTCATCAGATAAGTGGGGTGATGTGATTTACTAGCCAGACAGAATCACATGATTAGATTGGGTGAATAAACAGTTTCTGAAAAGCTATAGGATTTCTGAATAGAAAAACATTTTACCAAAGAACCCTACATGTTTGTTAGAGTTTTTAAAACATAGAAACTCCTGATTTACTGGTGTGTAATTTTCTCCAGCAAGATTGGGCAGTTTGGATGTTGGGATGGACAAGCAAACTTTTAGATTAATACAAGGTGAAAGTTTTTATAGGCAGTAATGAATGATGATTGATATGTGGAGGTGTACATGTAGACTGGAGAGTTACAGAATCACACAGGTCTGGAGCACAGCAACACATTTGGTGGACAGGATGCGTATAAGCCCCTTCCACTCCAATTAATTACCATTTGCATTAGGCTTTCTTATAAATCATCTCATTTGGTTTATCAGATTAAAAAGCATGACAACAACTAGTAATTTTATTTCTTCTCCACTCTGCTATGTGGAATCTTTGAAGATAGCACTTAAAAGACACATTGCATCCTAACTGATCTAAGAAAATAAAATTATAATTTACTTCATGTATAAGTAGGTATTAACTAAAGTTAATTGATAAATTCTATGGATGTATATTCCTGATATTTTTCATATATAAAAAGTAGTTAACAATTACGGGGCATATATTGTGTGCCATGCACTGTACTTAACACTTTATATCAATTATCTTATTGTCTCTTGTCACATAATATGAATGCAGGTTTATCACGTCTTCAGTTCAGTTATATGGTAGCACTTATCTCTAGATGGTCTTGTGTCCATCTTTATTTTTTCTTTTCATCTTCTAAATTACATACTTTCTCAATATGTTCATGTTTTCCAAACTTCAAACAAATATAATGACAGGAAAAAATACTTTTTTTCCTGGAGCACTGTCTTGAAAATGATTTACTCACATTCATATCCCCCCTCACCACTGACACCCACAGACAGCCATACACACACATACATGTTCCTAAGTTCTTTTATTCACACAGTGTTACAGTGCTGTTGGTTGAACTCATCCCAGGTACAACAGTTGATAATGGACAAAATAGCAGTGGTTGCTAAGTCAAATTGCTACAAATGTATTTCCAGAAAATTTGAGCTATAAATGATTTTAGCTAAACAGTGTAGATGTTGGCTGGCATGAATCATTAACATAACTTATTTTTAATGAAGAGTATCTACAATGTTTAACCAATTGACTTGGTATTTGGAACTCAGGAGTGATAAAAATGACAATAAGATTGCAATATTTTGTAAAAGTGACTTTATCAGACAGTACAGTTGCCCAAAACTTGTCAGGCTGTGAATCATGTGCAGAGCTGAGTATAGCCAAGAAAGAGAATTAGTAAATTGGACAGGAAGTTAGTCTCTATTTGAATTTTGAATGTGTCATATATTTTAATTGTTGACTATAAAATCTTAATTTTCAGTTGCAATATTTAAGCCTTATTCCTGGCAACATCTTAGTTCCATGGGGAAGCTTTGCATGTGTGCCTCAGATTTTTAGCATAATCTATTCATCAGAGGCCCACATTTGTGAGCAAGTGGCATGCAAGGGGCTGTCACTCACAATATACATTTTTAAGATGGAAAGGTCTATTTTGCTCAGATTTAATTTTTGACTCCCAAGAGACAATGTGGGACTAAAGTAATTTATCTCTCAACTTGCTAGGGGATGTTTGAAATTTCAGTAAGCAGCAGTATTATATTAGCATGGACCATTTGGGCAAATTTGTTTCAAGGAGATAATAAATAACTAAACTGCATGGTTAAAAATCAGAAAGAAAACAATTTGTTCTTGTCATCTGGTGGCGCTTAAATTATGAAAAATAGCTCTCCAAAGGTTTAATCCCTGAATCTAGTTTGAAGCTGTTGCTGACTTTATTCTATCATACTGCACATAATGCCTTGAAATCCACTGAAAACCTGTGTATTTGAGTGTGAAACCTTCCAAGATGATGTTGTTTAATAATTTGCATAAAGACATTTAGGCTGAAGGATAATAGAGAAACAAGATTACTCTATTCTATCATTTGTTCCCATGGTAATTAGTTTATATGCCATAGTTTTAATTAAAGTATTAAATGATACTGGTATAACTGTACTTTCTAGAGAAGGGACTGAGGGAATTTTTAGTGATAAGACAGGGAAATGATTAAGAAAGAAACACATATGCTCAAACTGATCAACAGACGGGCAATGTCTTGACTATCTAAAATTGTTAATTCTCAACTGTTTTGAAAACTGAGAAAGCTTTAGTTTATGTGGTCATGTCATCCAACCATAATGAGATATTTTTCATATATACGAGGTCAGATCCTTGCCACAGACGAGTTGTAGGGTGAACACTTGCTCCCTGTGGTCAGGGTGTAGATATTATTCATCTTCGTTTCTCCAATACGTAGCACGGAGAAGGTTGCCAAAATAATTGTTGAATGAGTGGTGTGGCTCCCCCGATTGTTGTTGAAACCCCAAAATCTCCCTGTACAAAGTCTAAGTGGGATGGGAACAGGAGACTGGGTTAAGGGAGAAAGAATTCAGCTGAGACTTTTTCCTCTTCTCCTTTAATTTTACCCACTTAAGGCATTTAACTTCATTTTTTTTTTTAAATTTCCTCCCCTAATTTTCTATTAGCACAGAATTCATTTTAAGTAAAACTCATATCTATAAAAGCATCAGAACAGAATTTAGTTGATTTGGTGTGAATCATCTTTTATTCCTAAGAATTGTCCTTTCCCAATTCTGTTAAGATTGGTTCTGGATATATTGTGGTGACTCAGTGATTTGAATAACTCCTAGTGAAAGACTGATTTAGTTAACATAGCTGGACATATCTTAATATATATTTCTAAATAGCAAAAAGATAGCTTTAAATGAATTGATAGGAAAGAGAATGACTGCTTCTCCAAAATATGATTTTTCTCAAAATTATAGTTGAAATTGTTTCTGAGCCAAATAATTCTGAAAGCATTCAAACAAAAATCACAAACGAATAATTGCAATTTTTTTTTCTTTTTTTTTTTTTTTAGAGACGAGTCTTGCTCTGTCGCCTAGGCTGGAGTGCAGTGGCGTGATCTCAGCTCACTGCAAGCTCCACCTCCCAGGTTCACGCCATTCTCCTGTCTCAGCCTCCCGAACAGCTGGGACCACAGGTGCCCGCCACCACGCCCTGCCAATTTTTTGTATTTTTAGTAGAGACAGGATTTCACCGTGTTGGCCAGGATGGTCTCGATCTCCAGACCTTGTGATCCACCCGCCTCGGCCTCCCAAACTGCTGGGACTACAGGCATGAGCCACCGCGCCCAGCCAATTGCAATTTTTTTTTATAAGAAAATATGAACTGAGACTTGGAAAATATTTTGATGTGGTGATATAAATTAAGTGCTCTTTGAATATTTGGCATTTATTTTAAGGTCATATTCCATAGAGGTGGATTTGGTTGACAGAGCAGATGCAGAGTTAGTTTCTCCAACTCCTGATGCCCTGTATAAATTTATTCTTATTAAAATTGATCAAGTGAGCTTTTCTGTTTCATGAAATAAGGGAATAATGAAATGTATATGCTATGAATGAAAATTTGGGGTTTGGGAAAGAAAAGCATATTTATCATATGAGGTTTGTAAAAATGCTCCTAAGCCAAAAGCAATATCCCATTTATTGGTGAAGAAGAAATTTAGTTTTACGGTATGGGACATAATTGGTTGCAAATTCCACTAAGGTCTACGTTCTCTTCTTAAAATGTGACAGCCTGTCTAAGCATGCATATTTGAGTAAGTGCTTTCTCATTTTGTTGTTTTCTATAAAAAGTCAGTTTTGTTTTTTTCATTGATATTTTGACCATATAAATGAATGATATATTGAGAAAGAACTCTTTTAGAATGGAAATGTCAAGGCCGGGCATGGTGGCTCACGCCTGTAATCCCAACACTTTGGGATGCTGAGGCAGGCAGATCACTTGAGGTCAGGAGTTCGAAACCAGCCTGAACAACATAATGAAACACCGTTAATAATAATAATAATAATAATAATAATAATAGCCAGGTGTGTTGGCAAATGCCTGTAATTCCAGCTAGGAAGGCTGAGGCAGGAGAATTGCTTGAGCCCAGGAGGCAGAATTTGCAGTGAGCCGAGATCATGCCATTGCACTCCAGCCTGGGCGATAGAGCGAGACTTCATCTCAATAAAGAAAAAAAAAAAAAAGGAAATGTCAAATACTTAGTAACAAGAAAGGAGTATGGATGAGTATGGATGTTTGACCTGCAATATAATTTTATAACTAATATATATTTGTTTCTTCAGTTTACTTAAAAACTCAGCGTTTGGAATTATATGCAATCCAGAATCCAGAAAGCCTTGTACAAATTCGTTAACACTTAACTGAACTTTGAAATGCACCTTTTCAATGACAGTTTTAAAAGCAACATAGAGTTTCAGAGTTTAGAGTGCTCATCATTGTACCATGGACCCTCATTCTGAAAGAAGAGATAAGTAACAGATTTTGTAGAATGTAGTACACAAAAAAGGGAAACAAAACCATTGGGAAATTCTCAAATAAACTTAGATCTTTTTAATTCTTAATTTTACTTAATTTTAGTTTCATGCATAGCTCTTAACAGGATCAAAATACTTAGTTTATATCAATACTGGCACTTAAAAAATCATACTTGTAACCCTTCTGACACTAGGTGAAATACTCTTAATCTTAGCCTTGATGATTATTTATTTATATTTTATTACTAGGAAATACATTGACTAATCATTAATTCTAGTACCATGGACCAAGTGTAATCCTACATACATATGTTGTTTTATGCAACTGATTTGTATCCATTATTTTACCAAAAGAGTAGGAGTTGATAGGTTTGAGTTATTTTTTGCCTTTCTTGGCACAACAGTGTGTGCATATAGATATTAGTGAGTATCTGTTGAAAATGACGATGTTGAACTGCTTGAAATTCAATGCAGCCTCACCTTGTTTTCTACGTGTTCCCATTCTGTTAATATAAGCAAGCAGATGGCAGAAAATAAAGTCTAAAATGAAGATGAACTTATTCAGTGCTTTAACTTTTCGTAGAATCCACATTTTAAATTGAAAATCGTCTCCTAAGTATAAACTGCAGAGGTACAAGCAGGATCAATAAACTAGTAATTAGGTTTGGGTCTCAGGTGGATTCAGAAGATTGTCTTGCTTTGCACATGTGATGAGCTCTGCTTTTTTATAAAAATAATGCTATAAGGTCGGGCGCGGTGGCTCACGCCTGTAATCCCAGCACTTTGGGAGGCTGAGGCGGGCGGATCACGAGGTCAGGAGATCAAGACCATCCTGGCTAACACAGTAAAACCCCATCTGTACTAAAAATACAAAAAATTAGCGGGGCATGGTGGCGGGCGCCTGTAGTCCCAGCTACTTTGGAGGCTGAGGCAGGAGAATGGCGTGAACCCAGGAGGTGGAGCTTGCAGTGAGCCGAGATCGCGCCACTGCACTCCAGCCTGGGCGACACAGCGACACTCTGTCTCAAAAAAAAAAAAAAACAAAAAAAACAAAAAAAACAAAACTAATGCTATAAGAAATGTTTCAGGAATTAGAATTTTTATGCATGTTAAAATTTTTAGCTACTGAATAATTCTTTTGAAAATCAAATAATGTAAAACTTTAGTGATTCTAAATGAAATTCAAATTCATGGGTTTCAGTCTCTATTATGATTCATATGCTGTGATATTTATATCATTTTTGGTTTGTTTGGTCTTCATGGAGACCTATATTTTAGAGTTTCAGTCTCGTGGTATGTTTCTCAAACAAAAACAGGCAGATTTCTGTGGTAAATAAACTGAGAAAACACAATGTATTTTCCTCTTGGAGATTTATAATGTACAGTTATACATTGTCTCTGTGAAGTTCTGCCGAAAAGAGACAATTTTAACTTTATTATATTCTAAAGTCATATGATCATGGAATGCTTTTGCCCACATGACATCCATTAATATCTTGAAGAAGTAGTGATTTTTGCGGGGAGGGGGAAAGGGAATACACTGAGAAGCACTAATTTAGTGAACTTTTCCCAAGTAATTTCCGTTTTAAAAATTGTGTATTATATGTTTGCTTTTAATAAATTTTTTTTTTGAGGCGGAGTCTCGCTCTGTCGCGCGATCTCAGCTCACTGCAAGCTCCGCCTCCTGGGTTCATGCCATTCTCCTGCCTCAGCCTCCGGAGTAGCTGGGACTACAGGCACCCGCCACCACGCCCGGCTAATTTTTTTTTTTTTTTTTTTTTTTAGTAGAGACGGAGTTTCACTGTATTAGCCAGGATGGTCTCGATCTCCTGACCTCATGATCCACCCACCTCGGCCTCCCGAAGTGCTGGGATTACAGGCGTGAGCCACCGCGTCAGCCTAAAATTTTACAGCATCTATGTTTTTGGATGTTTAAGAGGCAGGGAAAAATATGTGTTCACATCGTAGTGAGTTTACTACTTGAAGACATGTGGAAGATGAACTATATCTTCAATCAGTTTGGAATAAGATAGAGAAATCAGTCTAAGTGGATTATTTTTACACTACATAGAACTAGCCTCAGAGACACAAAGAATAGGAGTTTTAAATTCCTGACAGTCATTTTATTAATCCATTTCCATTTTTCCTTTCTAACATAGTTTGTAGCCCTAATTTATATTTATGGTATTTTTCAGGAAACTGATGGCTAGCAGAGTCATCCATATATATTTACTCTTGCTAGAACACCAATGCTAATTCACCACTTTGCTAGAATATGAGAGTATTAGTGTGAGATAATCTGATATTTTTTACTATCTGAATTCCCTGGTGCTCATCATTTCTTTTCTGACTCCATGAGTAAATTTCTGCCAATATTGTATAGATGCACATTTCCTCCAGAATCATTTCAACACTCTGTGTATGTATATAAAAATCATGGCTTCAACAAAGTATTAAGACACGTATCTTACATGCTTCTTGAATTATCCTGTTCATTGTGTATTAATATATCAGTGTATATATGTGTTTGTCTATAATTTATTTTACTTACCAATTTTTCACTTATTTTTTTCTTGACAAATGGGTCTCAGACTTACACTGGGATCTTTTTCCCAATGCAAGATGTAATATCACTGATAAACGGTTTTAATATGTTCCTGGAAAAATAGTGGCTAATCCTTATGGATCATTGTGGAATATATTGTGAAAGAAAGATGACAAGGAGTTTATTTTATAATATGCATAAAATGTATTCAGTATTTGATACAGTATTGTTTTTATTAAAATCAATAAAGCGTTCTTTTTTTTTTGTAGAGCAATGAAGTTGTCTACTACAATGCAAAGGATGATCTCGATGTGAGTATTAAATGTTTTCCATTAAATTCCAAGAAAATTATAGTAAAATGATTGGCCTTATATAGAATAAATTGAGCTAGCAGTTTTAGTTTTTAAGACAATGTTAGACTGCATGAGCAAAATACTAGTTAGATACGAGATAATGAAGAACTTTTGTGATTTTTAACAACTTATTCTTGGCATCTTCCTAAGTAAAAATTCCATGTGTTTCTCTGGATCTGAACCCTCACTGCACTTTTTCCAGACCACAGTCCTCTGTACCAACTGTGATACTCTGGACTCCATTAGCAATATTGAAAATAGCTATCCAATCCCATCTACTTCTGTATCCTGGCTCCTGTCACCAGGGTCACCACGCCTATCTGCTTTGACTTAAACTTTGCACACCAGGGAGAACCATTTACTTCAACTACAATATGAATGACACCCCAGAAGCTGTGCAACAACCTGCCCTGCTTGTACAGTCTTTGAAACAAAGTAGTTGCTCCATATGACTTTTTAAATAAATGACTCTAATGTACACATTTAAATGACTTGAAAACATGGATTATTTTAGTGCTAATCAGTTACTTCTAATATTGCTACATCTGGATAGACATTGAGGACACATTTATTACTTAGTGTTGGTGAATAGAGTTGCGAAGTTATCTAATAAAGGTTACACTTAATTTTTTAAAATTCTTGTATTTGACTCTTAGATCAAAAAAATGCCTATGTATACTTATTTCTTAAGATAAAATTATTTGTTAAGCTCATCCTATATTTTAGTTATTTTAAGAGCTTGGGGTATTTCAGTAAACATAGCAAACAAATATAATAAAAGTATTACATGTCTTTCACACATTTCTCATCCGAATCAAAATAATTGTATTTATATACTATTATATGGAATTTTCTTCCAGCTATTTAAAAGAAGAAAATGAAAAAATACATAAAACAAGTCTATCTGGTCTTAAAAAATGAGAAAACACATAATGGCTTGATAATGTCACAGTTTCCCAAATTATAACAAATTATACCACCACCATCTCAAACCATACTACTAACCACTTTACACAACTTATTTTACTTAGTTCCTACAATACTGTTAATGAAGAAGGTTTTATTTTCTCCAGTTTATAGTTGAAGAGCTAAGAGTGTTTTAAAAAGTATTTTTTTTCCTCTAGACATAGGTGGCGTTCCCATGACATCTTTCCTCTTGTCATGATTGTATATATTATTTTAATGATGTAGGAGGCTTATTAAGTACAAACTGTCAACTAAAACAAAATGTTTTAATGGTTTATTGATATCAAAATAAGTACCATTTTTGAAGAGATGTTTAGTTTCACCATTATAATTAGCACTTGATATTTTTAAACTTATTTAAAAATATATACAAAATCTTCATCAACCTTCCTGGTACATAAATTGCAACATTTATTTAATATTTAATTTGTAAAGCGATGACAAAGCCTTAGAATAAAGTGAATGGCATTGACGTGCAATCCTCCAATTAAGGATTGCATAAAGATAATGAAACCAATACTGCAAATAAGTATTTCTTCTCTAAACTAATTAAAGAAGTTACATTTATATGTGAAACAGTTTTATTTAGGTTTGCTCATTATTTAGAAAGTAATTTTTATTTTACATTGAAATTGGTGATTTTCTTTTGTTCAAGATTTTAACAATAATATGTAAATTGTCAATATGACTTTTTAGTAACTATCACTCCAGTTTCAATCAATGCTTCAAAGTTGCCCATTTGAGCATATATGTCCACTACAAGTGGAAAAGTGCACGTGTTACTATTTGTAATACTTCAGTTGTTCTAATATTGTTACATAGTTTGCCTTCACTAATGTTCATTCAAATGTTTAAATCAAAGTCTCTTGAGAGAGAAAAAAATGTGTAAGTGAACTTATTAAACTTGTCTTGTTTTTCCCATTTTCTCATCTAAAAAAATAGTATCTACTACTACTGTGGGTTATATATTTATGCTTAGGATAAGGATTCCTTCTCTGTTTTCTGCCATGAGGTGAAATTTAGCAAATTAAAGCCTTATAAATAGTAAAATGTCCACATTTAAATTTAAAACTTAAAACTATGATGGTCAGCATTTGAAGAAAACTCAATTGCTTTATATACAAACAATAACGTTATCAGAATAATTCGCAAAGAGTGTTGTTTCGTGCAAACTGAACTAGAATAGGAATCAGAATAATTCATGCCCTAATCCAGCCCTAAAATTATAGTCATCCTAGGGCTTTAACACCTATTAAAATTTGAACTGTTATTCTCTCATCTAAGACATGATACAGATGAATAGGTGATCCATAACGTTCATTTCAGTTCTGGATATTCTTAGATTCTAATGAAAATATATACTTATACATAAAGAATATACTTAAATGGATAAAGAATATGACCACATTATAGAATTTAATAGTCAAAAGGAGGGAAGAAGATGGCATTCATGACTTTTACCCTACTATAAGCATGTTGGTTTTTTGTTACATTTTTAATATTTTCTCATGAACATATATGTTTACTTATTTGCATAATTCTTTTTTTTTTTCCGAGACAGACTCTCGCTCTGTCGCCCAGGCTGGAGTACAGTGGTGCGATCTCGGTTCACTGCAAGCTCCACCTCCTGGGTTCACGCCATTCTCCTGCCACAGCCTCCTGAGTAGCTGGGACTACAGGCGCCCGCCACCATGCCCAGCTAATTTTTTGTATTTTTTAGTAGAGAAGGGGTTTCACCGTGTTAGCCAGGATGGTCTCGATCTCCTGACCTCCTGATCCACCCGCTTCGGCCTCCCAAAGTGCTGGGATTACAGGCGTGAGCCACCGTGCCCGGCCCTGCATGATTCTTTAAGTACACAAGTTATTAAGTGGCATAATCATTTTTTATCTTGGGAAATAGTTGTTGGATCATTCTTTTGAGCTGATATAACACAATTCATTTAACTCCACTTCTACCTTGGAGTTTAATTTTCCTTTGTGAGTATTCACATAAATATCAGTACATCTTTACACATAAATATTATTCTTCAAAGTTTTAAACTTATTTTTAGGATAGATTCCCAAAAGTGGTAATTTTTGACATTTTAATGAATTTTGATACATAGTGCGATATCACTTACAAAAAGGACCAGACCAAGTTCTACCATCATTAAGGTACAGAGACATTATTTCCTCACAGGCTGCTCAGCATTATATTAAAAGATAATCTAACACATTCAAATAGTTTTTCACTGTTTTGATTACTTGTCTTCCAGTATTCAGATTTTGCCCTCAACATGGGAAACCCATGTTTTTTCAGGCTCACTGACTTGTGAAAGTTTCTGAGCCAAAGTGAGGTTGTTTACATATCTGTGAAATCTGTATATTAATATGGATTTCATAATAATGGGTAAAATATTATTTTACACAAGTCTGAATATTGCTGATATACGTAAGCAGTATGTAAATATTTATTGCATTTGGCCATGTTTAAGGCTGTCATTGCTCAAGTAAAGCAAGAATGTAATTTGTTAAGAGAAAAAATGGGAGAAATCACATGAGGAAATATAATTCTACTTGTAGAATGCTTTATAAAATAAAAAACCAATAAATTATCATGTCAAATCAACCTGAGTGTAAAATACAAAGTTGATCCTTGTGACATCATTCAGTTTTCTGTATTTGGAATATTTCATGTGAATTTTTCTGAGAATTTGTAAAGAACTATATGATAATTTATTGTATACTGAAAATTTTTCATTGGACAAGCTCAGAGTGCTTTAGAACATAATGCTAATGCTCTTATAAGATCTTAAACCTTGAATCAAAACAAATTATGTTGTATTGATTAGTATATCAGTTTGTCTGTTAGAGAGATACCTAAAGTAAAAGTGGCCTAAATTAGACAGAAGTTGATTCCTCTCTAGGAACATTCTGGATACACTGGCTAATACAGCAACTCCCTGTCTTTCCAGCCCTCAAGGTTCTTCTCCCCATTCTCTGCTTTCCTCAGTGTAGCTCTTCCATGTTGTGCTCCAAGATCGGTGTTCCAATATCCATGATTCTTTTTGCGTTCTAGATTAGAGGAGAGAGGCAAGTGACAATGGGAGACATGCCCTTTGCCTTTAGGGGCATGTCTCAGAGTTTGCATACATCACTTCTATGTGTGCCCATTGTCCACAACTTAGTGACCAGCCTTGCCTTGTTGCAAGAGGATATGGAGTACTTTTCCTCCCAACCCTTGACCCATGTGTACATACCCAACTAACATGTAGAGTTACATTACTAAAGAGAGAAGGGATAGTAATTGAGAGATCATTAATTAGCAGTTTCTGCACATATCTTCAATTTGTTCTTCTTGACATATTAAAGTTAGTGCAAACACTCTACTCATTCATCTGAGTGACTATTATCTTTTAAATATAATCAAACCCTTTGGGGGAGATAATTTTTCTATAGTAAAATGAATATAAAATTGGGTGCTGTACTGAGTTTTTTCTAATATCTCCTAATGCATTTTGATAACTAATGATCAAATTGTTTTCTGCAATAGAAATATTTACTATATTACAGTGAAAGTCAAGAACTGTAAATACATGTTGTACTTTGATATTCTAGTTAACAAGTTTCAGTATTTACATTTTTTTTAAAAAAAGATTGTTACTTATCTCATGAAGTTAGACTCCTATGGATGATGAAATTTACTCACCCTCACCAAAAGTTTTGCAGTACAGGGTGGATTTAATTGGATCTTTTGTTTACAACTTTATATATGCGTTGGCTGGTATTTTATATATCAGGTGTTCACAAATCATATCATCACATTGTTTTTGTTTGAATTTGGCTACTATCACTGTTCTTTGCTCTCACTTTTATACATGCTAGTTTAGCTATGTATTTTTATTGTTCAAATTCTACAATGTCATATTCTTCATTAAAAATTTGTCATTTGAGATTATAAAATGTAACTTTACAATCTCATACGTCTACATCAACTAATAAAACAGTGGGGCTAATTGGCATACTAACTGCTGGGATAACATTATTAATAAATTTAGTCCTCAGTATGTTTCAATGGGGATTAATATCCGAGGGCTGTTGAAAGAAATTATGGATAAATTAAATTTACCCGAGTTTATTTGTATAAAGAATGATTCATGAATCAGGCAGTACTCAAAATTAGGACAGAGCCCCACCCAGCAACATGGCCAGGCAGTATTTATAGACAGACAAAGGAAGTGATGTGTAGAAACAGCTTGATTGGTTATAGCTGGACATTTACCTTACTTGGGCATGGTGATAGCTGGGCATTTACCTTACTTGGGCATATGTAGCATTTGCCTTCTGTGGACATAATCTGATCAGTGGGCAGCCTGTGATTGGCTGAAACTCAGCTGCTATGATTAGCTGAGACTCAGTTATTAGTTACAAGAATATACTTTTAAAGTAGGTTGCAGTTTGTTAACATACTAAGTTAGGCTGCAGTTTACTGTAAAGAAATTCAAAATACAAATGTAACCTTAGGACAAATTTAGTTTATAAGAGCTGGCCGGCGCGGTGGCTCATGCCTGTAATCCCAGCACTTTGGGAGGCTGAGGCAGGCAGATCACGAGGTCAAGAGATCGAGACCATCCTGGCTAACACAGTGAAACCCTGTCTCTACTAAAAAATATTTTTTTAAAATTTAGCCAGGCATGATGGCGGGCGCCTGTAGTCTCAGCTACTTGGGAGGCTGAGGCAGGAGAGTAGCGTGAACCCGGGAGGTGGAGCTTGCAGTGAGCCGAGATTGTGCCACTGCACTCCAGCCTGGGCAACAGAGCGAGACTCTGTCTCAAAAAAAAAAAAAAAAAAAAAAAGACAAAAACAACAACAAAAAAAACAAGCACTAAATAAAGTTTCTATTTTAAATATTATACCTCCTGGGTATAACTAAAAGATTATAAATCCTGAGGCTCTGGTTATTTTAACTTTTTCACCAGTTCTGCTGGAGATGATTTGTTTTCCAACTCCTAAGACTAGTAGATTAGTGATCATTTCCAGGATTTCCTAGTACTCATATCAATCATTTCCTTTCACTGCTCTAATACAATCATCTAAGTTTAGACATTGGTCTCAAATATGTTCTTAAGAGCTATTGAAATTATCTCATTTTATGATTATAAATTTTAAATGCATTTAATTATGATACATTATTATATAAATTTATAAACATTATATTCATATATCTTTTTCCATTGTCAAGATCTTTGTCACTTATTACTGACTCTTTTTTTGATGTTTAATACCGTGCAGAAACTTTACCAGTAACTTCCCTAAGCGGAACATATAATGTTTGGCAGTGAAATGAAAGTTTCTCCTTCTTGAAGGCACAGCCAATCTTTGTGAATTATTATCTTAGGGTCCCTCAAGAGTATAAGTTCCCAGAGAGCAGCTCTTATGCACTTATAGCAGCTGATGTAACTCTTACAATATCGAGTACACATTGTAATCACTCAAACTTTCTTTCCCAATAAATCTAAGTTCATATTAAAGCTTCATTTCACACAACTGTAAAAGGAATGTTCTGAAGTATAGTTTAAGAACACGTCATAGTTATATTCTAGAATTACTTCCCCATACTTTAATTTTTAGAGAGATCCTTTCCCTACTATCCCAACCTTAGTCCAGACTTGTGTAGGTCTCTATAATCTAGAGGATTGGCAATGAAATACATACCTTGAAGAAAACGCTTGCCCTATTGTTGACCAGTGGCAGGACCAAATGTTTTATATCATTAGCACTTCTGTAGTTACAAATATGACAGCACCAAGGACAAACACTTGGGGAAGAAAGACTACTTCCCAGTCTTGAGACTAGATAGGCCTTTCTTCATTTAAGACTAATAAAGTAAAATCCAGTCAATGGAGAAATCCATGAGATACTCAGTAACAGTAAAGTAAGTATTAAAGACACAGAGGAAAATTCTTCTCTAAGATAGTATTACTTCAGATATGTCAGGCAGAAAAACAACATTGAATATATGCTTACTGTCCCCAAAGAAAGAGTCAATGATCTATAAAAAGTAGACTAAAACCATCAAAATGAAAACCACTGAAACAAAATTCTCAATGGAGAAACTAACAAATTTGACAATGTGAATTGTTTATCAATAATCCTCAGAATAAGTTTGAGAAGTACTCTTCAAATGCCAGAAAAGTAAAAAATGTGGGAACAAAGTTAATAAATATGAAGGTCAGAATTCATAGGTGTATTCATAAGTCCTGTCTTCCCAGAGATCAAGTCAAAGCACATGTATCAGATATAATCATCAAGGATTTAATGGAAGGAAACATTCAGGTCTGCCAAGAAATCTGTATATAATTGTAGATTTGGAAGGCCTGCAGTGTTTCAGACAAAGATTTTTAAAAGTCAAGAACATTTATACCAAAAACTTGCTCAAGGATATTCAAGAGGAGATTTCTAGTAGGCAGCTAAGTATTTAGTTTGGTTGCTTAGGAGAGTGGCCTAGAATAGAGTTTTATGTTTAGCTTATGAGGGGAATTTGAAAACAAGTGGCTGAAATTTCCTGAGCAAGTGTGAAGTTACATATATAGTAAGGCCAGATTCATCTACAGATAAATTTTGGCATGCTTACACAAAGCTAAAAACAAAATGAATTTGAATACCTTTGGATATAACATATTCTGCAGCCTGCTGTAATGCCACTACTCCTTATTGTCTACTTTCAGCCTGCTTCACACATCTACACAACATTAAAAAAAATACCTTAAGACAATACAAGATAGACTCCTCAGAACACCAGCATTCAGGGGAACGTGGGGGCAGGGGAGGGGAGTATGGGATATGAGTAGAGATGAAGTAGTAGCAGCCTTCATAATAGAAGTAAATCATACAAAGAAGGTCATGAGATTAGTACATGTTGGCATCAGGACAAAATTTGGAATTTCCTGATTTCTACTGTTCTTTCGTGTTTATTAGGCTGGTGTAGCACCAGGATCATGTTTGTGTAGAAAGAAGGATACATTCGAGTGTAATCTATTGATTTTGTTCATTATAATGATGATGCATGGCCTCCAAGGTAAAACAAGTATTTAAAGTTGATCAATGCTTCCTTTAGAGTGAAAGCTTTCTATTAGCTGCATCCGAATTAGTCAGTTTGTGGGAAAGTTTATGCTCTTCAAGGACTCTGGTATAAGACAATTCCTCAAGGGCATTTTATAGTTATCTACGTTCCTCCACTTAGAGCAATGCTATTTATATTCACCTTGTGGCTATAAAATAAATACAGCCAGGTTTAGCTAAAGCAGTGGCTGAAATTAAGTATAGAATTAATGTCTCCTTACGATTGTATAATATAAAAATTATGGCTTTAGTCATTTAAACAGATTTTCCTCTTGAAACTTAAAAACACAGGTAGCGGCCAGGCGTTGTGGTGCACACCTGTAATCCCAGCACTTCAGGAGGCTGAGGCAGGCAGAACACTTGAGCCCAGGAGTTTAAGACCAGCCTGGGCAATATGGTGACACCCTGTCTCTACAAAAAAAAAAAAAACTAAAATTAGCTGGGCATGGTGGGGTGCACCTGTAGTCCCAGCTACTTGGGAGGCTGAGGTGGGAAGATTGCTTGAGCCCAGTAGGTCGGGGCTGCAGTGAGCTGATATTGTGCCACTGCACTCCAGCCAGGGTGACAGTGAGACCCTGTCTCAAAAACAAACAAAAAACCTCAGAAAACAAAACAAACTATGCAGGTATAACTGGGATAAATTATTGGATGAGCCGTGATTCTCATGGAAGGATAGAAGGCACATATGGCCTTACTGGATATGTAAGAAAATCTTTGCTGTGTCCAGTTAACTTATCCTAGATAATATTAACATGACTAATCATGCTAATTACCTGATCATGATACCATACAATTCCTCCAATCAAGTGCTTTACTTAAAAACCCAATTTAAATAATAACTCTCTTTAAACCTTCCTTGTTTTTTTGTAGGTAGCAAATGGTAGTCCTTCCTATGAGCGTTCTAAGCAACTTGTAATGCATTTTTGGCTTTAATGGTATAATACCTTATACAATAGAATATGTGTACAGGGTTTGATCTTCTCTACTAAAGTTTTAGTGATTTGAGGTAGAAATAATATTTAGTTTATTTTATAGTATACAGTAATTGCTGAAATAATGCTTGTTAAATTTGTATACCCATATTTTCATAGTGTTTGTGAAGATGTGTTCACCTTTTAAAGTGGTGCTATATTGTAAGCGTGGTGGAAATGAAAATGTTAATTTTGCTTCAAGGTTAGTGGAAGCAAAATGAAGAGAGGAAATAATAAAGCTAGCTTTTACTATGGATGATATTTGAATTAATGTTTAAGATAGACATTTGCTTCCTTAATTTCATCTAATGGGATTGGATGCAGATGAGAGTGGCAGTGGACAGTGTTGTCTCATCTTCTCTGTTTTGTCCCTGGGGACAGCCATCAGGACTAAGAGGAGAGTTAAAACAGACAATGTAGTTTCCCTAGGTCCAAAATTAATTGAAATTGGAGAATAAGCAGTGCAGTTAGAATATTTGTCTGTAATTACTACAAGTGATGTAAGTATCAAGATATTTGGTTTCAAGTGTGAATATTTGTGAAACATGAACTCAGGCGTATTATATTCTTCCATCAGAACCAAGTTCTTTTAACAAAACACCAGGGGTTCAGTCTATGTCCCATTGCTTGATGCACAGAAAGCCAGCCCCTGAGACAAAGAATATTGCCAGGGAAGAAAGCTTTATTTGGGTGTTGCAGCTGAGGAGATGGGAGATAAGTCTCAAATCTGTCTACTCAACTGACTAAAATTGGAGGTTTATATAGCATGAAAGGAATGTAGCTATATGCAGGAAAAACAGGAATTAGGAGAGGGTCTGGTGTCTCATTGTCTGAATGTGGTGATTTGGTGAGTTTCAGTTCCTTGGAGGCCTGATGGTTGGTTTCCTGAGAAAGGAATTCAGAGAAGATAAATACAAGTTTCAAGCTTTAAGACCAGCTGGGTCAATTTTTGTGTTTATTCGAAAACACTGCAGACATTAATTCTTTGAGGAAATTGGGCGGATTTCACTTTCTTATTCTACATATAGTATTAATAAAAAAAAGTTGAGTTTTATTTCCAAAGAGCCTACATCATTCAAATGAGCATAATGTTTCAATGTAAGATTATTTTTATCAGGAAAAAGATTTTAAATATACAGAAGAGAGAAATAGTATAATGAATCATGTCATCTGTTGCTTAAGTCTTTTAAGATAGAGACAATGTTTTATTTCCAAATACTTCTACATGAAACTCTATTTTTGTTTCTTCTAAATAACAAGGCATACATGTACAATTGCTGTATGCCTTGTTATACAGTAGAGGCAATAGAGTGTGATAATTGAGATTATATACTGGAGTGCTAGCTAGATTCAAATCTTAGCTCTGCCATTTCTGGGTGATATTGGCAAGATCACATAATCTCTCTGCTTTTTAGTTATTTGGTCTTTAAAATGGAGGTGATAGTAATAGCAACCTCAGTTATTATAAAGATTAGATTAACACATATAAAACATACAGACCATTTCCTGGATCATAGAGGGCAGTCTAGAAATGTTAATGAATGTAATTGTGAAAAACATTAATTATTAATATCATTACAACTTAAGTGGAAGTGATCTTAGCATCAAATGGAGCGTGTTTGTGTATCTGAATGTGTTAATAATGAAAGGGCATTATATTGAGATATTTTTCATTTTATTGTCATGAATTTAATCTTTGTATGAAAACCTTAAGATAATGCATGCACAAAATACAAAGCAAAGTTAAATGCTCAAAACACATTTTAAAAATGCAAACACAAACGGGGAAGATTGTTTTCATATCATTATAGGTTTCATATGTTCAATTTTATTTTTTAATTTTAGAGACAGGGTCTCACTATGTTGTTCAGACTGGCCTCAAACTCCTGCCTCAAGGTATCCTCCCACCTCGGCCTCCTGAGTAGCTGGCACTACGGGCACTTGCCATCATTTCTGGCTCTGTTTATTCAGATTTTAAAGAAAAAGTAGATGTTAAAATAAACTGAGGGGAAAAAAAAGCTAGCAATGTAACAATTATCTATGAAAACCCAAATTCAAGTTATCATTAGTTTTGAAATTTATTTGGATTCCTAGTTTAGGTTTCAAAAGACATCTGACCCAATAAGTCATTAAATTCCCTGAAGATTAGTGAAGCAAATTCCTCAGAAGACTTCAGTTGTGCCAGCAAACTGTGCTATTTTCTTAATTCCCAGAGTAAGCAAAAAGAAAGCAGATCATTACAAAGCCTTATTAACCCAATTCCAAGATCTGTCTAAAATTCAAATGAAGTAAGTTCAACCTAGAATTCCCATGTCATTAAATTGAGTTGATTTATTTGCTCCTTTTTATTTTATTGATCATGTTCAAAATTTCTCCTGTCTGGGACATTTGGCTAGTCTGCTGAATTCCCTTGCATATTTACGTTGCTATTTATTTTCCTCTTAGCAGCAGAGTCTTGTCTACATTAAAATTAATTCCAACATAATCTCCTATCTAAATGTCTTTTTCAGTGCCCAATCTTTAATGATTATATTTTACTTTATAGCAATAAATAAACCTGGTTCTAGAATAAGCTAGTAGGGATATGCATCAAACAGCAATGAAATCTAATTATTAAAGAAAAAGGAAAAATCTAGGTTTCTTTTCTAGCATTTTTTTTTTAAAAAGCTGTCTTATAGTATGTAACTTTTATTTTACACTTTTAGGTATCAAACATTGATGAAGTCTAATTATTGAAGAAAGAATCAGAGTCTAGGTGTTACCGGTGGAGGGTGTCCAGGTCCTTGGCATTTTGAAGAAAGAACTGGATAAAATGCAGAAAGCAATGAAAGAAAAACACAGATTTATTGAAACAAAAGTACACTCCACAGAGTAGGAGCGGGCTTGAGCAAGTGGATCAAGAGCTCCAGTTATAGAATTTTCTGGAGTTTAAATACACTCTAGAGGTTTCATGTTGCTTACTTGGTTTACACTCTGTGTAAATGAAGTAGAGGCCCACAACCATTCTGATTGGTTGCAGAAAGTGACCAATCAGAGGCTGAAAGTGAAGTTACAGAAGAAGATTTGGCCTGCAGTCAGTCTGATTGGCTGCTGAAGGGGACCAATTAGATGCTGAAGTGAAGTTACAAAGTTACACTCCTATGCAAATAAAGACTGTGACCAGTCTGATTGGTTGTGGGAGGGGACCAATCAGAGGTACTTTCCATTTTGCCTCTGCCCTGGGAAGAGGGTGGAGGGTTTTGCAAAGGAAGTAGTCTGTGATCCTTTTGTTACTTGGGTGTGGAAAGTTGAGTTTTCCTTTTGATTTAGTTCTAGAAAATCAGTATGAATTGGCCTTAGGTTCCCTGCCTCTAAACCCTATTCTCCTGCCTCATAGGTTTCTTTTCTAACATTTAAAAAATTACCTTACAGTTTGCAATCTTTATTTCAATTTTTGATGTTGGCCAATATTGAATCCTTGAATAGGATGGCATACAGGTAGAATATTAATTGCTTTGTATCCATAATTGCTTTGGTTCTTTTTGCTTCTAAAATAAATGGTTTAAATATTTTTGATGTGATACGTTTGGATTGGGTAATAATAGCTAGCATATATTATATATACATATATATACTGATTGTATGATATATGCTTATATACATATGCTTATTCTCTACTAAGTGGTAGCATTTAAAGCATACTACCTAGTCTATTTACTACCTAGTATAGAATAAGTATGTATAATATATACTAGCTATTACTATAACTTTATGTATCATTTACAATTCACGAGAACCCTTTGTGGCACATATATTATTTTATTTTTCAGGCAAAACAAGTAAAATTTAATGAGCTTAAGCTGCTTGTCCAGTGCTACACATTTTGGATTTGTCAGAGTAGGGAAGTGAATGCAGTGCAGTCTGTATGATCCAGAGCTGGAACACTGTGTCACCATGCTGTGCTGCCTGGGCAGTGGGCACCTATGAGGAAGAAGAGGGCCTGTGAAGGAGCTGCTGTAAATTGAGACTTAAGGGTAAAATTTTGGAGACAGTTTTGATTTAAAATTTGAATTTATTACATCTATCCATTATTCTCTCCGTATTTAATTTTGATGCATTTGGCTTATATTTCATCCAACTAATTTTATCATTGACAGTTGTGAGGTTACAGTGTTCTTGCAGTAGGCAAAATAAAACGTGGGTGATGTATAAGCTTGTTAAACTTTGAGTCCTAAGTTTCTGCTGATCTGATCCAGTATTCCCAGTGATGTTTACCATGAATATCTTAAAATTAATGTGTGCATCTCTGTATGGAATGTAGCCATCTCAGGAATCACTGGGGGGAGAAACTATAAAACCAATAAAAAGGTAGACTAGACTCAGTGTCTTCTAAGAATTCTGCCTTATGTTTTTGGGGCTGCTTTCCAAAATTTTTCAAGCCTGTCCTGATATATTTTTAATGCTTTACACACTTGGGCACATGCTCCTTTTGCAAAGATGGTTTAAACATGGGTTCCCAGTCGTCCTGGATTAGTGGCATTTATGGTGGGAACCTGGAGTCCTACTGTGTGATCTCTTAAATTAGATCTTAGTTGTATGACTTTAGCCAGTCTTTGCCTCAGGTATCAAGAGAATATCATTGATCTTCGTACCTTTCAAGGTGGTAGGTTGTTTTAAACCTCATTTGCCCTGGCAATATTTTGAAAAGTATATTTGTGTATCATAATATAAAAAATTCTTTTAATTTTTTAGAAGTAGAATGACTTCATTTAAAACATTTCCTTTTATAATATAATGCATGCTACTACATGGTTTCCATGGGGAGTGCTATGTTGAACTTTCAGACTCTGTAAAAATCACATAGTGCCTTTTACAATCCTTGAGCAGAAGATAAATATCACTCTCTTCCCAAAATATAGGTTACATATTTAGATATAATGTGTAGATATGGGTATACTTTTGTAGCACTGTATTACATCCCTTTCTGATGCTGGATATTTGAAAACTTCATACTACATATGGAATTTAAATCAGCCTCCAACTCTTTTCCATCATACTCAACTGTATTGTATTGCTAATGGCTCGCCTTACTCCCTGCTAGGTCTTGTGATAGGCAATTCATGGGCATTCATGCAAACTAAATTTATTCATCATGCAAACTAAAATTACATCAGTTTTATTTCAAGGATGTCCTCAGGTTCTGTATTTCAGATCTTTTGAATGCATCATTATAATCCTCATCAGCGACTTTAATCTTATTTGAAGAATGTCAATTTTGTCTTTTAAATTTAATAAACAAGTTATTGCAGGGATCAGTATTGCATTTTAACTTAATTTAGTTCTAATTTATCTTTCACTGTCATTTGGAAAATTTATATATTCTTTGTTTTAATATTCCCTACAGTGTTTTTTAACTTTCTTTTTGTTACTGCTCAATTTCAGCTGCTTTGTGATTTCACTTTTCCCCAAAATCTACATATCTCAGACTGTTTCTTCTCTTTTATACATCATAATTATTAGTAGAATAATACATGAAGACTTTACACTGAATCTAATCTTTAAAAACTAGAATTGTTTCTTCACCTTTCTTTCGCCACTGATGTTATAAATTTACTTTTCATGTTAATTTTAAAACTTTCTTTTCTTAGTATGTTAAATAAATTGCTTCTGAAGAATCAATGCTACAGTTTTTCCAGAGTAAATCTAAGGAGTTACAATATTTTTATTACCTGAAGAATGGGCATAATCTTCTGAATCCATAAAATAATTTGTTCTTCATCAAATATATTACCTAAGCTCATATGTTTTTTTGCAAGAACAATATTTCTATTCATTAAATACATAATTTCAAAATTTTATTTTTTGTTATGATTCAGTAAAAGTACAAATATTATGTGTAAGTCCTTAAGTGCATATTCAGTGTCATCCAACTCATACACTTTCTAAATCTATTCATCTACCAAATACTTCTCTAAGTCATAGGAGAAAATAGCAGCTTAAATCAATGAAATCAGAAGGCTCAGTTATGTTCTTATTGTCATTGTACTAGATTCATCATTTAATATTCAACCTGGCCTTCCAACTTGACTTAGAACAACTGACTGGATGAAAGTTCCACACCTCTTTCTATTCATTCTTTATTTGGGCATCATCACCTGCAATTCTGTTGAGTCTTCATTCTCATTGATCCAAGAGATTTACCAAAAATGAAGCTTTTCAAGATGGGCGTGGTGGCTCACACCTGTAATCTCAGCAACTCAGGAGGCTGAGGCAGGAGGATTATTTGAGGCCAGGAGTTTGAGACCAGCCTGGACAGCATAGCAAGACACTGGCTCTGAACAATAGAAATTAAAAAACCTAGGTGGGTATGATGGAATGCACCTGTAGTCCCAGCAGCTCTGGAGGCTGAGGTAGGTAGGAGGTTGGCAACTCAAGGGTGTAGTGAGCCATGATTGTGCCACTGTACTCCAGGCTGGGGAAGAGAGCAAGATCCTGATTCAAAACAAAACAAACAAACAAACAAAAAATCACAAGGCTTTTCCTCTGTGTGAGTCAGACCTGGTAACAATCTTTAATTAGCAGAGCAGCACAGGATGCTTAAATTCCAATGCTGAACTAGCCATAACAGAGTAATGTAATACTGTATATTAAAAAGTAATGTTTAAAGTAATGTTTAAACATTCTTTTTTTTTTTTTTTTTTGAGATAGAGTCTCGCTCTGTCACCCAGACTGGAGTGCAGTGGTGCAATCTTGGTTCACTGCAACCTCTGCCTCCCAGGTTCAAGTGATTCTCCTGCCTCAGCCTCCCGAGTAGCTGGGACTACAGGCATGTGCCACCACACTCGGCTAATTTTTGTATTATTAGTACAGACAGGTTTTCACCATGTTGACCAGGCTGGTCTCAAACTCCTGACCTCGTGATCCACCTGCCTTGGCCTCCCAAAGTGCCAGAATTACAAGTGTGAGCCACCATGCCTGGCCTAAACTTTACTTTTTAATCCATAGTGTTGATCCAGTATCCCAGTATGCCAGAATATTCAGACTTGATGCCTGTATGAAAGTCCACCTTAAATATAACACATCCTATCTTTGATAATGCTTTACATTGGACCGTGATGCCATGCCTTAAGGCATATTACATATCCAAAATTGATATTGAGGATAGTAATCGAGACTTTAAAAAATTCTAAAATCAGTAATATCTGTATTGTAAAAGCTGCAAGCCCTAATGTAAATAACAACTGTACAAAAACTACAAAAAACCAGGATGTATTTAGAGATTGAAATTTGAAAATATACGTACATACATACATATTGGAGAATTGCATGCAAGGCTTGTTTCATCACACAGGATCCTACACACATGCACACACACACACAGACACACGTGCGTGCGTGCACAGTCTCATTCTGTCACCCAGGCTAGAGTGGAGTAGCATAATTATAGCTCATTGCAGCCTCAAACTCCTGGGCTCAAGGCCCTCATGTCTCAGCCTCCTGAATAGCTGGAAATAATAGGAACATACCACGATGCCAGGCTCATTTTTAAATTTTTTGTAGAGATGAGGGCCTCACTATGTTGTCCAGGATGTTCTTGAACTCCTGGCCTGAAGTGATTGTCCAGCCTGGGCCTCCCAAAGTGCTGGGATTACAGGCATGAGCCACTGGACCTAGCCAAGACTGTTGATCTAACTCCTTTACTAGTGAGATAGAAATACAAATTGTGATACTTCCATAGAGAGTTTTAGTGAGCCATTTTATTCTATATCAACTAATTATTTTACAACTTTGTGGCACACAAAAATAATACAGAACTGGGGACATAAACGTAGCCATAGTATGATTGCAAGCAAAGTTTATCAGTTTGCAAATCTGAATTGTGCAAAATAGTTAAGTAAATTTCCATTGCAATTTAGGTAAAATATATAGACTTTAATTTTTGAATATTTTGCTATAAGTAGGAATATTTTTTAAGTTAACATGAAAAAGAACAAAATATTAAAAATCAATGCTTTTTATAAATATCAGTTCTAAGGGTGAGACAAATATGTTAAATTTGCAAGAGCTTTTTGTACCTGTCAAAGAATTATCATTATGACTTTCCAAATTAAATTTGCTAATATGCACTGGTTGTAAAATTGAATGACCTCCTCATCCAACATTAGCTTGTATCTCTGTCTCTGAGTGATCTAATCTATTATTTAATAGCTGAAATTATATTGAGAAGAATAGTCTGAGAATTATGCATTTCATGTGTCAGTTTCGTTTTATCAAATGCATTTGAATATATTTCAGAATCCACTTGCTCATTTTCTCTGTACACATTTGTATATGGTGGTCTGTAGACTTCAGAAGATATATTTTGAAAAGAAAACACTGGAAGGAGACATAGATGTTCTTTCTTGTATGTGTTCTGAAGAACTGGAATTCTTTGTTTCAGAGGGAGAATTTATTTGAAATAGTTAATTACTACATGAGACATTCTGTGTTAAGTAGCCTTTTTCATAAAAGTCAGGTCCTTTGTATATAATATTTACTGTATTTCAATTAAAAATATACTGCCATAATATATAAAGATAAGTAAAGACATGGAGTATGATGGTATAAGGAACAGTAGTTTCCAGTAGCTTAAAGATAATAAATGAGTTCAATTGAGAAATTCTCATCTTTTTATGAAGTTATTTTAATTTATATAAACTAGAAAAGGAGAACCATGGAAATAGCACTATTATTCTTTTTTAAAATATGTTTAACAATTGTACCTTAAGGAGTCTTGATACATGATTTTACAAGTTGAGAAGTACGTTATTATTTTAAAGTTATTTCTAAAAGCCATTTATATGGTTATTTAAAAGAGCAAGAGCCTCCATAAGATGAATTTAAAACTGCTAATTGTTAAGTGTGAGAGGATTCAGAGGAAACAGAAGTAATTTTTATGTAAGACAAGCTTTATAATATTAATAGAAAAGACTTAAACCTTAATAGTTTATTCTTATCACAAATATAATATATTCTCATTGTATTATTGGAAAAACCAGAAAGCACAAGTTATTTCTTAAAATTGCAAAGCCAGGAATAATACTGGTAACACTTGCTATGTATACATCCATTCATTTCTCCCTCTACCTGTTTCTACCCAAAACAAATAGGATTTTTTCTCTTTTCACTTTTACTTAACTCGTAATTTTTAAACTTCATATCATTTAAAAACAAATACAGTTAGGGTAGAGTTAAAACCTGTTTTGACTGAACAAAAAAAGTTTAACACAAATATCAAAAAATGTTATAGATGCATTTTGGATAAATGAATGAAATTCTTAGTTTGTTACCAGGGGAAGGCAACCAGGTAATTCAGTATCAAAAGTATAGTTCCAATAGATAGAAAATTAATCTTTGACTTGAGACTCCTGAGGGGTTTTCTTGAATCATTATTGATTGGATCTTCATTCCTGCCTCAAGAGTCAAATTGGTTGAAATTAGGATTTAATTGTATTTAGAGTTAGAATAGATCGCTTCTTTCCTAGCATACTTTCTTTTTTAAAACAAAAATTGATATACCTGAAAAACATGCAAAAAGCAAGAGGATGAGATTTAAATAATCCTTCATTGCCATATTATTTCTGTCACGTGTACCATTATTTGTCAAAGAATCATCTTCAACTGCACAATATAAATTTAGTTAAATAAATTGTGAAATTTATTTCAAGTGGATAATATTAGTTAGGTTGTATTTAAAGGCACCTCTCTAGTTTCTTATTATTTTATTTGTCTGTTTGTTTGTTTGTTTATTTATTTGAGGCAGGGTCTCACTTTGTTGCCCAGGCTAGAGTGTGGTGATGTGATCATGGCTCACTGCAGCCTTAACCTCCCATGCACAAGCGATCTTTTGACCTAAAGCCTCCTGTGACTACAGGCCTGTGCTGCCATGTCCAGCTAATTTTCTGTTATTTGTCATAGAGACAAGGGTTTGCCGTGTTGCCTGGGCTAGTCTAGAACTCCTGGGCTCAAGTGATCTGCCCCCCTCTTCCTCCCAAAGTGCTGGGATTACAGGCGTGAGCCACTGGGCCTGGCCTATCCAATTCTTTAAGTTTACATCTTAATAAGTATTATATGTGTGGAAGTCTGGTCTCCCTCGTCCCCCAAAGATGATCCTGAATGACTCCAACATTGAGGAAATCAGGAGAGTGGTTAGTTATAATGTGAATAATACAATAAAGATATACTGTGAGTGCTAATACCTGAATGGAAATTTGTGTATCCAATGCTATCAAGGTACTATATTTTAAACAATTGTTGTAGATTTATTTTTTGAAAAATATGCATTTGGCAAGTAAAGAAGTGCATGTGAAAATATTTATGTTAGCAAAAATTGTAATATTCTGTTTATTCTTTTTCTATATAGCCTGAGAAAAATGACAGTGAGCCAGGCAGCCAGAGGATAAAACCTGTTTTCATTGAAGATGCTAATTTTGGACGACAAATATCTTATCAGCACGCAGCAGTCCATATTCCTACTGACATCTATGAGGGCTGTAAGTAAAAGAATGTTAACATCTGTTGGAATACCATGCTCTCGCCTGTCTTATGTTTCCCATGTTTGAGGGGGAAAAAAAAGAGCAAATGTGACATTGTTTTGTTTGTCATATAAGAGTCTGTGGTAAACTCTGATTTATGTGAAAGAATCAATCTGATTTTCATGAACAGTTTATGTGAGTATACCCTCACTAAACGAATATTTGTAGGACAGCCTGCATCCATGGAGTGGTCCTTCTAACTTAATGTTTGGTAAATAATTCTGCTTTCCCAGTTGCCACCCATAACTTACAAAGTATATAGATATATTTGTCAAAAGCCAAAACTGTGCAGCTGTATTATACACACATGCAAAAATATTCTTGCATAAATGGGTAAAGGGAGAAAATTGTATGTTTCAGATTCTTTCCAGTTCTTATGACTTCTCATGTCTGTCAGTCTCTCTCTCTTTTTCCCTCCCGGTCTGTGTTTTTCTGCCTTACCCTAGGATATAGGTAAAGAGTACCTTCCTCTCAATGTATTGTGGGCTTCCAGCCAAAAGAAGTGCTTGGGTAAAAGGAAGAGACCTTAAAAACTAGAAAAGCTGTGACTGGAAATATTGGTTGGAGAAGGCTTCCCTGTGAAAAAGGGATGGGGTAAAAAAAGTGTTTAGGAAAATAGTGGCGGAAGCTTGCGCAGGTGTTGTTTTTTAGAGACACGCTTTGCATTAATCAGAGCAGAGCCTGAGAATTCTAACTAGGAATTTTCCAAAAGACAGCTCTATCATGTCTGAGAATGAACTGTGACCAGAAACAGGGTATTTGTTCAGTCATATCCCTGGTCTTCCATATTATTTATTCTTTAACCCATCCCTCCACCCCATCCTGCACCTCGTTCCCTGCCTTCTCACATAGTAAAGGGTAAGGGGAAAGAACTGCTTGCGATTGTAAAGAACGTGTTTCTTGTATTCCTCTTAATTGAGACGCGGTAGAGTGTATTTGGAATCCAGATTATCCAGATGGCCTGGGTTCTGGAACCAGACTACCTGTGTCCAAATTTAAATTTTAGCAGTATTATTTCCTCTGGCAAATCCTTCAAATTTCTGAGTAGGCATTTTCTCATCTGTAAAATGGAGATAAGATTAGTATCCTGAAATGTCCTTTGAGGATAAAGCAAGTTTAATGTATTTAAATTCTCATAATAGTGCCAGGCTCATAGTAAGTGCTATGTAAGTGTTTGTTGTTGTTATTATTTACAGTTAAAGTTTATTTAGACTCACAAGATTAAGGGACTCACATTGTATATGAGCTTTTTTTTTTTATTCACTTTGAGATTATTGGTTTTAAAAACAATTTTTAATGCATATATGATTCTTTTTATTATAAATTTTATCTTTGATCAAATTATTTTATTTTGTTTCTCCTTTTAAGTGTTTTAAAAGTACCACTGTTTTCATCCTATCAATTCTTTGATTTTAAACCTATAATTACATATAATAATAGAAACGTTGTATGTGTATATATATGTGTGTGTGTGTATAGATATAGTTTCTTTTTACATGAGCCTTAAACATAATTTAACTTCTTTACAATACAACTGAGACTATTAATTCCAAGCCCTTTTTAAAATCACTTGAGATTTGGATTCATATATTAATATTTTTTCTTTGACCATTGTATTATTTTTCTGTAGTTACTTTTGATATTTGTAATTGTTTTTGTCATTATTCTAACTGTTCAGACAATGCTAAGCTATATGGTTATGTTTCTCAATTTTTGAATAATATATTTTCCACTTTAGTTTCAGATCTATCACCTGTTGTTTGTTGGATATGTTAACAAAATAATAATCTCCTTCTGTATCTTTCTATTGAATTCCAATTGGAAGAAAAACTGGCTGGGTATAGAAGCTTTGAGTCAAAATATTTTTTGTCAGTACTCTGTACATCATGGCACTGCTTTTCAACCTGCGTTACTCTGTTGAAGAAAACTGAAGCCAACTTGAATGTTGTTCATTTATTAGAAATCTTTTATGATTGGGTTTTGTATTGTTGATATCTGGGAGGCTTTTTATTTCTAAATTTAGTAATTTATAAATGTCCACAAGATATTTTAAGTCAGTGATTTTCTAATAGCTTTGCTCTATGAACATTTTGTTTACAACATGTATTTACGTAGAAGACTGATGTGTAAAAGAAGTTAAAGCCAAAACCAGTGTGCCTGAAATAAATGTGGTGTGGCCAGAACACTAGCTGCTTTCTCTTTACTTCCTTTTCTTCTGTTTCTTTTTTTTTTTTTTTTTTTCTTCTGGGACGGAGTCTCACTCCCTTGCCCAGGCTGAAGTGTAGTGGTACAATCTCAGCTCACTGCAACCTCTGCCTCCCAGCTTCAAGCAATTATCCTGCTTCAGCCTCCTGAGTAGCTAGGATTACAGGCATGCACCACCATGCCCGGCTAATTTTTTTTGTTTGTTTTTTTGTATTTAGTAGAGACAGGGTTTCACCATGTTGGCCAGGCTGATCTCAAACTCCTGACCTCGTGATCCACCCGCCTTGGCCTCCTAAAGTGCTGGGATTAAAGGCGTGAGCCCCCACGCCGGCCCTCTTTACTTTAATGTTCTCTGTCTAGTATTGGTAGTCAAGACAGATTGTCTGGACAAGTTTATAGGTTATTGTTTGGTTATATGTGAGCCAGAATTGTCCACAGGAGGCAGTAAGATACTTACTTTGCATTAGAATCTGCATTCTCTTACTCTTTTGCTTCCTTTACTGAGTTGAAATCACTTTATAACTTAAGCATCCATCTGTTGTATGCTAGAACAAATATGAAATCTGACTCACAAATTTGAACGTAAATTTTTAAAAAATTTTTTTAAAAATGTTTACATAGGCATACATATATCTTAGTATGCTACAATTTACATACACAAATTAATTTGTGTAAACAATGTTTTTCTTTCCAATTTAAAATAAACTATTTGTAAATAGCTACAGATAATTTTAATAGTCTCAGAGAATACAACTTAACATTTTGAGAATCAATAAAATATTTAATATGTTTTCAGAAGTCATAGGCATTCTTTGGGATATGTCATAATTAAAAGAAGCTCTGTCTTTGGATTATTTATTTAGTCCCATTCATCTTAATATTGGCATCTTCATCTTTGCTGAAATCTCATCAGTAAGACTCTAACCTTTCCTGGCCTGTACTCCTTTAAAATTCATGTCCAATGTTATAAGCTGCATGAATAAATGACAGGAATGAAATCAGAAATGTCCACAAGATCTGGAAAATTTAATAATTACCAGTATTCTTCATGTGGTGTGTGGGAACATATCCGATTTAGAGGATTGTTCTCGGCTTCTGAGTTTAATGAATATGAAAATGCACTTTAATTGAAGGCTTAACTGAAGGAAACAGCCTTTTTCATTTTAAGACAGTTGTGTAGCTACACTCTCATAAGAAACCTCGTGTTCTAATTTCACAAAGATGATTACTTTTTAAAGTCCCTTGAATTGAAATGTGATTATTTCTGCTCAATGATATATTTAAAGTTTTAGAGTACTGTATTTAATTAGAGCCCCATCTCAAAATCTCCATTTTTGAGAATTTCACTGGTTGCTCCTTTTCTTTTAGAGGACACCCAAACCATACTTAATTTTCAGATCTAATTTATCTGCTTAGAATTATACAAGACAAGCATATAACTTAGTAAAAACAAGGGCTGAATATTCTGAGTTAATTTGTTTTTAATCTCAGAACTTTATTAATTTTTGAATCACTTTAGACTCAATGTAGGGCTGTCTTCATAGAATATTGTATAATTATTTTAAATGGAAATTTGTATTGATAGTTCTTTGTATAATTATATTTCTATAAGAATAACATTAATGAGGGAAAATAATAGGAAGAAACCCCAACTTGCATAAAGCTTTCAGGGACCAGATACTTTTGTCCTTATACTTACCCTATAATTTAAGTAAGGCAATTATTATTTACGTTTTAGAAGTAAAAATACCTAACATACTTTTATCATGAAGATATCTTCATTTTGATAAAAGAAGACAATTTTCATGAGTTGTATTATCTTTTGATGTCTCATATGCTTTACTAAAAGTGCTTGATTTTTGTAATTTAAGCTAATAATCACTGACATTATCCTTGTAACTTATCTTGATATTCAATTGTGTTATCTTAAAAGATATAGCCGCTGTATCTTAGATGACATCAGTGTCAAAATTGCAGAGGAAAAAGGTGCTTGCAGTCTTTCTGGACAATTGCATAATCTCCTGTAAATTTTAGTAACTAATCTGTTCCAACAAGGTCCACCACTTGCTAATAGTTTACATTTAGCTGTTGTAAACAGCCCATTTTGTTGTTACTCCAAGAACCAGTGTGGGTAGTATACCTTTAACAGAGTAAAAAAGTTAGTATTCAAGTTGACTGGCATGCTGTACATAAATCAGGCTAAATCCATAGATCTGATAGTTGTATAAAAGGCAGAGGAAAACAATGCTTCTTTAAGGTGTTTGGTGTTCTTGGGCAAAAGGCTTGATTCAGATGGAATAGTTGTGCTCTAAAGTCTGTATCTGCATATTTTTGAGAAAATTATAGTCTCAGTGAAAATACTTCAGTGGAGTGATACTAGCTTGTCATACTGCGTCATCAAATATATTTTGTAAGAGGGGAAACTTGTTCATGGTTTTGGTAGACCATTCAGTTCTGGTGTATAATGTTATTCTTTGTAATTAGCTTTGAAATAATGAGAAGACGTGAGAGCAACTTTAAAATACTGAAATTAAAGAGTGAAATTATTCTTTGGATAACAGATGATTTAAAGGAAATGCAATCCACGAGAGATATATGATTATTTGATGTTACTTACAATGATTAATATGTGTAGGGTAGATTACTTAGGATGTAATTGGTTTATAACCAAAGTGGATTTTTTAAAAGTTAATGAAAAATGATATTAGGCAGAAACTATAGAGTTAATATTTATTTTTTCTTATAATGATTTTGTTTCTGAAATATTATCTTCTTTCAAACTATATTGATTATAGTAGTTGATATATATTAGTTAACTTGGAAGTGTACAATATTTTGACCTGTATTTGGCATATTTTATTTAACAAATATTTTGATTTATTGATGGATTAGTTTAAAAAACAATATGTTAGAAAGTAAATCACATTTGTTCTGTGATTTCAATAACAAAATAATATGGATTATATTTATATGTGTTAAGAAAAATATCTATTTTGTAATTATACCTTGATAAAAACTGTTACTATCTTTTATTGGAATAGAAAGCTCCTCCTGGTGTGGTGGCTCATGCCTGTAATCCCAGCACTTTGGGAGACCAAAGTGGGCGGATCGATTGAGCCCAGGAGTTAGGGACTGGCCTGGGCAACATAGTGAAACTCTGTCTCTCTAAACAAATTTTAAAAACAGCCTTGGGTGCTGGCATGCGCCTATAGTCCCAGCTCCTTGGAAGGCAGAGGTTGGAGGTTCATGTGAGCCCAGGAGGCAGAGGTTTCAGTGAGTTATGATTGTGCCACTGCACTCCAGTCTGGGTGACAGAGTGAGACCCTGTCTCAAAAAAAAAAAAAAAAAAAAATATATATATATATATACACACATATATACACATATATGAATATATATATACATATATACACATATATGAATATATATATACATATATACACATATATATGAATATATATACGTGTATGCGTATATACACGTATATATATATATATATATATACCCAGACATATATATATGTGTGTGTATATATATATATCAAGGAAAAGTTCATCATAACTAGGAAAATAGCTTTTTTAGACATGGTATTACCATTTAATTACCTCAGAAGCAGTCAATCATCAAGTGAAATTTTATTAATTAAAACTAACTTCAAATATATATGTATGTTAAAATATATATCATAGGAATGAAAAATATTAAATGTTCTCTTTATTTTGCCTTTAACACATTTCTTCATTTAGCAAATACTTATTAAGGACCTAGTATGTCATGTACTTTTCCAGATAATGGGAATATAGCACTGACTAAATGGTCAAAATTCTCTGTACTCATGGAGCCTGCATTCTATTGGAGGGGAGTGGAGTGTAAAACAAACAATTAAAATAATAGTGTATATCGTAGTGTAATGAGTGCTCTCGATAAAAATAGAGAAGAGGTTAATGATAGTGCCTGGGTTAAGAGAGAAGAGTGAAATTTTATAATGGGTAGATAGAGAAGGCCTTGTGGCTAAGGCAATTTTGTAATTGAAGTCTGTAGTTTGTGAGCAAGTGAGCCATAAAAATCACCTGTGTAAGAAGGCTGTGGCCATGGAAACAGAAAACTCAAAGATCTTCAGGCAGGAGCATGGTGGGCTCATAATCAGCAGGGAGACCATTGTGGCCAGAGCAGAGTTAGCAAGCGAACGGGGAGCAGGGGTAGCAGCAGACGCCATGTCAGCCACAGCCCTATGGACGATTGCAAAGACTCTGATATTTACTTTGAGATTGTCTTAATTATCTCAGACAGATAGGCTAAAATAACAGACGTGTATTTCTTACAGTTTTGGAGGCTAGGAAGTCCAAGATCGAGGTGCAGGTTGGTGCCCAGTAAGAATTTTCTTCCTGGGTCTTCTCAGTGTGTCCTCACATGACCTCTTCTGCACTAGCAGAGAGAGCGAGCAAGCTCTTTTCTCATGAGGCCACTAATCCTATTGTAGGTGCTCCACACTCATGACCTCATGGAAATTACCTCCTAAAAGCCCCATCTCCTGATAATATCACATTGGTGGTTAGGGCTTCAACATATGAATTTTGGGAGTATACAAACATCCAATCCATAACATAAATGGAAAGCTGCGGGATGTTTTCTGGAGGAAGAATTTTGTAATCTTTTCCATCTTTATGAAAAAGTTGTGGACATTGGATACTATGTTGATAAGAATAGGCATAAAAGGTATAAGAACAGGAGGTATGATGGACAGGTAGGCTGAAATAACACATTTATACAAAAAAATCTGAGCCTCCAAACGCTAGAATTTTAAACATGTACAATCCTGGGGTAAAAAACGACGTCATTCACTTCATCAGGGTTTAGCTATGGATCATGGACAAGAATATAGAACCTAACAGAAGTGGATGCAAGTCCTGGCTTTATTGCTGAATTACATATTCAACTTCTTTACAATCAAAGGAGGTGAATATACCTTGTTAGGGTGCAGTGAGGATTGCATGCAGTAAGTAATGCAAGGAATCTATCTAATAGGAAATGCTTCTGTCTTCCTATTTTTAAATCCCCAAATAGCAAAGTTAAGATGAATAAAACAGAACAATTTTTCTCACTAACTCAAAATATTACCATGTTCCTCCAATCTAAACCATACCAAACTTGTTTCATGAACAACAGTCAAATAATTCCAAAAAATATTTTTTTATTTGATAGTTTCATTGTTACCATGGTAGAAATCAAAACAGGCTTTCAACCAATTGTTCTAAATTTTACAGGATGCTGACTCATTCTTGTTAAAATTGCTGATTAGTCTAACAGGACATGACTTACATGAGCTGCCATATATGAATATCCTCACCGTGACAAATTTCCTAACATATCTAGTGCTCAGATGAAGAGCTGAAAAATCCACTACACTTCCAACCCACTGGTATTTTTCAGGGTAATTGTTTTCTATGCTTGGTATTTGTCACAAGTGTGAATCTGGATCACAATAGAATCATAAAAGAGTTTTCATCAGTAGGACCTTCTTAAGTTTTGTGTTTATTGATTTTTTAAAACCAGATAATTTGCAAAAAAAAGGGTTCTTTAATTCTGGAAAGTACATCATTATATATAATATATAGAGTTGTATGTTAAATGACTAAAAAAGTGAATGTTTTTAAAGAACTTTCAGTAAAATGTTGTCATGGTTCTGATATTAGCAGAGTAGCTTTTCCTTTTTTCTTTTAAAGAGCTATTTAAATTATAAAGTCTTGATTCTGACTCATGCAACCAGAAATCTGATTAAGTGCTAAGAAAGGGCACTTTTTAAAAAGTACAATTGCTTCTGTAACAAAGTGATTGTCTATTGTAATAAAGTGATTAGCTTACATAATTAACATTGTTTCTCATTAGGTGCGAGCAGGGAAATGGTAAGAACATCATAAGACATTGAGGACAAGCCTGAGTTAGAGAATATAAATTTTAAGCTAGGCTAATTTGACCATAATTAATAAGTTTGGCACAAAGAGAAACAATTCTACTTCTGAGGTAAAGATGGCCTTTACTTTCACTATCTTTTTAAAATAACATTTATGTAATACATGCATATTCATAGAGAACAATATACTATTGACTTTCTGATAAGAGAATATTGACTACTTATCAACCCAAATGCCAAAGATACAGTATTCTTATCATATAGATAGTGGTTTTTTAATTCATTTCAGATCACAGAACAGCAGACCAATTAGTAATAGCTTTATAGATATTGTAAATTGCTTTAGACTGAATTGTGTTCCCTCCATCCCCAATTTATATGTTGAAGCTCTAACCTCCAATGTGATGTGATACTTGGAGGTAGGGACTTTAAGAAGTAATTAGGATTAAATGAGGTCACAAAAGCGGGCCTCAATCTGAAAGGGTTGGTGGCCTTCTACGATGAAGAGGAATCCTTCTCTTTCATTGAGTACATGCAGATATGAGGATATCTGTAAGTAGCTATACTTTATAGCTACTTCTTTGGAGGTTCATAGTACACACTAACCCTTAAAAGGTCAAAGAAATTCTGCTAGGAATAAATAAAATTTGTTTTACCCAATATTTTTCATATATGTATGTGACTATGTAACATTTACCTCTCACAAGTATGTTTCAGTTAATTCACATAATCACTTTTTCAGATAGCTGTATATTAAGAAATGGGCATATTCTAAATTTGATACCATTTATAACTCACTTTGCTTTCTGTATGAATCACTTTGTACAAATGTGACGTGGTTTGTTGTGAAAATCCAACTTTATTTTGATAGCCTATTAAACCTTTTCAGTGAGTGACCCTGGATAAGGATGACTTTCCTGGAGATTCAAAATAACAAAATGATCTAGATTACCTTTAGACATAAAAACAATCTCAATAAAAATGTCTCAATTAAGAAATTCCGGCTGGGCGCGGACGCTAATGTCTATAATCCCCGCACTTTGGGAGGCAGAGGCGGGCGGATCATCTGAGGTCAGGAGTTCGAGACCAGCCTGGCCAACATGGTGAAACCCTGCCTCTACTAAAAATACAAAACTTAGCCAGGTGTGGTGATGTGTGCTTGTAATCCCAGCTACTCGGGAGGCTGAGGCAGGAGAATGGCTTGAACCTGGGAGGTGGAGGTTGCAGTGAGCTGAGATTGTGCCACTGCATTCCAGCCTGGGTGACAGAGCGAGACTGTCTCAAAAAAAAAAAAAAAAAGTTTATTTTCATTGTAATAGTGAAATTTCCAAATTTGTGTTAGTGTTAACTCCTCTTCCCTACCTTAGTGAAGAGCTAATGGAAGCCTTCAGTGGAGGCTGGGCTTTGATAGCTGCTCTTTGAATTTTGCCCAAACTAGGGAGAAGCAGAGAGAGGAAGGGAAGAACAAGGATGGTTAGTCGTTACCTGTCTGGATAACTTAGGGCAGGGCTGGGTAGATGGCGGGCCTTGTAGCTAGTTTATGCTGACTCTTTGTTTTGGATTTCTGTTTTTTTCTGGTTCCTTTGACCCAGGCAACACACATCTCTGTTGTATGTGAAAACTTCCTGTCCATTCCTTCCATGGCCCTGGGAGCATTTTGGATTTGCTCCCCAGAACTACCTAGGGTACTACAGGAGAATGATTGAATCTTACATGCTTCATGCCAGCCTTAGTAGACACTACTAAGTCTGCCAAAATCAAGGCATAAAATGTTGGATAGTTTTTAATGTTTTACTCTGTATCTCTTGTACTATATTTCATTACAAATTTATCTCATGTTATATATTTGGCCAAATATATAAGAAACAGCCAAAGGAAATTCTGCTGTTCTTAGGAAAGCCTCATGGAGGACATTCAGTGAGTTAAGAGTACTTCAAGTTTTTAAGAATCTATGTCAGCATATATGGTTAATCTTGGTATTGAACCCATGTTTTCTATCTAATTAGGAGAACAATGCCCACATGCAGATCACATAAATCCTAGCACACTGTCTAGTGTGTGCACATAAGTCAGAAAGGAATATCATATCATATATTTTTCCACAAGTACTTCTCAGAGCTGATATTTCTCAGTGCCTTTTCTTAAGAAGGAGCTCAAGTATTTTACAATACTAGATTTTCTTCATTTCCATTTGGTTTTCACAATTACCTAGGCACAATGTTTAAAGAAAATATTGTGATTTTTTTTAGTCTATTATGGAATAAGAATATTCAGGGATTTGCAAAAAATCCAGTTATTGCTTTATTTTTTCTTACTGTTTAGTAGGGAATACAAATAAAAATTTACTGTTTAAAAAAAAAATTAAAAGGAAACCCAGAGGGAAGACATGAAAAAGAATGTGTGCAAAATTCAGTGCCTCTATAAATTGACAGCTGGAAATCAGAAGTGCACTTGGCTAGCTTTTATGATGCGTATAACAAATGACAGGCCATTCAAAGGTTGAAGAAGAGAGATAATCTTAAATTAAAATAGCTTCCAAAACAGGCTGACAGTACTGTTCACAGCAAATTAAAAAGGGATTGACAACTGGAAAAAAAAATGGGGGTCTGGAATTTGAGATGAGGATTTTTTAATCATTTGGCATTTGACTTCGTGGATAAAATCTTACTCGATTTCTCCCTAGAGGTAGAAAGGCATTTAAAAGATATTTCTAAAATTTTATTAAAACGACAAAGATTTTAAATGGACTATAAAGATTTCATGTTTATTTTGTCTCAAAATTCGAAGATCAGACTTTAAAGATACCGGGTTATGAGATATGCAAACATTCAGATTGGATTTAGTCAACATTTGTCATTAGATCAAATGAAGTTATATGTAAATTTTAGTTTAATGAATAATGTTATTTTAAAAAAATACTACCTGAGTTATAGAGTATCATAAAATAGTACTAAAGGCCATGCTAATATTGTTTCAGTCTTCTAAAAAGGTGGCTCTGTTTTTGCTTGCTTCTTTCAAATGACAGTCACTGGAACATGTGTGGATGTTCATGTAGGCGTCATGGACACTGGGGCCAGTTATTATCTTGTATTCACCTAGATTGCCATGTGATTGAAGAAGTGTGCCATTACTACACTTCCAAGTCTGTGAAGATCAGTTGTTGTTTCTATATTTCCTTAGTAATCATCGTCCCTCATATGGAAATACATTGGCAGTGACTAAGCCACTTTGAGTATAGAGCAGAAGTCCCCAGATGAGTCATACAGGCCGTTGGTGGAAGGCTTCATATTTGAAAGAAACAAATTTTATATGGAGATAGTATTATTTATACTCAAAATGGCTCCTCTATTTAATCTACACCTTTTATAAGTCAGAGGAATTTTTTGACCTGGAGGAGAAAATCATTAATTCCAGAATAATTTAATTTGTGACCGTCATAAATTTTCAGCTCCACCTCAAAGCTAAAAAAAAAAAAAAAAAAAAAAAAGACAAAAACTGGTTTGATTAATTTTCTAGGATATATAACCAACATTTTCTCATTTGTGATAGAAGGGTAAATGGATAAAATTGATTATCCTCTGTATTTGTCATTCATTATTAACAGTTTGTGTATTCTCAAATTAACCAAGTTTTAAATTATATAAAATCATTTTCTCTTAGTATTTTAAATGAGAATAAGATTGACACAATAATTTTGCATATATGCTATTTCTGGTATTTTAACCTTACAATTCTCTTTTGAAATTACCTTCAGTAACAGTTTTTTAGTCTAGGGAAAATAATTACCATATTTTAAAAAGAATAAGACAGTGTTTTTCATCGGACTTAATTCTAGAGGAGTTATAGCTGTTTGAAAAATAAGATAATTCCTGAAGGGTCCAAAATATTTGTCATCAATTTCAAGTATAATTCAAAATAAGGATTTCCAAGAATATTTGAGAAATAGAATCTTCCCTCTAATGTCTAGATGGTATAATTGAAAGGCAGTCATCTATAATTTTAAAAGACCATGCAAGTGTTATATATAATCATTTTAATGAAGAATACTATTGATATATTGTAGTCACATCACTTCAATTACAACATGTATTCTTAAATCGTATCGTACTGTTAAAATTTTCACATAGGAGTTCATATTTACTCTATTAGTTGATTGTCTCATACTTATTTTTTAAAGGATGTTGTGGGTTGCTTTTGAAGATTCCTCAAAGGCTTTTAAAAGTGGAAAAGTCAGGGAAGAAGTAATATAGTGTGAACTGGATAGCCTTTTTAAACATAAGTGGAATGGTTCCAAAAATAAGGGGTAAGAAATAAAATTTTTAAACTATAAAAGGAAAACGGTGATATTCAGTGAACATTTGAATAAACAGTCCTTAAGTAAAAATAGTATGACAAAATTGTCTTTCATAAGAATATAATATTTATAATAATACCTCAAAGGACTGTAATGTGGATTAAAAGAAAACATGTATGAGGTGACTAGATCACTCTTAGATGATGGTTAAACCAAAATCAGTCTAATTTTATTTATCAGTATGCTTCATTTTCATAAGAAAACAAGTATAAATCATTTTGTTTAGTCTGTCTAATGAGAATGTTGTCATCTACTGTTAATACAAGTTCTTGAACATGGAACTGTGTACATATAAACATCCTCTTTTCATTCATTTATTCATTAAATTAAAAAAGTCAGTATTAAAATAACGGAAAACGTGATGAATTATACAATTAATTAAATTTGCTCAAATGCAAATTAATTTAATTAATTAGATTCTTTTCATGGTTCTTTTAGCACAAATATTACAGTATTCTAAATAGCTTGTGAATAAAACTTTTAGTAGCTGATTTTGAGATGGTTTATATTTTAATGAATAGACAAAACCTGAAAATTTGAATATGAAATTATTCACTTTGATGGCCTTCAAGTTATGAATATGCAGCCTCCCTCTGTGTGTAATAAAGTATATTTTTTGTTTATAATCTTTTAAATAAAGTTCAGTTAAGTTTATGAAAATACAATAATAAAAACTATCATTAGGCCACAATAAAGCCAGTTCTTATGGATCAGTAGAATTAACTATACATATTCGGGTTGGGGAGTTAAATATATTTTACTCATAGAGCATTAAATATACTGTTTTTAGTTTTCTCAGAAAGGATGTGCTAAGATTAAAATTGACTTCTATTTTTATGCATTCTATCAAAATCTGAATATGTATATACACACACAAATGTTTATTTGGCAAGCATCTAATTTTATAACTGGCATTAACTTGTACAAATAATAAAAAATTAACATAAAATGTAAATTTGAGTAACTGGTAATCATGTGTCTTGTTGAGTATTATAGTACTTCGGTAAAACTCGACATTAAGAATTATGTACAAAAGTAGCCATTAGGACTCTATGTAAAAAAATGCCATAACCACAGTGTTATAATATTCCTTTCTCTGCCTTTCAAGACTTTCAACACATAATCTTTTCTCCTCTCTTAATTAAAATAGACCTTTTGCTTCATTTAGAACAACATGGGTAATTCTAAACACATTCCAGACTTTCTGTTTTTTTGTTAGATTATTCCTTATTTTTTAAAATGGAGTCTGGTTCTGTCACCCAGGCTGGAGTGCAGTAGCTCACTGCAACCTCCACCTCCTGGTTCACGCGATTCTCTTCTCTCAGCCTCCTGAGTAGCTGGGATTACAGGCGCCTGCCACCATGCCCAGCTAATTTTTGTATTTTTAGTAGAGATGGGGTTTCACCATGTTGGCCAGGCTGGTCTCGAACTCGTGCCCTCAAGTGATCCGCCTGCCTTAGCCTCCCAAAGTGCTGGGATTACCAGCATGAGCCCAAGCGCCTGGCCAAGTTGTTCCTCTTTTGTTTATCCACATAAATAATTATTAAAAGTCACGGATTTTCTAGTATATAGGTTATGTCTGTAATGAAGTTAAAAATAATCATTTCATGAATACATCTTAGTGTTTTGTGCTGTGACAAGGCTTAGTAGATACTTCATTGCTCAAAGGAATCTGAATCTCTCCTTTCAACACATAGGATTATGCACCCTTTCTAACCTGCAGCAGGGTGGTAATATGTGGTTGACATTTTTCCATTGGTTATAGGTGGAAGTGACATGTATGACTTTCAAGCTGGTGGATTTAATTGCCAGCACAGGGCCCTCTGGAACTCTCTTTCTGCCCCATGACCTTGTAGATGGAATCTCCATCAGTCTAAGTTCCTTCGTTGAATGAAAACATACTGCAGACTGCCCCACTTTCCACACCTGAATTCCACCAGCAGCAAGCAGTGGGTTGTAGGATGAGTGAAAAACAGCAACAAACCAACTACTTTGATGTTTTTACCTACTTAAATTATATATGTGTGTGTGCGTGTGTGTGTGTGTATATATATGTATATATGCATGTGTATATATATATCTCAAATACACACAACAAATATGGTATTTCCACTTAAATCTTCCTGAAATATTATTCATTTACTTATCTTTGTGTCATCCTTCTATTTATAAAATTACTAATGAATTGATTTAAATCTGGCTTCCTCTGCTTCTCAGGATTTTTTTTCCCCAAGATGTTTCAAAATCAAAATTTTTATCTAAAAGTTTTATCTCTAAAATAAATTTTAAAGCTTATTTTTTTCAAGTCTTAAAACCTTTCTCAATCAGATTTTCAGGAGCTGCACAATAGAACTGTTACTTCCCTTCTCTTATTTTCAATCTTCTATCCTTTTTCTCTTTAGTCCCGATTTTAAAACAATGGCAGGTTAGGGAAAACAAAAACCCACAGCTTACTCTCTTAGGAGGTTGGAGGAGAAATTGATTTTAGGCTCTTGATAGTTTAAGTCTACATTTTTGTTCCTTTCCATGTCCACAGATCAATATATTACCTGAATACATAAATCTTATATGCTGAAATAATATCTCCAATTTATTATATAAAATTCAAAATCTGTGACCCACAGTATGTGATGTTAACCTTTCCTACTGATACAGTTACACCACTTAATTTATGACAAAAATAATTGAACTAACATGTACTATATAATCATAGGTTAGAGGCCAAAATCAAATTAAGAGATTGAATTTAACCTGAATTGGTAGATTGCGGTAAAAAACGGAAAGAAGCATATTTAAACTATCAATAAAATAAGACATTTTTGCATTATGGGAAACTATGTATCATATTCTAATACCATTACTGCAACTATAGCATTGCTATACTCACCTTAATTGAAATATTTTTCATTAAGATCACAAAGGATAAAACCTAAATGGAAACCGAAAATAAATTAGAGGTTATCAATGGACTAAGTATGACTATTATGTGCCTTGTTGATTTTCAATTTATCAATAAAGTATACTTTAAAATATATTGGAAATTTTACTTTGGAACTTTTAGATTTTCATTTGTCTTATTACTTCCATCTGTCATGTAACGTTTTACTGACTTTCATTTGTTGAATTTCTAGGTAAATAATGTAGAAGGCATTTGTCACCCATCATCACCTGTGTGCTCCCCCAAGACTTTGGCCATGCCAAATGTAGACCTTCTGCTATATTGTAATATTAATGATAATATTGGAGACTTTGGTACAGGAATGTTGAGAAGTCTGTTCTAACCAATACCCACCCACTTGGTTCCAAACTTCAAATTCTGTTGGTAATATACAGTTGGTACTTGTGCAGAATTGTTTTCTTCTTTAGATTTTCATTTTATGTTAGTGTGTGGTGACTACAAATTTAATCTACTTATATAATATCTTATATAAATAAGAATCCTCCAGGATAAAAGTCTACAAAGGAATATGACATTTACACATTTGGCAGATCTGTATCTATATTTGTGTTTGGTATAAATAGTAAGTTCTAGATTTCAGCATGAAATATTGCCAAATATTCTAATTCCATTATATTTCAAAGAGTTTATCCACAAAATTATGGTCTTACTATGATTTGTACATTTCAAAAATTTGTACAATTAAACATTTCTAAGCTCTACTTAGAAAATAGCATTACAGCATTTGCCAGAAAAAAAAAAAAAGTTAAAAAGTTCAGGAAATCAATCTTGGTCTAAAATAAAATATACCTTTGTGGGTAACATTCTCAAAATTGAAATATTTAGAATACCATTTCAAATCTTCTACTAAATCTCTGTTTTACTTGGCATAAATACACATGTGTATACACTTCATATATGTATATCTTTCATGCATAGAAATCTTTCCAGCAAGCTGTGCATTGATTCAAATTCCAGATAAAAGTTTCTTAAGCTAGAAAATAAGTACACTTTGATAGTCTGTATTTTGACGTTGATAGCATTTATTTCAACTTATTCTGAACAAATTGAAAGAAGGAAGTTGTTTAGAAATGGACATAACAAATAACATCCAGGGGTTTCAGGAAAGTTTTCATCTTAATGAACACATCTTTATGCTCTAAAAACACTAATAATACCTGTGAATGATTTATTATATTTTAATAAAGGATGTGAATTCTAGATAAAAAATTTGATTTTTGATTTAAAATAAAAAACTTTATATGAAATAATAAGACATTTCAAGAAGTAGAAAAGATCACAGGGCATACCCTTGGAATCAAGAAAATAAATTTGCATTAAGGAAAAGCCCCTTTGAGACTAACACAAACAGTAAATTCAATCTCATTGCATTTGGAATCTCTAAAAGCCTGAAAAACTCACTTTTTTCTGTCCTCACACACACACAAAAAATTATATAAGGTTTTTGCAGTGTGTAGATGTATCAGAACTAAATTTTTTTTTCCTTTGAAATCTATTTTTCTTATTTTTTTTAAGTTCCAGGGTACATGTGCAGGATGTGCAGGTTTGTTACATAGGTAAACATGCAACCCATCACCTTGGTATTAAGCCCACCATGCATTACCTATTATTCCTAATGCTCTCCCTTCTCCTACCCCCTGACAGGCCTCAGTGTGTGTTGTTCCCCTCCCTGTGTCCATGTAGAACTACTTTTTAAATGATGTAAATGTCATTAATTGTACATGTATTAAGTACACATCAGTTTACATAGAGAACAGAATAATATGATCTGATTCCTACAGTGATTCACACACACTCCTACCTTCCTGTTTAAGAAGGTATTGCGGCCGGGCGCGGTGGCTCACGCCTGTAATCCCAGCACTTTGGGAGGCCGAGGCGGGCGGATCACGAGGTCAGGAGATCGAGACCATCCCGGCTAACACGGTGAAACCCTGTCTCTACTAAAAATACAAAAAATTAGCCGGGCGTAGTGGCGGGCGCCTGTAGTCCCAGCTACTTGGGAGGCTGAGGCAGGAGAATGGCGTGAACCCGGGAGGCGGAGCTTGCAGTGAGCCGAGATCCCGCCGCTGCACTCCAGCCTGGGCGACAGAGCGAGACTCCGTCTCAAAAAAAAAAAAAAAAAAAAAAAAAAAAAAAAAAAAAAAAAAAAAGAAGGTATTGCTACCTGTTTTAGAGTATGTAATTTTAAAAATAGAAAAAGAAAGAATATATTAAACAGTAATAAAATGTACTGGCTTTTAATTTTAACTACAAATTGTTAGAAGTGTCACATCTAGGAATAGTGAATGGAAGGGAAAAATTGAAGACTGATGTCTCAGTAAAATGAATATAAAAGATTTTCAACTGGATCAGACAAATGAAAAGGTTTTGCTACAGATATATTTGGAAAGGGCAGTGAAACTGACAAATAATGTGAAAGATCTTGGCTTCCGTCAGTTTGATACAGAATGCAAACTGACAAGAAAGTAAAGGATTCTTTTAAAACCATGAGTAAGATTAATATGAAGGCAAATGCGTTTTGGGAAGAATGGTAAAATTCATTTCAGTATAACATCAATGTTTACATCAGAGTAACTACTGGTTTAAAATTAAATTGAGTTTATTCTTAACATGTCTAATTTTGTGTTTTGAGAAATATGCATTTTGGTATTACATCTTACTGAAAAGTCATTTATAGTTTTATTGTTGAGGATTAAAAATCTGATAAGTTTCTAAGTAATTAAATCTTGTCAGACCTGCCTTCTGATGATGATGTTTGGCATGCATGCATTGAGTTCTGATGCAGTTTTAAATCATTTCAGAAAGCCAGAGGTGCAAGTGAATTGCAGAAGAGTCACGCATTGATGGTGAGGAGACTATGTCAGCAATTTGAAGTATCTTTATAATACATATATGACTCCTGTGGTAGAACTTTATGGCCTTATAAGACCATGTAATCATCAAGCCTCAGTCTCTTGAGGCTTGCTGTAAGTGTAAAGGCACAGTAGATTACCTCATCATTCTAATGGAGGCAGCAGGGAAATTGCTTATTCTCCAAGTGCACAGCAAGCATTAGTCAAAGTGCTGTACATGTAAGATATGCAGGCGTTCTATCCCTGGGTACATGATTTACATCAATAATGATTTTGAAAAAGGCAAATAAAACAATGCATTAGAAAATAATGGGTTTGTATTGGTTTCAACATCCTTCATATTATCTCTTCTTGATAGAGTGAGTTTTATATAGATACATGGAATTTATAATCAGTACATTTATTTTAATGCAAAAGGCACATTTTGCCATTTTAGTTAAATGAAAACAATGTTAAAGTGTACCAGTCACTGATCACTTTTTAATGGGAAATTATGTTTTTGTTTGTGAGAGTTGGGTCTACATTGCTTCCTCTTAGCAACTTCTATCTGATTCCTATTTCTTGCTTTATTTTTTTATTTTTTTTATTTTTTAGACGAAGTCTTGCTCTGTCACCCAGGCTGGAGAGCAGTTGTGCAATCTCGGCTCATTGCAACCTCGGCTCACTGCAACCACTGCCTCGTGGGTTCAAGTCATTCTCCTGCCTCAGCCTCCCAAGTAGCTGGGACTATAGATGCATGCCACCATGCCCGAGTAATTTTTGTATTTTTAGTAGAGACAGGGTTTCACCATGTTGGCCAGGCTGGTCTTGAACTCCTGACCTCAAGTGATCTGCCTGCCTCGGCCTCCCAAAGTGTTGGGATTACAGGCGTGAGCTACTGGACCTGTCCTTGCTTGCCTCTTAAACCTGAGGATTCATAGACATTATTGGTGTCATTTTAGTGATAATTTTAGTCAAGCAATATTTTGAATTGTCACTGAAACATGATTCCCAAATCTGATTCTTCCTTATACACTTCATGGCTAAGATGCAGATTGACTACTCTGATTGCCTTTTTTAAACAACGCGGTTTAATGGATATCTCAGAAGCACCTCACGTTATGTTCAAAATTGAATGTATCACTGTTGTCCCCAAGTGTACCTCTCTTCCAATGTTCATATCTTTGTTAATAACACTAAGAACCCAAGTCAGAAAACCATGCTTCCTGTTTTCTCCTTTCCCACATTTGTTACTGTGGCCTGTAGATTTTTTCTCAACATCTTTTTAATCTCTTTCCACTCTCTATATCCACCACCGCTGTTTTAGTTCAGAATGGTATTACTCCTCACCAGTCTGATGGTACCTGCTTTCTCTCTTCTCTATTCACATCTGGCTGGCTTTTGCAGATATGATTATTTCATACTTCAGCTTATTATGGCCCTCTGTAATTCTCAGAATAATTATTTTAACTTTAGTATTCCTAGATTATTATAATCATGTCTCTCTAATAACATCCCTGCAATTGCCCCACATTCCTCATCCATTCAGCTGTTTTGAACAATGTTCAACTCCCAGAATGCCCTATGTCTATTTCTGCCTGTGTGCCTGTACAGCGAGTTCACTGGATCAGGCATGCGGTCCTTCTACTACCTCTCTGCCCTTTCTTTAATACTGCTTATCACCTCTTTCAGAAAATCTTTTGTGACCACTACTTCTACCCTGCCCCTCAAAACCTTTGCTTAGTTTCTGATAGGCAGGTGTTACTCATAGGGTCTGTTATGCAAAGCAAAATTTGATTTAGATGCTTTATCTATGTGTCTTCTCAATTAGACTCAAAGTATCTTCAAAAATAGTGATCACAACTTATTTGAAATTGAATTTTAAGAGCCTTATGAAGAATTATTAAATAGTGATTTTTAAAAATGATTAAATATGATGCTGGAGTTAGACCTTTTTCTTTCTAGGATATATCAATTACAGTAAAAAATTGAAACTGTAATCTGTCACAATACTCTTTTGTGCCATCTGTATCTGTTTGGATGTTTTGTTATTGCAGGATATTTTGATATTGAGAGTTTGTCCTTGCAATATCATACTAGATCATACCATCATGTTGATATCTAGGTATTTCCTATTTGTCAATATCATTGTGTCTACTGGTTTATTGAAATGCTTTATATTAATATTTCCATGGCTAGTTGTCTTTAAAATCCCAGTTTAAAATACAGTTCTTCAGAGAGGATATTCCTGAGAACTTGATTTACGGTAGCCACCTAGTCAATCTCTATGGCATCTCCAGATTTAATTCTTTAAAGAGCACTCATGATGTTCTTACTTATGTGTTTATTGTGTTTCTCTTCCAGTAAAGTGTTAGAAGTCCTGTCTGTCTTGATAGGCCCTGGAGCTCGGGTATAGGAGTCTGCAAAGTATGGCCCACTGTCTGTTTTTATAAATACAGTTTTATGGGAACACAGCCACACCCATTTGTTTATGTGTTGTCTAAGGAAGTTTTTGTGCTACTGCTGTAAAGGGAGTTGTGACAGAGACCATGTGGACCATAGACCTAAAACATTTACCGCCTGGTTCTTTAAGAAAAAGTGTGCCTATTCTCGTGCTCAAGAGCTTAGAAAGGTTCCAGACACATAATAGGTGTTTAGTAAATATTTATTGGATGAATGTCTGACAGAAATGAGATGATTAGAAAATGAAGCACATACATTGGGAAATACTTAACAAGAAGCTTCATAGTGATATTCACTGACTTAAAGGACTTATCTAAAAATTGGGCCAGTATTTACACCACGCTCTTCAGAACATCTCCATTAAAAGGGGTGATTTTATCACAGAACTTGAAGTTAAACTAAAAACAGGATTAAATGGACATTTGAATGGATGAAATCTCTCTGATTCAGATGATACCCATCCACCGCCTATCATTGTTGGTTGAAGGAAAGAAAAGGAAATGTTCTACCATTTGTACTTGGTCAGATATGATGAAAATTATTTCCAACTTAAAAATATCCAACAGAGAGGTACAGTTCATATATTCACACACTCTTTCATTCATTAACAAATAGATATTGTTAGTATGTACCAAAACATACTAGTTATTACTGTTTATGGCGTGCCTGTTATACGTTAAGTATAGCATATTTTAATTTTCACAACCCTAGCTATTGTACATAATGTTTTCTCCACCTCATTCCTGAAAACTAGAAGTCTGTGCAATTGTATAGTTTACTCAAGGTGGTACAACTGTGCATTAAACACAGGTTTGTCACATCCCATTGCCTCTTTCACTATATTCTAGGCATCAGGGAAAATAACGTGGTGCCTACCCTACCCAGTATAATAGAAGGCACACACATAAAGATAGTGAAACGTAGGAAGTATTTTAATAGAAGAATATAGAAAAAAATAAGGAGTGGGGAGGGAGTTGATACTCTGCTGGGTGAGGGGAGATGGTGTGGGGAAAATCGAGGAACACCCTGTAGAGCAGGTGATGCTGAACTGTAATAAAAAAGAAGGGAGAAGTTTAACAAGTAGGCATAGGAAAAAACTCAGTCCAGACAGAGAAGACAGCATACAGAATGACATTTGAGGCAGGAGTAAACTTTGCATCCTCTGAGAATGGCAAAAGTCTTGTTATGGCTTGGGCTTGTTGTGTTTGAAAGAGCAGTAGGAGAGGACACCAGAAGGATGGATGGAAGCCAGTCATAAAAGACCAGCTTTTATGGAGAACCAACAAATACTTTTAATTAGGGAAGACATTTGCCAAGTAGAATATTGTGGCAGCAGTAGGAGGAATGGATGGAAGTGAGCTGGAATTAGAGGGAGGGAGGGTATTTAAAGGTTACACAAAAGACCCAAGAGTACGGCTAGGAGCAGAAACGAGGATAGCTACACTGGCATTAGAACCGACATGACTTGGTTGTTTACCATCCTCTATTATCTTTTGTCAGATTGGAAAACTTTTAAGTCATTTAGAAAAGTCTTATGGGTACATGTTTTGATCATGTCAGAATAATTTGAGCTTTTTAAATCTATTTGAAAAATCTAAGGTTTTGTGGGATATTGAGTTGTGAATGAAAATTAAAAATACATGATTTATTGGAAGAGAAAAAGATTCCTGTCTGTATTAAGATCTGCTGAGTAATACACGAGCAAGGACTTGTAAATTTAATGTGTCAACTCTAATGAGTACATTAAAATCTAAACAAGTCATGCTCACTATGTTGTAGGCATCCTGAATACTAACAATATTGATTTTTTTGTATACAGATGTCCATCTCTCTGTGTACGTAAAACATGTAATGTTCTGCATGTATGTATGCATACATGTATATGTGGACAATCTCTATACATGTGCAACTAGAGATACAAGGATATTAACCTCATGTTGTCTTAGAAATAGTGCTTGAGTTCATTCATACCTTTATATATTATGATTCGGTATTAATCTGTAGTTCAATTTCTGAGATGTATATAGTTTTTTTTTTTCTTTTCATTCTGAAGCAGTACATGTTTAAACCAACGGGTCACTGTTCTTGATTATAGCCGACTTCTATGTACTGTGCTTCAATGGATCTGATCTTTCCATCTTAAAATCACCAGGCAACTCTTTGCTCTAAAACTGGTTGACACAAACCCTTGAGTACCAAGCTGTGTGTGCCTCATTGACAATATCACCCTTGTCCCCAGGAGCCTTGTTATCCTTCTTCAACCATATCTCATTAGTCACTTCTAATACTTTTGATCCTTCTTTGTGAATTCAGCAGTCCAGATTTATATGGAGACACTAAATTTCTTATGCAGTTGGGCAGTCTCACAGCAAAGCCAAGAGATTTCCCTTATCTAATTTGGTCTGTATTTCTCAGCCAGAGTTTCTTCTCAGCATTAACAGGAGCTTGTATGTGCATAATTTTGTGTGTGTGTGCCTGTGTATGTGTGGGTGGTGTCTGTTATGCCTATTAGACCTGATATAATTTCATTTCTTTTACTAGAATCTTAGTGCGACTATTCTGTATTCAATGCAGCATTCATCAGTGTGGTTTGCTTTCTGGAACACTTGGAATATGCCATTGTAAAAATTATTTTCTCACCAAGTTACATAAGATATTAAAAATCTTTTTTCAGTTTGCCATTGTCTTATAGCAATTGAAATGGAAAGGTTAATAGACTATTAACCTTTCTTCATGAGATTCATAGCAAGAAAATTAAGTAGTGTTGTTGGACATTACTGGGGTTGGGGTAAGAAGGGCAAAAGTTCCTTGAGGAAAAAGAAAATACTAGGTTTTAGTCACTCATACTTGGATTTTAGGAGTCAGATCAGAATTTATCAAGATAAATTAAAAATATATTTTAAATGCTGAGTATTAGGAGACAGAGAAAATAATGATGATTAATGATGAGAGCAGGTAACACTTATTGTGCAGTTACTAAATGACAAGTAGTATTCTAAGTATGTATAATCTTCAAAACTAGCCCTGTGATGCAGATGCTATTATTATCCCCACTGTACGAGTGAGGAAACTGAGGTTTAGAGAGGGTAAAACACTTTCCCAAGATCAAGTGGTTACTTCTGACAGAAAGACGTGCAGTCTGTGAGAGGGTGGATAATGGGTGAGAATAGTTTTTGCACACATTACATACATTCACATGCTCATTTTAAAAATACCACTTAGAAAAAGGCCTCACCAGAAAGAAAATCTATAGTATGCATGAAAACAAAACAAAAAAAAACCACACACTTTAATTTGGAGTCCTTTAAATTTGGTCTTAATTGCATATTCATTCTTCTATGGCTTCCGGCTTCATTTCTCTGCTCTCAGAGTTTCTGATGTTTTTTTAAACGCACACATTTTATTTCTCTTTTTAAGGTCTAAATGAAAGATCTTTAGGGTATTTCTTGTTGTTTTCATTTACCGAGAGTTTAGCAGGCTATGTATTTACTGAAATATTACTCTAAAATATAGAATAGAAATTTAACAATTTATTTACTCATTTAATTACAAATACTAAAATTTCTCATAAAAATGGCTGTGAAGTGGCCGGGCATGGTGGCTCACACCTGTAATCCCAGCACTTTGGGAGGCCGAGGTGGGTGGATCATGAGGTGAGGAGATGGAGACCATCCCAGCTAACATGGTGAAAACCCTGTCTCTACTAAAAATACAAAAAAAAAAAAAAAAAAAAAAAAAGTTAGCTGGGCGTGGTGGTGGGTGCCCGTAGTCCCAATTACTCGGGAGGCTGAGGCAGGAGAATGGCATGAACCCGGGAGGCGGAGCTTGGCAGTGAGCCTAGATTGTGCCACCGCACTCCAGCCTGGGCGACAGAATGAGACTCTGTCTCAAGAAAAAAAAAATGACTGTGAAGTACTATCAATAGAAGATATTGTATTTTCTTCAGATAATTATGCTAAAGTTTCTACTTTATTTTACAAATTACATAATGTTCCTAAATTTGAAATGAAAATTTTCAACTAGCTGATTCTAATGAAGAATATCTTATGATGTGAGTGTTTAAATAAATTAGGAGATTAAGCAGAAGGAATATTGCTTTACACAACATAAACAGATTTACATTCTAATTGCTCTATGTAAAAGAAATGTGTTTTTGTTCAAGGAAGAGGAAATTACTGACTGGACTAAAACAGTATGCTGACAGGTCAAAAGTTGTTGTCTATGTAAGACACTTAGGGAGATGTGCACCGTACAGTATTTTAATCTAGCTGAGGAAAGAACTGGAATAAAAATATGCTTGCTAATTCAGTTCTCATTCATAAATTTATTTGACCTTCACACCAACCCTATAGGCTGTCTAGGATCCTTAGTATAGCTATATTCATTTTTTTAGACGAATAGAACAGAAGCACAAGAAGTTAAATGATTTGTTTTAAGTAGTATGTTGTGCCAGTGATTGTGATTCTAGGCTATCAAAGTCATTAATAATTTATTTGGTTTTGATACTACTAAGGAGAGAAAAGCTTAGAATGCTTAAAGGATAAAACAATAATTTGACCTTGGGGCTCCTATATTTCTGAGGTTTCTTATACAAAATACAGCCCTTCTCCCTCCTCAAATCTTACAATTATCATTTTATTTCAAGTGACATTAAATCATTCAATTAGTAGACATGATATTAGATACTAGTGTCTTCTATTCCCCTTGCATTACCCTTGTTTTCTTTAATAATAAAGTGGATTTCTTCTGAGCTCCTCCTCTGTGCTCCACAGCGTGCAGATTTCATTAAAGCAGAACAGCTGTGTTCTGGGCATTGGCCAGGTGCTCAATCCGCAGGAAACTAAAGTGATAGGGGGCAAGGCCAGAAATCTCAGTAATACAGGGGCTAGACAACTGACAAGGACAAGGGCCTTTTCATATTTGTACCAAATTAACTGTAGGAATAAGGCTTATCTCCTCATCAAGGTCCTTGTGTGCCTTGGAGCCTTCTGCTCTCCCATCCTCAGTGCGAGGTGGATTCTGGTGCCCGAGACATGATTAGAGAGATTAGATTTGGTCTTCCCATCTCCCTGTACCTTATTCATCTTTCATTTACACTGGGATTAGATGAGATTCCATTAGCCAAATCCACTGAAAAGATTCATTCATTTTAATATTTATGCACACTGTCTACTCCTTAAAGTGGATTCTTTTTTTCCCTGTGCACTTAATTAGATCAGTAGGTTTCTTCTTATTAACATCTTTCTTTTCAGAGATTAGGGTTGGTGAATAAAATTAGTGACATCTGGCTCAGCTTATCTGATAATGCAGCTCTTTTCTTAAGGTAGTCAACATATAAATGACTTTTCTTAAGGTAGTCAACATATAAATGACTACCTTATTTATATGTTGTGAAATGAACGTTTGCCACAAAAGATATCTTTTGTTTAGAATCATACTTACAATAAGTGTTGAATCTAAAACTAAACAAAGTTTCTAATATTCTATGATTGTCCAAAAATTAAAGGTGTGGAGGAGGTAACATTTAAGGGCATTAAAAACTAGATTTGAAACCCTTGCTTGCTTGTTTAAGGAATAGTAAGTTTCCAAAACTAAAATGAAAATTTGCCCAACCCAAAGAGTGCCAAAATGTAGAATGAAATATAGACAAAATTTACTGTCACAAAGACAGTATTAAATATACTGTCTTAAATATAAAATAGTACTTAAATATAAAATAGTACTAAACTATTAGTAACAATAGTTTAAATAACATGCTAATTTTTATCTCAATGCAAGGCTGTAATAGAATAGTATTATAAATTACATGAAATGGTAAACATTTTTGCTTGTTCTCTTATTTAACTGTATGATATTTGGTATTGTTAAACAAAAATAATTTTTAGTATCTAGTCCCTTACATATCTTTAATAGCTACATCTCTTAAAGACTTATTAGAGTTATTTTATATTTTCAGTAAGTCCTAACAAATGTTTTTCTCTTTTTTTCTTGCATAAATCTGCTTTATTAGAAAGCTATAGGTAAGGGTACAAAGATTCAGTTTTAAAAGATGAGTAACTTCTGGAGATCTAATATACAGCATGGCGAGGATAGTTAACAATATTGTATTGTAATTTTCTAGGAGGGATAGATCTTAAATTAATTCCCCCAACTTCCACCCTAATGGTAGTTATGTAAAGGTGATGGATAAGTTAATTAACTTGATTTTGATGATTACTTTACAACATACAGGTGTATCAAAACATCACATTTCATACTTTATACTATTTTATATGTCAATGACATCTCAAAGCTGTTACAAAAGCTGTAGTTGACATTATAAATAACAGTAAGATTCTTCAAATAGTCATATGGTGCCATCAATGTATGGTGAGGCCTTGGACCCTGAATAAATCAAGAAAATGTATTCAAACTTAATACAAACTTAATTCAAACTTAAGAGGGAGCAATAGTGCAACATTTTATTGGTTGAAGTTTGCAGAAGAACACTGGATTCAGAGCTCGTCAAATATTCTGTATTCCTTGTCATAAACAAGATATAGATAGAAGAGTCGTGTCTTTTAGAAGAATTAGCAGCAAATATAAGGGGTTTCTTTTGTGCTGTTACAAATTAGATTTTTCTTTCTTCTCTTGAGAATCCAGACTGAACAATAGAATACTCTAAAAGGGAGAATTGCTGACACCAAGGCCAGTTTTTTAAAACTAAGTAAACAAAGAATAGAGATGTATGCTTGGCTTTCTGAATCGATTATCAGTGAAATCCTATTATGCCGTTCAGAATAAAGGCCTCAAAGTCAAGGTTTGATTTCCAAGCATTCACTGCTTTTAGTAGGCTTGGCCTTGGACATCTATAAAAGACTTAATTTTTACAAAATCGAATTTTCTAACAGGGATAAAGATCTTCATTTCTTAAAAGTTGACAGAAAATGAGAACTAATTTTACTCCTAATCTAAGACAATTAGCTAAATTTGTCAGCAACTGGTAGTAGGTTCAAGGCTAGATTGTCACTGAGCAGTCTTCTATAGTGAAAAAATATTGAACACTCATGTACTTCTAATCTCATCTGAAGCAAGAAACTGGAAGTATATGTGAATGTAAAACATTACTATTTGTCAGGGGTAGGGAGGAAAAAGAGGGCAACTGTCAATATATAATAAATAATATCATATAGAACAAAGGTCCCCAGCCCCTGGGCCATGGACCGGTCTGGGTCCCTGACCTGTTAGGAACCGGGCCACGCAGCAGGAGAGCATTACTTCCTGAGCTCTGCCTTCTGTCAGGTGAGCAGCAGCATTAGATTCTCATAGGAGCATGAACCCTGTTGTGAACGGCACATGTGCGTGATCTAGGTTCCATGCTCCTTATGAGATATCTAGTAATGCCTGATGATCTGAGGTGGAACAGAGTCATCCTGAAACCATGTCCCACCTCCATTTGTGGAAAAATTGTCTTTAACAAAACCAGTCCCTGTGCCAAAAAGATCATAGAATATATAATTGAGAATATAAAATACAATATAATTTTAAATAATACCAATTTATAGAATACCATTCACCTGTTATACATATTATTAAATATATCTTGCCAAATCAAAGGATTTTTACGGTCAAAAATATTTTAAGTTTTTTCGTAAAGAAAATTTATTCTGGAATTTTTATATTAAACATTATTTGGCTACTAATTTACATTGATATTTCCACAATTAAATAAAATCTTTGACATTCAAATAAAGATTATGACATAAAATAATAATTGCATTTTAAAGTCTTTGTGATATACAATGACAAATGAAACTTTTTGTTGAATTTTGTTGATATTTATTGAACTTCAGTAAATCAGAGTTCCACAATTATTTTTTGAGATTAGGTTTTATATGAATGAAAAATACAGTTTCATAATCTAGAGTAATATTTGCTGAAAATAATTTTCCAAGGAATTTGGCCTTGTTTTATTTTTCCTGTTATGAAAAAATGACGTTTTGTACCTTTTATTTTTTAAGAACTACAGTGTCAGGAAAACAGGAGAGACTAAAAATACTGTCTAAGAATAGAGAAAGGCACCAGCATAACCACATAAACTCTTTATAATATAAAACAAAAGATCTCCTGAAAAACAACTTTTAACTTTAAAAAGCACTTGACTTACCCGGTTGTAACCAGAATAGTTAAAAACAAAAAAACAAAACAAAACAAAAAAAACTTCCTAAATAAACTCTACCCACATATTTAGAGAGACAGACAGAAACAGAGATAGGGGCTAAGGGGCATCCTGGGGAGAGATAGAGACAAGGGAAGAGAGAGAGAGATAATGTGTGTATAAATACAATGGAAATGGCAGAGCACAATTCGTATCCAGGAAATGACATAAACTTGTTTTAGCATGGCCGGTATTGTGCATTTAGTGTTATATTATCTATCATCTACAGATTACCCTTTTATTTCAGCATTATTTATCCTGAGTGTGCTAATAGCATAAAAATGGAGAAATGTTGGGCACTTTAGTAATCTTGGATGAGCTATTTAATTTTATAAGGTTAAGAAGAAAAAAAGTCTGGTCTTTTCAAGGTACCAGAGTAATATAGGTTTATTAGTCAAATATAATGCATAATGTGGATCAGAAAAATATAGGCAGATAACCCAAGGTCTAAAATAGTATTCATTCTTCCTTGTTGGCTTTGATGCTTTATATATTTTCTTTTCCATTTTTTTTTTTTTTTTAGCTGCTTTCAATATTATTTGAGAAAAAACTTTCCTAGTGAAGCAGTTTTATCCTACTTTCTAGTTTTGGTATTTTAAGGAATTGAATGAATGATTCTTGCTCTATAATACTCTGAGGAAGAACTGGAGACACATATTCTCTCCGTAGTATAAATCTCTTGAAGAACATTGTTCAGTGAACACGATGTGCATGTTGTTAGGTAGATCCAGTCAAACTGCTCTCTACAAAGGCTGTAGTAATTTTGCATTCCTATGGCAGATCGTCTTTGAATTTTGATTTCTAGACATCCATAAAAAGACTGTGACTAATAGGATAATGGTTGCATTTAAAAGTCCCTGCAACTATATACTAACACATGGAAGTGTCTGTATTCTTACATCTTACTACACATTGGGTATATCAAATTTATAAACCGTACTGATGTGATAGGTGTGCAATGCCAATACTTTCATTCTGAGTCAAATTTAAAATCAGTTCTAGTGCCTAGTCTGGGAATTCTTTATATGATTTGCTCATTTGTAGATGAACACATTTTGAGAGAAATATTTTGAAATCTACCTTAGTAATGGCTTGTCTGAAAAAGAAAATTTTCAAAGCATCAACTGGAAATCTTAAAACATATTGCCAGGATAATAGGAATATTGTAGAGCTTGACTTTTTCCCTCAGTTTATAAAAGTATAATTCACAATCAGTGTGTCAGTACCCAATACTTAGTAGCTGTTGAGTTATCAAACAAAACTAAGAAAAAGTTAGCAGCCTTAAAAACAAATAAAACTTTATTAAAAATAACTAGATGTTATTGCCTAATATGAATGAAAGAATCAAGGAAATTAAAGAGATAGAATAGATTGGGGATTAATGAAGTCTATCTGGATCATAAATAAACATTTGTTTAGTAGAATGTTACTATAAAAGTCATAAATGTTTAAGAGAAAACACAATGTTCCTCTTTCTATGCTATTTTGTATATTGATATAAATATTCATGAATAGTGGGTATCAGTTCAGGTTATCTGTGTGAATATAAATTCTCATATAACTGGCTGCTTAGTGTTCATTGGATCATGCTTTTGAATATGAATTCTCTAGTATCTCAGATGCACGATGGATCTGATGCAGCTCATGAATATTCACACACACACAACTGATCTTTTTGAAAGTAATCGCATCCATAAAGATGAAAATCTTGTTAGTTTTCAATAATGAGGACTGCTTTAGCATGCTGGTCCCAGAAGAGTTTCACAATCACCTTGTTTTTGTTGATTTCTTTTTTGGTAAATGATACAACTTTAAAATATAAACACATAGGCCGTGCATCTTGTTTCACAGGCGCTGTTTTTAATTTTACCTTTAAAAAGGCTTGTGCATGATTTAACCATGATGGCATTCATTTCTTTTATTTGCTGTCATCACAGAAAAAAATAGAAAGACGTTAAGCTGTATCTCCAGTCTTTATCCTAAGCACATTTCCACTGTTCAGGCTTGGTCAGAGATTGTCAAATGCAAAGTGGCCCTGTCTGCTAATCTCTGGGGACATGGTGTATATTTTACATAGAAAATTATGCCTTTTTTTGTGTAAAGGGAAAATTATATTAGGCCAATTAAATTTTTAGTATGCTAGACTTGAGAAGTTATGATCATGAAGGGTCAGTTATAAATTATGCACTATTTTAACCCATATTATATCTTACACTTAACCCATATTATATCCTACATTATAATTGCTTCTCTTTCATTGTAATGAGTGGTATATGTTTGTAATACCTATCCAAGATTAGTTTCTAGTTATAAATACGTATCAAAATCAATCACCTGGCCCTTATCGGCACCATGCTCTAATTATTAATAGAAATAACCAGGAGAAAAAAAAAAACTATTGTTTATGAAGGTAGTGATAAAGTGTCAACTAGTTTGTTTCTAACACGGATATTGTCAAGCCTCTGAGTAAATTTTCCCATTACTAAAATATGTACATTTTTGTTGTATAAACATAGTTAATTAGCTATGCCCAATGACTTTTTTTCTTTTTTTTTTTTTTAAGGTAGCAGGCTAATTTATGTTGCTCTGCCGCAGAGAGTCATCAATAGTTGATTACTGTGGTCTTAAAACTCTGTCCTAAGGTGCCCCATAGGTTTCCTCAGAACTACCTCTGAGGATAAAAAGGAATACCACTCATTTCTCCTCATATTCTATGTGTCACAGTAGTTCTCAAGCAGGAGTGATTTTGCCCGCAGGGGCCATCTGACAGTCTGGAGACATTTTCGCATGTCACAACTTGGGGGTGGGGAGGTACTAGTATCTAGTGGATAGAGGCCAGAGATGCTGCTAAACATTTTCACAGGATTAGACCTCACAACAAAGAATAACCGAGGCCAAAATGTCAGTAGGGACACTGTCATACAAAGTTTTGTTTTCAGAAATTCTCTCCAGAGTATAAACCTCTTGAAAAACATCTTTCGATGAATACTATGTACATGTTGGTAGTAGATCCAGTCAAACTGTCCTCTAAAGTGTCGAAAACTTGTTGATAACTACTGGATTAGAGTTATTTTATAGGTAGAACAATGAACATATTTAATATTATTTTGTAAATAAATGAAGACATTCAGTTTTTAATTACAAATTTGAATTAATTAATGGTTTCTCTCTTTTTTGTTAGCAACAATTGTGTTAAATGAACTCAACTGGACAAGTGCCTTAGATGAAGTTTTCAAAAAGAATCGCGAGGAAGACCCTTCATTATTGTGGCAGGTTTTTGGCAGTGCCACTGGCCTAGCTCGATATTATCCAGGTAGGTGCTTAGTGATTCAATCATTGTCAAGTTCCAGCCTCAATGTTTCTGGAGAATACTCTGTTATCTTCCCTGATACTGTAAGAAAAATATGACTATATCACACTACTTTTATAAGGAAAGAACATTCCTCTTTACATGGCTTTGGATTGACCACAGTCACTTTAAACTGAAATACCTAAGGAGCAGTTGTGGAGCTATTGGTACCTGGAATCAGGCCATGCTGCTGTGAGACCATGAGCAGGTATCCTTAGGTATATACCTGGAACAGGAAATTACCATCAATCTTAAAACAGCTCTGAGATAAAGGCCCAACTGCTCAGCATGCACCAAGCTGTGAGTCACATTAGAGAATTGAATTGAATTTTTATAAATTGATTGAAATTTGTAACAAAAGTTTAATGTGTTTAATCAGTAGACGTGGATCTGTTAAAATGAGTAGGACAAGAAATAAAATGAAATCACAAAGAAAATAGAGTTTTTCTTATGTGTCAGGTTATATCACTTCTGAGTGCATCTCAGTGATCATACATACTCAATGAAGATGAATATATTTTATGTTAAAGTGAAAACATCTTTTTATAAATATGTATTATAAAAAGAGTAAGGAGAAATAGTAATTTCTATAACAAAATGAAAAATTAATTCCTAGGACATCCTGAAAACCTATTGAAAACACTTTAAGTGAAATGTCTACTGGTGTTTTTTACTTTCTCCACTTTTTAGAGCAAGCTGAAAAACATAAAATGCGTTTTCTTTCTCAAACATGATCTGAGTTATGGGATACGTGCTAGGTAATTTGGCTTTAAATTGCTACAGTATGACCTTAAACAGCATAATTCTTCTTGAGACTTGGGTGTCCTAAACATGTTTAACAAATTGAGTTATTCATATAAAAAGTCACAGCAGTAAATAAGGGTGAAATAAAAATTAGAAAATATATAAGTTTGGATTGTAATATTATAGCAATGAATGAAAGTATCTGGGTATCAATGGACTGAATGGTACTCAAATTAGGTAAAAACCATATAACTTCTGCAGGGTTGCAGATGCCAGATGGTAAAATCAGTAATAATTTTTTTCCGCATAAGTCCAACACACTAGGAAAAGCCAAGTTTGATTTAAATATTGAAAAAATGAGTTATAATTAAATATTTGTATTATTATCTGATGGGAATATATTACATAGTTTATCATTATAATAGTGGAATTTTCCCTTTATGGAATATTGTTCACTTTAGTAGAACCTTTCTAAACATAATCTTGTTAGTTTATTAACATGTTAAATACTATTATCAGAAGACTTAAAATTTGAGTATTATATTATATAATACTTATATAAGACAACATAAAGGAAAAAGACAACACTGCTCATGCGCATAATAAACCTGATGTAATAAACCTTAAAATTGTATCAGGTCTTATAAAACAATTATAAATTAGAAGACCTGATATAATTTAAAATATAGGAAATAGATATCTGATGTCCTATCCTATAATATACAAATATAAGAATATATTTGTCAGTAACTTACAGCATTATGTAGCTTTCAAGTCTTTTCATATATCCTTTATCATAACAATATTCCATATATAAGTAAGGGAAAGAGGGAAATGATAATTAAAAGAAAATTAGGATGATAATGAGCAGTCAAGAGCCCAGTATCGGAGAGAAAATGATGATATAGAGGAAGAGAGAAAAGGGTTACAAGAGAAAAACAAGAAGAGGAGAGGAAGGAAAGAATGCATGCAAAATGGGAGAGAAAACATGGGGATCAAGAGATGGATGGAAAGATAAGTTGTATTATGAACCCTTTTCAAAAATGGCTCTTTTAACAAATAGCAGTTAACTTTAAAAATTACTAATAAAACATATTCTGTAATTCTTTAACTTCAAATGCTAATTGAGGGATGATGGCTTTAATTTTTTGATGCTAATCATATATTTTCAAATGTGTTGACATTTGTTCACTTCATTTTGGAAAACATATTTAGATATTTAGCAGAATTCATGTGGTCTTGATAGAGGCAGGAGACAGACAAAAATCTATGAAGATGGGACGGGTTTCCAGTGAAACATTACTTTCAAGCAGAAGACGGTTTAAAGCCTAGCTATAAGTCCTGGGTAAATCCTCAGACCAGATTGAGAACCTCCCTTCTTGTTTGATGTGCTTTCCTCTGATTGATCCCCACCCTTCATCTATTTTACATATACGTACCCTTTCCTAATTGGTTTTTTACACTGTCATGCCCACCTTTGAGAAGTGCCTTTGTTTTAGCCTTTTTGCATACTTACAAACCAATCAACATGAACTCCCCGTTCTGAGTCCATAAAAGCCCCAGACTCAACCACACTGAGTAAGAGACCACCTGACATCAGGTAGAGGGATGACCCATACATTCCTTCTGCTCTAAGAGCTTTCTCATTGCTCAATAAGATTCTTCTCTGCTCTCCCCACCCTTCAGTTGTCTGCGTAACCTCATTCTTCTTGGAAGTGTGACAAGAACCCATGAAATGTGGGTACAAAGAAAGTTGTAACACTATGGTCCTCTGCCCTCCGCTGGTGGAGGACAGCTGCCCCATACATCAGGAAGCAGTGGCAGGGCTGAGCCAGCCCCAGAGCCGTGGGCCAGAGTGGAGCAAGGGACTGACAGAGTTGTTAACCTGCCACCATCCATTAGGCTGCAGATGGCGGGACTTAAAGAACTAATTAGCATGCTGTAACACATGCTTCAGGGTCAGGGGCACCCCTGCCTGGGTGCCACCACGTTTCCGCATTTGAGGTGCCAGAGTCCACCATGAGAGTCACTTATGACATGCCTGGTCTAACCACAAGCCCCACATAGAGCCCGCTTCTGTGCCAGCACTTGGAATGGCGGACCGGAGCCTGCACTCACTTGCTCACACACCCCCTCCCACCAGAGGCTGGGTGCACAGTCACAGTGGCTGTGGGAACCACGCTGGAGTGCAGGCCGGGTGCTGACCAGCAGGCACAGTAGATGGGGTGTCTCCTGCGGTGAACCCGGACCCAAGCAAGGCCTGGGCAGGGGTGTCACTGGCCAGAGGTCTCTGGCTGGCAAAGTGACCAAGAAAAGTCCTGCACTAGTCTTTCCAAAACATTAGCTGTGGAAGCAACCATGTGCCCACTCACAATACCTAGGTTTTAAGTAAGAGTTTGGCAAGCAAAATGACTCACCAAATAACAGGCTGAATTCATTTACCTGTTACAGGAAGGTCATTAAAATAGCCCACTTGACTGCTAGGGAATACACTTGAATGGATTTTAGTTTAGTGAATCTGTTACTGAGTTGCTCTTTATGACAGTAATGATATAATATAACCAAGTATTTAGTAAAGACATTGAGACAATGTCATAACTTTAAAAGTGGGCGATTGTGTTTCTGTTTTTGTAAGACTGTGTTTTTAACACAAAAACACAGCTTTGTTGAAATGACATGATTAAAAAATTTTTGGGGAGACTATATATACTTCTCTGATCATATCATTTTGATAGAAGCAAAATAATATAGAAGGACTCACCCCTGTTTACTGTATGTTAAACCAGAGGTCAAAAATAGTCTTTTAGTATTTTAATTATCTTAACAATAAATGGCAACAGCACATATGTTACTTCTACTTAATTGAACTTTTACATGGAAGACTTGACCCTCAGGCTAGGCTCTCCCTGCTAGCTGTGAGAACCTAGGTAGGTCTCCTAAACTCTCTGAGACCTAATCATTAAATTTGAAAAAGTGGAACATTAATAACTCCTCATTTTATCCCCTGGGGGTTATTGTGATCAATGAGATAATATGATGAAAAGTACTTTGAAAATAGGAAACAGTAGGCATTTCTACAATAGTGCATGTCAACTAGAATAATTTTGCCTAAATGCAGCTTTCTCTTTATCTCAGACATTAAAGAACATAATTGAAGCTTACAGTGAGTTGACAAGGAAACTGAAATAGAACTCTGGAAGGAATCTAAACATGACTGAGCCATAAAGTCAGGCAATAACACCACGTAGTGAAACTGGTCAGGAGACGGATTGTAGCTGATGGCCTTAGGTCACTTTTCTGTAGGGCTGCCAGATACGATAAAAGATGTCCAATTAAATGTCAATTTCAAATAAGCAATGAATAACTTGTTAGTGTAAGTATGCTTCATGCAATATTTGTGATACACTTTTGCTAAGAAGGTATTTATTTTTTATTGAAATTCAAAGTTAACTGATTGTCTTGTATTTCTTTTTGCTAAATTCATCAACCTTGTCTTTCAGGCTTTCAGTTTCTATATTTGTAATATGGGAAAGTCAGCTTCCCCATTACTTCACAGTATTGTAAAGATCAAGCAAAGCCTATTCGTCCAGATATATAGAATTTTATAATTTTCATTTTTAACTTCTGTAAGCTACCTATTTTTATTTTTGTAAGTGAATACTTGCCACAGAGCTATTGAAAATAAAATATTTTGCAGGAACTAGAACCTTCTGATTCACAATAGAAGCTAAAAAATATCCTTGTTGATTATTAATATGCTACTTAAAGCAGAGTCACATACAAAGAGGCAGGTGAGCAATTTATTTTTATATATATACACACCTATATACATATATAGGTATATAGGTGTGTATATATATATAGGTGTACATATATGTATATATATACACACATCTATACATATGTACGCATATATATACGTATATATATACACACATATATATTTTTAACCCCATCAGTATTATGTACCCATAATAATTAAAAATAAAAAAATTAAAAATTGAAAGATAATATGTATAAGTTTTGACATACACACACATATTGTAGAATGGTTAAATCTAGCTAATTAACAAAGCCTCACCTAACATAGTTATTATTATGGTCTATATATCATCATTAACTAAAGTCACCGTTTATATGATAGATTTCTTGAATTTATTCCTCCTCTCTAACTGTAATTATGCGTCCTTTGACCAACATCTCCCCATCTCTTCCTCCCTTGTAACCAACCCAGTCTTTGGTAACCGCCATTATAGACTCTGTGTTCTATGACGTCAACTTTTTTTTTTTTTTTTTTGAGACAGAGTCTCACTTTGTTACCTAGGCTGGAGTGCAGTGGCGTAATCTCGGCTCACTGCAACCTCTGCCCCCTGGGTTCGAGCGATTCTCCTGCCTCAGCCTCCCAAGTAGCAGGGATTACAGATGCATGCCACCATGCCTGGCTAATTTTTGTATTATTAGTAGAGACGGGTTTTCTCCATGTTGGCAAGGCTGGTCTCGAAGTCCTGACCTCAGGTGATCCACCTGCCTCAGCCTCCCAAAGTGCTGGGATTACAGGTGTGAGCTACCACACCCAGCTAAGATAGACTTTTTTAGATTCCACAGTAATTATATTCTTGAATCAGATAGCCAGAATATAAACCCCACCTCCACCAGTATACTTTGTATGATGATGACCTTTGGAAAGTCCTCATTGACCTCAGCTGTGAAACAAGGAGGATAACAATGCTTAGATGGTATAATTGTTAAGAGAATAAGAAGCATTAAATCTGTTTGGAGCATATTGCCCAGATGTAGGGGAAAGTTAGAGTACTCTCATGATTTTCATTTATCAGATTATTTAAAATACATAGAAACACTGACTTCCAGTGAGATCTCTAGAGCTAGCGTAATATAAAGGTACCTATGCAGTGCTGACTCAAAACAGTAGTTCCGTAATTAATGGAGATTTAAACTCTTAATGTCTGTCCTTGGACTGAACATGAACCTGCTTTATAATTTCATTGATGTATATGGAAATAAGCTAAGAAAATCATTGGTGTCTGTCCTTTTTCTTCTCACTTCTTCTTTTTTCTTTTTTTCCTCTTTCTCCACCCTCTTTCTTCTTCCTCTTTCTCCTCTCCTTCTTGGAAGGCAGGTAGACTATGAGGAGTTCTAGGTTCTTATAAAAGCTGTCATCACCGTCACTTTGTACTTTTAAGTCATATTATATTTCTGTACCTGTTTCTTCATCAGTAACTTGGGATGATTGAACAAAATGATTTCTAAAGCAAGCACTAGTTTTATCTGCTTATAGCCTGCTGTAGCATTTGCTACATCCACAGTCTTTGTTTTGCAAGATAAGTAGAATGACTAGCCCTAGTCATACAGCTAGCTCATGACATAGATATGATTAGGAACTCATATTTAATGATGTCTTCCTTGAATATGTGCTCATTGGAAAATCAGTTTATCTTGCAAGTTCTTTCCTTTAGAAGCTCTTAACTTATTTATATAAATTAAAGCTATTAAAAACTGCTTTCAATAGCTATCAACTTTGTGAATTCTTATGCATCATAAAAACCATAGGTACAAACTGGTCATTTCACCTGTTAATATCTCCTGAAATTGTACCAATTGTTGCAGTAATTGGGATTGTTATTAGGAATCAGTGGTTCATTGAAATGCCAATGTAGCCAGCACTTACTCTTTTTTTTAGACAATTAGTTGTATTTATTAAAAAAGGGAGAAAACTAAAAATCTACTTCATCTCCGTATGACGTTTACTTAATGTCTTATTATTTGTTCTTTCTCTGCCCTGCCTCGTTTGTTAATTTCAAAACTATGAGATTACAATAAAGGAACCTAATGTGTATTAAGTTAATGTAAAGTAGACCTCTGAGAGACATCTTCTTGTTGCTATTTCTGCTAGGATTTTGCTGGAATAAAATGCAAAAGAATCTCTTACAAAGTATATGGAATGACTTTTTTTTTCCATACAGGTAGCCAATAGCTCTTAAATTGTGTACCACTTTTTGAACAATAATTTAGGAATATTTTAAGCATCAAATAGCAGATGATAAGGTAGTCCAAAGAATACTTTTTAAAGTTTAGTCATAAATGAAGCGTTCGATCTATTTTTAGCCAACTAGAAGAAAATGGGATACCAGTGGAGCCTCAACATTTATAGTATTTATAGAAGTACTGCTTTTGGTTTTCTCTAAAAATGCCTGATTTTTTTTTTTTTTTTACTTTAACATTTGTTTATGGACACATAGTTCAACTATAAATGTATATAGTTGTTGATCATTATATAAACTTTAAATTGAAGTGTTTATTACATTTTATGCTAATAATTATTAAAGTCCAGTGTATTAGTTAGGACTCTTACTAGCTACCAGTTGAAGCAAATCCAAAATAATAGTGATTTTTAACACTATGGAAGTTTGGTTTTTACTCATGTCAATCAGAGTTAACGTAGACTGGGGCAGGTAGGGAAACTACACAAATAAGGGGTCTGCACCCAGATCTCACTACTCTGTCATTCTCTGAGCATGGGCTCTGCCTTAGAGTCTATTGTTGTTACTTGTGCTCTTTATTAGGAGCAAAGAATGGTATTCTTCTTTGCCCCCTTTTTAAGGGAACTTCCCGGAAATCACATAAAGCATTTTCTTTCATTTGTTTCTGGCCAGAATTTAGTGGTCTCTTGGTCATAGTTACCTTCAAAATGGCCATATATCCAGCTAAATGGCAGGGGGCTGTACTAAGTAAGAAAAGGAAAACAGATATTGGGGAACAAAAAGCATCTCTGCTATGGTTACTATATGGACATTTGTGTTTTAAAATAACAAGTTGTTTCTGCCTTTTAGAAAATTTAAATTTAATTAGGTAGTCAACTTATACATCTAAATTAAATACATCTTAAATTTAGATTGCAATACAAATTATTAAATGACTAAATGCCAAGTCACTTAAATAGAATAGCAATAGATTTGCTATAGAAATTTTGAAAAAGAAGAGGTAATTATGGATTAGAGTCATATAAGAGGTTTATGAACTTTGGATTGAAAACCAAGTCAATGAAGAAGAGAAGGCAAAATGTTTCTGGAGGGAAGAATGGCATAAAATAAAAATATAAGGAGATGAATAACCACTGCTGGAGACTAGTGAGGTCAGTTAATCCAATAGTTTGTTATAGAAAAAGTAATATTGAATCAAAAGGTTTATTAATGGTAGAATATGTCGCCTTGAATGTCAGAATGGTTTGGGATTTAATGTGTAGGCAAAGTACCACAAACATTTTGGGCACTGTAATGCAATGATTAAAGCACTTAATATTATGATTAGAAGGAGAAAGACTTGGGGAAGCTTGACCAGAAGATATGCTATTTTAATGGTCAGATGTGGAATTTTAAAGATCTGAAAAAGGGATCAAATAGGAATTAATTCTTAAATAGAAATGATGATATCAGACTTTATTTTTTAAAAACATGAATTTAATGACTGATGTAGAGTGTCAGTTGAGTATCATTTTTTAAGTTGAATGGATGAGAATATCAAAGCTGTTTACCAAAATTAAAAATCAAAAGTTCTTATTTTGGGAGAAAAGTGATGAGTTTAACTTAGAACAGTAAAGTTTGAGGTGTTGACAAGAGGGTACAAATAGCTCTGTTTACGCTCAAGCACTGGTTTCATATTACGTGGTTTTCTTTGCTGTATACTATCCATCAATTGTGTTGTGTGGGGATGCATTTTACACATACACAAAAGGATGACATACTGTTTTAAAATTCTGATTTCATCATGATTATGAAGGCAATTCTGTAGCATTTTTGTTGCATTTTGTATAACCTTATCTCTTACCTGAATCTGTCTTATTTTTCACAGATAATGGTCGTAATAATTGTTCACCTTATGGTCAACCAAGGATGCAGTCATACCTAAACTGACTAAATGATTGATTTTATTGCTCACAGGTTAGAGTAGGTAAACAGGTTGGTAATATGAAAATGAGAGCCATTTGTAATTTGAATGGGGATAACATTATATGCAAAATATGTAAATAAGTATTGCTAAAAAAATTTAGCTGTTTTCAACTTCTAAGATATATCTCTCAATCTGTTTCTTTTTTCTTTCTGTGTTACCAAATTTCTGTACTTATGCCATTCATTTTTAGATGCATAGAACATCTTTGCTGTGTAATTCATTTATGTTCAGTATACTTGATTATGAAAAATTAAAAAGATTTTTTTGTCAAAAACTCAGATGTTTCAAGCACTTTCTCAGATATGCTAAATATAAACTTTTAAAGAAATCTATCACTATCACCATCATCTAAGATTTTCACTTACAGAACTAGGAAACTTGTTCCTGTAGAATCATAGTTTGTTTTATGTTTTTAGCAATGTCATTATTGTCATCTAATTGAATTTATTTGCTTACAAAAATAAGAAACATGTTTCTCTGTCAGACTTCACGTTTTTGTCTGTGTAGCACATATCTAACATCATTTCCCAGTAAATCCTCCCCAACACTTGCCTCATAGAACTTACTGTGCTCACGCTTATTTCCAAGTCACTTAATGACTGCATTATGGGACATCTAAAGGATTAAATGTTTGTGTACCATTTACTTTATTGAGTATTTCATTTAACTACCCGACTTTTCCCTGTTGACTGCTACTCCTGCTGACAGACAGATACCCCTTTAAATAAAAATGCTTTAAGTGTGTTATCTGGCATCTTCAGTATTACCAGTAATCCACTTTGTAATAAGGGTTTTTTTTTTTTTAATTATGGTGATTTATCCTCAGCTGTAATACCATGTATCTGTGTATGGGTTTCTGCCTATTGTTTATAAGAAGTTTGAGAAAACTTCTGGAAATAGAGAAAACCAAACACCACATGTTCTCACTCATAAGTGGGAGTTGAACAATGAGGACACATGGACACAGGGAGGGGAACATCACACACTGGGGTCTGTCAGGGGATGGAGGACTAGGGGAGGGATAGCATGAGGAAAAATACCTAATGTAGATGACGGGTTGATGGGTGTAGCAGACCAACGTGGCACATGTGTACCTATGTAACAAACCTGCACATTGTGCACAAGTACCCCAGAACTTAATTAAAAAAAAATTCTGGAAATATTACAGTGGAAATATCAAAGTCACTCTCCAACCAATATAGTGATATGATCTGAATATCCTAAATACCGAGACTCACTGCCCAGAAACAAAATTAAAATTCAAAATTATTTGATTAGATCAGTGTAATTAAGTCTGGACGAAGGAGGAAAGACTGATAAGAACAAGGCAGAACTTCTGTTTCTGAAGAAACTGAGATATCCTGAGGATTCTAATACCAGTAAGAGAAGATTTTTCTCTAGAGGAGTTCACAGGTGGATGAAAAGGAAAACTTGTAAACACATTAAAATATAATGCAAACAAAGTGCTAGTAAAATTATTTCAAAATGATGTGGAGGGCCAGGCACAGTGGCTCATGCCTGTAATCCCAGCAGTTTAGGAGGCCAAGGAGGGAGGATCATCTGAGGTCAGAAGTTCAAGACCAGCCTGGCCAACATAGTGCAACCTCATCTCTACTAAAAATACAAAAATTAGCCAGGCGTAATGGCGGGCACCTGTAATCCCAGCTCCTCAGGAGGCTGAGGCAGGAGAATTGCTTTCAACCTGGGAAGAAAAGGTTGCAGTGAGCCTAGATCGTACCACTGCACTCAAGCCTAGGCAACAGACTGAGACTCCATCTCAAAAAATAAAAAAGTAATAAAAGTGATGTGGGGTAGAGTTAGATTATCAGCTGTCTGGTGAATTATACAAGCTGGCATTGTCTAGTTAATGGCATCTGGCTCTCTTACCATGACATTCAGACCATCCAAAGATTCTAACTCAATCTACGTTTCCAGTTTTATCTCTTAATGTACAGTTCAAACTTCATTGTTTACCCCTGTATTATATTTTCTCCACTTTTAATTTTTTTGTTTTATTTTCAATTCTACAAATCTGCCTTTTTGTGTTCGTGTCTCTATGTGCCTAGTTCCTAGAGCCCATCTCTGGTTGTGTGCATCTTATCATTCATTCAAAATAAAATGCAGGCCGAGAGTGAGGGCTGACGCCTGTAATCAAAGCATTTTGGGAGGCCGAGGCAGGCGGATCACCTGAGGTCAGGAGTTCGAGACCAGCCTGGTCAACATGATGAAACCCCGTATCTAATAAAAATACAAAAATTAGCCGGGTGTGGTTGTGGGCACCTGTAATCCCAGCTACTCGGTAGGCTGAGGCAGGAGAATCACTTGAACCCAGGAGGCAGAGGTTCAAATGAGCCAAGGTTGCACCATTGCACTCACGCCTGGGCAACAACAGTGAAACTCCATCTCAAAAAAATTAAAATAAAATAAATAAAATACCAACATATGAAGACTTGCCCCCAAAGCAATCTTTCTTTATTTTGTTCTCACAGATAATTTTGTTTTTATGTATATTACAATAGATAGTGAATTTTACCTTCTTCCAGAATTTATTTTGCATATGCCATTTTAAAAACCATTTCAATCTATGCAGTGAGAAATAGTTAATTACATATTTGTATGCCTCGTATCACCTAACACAGTTCTGTGCATATAGTGTATAATAGGTATTTTTTTAAGCTGGATAAACAAGTCAAGATCATAAGTACTAGAACTGAAAGAGAGTTTTAGAGTAGAATTTTAGAGGATCAGTTTCTAAATAAAAATGAAACAAGGAGAACAAGCAGTTGGAGAATGTTAAGGAACATAGAGTTACTGTTTTCTAGGTCCCTGTCTGCACATCTTGCCCATCCTGTCCTCTCATCTATGTCAGTATTCTCCATGAGGTTTCTGAGGATAATATCATGAAGTCAGTTTTTAGATTCCTAGAAAGTTTTATTGACTGTGTAACACCAGCCTGCATCAGGGAGGTGGAATGGGATGGGAAAATAGTATCATGTTCAAGCCCCAGTCACAGGAACATGTTAAGTGGTTAACATCTAAGCATATCTTATAAAAATCTATTTTTAAATATCTATAATCTATAGTTCCAGTGACTCAGTGGTACTGTTTCAGGTATCTGTAAATGGAGTGCTTATTTTGTGCCAACTATGGTTCTAAGTGTTTATGTGTAAAATTCATTAAGTCTTAGCTGTAATCCTAGTAAGTGGCATTATTAGTCCCATTTTACTGAAAAAAAAGTTAATTTATCCAAATTCATGCACCCAGTGAAAAATCCAGGTAGGCTGGTTCCCAAATTCATGATTTTAATTTCTACACTAGGCTAGGTCCAACCAGGGAAGACAATTTCAAAATGACAACAGAATGGACTCTTCATATTAATATTTACTCACCTGGAATGCTTGCTTTCCTGTCTTGTCTTCTGCTTGTGAATCTCCTTGATGGTTCTAAGCCATAAAGCTTTAGACATTCAGCATTTGAAAATTTCATCTGGGAATGATTGTTATTTTTCAAAAGTAACTGATTACTTGGGACCATGTATTTGGGACTCACTAGAAGTCTTATATAGCAATAAGCAGTTTCCTGGGGACAAAATAATACTCTCCTAAAAATACATGGGAATGAGAGCAATACAGTGAAGCAGACTTTTAAAAAGTTTTTTACTTTTATTTTTAATTTTTATGGGCACATAGCAGGTATATAATTTTGATACAAGCATATAATGTCTAATAATCACATAAGGGTGAGTGGGGTATTCATCACCTCAAGTGTTCATCATCTCTTTGTATTATGAACATTCCAATTGTACTCCATCAGTTATTCAAGACACCACATGAAGGTTTTGCCTCCTTTGCATTCTCAAAGCTTTAATGCTTGACCCATGTTGGCATGATTGAGAAAAGTCCTGACCTGTATCAAGGTACTGATTCAATTACTTAATAATATATAACAAAGGAAACATTTAAAAAATACTCGGAGGAAAAATTCCTACCGAATAGGTAAATCAGTGCTTAGGGTAACCCTGGTCCATGATGTTGTCCAGCAACTGAGGTTTCAGCTATCTGCCATTCCTTAGGTTGTTGTCCTCATCTGTCTGATTAAAATGGGCTCAATACCACCGTAAAACTTTTGAGGCCAAAAGAAGACAGGAAAATTAGTAGAAGGCAACAAGAGTGATTGAAGAGTCATGCATATATCACTTTTGCTCACATCCTATCTACTAGAATTTGATCACATGGCTACATCATGACAGGAGAAACTGAAAAGTATAGTTTCTGGCAGGGCAGTCTTGAGGACTCTTACTAGAAGGAAGGAGGAGGAAATGCATATTGAAGCCCTGTTACAGGCCATTCTTCTGGCATTTCAAGTATCTGTGCATACCATTTTTTTCCACGTGTAGAACATATTCAGCTCCTCCCCATAGATGATTCAAAGTCTCAACAAATGAATAAAATCCAGGATCTCTGGGTCACACGCAGTTCTCTCCATCAGGTAGGATGTTTCCTCATTTGACTACCTATAATACAGAATTATGCCAGTTATTTTCTCTACCCTATTCCCATTGCTGCCCAAATATATAATATTCATTGGTCATGTCTGCTGGGTAACTACGATAAAAACTCCCATCTGCAAAATGAGAGTGAGAAATACAGAACAATCACTGACCCATTCACCCTATCTCATTCTATCAGGCAAGAAATACAAAGATATCCTTCTTTTGCATAAAGCTACGTTTCTTGGTTAGCTCATCTCACTGTTTCTGGTAGTATTCTCTAGGATTAACTATCTTGTCTAAAACACTTTCTGGCACATCTGCAGGGGTGTGCTTGAGGCTAAACAGCTTTTATTGCTTGCTGTTACTGGTGCAGGTTTAGAGCCCAAAAGTTGCTTTAGGGTTCAACTACAGCATTGCCGCAGATCAGGTTTGTGGTTTCGTTAGTAACACAACATCAACAACAATGCCCAGATGACTTCTAGTTGTTGTTCTTTTCATCAGTAAATTTCTTGTGCAAGCCACTTCAGTCCTAAAATTTAGTCTAGAAATAATTCTTAATACTGGTATGTTTTATTTATTTGTTAGATTCTAAATTTAGCTTATCCTCATCTCCGTCATCTCTGTGGTGGATTACTTGAAGACATTGCTGAGTACAGAAAATTTGATGTTCAAATAGGTACTGGATATTACTCATTTTTAAATTGTCCATTTGTACCTGTGACCAAGGTTGCTAGCTGTCCACCAAAGTTCTGTCTTCCCATTCCATTGGGAAATTTTCTTTTAAATAAGACTCCCTAGCCAGGGACTACATTTCTCCCACCTTTTTGTCTCTGTAGGACCATATGACAAGTTCATACCAATAGAGAATGAGTGAAAGTAATATGTGTCACTTCCAGCCTGAGACTTTTAGGACTTGAGACTGCTTTCTCCACACTTCCTCCCTCCATCTAGCAGCTGCAAGCCCAATGTCCTGGATGCCCTTGGAATCCAAGTGCTGAAGGAGGCAAAAGATCTCCCAGCTTTAAGACTGCATAACTGCCTGGAGCAGAATCTATCCATGCACTACCACTCTCCACACCCTGCGCAACTTAGCCTGTTATTTGAGTTAGAAGTACTTTACTATACTAAGATACAAAAGATTTCAGATTTTTCATTAAGGCATTTGTGCCACCATGGGTAACATAGAATCTTGTTCCTGTATGTCAAGTATTTCCCAGGTTAAAAGTTTTATTCGGGAGCAGATAACTCAAAATCTGAAAAGGCCAGCTATTTGCTTTCCTAGATTTTTTGGCACCTTTGTGTGGGTATAATCCACATTCTTCTAATGACAGTCATCTACCCTGAACTTGGTTATTGGAGCCATGGTGCAAATTAGGGACTGTGGAGGATCCATTCTGGGATGATAGTAATTGAGCAACACTGAAATTTATGGAAATTTTGTGAGCTATGCAGTACACATTTAGTGAAATAATTTGGGCTTGAAAATAGTCCCAATTGATTATCTTGGCTTGCAGTTCAGAGCCATGACTAATACTCTATAGGAGATGATTGAGACAAACCGAAAATAATGGTCCACCAATTAGATCTAGGCAAAGGACCAGGAGTGACTTTTAAAGGCATTGTTGAGTATATGAAATTTACTTTTTAAAATTATCATGAGACTAAGACTGTGAAGTTTTTAGGATTAGAAAAAATACATTTGAACTTTTTAATTGGGAAATGCAATTAGCTGTCATTTGATGTTTCTACCGAGAGAATCAGTCCTCAATGCATCATTATTTGCTTTATTCTTTCCTAGCAGCTGAAATAAAAAAAAAAGGGGTACTTCGCTATTATTTTTAGACCATGTTAACCAGAAAATGGCACTAAAATCTGCGTACTTTCTCAAGAATATTTTCCTATTACGTATATCAGTATTCTGAGTTAATGCACAAGTAAATACCTGCTTAAATCAACAATTTGATAACACCCGTAACACATCCTATGTATCAGGTGAAGTAAATGGTAGACCAGTAGATTTAGTAAAGGACACACTAACAGTTCATTTTTGATCAGGGGAAAACATTCCTGTAAATCATTGTTATCACCTTTAATGATGACATTCAAAAAAGAGACGTCTACATTGTGAACTGTCATTTTCAGTTCTCTTTTCTGCCCATCCCCAAATCTTCCTGAAACACTAAAAAGTCATCTAAACTGAGCAACATTTCACTTTTTACAGGAATTTTGGAAGTTCTCTTTCCCTTTCTAAACATGCAGCTTTCACTGTGCATGGTTATGAAACTGATTATTTCAGGGAATTAACTTGTATGGTTATTAGCCTTTTTACTCTTTGATCTTTCATAATTCTGAGCCTATATAAGGAATGAACTATTTAAATGACATGATGGGATTTTACAACAAGGGAATTAGTAATATCACAGAAGAAATTATGTTGTTCAATTTTACCATAACATTAATATCTTAATTTGGTTTAATCAAGGGATACTACCTAAGAGTAAATATCTCAGAAAGCCTCTAAGAGAAGATTATTAATATTTTGAAATATAAACCACCTAAGGTTATAAACAATATTAAAATGTAATAGTCTGGCTCATACTGTAAATTATAGCCTTTTAACTTTTTTCTTTCCTTAAAGATATACATTTTATGGAATATAGTAATATATATCACAGTTAATTTCAATTAGCAATGGTAGTGACAACAGAAATCCTAGATGAATGTGATCGGTAAACAATTCAAAAATCTAATTGAAACATAACTTTCAAATTCCAATTTCTTTAAGTTGTTTATCAGATTCGTTGCAGACCACTTTTAACTCAGGATTGCTGCTGTCATATTGGCAGTGGTAACTAATCACTTCTCTCATCTACCTTTGTGTCAGTCTGGGTTCAATCAGAAGAGAGAAAAAATACAGCATTTTGAACAAGGAAAATTTATTTTTCAATAAAAAATTATCTACAGTAGGGATTGGAGTAATGAGGGATTGGCTAGAAGTACAGAGAACTCTAAAGGATTTATGAATATCCGATATAATATTATATAATGTGTAATAACAACTGCCTCTAGGGTTGAGATAGAGTGCCCAAGGCAGAGGTCCTAATCCCCCAGTTCCCCTGGGCTGAGGTTAACATCTTGTAGAGGCCATGGTCATGGCCCACCAAGGTGGAGAAGTCACTGTTATGCCACACTGATAGGATTTGCTGGAAATTTACCCTCTGAGGTTCCAGGTCTTTCCTTGTAAGCTCTCCTCTACAAAAATATCTGGGGCAGGGGGCGGGGCTGGAGGGGTACAGGTGACAAAATTAGAGCCTGAGCCTGGTGAAGCTGGCCATGTTGCTGGAAGTGGGCAATCTGGGGAAACTGCAACACTGTAGGAGCTGAGCTCTGGAGAATATACAGACAGTGCAGGAGACAGACACCAGACAGCAGCACATGCTGCAAGAGCCTGTGAGCAAACAAACCAGAACAAGGAAGAAAAATCCTTTTTCTCATTCAGTGTCTGTCTTGCATCATTTGCAGGCAAACCTTGAAATTGTGCCATCTGATAAAGGAAAAGTATTGAAAGGGCCCAGATCCATTTTCATAGGGCAAGGTAGAAGGATGCATTTGGAGTTGAGTGGCAGGAAATGTATTATCAGCATAGCATGGTACTGAAAGTAGGATACAATTTCTATAAAATTTTAGGTATTACTAAGACCCTATCTTGGAGAGTCAGATATCATAGAGGGATAATGAAAGTGAACTGATGTGTGTATCAGCATGCTTGTTACTTAATTCTAGTGCTACCACACACATACACACAAAAAGGATTATTTTACATCGCAGACTCTCACTTTCTGCAAGTGCAAATTGAACAAATTGCAGTAAACTCACCATTTCAGTTACATTGATTGTGTCAATAATGGTTGGAAGAGTGCTATATTTAAGCTTACTATTCTTTGTAAATATGATTAGTCATTTAGAACAAATAAATCATTTTTTAATATAGCTACTAATAAGAAAAAAATTTCACAGTCAAGGAAGAGTTTCATTGTATATAGTTTTTGACATATCCTAATTGGCCAAATTATCTTAGTTGGCTAATAAACCTGACTCTCAGTAAAGTTCTTCATAATTTCCACAGTTTCTCAGAAAAGCGAAATTGATTGGGGAACGTAAGTCATATGAACTAGGCATTTGCCCAGGAGTCATATGTTTAAACATGTCCAAGTACGGGGACTACTTCAGCATGAAATTATCATCCAATTCATCAGCATTTATTTTTTTCATTAGGTCTAAGGTGTGCATGCATGTAAAGCTTTGTAAAGCATTTTAATTAAAGTAAGTATCAATTTAATTAGAATAGATTTAAATTAATTGCATTTAAAAATCAATACAATTAGATGAAGTTATTTCTGATTATTGCAAAAAGATAAAGGCTGTGAAAGTCATACAAGATTGTTGAATCTGCGCTTGAATTACTTCACATCATTACAATAAATTTAAAGAAAACAGCTTTCTATGGAGTTGTTTTAATTATAGCTGACCTTTTAGTTATTTTACCATGGACTGAGTAAAATTATGCTATTACATAAAAACCCAAGAAAAACAGCTGTCTTATATAGACCAAGAGAATATGGCATTGAACGAAAATATAAGGAGGAAATAATTGAAAGCACAATTTTCATTAGTGGCACATAAATTTTCTGTTAGGAAAAAAATTATAACCTCTGGACACCTACTAAAACATATTAAGTTAGCACCCGGAAAAACTGTATGTGTAAATTTATTTCTGAAATAACTCGTAAAAAGAGAATCGACTATCATTGATTTCCTTTTTGTACTGCCGTGTTGTTTTCCATGTTAAAGCAATATAAGGGCTTAAAAATGATATCTCTCATTTGAACATTGAAGTACGTAAGTGAAATTATGTATCTATTGCTTTTTGTGATTTTTAAAGTCTCATTATTTTTAGAGCATATCTAATATTTTGATTTAATATCTCTCTTTTTTTTTTTTTTTTAGCTTCACCATGGGTTGATAATAGTAGAACTCCAAATAAGATTGACCTTTATGATGTACGCAGAAGACCATGGTAAGAATTTTTAGCTAGCCATGAAAAGATAAAATAGGCAAGAAGATATATATTTGCTAAAAAGTCAGAATTTTTTATTATTAGGATGAGTATTAACTACTTATTGAAAGTGATCTGATTTTTAAAAATAAGTAAATATAGGTAAAGGTAAATGAAAATGATGAGTTCAAGTGGGTAATGCTAATTAATATAGGTGAACCCATTTATCACATTCATTTCAAATGGACTACTTTAAGTTTTATATTTAATCTCAGTACTACACCTCTTAGCTGGTATGGATTTCTATGGCAGGGATCCAGTTTGCTTGGAGTAGAGCTCCAACAGAGAGATGAGATAGAGTAGGAGATAATTTGCCTCTGGCAGTGAACTAATGAGAATTGGCCCCAAGGTAAAAGCTGCCCCTAGTTATATTCATATAGCTTAGGTTTAATTTTTTTTCCAAAATGAAGACTTATTTGTTCCTCACTACTGAAGCAACTTGTTCTCCTAACATAAAACTGGAAAAATACCAATAATTTGTAATTGGACTTACTGGAAAACAACTATTTTTGGGTTTTTTAAAACTATTAATTGTATTTATTTGCTTTTTAAAAATGTATTTAATGTGTGAATTTTAAGAAATGAGTTCACATATACAGTATAAGTGCTTTGTATCCCACACTTTTCATATCAATAACTTTTGAGTACATATTCATGAGAAAAGACACATACCATCATTTGAATGAAGACTATATGGAAACTTATTTATGAAATCCCTTATTATTGGACGTTTAGGTTATTTCTAACTTTTTTCTAGGCTTCAGACAAATTGCAAGAGCATAATGTTTGATTCCAAAGACTTGTATTTAGAGGCTTTTAGATGTCCTTTTAAATATCCCAGTAGCAATTTATGTCTACACCAACCATGTTTAATAGTGACAATTATTACTAATTTACATATTCTTCCTGTGGAGCCATGGGGCTGTTGAGTGGAGCTAAAAACTAATATATAGTCTTGTTTTAATTCAGGAATTGGTTGTTTTGGAGGAGACTTAGAAGCTGGGTGCCAATCAGTAGAGGCAGACATGTCCTGTCTTCTCTTATCTTCCCACTGAGTGGCATACCTGGACCAGCATTAAGATACTAGGCATCAGCCAGGTTTGCTGTCCATGAAAATTCACCTGCCACTCTGCCACTTTACCTTCTTATCAAGCAAGGGTGCAGGTTACAAACTCCAACTGCTTCCTCAACACATAGAACTAATTGTGCTGTATGTTGTCTGAAAACTAATTGGAAAGTTAACTGGCAGCCTCCTGAGAAGTTACATTTACAGTGATGGCTTCAGAAATAAGTAAAAAAATTGATGTCAGGTGCAGCCCTTCCTGTCGGAGAAGTCAGGCCCCATTCCAGTCGGTGGCCAGGCAACGTGAGTGAGCTTTTGGGTCAGTCATACACAATCAAGATGATCTCTCTCCACAACCACTGAACCATCTGCATAAATCTCTTCTAGAGTCTCTTTAAAATGCAGAGATTCTGATTCCACGGGGTTGAATTTGGAAATTAATATTCTGAACTGATTCCCCAGGTGATTCTTAAACACTGTAAAGTTTGAGAGCCATTGAAGTTCTTGGTAATAACATCACATATTGCCTAATTTTAATCTCTTTATTGGCCAGTTATATTTCTTTTTTGTTGATATTGCTTTTTGATGTTCCTAAGCAACTTATCTATTTTTTGTGCTTATTTTTTACATTTAAAAATATGATAGTCTATTTTTCATTAAAGTGACTTTTAAACCTGTGGTCAACAATTGGAGTTTAGATAATTGTTTTTCCAGGAAAAATGTTCTTCTCAAAGTTAAAATATGTTTCTTCATCTTCTGTTATAAATATCAAAAAATGTTAAATATTATGCTTCTGACATCTCTATTGTTATATTGGATATTGCTTTTATCAAACTGACATTGAAGAATATGAATGGAAAACCATTGTCTACTTAGATAGAAGTGGGTCTTTGCTTGGGGAAAAAAACCTTGTCTCAGAGTCAGTAAATATCAATTCAACAAATATCAGTGTTTGATATTTTGGAAGAGAAAAGCATTTATTACAATATTTGTTTCAGGTACATCCAAGGAGCTGCATCTCCTAAAGACATGCTTATTCTGGTGGATGTGTGAGTTGTTAAATACTACTTATTTATATATTGAGAATATGGGAGGATTTGTAGATAACAGTAGTATGGTGGGACTAAGAAAGGTTTGATAGGTTAAAAAAGAAACAAAGAAAAATTATGATGACTTTTATATTCAGGCAATGAAGCCATATCAAGACAATAATAAAACAAATTATTTAATTAAACATGAAGAGAATCTATATGGATATTCATATATTAATATTACATATCATATAATGTTAAATATGAAATATATTAAATAAGTTAATGTTGGAACTTGTTCGGGCATGGTAGCTTCACACCTGTAGTTCCAGCTACTTGGGAGGCTAAGGTGGGAGGATTGCTTGAGCCCAGGAGATCAAGGTTACAGTGAACCATGTTCCTGCCGCTGTATTCCAGCCTGGGTGAAGAGACAATGTCTCAGAAAAGAAAAAAAAAAAAATCTGGGACTTTTAAAAGTGAAATGGTGATATACAAAAAATAATTCCTTGAGTTTTTATGTTGGTCTCTTTGTTATAGTGCTTCAATTCAAGATATATGTGTATGTTTGCAAGTGTACATGTTTTCTAATAAGGTTGAAGATGTAGAAATTGAAAAGATTATATCCTGCTATGGAGATTTACTTTTTTAAAGAGCAATAATCAAGGAATTAAAATAAACATGAAGTGTAAAATGCTTAGGTTACTCATGTTTTTCCTCAAGAGAAGAAATGCTCATGTTTTTCCCTGAGGAAAAAAAAAAAAAAATCTTTGTCTCATTGGAAGAAACAAAATCTAGTAATTTGGGGACAGCTAAATCCCACAGGCAAGTATTAACATTTGAATTTTCCCCATTTTAAGCTCAAGTAAACCAATTTAATTTAGTTGTCCAAACCCTCATAACCCAGTCTGAGAAAGAGAAGATAAATGAATTCAACAAATGTAATTTAAATGTTAATTCTTATTTTATTTCTTAAGATGCATTTAAGCCTCATGTTACTTTAATTAAATTATGGATCTTATATGCTAATCCTTGATATTCTTCTTAAGTATAAATCAATATATTAATGCAATATATTATAATCCTGTTGGATGTATAATAATATCCAGAAATAATGTCATTTCAAAATCTATAGAAGCCAAATTTATATCCCAAACTTGAAAGTGTATATGAAATTTAAATACTATTTTCAAAAATTCTTTCAACAGAAATGTATTGAGGTCTTCCTACACACAGTGTAGTAACATAGAAACAAAGATGATTAAGACATAGTTACTGAGACCAGACGTGGTTACTCACACCTGTGATCCCATCACTTGGGAGGCTAAGGCAGGTGGATGGCTTAAGCCGAGGAGTTTGAGACCAGCCTGAGCAACAAAGCAATATCTCATTTCTACAACAAATACAAAAGAAAAACCAGCTGGGCATGGTGGCACACACCTGTAATTCCAGCTACATTTTGGAGGCTGAGGTGGGAGGATGCCTGAGGCCAGGAGATGGGGGCTACAGTGAGTTGTGTTCATACCCTGCACTCCAGCCTGGGCAACAGAGCAAGAGCTTGTCTCAAAAAAAAAAAAAAAAAAAAAAAAAAAAAAGGAGATATACCTAATGTAAATGACAAGTTACTGGGTGCAACACACCAACATGGCACATGTATACGTATGTAACAAACCTGCACGTTGTGCACATGTACCCTAAAACTTAAAGTATATTAAAAAAAAAAAAAGACATAGTACCTGATCTCAAAGATAATTCAAATGTATTAGGTAAACTAGACCTTAACAAATAACAAAAATAATTGTAGAAATTAATAGATATAAAGTATGACATAGCACTAAAGGAATACATAAGAGATAGCAACTTGATTTAATGTATCAGGAAAGCATTAAGGAGATAAAATTGGGATTGAATCCTCATGGCTCATATTTTCAAAGGCAAGCATGGGAGGGGAGAGGAAAGACAGTGGAATTTCAGGTGGAAGAATTGCCAGAAGTGAAGCTGCACAGGTAAGTCTGGGGACATTTATGGAGGAGGTAGAGGATTGAAAATGCCTTTGCAAAATTTTGACAGTGAGACAAATCTGACATGGTTGCCTCTATCTTGTTTCTAGCTTCACAGGCTGATTGGCTGCTCATTCCTGGGTGTGGGCCAAGATAACTTTGGGAGAAATTTAGTTTATAGTTTAAATGATAATAGCCCTTCCCTAAAACGAAACTGCCCTTATAAAACTAATGAAAGGCTACCAAATTATAGGATAAGAGAAACTTGAATTCTACTAAGATGTAGATGTAGTTAAATAATTACTAGCCATTATTCTGGAGGTCACAAGATTTGCAACTTCCCCTATTATTCCTGTAAATAACATCACTATTCTAGAACCTCAGATGGGGCTTTTGAGATATCTTTTCAGGCTTTTGCATTTCTAGCAGATGGTCCCACGGGGACCTGTGCCTCAACCAATCCTGTGCTCCCCACCCAAAAGTGGGCTCAGCACAAGAGGGCCATTTTCCACACCCCTGTGATTTCATCTTCAACCAGTTAGCAGCACTGATATCCTAGTCCCCTGCCCATCAAACTGTCTTTGAAAAATCCCTAATCTCCCTCCGAGCCTTTGATGAGATTGATTTGAGTAATAACACCATCTCCTGTCTGGCATGACTGGCCCGGCATCAATTAAACTCTTTCTTTACTGCAATGCCATGGTCTTTGTTAGTGCAGCGGGCAGGAAGAACCTGTTGGGTGGTTACAGGGAGGAGAGAGAGAAAATGCCAAAATGAAAGGATTGGAATACAGGGCTATTGAGATTTCTGGCTATTTAGTCGGTATCTATGAGCTGTTAAAAATATTAGGTCAGGATGTGTTTCTAGAACTTTCACCTGTTAGCATGTGAAGGAGACTAATTGCTGGGTTGACTGGCTATTACTGTAGCTCAGCATCTTCGTATAATGAAGACTGAGCCAGAGAGGAGTGAGGATGGAGAGGGGACCATAGCCTTGGAACACTTAAGTGGAATGAATAAGGGATTTTGCCTGAATGCACAGGAAGGTTGAGAGGGAAGAACAAATTGGATGGCTGAGACATAGACTCTTTGGTACCAAGAACATAAATAGGAATGAAAAATATGTTTGGAAGTAATGTGTCATTTTGGACATTCAGTCGTAGTGGTTCAGCAGGCAGCTCGAAGGATAAAACCAGGAAAGTGTTGGGAGCTAGAGATGTAGAAGTGGGGGTTAGTTGCCTAGAGTTGAGCCAGCCCTGCACATAGGTGAAGTCACCAAGTATTGTAGAATATGTAGAGGAAAGAAAAATGAAGAATAAATTCTAGAGGATATTTACTTTAGGATGCAGAACAAGGCATTTTCTTGCAAATCTGTTATCATAATTGTTATGTGGATTTATAATTATTGTTTTAATCAAGTCAAACAATGGGTTCCCTGGAGCAATGACTATGTCTATTAATCTCTCTACTCCTCTCTTCTAACTTGGCTAACAGAACCGAATGAGTGACTATACCATCAGTATCCATATTTTTTTTTAATTGTCACTTAACATGTAATTTTGATAATTTCAGTTAGAAATGTACACATACTGATATTGGGAGGAAAAAAAGGCAGGATTTCTTATAATTTCCACTTCTATCAAAAAATGTAACTTTTTAAACTGATTTTCAAGGGCAAAATTATTATTTAAATAATATATAAAAGATCTAGGGTCAGTGCATACATTATCTTTCCTTATGATGTTCTTGATTAAATACATGATGAGTAACATGTATGGACCCATTTGTCTATTTCTAGGAGTGGAAGTGTTAGTGGATTGACACTTAAACTGATCCGAACATCTGTCTCCGAAATGTTAGAAACCCTCTCAGATGATGATTTCGTGAATGTAGCTTCAGTAAGTATAAGATGACTGCATTTTCCTGAATTAAATTTGCAATTTCTATCTTCTCCTGACTTTAGGTACTTTATACTTTTATCTTATAGAGGCTGAGACATTTTTGATATATTGCAAGACTATCTTACTGACCTGTCCTATTTTAGCGACTGATCTTCTTATAATTCTTTTTTTAAGGTTTTTTATACATATTATATATATATATTATATATATATTATATATATAATATATATATAATATATATATATTATATATATATATTATATATATATAATACATATATATAATTTAAGTTTTAGGGTACATGTGCACAACGTGCAGGTTTGTTACATATTTATACATGTGCCATGTTGCTGTGCTGCACCTATTAACTCGTCATTTAGCATTAGGTATATCTCCTAATGCTATCCCTCCCCCCTCCCCCCACCCCACAACAGGCCCTGGTGTGTGATGTTCCCCTTCCTGTGTCCATGTGATCTCATTGTTCAATTCCCACCTATGAGTGAGAACATGCGGTGTTTGGTTTTTTGTCCTTGCGATAGTTTGCTGAGAATGATGGTTTCCAGCTTCATCCATGTCCCTACAAAGGACATGAACTCATCATTTTTTATGGCTGCATAGTATTCCATGGTGTATATGTGCCACATTTTCTTAATCCAGTCTATCATTGTTGGACATCTGGGTTGGTTCCAAGTCTTTGCTATTGTGAATAGTGCCGCGTGGATCTTCTTATAATTCTATGCCAGGAGCCTTTTTGAGTTTCTAAGAATTTATCCCTGGTTAAAGTAATTGAAGTAATGACTATAAATAAAAAGCATTCCACATATCCTCCTTCACTCAGAAGAGCTTAAATAAGTAATATGAGCCCCTTTACTCACGGACACCGTTGAAACTCCTAGAAAATAGCAACTTGGCAGTATGATTATATGGCATTTTCTATTCATTATCATCCTCATTTCATCTTGGACACATATCTATAATGTATTATGTTTTTATAGTATGTTTTTCTTGTTAACATAAAAACCAATAGATATTTGAATGTGCTCTTATTAAAGTCTCCTCAGAACCATCATAGACCCTCCTACTCATAGCTAGAAAGTACTGAACTATGAAGCAAATGAAATAAGACAAACAAATGTTACCATGTGTCATTTTAATTCATAGAATTTAGGCAAAATATTTCATGGCCATTTTCTGGAAGATATATTTACACTTGAGGTAAATATATTCATAGAGATGTGAAGACGAGGAATTTGTGGTAAGGGTTATTTTGTATTGAAAAATGGATCTGTCTCTGAAATGACTTGGGAGGAAGAAGTTAAAGTAGCTGGTCTGAAATTGATTTACTCACCAAGGGAGACTAGAAAGAAGAAGGCAGGAGACTTTGTTTAGTCCCTTCTCACCTGAAGCTCCAGGTAGCTAGATTATTGATATTTACTAGGAGGAAGAGAATTTATCCCTGAAATGTTTTTAGTGGTGTATCGCGGCCTAAGAGTAGGTATAGGAAAACACGATACCTATAAGGCAAGGTTCCTGGCAAAACACTCTCACAGGTGATATAATTCTCTGGGGAATAAACTGTAAGTATTTTATAATTTACAAGGAGCCCTGTGAAACTCTTTTTGTGATTTCCCTTCATGTGGGCAAGAAGAATGTGTTCAGCACAGGAAGGAGGAGCTGGGAAGCCCTCCTCCGTGTGAGGCCTCTATCTACTTCATCTGAACCTTCAGAAGTCCTTTAGCTTGTCTATATTCTCAACATATTCTCAACATTATTTATTAAAACTTGATACTGCATAAGATCTCTGATTCATTTAAGTCTGATTTTACAATCTATCTGACCCTGTATGTCAGCTCACTACGTATTTCAACAGAATGCAAACAAGTAGAATGTAATACTTGATCTCTCAAATAAGATCATCAGGAAAGATACTTATTTGGCTTTATTTGTATATAAACATATAGTTCATAACAAACCATTGGGATAGTTCTTTAAAAATACTATCTGTGGCATAGCAAAAGAGAAAGTCTTAAATCCAGTGCAGATTTGACATCTAGGTGAAATTTATATAAAACTAGCAGATATTCAATGTGGTGAATGTCTTATTCTGACTTCTTCGAGAAGCTGAATCTCACTTGCAGATTCAAATATAAATAGTGTATTTGGGAGGTGATCACAGGAAACACTACTACTTAAAGAAGTCAGGCAGTGGATGGAAGGAAACAATGACAGAATCTTACTTTAATTTAAAGGAACTTAATTCTCTGAGGAATTCTGGAAGCCATACGTAATATTCACTTCAGAGTTAACCTGCCCCAAATGCAAAGGAGCTGAGGTTTTAGGTAGCAGCCTTCCCTGTGTGTGGGAAAAACAGACTGGGCACAAGAGGGAGTACTGAAACAAAAAGTTGTAGGTGCTGGTAGTTAGAAGCCTGGCCCAGGATCCAGTCTATCCAGTCAATGATTCTTAAAGATGGAGACTGGTCACAATCTTTAAACAAAGAAACATGGAACATCAGGATGGTGGACTTCTAGATTTAGAACCAAGGACATAATTCATACTCATCTTTTCTTTCCTCTAATACCTTTCCTAATTTCCCTGCAGCCTTGGCCAACTCCTGTGCTGGTGGCTTGCCTGATAGGAGGAACCAGACTCTTACTCCTCCTGGGGCCTATGAATCCATGGTTTCTGTGCCCATTCAAATGGTGGTTTCTGCAGTTGTCCATTCACAGTTATCTCCAACCACAGACATACTTGAACGAATCCCAAGTTCCCTCTTACCATTATGTAGCAGCAACACCCATGATATTCCTCTTGTCAACTGGAACCCTGCCAGTAGCATCACTTATTTTTTTTTTTTCTTGTAGGTCTACTGGCATGAGAATTGAAGCATATTCAGATAGTAGCTATAGATTTAGGTTTAGTTAAATTCTTTCTGGGACCCTGATAGGAGCACTGCATTACCTGCCCCTTTCCCCCAACACATACACACTTGGAAAGCAGAACATTTATTTCAGTGGAGCCTGAAGTCTCAATGACAAGAAGTACACCTTTCCCAAGTGGGTCACTTTTAATTATAGTAAGAGGGGACTTTCCTACTTTACCCCCTTGGTTTTCATATTGATACATTCTGCCTTTTAGGGGCAAAGCCAGGGGGGTGGAGGAGAAAATTGATGTGTAGCATTTGCCAATTTTCATGATGCAAATATTCCCACTATGACCAATTTTAAGCTACCAATGTGAGGTTAACTGGCTTTTAAGTTTCGTGAAAATTTCAACCATTTTTAAAAAATTATTATTAGCAGTTACAAGCTGGCTTCAGCACATAGCACCATGGTTCAAAATACATATCGCATTTTGAAGACAACATCCCCAAATCAGATTTTCATCTGTAAGCTGGAGCCTTAGTTGTACCTTTAGAGGAGACTGTCCCAATGTTATCAGGCTGGCAGCCTCTAGTGATGCAACATATGGTAGACCCTGTGAGTCCTGTGGTCATGTGCTTATTATTGGACTCCCTGTACTATAACATGTGTTGCTTAGTTTGAGATGTTATTCAGTATCCCACGATAAATCAGTCAGTATTTGTGAACCTGAGGATTAGTGATACTTGATGACACCTCATCTGTGAACAAGAAAGGGGAACCCATAACTGGAATTTGTATCCATAATAGGAAAAACAAATTTGACCCCTTCTCCAAGGGGGTAAAATGCAATATAATAATTTTTTACATCGAGTTGCTGGTTGCTTTCTTTGAGAAGTGGTACTATAATGAGGACTCAGCATCACACTATTCCCGTGGGTTGGTTATTTACCAGTGGCAGTAGTTGCATCAAACTGGAGGAGCTTTTAGGCCCATGTGTATCCTCTCTCTCTACTATCAAGCTCCTCCATTCATGGGCCTATTTTGCAAGCAGTACAGTTGACACATACAGAGCTGGATGATCTCCAGTGGACAGATCATCTTATCTACCCAATTGTTTAGTGCCTTTTCTGTGACGAATGTTCTCTAGCACACATTGATGCAAAACAAAGACATCTTTATGCTTCATGCCTACCTCCATAGGTCCATCCTCATGTTGCTTCTCCAAAACTATGTATGAGGAACATCTTCTAATCTTGATCCTTTTAGGACTTTGGACAACCAGCCATGCCATTTATAACTGTATAGGAGTCCATGAGTTTTCTAATTGTAGGTTACTTATTTTCCACAACATATTGATGGCCAGTTATATTTTGCCTCAATAACCCTAAACATCCATTCCCTGGCATATTATCTCAGTATCTTCTGGTTCATATTAGGCAGATCCTGCAACTCTTTTGTTAAATATCTTCTTTTGTTTTCTTGGAGTAGAGACTGTACTTTTCAAGGTGGGCCGTGTTGATACTTGGCCTTTTTTTTTTTTTTTTTTTTTTAACTTTTGAGTAGGTTTATTGTCATGTAACCTTTTGGGATTCTTTCCTTTTTTTAAAAAATTATATATATATATATATACACACACACACATATTTATTATACTTTAACTTCTAGGGTACATGGGCACAATGTGCAGGTTTGTTACATATGTATACATGTGCCATGTTGGTGTGCTGCACCCATTAACTCGTCATTTAGCATTAGGTATATCTCCTAATGCTATCCCTCCCCCCTCCCCCCACCCTACAACAGGACCTGGTGTGTGATGTTCCCCTTCCTGTGTCCAAATGTTCTCATTGTTCAATTCCCACCTATGAGTGAGAACATGCAGTGTTTGGTTTTTTGTCCTTGCGATAGTTTGCTGAGAATGATGGTTTCCATCTTCATCCATGTCCCTACAAAGGACATGAACTCATCATTTTTTATGGCTGCATAGTATTCCATGGTGTATATGTGCCACGTTTTCTTAATCCAGTCTATCATTGTTGGACATTTCGGTTGGTTCCAAGTCTTTGCTATTGTGAGTAGTGCTGCAGTAAACATACGTGTGCATGTGTCTTTATAGCAGCATGATTTATATTCCTTTGGGTATATACCCAGTAATGGGATGGCTGGGTCAAATGGTACTTGGCCTTTTTGTTGTCTAAAGCCATTAGATGAGATAGGATCAGATCATGAGGAAAGTATGCATCATCTTTTATGGTCTCTAGGAACGCAGAAGCTACTGCCCTCTAACTAAGGGTCACAGGTTACTTTTGCCTGTCCAGAGGGTATAGGGGAATCCAGAATTTTATATTCTGAAGTCCACTTAGATGTCCTCATCCTAGTACAAAGGGTGCTTCTCCTTGCCTATTGATGTTCTGACTTTTGCATAGAAAGCTGCCAAGGTTGTGAATGCAGCGTACTTTATAATTCTGAGATTCTCAAAAGAAAATTCTGAGCCAAATTTCTAGCACATGCTGACCTTCCCAAAATGGGAAATGAGAATCTTTTAATTAGTTGCCACACAGGTTTTCTGGCTTTCTTACTTTGGCCTTAGTTGATAGTTGGCTGACATAAGGCTATCATTTTCTTCAGTGAAATTCAACAACCAGCCAACTCATAGTTTTATGATTACTGTTGTCCCCATGTCTCTCAAATGCTAGGTGCATCCCCATTAATCAGTATTTTATTCTGATCACTGCAGATGAAAATCTTAGCAATTGTGTTGCCATAGCATCTGAGGAGTTTTTTGACTCCAGTGATGACTGTGCCCCCAGGTACAAATAGGGTCTTTGTTGCCGTATGTAATTTAGGAAATGATTCAGTTCTGGAATCCCATTCTGAAGGTCTGCTTACTAAGAACACTGGTTGGTATCTGCTTAGATTGATTTTCCCCAGAATAGTCACTGAGACAAGGATTCAAGCTTAAATGGTTTATTTGGAAAGTAACTCTAGGAAAGACTTAGAGAAATGTGGGAATTAAAACAAGGCAGAGAATTAATAAATGATTCATCTTCAAACAAGTTTCCACTGTGAGTGAGTGCAGCTTATTTCTCTGGGAATAAGTATAGATTTCATGAATTAGAGTTATCCCTTCCAAGGGGAAAAATATGCTGGAGTATATAAAGTTGATGACTATTCCCAAGTAATGTTAATTCTCTGGCATTCCCAGACCACCATGTGCAACAGCAGAGGGTTCCCTGCAATCTCAGGCAGTTAAAAGTTGGGTTGACATGAATGGAAAAATGGATAGGGCATCAATATCATCTAGCTTGATTAGAAACTGAATAATGCTATCAATAAAATGCTTTAAAATGATTTCTGATTAAGCAAGCTTTGAATGAATTTTATACTGTCAACATTTAGTCAGCAACTAACATTTATTTCCTAAAGAACTTAGAATGGGCATTGGGATTCTTAAAGCCTGCCAGTTTTAAAGGCCATTGATTTTCCTAAAAAAAATATGTTGTTAAACGTGTATTTATTTGAAGAAAATTGTTAACTAATTTCTTAAGAAACACAACTGCAGGATATCTTCTTGTGGTTTCTGTGAACCAGGTTAATACAGACTTTACTGATGCACTGACAGCTCTTTGTAAATCCTAAGCTGGGTGTACTCATTTGGTGTGGTTTGAATGTGTGAGCTAAAAGCATATGGGAAAACAGAATATATTACTCGTAGGAAAAACTGGGAATACATTTCACCTGGAAGTATGCACCTCAGTACCTCAAGTTAAAAGTTATTAAAATACCTCCATTAATATGTCATAAACAGGGCAGAAAAGTAATATTGAAACACGCACAATTAATGGAACTTAAAAGATAAATAATCAGGAAGACATTTGAAAGATGAGGTCATAGTGACTTTCCACTCTGCTTCTGGAGATACGTATTACTGGTTTCAGCTCCTGGTATTACTGGTCCCAGCTCCTAGTTCCTCCTTAGGCTTAATTAGTTTTGGTTACTTATTTACTTGTTTATGGCTCTTATTTACTATAAAAATATCATTTTTTTGTCAACTACACTCTGAAGTTTTGTTAACTGTACACTTTTGTTTAATTTTATTATTTCAAAATAATCATTAATACATTTTTATGATTGAAAACTCACTAAATAATTTTAAGTGATTACATTGAGACATAGATTTGCTCCTCAGAAAATCAGTACAAATAAAATCCAAAGTAAACACGTGTTCATTATTTTTGTTATTTGTGCATTAACCTTCTATTTAATCATAATTGATAGGTAATTATTTAATTTTTTTTTTTTTTTTTTGAGACGGAGTCTCGCTCTGTCACCCAGGCTGGAGTGCAGTGGCGCCATCTCGGCTCACTGCAAGCTCCGCCTCCCAGGTTCACGCCATTCTCCTGCCTCAGCCTCCTGAGTAGCTGGGAATACAGGCACCCGCCACCACGCCCGGCTACTTTTTTGTATTTTTAGTAGAGACGGGGTTTCACCCTCTTAGCCAGGATGGTCTCAATCTCTTGACCTTGTGATCCGCCCGCCTCTGCCTCCGAATGTGCTGGGATTACAGGCCATTTAATTTTTTTAAAGCAATGTTCAAGTGGCAGACACTGTTCTAAGTGTTTTTCATAGTAATTTGTTTAGTCTTTACAGCAACCCTGTGAGGTTGATAATACTACTATTCTTAATATTGCGGATAAGAAAACAGTAGAAAAAGTCTTAGCAATTTTTCCAAGAAAAGAGAAAGAACTGGAGTGTAGCCATCTTCATTCATGATTCTAGATTTAACCAAAAAGTTATGAGGCTAAATCTTCAGGAATATTTATTTACTTTCTTTACCGTGTATCTTTTGCTCTTATGAAACTTCATATATTCTTATTTGCATTTATAATCTTTAGTGTCAACCACATTATATATAATCTTTAGTGTCAACCACGTTAAATTCATAATTTTAAAGAAATTTTTCAGTCTTATGAGTTAGTCTGCTTTATTTTGAGTATATACTGTCTGAAATTGATACAGGTAAAGAGAATTGATTCTTATGCAACATTCTGGTAAGAAAAAAGTAAAATTACATTTTTATCTTTAACATATAGGCCCTTCTCATTAAATACAGATTTAACAATTTACTGATATGGAAATTCTCAGGAAAAAAACCTTCAAAATATATTTATAATGTCAAGTTGTATGTGTGCGTGCATGTGTGCATGTGTATTTTATTTTCTCTCTAAAGCTGTTTGAAAGTCCAGGAAAGCAACAATATACCTTTAGCTTTTGTAACTTCAGGAATCCATAGTAATAAGGCACTGAGGAAGGAGGGAGTGGTTCTATAGTTAACTTTGACCGTAATTTTTCCTTAGAGACCTCATGCATTTCTCTTTATCTTCATACCCAAAAGAATGTGGGTCATCCAAAGACTCAGGATGCAATCTATATTAACACTTTCCCAAAGTTGCCCAGAAGCCACCAAACAGAAAAATCAAGTAGCCTCTCATTTTTAGGGTTATTTTTCTAAGTTTCTTTCATTCTTTTTAAAAATAACAGTAATTTTTCATGCTTAAATCATGTATAAGATGTCAGAACTAACGCTGCATCATTTCTGAGTGTTTCTACTATCTCCAGGGTTGTTCTTTGTTGCAGAAAGGAAGCCTGCTGTTAGCAAAGCTGAAATGCAAGCATAATGTAGCTGTTTTCCCACTAATCCAGTTATATGCTTTGATAGGAGTCAGTGGTAGATGATAGGAGCAGCAATTCAATCACAGCGTGTTCTGATTTGCAGGCAGAATTTCAAGTGTTGACACAGGGATTTGAATTTGTTTATGAATGTGAGGGAGTTTGACATTTTAGGAGTAAAATACTGCAAGCCAGTGGAGGATGATGGGAAAATGTATATGGATTGCAGACAATATGCTAAAAGTTAACAACCAAAGGAGATCTTCATGTCTTTTAATAAAACCACACATTTCTTACTAAAGAATTAGATGCACATGTTATGATTATGTTAAGGATCTTTGAGTCAGTTTTCCTCGTGGAAGCTTTTCCAATTCACAGTCATTATAAAATACTGTCTTTGATTTTTTACCAGAAAAAAAAATAATCAAAATATAATTCCTTATATCTTTGCTCTTGCTTGTAGGAAATAACTTTTTAAAAAGTTAGTTGTACCTTTTGTCCAGATTGTAGTCGCTAAGCAGCAGTCCTAGAAGTGACAGTTTATAAATGTAAGTACAAAGTCAAAAGTGAAGAACCATAGCTAAATAGGAGGCTGGAAAGGAAGGTGAGCCCTTTCCCAGCTGGAAGCTTTTCCCTAAATGCAACTGCTATAAAAGCCTGCAGATTTCCTGGGTCCAGACCTCTGTGTGAGACAGGTCTGTGCTTATTATTTGTCTATATAAACAATAATTCTGAATATGGTATTCTAAAGATTGTAAAAGTCTTTGCTTCCCACAGTATGCGGTTCAAGGAGCCAATATATGTTGGTTTATATCAAGTAAAGAGCAACGCGATGGAATGATCCTGCCAACACGTTATCCCTGCATGGACAGTGTTAGTAAGCTCACATCTGGTTTGACTCATTCTTCACAGGCAACCCTGTCTCTTAGATGGACTGGTAGAATTGCATAGGAATAACTGTGCAGCTTTGGAAACTACTAGTTTTATGACCTTACACAAGTAACCTAGGGCTTCTGTCAGTTTCCTTATCTTAAAAATGGACAGGATAATTTAACTTGCTGAAATGTTGTTGAGTACCAAGTGAAATGTCACATGTAAAGTGCTTATATATTGTAATCATGTATTATGATGATGATTATTGTTATTTAGTGTCATCTTCCAACATTTTTCCACCAACTGTTGGGAGACATTTCTTTATGAATCTTTCACATTTAAGTCTAAGCATTAACAGCCAATTTATTCAGATTTATTTGCATTCCAGGATAGTAAAGAGATTTCTCCTTCTCCCGAAGAGATTTTCAATGCAGAGTAATTAAACTATTGTGTCTCTCTGGAGGGGAGGATGAGTGTGGGCCATCAGAAGCCCCTGTATAAGATCAGGGACTTCCTCATCTTGGGACTCCTGGCTGGAAACCCATCTCACTACCTATGCAGGTGACCCCTGGCTGTCCTCCTGTCATCCTGTGGGAATTGAGGTTTGGGCAGCTTGTGCAAACAAAGATGTTACTCTGCTCCTCTGTTGCTATGAGTAATAAACTCTTTGTCTCTGACTCAGAGGGCTTGTATTTTTTCTGCCTTTTATCTATGACACTGTAGGAGGCTTACTTGTTAGCTTACAACTGCTATAAAATCTCAGACATTTCAGTTCCTGACTTGATTGTTTAACACCAACTAATACCAGAGCAGGAGGTTGTTTAAATATGGAGTTGCACTGTGTAGGCAAGTAAGAGATGATTTCAATTGTTCCATTTCCTATGTGCTTTAAATTTCAGATTTCCTTCTAAAATATGCCTAATGTATTCCTAGACAAGGACATGTTTTGTTGGCTTTTTTAGATAAGGAACTTCGCTACTCAGCCTATGAAAATGAGTACAATTGTAAATTGCTGCACAATTTGAACTTAAAAGCAATTTCTATCCCCCAGTGCTAAAAGTTTCTTAGAAAACAGACCCTCTTTTTGCCAGAGCTCAAAGAAAATAAAAGATATTTGCCATGTCAATACAGTTTTGTGACAAATCTAAGAGAATAATTTCTTGTCTTATCAAAAGCCATCCATCTAGAGTTCAGGAAAACTTTATGTTGATCTATTGCTCATTTATGTCAACAAGAAGACTGCAGTTTATTCTCTTGCCATCGAAGTGGGGCCTGTAGCCAAGCAGTCTGAGCCTTGCCTGGGAGCTCTGTTAAGCAATGGGTACAAATGCAGCATCTCAAGCTGCACTCCAGAGCTAAGGAGAACATCTGCATTTGGAAAGTCCCCCGGGTGATTCCTGTGCAGGGGTTTTTATCGCATTACTGTTAACTGTGTGTACAACTGGCGGGCTTTGCGTCATTATAGAAGAGGAAATCAGTATACTAAAGAGGTACCTTTAGCAAGTTCAGCAGATGATTAACTGGGGCTTGTTGTAAATAATCATGTTTTTCACTGACTCAGATTTTAAGAGCTTGGTAATTATAGAATTCTTAATACTATGGATGTTTGAATATTTTTATTTTGTAGACATTTGTTTCTTTGGGGATGGGAGGAGGTCTTAAAACAGGAAGAAATGGAATTAAGAGAATTTGTTAAAAGAAGAAGAATTCTATCTTCTTATGCACTTTTTTTAGGTAAAGATGGGACCTTTATAAAAGTATTTTCATTTAAAAGACATAAAGAAATTATGGACAGTAAGAAAAGATCAAAGAAAAGGACAAATTTAGTTGTTATAATAGCAGGGCAAAGCCGCCAAGGTTATTTAGGATTTTTCTTTTTTTTTTTTTTTTATGAGTTGCCAGAAGATAACTTAATTGCTTTGGAAATATAAAGAGAGTTTATAAGAAGGTGTTGACAAGTACAATAAGTATTTTTTTCCCATTAATTACATGGTACACTAAGTTTTTGGCACTTAGAAATTCGTCGTATATGTAAAAAGGAAACAGCAAAGTAATATTCAGGGTGAGGCAAAGGGAATAATTTTATTCTAAACTGAACTATTGTTTTTAGAATTATAAAAGTTATTGACTTATTTGATGGGGCTTGAAGGACTAGGAAAAGATGTCATGTATGTGAGTACTTATTAGATGAAATTTTTTAAATTATAGTTTCATTTAATTTTGAGTGTAGGTAAAGAGAGTGACTTGGGCTGGCCTGAGCAATAGATGTAGGAGAATTGTTCAGAGTTCTTTAAATTAAATTAAACTATCATATTTGTTCTTAATTATTTAGTAGGCTTAAAATTCAAAAGAAATTCAAATGTAAATTGACACTATGAGAACTTATTTGTAAAATGCATACACTGCAATCTTAATTGTTGAATAAAAATCTATTTCATCAAATTCCTAGAGGAATAAAAAAAGCATTTTGAGAATTTCGATGTATATATTATAGCTTGAAAACTAATATGCTAAGACATGAAAATATTTTTACCTTATGTTAATGTATAAGAGATTTTTCATAAAGTGACAATTTGTATAAGTTCTAAACTTCAAATAAAAATATTGGCAATTTTTTCTACAACTAATTCACCTTTGTAATGTTTTGTTCAGTAATCCATGTTTATTGCACACTTTAAAATATATTTTAAAATGTTATGAAATCTCTCCTGCTATGTAGTTTGATAGGTATCTTCTTTACCTATCTTTTTGTCATTAATTTATATCATAATCATGCTCTAAGTTTTCCAGATGTATATAATTTGTCTCAGTGGAACTGAGTTAAATTGAATATAATTCCTTCAACCCTAGTTGATAACTGTCATCAGCTGTTTCTGCATCCCAGATACAATTTAATGTTTATAAGAATTCATTGGTGATGTGAATAAACTTTCTTAAAAGGCGGATGTATCCTTTCTGTCTAGTGAATGTCTTGTAGATGTGTACAGATGAGAAATTACTTCTGCTTACCATTACATGAATCTGGATGCTTCCAGGCCTAGATAGCTGCCTGATCATCCCCCAGATCTTCCCCCAGCTCAGGTCTTTGCTCAAATACTGCGTGATAGAGAGGCCTTCCCTGACTACTGTCTCTCAGACAGCATTCCGATTTTAGTTATTCAACCACTTCGTTTATTTAATATTTCACGTCACTTCATTTTTTCTATCATTTCTCTTCACCTGATATTTTACATATGTTTGTTATTTTCTATATCTCTGTATTCCCTCCTCTCCAAGAATGTACGCTTCTTTGAGTATAGAGAGAGTCTTTTTTGTACTAATGTTACTGTACATAGAGTAGTTCAAGGCACGTAGTGGTGGTTCTTGAATTGACTCTACCTTTTGTCAATCAGAACAGTGCTGAACAAAAAATGTACTAGATGGATGTCAGAATTTTATAAACAGTTTCAATCAGTGATAAGTTAACTTTGTGTTCTTATGTGGCCAGTCATCCTCACTCATATGATCAGTATTGTAGTATCTCTGCTCTACAAACACATTAGTTATGTATGCCATTCTTATTGTGTTCTTCAAGCAAACTGAGCCATCTGTTTTAGTTTATTTTTCAACTAGGGAATTTTCCAAGTACTCAGCTTCAGGTATCATGAAAATATTGTACATATTGGTCATGTCTGCTTCACAGTGTTGGTAAAGGGGACCAGATCAGACAGTATGTGATTGTTTCATCATTTCATTAAGGTTTTGTCTTCAGGAGCTGGCATTCAAATTTCTAGAGGGCTATGCAAAAAACATTTGTAATGGAAATAATACTGATAAGGTTATTGTACCTGGAGAATGATGGAGTGGGAAAGAAAGCTGCCCATTTTTCCAGTTGGAAAAGTGCTGTGGACTCAGGAGTGCACAGTGGTTGGTTAAGAGATGGTTGAGAAGACAGAAATGTCAGGTGGAGATGCAGGGGGATCCTAAATTCAGTTTACATTTCAAGTAAAAGAACAGCATACTTTCAATGGCTTCAAATGTTTTTAAATGAATATGATTAGAGAATTATAAAATTTTCTCTATCAAAATATAAAAAGAATATATTAAAAATGGTAATTGGGACTTATTCAGAAATCCATCCAAGATTTCAACAAGGTAAACAGACTAAATATAGGTTACATCATGATTTGAGTTGTTTGAAATATTTGTTTAAAAATGAAAATATTTATTGAAATGTTTGATGAATGATGATTTACATTTATAGGCAAACACAATTCGTGTCTTTATAATTATAGGGAATTGTATTCCATTTTATCTACTGGTGCCATTTTTTAGACATATACAGAATTTATTCCATATTTACATTTTTGTCCTGATTGTTAAACTAGCTGATGTAAATTATATAATTTTAGAATTTGAAGGGCTTTCCACCTAATCTAGAAAAACCCTTTATTTCAGAAAGGAGCAATCTGCAGCTTAGGGGAGATAATTGAATCAGTTTTGGCTGTAATGCTTATTAGAGGCAAGGCCTGGACTAGACTTGGTTTTCCTAAATTGATTAAAGAAGAGATAATTCATTCTCAATATGTTTCTTTTTTTATACAATGGACCAAGGAAACCGCAAACCAGCAGCCACTGTTGGGAACAGCACCGTCAACTTGAAGAGTGGAGTGGCCAACTCCATGAGTGTCATTAGTGAAGATATTTATGTCTCTGACTGTGAGAGGGTGACCATACCTTCTAGTTTTCCCTGGACAGGGATTAACGACAGAAATTAAAATCACATTCACAACATTAGCAAAAGTCATGAATTAACTAGCAGTACTTTTAGTAATATATTTAGGACCTATATTAAAGATAGAGAAAAGAGTGTGAGAGATATATTTAAAAGATTTGATATTTGGAATTAATGAATAATTTTTCCTGGAATGAAAAGGATACCCATGTGAAGATAGCAGTTTTTCTAATTTACTCATGAGAGCAATTTTAATTTGACAAAAATTTCTAAAGTTACTGCAGTAGGAAGACAGTTGTGAAGAATATCACATGACGGGATGTGGTAGCTTTCTCCTCTGTTATTAAACTGTAATTGAAAATGATTAAAGACCTTAGAGAAAAGTGCGTCAGGGAATTTGCGCTTGGGGTTGAGCTCTGAATCTTGGTTGCTGTTTGACTCTGAACACTTTAACATCGTACACCTCATTTCCTCAACTATATAATGGGAAGCCTATTAAAACTAAAACTGTAGCTTGTTGAAAGTTAAACAACTTAATGGATATCAAGTGTTTAGCCTGGCACGCAGGTGATTCTCAATACATGTTAGCTAATACTTTTTAAAATTATTCATATTAAAAAGCAAGCTCATGAAATAACGGAGGGACAAAGGACTAAAAAATTACAGAAATGTATTCAAAATCTTAATTTGTTGTAAGGAATGTATCATGAATGAATGTATCATAAATGGGAAATTTCGCTATTTGTAAAAACAAATTGCCTAATTTTGTTATCACCTCATAGTGTTGGGGAAACTAAATTCCACCATGACTATATACCAAAACCCATGAAACATCAGTAAGGTTACAGATGAATAATTTCCTGACTGATAGACGGTTGATTTTCTAAGTACAAAACTCTTTTAAGAAATAGTAAAGGAATAGGCTCATAGGTTTAGATTAAATAGTAAGCAACAATCTGGAAAAACAGAACTACACAAAAATTAATATATGAGAAGGGTCATTTTGCTAGCAATCAAATTCAAATAGTTAAAATATTGAAATATTTTTATTTACAGTTCAGCAAATAAAAAATGGGAAGTGTTTATGAGGCTGCAGTGAAACTAGCACATATATACTTTAAATTGGCACAAAATTTTTGGAAAGTAATTTGGTAACAGATAACCTAGAAAGCATTTTTTTCTATTAATCTGGGCTTTTCTATTCATTTATTGACTTCTGAAATTCAAAGACATACTAAACATACAAAAATGCAGCTAAGTCACAGTAGCAAATGAACCAAAGTCCTGACTGCAGTTATAACATTTCACCCAGACATTGAATTCTAAACAGCCACTTTATAAATCTTATTTCTTATCAGTTTTCCAGAAATAACTCTTAACTGGGAATGTATCCACATATGTAAGAATAAATGTTATCAGCTATTTTATCCGGATTTTAGAATAATCATTTTCATATAATCTCTTATAGTCCAAATCTACTATGAAAAATATGAAAATCAAAATAAATTTTGAAAGTTTTTTAAAAATAGGAATAAGTACATAAAACAAGCACAGCCAAAATTTTGGAGCGCACAGCCTCTGGTCATTTTCCTTTTATTTTCCTGCATTGCCATCTGGTGGCCAAAATGTGGATAGTGTCTGATACCATAATTTGTGTTTGTACTTACTAATATGCAAAATTTTATTGTTTCTTATTTAAATTATTTAATCTTACAAAATATAAATTTGTTGTGTATGTTATCCATCATAGTTAACTTGTGTAAATAAGTGTACTAATATTATTTTAATTTAAAAAATCCTTTTCCAAAGCAGTCAGGTCTGGATTTGAATTATTATTTTTGCTGATGATTACATGGCTTGAGCCAACAATTTTGCACCATTATTTATTTTACATGCCAGAAATAGAGAAAATAAAACATTAAGACATGTTAAGTAATAAATATTGAACAATTTTTTCAGAAACTATAGTTGTGTCCTATTTTTGCTTCTTAAAAATGCTTTAGGACTAAACAATGTACAAAGTACCCTAAAGAAAGCCTGCCTTTAAACATTTAGAATCCATACATAGGAGAACGGTCTTTCTGAGGGGAAGGGATGCGAATTAATAGACATGTTGAGAGCTGGATACAGTGGCTCATGCCTGTAATTCCAGCTGCTTGGGAGGCCAAGGTGGGAGGATCACTTGAGGCCAGGAATTCGAAACCAGTCTGGGCAAAATAGTAAGACCCTTTCTCATTTTTAAAACTAAAAATAATTTTAAAAAGACAGGTTGAGTGGGCAAATAATAAATGAGCTACTTCTCTTTCACTGAAGTTTCAAGTAGAATATGTGACCTTAAGAATGTCTTTTGTCATTAATTCTTAATGTTTCCAGTGCAGAACTACTTGACTGCACTAAACCATTCAAAGGAAGACTTGGTACTCCAAGAAGATGTGTTCTAGTTGCCATTTCCAGACAAAGGGCACTTCCCGTAACTTTCTGCTTCTTTGACTTGTAGCGTGTATTAAGGCAACAGGAATATTTCATTGTTTGTATCCTGACATAATGTGATGACAAGCAGAGTCCCTCTTCTCAGAAATATTTTATGGAATGATTTCATATTCAGCAGGGGAAATTAGAGCAAAAATAGAGACTGCCTTTACAAAACCAAAAGCTTGGGTTATTTCATTTGAGATACTGATACTTTGTTTTGACTGGAAAGCATCTTTCAATTTGTGTACCTGACTGGGATATTTAATAAGAAGTTTCTTTGGAAGTATTGAAATGCATTGATCATAGTTTTATCAGAAACTGTTTCAAACACCAAACTAATGTTTGAGGGACACTTGTATCATCCTGTTAGTGAACTTTATTTCAAGCTCAATACAGCTGAGGCAGTTTATCTGAATCTTATGAATTAGGAATCTGTTCTAATTTTAGTACTGAGTATCCTAATCCTTTTTACTAAAATAATTTTTAAAACAATAGAGTTGCCATTTAACATCTACTGTATGTCAGACTCTATGTTAGATGTTCTGTATATCTTTATTTGAGTATTTTAATGTCTATTTGGACAGAGTATTTGTACTTTTGAATGTACAAGTTTAACAACATATTGCAGAGCTAAGATGCAATTCATCTACTTATAAATCTATAGCTTGATTATTGATTAACATTTTACACTGACTTCTAATTTCCATAGTTTGATTATTGATCAACATTTTATACTGGCTTCTAATTTTCTTAAAGTCCACATCCAAAGAGTTTAAACATTTATCCATTATTCATTTATTCAGTAAATATTTATAGCATGTTTATTACATGCCAAGTACAGAAAATGCAGTGGTGGTGTGGACATATTCTCTGGCCATGTGGGCTAATAATCCAATAGAGGGGTCTATTTATTAAGCTAGGATACAGAGAAATATGAAATTATAACTGGTGCTCTGTAAAAAAGAGATAGATTTAAGAGAGCTTAGTATTGGGTGACTTAATCTAGTCAGGGAAGGTCATGAAAACTTTCATGAGGACTGAGTGAAGAAGGGAGAAAAAGTATTGTAGGCAGAGGAACAGTACATATAGTGGGAAAAAGTGTTTTTGGCAGAAGGAACAAGAGATGTGGAAGGGCAAAGGAAAGAATGCCCCAATGCTGGAGTAGAAATACAAACCCTCCAGGATTTTTACCCCAGATGCCCATGTTAACACACGTGCCTTCCTATCTAAACAGGCTAACAGAAATTGTCCTCAGCAGTTCTAATGAGTGACCTACTTAGTTGAATTTTCTGGGATTGGAAAAGGAATCAATGTGATGTTAGTTTGGATTTCTGACTCTGTCATGTTAAATACACACTTTTACAAGAAGTATTTTCTTAATTGATGAAAAAATCAGAGCTCCTTCAATCTCTTTTCACTCGCCATATACCATTTCAAAGTTCTGTAATATATTTGCTATTACACTTTTGCTCTAAGGTTTTTAATATGTGGTTTTAAATTAGTATGTAGGCACGTGTTATCAAAGACTGCCACTTCAGCCCATGAAAATTAACCTATTTTTAAAACATACATAATACGATATAAGCTGATGAGTCTAAGATATCTGTGAAATATAGTCTTATCTGATTGTAAACTTTCAAATTTCTCATCACTTTCCTAGGAGAGTAAGATTTGCTATAGGGAGTTATACTTTGTAAGTTATTCCTTTCTGTACATTATTTGTGAGTTTTACTATGAGTGCAATTATAGTAATTCTGTTATACACTACTGAATATATATTTAATGAATGAATTTACATTTAATCAGTTTGTGTTAAAGTCACTTAATGAGATGCTTCACTTTTCTGTGTTAAAAGCAGGTCAAGGCCAACTGAAAGACTCTGAGCAATACATTATTCAGTGCTCAATTTCTGCATAACTTGTACCTTTATGGTGATTCATGGTTTAAATAAGTCAGTTAATAATATTTCCTGTAACCATTTCTAATAATTCTCTAAGGTCACTTTACTATTAATGTATTGGCAAACTGTATTTTTACTTACCAATACAGGGAAATGCTAACATTTATTTGTTTTGAAAATGGAACATGTAGAATAAGCTTGCATCCAATAACCAAAGAATAGAAGAGTGATAAAAGAGGCAGTGGGACTGGTCATTTGGACCTGAAGATACTCAGTTTTCAATATTTGAATTTATAGAAAACAGTAAATAAATATACTGGAACTTTATTCTCACACTGGTGATATTCATGAAAGTCTTGTTCAAAATAAACATGAAAAAGGACTTACTATCTGTGCAGGACATTTTACCTCTTGTTTTTTCTTTTCTCTAAGCCTTCCTTCTCCTCTCATTATCCTGATCATCTTGCCTCATTGTTAAAGGAGACAAATGCCACAGACAGTAACTATCATCATCCAAATCCACATACCACCTGGCTCGGTCAGCTTCCACTCTTCTTTCCTAGAATAATGAAGTTGATGTGCATTTTCCTAAAGGGCCATTCCTCTGTGTGTCACCTGGATCCATCTGTCCCTACCTTTCGACGAGCTTTATTTTTTACCTCTCTTCTATTTCCTGCATCTTTTTCTTCCTTCTCTCTTTAACACCAGTCTTCTTATGCTTGAGTGACCCCTAGCTTTAAAATAGACTTTTCTTGACCCCCAGTCTACCCTACAGATGCCACCCTGTTTTCCAGCTCTGCATCCAGCCAAGGCACTTTGCAGATTTGCCTGCATTCAGATGCTCCTGCTGTCCATTCGTTCTGCCCTCCCCACCCCCCCAACCCAAGGCTGCCTACATAATGTGGATGAGTTCACCAGGCATTTTTTTGTTTGTTTTGTTTTGTTGTGTTTTTCTGAGATGGAGTTTCGCTCTTGTTGCCCAGGCTGGAGTGCAATGGCGTGATCTTGGCTCACTGCAACCTCCGCCTCCCTGGTTCAAGTGATTCTCCTGCCTCAGCCTCATGAGTAGCTGGCATTACAAGCATGCACCACCACACCTGGCTAATTTTGTATTTTTTAGTAGAGACGGGGTTTCTCCATGTTGGTCAGGCTGGTCTCAAACTCCCGACCTCAGGTGATCCACCCGTCTTGGCCTCCCAAAATGCTGGGATTACTGGTCTGAACCACTGTGCCCGGCCCTACTGGGCAGTTTTAAGTCCCCATCTTCCCTGTCTCCACACAGTGTCTTCCTTTTGACACATTTTTCTCTCATCCAAAACAGTCCAATCTCCTGATTTCTCTCCTGTTTCCATGGAAACTTGCTCTTACTTAGTTTTCTCAGGGACTGCTATTCTACTCTACTTTTTTTTGTTTTGTTTTCCTATGGCTTTAAACCATTTTTTTTTCCTGAAGCCTTCTGTTTTTTTTTTTTTTTTTTTGAATAAATTATTTAGCCAAGACTTCTTTTGAGCCTCATGCTTTAAATGTTATCATTTCTTGACATGTACACTTGCATATCTCACATGTATTGAAACCTCACCCTAAATTGAACTCTGTGCTTCTCTTCTCTATTCCTCAATTATCCCTGAACCAGTCATCCCTCCAGTCCTCTATCCTTCCAGATGCCCATGTCAGAAACCTGGCAGTTATTGAAGATACCGCTCTGTTATGCATCCTCCTGCTAAATCCACCACCAAGTCCTATTTGATTCTTTCTCAGAAATACCTCCTGAATTCTTCCCTTTCTAACCATCTCCACAAATAACAAAACCACTATGTATTTTCAGCTAGGTTACTGCAAAGCCTTCTGATTACTCTCCCTGCTTTATATTGTGCTCATCTCAAGTCCATTTTCCACACAGCAGCTAGGATGCACTCTTAAAATTCCAGATTCAATTATTTTACATTTGGCTTAAGATCTTCCAGTGACTTTCCATTTCACAGAAAATAAAATCATCTTCAGCATTTCCATTAGACTCCACATGATCTAGCCCTTGCCTCCCTCTCTGAACTCATTTTATGTCTTTTGTCCTCCTATGAGACCGAGCTAAACTCACTCTCTTTATGTTTTCTTAAAAAGGCTTCTTTTGTCTCCATGTGAGGGCCTTTGCACATGTTGTTCTGTTTGCTTGGAATGTTCTTCCTTTGTGCTCTTCACTGGAACATTTCTCTGGAATCACAGGAAATGCCTTTTCTTAGGAGAATTTTCTTTCAAATGTTTGCAGTCCAAATTAGAAATGCCTCTCCTGATATTGTCTTCTAGAGCATAATATTATATTGCTTTATAGAATGAATCATAATTTATTATACTATATTGAGAGGCAATGCAGGATGAGTTTTTTTCGTAGATAAAATGGGGATAATGATAATGTTTATCTTGCAGAGCATTTGCAAAGACGAAATGATTTACATTTGTAGAATATGTAGTAAATGCAGCACATAGTAGACACTATATAACTGTTTATATATTTATGGTATTTTTGTGTGTGCAGATAATTATGTCTGAAAGCATAAAACTACTACCTGCCATGATTCTTGGCATATAATAGGCTGCTAGTAAATATTTGCTTAATAAACTGATGAACTGTGCAATGTACCTTATAATTACGTTCAGTGATCTTCAGAGAAAAAAATGATGAATTATATTTGCAAGAATATGTAATAACTTATGACCCACTCATTAAAATAAGTATATGTTTTTGATGTGAAAATATCTTTAACATTTTATCTGGCCAGTCCCTTTTTTCTGGCAAATATGCTTTTTTTTATTATTCCCATTCTGCAGATGTGACAGTTTAGGTGCCAAGAGCCTGAATAACTTTCACAAATTACAGAGTTAATAAATGATTGGATGACTCCACTCATCCTCTTATCCTGGATTTTGTTGCAGCATTCCTATTGTTCTTTCTTTTTGGAAATATCCAGGGAACGATGTGAATATTTTTTATGGGGTTGACGAAGTTACTTTGATGATCGTTCTTAAATTTTCCATTTTGGGCAGTTATCGTTGGAGTTGATGTTTTCTCTCCCACAGCCTCTCTGCTGTTCAGGGCTCCATCACCTTGCCTCCAAGGTTCCCCTGGCACTCTTTAGTAACCTCTAAAGTGATATTTCTAAAAGGCTACCAGTTGTTCTTGATTCAGATTGCTTTCCTCTGTTAGCCTCTGTAGAAAGACAGTACCATCAGATTTCAAAATGACTAAACATTGATTCATGTTATTCAGTGTATTACTTTTCCAACCAGTCTTTCCTAATAAGAGGCAATGAAAATATTTAACATGTCCACACAACCAGGGCAAGCATCCCATATCATTTCTGGATCCTGCATCTATTTCATTGCTTTGGATTATTTTTTCTACATGCTCATTAAATTTGAGAACTAGAAGGGATGTCATATAATTTAATTCTCAAATTTATAAGCAGGGAAAGCAGGCTTCGGGAATATAAGCAGCAGACTCAGCGTTCCAGTATGGGTTGGTAGCTCAGATGAAAATAGCCATTGGTTTCTTAATGCACCTTTGTCACCAGCCTACTCACTTTTCCATTTGAAAGAGTAAGCAATGCAATACCGTTTAGGAGTATCAAACACAAATTCTATGAAAACTATATGGTTGATTTTAATGTTCATTTATATATTTACTTTTTAATCTTTTGCAGTTTAACAGCAATGCTCAGGATGTAAGCTGTTTTCAGCACCTTGTCCAAGCAAATGTAAGAAATAAAAAAGTGTTGAAAGACGCGGTGAATAATATCACAGCCAAAGGAATTACAGATTATAAGAAGGGCTTTAGTTTTGCTTTTGAACAGCTGCTTAATGTAAGTATCATGCTATGTCTTTTGTTGTTGTTGTTGTTCAATTGTAGTATCTGAATTTCAATATTCTGATAGTTACTACTCTCTGGGATTAGATAGTGCTGTTTTTCATTTATTTAAAACACAGATGTGTGCAGGCAGAAGAAACCTTTGAACTATTTTTATCTTTGAATTTAAAATTCAAAAGGCATCTAAAATGTAGATTTTTAAGTTTTTGATATTTTTTATCTATGTTTTAAAAAAATTTATAAGGAAATAATTTAATTTTGAATAAGCACTTGAAACTTAATTGGCCTATATAGAATATCATTACTTTTTCTTATCTCAATCACCACAGTATTTATCTGTAACCTTGCACTTTCAATCATCAAATGGTTACTGAGAACATTTTAGTTTTAAACATCTAGTTTGGGTCTTTAAATTGTTCCTAAAATGTACAGAAAGTTCCAAATGGTAGACATTAAGATGAACAGAAATGCAACTCCCGGAGCAGGAATTCTTTCTGAGTGAGGATTCCCCACAATCACTCATCAGTGTCTAGACTGTCAGATACTGGCGTGCTTATTGCCCCATGTTATAGCATGTGTCTTTTTTTTTTTTGAAATGGAGTTTCACTCTTGTCACCTAGGCTGGAGTGCAGTGGCACGATCTTGGCTCGTTGCAACCTCCGCTTCCTGGGTGCAAGCGATTTTCCTGCCTCAGCCTCCCAAGTAGCTGGGATTACAGGCACCCGCCACCATGCCCAGCTAATTTTTGTATTTTTAGTAGAGACGGGGTTTCACCATGTTGGCCAAGCTGGTGTTGAACTTCTGACCCCAGGTGATCCACCCGCCTTGGCCTCCCAATGTGCTGGGATTACAGGCATGAGCTACCGCTTCCAGCCTTATAGTGTGTGTCTCATACTGTGGACTAGTGTTTTTAAATTGCCTTGCCCTCTATTTCACTTTGAGTTACTTAAAAGCAGGGACCATTGTTCAATTATTTTATTTCTTACTAGGCAATATTATTATCATGTTTGAGAGTAGGAACCTTACTTCTCTGCACCTTGGTTTCCACTTGTATGCATTAGAGGTCACTATGACATGTACCTCAGAGAATTGTGCATAAGATTGTCCACGGAACCTGGCATGTAGCAAACCACACGCAGGTGTAGGTTGCTGGGTGGTATTGGAGTCATGGTCATTATTGCTGTAATTACTAGCCCACATCTGGTAAAAAGTCAGATCATAATGTCTGTTAATATTTGCTGAATCACTGAATGAACTCTTATATTTGATCTTTATGCAAATATGAGTTTGTTGTTCCTGAGTGAATATTCTAAATAGTTTTTGAGATATCCAATTGGGTGATTCATTTATTCATTCAGCCAAAATTTATTGAATGCATCACCATTTCCTGTCATAGTGCTGGTGCTGGAATTATAGAAGTAAACAGGACCAGCTGCTCTGAGTGCTAAATCATCATCCACAGAACAGTGTGCAAGTGCCATTACAGGATATTTAGCGTGTTCCCTGGGACAGCACAGAGGATGGGCCCAGCTCCTCAAAGGAGGTCAGGAAAAGTGTGGCATTTCCGTGAAAATGAGGTTTTGAAGAATGATTAGAACTTAGGTAGGTAGAGGAAGGGAAAATTATTTCAGAAAAAGGAGCATATTTTAGACAAATCACAGAAGTGTGACACAACATAGCACAGTAAAAAATTGCAGATGGCTGGCATAGTTGGGACATGAGCAATATAGGAACTTGATGGAAATGGAAAGGCCATGAGGTATCAGTTAAGGAAGTGTTTAGGGGCAAAGGAAAACTTTATAGTATGGCCTTGGAGTGTTCTAAGTTAAGGAAGGTATTCGTAGAGATGCTGGTGTGGGAATAGAAGTGAGGAGCTATTAAGGAGCATGGCATGGGAACTGATTAAGTGGTGTGGGCTGGGTTGCAGAGTGAGAGGGGCTTAGGTGACTCTACATTCTCTGAACTGAACTAGTAAGTAGATGATTGCACAGGAACACACATAGAGGAAATGTGGGGGTAGAAATAGCTCAGTTTCAGATATGTTGAATTTGAGGTCATGTTATTTAATAGACACCGTTAGATTAAGAAGACAGAAAATCAGAGATGTGCAGCCCTGCTATTTCCAAGGGAAATAATGTGTGGTGAGATGCATATGTTTGTTAAATGTTGTATGTTCATTAATAAAAATTAAAAGCTCAAAACTACAAAATTGTACTGTAATTAACCGTTAGATTAAGATGTATCCTTCCTCTAGTAAAGGAATATGGTTGTTTTTGATAAAAATTATTTTTTGCTTAAGTCAATAATTGAGTTTCCTTGATCTTGGCATTTTAATTATTCTTCTTAGTATTTTTTTTCCCCTCACTTCATTGCCTCCTGTTTAGGTTTCAGTTGTGAAATGATCAGGAGTTTCAAGTGTAAAGTACAATTTCAGAGGTAGCCTCACTAGAGAGGCCACATTAACTTCCAGATTTATTACTAGTTGCTGATAAAATATGATTTAACTCCTATTGGCCTCTCCTGCTGCCTTTATAACTGCTACAATTGTAGTGATTTTTAAAATATGGTCCCAGTTGTTCCCTAAGTAAGTCTAATGTGTTTTACTTTCCATACATCCCACATATATATTGAAATTCTTTATGTTAAAATAATTTGAAGCATATTGTGTTTTCTTTCAAACACTTCCAGTCATCTTATTGCTCAAATGCCATTCTGGTTTTTTTTTTGTCCTCGCAGCATTTACCTTTAAGATCACTGAAGCAAGTATTAAATAGCATTAGACATATCAGTCCCAAAGTAAAACTTACATTTAGATTTGAATTAATCTTCAGGTACCATTTCATAAAATATTACCATATATATGCATTTTTCAAAAAAACTTTATATAGAGTGTATATATGATAGATGCTGTGCTATATACTGGCACACAGAAATACAGCAAACTACCATATTAAAGTAAGTTACCAACTCTACTAATTGTAATTTTATTGAAACAATCTTGTTTTTTTGGCTTAATTTGTTCAAAGCCAGTTAATTGTTGTCGCTGTGTGATTCTTTAGATAATTGCAAATGCATGGAAAATTTGCTATTATGTACTTGGCTCCACCACAAGTCCTGAGAGGCTACTCCTAGGAAAAATCATGTTGAAGGCAAAACAATTTCTTTATTTTCCCCATATTCCTTCTTTTGTGTATGCCCTAACATCTCTCTCTCGGGAAATGTTGTTATAATTTTATTTACGTAAGTATACAAATGATCAGCAAGACCTAATGTGTTGATTTACATTGATATTTGCATCCAATAATAGTACTTTCAGTACTTCAAAAACAAAACCATGTCCTATGGTTTTGTTTAACATTTTTACAGGATAGTTCTTTAGGTACATATTATTTTGACTATTTTACACATGCAGATAAAAAAGACAAATCACTAGAGAAACTAATTTTAGTTAAGGGATTTGAGGCATGTTTCACAAAACTATTTTGATGATAAAATAGGCAACTTTTTGTGTAGTCAGATTTTCAGATAGGTTACCTTCAAAGATAACAGCCATGTTGAAAGTGACAAATTATATTAGTTAATACTTGTGCTTTCACAATGTTTGATTAAAAGCTTTTACTGCCAATGTTCTAATGGCTGAGTCCATGGAATGAGATGACCTGAAACAGGATCTTTTCATTAATAAAGAAAAACGTTGTATTTATTAATTTTCACAAGGGAAAATGGGTTTTATCTTCTTTGAAAAAATAAGGTAGAGCATGGACCTTCAATGACTTAGAACACTAAAGAAAAAATAATTTTTAAAAAATATTAGTCATTTAAAAGCCAGGGCTGTGCCATGCTGTACAATATGGTAACAACAATCACAGGTGGCTAGTGAGCACTTGAAAGGTGGCTGATCTGAAATGATATGTTGTGTAAGTATAAAATGCATACTGAAGTTTGAAGACTTATGGAAGAAAAAGCTGTATAACATCTCAATATTGATTGATACCTAATATTGATTAATATTTTGGATGACTGGGTTAAAGAAAATATATTATTAGGATTAATGTCAGATATTTCTTATTACTCCCCTTAAAGTAGTTATTAGAAAATTTAAAGTTCCATATGAGGCTCATGTTATATTTCTTTTGGACAGCACTGAACCTAGGGTTGACATTTTCAAAGAAGCTGAGCATTCATAAATTAGTGTGATCTTTTATTCTCAGCATTTAAAGCAAACACATTTCACAACAGTAGAAAAGTTAAGATAATAATTTTGGACCTCGGAGAAGTCCAGCTTTCTAAATTAATTGTTCATTTTAATGGCCCTTTGGTGCTAATCCATCATTCTCCCATATCTAACTCTTTTGGAGACCTTAAAGTGTAAGAAGATTTACCATGGACTTGAGTCTTTCAGGATTAGAATATGTGTGGTTGGTTGAGAGAGGATAAGAGGACATCCTGGGAATAGGTATCAGCATTTACAAAGGAACAAAAGAGCATTGCATTTTAGGTGACCAGTGTTAGGATTTGTGATTTCAAACATGTGAAGTGAATAAAGTAGAATGAATAAAGAGGGAAGAAAACACTTATTTGAAAGTGGATTGAAGATACACATTTTAAATTAATGTTATTTTTTGTTTATACTATAAAATCATATGTGCATAAAATTGACATTTATTAAAAGCTCATTTTTTTAATAAACTACTGAGATTTTATTATGTGCTAGGCAGTCTTCTATGGAGGGACAAAGAAGTCTTTGAGCAAAAAAGACAAAGCTTCCTTCCCTTATGTAGCTTACATTCTGTTGGGGGATACCAACAATAAACAAACAAGAAAATAAAATATGTATATAAAAGAAAGTAAAATGCTATGAAGAAACATACTATCTTGGAGGGAGACTGCAATTTAAAACATAGTTGTGAGTAATCACCTCATGATAAAGTGGCGTATGATCAAAGACTGAAGGAAGTGAGATAGACTTATGGTTATCTGGGTGGTGAGGGGAAGGCCTGGTGAAGGGGGTGGGCCTGAACTGATCCAGGAACCAGTTCTTAGAATATATTTTGTGAGCAGATATTTCATTAATTACTTGCAACCTGCTCATGCTCGTTCCATATAGCTTTATTTTCTCTTTTATTGTGAATAATACGCATATTGTTTTGTTTGGTTTTGTTTTTAACAGTATAATGTTTCCAGAGCAAACTGCAATAAGATTATTATGCTATTCACGGATGGAGGAGAAGAGAGAGCCCAGGAGATATTTAACAAATACAATAAAGATAAAAAAGTGAGTGTAATTTTATAATATTTAAATTTTAATAATGATCTAGGTGGTTTTTAAAGAGATAGTGGGTAGTGGTAGTGAGGGGAGAATTTTTGATTTAAAACCTGATTGTGCCAATTATAAAGCCATATGAATCATAGATTATAAACTAATAGGTGTATTAGAGAGCTGTTAAGTATAATATTTATATCATATTCACAAGCAACTCATGCCTAATATGTTAATAAAGTATATGTATGGGTCCTATTTTATTCTTATGCATAGATTGTAAATAAAATGTTATTAAAATAGAGAAATCAAAGGAATGGTAAAATAGGAAAAATTTTAAACTTTAAGGTTTATTGGATAAAATTTATTATATTATTTAATTATTAAAGATTGCAGTAATACTCAAATTTCCTAAATACTCAAAAAATGTCTAAGTATTGTTTTGTAAATTTACAAAAAGGCAGTTTACAACAGCAAAAACTACATCCTCATTTGAAAACTGATTCCTTTCAAGAAAAGATGAAGACAAATCCTTTTATAGGTATAATGTATTAAAAGAAAGCATTTCATAAGCAAATGAAGACTGTGAAGATTAGTGTTTGTAGTTGGAATATATTTGAATGTATGTTTTACTATAAGGGAAGAGTATTACAGAGAGGGACCTCATTGAACCTGATACTGTGGAGGAATATCAGCTTCAATCAAAACTCTAACTACTTTTTCTAGCCGTCCTATTATCAGCTTATTTCAATTTTCTGACCAACACTCCACATTTTGTAAGAATACTGTGATTCTCAACCTGGTTTCCTAAAATGCTAATGATTCATTTAAAAAGTAATGAGAAATTATAAACTCTTTCTGGTGTTTCAAAAATTTCTACAAAAATCATACATTTATATATAAGAAGACTCTGCAGGGTAAAATGCCCATTCACTTTGCTTCTGATTGGAATTTTCACCATTTTGAAAGGTGTGGTTATTGCTAGCTCTAATGGATTGTTTTATATGTGCTTGAGGAACACACATGGATTGGGTGTTGAAAAGCGAGACAAAAATGAATATGTTCAGATGGTTTGGTGACAAAATATTGTGAATAATGGCGAACAGTTTGATGAAAATTTTTGGAACCCTTTAAGATACTCTAGGTGCTAAAATTTTCGGCCTATGAGTATTTGAAAATGATCAAAAGACTGAAATAATACACATATAATTTCAAATTAATTAAACTCTGCTTACTGCATGTACTACAGTGTCATACAGTTTAATGTAAGGTTTAAGGGTACATCTTTTGGTTTTTGTTTAGCATCTGGTGATTTTAATAGCATAGAGGAACCACTTTTGAAAAGTTGATAAATGAACTGAGCTGTTAATAGATTGTGAATATTTTCAAGTGATAACTAGATTCTACGAATATTTCTTTCAAAGAAATCATCAGAAATGAATGGGAATATCCAGATGCATTAACTAATATGTGCATATCTTTATTTAATAACTCTTACTCCTTAATCAAAATTCAGGGTAATCCTCACCACCTGGAAGATGTCCCTGAACCTCCTTGCCACTGTAGGCTCCTTTAGATGCTTGGCCTCTGATCCCATAGCACACTGTGCAAAGCCATATACATATCCTTCACTCTGTACTCTACCCATGGCATCTCTCCTCTGTTCCTCTCTGGATTAAAAAAAAAAAATCTACAGTATTGGGACAGTGTCCTGTTTAACTGTGAACTTTAGGCATGCAGCCCAGAGCACAGATCCAGTGATAGTTCCTAATACATCACAACAAATAAATTGAGAATACGTAACAGAGGTTGGAAGCATGAGTGCTGTTACAGGACAGATTTATAATTATAAAATATAACTGGGGGCAAGGAATATGCTGCTTTCACATATTTTAAATAATCTAGCATTTCCTTATTTTGAAGAACTCAAATATAACAAAAGTTTAACACAAAATTCAATTCTATTAATATAAAATGTACTATCTCAAAAATTTACAAATTAATCTTACTCTGATAATTGGAAGGGACTTTTTAGCATCTTATATTTGTCATAATTTTAAGTATACTATTTTGTGATAGAAGTATATAAGTGCAAGCCACTACTTATATCATTTTAATAGGTACTAAGTGTAAATAAATCATTTTTTTCCTTTCATTATGTAATCATCCAAAGCAACCACTAGGAATCTTGTTCACCTCTACATACTTTATTTCAAAAATGAAAAGTTTTTGACTCAAAGATGGCAATGAATTTTACATTCTGTGTTCAAATTTGTGCATGAGATATATCCGATTTTAAAAGAGTATAAAGGTTTTTTCAGGTGGATTTAACTAAAAGTATATAAATAAGAACAAGTTGCTTTCATGTAAATTCAGAAATGTGGTGTTTTTTGTTTTTTTTTTTCCTGTTTCGGAATTCTCTATACATCCAGGATTAACACATAGTGTCTTGGAGGCATATCATTAATTTGATCTTTTTCTTTTTTTTAAACACACAAAGTTTTATGTTATAAGGAAAGTAAATGTATTCCATCCACTATTTTCACAAATTGTTCAGTTGGTTGAATTAGTGAAGAATTTATGGGTTTAAAGCTTCTTTTCTATGTATGGATCCTAAAAATGTCCAATCTAAATATCATTATCTTGAAATACAGCTTCTCATTCCAGTCACCTTTTACAGGAGCTCAACTTTTTAAACAAAGGTTGCATTTCATGACAAGATAAACCACATGATAAAAAGATTCATATCACATGTACTTTTATAAAACTAATAAATCAAGTTATATTCAACTTCAACAGTCCTGCTCTTTGTCTGCTAACATACTGATGCTGTGTTTTAAGGACACACACATTTTTCCTGAAAACATATAACCTTTATTAATGCCAAGGCAATTGTGAAAATTAAGTAGTTAACATTCAGTTGTGGTGATGTTTCATTTAATTTTGTCTCTAACATAAAAATTAAAATATTCTTGGAACTGCATATTATATTGTTTGTTTTTCTAACTTCAGAGGCTATAACAAAGTTCTGTGATACACAGTAATACATATATAAAAGCCTGCATACATACATACATACATACATATATATATATCCACACATATTTATATCTGTTTCAAATGGATATCCCCTCCAGGAACAAGGAACCATGTATATAGCTTTGGCATGACCTCTCTTACATAAAGTGATATGAGCAAAAGCCAACAGATGGTTGAGAAGTAAATGAGGAATGAGGAAGTAGGAATATAAATATAAGCTGTTTTTCTTTTTTAAATCATGGCAAATTTGCTAAGAAATAAAAGAGAAGAATAAGACAGTTAACTCAGGGTCAAGTTGTGCGCACACACACAGGCATACCTCAAAGATGCTGAGGGTTTGGTTCCAGATCACCACAACCACAATAGAGTGAAAATTGCAATTAAGTGAGTCACACAAGTTTTTTGTTTTCCCATTGTGTATAAAAGTTATGTTTACTATATACTGTAGTCTCTTAATTGTGTGATAGCACTTTGTCTAAAAAAAGTACATACCTTAATTAAAGAATACTCTATTCTTTAATTCACAAAATGTATAACAAACACTAACGATCATCTAAGACTTCAGCAAGTCTTTGTATTTTTGCTGGTGGAGGGTCTTGCCTTAATGTTGATGGCTGCTGACTGATTAAAGTGGTGGTTGCTGAGGGTTGGATGGCTATGGCAATTTCTTAAAATAGGACAACAATGAAGCTGGCTGCATTGACTGACTCTTCCTTTCACAAAAGATTTCTCTGTAGTATGCAGTGCTATTTGATAGCATTTTACCCACACAGAACTTTTAAAACTTGGAGTCATTTCTCTCAAACCCTGGCACTGCTTTATCAAATAAGTTCATCTAATATTCTATATCCTTTGGGTCACTTGAAGAATGTTCACAACATCTTTACCAGGAGTAGATTCCATCTCAAGAAACCACTTTCTTTGCTCATCCGTAAGAAGCAACTCCTCATTTGTTCAAGTTTTATCATGAGATTGTAGCAATTCAGCCCATCTTCAGTGTCCACTTCTAGTTCTCTTGCTGTTTCCACCACATCCACATCTGCTGTTACATCCTCCACTGAATGCTAGAACCCCTCAAAGCCATCCACAAGGGTTGAAATCAACTTCTTCCAAATTCCCGATAATGTCGATATTTTTGTCTTTTCCCATGAATCACGAATGTTTGTAATGGTATATAGAATTGTGGATCTTTCTAGAAGGTTTTCAGTTGGGTTTTCCCAGATCAGTAAGAGGAATCACAATTTATAGCAGCTATAGTCTTACCAAATGTGTTTCTTAAATAATTAATAAGACTTGAAAGTCACAATTAGTTCTTGATCCATGTGCTACAAAATGCAAGTTGTGTTAGCAGGCATGAAAACACATTAATCTCCTTGTAAATCTCCATCAGAGCTCTTGGGCGACTACCTACATTGTCAGTGAGCAATAATTTTTTTTTAACATATGTTTCAATAGTGGGCTCAAAATATTCAGTAAACCATGCTGTAAACAGATGTGCTGTCATCCAGGCTTTGTTGGTTCATTTGCAGAGCATAAGCAGAGTAGATTTAGCATAATTCTTAAGGACCCTGAGATTTTTGGAATGGTAAAAGAGCACTGGCTTCCACTTAAAGTCACCAAGTGCATTAGCTACTAAGAAGAAAGTCAGCCTGTCCTTTGAAGCTTTGAAGCAGGCAATAACTTCTCCTTTTTAGCTATGAAAGTCCTAGATAAAATTGTCTTCAAATACAAGGCTGTTTTCTCTACATTGAAAATCTGTTGTTTATTATAGTGGCCTTCACCAGTGATCTTAGCTACATCTTCTGGATAACTTGCTGCAGCTTCTACATCAGCACTTGCTGCTTCACCTTGCACTTTTATGTTATAGAGATGCCTTTTTTCCTTACACCTCATGAGCCAACCTCTGCCAGCTTCAGGGACCACTGAATATAACAGTATGATATCACTATATTCACTGTATCAGATATAATGATCACTATAACAGATGTAATAATAATGAAAAAGATTAAACTATTCTAAGAATTACTAAACTGTGACAGAGACATGAAGTTAGCGTGTGCTGTTGGAAAAATGGCAACAGTGGACTTACTTGATACAGGGTTGCCACAAACCTCCAATCTGTAAAAAATGCAACAAAGAACCATGATAAAATGAGATATACCTGTACACACATATGATTATATGCATATTATTTTACAATAGAAGACCTTATACATTATTATAGGCTAAAGATGAATGAAAGGATACTCAGACAAGGAAAGCTTATAGATACAAAACTGAGAAAGGCTAATTGATAGAGATCTTGAAAAGAGGAGGGATTGAGAGAGAGATGGAACACGTTTCTGAATTTGACAAGTAGGTATTAATTTCTGGAAACATTGCTGTCCCACATTTCATATGCACTGTGAAGTTAAATGACATCCCACATTTTCTAATGTGAGAAGGCCATGTTAAATGAATAAAACGTTCATCTTGGAATTTGAGATATTTAGGTACAGGCATGCAATCACATTACATCATGGAAAATTGAGTACCCATCCCCTTAAGCATTTATCCTTTGCATTACAAAGAACCCAATTATACATTTTCATTATTTTTAAATGTACCATTATTATTTACTATATCCCTCTTGTGCTGTCAAGAACTAGGTCTTTTTCATTCTATTTTTTTGTACCCATTAATCATCTCCACCTCCCTACAAACCCCCAGCATACCCTTCTCAGCCTCTGATAACCACTATTCTCTTCTCTATCTCCTGAAGTTCAATTACTTTGATCTTTAGATCCCACAAATAAATGAAAACAAGTATTTGCATGTTCTGTGTCCACTAATAATGAGTATAAATGATAGCAGACAACCACCTTTAATTCAGTTATACTTTTGAGTATACCTGTATTTTATTAAAACAACAGCATTTGTGTAGTAATTGTTTATGCCCAGGACATATGTGTATGTGTAGAGTGCTTATATACATAAAATAGTGTACATATGTACATTATATATTTTTCACCATCTTCAAATATGGCTTCAAATGTGTGTGGATGAATTGAGGAACATGTTCTAACTTTATTGCCTGCTGTACACACACCCACCCTGTGTGAGCGATCTGCAGCCCACAGATATTAATAACAAAGATAATTGTTTATTGTTATCTAAAGTTGTGCATGCAGTACTAATTCCAGAGCCACAAAATTAATGTTACATAATACGTTTATCAACTCAGCATTTCACTTTCCACAGAAATACTATCTTTCAAATGGCCAATGTGTAAAAATGAAATTCGATAGATTTAGTAAAATATAAATGCTCAGTACTCTTAAAAATTCTATGTTTGAATGCAACTTTTTAAAAAAACTTTTTTTAAATAAGTTCACATGTAACTTTAAAATATCAAAATGACAAACATAAAGGAAGAAAGAAAATACAAAAGAAAAATAAGACAGAAAATAACAAAATGACATTAATAAATTTTGTCTTATCAATAATAATTTTAAATGTAAATGAATTAAACTCCCCAGTCAAAAGACACAGAGTGGCTGAATGGATAAAAAACAAAACCACACTATATGCTGCCTATCAGAAGTTCACTTTAGATTTAAGGACACACATAGGCTAAAAGTGAAGGGATGAAAAAAGTTATTCCATGCAAATGATAACCAAAAGAAAGTATGGATAGCTACATTTATATCAGACAAAACAGGCTTTAAGTAAAAAAAAAAAAAAAACTGACACGAGACAAAGAAGGATGTTATATAATAAAAGCATCAATCCAGCAATAATATATAACAAAGATGTATGCACCCAACATCAGAACATCTAAATATATAAAGCAAACATGGACAGCACTGAAGGGGCAAATAGGCAGCAATACAATAATACTAGAAAGCTTGAATACCTCACTTTCAGTGATGGATAGAACAGCCAGACAGATGATCAATCTGGAAACAGAGGACTTGAACAACACTATAACCAAATAGACTTAAACAGATAGAGAACATTTGACCCAATAGAAATAATACACATTTTTCTCAAGTGCATATGGAACATTCTTCAGGATAGATCATACGTTAGGTCACAACAAATTCTTAACAAATTCAGATTGAAATCATACCCAGTCTCCTTACTGACCACAGTGGAGTGAAACTAGAAATTAGTAGCAGAAATAAATAGTCTCCTTTTGCAGATGACATGATCTAAATATAGAAGACACTAAAGGACTTCAAAAAGCTCATTAGAACAAATAAACAAAATTCAGTAACATTGCAGGAGACAACATCAACATTTGAAAAATCAGTTGTGTTTCTATACTCTAACAACTAACTACCTGAAAGGAAAATGAGGAAAACAATCTCATTTACAATAGACCCAAAAAGAATACTACAGTTAGGAATAAACTTAACAAAGGAGGCGAACTTAACAAAGGAGTTTTATATACTGAAAACTGTAACACTGTGATGAAAGAAATTAAAGAAGACACCAATGGAAAGACATCTCATGTTAATGGATTGGAAGACTTAATATTGTTAAAATTTCCATAGTACCCAAAGTGATCTACAGTTTCACTGCAACCTCCATCAAAATCCCAATGGCATTTTTAATAAAAATAGAAAAAAATTCTAAAATACATATAAAACTACAAAAGACCACAAAATAGCCAAAGAAATCTTGAACAAAACAAGACTAAAGCTGGAGGCATCACACCTCCTAATATCAAAATGTATTACAAAGCTTCTGGTAATCAAAACAGTAGGGCACTAGCATAAAGACAGACATTTAGACCTTTGGAACAGAATAGAGATCCCAGAAATAACTCCATGGATATATGGCCAATTGATCCTCTATAAGGGTGCAAACAATACATAATGGTTTCCCCATTGTGCAACAAATGGTGTTGGAAAACTGAATATTGACATGCAAATAAAGATGAAATTGGATCCTTATCTGACACCATACACAAAGAACAACTCAAAATGGATTAAAATCTAAAATTTAAGACCTAAAATGTTAAAACTCCTGAAAGAGAACAGGGAGAAAGCTTCATGGCATTCATTTATTTTGGTAATGATTTCATGGATACAGCACTAAAAACATAGGTAATAAATCCAAAAATAAGTGAGACTACATCAAGCTAAAACTCTTGTCCACAGAAAAGGAAACAATCAACAGAGCTATAAAGACAACTTTTGGAATTGGGAAAATATTTACAAGCCATATATTTGATAAGGGGTTAGTATACAAAATATGAAAATAACTCCTACAACTCAAGAGCAAAACATCTCTAATAACCCAATTGAAAAATGAGCTAAGTACTTGATGTTTTTGGAGAAAAGACATAGAGGTAGCCAATAGCTACATGAAAAAATGTACATTACTGGTCATCAGGGAAATATAAATCAAAACCAAAATGAGATATCATCTCTTACCTGTCAGGATTGCTGTCATCAAAGAAACAAAAGACAAGTGTTGGGGAGGATGTGGAGAAGGTGGAATCCTTGCACAATGTTGATGAGAAGGCAAAATTGTGCAGCACCCACGGAAAATAATATGGAGGTCCCTCAAAGAATTAAAAATATAACTACCATAGCATCCAGAAAGCCTACTTCTGGATACTTATCCAAAAAAAAAACTGAAGTTAGGATCTTGAAGAGTACTTCTATATTCATTACAGCACTATTCAAAATAGCCTAGATGTGGAAACAACCTTAATGTTCCTTGACAGATGAATAGATAAAGAAAATGTGGTATATACATACAATGCAATGCTACTCAGCATAAATAAAAGGAAATTCTCAATATGTGCAAACCTGGATGAACCTTGAAGACATTGTACCAAGTGAAATAAACCAATCAAAAAATATTGCATGATTCCACTTACATGAGATATCAAAAATGGTCAATTTCATAGATTCGAAGAGTGAAATAGTGGTTGCCTGAAGTGGGGAGAAGGGAGAAATGGGGAGTTACTAATCAGTGGACATAAAGTTTCAGTTAAGCAAGATGAATAAGCTCCAGAGATCTGCTGTAAACATTGTACTTAGAATCAGCCGTAATACATTGTACATTTAAATGTGTGTTAGGATGGTAGATCTCACCATAGGATGGTAGTTCTTACCATAATGTAATAAAATTTAGAAATACAGAAAAATTACAACATCTTGAAAGAAAGTTTGGTGAGCTTAAAAAAAAAAACCTAACTCTTTGTTTTCCCCCAAGCCTCTTGTTTAATACTAATGTGGCTGCAGAATGCTTCATTTACATTCATATTTCATCTAGATGAATCAGAAATCTTTCAGAGCAATCCAGGTAGGCCTGATGAGTTACAATTGGAGAGCTGATGAATGAGGCTGCAGGAGATACACAGCACAATTTAATGAGGCCAAAAGGTTTGAGAATTAGAACAAAATGTTTGAGTTCTTTTGTGAAATGTGCTACTCTTGGGAATTAATCTACCTGATTATAGATAGGTATAGCTTTAAAACAGGATCCATGTTAATCTCCTCACACAGCTGTTCCAAATTAAAATACATTTGCTTTATAATCTTTACCTGCAGCATTGCCATTCCTTAGGGCTCACCCATGTACATGAGACCTCCTTAAAAATAGTGCCAAAACTAAAATGAACTCTATCCCGTAGTCCAAACAAATGAATAAAGGAAAGTAAAACCAGACACAGAGTTGAAAGATAATTTCCAGGGCTAGCAAAATTATTTTATTTTCCATAGAATAGCCAAGGGACTGCTTAGCAATACATACTTAAGATTGCCTAGCCAGTAAGGAAATAGTTCTCTGATTCTTTAATTCTCAGAATTAATTTAAAAAATGAAAAAACATTCAAATTAATAAAAATTTCAAAATAACTAGTAAATTGAATGAGAACAAATGAGAAAAAAGCATATGATATGAAATAACTTTCAAAATAAAGAATGCACATCTAAAGTTATAATCACTTGACAATAAATCCATTTTTGAGAATGCATTATTCTTAACGTACTTATTTTAAAGAATTCACTTTAAAAAATGATTGAGAAAGTCTTTTCTATTTTGCTCTCAGATCCAAACTAGAAATGGTCAATAGTTTGTAAAATCTAAACCAAGTTACAAATATCTGAATATGCAGATGTGTTTTATGTAGTTAGAGTGAACATTGTCAGTTTTTCAACAGATAGTAAGGAAAATAATCCATGGAAAATAATTTATTGCATATCTAATGTCTCTGCTTGGCTTCTTCATGCAAAAGTAAAGCCTTTGGAGGAAATGTTCAAATATATGATAATGAAAGACATTTAACTTGTAGCATTTAATTCTATTTAACACATGGATTGCTTCTAAAAACTTTTGTTTCAGATATTTTGATGCTTTCAACAGCTTCTTAAATTTTTAGCTTTAGAATAGGGCTCTACCTTTGTTCATAAAAACCAAGTATTTATTCTGGAGTTACTGTGAAGCTGAAAACAATAACTACAATGTAATATGCCCAGCTAGTAGAGCGATCATCAATTTAAAAGATAAGTTTTATGCACGTGTGTGTGTGTGTGTGTGTGTGTGTGTGTTCTTGTCTCTGATAACATTTATTTACACTTGTTTCTCATAGAGTAAAATTAGTGTTGTCAGTCCCTCAAACTAAGGAATATTTTACCAGGCACATCTTCAGCTTTGAATAATATGACTTTAATGCATTTTACAAAGTCCTTTTAATATCTAAAACAAACTGAATGAAAAATGAGGTTAAGTATTACTTTATGCACAGAGTATATGATATGATGTAAACTTTATAGCACAGAAATGGCACTTGAAATTCCAAGTAAAATTTACTACCTAGAATTGAGATTGCCCATTGTTTGTGTTAAAATGTTATGCCAGAAAGGCACTTTTTGCTGGTTTTTCTGCTGCTCTCTTCTCTGATTAAGAACTCTGCTCACAGTATATCTTATCAGAGGGATTTTCCCCCAGTCAACCTTTCTACAGTTGTCTCTTTCCCCAGACATCCCCTTTATCATTCTCTATTTCAGCACCCTCTTTCTTCCTGGTCTTCTTTCCCTCAGATTACCATTTTTTAATTATTTTAATGCTTTCTTTGCTTTTTATCTGGAGCCTTCCTCTCTAATATAAACTCCACGAAGTAGTTGTATACATTTGTAAACATACCAATGAATTAATTCTTAAAGGATGGCACAGTACTTGATGCATGGTAGGTGCTCATTACTAGCAGATATGTTGGTCATATCAGTACATAGGCAATAAATATGCTCCTAATCTATACAAAATTCATAAATGTTAGAAAAATTAAATAGCTTTGTTCTTTTAGAAGGAAATCATTAAAAACAACATTATTTTCCTAAATTTGGAATGTGGAATAAAACTGTTATAGATGTTCTTATATATGTCATCTTATAAGTAGGGAACACTTCCGTTTATATAAAAAATGTAGTGATGGCACCTTTCCCTTCACTCTAATCAGTCTAACACATAGTTTTTCATGAGCATTCTCATTATCAGTGTCAGTGAAGTATTTGACATTTCCCAAGAGAAACATCTGAAATAAATCACCATACAGCTTATATTCTGACCTCTCAGCTGATAATACTCTTTGCAGAACTGCAAGTTGCTTGGAAATTCAGTGGGCCCGTAGCTTATTCTTCCTTTATCTAGTACTAAATGCATATAGAGAAAAAGGAAACTTCAGATTACTTCCTTATAATCTGATGTTATTAGGATGATTCATTATAGTTGCTAGTGAATTAAAAATATCATAGTATGAAAATATGTCATACACCCACAGGTAAGACACACAAGAGAAACACTAGCTTGGTTCTTTGTGAATGTGTGTGCAAAACTTACATGACTACTGCACTTTGTTGCCGTTTATAAAACAGTTTTTCTGTTTTATTTACTTGAGCGAATTCAACAGACATCGATTAAATTCTTCTCTCCGTCAGACACTCTAGCACATATGTTGGTCATATCTGTAAATTTGCAATAAATACAGGAAATTTCGTATAGATATATCTTATGTGGACATAATGGCATTTAGAAAATACCCTTTTTCATTAGAGTTTGTTGCTAAGTATGATAAAGCTCACCAAATTTGCTCATCTAGGAAGGTGTTATTTTGAGTTATTTTAGGTTCCTCTTGAGGCATAAAAGGCTAAAGACCCACTAATGGAAAATATTACATCATTTAATACTAATAGTTTGACTATAAAAGACATTGTTGTCTTCATCATCATCTTCATTACCATAGCTAATACTTACAGAGCTTACAATTTCCATATATTAATGCCTTATATTTACTTTTCACTTACAACTGGAATAATCATATTATATAATAATAATATCATCATCACCATCACCCCCATTTTGGAAATAAGAAAAGCAAAATCAGAAAAGTAAAGTAACTTGCTGAAAGTCATGTGGCTACTAAGTGGCAGAGTCAAGATGGTAATCTACAGTCTGAATTCCGTAACCTCATGCAGAATGCGCCTGACTGGCCATTTGTCTGTGTCTTTCTCTGAGCAGCTCTGTGGCTATGCTAATCATAATTTGCCCACCCAGGAGCCTGCCTTCAAGTCAGACAGCAAGACTTCCCCACAGGGATCTGCTCCTTACAGCTTTCATAGGCTAAGGTGGATCACCAAAACTTTGCAGGCTGCAAGTAACTTTCAGATCCTTGGGCTTTATAAAATAAAGTGTGAAAGGTGAATTTGGACACTTTTATTTATTACATAATGCTATAAAACTGGAGATATAGGCTAGTCAAATGCTCTGGATTCTGATGTATTTGTGAATTATGGAAACCACATTAGAATTTTACCCTAAAATATTCCATCCAATCTAGTATTTTCATAGGCTTAATGCCAAAAATTTTAGTACACAGAGTAGATTAATATAACCTATTTCTGACTTCATTTTTCTAACATGATTCGAAGGCTGAAGTTTTTATTTTATTTTTATTGGCTTTCTTCATAGACTAATTTCCATTATTCTTTGGAGATTTGCCTATTGTAAATTAAAGTTGAACTCTGGGTAACTGATAATTGTTGAGGTGACAGTTTCCAGTAACTGGGTTCTGCTGGGAAACAAATTCCTATGGCTTTTTAAAATAGGTTGACCCTGTGGCTTTGGAAAACTCTTAATTGAAGACAAGTATTTTAGTTTTCAAACAAAACAAAACAAAAACAGATTAGCAGAAGTCAGAACTGTAGGATAAAGTTACAAATCAGTGGGATATAAGGAACAAATCAGTAATACATTGTAAATAGCCAAAACTGCTCTTACTTAAAAGTCTTCTCAAATCAAGTAGGCCAGAGCTGTAATACCAAATTTAATTATTGGAATTATAATGTTCCTTTCAGAAGAAAAATAGTTTTGAAACAACTAAAAGTAAAATTATGTAAGTTTATAACTATGAAAAAGCCATAGGAATTTAATTTTTTTTGTTTTTTGTTTTTTGTTTTGAGACGGAGTCTCACTCCATCACCAGGCTGAAGTGCAGTGGTGTGATCTCAGTTCACTGCAATCTCCACCTCCCGGGTTCAAGTAATTCTCCTGCCTCAGCTTCCCAAGTACCTGGGATTACAGGTGTGTGCCACCATGCCCAGCTAATTTTTGTATTTTTAGTACAGACGGGGTTTCACCATGTTGGCCAGGATGGTCTTGATCTCCTGACCTCATGATCCACCTGCCTCAGCCTCCCAAAGTGCTGGAATTACAGACATGAGCCACTGCACCTGTCCACGAATTTAATTTTTAAGTTAATTACCCCATCCACCCCACCCCCACCCCACCAAGACAGAATCTCACTCACTGTGTTGCCCAGACAGAGTGCAGTGGTGTGATCTAGGCTCACTGCAACCTCCACCTCCTGGGTTCAAGCGATTCTCCTGCCTCAGCACCCTAGGGTAGCTGGGATTACAGGCGTGAGCCACCATGCTCAGCTAATTTTTGTATTTTTAGTAGAGATGGGGGTCTCACTATGTTGCCCAGGCTGGTCTTGAACTCCTGAGCTCAAGTGATCCACCCACCTCAGCCTCTCAAAGTGCTGGGATTATAAGCATGAGCCACCACACCTGGATTTAAGTTCAATTTTATTAAGTCTGCTCCCCAAATTACTATTGCTTTTACAATTATATAACTATGTGTGAATCCAGAATTATAAGAATTTTTTTTATTTTCAAGGAATAATATAGTACATAAATAAGTGTACTAAGTATATTTTGCCTAAAAAGTTGTTTACCTCCAGTAAGGATGTCTGCTTATTTAATATTAAATAAAAAGATTAAGAATGTATGATGATGTAAGTATAGTGAAACAGCCCAAATTGCAAAATGCAAGACACTAATAGCCCAGTTTTGGTCCTGCTCTTACCACATACTGTAATGAACTTACTGATATGTTGGATAACACCAAAGTCTTCTTACCCTCTGGTAAGAAGTAGAAACCACTCAAGCATCTATTCACTTGTTTTTAACAAACATTTGTTTTCATTTATGAGTAAGACACTACAATAGAAGCTAAATTGTATAATCTTGGAACTTTTAAAGCCCAATCCAACGTTTATTCAATACTAGCTTCCCACAGTATTTCTGTTGAAGACCTGTACTCCAGCATTATGAAAAATATTTGTCAAAGCCATCTGTTACTGTATATGTCTTGTGTGACTCTATGATGAAAATTTCATAGAAGCAAACATTTTGAAAGATGAGCCTACATAAAATCATATATGTTGAGAAACAATTAGCTACTTTTCTAGGAACATTTTACTCACAACAGAAAAGTTTTCATGTGCATTTGTTATATGAACCTAGTGTTGTGATTATAAATATACTACTAGGCATGAGTAAAGGAATTTTTTCTCCACAAAAGTCGCCTTAGCCTGGATGTAGACCTCCTCTAATGTAAGTGATTTGCTTGAGTGAGAGTTAAGATGAAATATTTAGCTTGTGTGACTACTAGTTAAGCATTTTGAGTTATTTTTGTATGTCATTTTGTTTTTATGTAAGATCATGCAAATGTGCTTAAAAGAACTGTACAAATACACATCTTTGAGAAGGTAATTTACCTTAAGTTTTAAATTGTACATATTTCAAGGAATCACTTTATTTTTCTATAACTCCAAAATTAAGGTTAAACAAGAACTGTAAGTTTAAAGAAGTAAAAAAAAAACATCTGAAGAAGCAGGGTATCAATCATCTCTGTGGACTTTAGCATCTGGAATTTAGTTCATTGACTATTCCACATGGTGGCAGTAGCATAGTATGGAATAGGAGGAATGAAACCATTTACAATTCCAAGTGGAAAGTTGTGTACACAAAAGTTCTTTTAAATTTAACCAATACATTATTTATATGCACTATACAATATGTAATGTGAAAGTTTATGAAATCAGTGAAGTTAAAATTCTTATGTAATTAGCTAAAATGTACAAAGAAAAAACAAGTTCAACAATGGTATGGCGCTAGGGAATGAAATTTTTTTATATTGATTTTTTACTGTCAAAGAATGTGTGTAAGGCACTACAATAGATCCTAAGTTTTGAATGACTTATATTAAACTTCTTCTCAACTGAATATATATTTATAAGATCATTATAGAAAGCTCTAAGATAATCTATATAATCCATAAAATCATTAAATACCTATGTGCATATGTGTTTGTATGTGTGTGTATATATACATACATATACGTAAAACCAAGATAAAATAATCTTGGGTATATTAGATTGCGTAAATATTGTAATGGTAAAGCAGTTGTATAAATTATAAAGAAGGTTGCATTTGCAATTAGGATTTTAGTAAACACTTGGAATAAAATTTCAGGAAAATAATGTCTTTAAAAATCTCTACAACAAGGCAAATGAAAATTGAGAAAAGGGGTACAAATTATACATTGATGACATGGGAATGATTCAGTTAGTTAATGCAGCTTACATTTAAGTAGCCAAGAACCTATGCAAGAAAAAGAACAAAGAGGTTTACAAAAGAGTTTGGCGTGTTTCAAAAATTATAATTAAAGCTGACAGAATGTGCACTACCCCAGCCCTGATCCCAAATACCTTAATTTTGACAACCTCTGAGGGGTCCATGTAAGCAAACACGTAGAAGTTAAGTGAAACTTTTATAGCAAAATAAATAAAGCAACAAGCTTTTTTTTTGGGGGGGGGGGGCGGGCGGCTAGTGTTTATTTGGACTATTTGAATGATAACATCAGTCAAATAATCATATGTGTGGATCTGAGTGTAGCCTCGATGTTATTAGAAGTGCTTGCCTTTCTGAGACATAGATATAAGATTCATATAGTCTTACTTGTTTATTTTTTTACTGAAAAGTATTTTATGAAAAATGTTTTACTAGATGATTGTTGTGGTAACAGGAACTTCTAGGCAAAGCCATGCTTCCGTTGAAAATTTGAGGTATGGGTTCAAATGTTAGTTATGAGAGAGATCCCCCAGTGCTTCCTGGAGCATCTGGACTTTTTCCCTGACTTGAATTCATTTGATGATTGTTTAGGGTATGGCATTTAAATTGAATTATCAGTTAGGGTGGTCAACCTGCTTATAAAAATATTTCCATTTAGAAGCTCAACTCTGTAAGCAGTAACCCTACATTGAAATTTATAGACAGACCCAAAAATGACCTAACTGATGAATTAAAGAAAATGAAACCATTGCATTTTGATTGGGAATTCCTGGAGAGAAAGATAGATTGAGAGAGAGAAAAAAACCAACTTCTGTCATTCACTTAGAAACAATTATTTATTCTTACAGTTTGAAGTATTTAAAGCTTGGATTATGTTCACCATGTGGCCTCTTACGTAACCAGCTAAGGCAAACCTGGATGATGTAAGAGTGGCTCACCTAAAACCTTACAAATGAAATAGCAACATCCCTGATGTACGTTTTGGGGGCAGGGATTGTTATAATGTGATCTGTGTGGCCAAGACCAGTGAAAGAACAGAGAACAGATGTGAAATCTCTTTTGAGATTTGTACTCTGAAATCATGTGCAACAGTTAAAAGATACAAAACAATTAGAAAATGTCCATTCAAATAGTCAGTCAACATGAATTAGGGAAAAGCTCTTAACATAGTTCAAACTGGAATTTGAACTCATGGAAAAGTGATTTTCTGCATGTCTATTTTTAGAAATAGCTAAAATGTTGAGCTGAGAGTATGGGTTTACTTAGATTACTAAATTAGTAAAAATCAATATATATGTAAAAATAATTTTATTAAGTATAGGTTGACCTCATGGAATTTACCTTTTATACTTTCACACTATTATTTAAATTCAATGTCTTTCAATAAATAAATTATAAAAACTCTCTATTGATTTTAAAATATTTGCATACTTTATAGCATGTTAGGAACAGTCAATATTTTGATTATATTTAAAAATCCTAGGAGCTTAGAATATCTATTTATATGTGTCAGCCAACTTTTATAGAAAATAAGTAATATACTAACAACATAATTATATGTGTGCATCCCAAATATTTCCATGGTGAAAACCATCACAAAGTTTAATTGTGTTAAGCAACTTTGAAGTACAATGACCTTTCTGAATACTTTTTCATTACTACATACCTATGAAATAGGGAAATAAGCTTTTTTTGCAGTGACTAGCTATGTAGATAACATATATAACCAGGTGAGACAGGTGAAGTGAGGTTGGACCTCAAAGATGTATTTTCTTTTTTCTTTCTTTCTTTCTTTTTTCTTTTTTTGAAATGGAGTTTCGCTCTTGTTGCCCAAGCTGGAGTGCAATGGCACAATTTCAGCTCACTGTAACCTCCGCCTCCCTGGTTCAAGCAATTCTGCCTCAGCTTCCCGAGTAGCTGGGATTACAGGCACCCACCATAAGGCCCGGCTAATTTTTTGTATTTTTAGTACAAACGGGGTTTCACCATGTTAGCCAGGATGGTCTCGAACTCCTGACCTCAGGTGATCTGCCCGCCTGGGCCTCCCGAAGTGCTGGGATTACGAGCGTGAGCCACTGCGTCTGGCCATGAAAGATGTACTTTCTATGAATGAAACATTAGTCATACTCCTGCCTGAGGATTGGAATATGCAACATGACACTCAGGTACAAATTTAAATGTAGCAACTGGAGTCTGTGTTTACAGTAGGTTATGTGATTTTCCTCTGGTCTCTTTCTGAAGGCTTTACTGGCCTCAGTTTTTCTTGTCATATCATTCAACTGGAAAGCACTCTTTTCAATAGAAATTTTAGCTGTTTTATTTTGCCATTGAATTAAATTTTATTCAGCCTAATGAATACCTATTTTTCAATTCATCCAGGTACGTGTATTCACGTTTTCAGTTGGTCAACACAATTATGACAGAGGACCTATTCAGTGGATGGCCTGTGAAAACAAAGGTAACAAATCTGTTTTCTTCTAATAAATTAGAAGAAAAACTATTTTGGTAGTTGTTATTAGGTGTACTTATTTAAAATAAGCTAAAATTGTAGCTAACTTTTATAGGAATCAGACAAGAGTAAGATTCTGAACATGTTTTTATAGAGAAAACACATACCAATTTTGACACTGGCATTACATTATATGAAAATTCTGATATCTGATTATATTTCCACATTCATAAAATAATGTATTACACTGAATTATACTGAATGATATATATCAGATATAATCTTAAATGAAAAATTAGGAATGAAACAATATCTGAATTTCATAAAGCTTAAATATGAGAGTATGACATACATATTTTTTTCTCTGAGTGGTTTAATTACTGTTTTTGAAAAATATTACCTTATACATTCCAGGATAATTCAAATATTTGCAGTGAGCTCATATTTTCACTCAGAAAGAATGATGTTACTGAGAAAAACATATGTTAATTTGAGAAATGAACTGTGATACCATGGCAACAAAAAGAACTTAAATTTTTTCTGAAAGTTATATTTAGGCAAAGATTTTATATAAATATAATAATTATCCATCATGCATCTTTAATAATTTATCCAATGAAAAAATATTTTTAATGATACCATGTTTCCTATTCCTTCATAGAAGAATACCTATTTTATAGTAACTAAGAAATGTAATGAAATTTTTCACAAAGCCTGTGTGTTTGTTGTGAAGATTCATTAACCATCCTTAATTTTGATATTTCAGTATTAGCTCAGTTTTGAAGTGAAATATATTGTTTTCAAAATACTCTTTATAAAATATTTATAAAATAAAATAATTTTGTGGCCCTTTATTATAAAGTAACATTTATGTATAAAAACATATATGTATATTTCAGGTTATTATTATGAAATTCCTTCCATTGGTGCAATAAGAATCAATACTCAGGTATGATTATTTAAAACTTGTTTAAATTATTTTTTTCAAGTAAAAGATATTTTTCTGGTTTAAATATGCTCAATATGGAGAAAATTAGCAAGAATGAAAAGATCTATAATATTACACCTATATTAAAATACTGAGTATCTTGTTGATACATTGGTTTTATTTCATTAACATTGCAAGTGTTTTCAAATAACCAAAACTCAGGTTAATAAAATGAGTATATTGTTATTTTCAGATGTTACAAACATCATAGAAAATAAATAAAATCAAATTTTCTAAAAATACATTTCATGTAATTTGAACTTGAGTCTACTACAAATAATTTTTAAAAGTTTCTTCAAATTGTAGGTACTGTGTATAAAATTAAACACTAATTATGCTGGACAAATTTTACAGGGACCTAGTTGGAACTTAAATACCTCCCAAATAACCCCTGTGGATCTATTTATCAATCTAAAATAAAGTTACAACAAGGAGATGATTTTTCTAACATCATTCACTTGAAAACATGCCTGTTAAATAACTTTTTGTAGAATGTAGTAATTAAGTTAATTTAAATATTTATTCTTTTTAAATAATCATAAATTACTATGAAAATTGCTACTCCTTTTTAAACATAGCTGAAGATCTACAAAATAAACGAAGTCAAAATTTAGCATAAATAACATGGCATTTGTGGACGTGAATACTGAATACACTGAATGTTGAAATGAAACAGCAGCTGCATTTGAGTCTGATGTCTAGATTTGGCACAGTATTTCCTTTATTTTTTGATGTGTTTAAATGTAGTTTTGAATTTCAGCCAAACAATCTGTGATATGAAAGAAAGTATGTGGCTGCTGTATGATTTTAAATTTGTGCAATTCCACGCAGTAAATCACAGAGCCTTAAATAGTTTAGATTAACATGAAACAATTCACAGGGAACGTATTTCACTTACTGGCTGTAACACAGAAAAACAATGCTCTGATTGTTACTAGAAAAAAACTGGGGTAGATATATTGTATAAATAATGTAAGTCAAATATTGTTCATTCAAAATAACGTAGCCATACCACCTATGGAGTACCCAAAATAGAAATTAACTGATTATATATTCAGTGTCAATAATTTTGATTCTATATTCATTTTTAACTCTAGAATATTTTTTCTCTGTAATTTTTATTTCAACACAGCATTCCTAGTTTTAACCACGACTTTTTTTTTTTTTCCCATAAACAGGAATATTTGGATGTTTTGGGAAGACCAATGGTTTTAGCAGGAGACAAAGCTAAGCAAGTCCAATGGACAAATGTGTACCTGGATGCATTGGTAAGAGGTTGAGCTATTCAGTCAAAGACTGTCATAACAAAAGCACACAGATGATTTCTACTTCTTTCTAGATGATGTCTCTGTTTTCCTTTTCATTAAACCCTCCCCAAAATTTCTTCTATCACAGACTTCTTTCCTAGAATTTATATAATTTACATAAAAACATAGACTCGTATGTAGTAGAAAACTACAAATGCAAAGTGTTAGCTTATTGTCTACTTGATCCCTTCATTGGGAATGTAGAATTTCCAACCTGGAATGTTGAATACATGGGCATTTCAATAAGTTTTTTAATTGTTAATGTAAAAAAAAAGATGAAAGTCTTTGTGAATTAGAATCTATTTTTGCAGAGTTAGAACAATAATTTTGAAGAAAGTATTTTTAAAGTAGAGGAGCTAGTAGAAGCATGTCTAGCCTCCACAGCTATAGCTGGATCTGCTAAAACTCAGGAGTACATGCGATTAGATAGGCAAAAACTTTACCTTATACTGAAATCATCACAAACTTCTTCATGTATTAATATAATCTTTTGTGCTAGATTCAACCTCATACTTTTTATGGAAATACGTCATTGAGGCGATCAAATCTGGTGTGAAATAACAAACACATGTTAAATTGTCCATCGCACAATTGACATTTTAGTAAAGATATGTCATTATATTTAAAAGCAGTGGTTCTCAACAAGGGGGTCTTTTTGCCCCTCACAGTTCATTTGGAAAAAATCTGCATTTTTGATTGTCATGGCTTGAGGGGAGGGGTTGCTACTGGCATCTAGAGCAAGCTTGTCCAACCTGTGGTCCAGGATGGCTTTGAATGCAGCCCAACATAAACTTGTACACTTTCTTAAAACATTATGTTATTTTTTGCTTTTTTAAAAATCTCAACTATTGTTAGTATTAGTGTATTTTAGGTGTGGCCCAAGACAATTCATCTTCTCTCAGTGTGGCCCAGAGAAGCCAAAAGATTGGACACCCCTGAGTGGACAGAGGCCAGGCACGCTGTTAAACAATCCTGTAATGCAGAGGAAAATGCCTACCACACACAACAAAGTATTTTCCCTCCAAAAATGTCAATAGGGCCAAAGTTGAAAATCTTTTAAATGTAATTTTTACTTTCCTGACATGAAAGTTATAAATAATAATCATCGCACTTAAGCTTTATTCTTATGTTTAGTCTTAATGAGAAGAACTTATGAATAATTTACTAAAATAATATATTTGGAGAGAATCAAAATAATAAGACCTGAAAATAAATGCTGATTCAGTAACCCTTTTCCCTACTTGGAGTTCAGTGATATGTTCTTACTACTTTTCCAAATGTAATGATGAACCCATAGGGCAAAATGCAGTCCATTTAGAATTACTTATCATTTGGTTTTTAGAAAATAAACATATACAGGAAGTTAGAAGAAAAATAGGCACTATTAACAGCAGCCTTGCACGCTAAGGAAGATAAAATGAAGCTTGCTTACCTCAAGCCCTAGCTTAAAATTACTGTCCAGTGTTCCTTTTAGACATCACATATTTACTTAAGGTCACATAGTGATCCAAAGCTGTGGTCAAAATGTTGCACTTTTCAAATCCATCACAGGACAGTGTATGATAGGAGGAGTCAATAATTATGCCCTGTTGTGTTTCCTTTGACTGGAAGTTCATTAGCCAGCATGTCTGCATTGCTGGTAAGGTTCTTACTGATAGCACAAATGACATTAGGAGGAAATGTTGGTTCTAAATGTGCTGTGCTATAAGCTGAAACTGAATGTAAAAAAAAAAAAAAAAGGAACACGTGAATTTGCTATTCATTGGACACATATAGCGTTATTTTTACTGTTTTGAAGATGATAAAGTGATCCTCATATATTCCTAGTTATTTGTTTATAATCTCTCCACACAGCAGATTAAAAATATATGTTGGTCAAAAATAAACAGTTATATTAAAAAGGAAAAGGTAAATATATTTCAAAACGAAATATAATGGATATAATGAGAAAAAGAATTCTGACTTCAAAATGAAGCCAATATTGGGGGCAAAGTGGGTTGTGGTTAAGAAAATGGAGACATTTTAGCTGATATTAGTGTAAGATTTTTGCAATTGGTGGTGAAAAGTGAAACCATAAAAATGGGGTATAGCATAAAAGTTGGGGAAGCACTGAGTATATCAAAAAAATGATACCTTGGTCATTTTTGGTAATAAGGGGAGATTAGGACAATATTGTGGAGAGTTCATTTTAATTAGGAGACAAAGTGAAGCTCTTTATAAAAAGAGATATGACAAGAGTTGGGCTCTAGAAAATATTTTTAAAATTCCAGGGTAGAGAAATCTTGTTTTATTTCTCTCTTATTTTCTAGAGACATGTGCAGTACTCAGGAGTAGAGTACAAGTTTTTGGTCTGCTTAGTAAATGAGAAAAAAATTCAAGTTGGGCCCAAATGAGTTCATTCATAATTATCTTTAATATGTTAGTAATCTAGTAACTCACTTTAGGCTACATTTTACCATTTTTAGAAGCAAATTATGGTATGCAGTATAAATGCAAAAGTAATGCAAAGGAAATGATTACATCCATATCTACCTTGTCTTAAACCATGGTAGCATTTTTAAAACCATGCATATAGATTATAGCTCTAACAGACACTTCACCAAATCCTTACTAAATTATCTTTTGGATACCAGTTTTACGAATTAATCTATAGCCTGACTTTATTGAGGTGGGAGGTTTTCATTGGAAGCATTAATTTATATAATTAAGGATGTTTCATTGTCTAATGTTCTTGGTTAGGACTTTATAAGCGCCAACATGTGTCTATCACTGTATGAGTCTGTTCTCACACTGCTGTGAAGAAATCCCCAAGACTGAGTACTTTATAAAGAAAAAAGGTTTAATTGACTCACAGTTCCATGTGGCTGGGGAGGCCTCAGGAAACTTAAAATCATGGCGGAAAGCATCTCTTCGCCAGGCAGCAGGAGAGAGAATAAGTGTTGAGCGAAGGGGAAAGCCACTTAAAAACCATCAGACCTCGTGAGAAATTACTCACTATCACGAGAATAACATGGGGGAAACCGTACCATGGTTCAATTACCTCTGGATCTCTCCCACAACACGTGGGGATTATGGGAACTACAACTGAAGATGAGATTTGTGTGGGAACACAGCCAAACCATATCAATCATCATGCACCCAAATATGTATGGTTGTTTCCTTAGTTTTATTTGCTGCAAATAATTTGGTATTTTGGTCTTCTGGAAGCTTCTCTATTATTGTCTCTCCTCCCTAATTCATTCATATTCCCATTGAATTTGGGCCTCCTATGTGCACAATTATGAACCACAACCTGATACCACAACATTTGCTCCCTGATATTAATAAATATTTTTAATGTTCTAGTGAATAATTATTCCAAATCCAACTTTATGAACTCGGTTCTGATTCCAGAACTCTGTTCTGAGTTCTTGAGATTTGGATTTGGAATCACTATTCGTGAGAAGATTAATAATAATTTCTCATTTAGCAAATTCAAAATTTCAAACAATAAAAATTATTTTAAAGAGTGATTTTGTTAAATGTAGTTTTGACATGAAATGGTTAAAATTATAATGGATATAGATGTCAGTAACAAAAGCAAACTCTGACTTGAAAATCAGTTTATTTTGACTAATCTGTATGGATTCATTTAATGTATTAAATTATGTGCTGATTAATAGGATGGCATTAGTTCTACTATGTTAAACTCTTCAGACTAGACTTTTATATTTGATGCTTGCAGTTGTCTTTTCTTCATAATTTTACTTGTCAAAAAGTACTGCTTATTTTGGGGTCTACTTAGAAAAGTAGTACTGCTTCTGAAGAGCGTAACATTTACTTAGAATATCCCAGATATGCAGTATCAATAGAATGTTTCTTTTATTTATCATGTTATTCAACTGCACATTTTTCATTTAGCATGAAGTCTTTGGCTTAGGGCATAAAAAATAAAGAATAAGGCTACAAAAAGGGAAGCTAAATAATCACTTAAAATAATATTTTATTATCACTCTGCTTATGGAGGCCCTGATATTAGGTGAACTATCACTATGAAAAAGGGGGAGGACACAGGGTTACTGAAATGCATACAGGCTGTTGACTATTTGTGTAAGCTGATTATTTTTGAAGTTATCTTAGAGGATTATTTTAAATGTTGCATGCTTCAGTAGGTGCCTAGTAGGTCCTAATTATTTCCAAGATATTTTCCTTGATATTTTAAAAATAAATTTTAATAGATATTCAAAATGAGTTACTAGTTTTTGTGGCTCTTTATAAAGTAACTATAAAATGCAATCTCAGATATCAAAGGTTAGTGCACTCTGACAAAGCTTAAATTGTAATTTTAATTTGCCCTTTCTCTCTGAATCTATTTTTAGGAACTGGGACTTGTCATTACTGGAACTCTTCCGGTCTTCAACATAACCGGCCAATTTGAAAATAAGACAAACTTAAAGGTTAAAAGTTAATTGATAAAATTAATAATAATAAATGACAAACTGTGACGTTGAAGCTCAACATGGATAAGATATTTCCATAAGAAAATACATGCAGTGTAATTGTCTTGTGAGGCCAGAGGTCAAAGGCAACAGCTGCCTATGCGATAACCACCTGGGAAAAAGGAAATGCAGGTCAAACTCTCTGTTGCCCTAGAGCCAAGATTCAACTTAACTCCACTTAACTATGACCTGATGAGAACACAGAGTCAGACTCTGGGAGTAATTATATGATAAATGGACAGTAATATTGTGTGCACATTTTAAGAATCCATCTGAGCTATTAATGGAGTTTAGAAAGAAAAATCCAAAGACCAAAAGCATGGCGATGTTTGTATCAGGTGTACATTGGTATATTAAATCATTCCTCCCCAACTCCCAAACAATAGCTTTTTAAAAATTATCTTGTAACTTAAGGATCTGATTTAAATTAATATTTCTCTTTTTTTTTCTATTTTTAGGATACAGGAAGAATAATTTCATAGAATGCTTAATTTTTATAGCACTGGTTTTTTGTCAATGCAGTAAAATGCCTATTTAAAAGTTCTAAAAATTATTTATCTTGTACTTATTATTTGTTAAATGCTTTTGATTTTAAATAGGATTGCATTCCAATTTTTTAGCTTGATTCAGAAGGAATTTGAGATTTTGAAGTTAAGACTTTTTTAATACTAGAAACTGATTTTATAATGTAGGTGATATACTTGATTTGAGTAGATATTTATTTCCAGTTTATGGTTTCATGACGTCTGCTGCACTTAAGCATTGTTTGATCAGTTATTATATATCTCAGTTGAACTCCTTATGTTAATAAGGTGGCCATAGAAAACAGTTATTTCTCTTTGGGGGCCTATTACCATTCTTAACTATCTGCAGGTTCTAAATATTGTAACTCATAAAAGAGTAACTCTCACTTTCTCATACGTGTTCACAGATCTCACTGTGAACTAAGAGATTGCTTCAGTTGGGAAGTTTTTGCTCAGACTAGGATTGGTTCATGGAAAAGAGCATAGTTGTTGATACAACTTTCTTACTCTATCTGTGCCTACACAAGGTTTAAATGTTTTTGTAATTACTAGATTTTATAATTTTTTGCTTATTATTTTATAATTTATATAATTCCATTTGAAACAACAATTTTGGACCCAAAATTTTAAAACAATTTCCATCTTTATGTCCCATAGAAGATTATGATAGCAGTTTGCCACAAGCCTCCTCTACTTGCACCTAAAACTATGATGCCTGTTGCTTGGTATATAGAAGTTATTAGCAGTGACTAGAAATAGTGTTTTGAGGATTTTATCACCAATATGGTCACATACTTTTAGGATAGTTACATACACAGGAACTATCTGCAGCAAAAATCCAATGTGTTCTTATTCTATATTGTATAATCTTTAAGCTGGACATTCTTGTGGTTTCTTAATTATAGTAAACCATAAAGTCAATCTAAACTCACATATATAGACACACAGCTATAAGGGCTGACCGTACAATAGCAGTGAAAATAAATATTAGAAGAAAAGGGTACAAGAAGTGTCAAACATTTTTATTTATCCTTTATATATTTTAGCCTCAATTATCTAGATTTTCTTTGCTAAGTTAAATGATGATGATAAAGTTGTGGGAAACAAAGCTGAGAATCCTTGTAAATTGACACTGAGAGTGCTTCACCCTATATATACATTTAAACTAATGTGGAATATAACCATAATGCAAGCAAAAGATGATCATATGATAATTGTGTAAAAATACGTAAATTTTTGACATAAAATGCCATTTTTTGCCCTCTTATTATAGAACCAGCTGATTCTTGGTGTGATGGGAGTAGATGTGTCTTTGGAAGATATTAAAAGACTGACACCACGTTTTACAGTAAGATGAAATTTGCTCTTTTGATACCCTTTCTAGTTTAGAACTCTGTACTAACTTAGCTTGGCACTTAGGTAATTCTCAAAAATTATGGGCAGTTATCTTAGCAAAGGAACTAAATGGTTAAAAGCATCTCTAAAATAAAATGATTCCATGTTATCTTTCAACATGCTATACAATGTGTATTTAATACATTATGTATTTAAAAGAATATAGATTTCTAATTGTGACTCAGGCATATCCAAGCTTTTTTTTTTTTTTCTTTTCCAGCTGTGCCCCAATGGGTATTACTTTGCAATCGATCCTAATGGTTATGTTTTATTACATCCAAATCTTCAGCCAAAGGTCAGTATATAATTTGTTTACAGTGATTAGTGTTTTGTAGAATTAATGATTAATGTTCTTAATAGGATTGTTGTTTTAAAATTTACCGTATAACACTAAATATCAAAGTACAGTCTCTAATGCGTCTCTCTTCTTAGATGACAAGGACCACACATGATACTATATGAAAGTGTGAAAGCAGTTTTCATTTTCTGTTACCAATTTAGCTGCAACATTTTTATCTCAAAGACAGCCATTATCACCCACTGAGCCTCAATTTCATGCATCCCACTTCTGACTTTGATTTTAAGGCTGTAAGATAAAAAGGATATTGCTCCAGACAGGAGTGTGAACCTGATAAATATTAGTAATGTTTATTTATGTCCAGGCCACATTTTCTATTGCCCTTCTCTTCTAGTAATTAACTCTGCTTTCCATCTCCCAGAATGGTTTTCCTTTTACTTTAGGACAGGCCTGTAAACAGATGTAAGAGATTGTATAAGTAAAATCCATGTGATGGGCTTCAGAAATGGGAAGTATTTATTAATCAGCAAGTTAATCTGAAAGAGATAAAATGCCATCGATGAACCATATTATCCTAATTTTTATGCCTATTTTCTCAAGATACAAGATATTTTCACAAATTACCTTGTACAACTCATTTCACTCTTCATGAACTGTTTCACAGGGCATTAATAGCAAAATTTATTTAGACGTCTTATAATTGTAACTTTAGAAGCATCCTTTTAGTTATTGTTATACTTTGAAGATAATGTTGAAGATCCTTTAAACCATGCAGACTTATGCATACTACTACTTTCTCCCGAGTCATGGATAGTTAATGTTAGTCATATATTAGAATATATCACAAGTGTGTGAACATACTCACACAAAAACTTGTGTTATTTAAATATGGTTCAAATCCATAAGAGAACTATTGATATTGAATGCAAAAATACATTAAATGTAATATATTAATTATATATTTTAATACATTAAATAATATTACATTTTATAACTAATGTCTATTTTAGTTTATCTGACTTTGGAACGTATTTCCATATCAAATTCATCACATAATTATCTGTAGCACGTGTAGCTGTTGATCACCCTAGTTATGTTTAAATGTGTTGTTTTAATATAAATGTTGCATAAGTACTTTTTCATATTATTATTAAACTACCACAGCTCTTTAAAAGCATATCCTGTTAAATTCCTCTTAAAAGAGTAATTTATGTTTGGCTAATCATCCTATGATTTTGCTATAGCTTGAAAACTTTTTATATCTTAAATTTTTTTATAATTTTGAAGTATTATTGTTTGGGCTTTGTATATCCAGTGTATTTTCAATTAAATTCCCCTAACTAAAGTAATTCAAAAGGAATAAAAGTGTAATGTGGGCTGGGCGTGGCGGCTCATGCCTGTAATCCCAGCACTTTGGGAGGCCCAGGCGGGCAGATCACCTGAGGGCAGGAGTTGGAGACCAGCCTGGCCAACATGGTGAAACCCTGTCTCTACTAAAAATACAAAATTAGCCGGGTGTGGTGGCACATGCCTATAATCCCAGCTATTTGGGAGGCTGAGTCAGGGAGAATCTCTTGAACCCGGGAGGCGGAGGTTGCAGTGAGCCGAGACCACGCCATTGCACTCCAGCCTGGGCAACAAGAGCGAAACTCCATCTCAAAAAAAAAAAAAAAAAGTAATGTGATGAAGGGTGTGAAGGATCTCTACTTTTGTGATTATAAACCTTAACCCTTACCCAAAGGAACTAACATATATCATAGACAGAAGAATAAGTACAATAATGCATATATGATTTATATATATATATCTATATATCTATATATATAAATCTACCATCTAAGGGCTGTAACAATTTAGGCAGTTTTCATAGTGAAAGAGAAGTAATAATTTGAAGTTTTTTTCCTTTTCTACATTCTTCTACTAATAACCAGTATTTATGTAGAAAATATTACTATTTGAATGACATTAACCTATATTTGGCTCGTATTTGAAATAATTCACTAAAATTTATAATATTACAGAGAAAACAAATTCTTTAGCAACTTCATTAAAGCCCAATTGATATTTTTCTTCCATATTATAAATTAGCTTTGCATATCTTTATATTTGGATTTTATTAAAGCAAATATTAATATGTAACAGAAAGACATTTCCAAAAATACTATTTCAGAACACCATGAAAAAGAAATTATTCTGAACATCAATTTATTCTTTATTTCTGAAATTCATGCTTATGAATTCTCATCATTAATTCAGTAAATATTATGATTTCCATTTATGATTCCATTTAGTGGCTAAAGGAGCACGCTATACAGATTGATACAAGACCTCATAAAAGGATGATATAGTATAAGATAATTGCTTTAGAAATCAACAAATACAAAGGAACATATGGTAACAGTATACTAACAAAATCTTAATTATTTTATCAGAAATTCATTAATACAAGTGAAGAAAAATAATGCTATATCTATAGCAGCCATTATTATTTAACAAGGTGAAAGTCTAATGTTATGCAAGTATTCCTCTTTTTTTTTTTGTAGAAGATGAGTGTTCTTTAAAAGCCCCCAGAATATCATAAAATAGCTACGGACTTTTCACATATTTAATTTTTTAAGGATTCATAACATTTTCTCAGTGTGTACTTTTACCAGCATGACCACATTTTGACGTATGTTGAATTATGTATTCTGCTTTATTCCAAAATGGATTTTAACTTTCTTCCGTTTTGTGTCATTGAAGTAGCCAGGTTAGGTCTACTTAATTAGATATCTCATTTTGTTCAATTCTAAGAAATATGTATTGTATAGGAAATTGTGCATAATCTATGTTTGAGAAGTTAATATTTAAAATAAATCTACACTGTTATGGTTACATTCTCTATTAGTTTCATAGATATAACATTTGGTATCACTTCAGAAAACAAAGGCACAAATATGAAACGTTAAAACTTTTTAATATCGTACAATTTTCTTGGTTCATTCAGGCTGCTATAACAAAATACTATAGACTGGGTGGCTTATAAACAGAATTTAGTAACTCACAGTTCTGAAGACTGGGAAGTTCAAGATGAAGGCTTGGACAGATTGGTGTTCTGTAAGGGCTTGCCTCCCTCTAGACAGCCATCTTCTCACTCTAACCTCACATGGAGGAGAAGGGGTGAGACGTGTCTCTCTCTAGGGCGTCTTTTACAAGGGCACCAGTCCCATTCATGAGGGACCCACCAACCAAGACCTAATCACCTCCCAAAAGCCTTTGGATACCATCATCTCTGGAGATGAGGATTTCAACATATGAATTGAGGGATGGACATTAAAAATATTTATATTTGGGTCAATTTTTTGAGAAAATTGTTATTTCTCTCTCTCTCTCTCTCTTTTTTTTTTTTTTTTTTTTTTGTCAAATCAATGGAAAAGTAATCTGGGACAAACAACCATTTTTCCCACTTCCCAAATACGTACTTTTCTAGAAAAAGAAAAATAATAGTCATTTTTCTTAAAAATGTAACAGTTTGTATTCATTGAAGATATTTTTACATTCTTATTTTATTGACTCATGAACTCCATACCTACCAAATATTTTGAATTCTATCATTTAGACCTTTTTGCAATCAAGGAAATATCTGACGAAAATTGATTATAGGATAGAACCCGTACCTATGTTGACATGTACTATGATGAATTACCATTTTTCTGTTGCTTCAGCCTATTGGTGTAGGTATACCAACAATTAATTTAAGAAAAAGGAGACCCAATATCCAGGTAACTGTGAATGAAGGTAGCCTTAACAGTGCTTTCAAATTTGCTAAATCCAAGTTGGGATTAAGCTTCTGTTCTTAAAGCTTATAATTAAAGCTGCCTTTCCTGACATCAAGCTTCCAGAGCATGAAATGAGATGAGCATCATTTCTTAATAAGCTGGAGCAAAAATGTTATTAATGATGGTAGAGGGTGTGTATTGGCTAACCAAAGATTGCAAAGTCAATTATGGAATCAAGTTAATAATCAGAGAAATCATAACGAGATGGCTTCTAAAAATAAATTTGTTATTAAAATTGTAAAATTAATGTCAAATTCATGTGATCCTAACAATTTGCTTGTAAATTGACTTCTACGTGGAAATAAAATACAATTCCTATATGACAGTTTCCATAAGCCACAGATTTTAAGCCAAAATTTCTAAAAAGTGTAATTTTGGGTTAGAAGTTAAAGAAGTTTCCCTTAGCTAATTAAAAATGTACCAAAGTGCAAATAAGTAGTGAATTTTTATTACCTGGTAAACTCATTGCGAAAGCTTTTCCTTTTGGCAACAAAACTTCAGTTATCACATGTATACAATATTTCTAAATGCACAGTAAAACTATTAATAATCAACATAAAAGGATACTTCCTATAGCTTAGCAAGAGAATTTCAGAATTTCAAAGCATGTTCAACATTATTTAAGATTGTGTAGGTAAGCCTACCATTTCTTTGAAAAAGTTGGTGACATTAAGGCCGGCCACGGTGGCTCATGCCTATAATCCCAACACTTTGGGAGGCTGAGGAGGGCCGATCACAAGGTCAGGAGTTTGAGACCAGCCAGGCCAACATAGTGAAACCCTGCCTCTACAAAAAAAAAAAAAAAAAAAAAAAAAAAAAAAAAAAAAAAAGAAAGAAAAATTAGTTAGGCATGGTAGTACATGCCTGTAGTCCCAGCCACTCAAGAAGCTGAGGCAGAATCGCTTGGACCCAGTAGGCAGAGGTTGCAGTGAGCCAAGAGTGTGCCACTGCCTCCAGGCTGGGTGACAGAGCGAGACCCCGTCTCAAAAACAAAATGAGTAAATAAATAAGTTGGTGACATTAAAATGAAGAGGTAATATGTTATTAAGAGATGGATAAGCTGTGAATTAGTAGAATTGAGTGCTAGTTTGGTTCTGAAAGCCAACACTGTGTTCTTGAGCACTCCACTAAATCCTGTAGTGTTTAATTTTCTTCATCTGAAAAGCAGGAGAATTGAACTAGTCACTAGTTTCCATCCTACACAGTATATTCACCTAGGAAATTAAATATATATATGTCAGTCCCCTGCCTCATCCTCTGAAAATTCTGATTTAATTTGGCAGTGATGGGACCAGGCCTCTACATAGTTTTTGTTTTGTTTTGTTTATTTATTTATTTTTTTTCTGAGATGGGTCTCACTCTGTCACTAGGCTGGAGTGCAGTGGCGCAATCTCGGCTTACTGCAACCTCTCCCTCCTGGGTTCATATGATTCTCCTGCCTCAGCCTCCCGAGTAGCTGGGATTACAGGTGCTGGCCACCATGCCCATCTAATTTTTGTATTTTTAGTAGAGACGGGGTTTCATTATGTTGGCCAGCATGGTCTTGATCTCCTGACCTCGTGATCCACCTGCCTTGGCCTCCCAAAGTGCTGGGATTACAGGTGTGAGCCACTGTGCCCGGCCTCTAAATAGTTTTTAAAGCTCCCCATGGAGGTCTAAAGTGCAGAGCCACTGCCCTAGTTGAGAAACTTTAGCTCTCTTCCAGTGCTAGAATTTTAGAACAAACTGAATTTCCTATTGTTGCATATGAAAGTCTTCATATCTTTTATAATTCCTATAAAGTTTAAAATTATGTTTATGCCTTTCTTGATATAGTAAATTGTTTTGTTACTGTCCTTGCATGTTTCTTTTTATGTATTATCTTATACTTTTGCAGTCATGTGCATTTTAGTGAATTTTTGTTTTTGCAGCAGCCTCAAATATTGCATGTAACTCTTAACAATATAATTAAAAAATAAACAACCTGAAAATGGTCTGTTTTATTTTTGTTTTCATTCTAAGAAAACTCTAAATGGCAAACTAGCAACCACACAAGACTCCTCAATTTGAAGGCTATTTTTGAACTAAGTAGCATTTGTAATACTATCTAGTAATTATTTCAATTTAAAATTTGTTAACATTTCATTCTTTCGTTTCCACAAATGGTGTGGTATTTATTTCCATTGATAACCAAATTTTGCAAATGAGAAATACTAGGTATTTTAATATCAGACAAAAACAATGGGTGTGCAGAGACTATATTCCAGTTCTTCAGCCTCTCTTGGTGCTTTCTTATTGAAAGATTATGCTTTTGAATTTTGTAGTCACCATGCCCGTGGTGAATCTTTTAAAAAATGGTCAGCTAGATTGCTATATTAAAAGTACAACTTATGCATTGAGATTTTTCTTTTATGATTTCATTTTCTTCTCTGTGTCTTTGTATGCTGGATTGGGACATGATCTTCATATTGCCAATTCTTCCTGATAATGCCTCCTCCATGCATGCTGTTTGGGTCTGGTCATGCTATGCATTATCCATTGCATGTAAGATAAATACTCTTATTTCTGTTTACTTTTTATTATTTTCATTATTTTGACTTTGCTTTGCAGTGAGTTTGTTAAAATTTTAATGCTGATATGATGGTGTTTGTGTGAGGACAGTTTATTTCATGGGACATTAAATGAGCAATTCTGAATAATGTTGTAAACTTTAGAGTATCCTTTTGTTAGGGGTTTTCTAGGTTTCATTTTTTAAACAAAGAAATTAGAAGAATTTTCAACATTGGCTTTTATTTTATTCTTTTAAAATACGCTGCATTTCAAATGAGTATTTCCTTTTCACGCAGTAAGATGTCATCAGTATCTTACCAATACTGGTCAGCATTTTCACCTTTGAAAAATTTAATACTTATTTTCAGTATTCTAGAATCTTCTGATTGTAGTGATAGAGTACTTAAGCAGTGAATATTTTTTTCAATTAAAGTGCCAGACATGGCTATTTTTTAAAATTTGCCTTTAAGAATGTTCATTTATCAAAAACCATAGGAATCAAAAATTTTCATCTTTAGGTGGAATTACTCTTTGAAGGAAGGCATTTTTGTCAGTAAATACATGCCGTGTATACTATGTCATTCAACATCTTGATAAGATATGCTTAATTTTAGTACATTTTTACTTATTGCAACTGCCTTGGGAAGTTTCTTCCTAAAACAGTGCTTAAAATGGTGATAATTTGAACATCTTTTGAAAGAGTCTGTGAGGCTTATATTATTAAAGTTTGAGTGACCTTTGCACTAATCCAGCATAGTTTGCGTTTGTTACTGGAATCTAGTTATCAGATTTAGGTAATATTTTAATAAAAATTAAAAATTCAGTTTCTAAAATTTTGCAATTATGAAATTACATATACCTATTATGATTTTATTGGTCTAGTAAGCTTTGAAATTTTAGTATGACATGTTACATTACTTAGGAAGTTATAGAGGAATTGACTGTATTTTGTTTATCAAATAGTTCAATGAATCTTCATTTTGCAATTGAGACATTAAAATAATATCATATGAGGTAAATTTGCCAGACTAACAGTATCATTTTATATAATGATATGAATAAATAAGAATCTATCTTATTCCCCAGTGTTCTTTCTTTATTATTATACACCAGCAAGAAGAAGCAATAGGAAATAGTATTCATTGAACCCAGGGGTTATTATCCTAGTAAGACTTTAATTATAATAGCTAATCTTAAAATCTTTATGACAACCACAAAATTTATCTTATACATTCTGATGTCATTTGAATTATTAAAATATAAAATTTCTTAGATTGAAATATATGAAGCAAACTTGCACCTTTTCTTTATATACTTTCAGAAGGAAGAACAGGTCCAATAGAATGTTTTACTTGGCAAGTGTAGACATAATTTTAAAACATTTTCTCATACACTTTTTTTTTTTTTTACAAATTTTAAAAGTATGCTTACATGTTGCCATTGTTTTATTACCAAATAAGTCATCCAAATGGCTATATTTTGCCCCTTTCCCATGCTAATTAATGAAAAGAAAGTTGTGAATGGTTCTTCAAAAGTGATGTGCCCAAAGAGCTTGTGAATATAAATGCAGTATCAAATACAGCACTCAAAATGACACTGTCTTCACTTGCTTATTAAGATTTCCTGCACTTAAAGCTCAATCTCTAGCTTTTATATATAAGCTATATATATATATAAAATATATATGAAAGAAGATACCTTTATACAATTATTGTATCCTAGGTAATTTTTGCACAATTTCATAAATACCCGTTAAATTGTTTTATACACAGCATCATTGTATAATGTTACATGTACCTAATTATTATTGTTTTCTGTGTAGAACCCCAAATCTCAGGAGCCAGTAACATTGGATTTCCTTGATGCAGAGTTAGAGAATGATATTAAAGTGGAGGTGAGTGGAATCAGTAAGACTAAACAATTCCTCAGGTCAGATGCTGGTATGCACTCATTCTACAAGTATCTGTTGAACGGCTACAATGTGTTAGCTTGTCTGTTTGATACTGTATACACAAAGATGAATGTTCTTTGTCATTAAAATTTTCTAGATCCTAGGTTTTCCTATCCAAAAGATCATATGAAAAGGAATAAATGTTTAAGTTGGGTTCGACCTTAGTCTTCTTTCTCTTCCTAAAGGTAGACATATTTTCACTATTCTAATACAAATGTATCTTGTAAACTTCAGTAAAAATCATAGAGATGGAGGATGTTGTTATAGTGTTGAAAAAAAAGTTGGAAGGAATCCAACCACCCAAACACATAAGAAATAGCATGAGTAGAAGCTGTCATGTTTGCCTTAATACATTTTACTTGGCAATCTATTTTATTTCAAAAGCAAAATTGCATATTTCCTCCTCTGAGAGAGTCTTCCATAATAATGAGAGTATTATATTAATAATAAAAATATTAGAAATATATAATAAATAACATTATATGATATATGTTAGTCATGGATTCTCAAGAGGCTTGGAAATAGGTATTTTTATTTCAAATTATAATATCTGTTGTACTGATGATACATTTGAGGTACAGAGAGGTCAAATAGTTTCTCTACAGTTCTTCAGCTAATAAGTAGCAGAACTTGGCTCTTGCATTCTAGATTACAGATTTTTAGGATTTTTCCAGATGGATTAACTCCCTTGCAAATGCCATCATGTTTCTTTTATAACTTGTCACTGCATTTCAATTGTAGAACAATAGAATTTAATGATTTATTATAATTACCCTAGACGGTGGCCTTGTGTTAGGGTGTTTAGGTGATTAATAGTATTTGTTGTAAAGTAATTGACATAATAAAGTAGGATAAAGTAATGGGGACAAGCTTGGTGTCTGGACTCTTACTCCAGTGAGTGACCAAAATGATCTTAGATTCTGCAAGCCTCAGTTTCTTCTAAATCAATCAGTAATAGTGATTGAATGAAATAATATATAGAAAGGACTTAGCAAAAGGCCTGGTTCATGGTAAAGTCTTTATTATTTTTGAGCTCCTCATAAGTGCACACTCAACTTACATTAGAAGCTGTTATCTACTCCTTCCTTTAAGACCCAAATATTTGAACTAAATTAGATACATCAAACATTCGTGTTCTTCAAATTCAAATTATTCCTTTAATCACACCAAGTTTGTTTACTTATCATTTGCAGCTTCCCGAAGCCACATGTAAATCACTGGTTGAGTTATAAAAAATAAGTTGAGGAAACTTCTGAGAATTGCCAGTCGACTGGAATATTTAGTGGATAATGTAACCTTGCACTTTTTTTTTTTTTTTTTTTTGAGGTGGAGTCTCGCTCTGTCGCCCAGGCTGGAGTGCAGTGGCGCAATCTCAGCTCACTGCAACCTCCACCTCCTGGGTTCATGCCATTCTCCTGCCTCAGCTTCCCAAGTAGCTGGGATTACAGGCGCCTGCCACCATGCCTGGCTAATTTTTGCATTTGTAGTAGAAATGGGGTTTCATCATTCTGGCTGGGCTGATCTCGAACTCTCAACCTCAGGCAATTTGTCCGCCTCGGCCTCCCAAAGTGCTGGAATTACAGGCATGAGCCACTGCACCTGGCCGACCTTGCATATTTTTAAGGATTTGGAGTATTCTACTGAAGGAGACTCAACTCTATTATTCTAAATCCAAATAGGTGTTTATAGTTTTCTCTGTCCTTTATTTAGATTTTTTTGGTACCCAGATATAAGAATTACAAACTAAAAAGTGTAAAGAGTCCTCTTAAAAATATTTTTCTCACATGAAACTCATTGTGTAAGGCAGAAATTTGAAGCATTCCGTGTTATATGTAATTCTGTACATATACATTTCTATGTCTCAATGACTACTTTCCACTCCAATGTGGCTAGCCATAATATAATTGAACATTTTATTAATTACGTTTCAAAAACTACCAACAGGTTGAAAATATTTCATTAAGGGTGTTTTATTATTTTAAAATAATGTAAAATGACTATAATATGGTAACTTAAAAAAATTCCCTGAGAACAACTGCAGATACTGGTAAAACTAACCCCCTATTTTTATTTTATTTGTTCTAAATAAGGTAAAGAACTTGAAAAACTACCATGTTAATAGTCATATTTTGGCAGGTCAGCTTTGTTTCTGGAATAAAGTAGTTGTTTCATTTACTCTTAGATTCGAAATAAGATGATTGATGGGGAAAGTGGAGAAAAAACATTCAGAACTCTGGTTAAATCTCAAGATGAGGTAAGAATTGATTCTAGCTTATTCTTAAATAAAAATTATATCAAGAATAATTGATATTGGTAACTTGTCCTTTTTTTCTATTAATCCACTATTTACTTATAAAACAGGGAGATCTCTAGGAAACAATTTTTCTTTTTAAAGCACTTCTTAGCTGGAGGGATATTTTCACTAAGATATATTTTTAACCCTCTTTTTCTTTTTATAAAATACTATTGCTTTAGGTTTCTTGATGTTTTCTTATACATTAACAGTATATTCTTGAAATTATATTTTACATACATATTTTATGAGAAATAGAATACACAATATAATGTTGCCATGTTGTTTTACACTATGCCAATGTTACAAAATTGAAGTTAATATTTAATAGCTATATGTTTTACATGATTTGCCTTTTTATTCTAATTATTGAGTTCCACATATTAATTATTTTTATTTTTAGCTTTTTGTTTACTTGTTTCTGGCTTGATTTATCTTCTTTTACTAGTTACACACTTTAAAATTTCCCAGCACTTAGATCTGAAATTAAATCCTGTGACAACACAACTACCCCCACAAATAATTGGTTTATGTCTATTATCATATTGGAGTATATCTATTATCAGTCAGAGGATTATGTCTATTAGTCAGATGTGGAGTACATACAGACATTTATACATTTGAGTATTTGAAAAATGTAAGTCTCAGAAGCTTTTGAGCCTGGAAATTTTAACTTAAGCTTTTATGTATAACCTATATCCTTTTCCTCACAATCTCATCATTTCTAGATGAATTACATTCCTCTGAAATTCCTCATCAGATCCTTCCCTAGGTGGAAGGTGAGCTAGGATCTGACTATGATCCTTCATTAGCACATGGCCTTTCTCATTTTAATATCATAATGAGTCCCTATTACAGAACGCAAAGGGAGGTATATTTACCTTTCAGTCTTTGTTGAAACTTCAACTCTATTTGCTTAGACTTTTGCACATTCTTTTCTCAGATTACAAAGTAATATTCTATTAACTCCCATTGATATTTTTCTTCCTTCAATTTATTGCAAATTACTTTTTTTGACAAATATTCACCTAAAGACTATATTTTCCTGTCTTAGAATTTTAAAATGTCTCTGATGAACACACTATTGTAAATAGATATAACTGCTAATTTTCAATTACTACATTGCCTTGTACTCCAGATTTCTATGTATATTGGTATTTCAAGAAAAGTTATTTATTCTATGAATGACTATAATTTTTATCACTATTCACTATTTTATAGACAATTACAACACTGTGCATACGTATTATTCTAATTTTAAGGTGATATCTTTCAAAAGCTCTATCTATATGGTCTATGTAAGGGGTTTGGCAGAGATATTTAAGATGTGATAGTAACCTTCACATTATAGTGTTATTTGGTTTAGCCAAAGTAGCTGAATTCCACAGGCTTAGGTTAGCTATTAACTTTGAAGTTCATTTTTGTGGTTGTTGTAGGAATTATAGAACCTTTCTTGTACCATGTTCCATATTGATGAGCTAGGAATCTCCAGTTTGGCACATTTCACAATGTTTGGCATAATGAGTTGCAAGTAATTTGAAATTCCTCACCTAGGAAATGTTTCCCACAGAACCTCTATTTACACCTGATTTATTGAATATTTTTCACTACAATCTGTCTGAAATTAATTTGTAAACATTTTTTTCATGGTCATGTCTTTCATGAGTCTTACTATTCTATAAAAATTGTAAGTGTATAGAATAAATGAGAAATTATATGAATCAAATTTTTAATGCACATATGCTAACCCTTATGATACTGCATTTTTATGGATTTTAGTATTACTACTGAAATAAGTTTAAAATAGAATTAGAACTTTTCAACTTAATTTATGCCCAAGTGAATCTGGTTTGTTGGAATCTGAAAATAGTTTGTATTTATTATGCATACTCCATCAACAGTCCTTTGTTTATAACTATATGCTTGGGCTAAAACTAGAATTCATTTGTACTATTTCATGCAGAAAATTTACTGAAAGATGGTAGAATTTAGTAAGGATAAACTTACTGAATAATGACTTTTTTAAGAAGCTAATCTGAGAATACTTTCAAACTTCAAAAGCAGTTGAAAAATAGATTTCTTGACTAAAAAATTAGTAATAATGTTTAAAATTGTCCGTTTGATTATTTTATTACAAATTGAAGACTGAACAAGATTATAATTTCTGCTACTGATATTGAAAAAACTTACATTTTTATTTCTCTGCTCTGATACTGTTTTCTGATACTGTATTTTATTTATAACTTGCAGACCAACACTTGCTTGCCCTGTTTTTTTATGAGTAGTAACAAATATATAAGCATTGTTTCTTCTAATTCTTTTAAGAATATTGCTAGTCCAAAGCCCTCTTCACAACCCTGTTCCCCCCTCCATCTGCCACACATACACCCCACACATGCTCACACACAAACACGCACACATTCATTGTGTAGTTGTCACAAACATGAATTTGGCATTATATATTTTGCCAACTTAAGCACCTTACCTCTTCTTTAACACTTATTTCTTCATCAATAAATTGCAGGATATAAAAGTATATACTCCAGTGGTTGGACTAAGTGACAGAATGACAGGTGCTTAGCATAGTGCCTGATACCAAGAAATACTTCAATACATGTTACTGTTTTGGTGAGAATGATGAAACTCAAAAATAACTAAGCAAATTAAAAATTATACATGTGCCAGCGGCTGAGAGCGGTGGCTCACTCCTGTAATCCTAGCACTTTGGGAGGCCGAGGCGGGTGGATCACGAGGTCAGGAGATCGAGACCGTCCTGGCTAACACAGTGAAACCCCGTCTCTACTAAAAATACAAAAAAAAAAAAAAATGAGCCAGGCGTGGTGGCAGGCCCCTGTAGTCCCAGCTACTGGGAAGGCTGAAGCAGGAGAATAGCATGAACCCGGGAGGCGGAGCTTGCAGTGAGCCGAGATCACACCGCTGCACTCCAGCCTGGGTGACAGAGCGATACTCCGTCTAAAAAAAAAAAAAAATTATACATGTGCCATCGCAATACCTAATGGAAGACAGAATGTATAAAAGATAGAGCCATGCATGAACTTCCTTAGCTCTGTATTTTCTTTCCCTGGTGGGTTTATTAGATGTTGTCCTAACCTTCAGTGATACTGAGTAGCCTCTTATGATACCATAATAATGCTATAATAGTGGCTTCATAAAAACAGTCATATGCTAATCATAAATTTGGATCTAGACACACTGCATTAATGTCCTGATGTTGCCTATTACTCTTAACATACTTTAGTATGGACATATCCGAGCCTTGTCTAAATACTTCATAGTCCTGTTTCATTATTAAAATTTGTTTTTCAGGAAATACTGTTTTCAATGTTTTGAAGATAATAATTTGGCATAAACTATAAAGATTTTTCACTTACATTTGTTTCTGTCAAAAATTTTGCTAGACACACCCAGAAAATAAATAAATATAGAATAAAATAGATCATACCTTTGTAAAGATGAGTATTAAATGACTACAAAATTTATAAGTAAATTCTACGGCTTTACTTTTCGTATATATTCATACAAAATGTAAAGTGATAATAACCACGTTAAACTTCTTTCTAGAGATATATTGACAAAGGAAACAGGACATACACATGGACACCTGTCAATGGCACAGATTACAGGTAATTAACTGTATTTTATGTGTATTGTGTATTCCAATGGATTAATATTAAGTCTGCATTTTCACAAGTGAATTTTCATGTGATTTTCACTAGAAAAGTTCCCAACATGAAAACATACTAAACTTATAGACTAATTTTTAAAATGGAAAAGATGGAAAAACTCTAGTAATATAAAATTTAGAAATGAAAACCTATGTGATATAAATATATATATTTTGTATTTTTACATGAGAAATGTTGACAAATACCCATAATAATATGTAGGGTTCACTTTCACTGACTTCCTCTTTTAGTTGTTGTTTAGTTTACATTAGGTACATTTGAGTTGAAAACTAACTAAAATATAAAGCTTATCTCATCATTGTGGTATCTGATATAACATGTTTAGTTGATATAATTTACCTCCATGAGTATCAGTTCTATAATATTGTGATTCCTCCCATTGGCTGGGCTTCGGAAAGTTGGACAGCCTAAAACCTAGTAATCTCTTGGTAATTCTCCATTCTTCAACACTTGCTCAACACTTCCTTCACTTTCTTGCTCTAACTCTCCTCTGAGCTCACTGCTTCCTCTGAAGTCTTTAGAATACTGAGGGTGATATGAGTGTGTCGTCATTACTCATTCTGTTTTTTTTTTCCTTTCTGAAATTCCCATCTTTTAATCTCATGACACCAAACCACACCACCTGCTATTCCTCCTTCTTAACAGTCACATCCCTCTCATTCCTATAAAGATTTCAACTCCTGGCTCATTGTCACTCTCTCCTACATTCACATAGTTCACTGTTTTGCAAATGATGCCATACCCACACTGGTGTAAAGAAAAATAAAAATTATTTAATAAAATAAACTTTAAAAGAAAAAACATAAGCTCAAAATTTTTACTATTATATTTCACAGACATAAAATTAGTCTGTTACATTGCTATAAAATTTTCTAAATACTTCTCCCAATTTCTGTATTTTGCTATCACGGGCTTGTAATAGACAGTTTGCAAATTGGCTAGGTCCATGGAAAACACTTTAAGTAGCATTGACATAGATGATGTTTCTAATACCTGGGCTCTGTTACTTTTGGCCTTCTCTCCTCTAATGATCTTGTCACCCCCCTACCTTAGTCACTGACTCCAAAATCATATTCTGCAGCTCTTACAGTGTCAAGTCTGCAATGCCTTCATAGTCTTTACATGAGAATTTTTCATCCAACTCTCAGGTTACCACATTTTAGCTTTCCATCTTCTCCTGCTAGTAGCCCAACTGCAGTAATCCTTGACTCAAGACATGAAATCCATCAATCCCTTCTCCCTTTTTGCTGTCTTGCCCTCTTTGTGTCCTTGTGCCCTTCTTTATTTAGCAGAAATTCCTTGGGTCTTTCACTGTCTTGTGCACACCACCAACTCCTTTCATCATAGTTGAATTTGGCATACAGCAATTTGGCAAAATACCAGTCCTGGTTAAATTCAAATTATTAGCCACACCACACTGCACCCATACAGCTAAAAGTGACTGAAGTAAAATGCTCACTAGCTGACATATCACCTAAAATTCATGACCTCTAACCTCAAGTGGGCCTTAGCGGTAGCTGGCAGTATCCATAATCCTGTAATTTTAGGACTCTCGTAGATGACTCTTGATCACTTCACTCTCCAAACCTGTAATACTGTCTCATCATTTTCGCTCAGGTGATGAATTTGCTTTCCATTTCACGGAGAAAAATAGAAGTGGTCAGAAAGAACTCCCACTATTAGAGTACATAACTACTTGCATCTGTATCTCCATCGTCTATCGTTATTTCTGTTCTCAACACAATCACAAGAAGGATCTTAACCCTTGAGTAGACTGTTTCATTTCTCTACTCAACTCCCACCAGTAAATTTGCTACCTCATTCAGTCTGACACCCGAAGTCTGGCACGGCCATCAGTGGCGTAAATCATTTGACCTTACTGACCGTCAGCTCTGTGAATTTATCTTCCAGATTCTCCACTGAAAAGTCCCTGGTTAAGCCACGCTGTCCTTTTTGCCACACAACATAAACACTGGCACCCATCTGCCTCAGAACTTTTGTATATGAAATTACTTCTGCCTGGAATTACTTTTCCCAAACAGTCACATGCTCATTCCCTCATCTTCCCATCTTTACTTACTTTTCATCTCTTCAGAAAGGCCTTCTCCAACGATCCTATTTAAAATGTATAATGTTTCACCACACTCTATCTCCCTCTTCCACTTCATATTCTCCATAACCCTTATTGAAATTTAACATCATGCACACACACGAAACATATATAGAGAAACTTATTTCTACTGATTATCATCTGTTCTCTCACTAGTAAGTTCCAAGAGGGCAGGGATTGTTCCCTGCTTTATTTACTTCTGAATCATCAGCTTGTATGACAGTGGCACATAGTTGGCACTCTACAAATATTCACAGAATTGAAGAATTTCAATTTGGAGAAATGGAAGAATTTTCCAACTGAAGAAATTTTCAATCTGTCTCATCCTTTCAAATTCATATAGTGGTGTACAGAACTTCCATTGCAATATTTAAGTACGGAAGTCTCTTTAACTACATATTAATATACAGTTAATATGTAGGCTGTGGTGAACTCAACTATTTCTCTCCTAATAAAAATCAAACCAACTCCCCAGAACATACACATAAGCTTTTATGGGAGCCTATGTTATTATCATAGGAACTTATCTCCTTTAGTATTCCTAGGATTGCATGTAGAATAGACAGAAGAGGAGAGCATATTGCAAAACACCAGAATGGCTGTTTTAATTATTTTACTTTTTTCTATCAACTGATTCCTATCTCTAATTTCTAGGCATTTCTTTATACATGCACAATCTTTATGTGTATACACAAGTTACTCTTTTTCCTCCCTCTTCCTTATTGCCACCTTTCAATTTTTGGATTAACTTGTCAAAAGGTGCAAAAAGAGAGGAAATCTTGAAGGTCTGTCTCTTGAGAGATGATTTTATGATAAAACAAAGTATCAGGGCATCGTATGAGAATGCATTCTGTGTCTTTGTTGCTTAGATGAACAAATTCTGAGAAAAACTGGGTTCTTTTGACCCTTACAATGTGATAGTTGGCTCTCCTACAGTTATAAGGACACTTTTGGGGTGTTTTACGTGTCTCACAAATGGCCTCTATGCTCAACCTCTTTTCCGCATGCACCCAGTGATAATACACAGTGTGAGCAGGCGAATGTTCTTTTCTCGAGTTCATGTCACTCTTTGTTGACAAAACTTTTGTCTCCTTCCATTTTCATCATCAAGTTTAATTTGAACTTCCAAGTCTGATAGTCCCTTCACACATTTCTAACCCAATGTATCTGTCCTGTCATTTCTGCCACTTCCATCACCATACATATCACTGTTCTCTGACAAGGCCCCAACTTTCCCACCTTTGCGTTTCCTCACACATTCGCTTTCCAAGTCTCCAACTTTGGGCCAGATTAAATCTATTTCCATTGGAAATACTTTTCTGAATCACTGTACAAATTCACAAAGAGCAATTTAGAACAAAATGTTACATCTAAGTTGAAGGAAAAAACATGATATGTTTTGATTTCATGAATGAGATACAAAATTTTCATCTGGTGATTTCTCTCTTCTTAAGTCTTGATCCAAGTACCATATTTTGAAATGTAATAAATTATTTTAATAGGATGCTTTCTCTTTTTTTAGAGAATAATTTACTTTTATGGAGATAAATGAGTTGAAAAGTGTGTTATAGTCCACTTAACTCAGTTAACCATGTTTCTGTCAGTCACAAAACACTGCCTGGGCTATACTATTCATCTGGTGGCCACTTGCTTTATTAAACTTTAATCTCTAGAAGGAAATAAAGCAGTCTTGGTCTATCAGTTTTATATGGACAGAGACAGCAAACATTGTATATGACAGCACCATTGACTAGGAATGTTGATAAAGATCTTATCTGACTATATGTTGAAAAATTAACTTGGCTTGAGATGGACATAATTAAATTAAGTATAGCTATGTTTTTCTATAGAACGGACTGTAGCTATTAATAACAATCAAAGACTTACAGGCCAACAAAACGCATAGTAGATGTGCTAGTTTTAAAACTTCTCTTTTCTTCCTCATGGGTTTCCATACTATATTTATGGTATATTAGATGTAACCCAAGCTTATCCAGTGACACTTTAGCAGTTGTATGATATAATGTTATCGGTTTTAATTAGAAGTTTCTCTTAGCAATAAATGCTGATGGGGCAATAAAAATGTCCTAATTTCCCTTGAGAAGAATTTCTGGGAGACAATCTTCAGTGCTCAGTAATTCTGCTGTACATTTTGTAAATGGCAAGTGAATCATGAAAGGTCATCTTGCTGTCAGAGTGATTGCACTGCTTATTTTAATTTTAATCTCTGCCTCCACTTAAAGGAAGTTACCTATAAAATGAATATAGAAATTTTCATTAAGTCTACATAACATTTTATTTCCCTGACCTTTTCCCATAAGGAAAGTCTATGAATTACTTAATAATAGAGAAAGATTTGGGAATTGGAGGTAACAAGCATCCATTCATTTTGCTATCTTTATTGTATAATTAAATTTTAGCAAATAAACCCTTGCTTTTTTTTTCCTTTTCATAGAGTGAAATTTTAATATTTATAGTCATATGAAATTTTGAAATTTTATGTTTTTCCCTATTCTATATTGTCCATAAAAATATATAATGATGTTAGGATATCCAGTCCCAAAACTGGGGCTACGTGAGGCTTAAGTGATTCAGAAGATCTACAAATCCCTAAATCTAAAAGTTGAAATTATTAAAAATTAATTAATTAATTAAAGGATCTACACATGCCTGGAAATACTCAAAAGCATAGATATACACACCTTTTCCTGCACATTACTAAAATTTGAGCTAGCTATTAAAAGTGGATGCTGAAGGTGACCAAGTGGGTTACATTAAACAAGTATTACTTTTGGAAAGTAGTTAGATTGGGCATTTTAGAGGTAAACCCACTGTTCACAAGTTTTCTTCTATATTCAAAGCATAGCAAAGATCATGTGGCTCCATAGCACATGTGGATATGGAAAAGTTATGTCCTACATTTGAGTATTAGCATGAGAATAGGAGAATTACACATATGCAGTTGTGTTATTGGAAAGTGCATAAAATTCTGAAATCCTTTAACAATTCTGATGTGTTTTATTATTTTATTTTATTAATTGGCAATTTCAAAATAAGTAAGATTACCTGCCTAACAGCTTTTTATTTTGGGCAGTCATTAAGGCAAGTTTTGATGGCCAGCTTGTCTGACATTTTTTGTGTCTAAAACATTCTGAATTTGGCCTAAGATTTTCACTGGAACCCTCCTCTGCTTTGGACATCTACCGTAAGACTAGAGTAGCGCCGTGGCTCTTGTTAACTACAAAACTCAAGACACATTTCCTATTACATCTAATAACAATCTTCCAAATAATGTGGAATAATCACAGTAAATAAACTTGAAATAAATACTATGACTTAGTTTTACTATTGGGTATAAACTAATGAGCTTAGCAAACAATTTCTGTTAGTGCAGTAAAGGAATCTGAATTTGCCTATGAGTAGACTAGTACTAGAGAACTTGCCCAAGGATTAGAGTTTTAAAATAGTGGTTATTTAATCCCTCAAAAGAATATATTTTAGATGACTTTATGCATTGTTCAATAGTAATGATAATGGCCAGGCGTGGAGGCTCATGCCTGTAACACCAGCACTTTGGGAGTCTGAGGCAGGCAGACTGCCTGGGCAACATAGTGTAAACCCTGTCTCTACTAAAATACAAACATTAGCTGGGCGTGGTGGCATGTGCCTATGGTCCCAGCTACTTCGGGGGCTGAGGTGGGAGGATCGATTGAGCCCAGGGGATTTAGGCTGTGATGAGCCATGATCGAAACCACTGCACTCCAGCCTGGGGGATAGAGTGAGACCTTGTCTCCAAAAAAAAAAAAAAAAAAAAAGTAATGATAATAGTAACTCTTCCATTTGTATTTTAATAGTGTCCATTTTATACAAAGCACTTTAACATTATATATAATACGTTAAGGAAGTGTGTCCAAATGGTATTATGTATTTACCTTGTTTAAACATACCCCTAATGTTCTTCAATTTTTTGTTAAAATTCAAAGTAATTTAATATAATTTTCTGGAAACATAGTAGGGGGCCATGACACTCCTTCCTTGGCTAATTTATGGGTTCATTCAGGAACTTATTTTCCACTTGTCTCTTCTGATTCCCTACAATGTAGAGAGCTAGATGACTCTGGATGGCAAGACTGAAATTAAGTACTGTATTTGCTGAATGCATTTTCTTGTCAAAGTAATATGTCTTTTCCTTCCCATGAGGAAGATCTTTCGATTTTCCCATGAACTTGATGTGTCTTTTTTTTAAGTTATGTTTCATTTTTGTTTGTTTGTGTTTATGCTTCTCTTGTTTCTATTGCAGTTTGGCCTTGGTATTACCAACCTACAGTTTTTACTATATAAAAGCCAAACTAGAAGAGACAATAACTCAGGCCAGATGTAAGTACTGTGAAAGTGACTTCAGGGTCCATTTGTTATCTCCTAGTATCAGATGTTTAAATACGTCTAGATTTTGGAATACCCAAGGCTTATGAAATATTTTAGTAGGTGTTATTACCAAATCTACAGCAATGATTCTAACCCATTCCAAACATGCAAGGAACAAGAAATATTCTACATGGATAGAATATGAGCAGGTACTCCAGTCTCACTGGCAGTCCCCACCACCCTTCCCTGCCTTGCTATGTGCTCATAGAATCATTGCAGTGCTGTGTCCTGTTGCTGTCGTTTTAAGGGTCTGCTAGCTGGAGCAAAATGTTTCACATGCTACTTATCAACATAGTCTCTACTCTCATGGCACTGTGCTAGTAAAGCTTTTCCTTTTCTTTCCTTTTATTTGTTTCTGGTTATTTATTTATTTATTTTGCATTTGGCCAGAATAATATTGTGCTTCACATCTTCTTCTACTTTGAATAAATTAAATTGCACTGGTCTTTGGCTTTGGTTTGGCAATTAACTTTCTTTTCGTAATCCAAATTAATGTCTCAGTAATGCAAATGGATTAATTTTTTTAAGCCTCATTTGGAATGTAGAGTAATTAATACTAGTGCATACTTCAAGTTATTGTTTATTTTGTTTTGGGTGACTAGATTTTGTAAAGTAAAATGACCATCATATCCTTTGCACACTGCCGATTATTGCTAACAACCTTAAATTTTTCTGTGAGGATGAAGTAAAATACAAAAGAATACCAAAAATATACGTATATATTTTACATCTGATCTTAAAGTAAGCTACAGTTTCTTTCATTTCTCTGTCAGTTCTTTTTTGCCCGCATCAGGCCTGGTGTTCACTGTGCATTATACATAGTACATTTATATTTCCACTTTCACTTGATAGATAGATATGATGGTCTTTTCACAACCAGCAATTCTGCATGAGCTAGTTCTTCAATTGATAAATGAGGGGATAACTCGTGAGTCTTTGATTAGTAAATGCTTATGTTTATAGCCTGACGTCATTGGTATTACACCTGCATTAATCACTTTGCAAAACAGACCCTTGAAATAACCACAGTACAGAGAGGGTAATCTAGTTATAATTGATAGGACATACTATCCAGTCTTCAAAATATGTCTTTTTTTTCCTCAGACTACAGCTGTACATAAATGAACCTTTGATCTATGCACAATATTTTTATTCAAGAAAGTCATTGAATAAAATATTGTTTATGACCCCCTTTGCTTTACCCTCTTTTTTTTTTGTTTCCCTGCTTTCTCTTTCTGATGGATTTTCACAGCAAAAAAGGGCAAAATGAAGGGCAAGTATTTTCTTGTTGCTCAACTTCTTTCTGTTTAGTACACTTGACATTTCCACTGATATTTTCCTTCCTATTGGATATTATCCTCTGTGCTTCTCATTTGCTAAATTTTCCTTCATGATCACTCAAAACTTAGCAGCAAAAAAATGGTAGAAAGAATATGCTGTGTTTTCATATGCAAGCTGGTTCACATTCAAGTTTTTTTCTTGGACTTAAGAAGCTTTGTTTTGTATCCTTCCACTTACTAATTCATACCTAATATGAGGAATGTTATTAACTCACTAAAGGCATTAATGAGTTTTTTAACATCATTTTCTGGATCATAATATTGGTAAACTTTATATAAATAATTGGTCTTTAAAATACCTCTGGTATAACATTCATATCAATCACTTTTTAAAAGATATTCGGTTATAGTAGGGTTAGATCAGAAAATTATAGACATAGCATTTTCTTTGAAATAACTGTGGGGATCCATGTTATGAAGTTAATCCATGTTATAATTTTATTATTTTGGGAAGCATTGAGGACATTTATATTCATTGATATGTTTCAATTTTAGGATGTAAGTACTCTATTTTCAATTTTTCTTATTAGGTAATCTTTCTCATGCCTTCTTATTGTTATAGAATCTCTGGATATATACTCTGAATTACCTATCTAATCCTGTAACATTATCTTTGCAGATTCGGAAACCCTGAAGCCAGATAATTTTGAAGAATCTGGCTATACATTCATAGCACCAAGGTTGGTTTTGTTGTATTTTTGATACATCTTCTATCAGTAGCTAGGCCTTCAACAGTAGTTCAGAATTGAGTCAAGACTGCTCTGGGTTAGTTCCATATCACATTATGGAATCAAAGGAAATAATTACTTTAAAACTGAAACAAAATCTTTATTTATTCATTTCTTTACTCATTCAAATACGAGAGGCCGAAGCTGGTGGATCACAAGGTCAAAAGATCAAGACCATCTGGCCAACATGGTGAAACCCCGTCTCCATTGAAAATACAAAAATTTGCTGGGCATGGTGGCACACACCTGTAGTCCCAGCTACTTGGGAGGCTGAGGCAGGAGAATCACTTGAACCCAGGAGGCGGAGGTTGCAGGGAGCTGAGATCATGCCACTGCACTCTTGCCTCATGACAGAGTGAGACTCCATCTCAAAAAAAAAAGCAATTACTATGTGCTAAGCAATGTAGACTCTGGGACACAATGGGAATAAGATGGACATAGGCTTTGCTCTTGTAGAACAAACAGTGCTTCCAACAGTAATAGAAAATTGTGTATTTTTACCTGTGAATATGTATATACACATATGTACACATATATACACATATATGTACCAATATTTATGTGTATCTATACACGTAGGGGTAGAATGAACATAATAATGGATTTTTTTAATGGTCTAATTCAACTTTCTGGGAGAACATGTTTACAGTGGCATTGCTTTACATAGCTTTTTAGATGCACCTCATTTCTTTCTACCCAATTTTATTTATCTCTCATATAATCTCCCTTCATCACGCATGTACATCTTTTTCTCCATCTCAGTTTTCTTGTAATTATTTGAAACTATTCAGTAGTCCCAGGGTGTTCTTTATTCTTCTTTCTTTCCTCAGTTTTTGACTCCTATTCCATGACAGACACATATAATATTCAAATATAATTCCTATTAATCTAGGCCAAATTATTGGGAACAATTTACATAGAAGCTTGGATTGTTAATTTTTCACTTTTCTTAAATTATTCCAAAAACTCAAAGATGCATATAAATTGTTCTGAGTTACCCTTTAATTCTTGCAAAAGGATATTTCTGAATTGTTTCTACTTTAACGTAGGGAATATGGGTTTTTTGAAAAATCTCTGTTAACAAAGCCTATTCTTGGCTTTTTGAATGCCCGTATCCTTGAGAAGCTTCTCTTGCTTGAATTTCCTTTAGTGTGTGACGCTGTTGATCACGCTGTCCTTTGACAGTGTGCTTTCTCTTGCTTGATGACACACTATTCTGTTTTTCTTACTCCCTCTCTGGCTGCATATTCACTGTCTCTTTCATGAGTTTCATTTCTTCTGCTGATCACTCATATAAGAAGGCTGCAAAGGATGCTAGCCTAGGCTGTCTTTTTACCTGAGACTGCATTCAGACCACAAGCCACCCATGTGTTCTCTGCCTACAGGTTAGGTTCATAATTCCCAAATCTATATGATGGCCATAAATATCTAGAGACAAAGACATATGTGTTTCATTGATATTGCATTATATTATTTAATCCTATATTATATCTATTTCCAGACTTTACATATTTCAATATGAGACACATCTCATGGAAACCAGACAAGAGTATCTCTTCAATGTGCTTCAGATTTAGCATCTTATAAATAATTGTTTCCTTTGGAAAGTTCTACCTATGTTGCCTCAGAGGAGAAAATGCCATCCTCCCAAACGAGCAATCTTGAAACCTGTTAGTTGTCCTTCTCTGCTTCCTTTCTCTTGTATCTCACTTCTAATCAATCACCAGTCTTGCCAGTTCTGTCGTATGAGTATCAAGTGTATCTGTCAATCTCAGCTGCCTCTGCCCTAATCCAGGTCACTGCCTTCTCTCACCTAAACTACTACATTTGCCTCTTACTTGATCTCCCTACTTTCATATTTACCCTGTATTTCTTAATGCTGTCTCTGTTCTGTAACCAGAGAGTTTCTAAAATGTGAAAAAAATCATATTTCTCATCTGCTAAATACGAGCCAGTGATTGTATATTGTCTTTATGATTATCTGTGCTTTATATTATAGCTTTCAAATGCTCTTCCACCAAGTCCTGGTGTACCAGTGTGGTCCCCCACACTCTAAACTATGGACCATCAAACTACATCCTGTAGATCAGCTATCAATTTTAAACATAAATTTTTGTTGGAGCACAGTGATGCTTATTTGTTTCTGGAATGTCTTTGGCTGCTTTTTCTACAAAGACAGGGTTGAGTAGTCGTGTCATAGAATTTATGGGCCACAAAAGCCTAAATCACTTGCTACATGGCCCTGTCAGGGAAAGTTTCCCTACCCGTACTCTAAATTTCATCCATACTAACGTCTTTCAGTTCCTAAATGCACTTTCTTTTTTTTTTTTTTTTTTTTTTTTTTTTGCTTGGTTTTAGTTTTACCTTCTTTTTTCCATTAATTCTCTTTTCCCTTTTGGACTACACACACATACATACATATGCATCCCGCTCCCTCCGAAATCCCAACTTAAAAATTCCTCAATGTGGGGATTTCTTTCCTTTCTTCACTGGTATACGCATCCTTCCTGACTGCTTCATAGAATTCTCTATTTCTCTTGGGGAGCACTGGCCACATTTTATTTACTTTCCTCAACAGACCATGACTGTGTCTATTTGACTTAACATTCAATACCCAATAGTGAATCCATTGCTGGCACACAGTAGGTGCTGAATAAATACTTGGTGACTGGAGAATCTGTAAATATATAAAGAATATTCTTAAAAATTGTATCACTAATAATACTTGCAATCTTATTAGTAGTTTTTGGACACAAGTCACTTTAATTAATTTCAAGTTACTTTGAATTACTGAGAACAACTTTAACCCACTTTAACTAGAAAGAATTTTCTCAGTATTAAGGAGAACATTAGCTAGAAAAAACAAAAACAACAAAAACAGGGTCCCGCAGAATATTAACATAGCAAACAATTTAGGAAGAGATTGAAATTAGGCCTGCTATGTTGGCAAGACTCTCCATCTGAGGTCTGTGTTGTTGTCTACAGTTTCTTCCCTTGTCTCTCCCAGTTATTAAGTAGCAGATTATGCATGTTGGCTTTCTCAGCTTCACTATAAGACAAGGTGGAAACTAGGGTAGAATCCAGATACATAGAGAAAGATAGATATATCTCTCAATTCTAATTCCTAATTCATAGGCAGTGGATTTTGTTTAATCCAGCAGGTATTAGTGTATGAACCATTTCTGTAGTCAGTGTCACATTTCATATTTTTTTTTACAATTCAAAGTTTTAAAATATATTTACATATATGTACAACTATCACTAGAGTTAATTTTAGAACATTTTCATCATCATAAAGAGAAAATCTGTAACCTTAAATGTTACCTACCCATCCTTCCCCAACCCTCCCCAGACCCAAACAACCACTAATCTATTTTCTGTCTCTTATGGCCATGTGCTTGTTCTAGACACGTCGTATAAATGGAACAATACAATACGTGACCATTTGTATCTGCCTTATGTCACGTAGCATGATGTTTTCAAGGTTCATCCATGTTGTTGCACGTATCAGTACTTTTTTTATAGCTGAATGATATCAATACAGCTGACTAGAAGATCGAAATTTACTTACGTGTTTAGGGAAGGAGAAAGTACTTGAGAAGGGAGAGTATTTGGCTTGTGGGACAGGCCAATGAATGTCCACTTCAATTAACATATGTTAAGCCCTTTATGGGCTTGATTATAAATAAATAAATAAATATATATATATATATATATGTGCTGTTTTGAACAGTGTGTGTGTGTGTGTATATATATATATATATACACTTTTTAAAAAAAATTTACTTTAACTTCTGGGATACATGTGCATGACGTACAGGTTTGTTACATAGTTATACATGTACTGTAGTGGTTTCTGCACCTATCAACACATCATCTAGGTTTTAAGCCCCACATGAATTAGAAATTTGTCCTGATGCTCTCCCTCCCCTTGCCCCCCAACAGGCCCCAGTGTGTGATGTTCCCCTCCCTGGTGTCCATGTGTTCTTATTGTTCGACTCCCACTTATGAGTGAGAACATGCGGTGTTTGTTTTTCTGTTCCTGTGTTAGTTTGCTGAGAATGATGGCTTCCAGCTTCATCCATGTCCCTGCAAAGGACATGAACTTATTATGGCTGCATAGTATTCCATGGGGCATTTGTGTTATATTTTCTTTATCCAGTCTATATCATTGATCAGCATTTGGGTTGGTTCCAAGTCTTTGCTGTTCTGAACCGTGCTGCAATAAACATACATGTGCATGTGTCTTTATAGAATGATTTATAATCCTTTGGGTATATACCCAGTAATGGGATTGCTGGGTCAAATGGCATTTCTGGTTCTAGATCCTTGAGGAATCGCCACACTGTCTTCCACAATGGTTGAACCAATTTACACTCCCACCAACAGTGTAAAAGCATTCCTATTCCACCACATCCTCTCCAGCATCTATTGTTTCCTGACTTTTCAATGATCGCCATTCTAACTGGCATGAGATGTTATCTCATTGTGGTTTTGATTTGCATTTCTGTAATGACCAGTGGTGATGAGCTTTTTTTCATATGTTTGTTGGCCGCATAAATGTCTTATTTTGAGAACTGTCTGTTCATATCCTTTGCCCACTTTTTGATAGAGTTGTTTGTTTTTTTCTTGGAAATTTAAGTTCTTTGTAGATTCTGGATATTAGCCTTTTGTCAGATGGATAGATTGCAAAAATTTTCTCCCATTCTGTAGGTTGCCTGTTCACTCTGATGATAGTTTCTTTTGCTGTGCAGAAACTCTTTAGTTTAATTAGATACCATTTGTCAATTTTGGCTTTTGTTGCCATTGCTTTTGGTGTTTTAGTTATGAAGGCTTTGCCCATGCCTATGCCCTGAATGGTATTGCCTGGATTTTCTTCTAGGGTTTTTATGGTTTTAGGTATTACATTTAAGTCTTTAATCCACTTGAGTTAATTTTTGTATAAGGTGTAGGCAAGGGGTCCAGCTTCTGTTTTCTGCATGTGGCTAGCCAGTTTTCCCAACACCATTTATTAAATAGGGAATCTTTTCCCTATTGCTTGTTTTTGTCAGGTTTGTCAAAAATCAGATGGTTGTAGATGTGTGGCGTTATTTCTGAGACCTCTGTTCTGTTCCAGTGGTTTATATGTTTTTGTACCAGTACCATGCTGTTTTGGTTACTGTAGCCTTGTAATCCATCAGATAAATAGAACCAATGACAAAAACCACATGATTACCTCAATTGATGCAGAAAAGGCCTTCGACGAAATTCAGCACCCCTTCATGCTAAAAACTCATAATAAACTAGGTATTGATGGAACGTATCTCAAAATAATAAGAGATATTTGTGACAAACCCACAGCCAATATCATACTGAATGGGCAAAAGCTGGAAGCATTCCCTTTGAAAAAGGCACAAGACAAGGATGCACTCTCTCACCACTCCTATTCAGCATAGTATTGTAAGTTCTGGCCAGGGCAATCAGGCAAGAGAAAGAAATAAAGGGTATTCAAATAGGAAGAGAGGAAGTCAAATTGTCTCTGTTTGCAGATGACATGATTGTATATTTAGAAAACCCCATTGTCTCTTCCCAAAATCTCCTTAAGCTGATAAGCAACTTCAGCAAAGTCTCAGGATAAAAAATCAATGTGCAAAAATCACAAGCATTCCTTTTTTTTTATTTTTTGAGATACAGTCTCGCTTTTGTTTCTCAGGCTGGAGTGTAATGGCATGATCTCTGCTCGCTGCAACCTCCACCTTCTGGGTTCAAGCGATTCACCTGCCTCAGCCTCCCAAGTAGCTGGGATTACAGGTGCCCACCACCATGCCTGGCTAATTTTTTGTATTTTTAGTAGAGACGAGGTTTCACTATCTTGGCCAGGCTGGCCTGAAACTCTTGACCTCGTGATCTGCCTGCCTCAGCCTCCCAAAGTGCTGGGATTATGGGCGCGAGCCACTGTGCCCAGCCACAAGCAATCCTATACACCAATAATAGACAAACAGCCAAATCATGAGTGAACTCCCATTCACAATTGCTACAAACAGAATAAAATACCTAGGAATACAACTTAAAAGGGATGTGTGTGAAGGACCTCTTCAGGGAGAACTACAAACCACTGCTCAAAGAAGTAAGAGAAGACAAAAACAAATGGAAAAACATTCCATGCTCATGGATAGGAAGATCAATATCATGAAAATGGCCATACTGCCCAAAGTAATTTATAGATTCAATGCTATACCCATCAAGCTACCATTGACTTTCTTCACAGAATTAGAAAAAACTAAATTTCATATGGAACCAAAAAAGAGCCCATATAGCCAAGACAATCCTAAGCAAAAAGAACAAAGCTAGAGACATCACGCTACCTGATTTCAGAATTATAAATTTTATTGAAGTTTTCCCCTTGAGTGCATGTCTTTTAATATTATATGTGATAAAACTAGAAGTGCTACTGCATCCCAGAGTAACTTGGATGTCTCAAAAAAATAAAGGACCTGTATGATTGTGTTAGGAAGTGAACAAGGTGCTTTCTGCTTTTTTTTTTTTAATGTAACATTACTTGAAAGAACAAATTACAGAACTATGGTTATTCAGATTTGGATAGCCAGCAGATAGTTTCTCAAAAATAAATCAGATGAGCTTTTGACTTCGAAGAAAACAACTAAGAGTATTTGCTGCCAATGACAGAAACTGAGCTTTCCAACGAAAATTAGAATTTTGGGAAAGTTGTATACATGATTCATTCCCAATACTTACTTAGTTGAAGATAATAATGAGTGTAAATTTTCAATATTGTATAATGTGTCATTATTTGGAAGTTGTACACAACTCATTTTCTAAATAACCAGTTTATGATTTTACAAAATCACGGATGCTTAAAAGATTCATTTAAAGTATAAGAAAGAATATGGAATTTTAATGTAACAGAAGGCAAAAAAACTATTAATATTGTTTCAGATTCCATGTTACAACTACCCATCAATGAATTACAAATAAACAAGTTTCAGTATGTTATCAAAAACAGAACAGCCGCAATATCTGAAGAAAAACAAGCCTCTCGTCTCTGTGAGGACAAATTTTCTGTATAGACCAAAACAAACTCTTGCAATTGATTGCAGAGACATGCTTGTCTTCTCTTGTCAGGAATTAAAGATAATTTGCAAATATGTAAAACATTGCCACTTTTTAAAATATTTTTTAAAATAATGGTAATATTTTATTAAAATATATTAACATGTAATGAACTTTAAGATTTCTGGGCTTTTTTATTGTCTAAATTTTTATTTTCAGACAGTCATAGATTCACATGCAGTTGCAAGAAATAATACAGAGAGAACCTATATACCTTTTACTCAGTTTCCTCCAATGGCAACATCTTGTATAAGTTTAACACAGTATCACAACCAGGAAACTGACATAAACACAATCCACTGATATTATTCAGATTTCACTAGCTTTATGTCCACTCAGTTGTGTTTGTATATGTGTGTAACTCCAGGCAATTTTTTTTTTATTTTAAGTTCAGGGATACATGTGCAGAACGTGCAGGTTTGTTGCATTGGTATACACGTGCCATGTTGGTTTGCTGCACCTATCAACTTGTCATCTAGGTTTTAAACCCCGCATGCATTAGGTTTTTGTCCTAATGCTGTCCCTCCCCTTGCCCCCGATGCCCCAAGATTTCTGTTTTAATTGCTATATGAGACTCCTAAATCTAAGATATACAATGATAATAGTATAACTACACCAAAACTTATTGAGCACCTACTGTCCAAAGGCCAAACGTTTAATTCATATTGCCTATAATCACCACTTACTGGTAAAGTATTGGTCCATTATAGAAGTGAGGAAATGGAAGTAACAAGAAGCTCAATAGTTTGCAAAGTCTTGTGGCTAATAAAAAAAAAAAATAGTGTTTTCACTACCTTTAATTACCCTGTAAAGTTTTGATTTTAATATCTAATATCTCAAAATGTTTTTTTTTCAGAGATTACTGCAATGACCTGAAAATATCGGATAATAACACTGAATTTCTTTTAAATTTCAACGAGTTTATTGATAGAAAAACTCCAAACAACCCATCATGTAAGTATGCATTAATTCAAAATGATTGCTTGAGTGTGGTTCTATTGGTTTATAGTATATCATAGGATACGATAATCATATTACTTTATATTGTGCTGGTTGTTTATTTACTTTACAACTTTTTAATAGTAAAATGTAACAATTTGATCCTTAATTTTGCAAACTAAAGAAATGTTATTTCATTATTTAGTTAAATCAAATTTTCAAAACAAGGTAATATATTCTTTCAAATGGTTAAACGTAAATATGGCACGCTCATGTTAGCTCCTCTCAAATTTAGGAAATTTAATTTTGAATGATCTTTTGAAGGTTTTTTTATAGCATTTTGCCTGGTAGAGGAAAACGTACATTTTTATAAATTTATTTATATGCTTCAAATAATATAATGAGTTTTAATATGGGTAGAATAAAAACCGAAGTATAAAGAAATATCACTTAATGATTTTCTTCCTTCCTGACATTCTATTTTGATCACAAGTTAACTTTATGTCTTAAAAAATTATGCTTCTGTAATTTTTCATTTATGAGGTAAATCAAATTAAAATAGACAACAGAAAATTAGTAATTAGTTTTTAACCATTATATTTGTCTTTCAGGTAAATTTGCATCATTCATACTCTAAGCTTAATAGAAAATTATGGATTCTTGGCTTTTAAATCATTAAAAAATCTAAATCATTTTTTCTTCTAAAAATATTTATTATAAAAGCACTACCAAAACAAATACCGTACAAATGGGAAATAAGAGGAAAACCAAATTCATGGCAAAATTTATCTTCATAAATAAAATTTGAAAAAAGAATAAGTACACATAATTGACTTTTTTGGTTCTCTCTCAAAGAGGAGTCTCTTTGTTCTCTTCTCCCTCCCTCCCTCCTTTTCCTTCTCCTCCTCCCTTCTTTTTGTTTTTCAATTATTTATCTTTCTATTAGGAAGGGTCAAAGCACTTTATCAGTTATCAAAAAGGCAAAGGCTTTCTTAAAGCTGACTCTTAACTTCGATTTATTGCATATGAGAAGAAATAACTTCCTAGCTCCTTCACTTTAGCACAGATTAGTTAGCGGCTTCAGTGAGCCACTCTGAAAACCTGTCATGGGAGCCAGAGTTTACATTGATCATGTCTTAACATGATGATTCCAAACCTTTCTACTCAGTGCAAGCTCACTGAGACTGAGCCAGTGCCTTTGAAATGTTATTTTATGTCATTGTTTATTTCCTATTAATGAGTACTAGGCATTTCCAAGAGAGAACTGTAATAAGATTGTTGAATGTTCCTTTAATTGGATACCAAAATTATGAAACACTCTCATATTCCTTGCAAAAATGAGTTTATCAGAAATGTTTTTCCTAACATATAACTTTTCAGAACACCATGAAAATTGGAATCATTCTTTTTTATATCTGTATCTATTTATTTTGTTTTACCTAAAGGGATTGGAGGCAATTAGAACATTTACTTTCCAAATGAACTGTTTTTTAAATGATTCAGTTTCTAAAACAATATAGTAAAAAAGAGTGTCTAGAATGAATTAAAATGTACTCCAAAATAGGGATTACATTGATCCTTTAATCCCAGGTGTAAGATATATTAACTTAAAATAATTAAAAGCAACAAAAATGTTTCCAGCCTATCTCACCACCATGTTGTATAGTAATAGGATGTTAAGAACATATATTCTTTATCTGAAAAAGTCAAATTTTGTCGTAAATGTGCAATTTCAGAGGGTACCTGTTAGGGTATTTCAGAGCTTAATGGGTTTAGAGGAACAAGGAGAATGGGAAGAAGGCAGAGGTTTTTGTTTAAGAATACATAATAATTGGCCTTTGATCCTCATCACCTGTTTCCTCAATTATCTTTAAACTTGGGCTAATATGCACTTCAGTTATTCTAGAAATGACAACCTATTATCTACTTAGGTATTGGTTCTTTGACCAATACCAGTAGATTTCAAAAACATTCTTGGGATTGTACTGCTCTGTGATGCTCATTCCATTCCTTGCTCCTCGATATGCGGCACTGAATTTTTCATAGTCTTATTTACTCCAAGATTATCCTATGTTTTGATATTTGTGATAGAAAAGAATGAAAATAGCTTTTCTTATAACAAATGAAAGTGAAAGTAGACAGTAACTTTTTGTTGAATGTTTTTACTTGATAATTTCAGTGGTAGTTCTGTTTCTATATATATAAATTTTATATACATATATAAAATTTTATGTGTGTATACATTAAATTGTCATAAAATTATGATGGTTGGGAATCGCCATGCTACCATACAGAAATAAACAAAAACACAAAAGAAGGACTATTTCCTGTTTCTTAACATAGCTTATTTCTTATTTTGATAAAGTTTACAAAATAATTTGGCTCATTTAGAATTGATTTTTCTACTACTAAATCCATTCATTTCCTGAAAAACTGTGAGGCAAGATGAACAATATTAAAATTACAAAGAAAATGAATGTGGAATATATTTTAAAATTCATAGAAATATCTACTCTAAATTGCTTTTGGAAATAGAAAATATATTTTTCATTATGATCATAATTTTAGAAATGTGAGTGTAACTGATGATCTTTTTCTGTGTTAGGTAACGCGGATTTGATTAATAGAGTCTTGCTTGATGCAGGCTTTACAAATGAACTTGTCCAAAATTACTGGAGTAAGCAGAAAAATATGTAAGTATTTGTTCTTATTAATAAAAATATGTATTCTGCATTTCAATTTAGTTTCTCCTGTGGAAATTGGGTATGAATCTCATAAATTTACAGTTCATTAATAATGTTTAATATTTCTCAAGAAAATCACTATACAGTTGTTGACAACTTGCATTTTCAGTTGTGGGTGTTTTTCAGTACTAATGTCTGCTATTACTCAACTTTTCATGCACATACACTTCAGGGTGAATACACCAAATTAAATGGGCATGATTGTGTGTTTCTGTTTGTGCTAAAGTAGGATTTCTAGTCAGTGTTTATTTGGGTTTCTAATAGCATTACCATACATCCAGTTGAGAAAATCTGAGTATGATTCTTATTTAAAATCTCTTCTCCACCCCATTTTCAGTCACTAAATGCTAAATATTTCTCCTAGCAATGTTTTCTTCTCTACCTCATAATGAAGGCCCTAAGATCCCATTTCTAAGAAATCACAGCAACTGATTTTTCTGCCTTTAGTGTTCTCCATTCCTCCACATGCAGCTTCTAGACAATTCTCCATACAACTCATATTGGCCAGAATCTAACTCCTAAAATGCAGTTCTAAGTTCAAGATACAGGTGAAGCTCTCTAAGATGGAATTCAAAATCATTCATTAGCTGACCATTGAGGAACTTGCACTTGAAACTTTACTTCTTACTGTTTCTCTCCTTTTGTCTTACGTTTTTTTTCTATACCAAACACCAGCCATCTCTGGTAGCTTTCCCTTATGTATACATTCCTCTCTACAAGTGATACCTTCCTGCTTTCTGTGTCATTGCTGTCAATTCATACTCCATGTTCAAAATGCACCTCAGTCATTATTTCCTATGAGATGTCTTCCTTAAACATCCTTCAAGTACAAATTTAATAGATATTTAAATTATTAAAACATAGTTGTGTATCTATTGATATATTTCCTTTACTTCCTAAACTTACTTCTCTTTGTATCACCAACACCTAACTTTGTTTTTTAGAATATGTTCAATAGAACATTTCCTTGTTTTGTCTTCTGTTTCAGCAAGGGAGTGAAAGCACGATTTGTTGTGACTGATGGTGGGATTACCAGAGTTTATCCCAAAGAGTAAGTTCAAATAACATCTGTAAAAACAAGTACATTACAAAAGACTGCGCCAAGGATTTGTACATTACTGCTTAAGGAAGCCATTCTTCAAATAAACTGATTGCCATTAGATTACATTGGAGCCATTGTTTACAGTATTTACATTATTAAAAGATTTTATTTCTCTGAAAAATGACATTATAAAATTCTTCAATGATGTTTTTGCTTGCCAAATATGTTTATTACAACATTTAAGAGACGTTTAAAGAGATTTTTCTCTTTGTAGATACAAGCTAAACCAGTGAAATGAACACAATGATTATAACCAATCAGCAATATTTATGTAGCACTTTATTATCTTTCACTCTTCTTTGATGCATCTTATCTCTATTATCTTCGTAACAGTCCATGAAGTAGGCTGAGTAGGCACCAATGCTTACTAACATTAATTGACCTATTAACTTACTTGTCCTGTTACCTGACTAGTAAACAACGGAGTAAAACTAGGAGTTAGCTTTTTCTGATTCTTAATTTAGTGCTATGCTGATGCATTGCTCAGTAATGAGTATCAGTTATGCTATCAATTACCACTAACTTCTTTAGACATACCTGAGATGTAGGCGTATCTGTAAAGCTCAGCAAGTCCACATAGGATAAAGTAGGTTATCAGGTAGATTAAAGAATACAAATGATGAGCCATTTCCTCCTTAGGGCTGGAGAAAATTGGCAAGAAAACCCAGAGACATATGAGGACAGCTTCTATAAAAGGAGCCTAGATAATGATAACTATGTTTTCACTGCTCCCTACTTTAACAGTAAGTATTGCTTTGGAATTCAGCTTTTCTCAATTTTTTAAATAATAAATTACTGCTACTATCTGCTCTCCCCCCAAATCACTACATTTTATGTTAACTACTCAGAATAGTCATCATTAAAAATAGAGTATTTGCAAGGCATTAGGAAAATAGAAAAGAAACATCATTTAGTTGAAGAAGCAAAATGCATACACAGCAAACAGTCTTCCAGTAATTTAGAGATAGCATATCTGTTAGGCATGCATAAGAAATAGAAACACATGTAGATAATCCCTCATATTACAACTGAAAATGTATTGAAAAACATTTAAGGAATTAAATAGAGTAATTCCATTGATTAATTACATTTTATCAGTATTATAAAATATAATTATACAATTAATAATAGCTTATCTTTTAAAATATTTTATTGACTTATTTCCCAAAAACCTTGTAATTTAATCCCTGAACATCTTTGCACATAGGTAGTATTTACCTTCATTTTCCTAAATGGGGAAACAAGTTCAGAGAATTTCAAAGTTTTGCCCAGTGACATACGTCTTATAAAAGACAAAGTCAGTTTTATGCATCCAGGATCAATCTTTCCACTTCACTTCAGCAGAACTACTTAATATTTTAACAAATGTTGTGAAGTAGAGATTTGGCATGTATTCATTATGTTGTGAAAGCAGATGCAACCAAGCTAATTAATGTCCCCGAATCAATTAATACAAACCAATTCATGGATATACCAGTTAGCCTAGTGTATACAACGGAAGAAGAGAGGAAGGAGAGCACAAACATTTTATAGTTTGTAGATGCTAGAATTTTTAAGCAAAATACTATCCATTTGTATCTAATGACGGAAAATCAATATTATTATTCAATATATCTTGATAGGTGTTTTATTTATTTATTTTTTTTTTAGAAAGTGGACCTGGTGCCTATGAATCGGGCATTATGGTAAGCAAAGCTGTAGAAATATATATTCAAGGGAAACTTCTTAAACCTGCAGGTAAGGATAAATATTAAATACAAAAACACAATCAAAATTAAATGTTACTTGGCATTTATATTATAAACTGGCAATGTTTATCAAGAAGGTCATCAAAAGGTGTCAAACAAAATAAAGGCATGCACACTTAAAAAAATTAAATAAAATATGACTAGTTACCTCTGAAGTTGGGATAAAATCAAATTGATACTACATAGATTTGAGGAATTTTCAAAACAGTGTGTATGTTTATACTCTGACACAAATTGATGGAATCAATTTAGTATAATAATCAAAATTTTTAATGTTGGATTAGCAACCCACCTCCAGAAGTCTCTCTTAATACTTTAAAATACGTACAAAGTTATATGGCCAAGGAGTTACATATTTGTACAAAAAAGTTAAGTTTCCAGCCCTGAGGGAAAAGATAAATATGGCATATTTATACTATATTCTAGTAGGCGTCTGTTAAAGTGAATTAGGTAGGGCTCAGTTAAAAACTTGCTATAAAATATATAGAAAAATGACTTTTTGGAAAAATAGGCAAGTAAACAAACATAGTAAAAGTGAGCATTAATGAGGATCGGAAGTGGGCTAGAGTGAGTGAATACAATAAAGTAAAAGCTATTAGTTTTTTTGATTGTATGATTCAGTGTTTGAAGTTTTAAAGGAGAGTATTTTGAGCCTTCCTGCTCCTGAGGACAGCTTTACCCCATCAGCGGATCTATTACATGAATTCACTCCATCACTTACTCACTAACTCACTTACCTATTCCTTCATTCACTCAATTGCTCAATTACTTACTAAATCAGTTATTCTCTCAGCCATTCATTTATTCACCCACTCTCCTACTAACCCACCTACTCATCCATTCATCTGTTCACTCTTTCAGCAAAGATTTATTAAGCACCTACTGCAAGCACTGGTGGGGTTAGGGAAACATCTTAAAATATACCGTTTGAATGACCTCAAGTTTATGAGGCTCTCCTGACACTACTGTTTTTTATTTAGCTTATTGTATTAGTTAATTGGTCAGGTTGTGGCTAATGAATACACTCTTTTGTGAATATGTTACAATTTATGTAATAGTTTAAGAGCTATTAGCATTATTTCTTAATGAACACAAAACTAAAACTTCTGTAATAAACTATAGTCTGATACTTGCTATCAAAATAACTGTCATATTGCAAAGGTTGTATTACATCTAATTATACCTTTGAATTAATTCAAATTAATTTTTCAGTTGTTGGAATTAAAATTGATGTAAATTCCTGGATAGAGAATTTCACCAAAACCTCAATCAGAGATCCGGTAAGATATTTTTAAAAAATTCTTATGCTATGTTTAATGTTTTCAAAATTCAATAGAAAAAAATATAAGGTCCTTATACAGTGGCAAATACATTCTCAATACCACTACACTGAAGTAGAATTCTGAATTCCTATTTTTTCAAAGCTTTTTTTGTTTAAATTAGTCAATATGTAATAGAAGTATTTCAAGGTTATAACATGCAATGCTAGTTTATATATTGATTGACATTGTCTAATAAGATAAAACTTTTGTTTCTTATAGACTAGACTGTTTAATCTTATTTTTCTACTGGATAAATTATTTCAGAATTTCTAATTATAACATGGTAATAATATAATTAAAATCCAACTTTTAAAAGTGAGGTGATAATCGCATTTTTGTCTTTCAGTGTGCTGGTCCAGTTTGTGACTGCAAAAGAAACAGTGACGTAAGAAAACTATTTAAAATCACTTTTGAGTACAATATTTCCTTGTGTTACTCTTGCTAAGACTATAGTGATGAAAAAATATGCAGGAATTTTTTAATCAAAGGCTAAAAAATTCTATGGAAATGTGAAATAATATATTCATTTGAATTTGTATGCTTTTGATTTTGAATGTAAAGTGCTTGAATTTTTAAAAATATGTATGTATCCTTGGAAGGTAAAAAAATGGTCATGTCAATATGATGGTTCTCTTCGGTCTCAACTGTGTTACATTCTTTTGTACATATTTATCTTTAGCTCTATTTCTGGATAGGAAGTTTCTAACCAAAGCAACCCTATTGGTTATCAATGCAGTTTTCTCTCACCTATCACACTTTCTCTAAATTTGTTCACACTGTATTATATAGTTACAGGAAAAATGTTTTAACTAAACCTGGAAGTATTACAGTTTATTATAAAGTTATAGTTACATGGATTGAGTTTTAAGGTGTCTTGTATTACTTTCACTTCTGTTTGAGAAATTGAAAAAGGAAATGTGAACTTTGTTCAAAAGTTGAAGATGCTCTAAGAATGATACTAGATAAATAATTCTAAAAATTGAATAACAATGATGAAACAATATTTTCTTCCAGTCCTCTTTTGTGTGTCTGTATATCTCCAAGGGAAGCAGGGGGTTCATATCGTCTTTATCACTCCTACTCCTGTGAAATTATGAGCCAATAATTTTAATGATTTTTGTAACTTATCTATTTCACATAGACTATGCAGTAGCTGTTTTAAGAGCAAATATTTTAGTAATAAACTGCTTCCACATTAGGAAAATGCAATGCATTACATCCTCAACTTTGAAAACCATGTTTTTATTTGTGATTTTTATTCAATACAAATTATTATATTGATTTTCATACATTAAAACATGATTTAAACTAGGTGGGAATTTATCCTGTGTTTCAGGGTGAAGTAAGTATTAACCATGGACATTTTTTGTTTTGCGTTTTGCTTTTAAATCTCCAATTATCCAACTACATATTTTTAATCTAAAATATGAAATAATTATAAATAGTCTTATAGTACTGATGTGTTTTAAGTCTGTGAAACAGGACAACTAAAATGATATTTTTTTAAAATATCTTTTTGTCAAAATCCTAAGTATGTGTTTAAATCAGTTACTCATTATTAAATAATTTTCTCTATCCAGTTTTCTGGATCATTTAGATGACCCGGAAATGGTAAAAAGATTATTTCTAATTTGCTCTTCTGATTTGTTCAGACTGAATTGACAGTCTCAAGTGGATGGTTGGTGTTGGATTATCAAGCCTGATGGTTTGATATAAATCTATGCATGCCTTTATTTCACCAGAATTTAATGAACATATATGTTCAAGAGAAGATAGGCATTTAAAATTTTCTATTTTTATTGCTCTAATCATGTATATAATGGGGTAAAGACAATGCAGCCTCCTAACCTTTCTAAAAATGTGTTAACTGTTCACTTTATTTTGATAGGTAATGGATTGTGTGATTCTGGATGATGGTGGGTTTCTTCTGATGGCAAATCATGATGATTATACTAATCAGGTATGTACCTCAAATAAGAGGGAATTAGGCTTTCCAAAGTGTGTTTCCCGGATCAACATTACAAAACCTCTTTCAGTGTTTTAGAAATCGATGAGTTGTTTTATTTCTGTCATACAATAATTTGTAAAATGCTTAATGTTATGTAAACCATTAAGAAATGCATGCTAAGTCTAGTTTTTATGTTATTTGATTTTACATTTTAGTACTGGTATCATTAAAACATACAGTTAAGGATTTTAGCATGACATGAACTTTTAATCTTTCTGATATTTAGAAAACTTTCACTTCAACATTTGTCAGTTGATGGTATCTAATTTAATATATAGCTTGTTAAAACTGATGTGATTTCTAGTCTCAAACCTGCAAATGAGCAGCACATAGGCTATTTTTAACAAATTTGAAGTAGATGCCAACTAATTTCACTTCTGAATCTGCATTCCTGGCTTCTTTCTTTTGAAAAAACAAAGCAAAAATATCTCAACCCTGGGCTTTGTTTGTTTTTTTTCTGGATGACAGGATTTATGGGGTGGAGCTGATTCACTCATGATTGCCCCTTTAGATGGGACTTGTTCCAGTTCATCACAGCCCCTACAAGTTCGTTTTCTAGGCCAGCCTGCTCTCTCATTTATGCCACTTTTCCATTCCCCAGGGGGGCATTTGATCTTTTTTTTATTGTATATGTTTAAGGTGTACAAAAAAAAGCTTTGATTTGCATAGTTAAGTGATTACTGCGTCAAGCCAATTAACATATCCATCATCTCAGGTTGTTAACCTTTTTTGCGGTATGGTAAGAAGACTTAAAATCTACTCTCATCAAATTTCTGGTAGACAACACAGTATTATTAACTACAGTCCTCTGTTGTATGTTGAATCTCTAGGCTTATGCATTCTACATAACTGCTTCTTTGTACCCTTCCACTTATACCTCTCCATTCCCCGGCCCTGTTTTATTCATCTGGGAAGCATTTGATTGTGATTTAATGCTTAGTAATGTGTGTCCATTCTTTCCACAAATAAAATATCACACAGCCCCACTGAGTAATGAGAACACTTACTCTCATTTTAGTTTGTTCACAGTGTCATATACACGTTTCTCATTTGCTTTTGTTTTTAAGCTCCTCAGTTGTAGTTCAGTTTCTTTGTATTATTTCTTTTCACTGTAGTGGTGATTCCCGTGTTCATTTTTGGCTTACATTTTAAGTGCACGTTGCTTTATGATTTTTTTCTTCACCAGATTGGAAGATTTTTTGGAGAGATTGATCCCAGCTTGATGAGACACCTGGTTAATATATCAGTTTATGCTTTTAACAAATCTTATGATTATCAGTCAGTATGTGAGCCCGGTGCTGCACCAAAACAAGGAGCAGGACATCGCTCAGCATATGTGGTCAGTAATATCCACGGTCTAATCAATTCTCAAGGGGTACTCAAGTGTCCTCAGTATCAAGTAGACTACTGAAATGACCTTATTATTTTATTTTATAGCCATCAGTAGCAGACATATTACAAATTGGCTGGTGGGCCACTGCTGCTGCCTGGTAAGTCAAAATTTTAGTTTTATTGGTAATGAAAGAAAGAAGTTGTAAAATAAAAAAGCATCTGATGAAAATATGGATTTAGGGGATATTCAAATTTTTATTAAGGGAGTTAAGTTGTTTTCATTCTTTACATCACCTATTGGTAATATTTATAGTTTTTCCTAAGTGAACACTATAAAGTTACCATTATTCAGTTTCTCATATGAAAACAATGTTATGCGGATGTAAACTTCAGCCTCTTTAGAGTCTTCCTTCCTCTACATATCTATTGAAACTCTTTTCATTTGTATTAAATATTTATAAAAACATTACACTAATTTCTTTTAGGTGTATTGATCTGTAAGAAGTTACAATTTGTCTTTAATATCCCAGTTGGATGTCTACATGCATCAAATTCATGGCATGATGGCAACCTTCTACCTCTTTACTATTGATACAAGGACTAGTATTGTTTTAGGGGCATCAGGTTGCCGACATGGATCTAATTATTTCTTTTCACTGATGCTACCTTCCAAACCTCCCTCAACCCTCACCTGTAGACCCTACAACCTATGAAAATAAGACATTTAAATGGTCAATTGTGGCACTGTGGAAGGTCTGGAAGATCACATTTCTCATTGTTTAGTTGTAACTAAACCTCCTGTTACGTCTGGAATCCATGATCTCCCTCTTCCCTCTCTCCCTTCTAATCTTTTTTTTTGTATCATCACACTGTATTGTTAGCCCTATTCCATGTAGATTAATGTACAATATTCATTTGATGTTGAGGTTTGCCCAGCTAAAATTAAGTGACTATATCATTAAAGCAGCAAAAAAGATTTTAAAATTTTGAGAGTTTTTAAAAGATTTAGAAAATTCTGTTTTATTCTGAAAAATGGTATTTTCTGATGTGATTTTATATATTAATTTCAGTAGGCTTTTAAAATTTCATCATGACCCTGAAATACTTGGCTTTATCCTATATCCCCTCCCACCCCCACTTTTTTTTAAACTAAATTCAGTTCTAGAAATTTGGCTCAGTTGTCAGTTACTGTAAAACTGAAATGTGCTGTATCTCTCTAATATGTATATTTTGTTTCATGAAAGTTACATTACATATTTACAAATATATTCTATATTACAAAGTAAATAGTTAACAAATTCAAACCCATGGTATAAACAGCATTGTTTCTTTGTTGGGGGCGGGGGAAACCCAAAAAACAAATGGTTTTAAAAACTAAAATAAGGAGACGTAATGAATGTGAAAACCTACGCGCTGAAACAGACATTCTCCCTCTTAGAGTGAACTCTTCTGCTTGATAACATTGCCTGTTAGGTTTCTTCACACATTGTGTCCCACTTGATCCTGAACAAGATCTGAACACTTCTGATTTCATGACTTCTTTTACACATTACAAAAAGGTTACAATGTGTTATATAATTTTGAAAATACTTAAATAAAAACACTCCAAGACTTTCTTTCCCAAAAAGATAAAGGGAAACAGTATTTATGTGTATGGGTACATGTAAAAACACATTTTTTCCCTAGATGTTTATTTTTTTTTTATTTGAAAAATTCAGGTCTATTCTACAGCAGTTTCTCTTGAGTTTGACCTTTCCACGACTCCTTGAGGCAGGTATGTAAATGCTCAGACCTTGTCATTGCCATAACAATAAAAATTTTCTTTTGGGATGTGCTTGAAGTTCAACAAATTCAGAGAATATTTGTGTGAAAGAGAAAACAGGTCACCCATCTCATAATTTTAGAGCTAGAAACTTTTTGTCCAACCTTTCCTAATGTTTTAGAAATTACCTAGGTCACACGGGCCTGATCTCATAGCCATCTTGTATTTGAATTCATTTATTCTCTTGATATTTATCAGGCATCTATTACGGGCTGCCACGATATTACACAGCAGTAAACAAGCCAGTCGAGGGGTCCTGGTCTTATACGTTTATTTTGCTCTGTGAGAAGTGAAGACTCGAGGGGAGTGACTACAGAGACCCCTCCTAATGGTGTTCTTTGTTTTTACACCGTCCCCCGCCACCCAAGTTGAGATGGAGGATGATGACTTCACGGCCTCCCTGTCCAAGCAGAGCTGCATTACTGAACAAACCCAGTATTTCTTCGATAACGACAGTAAATCATTCAGTGGTGTATTAGACTGTGGAAACTGTTCCAGGTAATTTATTTATTTCAGGAGTAGTCCTATTTCATTAAGAAATTGTATATACTGTTATAATCATTAAGAAATTGTATATACTGTTATAATCATTACAGAAAAAACTGAAAATTGTGTTGGAGTCAGAGATGTGAGTAATTGTTTTAAGCTGAAAATGTCAGCAATCTTTAGTTTCTCTGTAGACTTTTAAAATTTGTAATTTTTAAAATTCTAACTTTGATAAGCTGTTATTTCTTCAACTATAATAATTACATGATCAAGATAATTCCTTTCTCTTTAGGCAGAACATAGAGAAATTTGATTATATTTTAACTTTTTTTCCTAAAATAACCCATATTAAAAATTTCTAATATAAAGTTATTAAATATATTAGTAATTTAAATAATTCTAAGCCAAATATTATTTATTTTTCTATATAGTAACTAAACAGATTTACAAAAAAAAAGTCTTGTTTTGTTTTGTTTTTACTTCTAGTCTTCTCTGACTTGAAGAACTGAATGTTATCTTTATTTGAATTTGAAGGAACTGGGAAAAATACAGTTTTTTTAGGTCATGGTTAATGTTAGTCAGTATCCATAAAATATCTTTTAAAAAGAGATGGAGAATTTAATTTTGTTGTAATGAGGGTAGAGGAGAAAGGCAAGATGGGGATTTTGAGGGGAAAGTAATAATTAATGCCACAGGATTCCTGAGAGGAGAGCAGCAAGTCACAGCTTACAAAGCACAGAGTAGAGACACTTTGTTTTTAGAGGTGGAGGGAAGATTATTCTAGAAGAAATGTTACCATAGCGGAAGAAGAAATAGGAGGAGGTGAGGTAATCTGAGATTATGAAAGTGCCAGAATAGTTAAAAAAAAAAATTTTGCAAGAGGGGCTAAGCAACCTATCATGAATTTTTAGGAGACGTGGTCAGTATGTTTTATGACTTTCTTTAGCAGACCTCTATCTCCAAGGAGGAGGTAGAGTATATAAAGAGGAGAGGAAAGGGAAGGAAGAGTCAAGCATGAACTCAGAAAAAAAGCAGACTGTCTTGTTTAGAGGAGATTAGCATATCAGGCTATGGACTTCAGGAAATGGGATTGTGGCATGTTTATTGGATACATCAGAGTTTCACAGACATTGGCCTTTTATTAATTGACATCCAGCAAGAGCAATTGGTGTGCTTAAAGAAGTAAGTTAAATTGTAAAGTGAAGAAGGTCAGTATAACCAAGATGTTAAATTGCATCATACTTTCCTTTTGATTTGCTTTATGGAAATCAAAGCTTAACAGGGCAAAAAGAAAATCCCACTTTTCTGCAAAATGTATAATGATAAAGAAATTACTTTTTTAGTGATATATTTACATTTTTTATGTTGGTTACTAAAGTAAGAGCAGCTTAAGGTGTGGACAAAACAGGGGATGGAATTCAAAACCCTTGATTCTGTCCATGTCTGTGTTGCCCAGTGCAGTAGTTACCACCTATAGGTGGCTATTGAAATTTCAATTACAGTTAAATTAATTAGAATTAAAATTTTGTGCCTCAGTCACACTTGTCACATTTTAAGTGCCCAATACCCTCGAGTGGCTAGTATTTACCATATTGGACAGTGCGAACAACTTTTCCATCTTCACAGAAAGTTTGCTTAATAGCACTGTTCCAGACTTTTCTCTGCCCTTAGGTTGGGCAAGATGCCTAGACATTTTTGTATTCCCTGTTGTGTTATCTGTAAAATAAGGCAACTTTGGCATAAGCATCACAATTCTTTGTATGTGTAAAGAAAAACTTTTTTCTATGTACATCAACAACTAAATTGTGCTTATTTTGCAATGAGGATTAATACTTTAAAATGGTCACACATAAAACATATATTGCAATTTTTTTATTCATTTGACATAGGTAATACGTTCATGCTAATAAATGAAGCATTTTTTTCTTCTAAAATCATACTCCTATTGTGCTGGGAATGGTTTCTGTTTCAGATGTCATATTTTGTCTTTCATTTTAATATGTAAGAATCTTTGAAAGATTTCCATTTATTTTGGAAAAGATACTCATTTTCTATGATACCATATTTATTTTGCAGAATCTTTCATGGAGAAAAGCTTATGAACACCAACTTAATATTCATAATGGTTGAGAGCAAAGGGACATGTCCATGTGACACACGACTGCTCATACAAGCGGAGCAGACTTGTATCCTTTGACATCAGAGCTATCTGGAAAGGAAAACCATCTTAATGCATTTTGAATCTTGTCACATTGTTTATATTCATAAAGAGAAAACTATTAGACTGCTCTGATCACCTCGCAAAGGCAGAATCGATTCCTCACTCAAAATTTGGTTGGAATGTCAAGAATAATTATGCTACACATGCCCCAGAAAAGGATAATTCACAATTTAGTTCTTTAAATCCCTATGTACTTGAATTGTGTTGGATGAGAGTAATGATGTATAAGTTATCTCTCTCACATGTTTTGGGAAATACATTGCATTGTATTTATTTTTAATCATGTGAAAAAAACTAACATGAGATTCCTTAACAAGTCTCTTTTAGCTGACGGTCCAAATCCTTGTGACATGGTTAAGCAACCCAGATACCGAAAAGGGCCTGATGTCTGCTTTGATAACAATGTCTTGGTAAGATCACACTTCTACTGGATTAAAATACTATAAATTAATGGTCACTGTCCGCAAGAATTCAAGGATACAAATTGCAATTTTAACTCAAACGTAATGTCTTAACCATAGTTTTTCTCATTAACATGACATACTTGCTGGTAGATTTTTTTCATTTCAGTAGTTTTCATGGTTAGCATAAACTTGACAGTTGCTTCTTTTATATGTCCTTCCCACAGAAATTGTGCTTTCAAACACAATTCCAATCAATTTAACTCATAGTAAATGTTAATTATGGTATATTTGTTGCCTCCATTTATATTCCAATCCTGAAGATATAAAAGTTAATTTTATTATATTTTTGTTAGTTATATTTGTCTTCAGTGAATTGAAAAACCTGTTATACAGCCATTGTCTTATTATTACAGAGTTCTAGTGTGAATTGAAAAACCTGTTATACAGCCATTGTCTTATTATTACAGAGTTCTAGTTTCTTTTGGATGGTTTCTGATGCTATCACATATTAGACTTCTATTATTTCCTTTAATTGTACTAATTTCTTTTTCTAGTGTTTGAAACTAGACCAGGTCAATTACATAGGGTTTGATAAAATATTACAAATCATATTTAATATATGTCACTTAAAGATGGCTTACTACTTTTCCTATAGTTCAGCTATCTTTCTCTAATAAATACTATTCTGATTTACTGTGTATTGATTATATACAAGGTAGGTAATATGTCATCAGTATGTACTACATTAGCTTTATGCTTTTAAAATTCTTAAGAAATATTAATCTATTCTCAAAGATGAAGTCTACATAAAAATCTCTGTCTACCTCTTTTTAACTAATTTTAAATACAATACTTCCTAATTCTGATTCTTCAGTGTGTGCACACACCAATGAATATCCAAACTTGTAAAGCATTATCTCATAAATTATTTGAGTTATTTAGTTTACCTACTCAAATACATAGCTGCATTTGTCCCAGAAAGGACAAAACATTTTCACAGATAATATTATGCAATTAGATAATATAAATTAAAAATAGCACAAAGAAGTAATAAAATCAGTAATGGGGACTAAAAATGAAAGATGTATTAGCCAGTCAATCCCAGTTATCTCTGTGAGGGATTATTGATCCTTGCTAGGGAGAGTAATTCAACATTGCAACTAAGCGTTTTTTTTTTCTTTTTAAGATATATTAAGTCCAGATAGGCGGACTCCTGTTATTCTGTCTACTGCAACTTCAGCACGTTGCCCATGTAAAATTATTCCCCCAAAGAATGTTTTATGAAGGGCCAAGGGTCATGTCACTCATTAGAGAAACTTCGCTCATCAACTATTTGTCACCAGTTTTTTGACACTAGAAATATTAAATTCAGATGAACTTGAAAAGTGACTTAAAAGCCTATTGCCCAAAATATTATTCTAGGAGGCTATATCTTATGATCAAGCCATTAAAAGGATTTGACCAAGACAAAAATGTTCAGCAATTGAAGCTCCTATAAATGGGTTGTGTGTGAAAGTACAACTGTTGCTCAGTAGCTTGGTGTGCTAATAATATCTTGTGTTTCTTTAGCAGTGGAGTTATTTTGGTAATGCTTATTTGCAATGGTCACTGTGAATCTGCTCTGGATGGAGACTCACGTTAACTGCCAGCAAATTGCATGAAATCTCATCTTGTATGTCTTCTGTGTTTTCTTTCCTTTTCCTATACTTGCTACTTTGCCCGTTATTAATAGGATCAACTTAAGTGCACAACGAGTCGTGCCTGTACCATGATGTCAGCTCCTATCTTCATTTTACTGCAAGTTTTCATGTGGTGTGGATGGTCAGTCACTTTCTCTAATTTTTCTTAGTTTTTGTTTTTGGCTTGAAATTCTAGAAAATCACCCATATTCCTAAATCTGCGATATTAATGTTCCTGAAACCAGGTTATTAAAATCTCAGGACCAATGTTGTTGTTTTGTAAATAGCTGATTTCAAATGGCATGTACATTTCTAATCCTAAATGAAACATATTCAATATTTATGTAAAAATCATTTTTCATAAAGTTTTTGTGTAAAAATTGTCATTACAGAGACAGATATACAGGCTTCATGGTATTTTATGAGAACTACCTAATGACAATTTTTAGAGGTGGTTATCTCAATTTATTTACAAAAGATGCTAACACAAATTTAATGCACTCTTTCAATTCCTTTCAGATTTTTCTACTTTTTAAAATAAATCTGACTTAAATAACTTTTTAGATTTTTTACTCTCAAAATATTCTTATTGAAATATTTTAGAATAAGTGCTTCTAGTTTCTAAGTTCATTTTATTTAATATACATTATCTAGCCCAAAATTATTAATTAACCTTTTAAGAAATTTCTGAGTTCTCTATTCAATACTACTAAAGAGATGTTTTGGGTCTTGGATTTGCATTTAGTTCTTCATTTACTGTTTTGCAATTTCTTTTCTAATGCTCTGGAATCATCATGATGTATTACTAGAGCACGCACTTTCGTTGTGTTTGTCATTGGTTTCCAAGTAGTCATTGATTAGGAAGCCACTAGATGGAGATGTGGCCATTACTATGAATGGAGTGAATTCACAGGCAGGGGTGATAGAGGGTGGGGAGTAGAATAGCAGAGGGAGTCTCAGAAAATAACCACAAGTCTTCTGGCATAATAAAAGAATAGTTTTCATGGCAAAAGACGCCAAAGTAAGGAAACGTTGCTTTAATATCTTCATATACACATTTTAAAAATTGATATATAGGCAATTATTTGAATTATTATTAATTCCTGAAAGAAGTTCATAGGTAGTCAACCATTACACAAGAAAAGTGTAATCAAATTATATTTCTATAATTGTCCTTATTTTCCCTTTTGATTCAAAAGCTTACTTCTGTCAATCATAGAATTTTTAGATAAGATTTATAGGTTATCAGTTACACTAAAAAATATGTAAGTATTGCTCTTGAGTAGGCCAGCTCTCTTTTTACCTTTCTCTTAAAAACTTATAGCAACGGCTGGGTGCAGTGGTTCAAGCCTATAATCCCAGCACTTTGGGAGGCCGAGGTGGGTGCATCACCTGAGGTCAGGAGTTCGAGACCAGCCTGGGCAACCTGGTGAAACCCCATCTCTACTAAAATACAAAAATTAGCTGGGCATGGTGGTCCCAGCTACGCCAGAGGCTGAGGCAGGAGAATTGCTTGAGCCTAGGAGGTGGAAGTTGCAGTAAGCTGAGATTGTGCCACTGCACTCCAGCCTAGATCACAGAGCTAGACTCCATTTCCAAAAAAAAAAAAAAAAAAAAAAAATATATATATATATATATATAGCAACAGTGACTTTAAAATCTTTTTAACCTAAGACCACCACCCCCCCCCCCCCCCACCAAAATAACATTTTCCTATTATGGTACTTTCCTTGAACTATAATTATAAATCTATCATGGCAATAATTATATATCACCATGGACTCAACTAGGATATTTATGTACCAGATAATATGCTTTATAAATTGTGTTTGCATAAAATAATAAATTTCTCAATGGACAATTATTGACTTGCTTTACTTCTTTGATTAATAAATGTTAGCTTTTTCATTTGCTTGAGTTTTGATGAAGTCCTCATGGTATGGAGCTTCATAATTGTAGAAGTATAATCTATATCCTTCTGATCTCCAAAAAGAAAACATTTGAGATTCCTTTATATTATTGTATCAAAGGAATACATAATATCGATGATGTATATTTTACATTAACAAAATATGCTTTCAGTATTTAAAAACACAGTTATCTGTATAGAACAGTGAATCCACTTAGTGCTATTTGAATGTTGATATAATGATATCAAAGGAAGTATTATTTTCTCTGAAACAATTAAGTTGAAAAAAATCATTACAAAAAATACTGAAATGTTAGTTGGCAGTTGTTTCCCACATTAAGGACCATAAAGGTTATGGTCTATGCTCCAATGTAGTCTGGCTAAAACTAGCAATTTCTGTTGGATTAGGTTCTGCTCACAAGCAAGGTAGAATGGTAGTATAATCTCCAAAGCCTACCAAGGGGCCCTTATACCCGGTAGAGTCCGGAAGGATATAGATTATACAAAAACAGTTATGAAGCTCCATACCATGAGGACTTCATCAGAACTCAAGTGTTCAAACAAGACTTTTTGATAACAAGTTTATGAAGACTCAAAAAGCTAACATTTATTAATCAAAGAAGTAAAGCAAGCCAATTCTGTCCATTGAGAAATTTATTATTTTATGCAAACCCAATTTATAAAGCATATTATTGGGTACATAATCTGTCTACATTTAAAGAGTTGAATAAATATACTACTACCTACCTATCTCACGAGTTAATGTGTAAGAGTGTTAAGGTGACATGTCGGAGAACAAATTATTTGCTAGGGGCATTATTCCTATTATTATGCAGTATCTACATGCCTAAAAATTTTTAAATATAGATTGTCTTCAAAGTTGCTGGTGGTAACTTTAGTACAGACTTACCTGAATTCAAAAGTTAGTCCATGATTTGATGGCTGTCTTCACCAGCGATTTGCATTTTGAAGGAAATTAAATGATGGCTATAATTCAGAAAAAAAGATCAAAAACCTTTTAGCCAAATGACCAGAACATTTTCTTTTGAAACATGTACTTCTAAATTTAATAAATTAAAAATTATTAAGCTTGTACTGTATGCAATTAGTTGTCCCAGGTTCTGAATGGGGAAAGAAAGGCAGAGTAAGAGTTTAGCAACAGTAACTTCAAAAGATTTTAGCCACTGGTAACGCATGCTGTATGAAGAAAACTTTGGGGCAAAAACCATATGAATTTTACTATGGTTTAGATTTTTTAAAGAGTAATGAGAAAGGAATAAAGAATTCTTAGTTGATATCTTTAATAACACAGTCTTTTAAGGGAGGTTCCCCTATAAGGAAGTCTAATAAAATTAGTTTTATCATATTTTAAAATAAATATATATATAATATTGGCACTGCATTCTTTTTCCATTTTAATGTTCTAAACTGAAAGTACCAATCTGTTATTTTCTACTTAAATAATCATTTAAAAATCAGACCGATTTATTATATCTGGTCATGGTGTCAGTGGGATTTCAGTCTCTATAGGACAGAAATAATGCTGAGTTCCTCCCACATCAGTGCATTTGTGTAGAATGTATGCCATAATAAGACTTGAAATGATTCTATGAAATACATTACATGGACTTGCACCATGCAAAATGCTTGGGAAGACATGATCAGGAAACTTAAAAGACACATTTTTCAGTGTGAACTGACATGCACACCACAGGGAGCCCAAATAACTTATCTAAACTACCACCTCCCAAATAGAAACAGACATATCTCATCATCACACAGAGGAAATTAAACAAAAATTATATATAAAAATAAAAACAGTGAAATAAGGGCCAAAGAGAATATTTTTCTTTCCATAACACATTTGTAGAGTATAAAGATGACAAAATATGTTATTAATACACAAATGGGTCTTGTGTGGTAATTTTTATTCAAATTAACACTTAATCATAACTGGGGAGTACTCCTGTTTAAGTGACAATGACTTCTTTAAGTTAATACCTCATAGTGTTTCTAACCAGTCCATGTGTGCTGCTTTATTGAGTACCTACTCTTCATTTATCAAATCGTTGCTATGTATCTAGCCACTCTTCTGTGTATGAAATACATTTATATAAAGTATTTGTTTTTTTTTTAATCTGATATTCAATTGTTACTGGTACCCTGTTTTTTATCTGTTTACCCTACCTGGAGAGAAAAGCATCTGAACAAAAAGAACAAATGCAAAGGCAGTAAACAGCTTGGCCTGTTGCAGAGAAAGCCAGTGTTACTGAAGCAGAGTGAGTAGGCGGGAGAGGAGAAGGTGGGAAGATGAGACAGCCAGGCTCCAGACCTCATAAGGCTTTGTAGACCTCAATAAAGAATGTAGATTTTGCTCTGAGAATGATGAGAAATGTCAAGCAGGGAGTGAAAGAATGTGTGGTGTTAAGAAGACTGCTTTTTGGAGAAGCGTTTATAAAAGGGCAGAGTAGAAGCCATGGGACAAGTGAGACAGCTTTTGCAAAAGTGGAAGCAAGAAGTAATGGTGACTTGGACCTGCAGTAGTGACAAGCAGTAAGTTTGGGGATGTATTTTGAAGGTAGAGTTAGAGGATGGATTCCCAGCTGAAACCCCCACTCTGCAAAAAATATAAAAAATTAGACAGGTGTGGTGGTGCACATCTATAGTCCCAGCTACTTGGGAGGCTGAGGTGGGAGGACCACCTGAGCCCAGGGAGGTCAAGATCATGCCATGCTATTTACTGGTACCAGATATTTACTGATACCAGAAGAATTATATTAGGGGCAAGGCAAGTCAAGTTTGAAATCCCTATGAGACATACAAGAGGAGAAAGGTAGAGATCAATGAATACACAGACCAGAGGAGAATACAGGATTGAACATACAAAAGAGTGAGTTATTAGGAAACGGATGAAATTAAAGCCATAGGACTGGGGATTAGATCATCTAGGAACAAAGTGTAAAGGAAGAAGAAGAAAGGAGAGAGAAGTAACACCTGGAAAAGTCTAACATTTTAGAGAGCATGAAAGAAAGGAGGTCAAGCCAAGGAGAGAGACACAAACAAGTTTCAAGAAAAACCAGAAGAGTACATTAGCCAAAGGTACATGAGAACGTATTTCAAGGAGACAATGTCATATATTTGTCAAATGCTTCTGAAAGGTCAAAGAGGATGAAGACTAAGAATTGATTATTTTATGATTCTATTTAGATTTGGGATGTAAATTGATTGAAACTAAAATTTTTTCATAGATTCTTTTCTCCCAGCTTTCTTTCTTCTTAACAAAATAGTTCTGCTGCCTTAAAATACAATTAAAGAAATAATTTTATTTACTGTGTGGCAGCACTGTATTAAATCCTGGTGAACAAAAAGAGCCAAAGTTCTTATTCTTTGGGAGCTTAGAATCTTTGTAAAATTATCCTGAAAGAAAATTGTTCAACCTATTATTTTGATTCTTAGAACATCTACCTTGGATTAGCAGATTCTTTAAAGATGTTTAAATATATGGTCTTTCAAATAATCCCATCAGAAAGTGGGCAAAAAACATGAATAGACAGTTCTCAAAAAATGATATACAAATGGCCAAAACATATGAAAAATTGCTCAACATCACTAATTATCAGGGAAATGCATGTTAAAACCACAATGTGATACCACCTTACTCCTGCACTAATGGCCATAATAAAAAAATAATGGATGTGGTTAAAAAAAAAAAAAAAAAAAAAACACTTTGTACACTGCTGGTGGGAATGTAAGCTAATACAACCACTATGGAAAACAGTATGGTGATTCCTTAAAGAATGAAAAGTAGAACTACCATTTGATCCAGTAGTCCCACTGCTGTGTATCTACCCTGAGGAAAAGAAGTCATTTTATGAAAAAGACACTTGCGCATGCATGTTTATAGCAGCACAATTCAAAATTGCAAAAATGTGGAACCAACCTAAATGTCCATCAACCAATGATTAAAGAAAATGTGGTATATATACAACATGGAATACACCTCAGCCATAAAAAGGAATGAAATAATGGCATTTGCAGCAACCTAGATGGAGTTGGAGACCATTTTTCTAAGGGAAGTAACTCATGAATGGAAAACCAAATATTGTATGTTCTAACTTCTAAGTGGGAGCTAAGCTATAAGGATGCAGAGGCATAAGAATGATATAATGGACTTTGGGGACTTGGGAGGAATGGGAGTAAGGGATAAAGTACTACATACATTCGGTGCATTGTACATTGCTTGGGTGACAGGTGCACCAAAATCTCAGAAATCACCACTAAAGAATTATCCATGTAACCAAAACCACCTGTTCCCCAAAATCTATTGAAATAAAATTTAAAAATAATAAGGAGGTTTTTAAAAATGAAATTCACTATGTTAAAAGGAATTAAAGGATGTGGACAATGTTATCAAATATAGAACCTAGGAATAAAAGATGAATAATACTTTTGCATTAAGAGGGAACTAAATGAGCTACCACTAGACTGTGGGGAGTTAATGGGAGTATATTCATTCTAATATTTCTTGGTTGTCTCAAGACAAATCTCTTCCTAGCTTAGCTCTCTATTTTGGATATATATTTGCAAAGCAAAATCCTATATGTGTCCAAATAATGTATTTGAACCAACATAAACAATGGTTCAAATACATTATTCCCATTTTACTTTAATTCTTGATGAAGGTCCAGATGCTATGATTGCACTCTATGTTGAGCCTTATAAATTGTATAAGAAATATGGGAAATGGAAATGTATTTATTTTACCAGTCCCCAACTTTACCATATGGAGCATAGTTGCTAAAATCATAATTCTTGGGAATTATAAAACCTACTATTAAATTTTACATTTATTTCTTGCATTTATAAATATATAGGATTTTTGATACTGTGAAAGTTTTTTCTTTAAAATTAGTATATTATTCAAACAGCATTTATTATTTTCTTTCATAATCATCAAAAGCTACAACTAAAAATTTAAAGCATTTGTCAAATGATGCTAGGGAAATTCCTCAATGATAAAATCTAGGAGAAAGTAATTTCTTTGGATTTCAATTACAGCAGTTTTATAAGGTAAGTTCAGAAAGTGAACTAAATATGGATTACTCTGAAAGATGTGTTACTAAATATTTTTCAAGATTTTTAGATTTTTCTTTTTCTGTTCTTTTCTTTTTTTTTTAACAACAGGAGGATTATACTGACTGTGGTGGTGTTTCTGGATTAAATCCCTCCCTGTGGTATATCATTGGAATCCAGTTTCTACTACTTTGGCTGGTATCTGGCAGCACACACCGCCTGTTATGACCTTCTAAAAACCAAATCTGCATAGTTAAACTCCAGACCCTGCCAAAACATGAGCCCTGCCCTCAATTACAGTAACGTAGGGTCAGCTATAAAATCAGACAAACATTAGCTGGGCCTGTTCCATGGCATAACACTAAGGCGCAGACTCCTAAGGCACCCACTGGCTGCATGTCAGGGTGTCAGATCCTTAAACGTGTGTGAATGCTGCATCATCTATGTGTAACATCAAAGCAAAATCCTATACGTGTCCTCTATTGGAAAATTTGGGAGTTTGTTGTTGCATTGTTGGTGATTACATGTGAAAGGGTTCCCCATACAATTGTTAATGAACCATAAGAAATGTCTTGATATTGACCTGGAATTTTGACTTGCTGCAATTTTACTAAGAAAATCTCTAAGGGGAAAGAAATTATTTTTGCCTTCACTTTTTCTTCTGTGAAAAGTTAATTCCTGCTTTAAGTAGCAATTATTGAAATATATAGAGAAAGAGAGAATTAACATTGGTCTAAATTGTTGAAATATAAATAATGGCTAATTTTCTATGAAAAATTTGCCATGAATAAAATGCCTTATGAAGAACGGCTTCTTTGCCAAAAATAAAACACAATTGATGACCAATTCAATTTTGATGGGGTAATGAATTGATGGTTTGAAAATAGTAACTAAGAAATTATTAAACTAAAGGTGCTTGAGGGAGAAATTAGAATATGTGACATATTTCCTCATAAATGTAAGCAAGCCCTTAATAAATGCTTTGATGTAATGTTCCTTTTGTTCACAGTACAGTTATGTAGTGCTAGCCAGATATTTAAAAATGCTCTAAGAAAAGCTTGTCAGGGGGGAGGGGGAAATGTTTTTCTTGTGATAAATGAACTTTGGTTTACCAAGGGTATTTTGCATGATGCTGCTGCTATTTTAACTTTTCAGTTGTTTTTTCTCTTACTGTAGAGTGTAGTCATTGAAAAGTTAACTGAGTGATATTGTTATGTAAGAATCTGAACCTTGCAGTGTAAATGCACTTAAGTCATCTTTAAAATGTTGTTAAACTACTCTGAATATACTGTGCAATGTAAATGCTGAATGATTGGGGTTAGATAAATGGTGAAATGAGAATTAATGAATTTTATACAGATTCATGCTTTCGCCTGATAACCTATGTACAGATATTTTAAGTACATAAATCAGATTTGACACATTTATTTTTTGAAAAGTACATATATGTTCTCAATGAAGATTCATCCTAGGTTTCCTCTTTGTTCGTTTCAATAGTAGCACATACAATCCAAAAGTTCCTGCTACTGCTGCTTTTGCCCTTCCATTTTAAATGGTATGATCGTTTGGCCAAAATTTCCATGCAAGTTGATAAGGGTTTTACAATAATCTGAACAAATAGGAAACCTTGAATCTCTATGTATGCACATGAATACTTGATTGTGAATAATAAAAGTTGTTTTTTATACAGCCTCATTGGTGAAAATGGTTAGTGTAGTAAATCAGATATTTCATTATAGACTAATATGGTAGCAGATTATTTATGCTTTTAAAAATTATTTTCTGGAGCAAACAGTATTTGAAGAAAAGGTAAAAACTATGAATGTGTAATTCTAAGAATAGTTAATAATTTTACTGAAGGCTGAACGTATGTAGATATTTTTTATGATAAAATGCAGTTTTTCTTTTTTTGGAACATGCCAATTACTGGTATGTGTATATGCTGGAAATTTTCTTACATATCCTTTTTAAGTCAAAGTTATTAACATTATCCAGCATGCTTTAATATGCTCCACATATCAAAGATATAACCAATAATTTAACGTAGCTTAAAAGATAACATTTGTTTTGTTTTTAGCTTTGCATACATTTGTAATTCCCTCCCACCACCAATATACCTTAGGTACCATTTGTGTACATTTCAAGATTTTTTTTTTCAATAAAAAGGTGGGGGGAAATGGAATCACTTTGCCAACTATTGTTCTAAGAGTTGACATCAGTTACCATTTCTAATGCATTGTTGTGATTTTGTAGTGTCATTCATAACTGGTATTGACATTTTAGAAAACACCAAAGTGATTTAAAATATATGTGGGGAAAAAAACTTCTCACTCTAGTAACAATGTTTTAATCATGTTGTTTGTTAAATATTTAAAAGTTATTGTTCAATTTTTGCTAGACTATCTTAAATCATGATAGTGTTGGGAAGGGGGTATCAAAATATAAAATTGTTAGTTTGTGTATATAAACAATGCACATTAAAACAATTGAATTGCTTCCAGCATACAACAAACTACCTTAAAATTATGTTCAAAATCTATTAAATATATTTTCATGGCTAATGTCGAGTATATGTTTTCATCAATTACATTGTTATTGTATTAATCGCGGTTAAACTTGGCATCTCTTGGCAGGATCCTATTTAATTTCTGTTGCCATCAAAATATATTTATATGCATGAGTTTTGCTATAAACCTTTATTTTCTGCTATAAAGTTATATATTATGACAACCATAAATGCAATTACAAATTGGGTAAGAACAAGCTGAATAAAAGTTGTTCCCATGACTAATATTAGTCTTCATGCTTTTAGCATATTTTTTAAGACAGTAACACTCATCCCATCAAATTATTACATTACATTTAGTATTTTTCTGAGTTACATTGACAAGAACTTAAATTATAGCCTGTTATTAATATTGATTTCCAACGACTGAACAGTACAACAGATCAATAAAAAAGTTTATACACTGCTTTAACTAATTTTTGTTATACTCATGTGGCTTAGTGTAGTTAGTCACTAAAACAGAGTTCAAGTGAGCTTGGCAATGGTGTTGAGTAACAAGAAAGAATTTTGCATTAATGATTTCTTTTTATTTTCCTCATTTAAACAACCAGCATTACTGCCAAACACCAACCGTGGTCCATATTTGTAACAGGTTTTTAACATGACATAGTTAGCAAGTTTGATTGAAGAGATTTTTAGGTCCTGGGCCTATAAGATTTTAGTATGATCTTTTTTCATGTTTCTAATGCTTGAGGTGTTACTGCTTAACTTGGGAAAAAAAAAAACAAAAAACAGTGTTCCTGCCATTTGTAAGTTTTCCTATAATATTCCTTTTATTAACTTTAAAACTGGACTTATCGGGTTCAAATAGGCAGTATCCCTTTTAAGTGACCTTTGCAACCCAAGTGTTACTTGCTTATTTGATGCTCTCTTGTATTTTAAATCTCATTTAAATCTTTGTCTGTGACCAACAAAGCTTAAGATTTTGTCTTCATTTAAAACTCTGAATCTATTCCATTGATCATGTTAGACGTTCAAATGTTTAATGGTATAGTCTGACCTAGTGAAACAAAATGGATGTTGTTACTTTTTTTAAAGAATAGAATGAAATAACTATTTCACTTGCCCAAAATTTTAAATATTTTTTCATCTAAACTTGTATTGTTTCCCATAGCAGAATGTCAATATTCACAGTACATTTCTGTAAAGAGCAAACCAATATAATGTTTTGAGTGTTGAAAAAAATTCCAGATTTTTGAAGAATTAGACAACTCTTCATCTACCTTATTTCTAGTTCACACAGTTATCTCAAATTCCACTGAAACTAATGGGATACTGTCTTGTGTAGATGCCAGTTGAGTTTATAATGTGACCTAGTAAAGCTGTCTTTTTTGTTGTGTTGTATGAGTGTCGGATCATGCTTTTAGGAATACTTTTATTAAAATGGTGTGCATTCATGCAAAAGGCCAACTGGCTTTTGTGAACAATAGATCTTTTCTCCCCTTTATTTTGTTCTCTTGACACTTTTGTGAAAATTACCTAGCCTGATAAAAACATTTTGTAAAAATTTGTATAATACTGTTATAAAATATTTATAATCCCAGAAAATGTTGTGTTAAATCTTGTGCAAAAACAGTATATTCAGAATAAAAGTTTATCATTTAAAGTCACCACGCGGTTTGGGTTTTCTGCTTTTTAAAAGATCCAGTTGGAAGAGACAGATGGCTCTGTCATAAATAATTTTAAGAGAGAATTCTGGATTGTGGAAATAAAAGTTGGGATTAAATAGTGCTTTTACAATTACAAACCTCAACTCACACAAATACAGTCAATCCTTGAACAACATATGTTTGAACCACATGGATATACTTATATGTGGATTTTTTTCAACCAAATGCAGATTGAAAATACAGTATTTGCAAGATGGAAAACCCACATATACCAGGTGCCTACTTTCTGTATACTCAGATTCTGCGGGGCCACTTTCCAGACTTGACTTGGGTATGCATTGATTTTGATACACGTGGGCATCCTGAAACTGATCCCCCCCACGCACAGAGGGATGACTGTCAATTCACTCGCGATGCCTTTACTTAAGTCTAACCTTCTAACATGCCTTCTCCATCAAGGCACTTAGGAATGTACTTCATCAGACTTTGGACTTCTTTTATAAAAAAAAGTTCCCTAATGTTTCCATGTTTCTTTAAAGACCTCAGAAAAGTAGGTTAAAAGAAAGAAACAAGTTAGAGTATCTGAAATGTGCTTTTCTTCTATGCATCTAACATTTGAACAGCAGCTGAGGCAATGAAGTATAAAGAATTTTCCCTAAAAGCCCTATTAGATTCCTTTTACACTTATACCAGCTTACAACCTGACTTCCTATGCTCACGTGATAAACTGATGAGCCTGATGTTATATGGAATCTAGTATAACGTAGGCCTACCATCTTTTTTTCCTCTGGAGAATTTGAAAAATACCTACGTATGGGTGGAATGTAGTATGTGGGTACCCGTGATGGTGATTACTGGAAAATCTGACCCCTATGTCTGATAAAGACATTTTAACAGGAAAGGAAAAAAAAAAAAAAAAACTACACGAAAGTGTAACGTAGATTACATTTGTTTTTTGAACATCTGGATTCATTCTATACCAATTTATCTCTTCAATTTTCTTTCCCCAGAGACCTTCATTTCCTCTATCAATCATTTTGATCCCACTCCTGCCTCTTCTCTTGGGACCTTGCTTCATCAGTTCTTCTTTCTCAAGCATATTCCGTACCCCTTCTCAGCAGGCTTCTTTCCCTCTGGTCTAAAGTCATTTGGAACACCTCTATCTAAAACAAACTGAACAATCAAACATCCACCCCTGCCTATTAACCCTATTACTTCCTAGATTTATAAACCTAGAATTATTTATTTGTACATCCACAGACATATATTGGTAGTCTTTTCTCCTTGGCGTTATATTCAAGTAGGTCTTCTTAGAATTTTAGATCTTTAAGACACATTACCTCTGACCACCAGATTTCACTACTGCTGAAAATTTTTAATTATTGGTATGAGGTCCTAATAAATTCAAGTTCTTGGATATTTCTCAATTCCTAAATGTTTTTGTATCTCAAAGTGGAGTTATCCACCAGAGCACCTATATACTTTCCTATAAATTGCTATACAACTCAAAAATGCTGTTTTATATTTAATAAGTGGACTGTTTAAAAATGTATGAGAAGAAAATTTAATATCACTACCATAATTTGAAAATGAATATAACTTGCCCAATTTAGTAAGTATGTCACATTAAAGTAGGTTCATAGCTATTGCGATAAGAAGAGATGAACAAACTCACTCAGCATATGCCAGTTGTCAAATGTGCCACATTTAATAAAATGCTTCATCAATGCATTTATTATGAAAGTTTAGGAAGTTTTTGCATAAAATGTAAACATGGACCCAAATATCAGACTGTATACTTTAGTTATTAATATGTTAAAAATGTATACTCATGAAATTTTGTCAAAGTTTGGCTTTTCTTAGATGTGTAGAATTTTCCCCCAAATGATTTATTATCTAATAGTTTTGGGTCATTTGAAACATTTTCTTTTTTTTTTATCTAAAAAATAAGTTCATCATGAATCTTATATGGGAAGGGTGAATGATTTAAAACATTTCTTATACTGTAGTATGAAGTTTCCATGAAAAAAAATGCTCAAGATTTAAAAAAAAATAGCTAATGCATTATAAGACAGAGAGCTTATGCAATTCTAAGTGCTTTCTTTTCACATGAAGCAGCCCAGAGGAGTTAAGTCCTGTCCAAGGCCACCAGCTCCTTTTGCCAAAACTGGACTAGGAACTCAAGTTGGCTGACTGTTAGTAACTTCCCTAGAGACAGTGATTCCAGCTCTCCAACATATTGATATAAGGACAATGTATGTATAGGTCGGAGTAAAATGCAGGCAAGGTTGCCAATTTTCTGTATTAGGAGGAATTCCCTTTTCCAGATATTCTTATTTCCCCTGTTTGAGGAAAAATGACGTTTTGTGAAAGTATGGCATCACTGATTATTGTAAACAGCAAATTAAAGAGTTAGCAAACTTATGTTACTTGTCATTACTTCAGTTAGCAAACTTACGTTAGTTGTCATTACTTCTGTTACCCTCCCTTCTTTTTTATTTTATAATTATAGTGACCTGTAAAATTTCTCAATCCAGGAACTATAGTACTACCCTGGTCCACATTGTGAGTGCAGTGTAGCCACGTGGTCACTGGAATTCCTTGCTTCAATTTAAAACCTGACTTCACCACTTACTAGCTATGGAATCACGGACAAGTTACATAATATCTGAAAGCCTCAGTTTCCTCATTTCTAAAATAAAAATAACAGTAACAACATTGAAGGATTGCCATGATGATTAAGTGATAAAATTAATGTAAATAATCTAGCATAGAGCCCAGCATTGTGTTAACCCTCATCAATGCCATACATTATTATGAATTGTTATCATGACAATCATCTTCCTAATACAGTCTTCATTTTGGGCTGAAGCGCTAAAGATCCTAATTATCTACATGTATCCATCTGTTTTGTGTTGTATAAGGGAATACCTGAGTCTGGGTCATTTACAAAGAAAAGATGTTTATTTTGGCTCATGGTTCTGCATACTGTACAACAAGCATAGCACCAGCATCTGCATCTGCTCAATCATGGCAGAAGGCAAAGGGGGAGCAGGCATGTCACATGGCAAGAGAAAGAGAGATGCTAGGCTCTTTTAAACAACCAGCTCTCGCATGAACTAACAGAGCAAAAATTCACTCATTACCGTGAGGAGGGTACCAAACCATTCGTGAAGGATCAGCTCCCATGACTCAACTCCCAGCAGGCCTGACCTCCAACACCGGGGACTACAAATCAACATGACATTTGGAGAGGACAGATCTCCAAACTATATCACTATACCATTAGTGTGTAATTTAAATTTTTTTTTATTTTTAAACTTTTAGGTTCAGGGGTATATGCGCAGGTTTGTTATATAGGTAAGTTGCATGTCCCGGGGTTTGTTTTACAGATTATTTCATTACCCAGGTAATAAGCATAGTACCCGATAAGTAGTTTTTCAATCGTTTTCCTCCTCTTACCCTCTAGCATCAAGTAGAGCCCACTGTCTGTTGTTCTCTCCTTTGTGTCTATGTGTACTCCATGAAACATGCATTTATTCTTTATTCAACTGAAGTGTTAGATGTGGACCCTTTATGCAAGATAAAAATAGTTCCTTTCCTTGAGGGACTACTGGCTGAGAATATTGAAAATATAATAAATATTTACAATAGTGAGATGAGTGCTATTGTGTAGGAAATAAATGTTATTATAGGAGCTTACAGAAAAGTAACCTAGCAAGACTAGGCTGGCCAGAGAAGGCTGTCATGGTCTTAAGCTGAAGGAAGGAGGGGGCAATACTGTAAGAAATGGAGAAGAGTTGTGTGAAAAGAGATGCACCCAGGGAACTAGAAGTAGCTGAATGTGACAGTTCAGTCTGGCTGAAGGGATGGGCAACTGAAGATGAAGTGGAAGATGCCGCTGGAGAGATGAAGAACCAGGGCCTGAAACTCTCTCTGAATCACATTTGGGTATTTAGGTAACTGAAAGCCACTGAAGAGTTTTAGGCAGAGAACAGTATGATCATATTTGCGTTTTAGGACAACCGCTCTGGGTGAAATACGTGTTATTGATAGAAGAACACCACAGATAAGGAGACCACTTAGGAGCCTACCATCAAGGTGTGAAACTTTTGTTAACTGGTAGGAAGGTAGATAGAGAAAAGTGGACTGATCTTTGAAATATTTAGAAGAAAAAAAGGAGAAGACTTTATGATTCACTGGTTATATTGAAAAAAAAAGGGGGGAAACAGAATTACTCTCAGGATTCTGAAGTTTAGCATCCTGGCTAGCAGTGCAGTCCCCCAAGTTCGGGGGAGAAAGGAGGATGCCCAAGGCATTGGTGAGGTAGACGGGGCAAATCCAGAGGAGAAAATTAAAAATTGCACTTCAGAAATATTGTGAATGAGCCTTTGTACAGTGTTCAGGATATGAAGACAAGAAAATGCAAAGATGGGTGGGTCGCTGCTGCCCAAGAATATATACACTCAGTGTGATTCTTAACACTGACAGCATGTTAGAAATGCTTATTGGGAGTTTTGTTGGTTTGTTTTGTTTTATATATTGATACTTAGGTCCCACTCTAATTAATTCAGAATCTCGAGTGTTTCCTGCAGCCAGGGTTACACTAGCCAGGAGGATGTTAAGTGACAGGAGTGACGATTCAGAGGCAGGATGGTTCTGAATTGTACTTTATAAGTATCTTCATAAAATTTTTTGTTTCAATTTTAAATGAACACATTGAGTATATTTTAAAACACATTCTATAATCCCATTTTGATTGCATTATTTTTGAAGCCTTTTCTATTCATTTTTCTCTTTGGATCCGGATTCTATAGTTGGACATACCTGATAATCAGTAAAATTCTCATTGATTGTGGTTGATATTTAGGACCACTATTAGGATAATTCTTTTTACTAGACATTCTATTCCTATTTAAGTCACATTAATAACATCAAATGTCTTATATAGTTGCACCACAGATTTCTATAAATATTATCAAACAAAAAGAACTTTGTCAATCAGATTCTTTCTTATGGTAAATGAAATACAGACATTTATGTATCCAAACAACAGAATAAAATTAGAAAATTACATGACTTGACAATATGTTTTTTTACATATCACTTTTAATTAAATAATGGCTATTTCTTGACACAATAAAAAGCTAATCAAAACTTAAAATCCCACTTAAAAGATGACTATTTCGGATTGATTGCAGGCTGCCTGCTCATCTTAATTTACAGGCCCTCAAAAAAATCTGACTGAGGCAAAAGAGACTGTGGTACATGATAGAAGTTCCTGTCTCTACAGATTGCCTGGGGACATATCCCAGCTCCCCAACTTGGGCATGTTGTATGACACCTCAAAGTTTCTGTTCTTGCCTGATTTATTTTATTCACTCAATAAATATATATGTATAATAACAATGATTATAGTCACTACCTAATAGTCACTCAGGCCTCTTTCTTAACTGAGAAACTTAATCATTCTGATGCTGATGATTTTAGGAATGCCTAGAGAAACACGATCTGAAGAAGATTTCTAAGGTATAACAAATATTACCAAGATCTCAAAATTTTCTCTCTTCTGGGCACTGGAAATATAATGATGAGAAACACAAACACAGTGCAAGTTGCAGGAGACCATTGGGAGAGTATTCATCCAAAAATTGCACGAAGAGGCATATATTACTAACTCTAAAAAAGCACTATGCAATAAAAAGATCTTGGTAACAAGGAGTTGATAGCAGATGGAAGGAAAGAACCTGACAGGAAGTGACCTGGGTTTAGCGACTGAGCTGGGAAGAAGGTGGATGGACGATTCACACTGCCCTGGGTGTCTTCATCCAAATCTCAGCAACAATTTGACATCTGGAGCACAGTATATACAGACTAAGTAGTGGAGAAGCAGATGGCAATGTTAGCTCTGGGAGAATGTTTGACTTCAGTTAACAGCTGAGGGTATGAATGAAGAAATTTCTTCTCACTTATGGGCCAATACTTAAGTTTCCCTCAACAAAAATGCATTACCTCAACCATTTTCTTATTTCCTTTCATCAAAAACCTTTAATTTTCTCTGCTAAATTTCTACTTGTCCTCCTTTTCATTAGTCCTCAGTCTCCTGAAATTTCATCTCAACCTCTCCTCCAAAACTGCTTTGGATGATTTCTTAATTGCTCATTCTAATCTCAATATATTCTGTCAGTTTCCCTCTGAAAACTCAGACTTCTCTAAGTCCCAGAGCTTCACTGCCTTCTCACTCACTCTCTTCTCAAGATAGTCCGACTCATCTGCCCCTTAAATATTGGTGTTTATAAATTCTTTACCTATATGATTTTATTAAATGTTATGGTTTCCTATCTTCATTCTGGTCCAAATTCCCAATCGTCATTGGATACTCATACCTAGGAGTCTTAAATATATGACTAATCTAACATACCTAGAAAATAACTAACATCTTTCTCAATATCTCTTCCTCCTTTTGCCCTCTGTATCTCAGGACATAGTCAAAGCGGCAAAGTCAGCTAAGCTAGAAACTTTAGTGTCATTAAATGACCAAATTCTGACAAGCCTACACCTTAAATACCTTTTGATTTCCCACTACTTTCTACACCCACTGCTACTTTCTTTCTTCAGACTTTTGTCAACTCCTGCCCAACCATTTACATGATTCCCAACTGGTTTCCCTACTTCGGGTTTCTTTCCACTTCAACCCACCCCCATCGTACTTATTTTCTAAAATTTACCTCTGATCACATCTTCCCCCTTTAAAAAATATTCAGTGACTCCCCATTGCCTATAAAATAAAATATAAGTGCCTTAGTAGGACATATGACACCAATTAGAAGCAGGCCTCTCGCTACTTATGACTTCATATTCCCCTCATTCCTATCCCAACACCAAAAAAAAAAAAAAAAAATGCCATTTTAAATTAAACCTTACCAAATTACCTAAAGTTTTTCAAATATAACACACTAATTCATTTTCTTTTGCGGCTGAACACAACTCCCACAATGCCTTCTCCTAAACTCCCTTCTACTGTTACCAATATTTTAATACCCACTGTAAATGCTACCACTCCTCTAGAGCATTCTCTGGTGTTCTGAGTGCTTGGGCCATTTTCTCCTCTGTTTTTCAACATAGATTTGAGTTTGAATGTTTGCCAGAATCATCTTAAATATCATTTATATTAAATTACTTCCTTTTAGGAAACAAACAGGGAGAGCTTGGAAATAAAGAAAACCCAAGTATTTACTAGACACTCCGCTCTGGGCCAAGTGAGATATTTGGAACATATCTCTGTTACAATCTATGAAAATGTGGCATACTTAAAAAAAAGGTGTGAACTTTAGAATGTTAAAAAACCTAGTGTCAACTGTAGCTTTAATTTTTACTAGTGTGAGCTTAGGGGATCAGAATCTGCAATTGTAAATTGTCACAGCATTTTCTTTGCAATATGGTGGGAACAATTACTAATGATATAGGACAGGCATAAAATAGGAGCTTAATAAATAATACCAACTTGTAGTAAAATAAGAACCTAATCTCCTAATAACCATACTGTCTCTGGAATTGCCAGAATAACAAGAATGCTTCAAGTAGTCAAACATTTGGTTAATTTTTCAATTAAATTTCCATCTCAATTTAAATAATGGTTAAGCTGTGACATCTTCCGGAGGGCTTCTTCTACTTTTCCTTCTAATAGAACATCATTCCACTTAGTACAACCCCATGTCAGGTTAGGAAAACCTAATAAGACATGTCAACCTGCATCTCAGACTGTCTCCTCTGTAACTCAAGAATCTATCCCTAAATTGTTTTTTTGAATCAGAATTCTGGGATTAGTAAAAGTGGGACAGGACAAAGAGAAAATGGCAGATCAGGTAGATCATTTTTAAATAAGAAAGGTATAATGATTTAAAAAATAAACCTGGGATGCAAAATCAGAATTCAAGAGAAAGTTTTAATTAAAACTGAGCCGTTAAGTTTACTGATGGACTTCCTATATTCTCCTAAATTCTAGAGTCAGCAGAGCCTCAAGAAAGACATTAAGTGTCTCACAACTGATGGTAAGCAAGTAAAAGTAGTCACTAGATAAAGAAAGGAAAGTAAGTGGAAAGGATCAACACATTTCGATTTTTAAAAAAAATTAGGATGAGCAATACAGACAGGGCAAGAAAGTCTCAAGTCCAGTTGTTTCTATTTCTTTTTTTCTGGAGACGGAGTCTCGCTCCGTCGCCCGGGCCGGAGTGCAGTGGCGCCATCTCGGCTCACTGCAAGCTCCGCCTCCCAGGTTCACGCCATTCTCCTGCCTCAGCCCCCTGAGTAGCTGGGACTACAGGTGCCCGCCACCACGCCCGGCTAATTATTTTTGTATTTTTAGTAGAGACGGGATTTCACTGTGTTAGCCAGGATGGTCTCGATCTGCTGACCTCGTGATTCGCCAGCCTCGGCCTCCCAAAGTGCTGGGATTACAGGCCTGAGCCACCGCTCCTGGCCCAGTTGTTTCTATTTCAACTGTGACTAATACAACATGGACTGTAACTAGGCAAAATTACGGTGGAAAATGTTTCTTTAAAGCTTGAATCCTTTACTGCCTTGATACCTCAACCTTTTTTTCTGTGGTGAAAAATCATTGCACTCAAATGGCATTAAATTGAAGAAAAGAGCAAAATTGTAAAGCAATCTCAGCCAATTTATATTATAAATTACATATTAGATACCATATGTAAGGAAGTATAATACCAAAAGACCTAAACTATAGCCCTAAATTATTATTAACTATATAATTCAGTAAAAGATTTCTGCATACACTATTATTCTGTTTCATAAATAGAAGTAAGAAATGCTGTGAAACAAGAATGGAGAATCAAGAAATTCATGAATAAAAAAGCCTGAGAGAATGGTTAAGCTAAATCTGAAAACATAGCTTCAAGCTGATCCCAAAAAACCTAAAATTGTGCTTTCAAACCATAGTGTGTGTTCCTGAACACCCAAGTACATGTCTTATTAATCCCTATATAATTAGTGATGTCACAGGGCCACTCCATCCCAGGGGATACCATTTAGGGTGTGATGTGGCCTCATAAGCTAGATTGCTGCTGATTTGAGCCAGTCTGAGTCACTCCCTCTAATCCAAAGGAAAGACTATAATCCTAACATGTCTCAAACCCTTCTGTATTTGTCTCTTGGGATAGTGAGAGCTTGAAGTCTTACTGAACCACTCATTATGAATCAGGAGCATTTTGATCAGTGCTATTGTCTTGCCTGAGTTTTGTAACAATGAAGTATTTATACCCCTGTGCTTACACAAGTGAATACTCAGGGGCAACCTCCTCCTTAATCTCTCCTTGTATTGTTATTGATTGCAAAGGAGGAGTAGGGTGAGCCTGGAGAAAATTCCATCAACCCTCTGAACCCTATTCTATTCTCACCTACCAAGGGTTATTCCTAGGGTTTCAAAGTTCTCAGTGACTCAAGTTGTCATTTATTTTGGTATTTCTCTTTCAGGCTATTCCTAAATATGCATTATGAAAGTTTAGTAGTGTGCCCTTCATGTAGTAGGATTGATATGTATATAAAAATAAAATATTAAGTAGTCTTCACTAATGCTTTGAACTTCCTATTTTCCTAAAGAGAAATACAAAATATTACTGAGATTAACTTAAGTATCTCACAAATAACAACATAATTTCTTCCAGTGATTTCCTTAGTAGTATATAAATCTTTGTTATTATCCTTATAGGGAATTAGCTTCTCAATATCATTTTATCCCTTAGGCATAGGGAGTTTGTTACATATGATCATGGTTGCCTAGGGTTGCCATAAATCACCACCAAGTGGTAGTTTACAAACAACAGAAGTATATTATCTCACAATTTTGGAGGTCAGAAATTCAAAATCAAGGTGTTAGCAGGATCACACTCCCTCTGAGCCTCTAAGAGAGAATTTATTTTTTTCTTGTCTATTCCAGTGCCTGTTACTCCAGGCATTCCTCAGTTTGTAGCAGTTAATTCTAATTTTGGCCTCTGCCTTCACATGGCCTTTTCCATTTGTCTGTGTTTTTTCCTCCTGTGTCTTTTATAAGGGCATGTATCATTGATTTTAGGTTCTAACCTAAATCTAGGCTAATCTCATCTCTAGATCCTTAACTTAATTACATTTGTAAAGTCCCTTTATCCAAATAAGGTCACATTCACAAGTTTCAAGGATTAGGACTTGGACATTTCTTTTTTGGGGACACAATTCAACCCACCATACATATTCCCTTGGCATTATGGTATTTGAGTGGAAAATGCTTATTATGAGTTCCCTAATTTATATCTCCAACCTTGTTTTTTCCCTTATGTCCAGATTCTTACATCCAAGTTGATATAGTAGATGGCCAATTTGATTTCTCCACCTGAGTGTGCCTCAAAACTGGGGTACTCATTCTCCCATCTTCCAGGGGAGTCGACTAGTTGTGGCTCATAGCTAAGATTCTCCCCAGAAATTACTTTGGGGTGGAGGAAGCTGCTTTTCTCCAAGTAATACCCACTTCAGAGGGACAAAGGGACAGAAGGACAGGTTTGGTAACATGTCTCAATTCAGCCCATCTCTGGAGGGCCATCCCAGCTCCAGTTTCCCATGAGATTGACTGACGCCTCTGTTTCAGCTGTACATCACCAATTTCTTTGTCAATCCTGCTTTCTTCCTTCACAGGTACTGTTCCTGAGAGTTCTTTGCAAAAAACCACCTATATGCAAGTGTCCATTTCAGTTTGTTCCCGCTAGAATGCAGCCTAGAAAAAAAAAGGCATCCCTAATCTAACATGTCCCTACATAACTCTTATTGCAATGTATCTTCCACCACTTCACATTCTGTCCCTTCCATTAAAAGAGTTCCTTCCCCATTCCCCAACTTTGTAAATGACACCAACATCCACAGAATTTTCAAGCCAAAAGCATAGGAATTATTGTACTTCGTACCCTTTTCTTTTACCAAGATCCTATTTAGAGCCAAGTAATTTTACTTCTAAATTATATTGGATATCTGTCTAGTTTTCTACATTTCCATTAACACTCCCCTAGTGTGATCATCATCTCCTCCCATACTACTCTCAGTTATTAGAACTGTGAGCCTGGGCAATTTACTTACTCTTTCCAAGCCACCATGAAGTCGAAAGAATAATAGTACTAATATAATAACAGTACTCAACATTACAGAGTTGCTTTGATTAAGTGGTTAATAAACGTAGAAGGGCTAAAATAATACTTGGCATATAGTAAGTGCTATCGTGTCAGTTATTATAAATATTCCGAAATTTAATTAGGTCGCCTCTTGTAGTGGGAAAGGGAAAGGAATACAACTGAGTGAGGAGAATTATCTGTGGACCTCTCCAGAGGTTGGCTTTGTACCTAGTGTTAAATCATGTACATCTCATGGCATGTAATTGCACCATATTATTCCATATGGTGGAATCCCAGAACCCAAGTTAGTTTAAAGTAAACATTCAATGTGCACATATAATAATGAAGTAAATGTTATACAAAATATTTTCTAAATACTACAGTATTTAAATTTTATCTAAGTGGCTCTAATTCAAGAACAAGCAGTTCAGATGCTCCCAGAAGTACAGGCTATCAGTGCATTCCAGGAGCACGTTGTGGGTTGATTATTTCCAGTACAACATCGTCCTACTGCCATGAATTTGCTTGCTGGTTAATGTCTATAAAAATTCCCACAGATGTGTAAAAATATGTATTTGACTCTGTTTCTTCTTATCCATCCCTTCCCACACTTTGTGGTAACTAAATAGGAAAATCATTTCTTGAATATCTCTGTACTATGGTTAAAATGTAGTGATCCAAAGATAAAAGCTTATATATGTGATCCAGTGCCAAACAAGTCCCTAGATAAAATAGGTATTCAAAGCATGAATTAGGTTACTGTATAGTATTTTACTTGACAGTGAAGTTTAACAAGGATCATAAGATATGAATACATAAATTTTAAATCCATTATCATGGATAAGGAGATCATTTTATTAAGTCAGTCTATTACTTGTAACAACAATAGTATAATGAGATATGAGAATTTAAGATTATAGTTTTTTTTAAAATATAGCCATTGGAAAGCACGTGTTGAAGTTTAATAAAACTGAGCCATGGCTGATTTATTAAAAACTTATACTTAAATTGTTCCTATTTTTTTCTTTTAATGTTTTACTTTATTTATATATTTATTTATTTATTTATTTATTTACTGAGATGGGTGTCTTGTTCTGTTGCCCAGGCTGGAATGCAGTGACGTAATCACAGCCTTGACTTCCTGGGGCTCAAGTGATCCCCCTGCCCCAGCCTCCCGATCAGCTGGGACCACAGACATTCACCACTACACTCAGTTAATTTTTTTTTCTTATAAAGACAGTGTCTCACTATGTTGCCCAGACTAGTCTCAAACTCCTGGGCTCAAGCTGTCCTCTTCCTCGGCCTCCCAGAATCCTGGGACTCCAGGCATGAGACACCACTCCTGGCTGAAATTCTTCCTATATTTTATTCTTATTGTTTATTATTGTTTATATATCCATTCAGCAAGCTTTTAATATTTACATTATACACACACACACACAAATAGAAATTGTTGAGTGCTAAAAAAATTAATAAAATTTGGTCCCTTCTCTAAATCTAGTTGAAAGAACTAGATTAAGGTTGGAACATTTATTTGTCTGAGCAAGAAGGCGGCTCCCAATTCCCCTCATGCCCCTTTTTGCCATTGGGTTGCAAAAAAGTATAAACACCATGGAAATGACAATGTTCACAAAATATTTCACAAAAATGCACAGAACTTCCACTTCAGGAACTTTCTATTAGTATTTAGCTCTTGTATAAGTTATAGTAGAACCTCTAACGTTTAAAAAAAAAAGTACCCTCTGAAATTAAAAACACAAAATGCTTGAATAGCCTCTTTTGATACTGGAGACTAAAGTTTTAGACACGCTGTTCCAAAATATTTATATTAATAACTGTCAGATTTGAATGGTACCCTCAACATGACAAAGTTCCATGTAGTCCAGGATACAATTGAAACTGTGTTTGCAAAATCATGACAGTTAAGAGAAATTTGACTCCATCTTGCCTCTAACCACCAAGCTGTCTTTGGTCATTCCTGGGCATAGGCCAAGCTACCTTTGGGAGAAATTTAGTTTATAGTTTAACCTTAAAGCAAGATGGTAATAGCCCTTCCCTAAACTAAACTGCCTTTATAAAACTGGTGAAAGCTATAAGGTTAGGGTTATGAGGAACCTGAAGTCTGCTAAGATGTAGGCATAGTTTCTGTAATCCCTTACTGCTGAGGAGTCAAATGGCCAGAGATCACAGGATTTGTGACTTCCCTAATTGCTCCTATACATCACATCACTATCGTAGAACCTAAGATTGGTCTTTTGAGTTTTTTTTTTTCAGATTTTTGCATTTCTGACAACCAGCTGACTTCACTCAGACCTATGACCCAACCAGTCCTGTGGCCCCTGCCGAGTGGCTGACTCAGTGCACGAGGACCATTTTCTATACCCTATGATTTCATTTCCAACCAATCAACATTCTCCATTCCCTAGCCCCCTGCCCATCAAACTACCCTTGAAAAACCCTCACCTCTGATCTTTCAGAGAGACTGATTTGGGTAATAACTTCGTCTCTTGTATGGTCAGCCTTGCATCAATTAAAGCCTTTCTTTACTGAAATACCATTGTCTCAGTGAGCTAATTTTGTCTGTGCAGTGGGCAGAAAGAGCCTATTGGGCAATTACACAATCAGTGCAAGTACCTCCGCTACTCAACCTCACAAACCTATGTATTAATTGGAGCTCAAAATGTTTGCATCTAATAGACTCTTTGTAGAGATTATTTTCCCAAGTAGGAGAACAATACGGTATTTAAGTGAGGCACTTAACTTTCAGCTAAAAAATTATTTCTTATTGAAGGGGATTGGGAGACAACTAAGAAAGAAACAGACAACATAGATTTCAAAACAAAGCCTATGGAGGAAATGAAATGTATAATCTTGCAAGTCAAATGTGTGTCTGGGACACAAATTGATTATGTGTCCAAAATTATCCATCTCTCATAGCTTACTAAGGGGTCAACTGTGCCTGATAGCATTCCACAGTTAAGGTGGAATTGTGGTATGTGGACTAGACCTGAGAACACCCTGAAGGCACAAATCAGTTGCATGAGCTGGGTGCTCCGACTTTAGCGTTCCTACTCATGGCCCTCTCTAGTTATCCTAATTAGGGCTTCATGGATTGCTTTTATGACCAGTTCAAAGAGGACAAATAACAACAACCACTATAGATAGCTCTGTGTAATTCATTAGCATTACTTACAGAAGATTTCTACAGTATTAAGTCCCACTGAAGATTGGCTGTGAAATAAAATGAATAAAATAAATACCCTTTGTAAGTGGGACAATTAGCACTATGCTTTATCTTCCTTGTTACCTGGAAGTCATGGCCTGAGATCAGGTTGTACATTGGCTAGTAGTTACTGGTTTCTTTGGCCAGGTGATCAGGGCCTAAGGCTAATACTGAAAGACTGATAACATGAAGAATTTGGAAACACTCATGTGTGGTTGGAGCTCTCAGAATGTGGTTAAAGTCTCTAACATTTGTTCCTTAGGAGAGACCACCAGAAATCCCCGCCAGAAAACAATTCTTAAGAACTGTAGTGTAAGGCTTAAAATTAATTCCAAATATTATATGCCACTTTGACATCTGAAACTGGGACAGCCATGCATGGCCTGAACACAGGTTCTTTTTTCTGCTCTGCTCTTGGAATCTGGTCACCTCCATATCCAATGAACCAGGCACCATTCTTGCTTATCTCACAGTAATGGGTTTCACTTCCTTGCCAGCCCAGTAGAATTGTTCGAAAAAGCCAAATACATCCTCCCTCCAAAACTAGAAGGAACTGCACGCTCTTGATACTGTACTACAAAGCTTCCCACAAACCCTATTTGTTCACTTTGTCATTGAATGCAACCCCATGTGGACCTGAATGATGTCCAGAGTCCTTCTTCCCCAAACTGTGAGTATAATTTGCTGTCAATCTCATCTCTCCACTGTTAGGTATTGTATGTTCAGCAATTTCCATATTCCTAGGGCAGAAATCCTAGGGATGAATAGGAGTCATCCCTCACCAATGGGGTGAGTAGAGACAATTGAAAGTATAACCTATTAGATAGCACAATGAATTATTCAGATTTTAGTCAGACTTGCCATTCCTTGAAGCCAAAGAATCCTAACTGAAACAACTTGATCTAGAAATTAACCATGATTCCAGATACGTGATGGAGCCATTGCTGAGTAAGGGAAGTTAAGAGAGGGACTACATTCAGGAGGAGAAATAATGAGTTTATTTGGCAAGATTGGGTTTTAGAAGTCTATAAGGATAAAAAGGTATAGAGCAGCTGTGGGATATAAAAGTCTGTATCTCAGCAAGAAAATTCAGAGGAAACAATATAGATTTTGGCATCAATATATAAACACCACTTGAAGTCATACCCTTAGATGTAGTAGGTCAGGAAAGTGAAAAGTTGGCAACAAATTTATCTTTAGTCTAATGAATCTTTGGACCCTTCAACCTTCTTTTATGCCAATCTTATTTATTCAAATTTCATACGCATACAGCTTTTTAAAGGACATAACAGATGTCTTTTAAAAAGGTATTAATTTGCATGTGTATGCATAAATAATTGCTTGCTTCTTAGGTAAGTTCTATAACTAAACTGCGTCTAAGGTCTTAGATCACTGACTTAGTTCAGGCTGCAATAATAAATTATCAGACTGGGTGGCTTATAAACAGCAGAAATATATTTGTTGTAGTTCTGAAAGTTGGAAAACTGAGATGAAGTTACCAACACAGTTGGCTTCTGGTGAGGAGCCTCTTCTGGGATGGAGACTACTACCGACTTGTATCTCCACATGGTGGAGGGCAGGAGGAGGAAGTAGGTTCTCTCTAGTCACTGATATGGGCACTAATCTCATTCATGAGGGCTCCACTATTATAAGCTCATCTAAGCCTAATTACTTCCCAAAGGCCCTACCTCCTAATACCGTCACCGTAGGGGGTTGGTGGAGGCTGGGGTTTTAACATATGAATTTTGGGGGAACACAAACATTCAGCCTATAATAGCCATGCTTAAAATGAATCCTAAGCACTAAGTAGGAATTTTCTCAAATTTCTTATGAAAGAATTAAATGTATCATACATTTAGTTTAGATGGATGAATTGGCAAAACAAGAAAAGTAGAATATGGAAAGGGTAGTGAGGTGGGTAAGGAACAGAGGGAATATTCATTTTAAATATTCTCCTACATGAACTTTTTGCATTTATGAGGTGAAAAGAATTTCTCCATCTTTTGTAATACTGTACTACTTATATACTGTTTTTAAATTAGTACTATATATTTATATTTGTGTATCTTACCTCTCTGATAAATCCTGAACTTCCTCAAGACAAGAACTAGCTATTTTTTAAATCCCACTGTAATATCAAAGCTTAAAATTTTGATATTATACTTGTTCCTTAAATCTAATAAGAACAGATTTATACTTTTGATTCAGGAGGAAAGATTATCTCAAACGTCTAAAGTATTTTTCCTCATATATTTAGATGTGTCTCAATATATGAATAAACTATAAGACTGAAAAACCAGTTTTCTCACCTGGCTTCATATTAATGATGGCAGATAATACATATAGTTTGCCCCATTATTTGTAAGATTCCACTAGAATTACAATTAAGAATGAAAGATGTAAGATAAGGAGAACAGAAAGTAAAAAGTGACTGTTATGACCAGGGAGAAAGATCAACACTGGTTGAACACAGAAGGTAATTGAGAATGAATCATTGGATGAAATCAGCAGAAAAGCTACAAGCTAGCATATGCTAGAAGATATATGCTATAAGGAAGAAAGTAGGAACTAATGCACAAAAGAAGACCTCAGAGAAGCTCTAATCTCAGAATCAGTCAGTATGATAAAACATAGAAATGGAAAATAGGGCTGAAATTCAGTGACTGTGTATGTATTGAGTAACTGTTGTTAGATAACAATAACAACTTGCTAACACTGGTACTGGATGTGCAAATCATAAGCAATCCATATTTATTCCCAAACTAATTCACTGATATAATTGTGTAGGACCATGTGACTAGTTATGGCCAACAAATTGCTAGAGAAAGTGATGCGAAGTCCTTTTCAGGCAAGATCATGTAATTGATGCCCTTCAAGAACCTTCCTTCCATCAGCCACAGACAGCAACATTGAGATAATGGCTGCTTTATCAGCCTGCATTCCAGAGTGAAGAGACATGGAAAAAAGAAGTTTCTACAGTTTTGAAAGTCACTAAGTTTTGTAATTTGTTCAAGGCTTCATCTAGTCAATTCTCACTTCGACTATTCTCTTGCTCAAAAAAATTAGGGAAAAAATGGGATAACGAAACCTTCTAGTGTAGACATTTGCACCCCAGAATTAAGCTCCCATTATTTCGCTACTTGAGGGTTTCCACAAAAGAAAGAAAAAAGACAAATTAATGTGAGAAAACAGATTGATATGAGAAACAAATTTCAGAATAAAAGAGCCCACAACAGTCCTGTCACTTTGAATTTAAAAAGAGTCATAATTAGACATATATGCATTTAACTTCAGAACAGTGGAGATAAGAAGATATTCAAAGTTTCTAAAGACATTTTTTAAGTTATACAAAAAGCAACAAGAAAATGACTGCCCTGGGAAGCTGTGAAATGTAGTATTAAAGAACTCTAGACTCAGATGCTGCAATTTACTAAACATGTGATTCAGGAAATTTATTTAACTTATACTTCAATGACTTCTACCACAAAATAAGGATAATAATAGTTTCTATCTTTTATGGTTCAGACCTTGAAGTGCTGACTATACCTTAGCCCTAATAAGCTGTTAATACATGTTGACTATAATAATTTTCAGACTTATCAAGGGTGACCTTGAATGTGAGAAGGCAGTAGGGCAATGCACTCAGAATTTATAATATGCTTTAAATAGTTGTGGTTACAAAATGGACCCAATTTCAGTGTGCTCCTTTGCAATTATATTTCTACCTAATTGAAATTTAACTCACAAATCCCAATTTGTGTCTTGTAGTACAAATGAGTATCTGGCTAATACAAGGTAACTCAGGTTCTTAAGGGCTTAAAGCTTGAGCTCTTAGGACTCTTCTCTTGCTTCTCTTATTGATTAAAAAAAATGGGTGGTAACGGGAGGTATCTAGCAGTGTAATGCCTGCTCCAAGCACTGACATCTGCTTTCATAGTTTCCCATGTCTGGCCCAAGACACTGGGCCATTGCCTCCATTGCAGTAAGTATGCTCTCTGATGGAATAATTTATGCTATCTACTTTAACCATAGGAAATGTACAGTGTTTTTTCTCAAGTGGAGTTTGGTGATTCTCCCTCTGTCAATTTGGGTCCCACTTTAACACTTTTGTACTTGTTGAAGGAATCTGATACCATGAAACGTAGCTTTCTCCCAATACAGCCTGTCTATCTGTAGTCTCAGCCTCAGGGGCCCTTTGCCCCATTCCTCCAGGAACTCTCAGCAGGCATGCTGGTGCCGTAATCTCAACCACATTTTGCATTCCATTCAGAAATTTTCTGATCCTCTCCATGTTGGTAATAGCCAATATTCTCTGTTTGGACTAAGTTGCAACTATGCTGTCACCTATATGACACATATTAAGGGTATATAAATAAATGGTATAACCGTAGTGTGAAGATACTAAATAAATTTATAGGTAAAAGAAATTTGAGTATGCTATCACACACTGACTGGAGTAAATGGGATAAAAAGAGTAAATTTTATTTATAAAAGAAAAGAATACTAAATTAAAATTAGAGTAACCTATACTTAAAATATTCTCTTGAGAAGAAACTTCTATTTTAGGCTCACTCTTTCCTAATGATCTCTATCCCATTTCTCAATTATATGTGGTAGGTAAAATTTTACTCTCCACTATTTAAACTGCCATATATGAATAAGAGTGGAGTCCTTACTAAATAGTTTAATGTAATATTATGCATGGAAACTGTGATCTGAGGCTCTATTTGCAGCTTGAATGTCTAAGAATGTCTTAACCAGGGATGGTGGTGTGAGACTGTAATCCCAGCTATTCAGGAGACAGGGGTCTGAGAATCGCTTGAACCCGGGAGGCAGAGGCTCCAGTGAGCTGAGATAGCATCACTGCACTCCATCCTGGGTGACAAAGCAAGACTCAAAAAATAAAATAAAATAAAAGTCTAAGAATGTCTCTGAAATTCATATATAATGCAATTAGAATGTGATTTTGTAAGATTAAAACATAGGTTAATATGTTATGATTTCTTTCATTTTAGTCCAACTGTATTTGATAATACAATATTGAATGATAGCATATTTGCTATTATTTGTTATAGGCCAAATATATGACACCACTTTAAGTTTTTTAGTGAGCAAAGTGTCAAACTGTAAAATTTCATGTGCATATTTAGTATGATGCTTAATTTAGAGTAACATGATTTTTAGGAATGATTTTTTTGCCCATGTAATTAAATTGATTCATTTTCCTTCCCAGCTAAGTATAATAGATTATTCCTAAAATAGAAATACTGATTATCAGCCACAATATATATGCAATAAATGGCCTCTTGCTTGTTCCTTGATGGTTTAAAGAGAAAGAAAAAAAATAAAAGAACTATGATTCTTATGAGAAACATCAGTATGCAACACTGTCACACTTTTGCTTTTATTTCAGTATCCTTTCAGTCTTGGAGTATGAAAAATAATTTGCATATCGTAATTCATTTTAAAGCACAATTTTGGGGACCTAGATGAAAGCAAAACAGTTATTTCTTTGAAAAAATTAAAGACATCATAATTTTTCATCATCTGGTCATGCCTTCTTATAGCACCTAAGTCCAAAGACATGAGGAATGAAATGTGATAGAGTCTATATACATTACATATTACATTACCAATGTCTAGCTTCAATAAAAAACTTCATCCAGCTTCTGTACCATGTGGCATACGAGTTAGACTCATTTTAATTGACTCCAGATGTTAGTTACTATGTAAAATAATGAATCATGATCTTTTTAGCATTGTCTAAAATGAGATATGAGTACAAAGGAAAAACTACTTTAAAAAATCAGTAATCTATATTTAGTTAGTATACTAGGCCCAAATGTCGGGAAAGAGGAAGACTCCAGAACACAGTAAAGTAAATAATGAAATAAGTGAAAAGCATTCAGACAAAATGCAAAGAACAGATGTCTAGAAGTTAGTGCACCTGGTTTCTGGGATGGCTTTGTTACTAACTACCTATGTAAGTGACTTAAGTGTGAATTATGCTTACTCCTTATAGCTCAGTAAACAATTTACCAGACTTGGATAGACTATTAGGTGGGCCAGGGTAACAGTGGAGCATCTACCAAGTAGGTAATACAAAGAACAATGGCCAAAGGGAATTGATAGACCCAGGCTATTCTGGACCATAGGTACCCAGGAGTGTCTATGGAGTGGTAGAATGCCAGCTAGAAAAGTAAAGAAGAAAGATGATATTTTACAGCCAAGTAATATCAGTGATTTTCAGACTGACTACACAGTTGTGGAACCTGCTAATGAAATCAGGAACTGCTAATTTATAGTTGAAACCTAAAACCTAGACATGCGTTTGTTTGTTTTCTTTTGAGTCAGAGTCCCGCTCTGTCACCCAGGCTGGAGTGCAGTGACACAACCACACAGCCTTGACCTGCTGGGCTCAAGCGATTTTCCCATCTCAGCCTTCCAAGTAGCTGGGACTATAGGCAAGCCTCACCACACTCACCTTTTTTTCTTTTTTTTTTCTTTTTAAGTAGAGACAGGGTCTCACTATGTTGCTCAGGCTGGTCTCTAACTCCTAAACTCAAGTGATCCTCCCTGCTTGACCTCCCAAAATGCTGAAATTATAGGTGTGAGCCTCTATGCCTGGCCATGTGTAATTTTTTTAATATCTTCCCAGAGAATTTTAATATGTAGTGAAGGTTTGGAACTAGTAGGTTATGTGGACATTAGAAAGTTTTGCCTTTGAGGTGGCTGCTCATAAGATATTGGACTGGGATTCAGTCCCACCAGAAAAGCTGAACTCTAGCACGGGGACGGAGGCACATAGCTGTTTCCTAATACAGCATGTCTTTCTACAGCCTCAGCTACAGGATCTCTTTGCTTCATTCCACTGTGAACCCTCAGGAGGCATGCTGGTGCTATAATCTCAACCACATTTTGCATCCCATTCAGAAATTTTCTGATCTCCGTGTTGGCAACAGCCAAGGCTCTCAGTTTGCACCAAGTTGTAACTATGCTGTCCCATATGTGACACATATCAAAGGGGAGGTCAATAGTGTACCTGCTGTGCCAAGAGACTAACTAGATTTAGAGGTTAGTATCACTTCAGGATTAACATGAGTGATCACTAGAACCAAGTGGACAGTGGACCCCCAAGTCTAACTGATAATATATTTGAGAAGATGAGCACACTTAGCCCTTAGTACTAAAGGAAGACCATCGAAAAGGGAAACTTGATGCCAGAGCAGCTTAAATACCTCAAGCAACATCAGAAACCGGTTAAGAGAAAGACAGCAAACCAAACAATGTTAGATAAAACAAAGGAAAGAACAAAAGGCTGATGCTGCTTCTGCCTTGATTACTTCATTGGTAAAATGAGGTTAACACATCATTTCTTGGAACACTCAGGGCCACATAAGTCAATTGCTCTGTTTCAGAACTCTCTCACAGGCATTCCCCTCCTAGGCATGCTTTCATTCATTCTGTTCATTAGTACTTCAAAGCATTCTAAAGTATACTGCTTTCACAAAAAAAAAAAAAAATTCCAAAATGACCTAATGAATTTATCAAGACACCTTAGCTCAAGAGTGACTTTGAGTGTTGCTATTTAAATAGCAACTTCAATGAGAAAAGAAAGAAGTGAATTACAGAAATTGGAAAGAAGGTAAGTTTATTACTTGTTTTTGATACTATATCAGGTAAATGAAGAGAATATTATAAACACTAAGTTATACAGTAAAGTCGTGGGTAGAAAATTAATATGCAATATTAGGAGTCTTTTAATATCCAACAAAATGTCACAAAGAATAAAAAGATTAAACAGCTAACAAACAGCTAAAGAAAATGTGAAAAAAAAATCTAAAAATGCTACTAAAAAAACAAAGTAAATGAACGCATAAAAAAGTGTGTGTTTGGGTTGGTAAGAAAATCTATGATAAAGATGTCAGTTATTACTAATTTTAAAAGTTAACACAAAAGAAATACAATAGAAACTTATTTTTGAAACTAAACATGATAATTACCCGTGTAACAATATCGCTTTTTCCACAGGGCAAGAAATGAAAATAACTTCAACAATAGTATTTTGGCTGTATAGAACACTAAAGAAAAAGAAGAGACTATTAAATAATATGGGATTTTTATCCAGGAAGGAACTATTTTTTGGTTGATGTTATTGACTCGTAACGATCCAGTCATAGATCAATCACAAACAGAAGTCTGGGCTATGTTGTTTGGTTCTTGGCTTCTTTACCTCCGTTTTTAAGAATCTACATATCAAAAACTAGGCTTGTAAATTTAATTTGAATTGGGAGTACTCATGTTGTTCACCAACTTTGTTCCCCCTAGTCACCCTGATATAGCATTACACTTTCTTAGAATACAACATAACACTTGCATTGTTCTTCTGATCTGGCCCACACTTTCCTTTTTCAACTCTTTTCAGAGGCCTCCCTTTCACTGCCCAAAGCCTTGACCTCATTTCTTCTATTCATCAGTTTTTCAAATAATGCATTTCCTTTCTGTAGATTCCAAGGCAAATAATGCCATTAGAATCCATTCCACTCAACTGCAACTGAAACTGCCAAGCATTTTTGTATTTGCTGCTATAAAGATATAATCACTGTCTCCTGGTCTTACATACTAATTCCCAACAAATCTTGATGACTATTTTTTACTAGATCTTAATTTCTCTATCCAATTATAAAATAAATAATCAAGTTTTATAGGAAAACAATCCAGTTTCATAGTTTCAAAAACTATTAGCCTATGAAGAGTTAATTGTGTGCTATATAGTATATGGATCTATTCCACTCTTTGAGATTCATTATTAATTTATTCAAACACTGAATAGTTTACAGTTTCAAAATTCACTGGTATTATTTTAGATATATGGTATATTCATGAGTTTTGAGGGAAAAATATTTAGAACAGCAATATTTTAAGCCAGAAAACAAAAACACACGTTTGTCTTTTGCTGAAATAATATATCTAGTTGACATTATTTTTCTGATGTTCAACCGTATGGCTGAGACATAAGTAAGCCTTTTAAAACCGATGTGACATGGTATTACGTTTTAGTTTAAATTTTTGTTTTTCTGTAAGTACAAATTGCATTTATCTTAACAGGGGGGTAAAGCAAAGCTTATTCTCAACAAAGGGTTCTTTTTATATTTTATAGTTTATCTATATCATTATTGATAGTTATAGCAAAGAAAATACATTAAACATTTCTTTCCTCTAAGTGAACTGCCAGTCCATAGTGTTCATTTGGAAAGGATAGATTTTTGTTCACCTGAAGCATAAAATTTGGCTCCAGGCCACTGAAACAGTTTGAAAAATTACCTTTAAAATGTTTAAATTAACAAAGCAACTCTGTTGTATGTATTCATTTTCATTTTAGAAGAAGCCATTCATTTTATATCCTTTAAGCAACATAGTTAATTTATCACTAAAGTTCATTTTATAATATATTTTAGGAGAGACATATTGTTTCAACTAAAATACAGAAATGGCATTTGAGCCATATGAAAAGTTTGTTTTGTTTTTTACACACTTTGGGATTTTTTTTTTTTTGCCATAGTGTATAAATTGCTTAAAGACTGGATAATTATTATTGTAACTTTTCATTGCAAATTCATTTCATGCCCAGCAGCAGCAATGTACAAGAAAAGAAGGATATCTCACTCAAGGGTGGTGGGGTGGGGGAAAGAGGAGGAGGAGAAGAGAAGGAAGAGGAATCATAAGAAAGAGGGAGAGGAGAAAGGAGGAGTGGGAGAAAAAGAAGAAAAATCAAACAATGACATATTAGCTGAATGGTGTTGATGAGATTAAGCAAAGTAGATACAAAACAGCAAACAACTGACCTTAATTAATGACGATTACAATTAAGTGTTAGAGACAGAAGCCACCTTGATGAATTAACCAGGAATTGAGACGAGACATTAAAAACAAGTTATGTTGCTAGTTAAGCCAATGTGTTTTGCGATGAATAGTAGAAAGATAAAGTTATAGAGAAAAATAAGTTCAATTTTTTTATGAAGCAAATATGTGTTTTTATACTCTCAGCAAATTTGCATAAGAAATGGAACTGACAAATTTGCAGGATGAAAATGGCTGCAAAGAAGTATAAGGAAAATTTAATGAGGCAATCATTGTAATTTATATATTAAATGGACATGAATCCCTTAATATTCTATTTTGTGGAGTGTTACCTTTTTACTCAATTTTAACACTTATAGTGATAATAGTAAATATCTGAATTATTTGTTATAACCACACCTTATTCAATTAACTCTGCTTTTTGTAACCTTTCAAAATAAGCCGGTAACTCATTGAAAAACACTGCAGTTAATTAGAATGAAAATTCATTCTGAAGTGTATGAAACATGAAATTAATCTATTATTATCAACTGTGTTCAGGCATACAAAGGTCTGGCAAGCTTGAGAGAGATATTTTCTTCAGTAGCATCTTCCGTGCAATAAAAAGTCTTAACATATGGGAAATGGCTTATCTGATTACAGGTGTTATAGAAGAGTTTGATAGTGTTAAAATTTTTCATTCTCCAGTGTGTGGAATTAAATGTACTTGGAGAAATAGTTTGACCTCAAGTTAGTAATGGTTCTTCATTAATTATTAATTTTATTAAAAAGGAAAAAAATTGTAAATTGCCAATTCTCCCAGTCCAATATTAATAAGAATATAAAAACATTAGATAAGTTGTGGAATACAGAATGTTTAGTTACTTCTCCCCAATATTTCCGTAATAATCTCAGAGCATCATAACAATTAGATAGCAAACCAGAAGCATTCTCTGATATATGTGCATATTGATAGAAATTTCTATAAAAAGTATACAGAAGACATATATTTGTGTTACAAACCAAAGGAACTGCACTAATTTTCTACTTAAAAAAACTATAAGTAGAAACAAAAATGTTGATTTATGCTATTCATTATTGATGGCAGCAGCGGCCTGTATGGAGCAGCCATTGTGAAGATGCCCGCTGCAGCACAGGAGGCATGGCCTAGGTTCCATGCTCCACAGGCCAGCAGGAGATAGGAACAGGTGGGACCCCTACCCCCTATTGAGTTGGTGTGGCAGAAGCCCTGCACTCCTGGGTGCAGCTGCAGCTGCCCAGCCTCAGCTCCAGACCCAGGTATCCCTGTGCTCTCAGGGGCCCAGGAAGACACCCCTGTCCCCACAGGCTTGGAAATGCCTGCTCCCACTGCTCCCCAGCTCCCAGTAACCCCTCTGATTTTGGAGCAAAGTTGTGGTCAAACCTGGGCGCTGTCATGACTCAGCTAGGAGTTTGCACACTCAGGGCAGTGCTGAAACACCAGCCTTCTGCTGCCTTGGCCCCCTCCAGACTTTGGGCACCAACAAGAACAGGAAGGATGCTGAGGACAGCTTAGTGTGGGCCCGCAGGCACCCCTCAGCATGAGCAGCCAGGCACCATGGACAAAATGTTGATGGCAGCAGGAGGCAGACAGGTTCCTGGGTAGAAAGGGGTGGGTACCTGGTGAGCACCACCTTCAAGCCAGAGACGGCCTAAAGCCTGGGGGCAGGGCTGCTAGTTCTGGGTGGAATCCACGGCCCAGAGAGAAAACTTATGGTGCTTTTTCCAGGCCTGCCCATGGCCGCCCATGGCTGCCCATGGACCAGTCAGCACACACCACCTCCCTTCTGAGCCCATAAAAACCCTGGACCCAGCCAGACTAACACAGACATCAGGACTACCAGCTTCAGGAAGGATCTATCCACTATGGGTCTCCTCAACTTGTTGAGCCGACCTGCCTGTGGAAAGGAGCTACCTACTATGGGTCTCCTCCCTGCTGAGAGTTGGACACTTATCAGGGCAACCTGCCTATGGAAAGGAGCTACCCACTTTGGGCCCCCTGAGAGCTATTCTGTAGCTCAATGAAGCTCCTCTCCACCTTGCTCACCCCTCCAGTTGTCCACATACCTCATTCTCCATGGACACAGGACAAGAACTCAGGACATGCTGAATGGTAGGACAGAAAGAGCTGTAACCCAAACATGGCTGAAACACATCCTCCACTCCCCACGTGGCGGGGGATGAGAAGGAGAGAAGAGCTTCAGCCCTTTTGGGAGCCCAGACATCAGGGCTCCCCAAGCCAGGGTTGCGACAGCTGTAATATCCTTTTTGGGGCTTTGCAGTTCCTGGCATCTCTAAGCTTTTGGGTGCCATTACTTTCCCCTTGTCCAGACACTGGTGCCCACAGCAGAAGCCACTTGTGGTACCTCTGGTCCAGCTGCAGCCTTGCAGGAGCTGGCAGCTGTGCTAGCGCCTGGAGCTGCCTGCCCCACCACAGCCGTGCTTGGCTATGCACAGTGGCCAGACCCCACACTTGCTCACCCACACATCCCCTACTGCTCCACACCTGGCTTGTCCTTGGCAGGTGTGGGACCTGGGCCAGTAGCACAAGCCAAGCACAGCCTGCTGGGCCAAGTAGGCAGAACGAGACCAGGAGGCACAAACAAAACTCAAGCAGAGGCACTGCCAGCCACAGAGGTTTCTGGTTTGTCAAGCAACACCCCAAGGATCCCATGACATTATTAACACATAGCAATTTTTACATGGTTCCATGCAGTGGAGTCATCTTTTAAAATTGATGATGTTTCAAAGAGAAATTAATATATCTTAGAAGGATTGATTATATCTGATTTTGCCTTGTTTTACATAGCAGAAGGTTCCAGTTTCTTTTGCAAATTGCTTAATATCTAATAAGATCACAATTACTAGGATTTACCACTGTTATGATATTTGTCATTAATTAATGTTTAGTTTTTATGCAATGCAGTAAGAGAATATTATATGTAGTAGTATTACTAGCTTGGATTTTTAGGAAGTTATCTCAATGAAGCGATATAGGGTAAATTTTTGTGTCTATTTCAGGAACCCCCAAAAAGGAGATAATTAATTTATTCATGTAGGGTGCAGAATTTTATGTATATCAGTTTTGTCTACCTTCTTAAAGATATTATGTTGGTCTTCCATGTGTGTCTTTAGTTGTCCTCTTGCTTAATATGCAAAGGAAAAAAACATAAATCAAAATTTCCTATTCTTAACATGCACTTTCTATTTCTCATTGTACCTCTCATAAGTTGCATTGCTTTATTAGCTGAAGTTTACACTCTAGATAAGCTAACTAAGACAAAAGAGAGGAGACATAATTTACCAGTATCAAGCGGAGATATCAGTACTGATATTTTAAATAGATAGTAAGAAAATACTACTAAAAATCTATGCTTATAAATTCCATAACTTAGATGAAATGGCCTGATTCCACAAAATACAAACTCTCAAGCTTATCAAAAAAGTAGTAAACTAAATAGTTGTATGTCTTTTGAATTGTAGTAAAAACTTTATAAATCAAGCTCTAGGACCAAATGATTTCAATAAGTTCTATCAGACACTAAAAAATAAATACCACCAGTACTATACAAATACTCCCAGGAAACAGAATCAGAGGGAACACTTTGCAGCCTTTTATGAGTCCAACATATTACCCAAATCAGGCTAATATCTTTCATGAAAACCGACACAAAAATTTCTAACAAATTATTAGCAAATTTAGTCTAATAATATATAAATAGGATAACACATCATGACCTAGTACTTTATCTACAGAATGCAAGACTGGTTCAATATTGAAAGTCAATAAGTGAATTTGATCATAGTAATAGGCTAAATAAGAGAAGCTATATTATCATCTAAACAGATGCAAAAAAATAATTTGATAAAAGCAATATCCATTTATGATGGAAACTCTCAGCAAACTGTGGTAGAAAGTAAACTCTTTAACCTGGTAGAGAGTATCTGTGAAAAGTGTACAGCAAACTTTATACTTAATAATGAGAGATTGATTGCTTCCTCCTTAAGATCTGGAACAAGAAGAGGATGTGCTCTCTCACCACTCCTACTCAATAGCATATTGAAAGTCCTAGCTAGTGCATTAAAGCAAGAAAAATAAATAAAAGGCATACAGGTTAGAAGGAAATAAATAAAAGTATTCTTTTTTTTTTTTTATCTGATACCATGATTTTCTGTGTAGAAATTCCCAATGAATCTACTTTTTTCTTTTTTCTGGGAGTAGTCCATGAGCCTAATTAAAGTTGCCAGGTACAAGTTCAATTTACAAAAGTCAACTGTATTCTGACGTACCAGAAATTCACATTTGGAATATAAAATGTTTAAATCCACAATAACCATCCCCAAGTGAACCACTTTTATATGAATCTAATAAATTATGTTTTCATATGAAAAGCTATGAAACATGGATGAGAATAATTAAAGAAATTACATATATTGAGAGAGATGTCAAGGTTATGGATTAGAAACCACAATACTGTTAAGATCTTAATTCTTTCTAATATGGTGTATATAATCAACACAATCCCAATTAAAAAACCAGTATGTTTTTAGTAGATACTAACTAGATTATTAGCTAAACATTTCTGTAAAAAGAAGGAAATTGGAGAACTCACTCTAATCTTCAGCAATCAACACAATGTGGGACTAGAGAAAAGATAGACACATGCATAAAAATCAATAGAAAGCCCAGAAATTGACCTACACAACTATACTCCTTTTTTCAAAGTTTCGAAGGTAATTCCATGAAGAAAGGGTAGTCTTCTCAACAAATTGTGTTGGAAAAAAGTGAATAATCATGTGAAAAAGACAAAAATAGAAATAAGCCCCAGCACATAACTCACACATCATACAAAACTTGAATCATAGACCAAAATGTAAAACATAAAACTATAAAATATGTAAGAATTAATAGGAGAAAATCTTCATGACTTTTGCAATCAGTTTTTAGAGACAGCACCAACAGCAACATCCATGAAAGAAAATAAAGTAGATATCAATAGAAATTTAAAAATCAATCTATGAAAGATATTGCTAAGAGAATTAAAAAACAAACCACATACATATACACCATTGAATACTATGCAGCCACAAAAATAAATGAGATCATGTCCATTGCAGAGACATGGATGAAGCTGGAAGCCATCATCTTCAACAAACTAACAGAGGAACAGAAAACCAAATACCGCATGTTCTCACTCATAAGTGGGAGTTGAACAATGAGAACACATGGACACAGAGAGGGGAACAACACACACTGGGGCCTGTTGGTGTAGGGGCGAGGGGAGGGAGAGCATCAGGACAAATAGCTTATGCATGCGGGGCTTAAAACCTGGGTGATGGGTTGATAGGTGCAGCAAACCACCACGGCACACGTATACTTATGTAACAAATGTGCATGTTCTGCACATGTATCCCAGAACTTAAATAAAAATAAAAAAATTAAAAAAAGACAAACCACAGACTGGGAGAAAATATTTTCAAATCATGTATCTGATAAAGAACTTGATCTAGAATATGTAAAAATTCTTAAAATTCAATCAGAAGAAAATAACCCAATAAAACATTGACAAAATATCTAAACAGAACTTCAAAAACATAGATGGAAAATACATGGAGTGATATTCAATGCCATTTGTAATTGGGGAAATGCAAATTAAAATAATAATTGGAGGCCAGGCGCAGTGGCTCACACCTGTAATTCTAGCTCTTCAGGAGGCCGAGGCAAGCGGATCACCTGAGGTCAGGACTTTGAGACCAGCCTGGCCAACATGATGAAACCCTGTCTCTGCTAAAAATACAAAAATTAGCATGGCGTGGTGGTGCATGCCTGTAACCCCAGCTACTTGGGAGGCTGAGACAGGGCAGTTGCTTGAAGCCAGGAGATAGAGGTTGCAGTAAGCAGAGATTGCGCCACTGCCCTCCAGCCTGGGCAACAGAGGGAGACTCTGTCTCAAAAACAAAAACACAAACACGATAATGAGATGCCACTAAACATCCATTAAAATAACTAAAATCTAAATAACAGACAATACCAAATGCAGACAAGGATATAGAACATTTATCGCTTACAGGAATTCAAAGTGATTCATGCACTTTGGGTGGCAGTTTGGCCATTTTTGTGTTTTTTTTATTTTGTTGTTGTTAAATATGGACTTGCCATATGGCCCAGCAATTATACTTGTAAGTATTCCTCCAGGTAACTTGAAAACTTATGTTCACATATAAAAACTTTTATAGCAGTTTTATTCATAATCACTAAAACTAGAAGTGACCAAGATGTCCTCTGACAAAAGAATGGAGAAACAAATAATGCAATAATACTCAACAATAAGAAGGAATGAGCTATTGTTTCATACAACATGGATAAATGTTAAATGCATTTTGCTAAGTAAAAGAAGCCAGACAGAAAAAAGCTACCTACTATATGATTACATTAATATGATCTTCTGAAAAAGGCAATGCAATCAAGATAGAAAACAAATCAGTAGTTGCTAGTGGTTGATTGAATGGGGTGGGGGATTGAACATGAAAAAGACACACAGGGAAACTGTTCTATATAGCACTGAGTTGTGGATTCAAGGCTCTGCAGATTTGTCAAAACCCATAGAACTTGCCAGGCATAATGGTGTATGCCTGTACTCCAAGTTACTCAGGAGGCTGAGGCAGGTGTTATTGCTTGAACCCAGGAATTCAAGTCCAGCTTGGGCAACATAGCAAGAAAGACCCTCTCTCTGAAAAGTTAATATGAATAAAAATTTAAAAAATTTAAATGCCATAGAATTACACCCCTCAAATGGTTAAATTTAACATATGTAAACGTAGAAACATAAATTTTAAAACAATTAACCAAAATATTGAGATACTCCAGAACTGAATGAAGATAATTCTATCACAAGTATTTAAAAATACTTAGTCACCCTAAACGGGAGGTGGGGAGAAACTGACTTAATTACCCTTGGAAAATTATGTTTGACTCTAAACTATAACATTAAAGACAAAAATGAACTTTTAAAGAAATACATATGAAAAGTGGTGGGTGGTTTCTTACTGATGAAGAGGGAAGTTACAGATAATCAAGAGCAGAAAGCTATAATAAATCTTTTGGCACTTGATTGAAGTCAGAGATATTAATACAAATTCATGTTTACCAGGATTATAACACACACATACATGTAAAAACTATAGAGAATACTATAGACCAATACGTTTATGAACACAGACACGAATTCCTTAACAAAAATCTGGCACAACAAACCTTGCATTACAAAAAAGGGATAATACCTCATGATTAAGTAGAGTTTATTACAGGAATTCAAGGGTGGTTTTATATTCAGGAATCAACAAATGTAAACAACTATATTAACAAATTAGAAAAGGGTGATATCAACCAGATGACAGAATAAGAGGTCCCCTGTTTATATATCTCCACAGCACCAATAATCCACAGCCATGAGAAGGGATACCCACTCCCTCCCAAGTGGCAGGCTCACCAACCATAGTTTCAGAGACCCAGTCACACCTACTGTGATTCCCACCTAAAGGCCCTGTAACTCAGGCCCAACTGAAATGGCCCTAAAACTCAGCTATATCCCCTCTTAGCTGTGGTCTGAGAGCAGTCCTGTCCACTTACAGGCCCAGAAGGAGACATGCCCATCTGTGCCCCAAGAGACAGGCCTGCAGACCTGGGTGACAGTCTAGTCCACCAAGGAACCACATAGGACCCATATCTACTTCAACCCCTGGTGACAAGCACCAACCACAGACCCCGCTGCAGACTCAGCAGCAGCCACTTGGCCTGGATCCCACCCCCACTCAACTGTGATCCCAGAGGCAATCCTATCAGCCTGGGGACCCACCAGGAGAAGGCTTTTACCTGCCAAAATCAGTCATAAATACTACAAAGAAATGTTTTACTCCATGTAAACATACACAAATGCAAGACTGCATGAGTAGCAAAGAATCAGGCAAACAAGCCAAAGGAATTAATAAAATTCTAGCATCAGAACTCCAAATAAAGGGAGACTCATAAATTGCTTGAAAAAGAATTAAAAATGATCATCCTTAAGGAAGCTCAGTGAGATTTAAGAATACACAGACAACTAAATTACATTAGTAAAGGAATGTATAAACAAAATGAGAAGCTTAAGAAATATAAACTGCTTAAACCATAAAAAAGAACAAATAGAAATTCTAGAGCTAAAGAATACAAGGACAAATCTAAATATTCAATAGAGAGCTTTAATAGAAAATTTGATCATGAAGAAGAAAAAAATAGCAAACTTAAAGACAGGCCACCATTTGAAATTAGCCAGTCAGAGAAAGAAAAAGAAATTAAAAAGAGAGAAGAAAGCATAAGAAACCTATGGAATACCATCAGGACTTCATATATATGAATTATGAAAGCACCAGAAGAGGAAAAGAAAAGGAAATAGCAGAAAGTTTAAAGAAATACTGACTGAAAAGTTCTCAAGTCTTGAGAAGGAATAAACATGCAGATTCATGAATAAAACGTAATAACTGTAAGATGTGTTGTATAAGCCCTATGGTAACACAAAGAAAAAAACCTCTGGCAGATCTACAAAAAATAAAGAAAAAGAAATTAAAGCATACCACTATAAAAATCAACAAATCACAAAGGAAGATGAGAGGAAGGACCAAACATATTACAAAACAATCAAAAAGAATGAAAAAATTGCAATAGTTAAGTCCTTAACTATTAATAATTACTTCACATGTAAATGGATTAAATTCTCCAATCAAAAGAGAGAGTAGATGAATAAATTGAAAAAGAAGTCCAAAAATATGTTGCCTACAAGAGACTCACTTTAGCCCTAGGGTCACGTAGGCTGAAAGGGAAGGGATGAAAAATATATTCCATAAAAACAGTAAACAAAACAAGGGTTGGCTATACTTTTATTAGAAAAAATAGACTTTCAGACAAAGTCTGTCATAAGAGACAAATAAGGTCACTATATAATAAAGGATCAATTCATCAAGATAACATAAAAGTTTAAGTGTATATATATATATATCTCCACTTGGCCTTGGTCCTGCTTGGTAGCAGGGACCATCCACCAAGGGACCCAGGAGTCACACCTACTGTGATTCCCACCTAAAGTCCCTGTAACTCAGGGCCTAAATACTTTAAATATGTATTTCATCCAACAGTGAAATACTTAATGTTTTAAGGCAAATGTTAACAGAAATGGAGGGACAAATAGGCAGCAATGTAATAATAGCAGGAAACTTCAATATCCCCCTTTCAACAGTGGGTAGTTTGCCTAAACCGAAAATCAATTAGAAGACAGCAACTTGAATAACACTGTAGACCAAACAGATCTAACTGACATATGTAAAACGTTTCACTCAACATCAGCAGAATACACATTCTTCTCAAGCACATATGGAACATTATCCAGGATAGATTATATATTGGGCCATAAAACAAGTCTTAACAAATTTTAAAAGATTCAAATCATACCAAGTGACTTTTCTGAGCACAATGGCATAAAATTAGAAATAATAATACAAGGAATCTTGAAAAATTCACAAATATGTAGAAATTAAATAACACTTCTGAATAATCAATAGGTCAAAGAAATCAAAAGGCAAATCAAAAAGTATCTTTAGACAAAATTGGAAAGACAACATACCAAAATTTAAGATATGTTGCAAAGCAGTTCTAAGAAGGAAGTTTATAGTGATAAGACCTACATTAAGAAAAAATGGTCTAAAATTCTCCTTTTTGTTGTTGTGTCTCTGCCAGGCTTTGGTATCAGGATGATGTTGGCCTCATAAAATGAGTTAGTGAGGATTCCCTCTTTTTCTGTTGATTGGAATAGTTTCAGAAGGAATGATACCAGCTCCTCCTTGTACCTCTGGTAGAATTCGGCTGTGAATCCATCTGGTCCTGGACTTTTTTTTGGTTGGTAAGCTATTAATTATTGCCCCAATTTCAGAGCCTGTTATTGGTCTATTCAGAGATTCAACTTCTTCCTGGTTTAGTCTTGAGAGGGTGTATGTGTCCAGGAATTTATCCATTTCTTCTAGATTTTCTAGTTTATTAGCGTAGAGATGTTTATAGTATTCTCTCATGGTAGTTTGTATTTCTGTGGGATCGGTGGTGATATCCCCTTTATCATTTTTATTGTGTCTATTTGATTCTTCTCTCTTTTCTTCTTTATTAGTCTTGCTAGCGGTCTATCAATTTTGTTGATAATTTCAAAAAACCAGCTCCTGGATTCATTGATTTTTTGAAGGTTTTTTTGTGTCTCTATCTCCTTCAGTTCTGCTCTGATCTTAGCTATTTCTTGCCTTCTGCTAGCTTTTGAATGTGTTTGCTCTTGCTTCTCTAGTTCTTTTACTTGTGATGTTAGGGTATCAATTTTAGATCTTTCCTGCTTTCTCTTGTGGGCATTTAATGCTATAAATTTCCCTCTACACACTGCTTTCAATGTGTCCCAGAGATTCTGGTATGTTTTGTCTTTGTTCTCATTGGTTTCAAAGAACATCTTTATTTCTGCCTTCATTTTGTTATATACCCAGTAGTCATTCAGGAGCAGGTTGTTCAGTTTCCACGTAGTTGAGCGGTTTTGAGTGAGTTTCTTAATCCTGAGTTCTAGGTTGATTGCACTGTGGTCTGAGAGACAGTTTGTTATAATTTCTGTTCTTTTACATTTGCTGAGAAGTGCTTTACTTCCAACTATGTGGTTAATTTTGGAATAAGTGCGATGTGGTGCTGAAAAGAATGTATATTCTGTTGATTTGGGGTGGAGAGTTCTGTAGTTGTCTATTAGGTCCACTTGGTGCAGAGCTGAATTCAATTCCTGGATATCCTTGTTAACTTTCTGTCTCATTGATCTGTCTAATGTTGACAGTGGGGTGTTAAAGTCTCCTATGGCCTTTTGTGGGATGGGGAGAGGGGGAAGGGATAGCATTAGGAGATATACCTAATGTAAATGTAGAGTTAATGGGTGCAGCACACCAACATGGCACATGTATGCATATGTAACAAACCTGCACATTGTGCACATGTACCCTAGAACTTAAAGTATAATAAAAAAAAGAAAAAATGAAAAAAGGTATGCTACTAACTTAAGTGCCCTTCAACAGATCAATAATGAAAATATGGCATAGAAATACAATGGAATGTTGTTAAGCCATAAAATAAAGAAACTCCTGTCCTTTGTGACAACATGGATAAACCTTGGGAATATTATTCTGGGTGAAATAAGCCAGACACAGAATAACAAATACTGTATGATCCCACTTATATGTGGAATTTTAAAAAGTAGGAGTCTTAGAAGCAGAGGGCAGAACACTGCTTGCCATGAATTGGGGTTTGGGGGAAGGAAGTATATTTCTCAAATGGTACAAACTGTCAGTTATAAGATGACGAAGTTCTAGAAATCTAGTATACATTCTGGTGACTATCGTTAATAATACTGTATTTCTAAGAGAGCAGATCTTAAGTGTTCTTAACACACACACACATACACAGGCATGTAACTATTTGATATGATGGATGTGTTAACATGATATAGTAATTATTTCACAATGTATACATATATCAAATCATATTGTACTCATATAGAATCTTATACAGTTTTAAAATTTTATCTTTTAAAGTTTTATATTTTTAAAATTTAAAATGTTAAAAACAAATTAAAGTAATAAATGAAAAACCTCAAATTATTATCTTAATACAGTATATGTTGACAAAATATTTCATAATATACAAAGACTATTCATAATAACAACTCTCAGAAAACTAGAAACACAAAGAAACTTCCTCAATATGATAAAAGATAACTTTGAAAAACCTACAGCTATCATACGTAATAGTGAAAGTCTAAATTCTTTCCAAGTTTAGAAACAAGACAAAAATATCTTCTCTTATGACTTTTATTCAATATTATATTGCAGGTTATACTTAGTGCAATATGGGAATTAAGAGAAGGAAAAGTATTTATATTGAAAAAGTAGCTATAAAGCAATCATTATTCACTGATGACATTTTAAAATAATTTTAACAAAATTAAAATTTTAGTAGCAGGATAAAAATATATATTCTATACTGTAATTAGCAGAATAGACACTTTAGAAATCAAATCAATCAAGTAGAAAACAAATCTAAGAAATTATTTTAGTGTAGTGGTGTAATGACATGTAAATGGATGAGTAGATCATAATTAAGAAAACAAAGAAGATAACATGTGGAGGACGGTCTCAGCTTCTCAAGACCTGTGCCACCCTGGCTTTGTGGGAGCCCATGGGCCTGCTCAAACTCCCAGTATACTGCTACCACTATTGGCAATTGAAAAAGCCAGCACACTAACACTATCTATAACCAAGGAATTCATACATAGACTTTGCCACTGAAAACACCCAGAAGCAAAGCCAAATGGCCCTACTAAATATACATTACAGTCATATCAACAAGAGAAAAATGTCCTTTCAAACAAAAATAAATTCAAAGTAAAAAGAAGTGACAGTTTCTCCAGGTGTGAAGGAACAAACATAATAATTCTGGAAGTATAAAAAAGCAGGGGGTTATGACATTACTAAAGGATTATATTAACTCCCCAGCAATAGATCCTACCACAGTGAAATATTTAATATACCAGAGAAAGAATTATGCTTGTTGGCCAGGTGCAGTGGCTCACACCTGTAATCCTAGAACTTTGGGAGGCCTAGGTGAGCAGATTGCCTGGGTTCAGGAGTTCGAGACCAGCCTGGGCAACACGGTGAAACCCTGTCTCTACTAAAATATAAAAAATTAGCCGGATGTGGTGGAATGCATCTGTAGTCCCAGCTACTTGGGAGGCTGAGGCAGGAGAATTACTTGAACCTGGGAGGCAGAGGTTGCAGTGAGCCAAGATCATGCCACTGCACTCCAGCCTGGGCAACAAAGCAAGACTCCGTCTAAAAAAAAAAAAAAAGATTTATGCTTTTCTATTAGTGTCATTGCTCATGACATGGGTCTCTTGCAGACAGCATCTTGTTGAGTCTTGCTTCTTTATCCAACTTGCCACTCTGTGCCTTTTGATGGGGACATTTAGTTTGTTTATATTCAAGGTTAATATTGACATGTGCAAATTTGATCCTGTCATTATATTGTTAGCTGGTTATTATGCAGACTTGTTTGCATGGTTGCTTTATAATGTCAATGGTCTATGTACTTATGTGTGTTTTGTAGCGGTCAGTAATGATCTTTCTTTTCCATATTTAGCACTCCCTTCAGGACCTCTTGTAAGGCATGTCTGGTAGGCAGCAAATTCCCTCAGCATTTGCTTATCTGAAAAGATTATTATTTCTCCTTTGCTTATAGAAGCTTAGTTTGGCCGGATATGAAATTCTTGGTTGGAATTTCTTTTCTTTAAGCATGCTGAACATAGGCCCCCAATCTCTTCTGGCTTGCAGGGTTTCTGCTAAAAAAAAGTCTGCTGTTAGCATGAAGGGTTTCCTTTTGTAGAGGACTTGTCATTCTCTCTAGCTGTCTTTAACATTTTTTCTTTTATTGAGACCATGGAGAATCTGATGACTATGTGTCTTGGGATTTTGTGTGTGTGTGTGTGTGTGTGTGTGTGTGTGTGTGTGTGTGAGATATCTCACAAGGTTTCTCTGCATTTCCTAAATTTGAATGTTTGCCTTTCTAGCAAGATTGGAAAAATTTTCATCTACAATATCCTAAGATATGTTTTGCAAATTGCTTACTTTCTCTTTCAGGGATGCCAGTGAGTCATAGATTTGATCTCTTTACATAATCTCGTATTTCTCAGAGGTGTTGTTTATTCTTCTTTAATATTTGTTCTTTGCTTTTGTCTGACTATTTCAGAGAACTGATCTTTGAACTTGGAGAGTCTTTCCTCAGCTTGCTCGATTTTGCTGTTAATACTTGAGAATGCATTCTTAAAGTGACTTTTTCAGTTTTTCACCTCTTTCAGATCAGCTTGGTTCTTTATTAAAATGATATTGGGCCCATTGGTGCACAGAAGTCAAGAATTGAGGTTTGGGAACCTCCACCTAAATTTTAGAGGATGTATGGAAAAGCCTAGATGGCCAGGAAGAAGTTTGCTTCAAGAGTGGAGCCCTCATGGAGAACCTCTGCTAGGGCAGTGCAGAAGGGAAATGTGGGGTCAGAGCCTCAAACAGAGTCCCCGTGGGGGTACCACCTAGTGGAGCTGCAAAACCCCAGAATGGTGGATCCACTAACAGCTTGTACCCATTTGCACTGTACACCTAGAAAAGCTGCAGACTCAATGCCAGCCCATGAAAGCAGCTGGGAGAGGGGGCTATACCCTGTAGAGCCATGGGGGTGGAGCTGCTGAAGGCTGTGGGAGCCCACCTCTTGCATCAGTGTGACCAGGATGTGAGACATAGAATCAAAGCAGATTATTTTGGAGCTTTAACATTTGATTGCTGCACTGGATTTAGGAGTTGCATGGGGCCTGTAGCCCTTTCATTTTGGCCAATAACTCCTATTTGGAATGGCTGTATTTATCCAATGCCTGTACCCCCATTGTATCCAGGAAGTAACTAACTTGCTTTTGATTTTACAGGCTTGTATGCAGAAGGGAGTTGGCTTCTCTCAGATGACACTTTGGACTTGGACGCTGAAATGAATTAAGACTTTGGGGGACTGTTGGGAAGGCATGACTGCTTTTTAAATGTGAAAAAGACATGAGATTTTGGAGGGGTCAGGGGCAGAATGATATGGTTAGGCTTTGTGTCCCCATGCAAATCTCATCTTGAATTGTAATTCTCATAATTCCCACATGTCAAGGGAGAGACCAGGTGGAGGTCACTGAATCATGGAGGCAGTTTCTCCCATGCTGTTCTTATGATAGTGAGTTCTCACAAAATTTGATGGTTTTCTAAGGGGCTCTTCCCCCTTCACTTGGCACTTCTCTTTCTTGCTGCCTTGAGAAGAGAGTACCTTGCTTCCCCTTCTCCTTCTGCCATGATTATAAGTTTCCTGAGGCCTCCCCATCCCTGAACTGTGAGTCCATTAAACCTTTTATCTTTAGAAATTATCCACTTTCAGGCAATTATTTTTAGTATTATGAAATGGACTAATGCATCCCTAACACCTCTCTAAGCAGCTGTCCCTGTCAACTCAAGTGTCCATGGTGGTTGTGAGATGTCCTACTGCTAGGATTCCAGAGATCCATTGTGTATTAGTCCGATTTCACACCGCTGATAAAGACATACCTGAGACTAGGTAATTTATAAGCAGAAAGAGGTTAAGTGGACTCACAGTTCCACGTGGTTGGGGAGGCCTTACAATCATGGTGGAAAAAGAAAGGTACATCTTACATGGTGGCAGACAAGAGAGAAAAGACAGCCAAATGAAAGTGGTTTCCCCTTATAAAACCATCATTTCTCATGAGACTTATTCACTACCATGAGAACAATATGGGGGAAACTGACCCCACAATTAAATGATCTCCCATGGGGTCCCTCCCACAACACATGGGAATTATGGTAGCTACAATTTAAGATGAGATTTGGGTGGGGACACAGTCAAACCATACCACAGAGATAGAGTGAGTTGCACCTCATGTGCTCAACTCACCCCTCTTCAGCAATCATTAGGGGCCAGGAACAAATCCCAGTGCATGGTAGCCCCGTGCAGTGTCCCCAGCTTCCTTCCCTTTCAGCTCAGCACCTGTGTCCTCTCTCCATTTACTCTCAATGTCTTCCCTCCAAAGATCTCCTCAGAGTGTGCCAGTCTTTCCAGTGTCCTGGTCCCTATGTGGTACATATTCCTCCTGGCTGCATCTAGACGGCCATCTTTCTGCCAACTCCAGAGATTTAAAAGAAGAGAAAAACATAAAAAGATAAACTTAAAATCTTATGATTCCCAATTGTTTTATTTTGGTTTTATGTAAAAATGTAAAGAAATAAGATATTAGGTTAGAACTATACTACAGTATGTACATAATACCATTTAAGTCTGTGATGGTGTAATGGATCACAGGGCCATTTAACTGTGCTGCTTAGTAGTGCAATCTGCTGGTGAGATAAAAATTAGATATCAAAATTTATCATCTATAACTAATGATCATCAAAGGAAAGGGTCAACATAATTATTTTTCTGAGATCCCTGGTATAAACAAATCAGTGCCAAGGAAACTGAAACATAGGGCAGACACGATCATCTGAGTTACAACTTACATGCCAGGTAAGTTGTGGTTTTGAGTGACTGGAATATATAGGTGAGAATCTGTGATAATGAGTAAGAAATAGTAGTGATAGGAAAATAAACTGTGTGTGTGTGTGTGTGTGTATATATCATAAAAATATCCTTCAAACATGAAGGAGAAATAAAAATTTTCCCATACAAACAAAAGCTAAGGGATTTCATCAATACCAGACTGTCCTTTAAGAAATGCTAAAGGGAGCTCTTCAATGTTAAAGATGTGGATATTCACAAGCAATAAGAAATCATCCAAAGGTACAAAACTCACTGGTAATAATAAGTACACAAACACAGAATATTATAACGCTGAATTGTGGTGTGTAAGCTACTTATATCTTGAGTAGAAATACTAAAAGATGAACCTATCAAAAATAACTACAACAACTTTTCAAGACATAGACAGTATAATGAGATACAAATAGAAACAACAGAAGTTAAAAGGTGGAGGAAGAGTTGAAGTTAGAGCGTAGAGTTTTCATTAGTTTTCTTTTACTTTTATGTTATTTACTTTCTCTTTACAATTGGTGTTATATCATAATCAGTTTTAAATAATGGGTTATAGGATGTTATTTGTAAACCTCATGGTATCATCAAATCAAAAATTCTACAACAGATAGGAAAAAAACGTAAAGCAAGAAATTAAAACACACCACCAGAGAAAACCACCTTCACATAAATGGAGAAAGGTAGGAAGGAAGGAAGGTAGGTAGCAAAAAAGGAAGGAAGGAGGGAGGGAGGGAGGGAAGGAAGGCAGGAGGGAGGAAGGGAAGGAGGGAAGGGGGGAAGGAGGAAAGGAAAGAAGGAAGGAAAGAAGGAAAGAAGGAAGGAAGGAAAGAAAGAGGGGAGGGAGGGAGGGGTCAGGCAGACAGGAAGGGAAGAATACAAAACAATCAGAAAACAAATAAATCAAAGGCAGGAGCAAGTCCTTACTTATCAACAATAGCATTGAATGTAAATGGACTAACCTCTTTAATCTAAAGACATAGTGTGGCTGAATGAACCAAAACAAAACAAAACAAATAAACAAAATGGCCAATCTGTTGCCTACAAGAAACACATTTCACCTTTCGAAGCACAAAGACTACAAATAAAGAGATGAAAACCAACATTCCATGGAAATGGAAACCAAAAAAGAGCAGAAGCAGCTATACTGATATCAGACAAAATAGAAGTCAAGATTATAATTAGCAACCAAGAATATCACTATATAATGATAAAGGGTTCAATTCAGCAAGAAGATATAATGATTTTAAATATATGTTGATGTGGTTTGGCTGTGCCTCCACCCATGTGTTATGGGAGGGACCTGGTGGGAGATAATTCAATCATGAGGGCGATTTCCCCCATACTGTTCTCATGGTAGTAAGTTTCATGAGATATGATGGTTTCATAAGGGGAAACTCCTTTCATTTGGCTGTCTTTTATCTCTTGTCTGATGCCATGTAGCATGTGCCTTTCTTTTTCTGCCAAGATTGTGAGGCCTCCCCAGCCACATGGAACTGAGTCCATTTAACCTCTTTCTGTTTATAAATTACCCAGTCTTGGGTATGTCTTTATCAGCAACATGAAAACGGACTAATACATACGTGCACCAAAGTTTTGCTCCAAGAACCATCATGGGAACATACCAGGAAAATAGAACAAATTCACAGACTCTCTGAAAGAAGCAGCTTGCTGCTGCAAACTCTGAGACAGCTGAAAAACTGAGTTTCCAAAGTGTGACAGGGAGAAAAGTTGGCCTCCAAACACACATCCCAACTGGGGAAACTGAAAATATAGATCATAGGAGAAGGACTTGTGAAAAAAAAATCTTGGGACCCCAAAATCACTAAGCTAAAGGGAAAAGTCAAGCTGGGAACTGCTTAGGGCAAATGTGCCTCCAATTCTATTCAAAGTCATCCCTCTGCTCACTGAGATAAATGCATATCTGATTGCTTCCTTGGAAAGACTAAACAGAACTCAAAAGAATGCAATCATTTGTCTTATCTACCTATGACCTGGAAGCCCCCTCCTTTCTTGAAGTTGTCCCACCTTTGCTTTGAGCTGCCCTGCCTTTCCAGACTGAACCAATGTTCATCTTATATATCTTGATTGATATCTCATGTCTCTTTAAAATGTATAAAGCTAAGCTGTGCCCCTACCACACAGGACACATTTCATCAGGACCCCCTGAGTCTGTGCCATAGGCACATACCCTTAACCTTGGCAAAATAAACTTTCAAAATTGACTGGGACCTGTCTCAGATATTTGTGGTTCACAGATTTAAGCTTACCTAGAGTTGAAACAGATTTAGGGAGTCAAGAAAAACATAAAAGTAGAAGCCACAGCAGGAAAAGCCCTATAGGAACTCCTGGTCCCCAGCTCAAACTCAGGGAAGTCATTCCTGGCCTTTTCTCACAGAGGTCCTTGTGGAAAGGAAGGCAGACTGTGGAACTTGGGAGGACCTGGAGGGTGAAGGAATCTCATTGCTGAACTTTATAATTATTTCAATTGAGCACAAATTTTCCTGAACAGAATCCTGTGAGGATGAATGGGAAGTGCAGATATAATCACAGAAGCCACAGCCAACAGTGAAGGCAGGCAGGAAGGGGTGAGATCTGAGAGCCCTTTTTGCTTTCTCACTGGGGAGGCTTGTAGACTATGGCAAGATCTCAACATTGCTGGCCAGCTGTCTGGGTATACAGTCAGTGTGGTTAGCGGGGCATGGTGGGAGGGAGACTTGCCTTGCTGGCTGCATGGGAGCTGGGTGAGGCCTGTCATAACTGGCTTTCCCCAACTTCCCAGGTGACCTGTATGATGCAGCAAATGCAGCCATAATCCCCAAAGGGAACGTAACTCCACTGGCCTAAGAACCACCCTCCTATTCCCTCAGTGGCTGCAGCAAGCCCCGCTCAAGGACAATCTGAGCTTAGACTCATCTAACCCTGTTTCCACTTCATGGTTTTTCTCTACCTACCCTGGTAGCTGAAGACAAAAGACAAACTCTTGGGAGCTCTATGGTCTTGCCCATCACGTGAGGAACCCAAGTACTCATCCTGGCCAAAGTAGGGCAAGATTATATCCCCATTCTACTAACACAGCTGGTGCTGTCTTGAAATTACCACCTCCTGGCTGGAGGCCAACCAACCCAAGCCATTACAGCAACTCAGAACAACCTTGCTCCAAAGAAGGAGAAAACAATCGCTAATTCCACAGCCTGCAGCACCCTGAATAACCAAAGGTCCTGAGTCTGTCTGTGTGACAACTTCACTGCTACCATAATTAGCATTCAAGAAAACCAGCACACTAAACGAAACTATAACCAAGAACTCCCACAGAGGCCACTCCACTCCCCTCCCACTTCCACCAGAGCAGGTGCTGATATCCACGGCTGGGAGACCTGAAGATGGATCACATCACAGGACTCTTTGCAGACATTCCCCAGCACTAGTCTGGAGCACAGTAGCTCACTGGGTGGCTAGACCCAAAAGGGCAATAACAATCACTGCAGTCTGGCCCTCAGGAAGCTCCATTCCTAGGGGAAGAGGGAGAGCACCACATCAAGGGATCACCTTGTGGGACAACATAATATGAACAGCAGCCCTTGAATTCCAGATCTTTCCACTGAAACAGTCTACCCAAATGAGAAGGAACCAGAAAAGTAATTCTGGTAATACGATAAAACAAGGTTCTACAACACCCCAAAAGATCATAGTAGCTCTCCACCAATGGATCTAAAACAAGAAGAACTCTCTGAATTGCCAGATAAATAATCCAGAAGGTTGATTAGTAAGCTACTCAAAGAAACACCCGAGAAAGGTGAAAACTAACTTAGAGAAATTTAAAAAAATACAGAATATTGTTGAAAAAGTGTCCAGAGAAATAGATATCACAGAGAAAAGACAATCACAACTTCTGGAAATAAAAGACACACCTAGAAAAATGCAAATTATGCTGTAAAGTTTCAACAATAGAATTAAAGTAGAAGAAAGGACTTGAGAGCTCGAAGACAAGGCTTTCCAATTAACACAATCTGACAAACACAAAGAGAAAAGAATTTGAAGAAATGAACAAAGCCTCCAAGAAGTCTGGGATTATGTTAAACTGCCAAACCAAAGAATAATTGTTGTTGCTGAGGAAGAAGAGTATCTAAAAATTTGGAAAAATATCTTGAGGGAATAATTGAAAATTTCCCTGGCCTTGCTAGAGATCTAGACATCCAAACATAAGAAGCTCAAAGAACACCTGGGAAATTTATCACAAAAAGATCATCACCTAGGCACATAGTCATCGGGTTATCTAAATTCAAGACAAAGGAAAGAATCTTAAGAACTGTGAGGCAAAAGCATCAGGCAACCTTGTAGCAGGACAAGCCACTGACAAAACTCCTCAGACACTGAGTTAAAGAAGGAAGGGCTTTATTCAGCCGGGAGCTTCGGCAAGACTCACGTCTCCAAAAACTGAGCTCCCCAAGTGAGAAATTCCTGTCCCTTTTAAGAGCTTACAACTCTAAGGGGGTCTGCGTGAGAGGGTCATGATCAATTGAGCAAGCAGGGGGTACATGACTGGGGGCTGCATGCACCAGTAATCAGAATGGAACAGAACAGGACAGGGATTTTCACAACGCTTTTCCATACAATGTCTGGAATCTATAGGTAACATAACCGGTTAGGTTAGGGGTCGATCTTTAACCAGGCTTAGGGTGTGGCACTAGGCTGTCTGCCTGTGGATTTCATTTCTGCATTTTAGTTTTTACTTCTTCTTTCTTTGGAGGCAGAAATTGGGCATAAGACAATATGAGGGGTGGTCTCCTCCATTAACCTTAAAGGACAACCTATCAGATTAATGGCAGATTTCTCAGCAGAAACCCTACAATCCAGCAGGAATTGGGGTCTTATCTTTAAACTCCTGAAACAAAATTATCAGCCAAGAATTTTGTGTCCAGCCAAACTGAGATTCATAAATGAAGGAGGGGTAAAGTCTCTTTTAGACAAACAATTCCTGAGAGAATTCACCACTACCAAGCTAGTACTGCAGGAAATGTTAAAAGGAGTTCTAAATCTTGAAACAAAACCTTAAAATACACCAAAATAGAACCTCCCTAAAGCATGTTCTACAGGGCCTGTAAAACAATAAAACAATGAAAAAAAAAGTTATTCATGCAACAACTAGCATGAAGAATAGAATACTACCTCATATCTCAATACTAATGCTGAGTGTAAATGGCCTAAATTCTCTACTTAAAAGAATGGCAGAATGAAGAAAAATTCACCAACAAGTATTTGCTGTCTTTAAGAGATTCACATAATATATAAGGACTCACATAAGGTGAAGGGGTGGAAAAAGATACTCCATGCCAATGGCAAACAAAAGTGAGCAAGAGTATCTATACTTTTATCAGATACAACAGACTTTAAAGCAACAACAATTAAAAAGGGCAAATAGGGACATTATATAATGATGAAAGGATTAGTCCAACAGGAAAATATCACTATCTTAAATATATATGCATTTAACACTGGAGCTCCCAAATTTATAAAACAATTACTACTAGACCTAAAAATGAGCTATGGCAACACAATAATAGTGGAAGTATTCAATACTCCACTGAGAGCACTAGACAGGTCATCAAGACAGAAAGTCAATAAAGAAACAATTGACTTAAACTATACCCTGGAACAAATGGACTTAACAGATACAGAACATTCTACCCAACCGACTGCAGAAAGTACATTCTTTTCATCAGCACAAAGAACAGTCTCAGAGATAGACTGCATGATAGGCCACAAAACAACTCTCTATAAATTTAAGAAAATCAAAATTTTATCAAGTACTCTCATAGACCACAATGGAATCAAATTGGAAATTAACTCCAAAAGGAACCTACTAAACTATACAAATACATCGAAATTAAATAAGCTGCTCCTACATAATCTTTGGATCAATAATGAAATCAAGATGGAAATTAAAAAATTATTTGTACTGAACAATAATAGTGACACAACCTATCAAAATCTCTGGGATACAGTAAAAGCAGTGCTAAGAGGAAAGTTCATAGCATTAAATGCCTACATCGAAAAGTGAAAAAGCACAAGTAGACAATCAAAGCTCACACCTCAAGGAACTAGAGAAACAAGAACAAACCAAACCCCAACCCAGCAGAAGAAAAGAAATTACAAAAACCAGAGTAGAACTAAATGAAATTGAAACAAAAAGATACAAAAGATGAACAAAAATCTGTTGTTTTGGGAAGAAAAAATGATAGACCGTTAGTGAGATTAACCAAGAAAAGAAGAGAGAAGATCCAAATAAGATTCAATTAGAAATGAAACAGGAGGTATTACAACTGATACCACAGAATACAGAGGATTATTCAAGGCTACTGTGAACACTTTTACAAGGGAGCATAAACTATAAAACCTAGAGATGGATGAATTCCTGGAAATATGCCACCCTTCTAGCTGAAAGCAGGAAGATACAGAATCTCTGAACAAACCAATAACAGTGAGATTGAAATGGTAATAAAAAAAACTGCCACCAAAAAGTCCAGGACCAGATGGACTCACAGCTGAATTCTATCAGACATTCAAAGAAGAACTGGTACCAATCCTATTGACACTATTCCAAATGATAGAGAAATAGGAAATCCTCCCTAAATAATTCTATGAAGCCAGTATCCCCTAATACCAAAACCAGGGAAGGACATAACAAAAAAGAAAACTACAGACCAATATCCCTGATGAACATAGATGCAAAAATCCTCAACAAGATACTAGCAAACTGAATCCAACAGCATATTAAAAAGATAATTCACCATGATCAGTGGGTCTTATACCAGGGATGCAGGGATGGTTTAACATCATGTGTGTAATACACCACAAAAACAGAATTTAAAACAAAAATCACATGATCATCTCAATAGACACGGAAAAAGCATATGACAAAATCCATCATCCCTTTATGATGAAAACCCTCAGCAAAATCAGCATAGAAAGGATATACCTTAAGGTGATAAAAGCCATCTACATGAAACCCACAGCCAACATTATACTGAATGGGGAAATGTTGAAAGCATTCCCCCTGAGAACTGGAACAAGACAAGGATGCCAACTTTTACCACTTCTACTCAACATAGTGCTGGAAATCCCAGCCAGAGCAATTAGACTAAAGAAATAAATTGGTAAAGAGGTAGTCAAAGTGTTGCTGTTTGCTGATAATATGTGTATACTTAGAAAACCCTAAAGACTCATCCAAAAGGCTCCTAGAACTGGTAAATGAATACAGCAATATTTCAGGATACAAAATTAATGTACACAAATCAGTGGCTCTGCTATACACCAACAGCGACCAAGCTGAGAATCAAATCAAGAACTCAACCCCTTTCACAACAGCTGAAAGAAAAGAAAACTTAGAGAAATATACTTAACCAAAGAGGTGAAAAACCTCTACAGGGAAAACTACAAAACCCTGCTGAAAGAAATAATAGACAACACAAACAAATGGAAACACATCCCATGTTCATGGTGGGTAGAATCAATATTGTGAAAATGACCATACTGCCCAAAGCAGTATACAGATTCAATGCATTTCTCATTAAAATACCATCATCATTCTCCACAGAACTAGAAAAACAACCCTAAAAGTCGTATGAAACTAAAAAAGAGCCCACATAGCCAAAGCAATACTAAGCAAAAAGAACAAATTTTGAGGCATCACATGACTTGACTTCAAATTATACTACAAGAGTACAGTTAACAAAACAGCATGGTACTGGAATACAAATAGGCACATAGACCAATGGAACAGAATAGAGAACCCAGAAATAAAGCCAGATACTTACAGCCAATGGATCTTTGACAAAGCATACAAAAACAAAGCAGGGAAAATGGTGCTGGGAAAACTGGCAAGCCACATGTAGAAGAATGAAACTGGATCTTCATGTCTCACCTTATACAAAAACCAACTCAAGATGGATCAACAACTTAAATCTAAGTTATGAAATCATAAAAATTCTAGAAGATGACATTGGAAAAACTCTTCTACACATTGGTTTAGTCAAAAAATTCATGATTAAGAACCCAAAAGTGGCTGGGCACGGTGGCTCAAGCCTGTAATCCAGCACTTTGGGAGCCTGAGGCGGGCGGATCACAAGGTCAGGAGATGGAGAACATCCTGGCTAACACGGTGAAACCCCATTTCTACTAAAAATACAAAAAATTAGCCAGGTGTGGTGGCAGGTGCCTGTAGTCCCAGCTACTTGGGAGGCTGAGGCAGGAGAATGGCATGAACCCGGGAGGCGGAGCTTGCAGTGAGCAGAGATTGCACCACCGCACTACAGCCTGGGTGACAGAGCAAGTCTCCGTCTCAAAAAAAATAAAAATATAAATAAATAAATAAATAAATAAACCCAAAAGCAATAGATGGAACCTAATTAAAACTAAAAAGCTTCTGCACAGCAAAAGAAATAATCAGCAGAGTAAACAGCCCACAGAGTGGGAGAAAAGATTTATAAACTATGCATCTGACAAAGGACTAACATCCAGAATCTACAAGGCCCTCAAACAAATCAGCAAGAAAAAAATATCCCATTAAAAAGTGGGCAAAAGACATGAATAGACAACTCTCAAAAAAAAAGATATACAAACAGCTAACATAGATGAAAAAAATTCTCAACATCACTAATTATCAGGGAAATGCAAATTAAAACCACAGTGACATACCTCCTTCCTCCTGCAAGAATGGCCATAATTAAAAAATAAAATAATAATAGTTGCTGGTGTGGATGTGGTGTAAAAGGAACCCCTTTACACTGCTGGTCAGAATGTAAACTACTAAAATCTGTATGGAAAACAGTATTGAGATTCCTTAAAGAATTAAAAGTAGAACTACCATTCAATCCAGCAATCCCACTACTGAGTTTCTACCCAAAGGAAAAGAAATCATTATATGAAAAAGACACATGCACTTGCATATTTATAGCAGCACAATTTGCAGTTTGCAAAAATATGGAACCAACCTAAAGGCCCATCAACCAACAAGTGGATAAGGAAATTGTGGTATATATACATCATGGAATACTACTCAGTTAAAAAAAAAATACAAAGGCCAACAAAGTAATGGCCTTTGCAGCAACTTGAATGGAGCTGCAGGCCATCATTCTAAGTGAAGTAACTCAGGAATGGAAAACCAAATACTGTATGTTTTCACTTTTATGTGGGAGCTAAACTATGAGGATGCAAAGGCGTAAGAATAATGTAATGGACTTTGCGGACTTGGGGGAAGGGTGGGAGGGGATGAGAAATAAAAGACTACAAATTAGATACAGTGTATACTGCTCAGGTGATGGGCACACCAAGACCTCAGAAATCACCACTAAAGAACTTAAAAAGTACCCCCAAAACCGTTGAAATTTTTTAGAAAGCCCTCAACAAACTAGGTATATAAGAAACATTCCTGAAATAATAAAAGTTATATACAACAAGCCCACATCCAACTTCATACTGATTGTGGAAAAGCTGAAAGCATTCCCCCTAATACCTGTAATAAGACAAGGATACCCTCTTTCACCACTCGTATTCAACATAGTACTAGCCTATCGAGAGGAATCAGACAAGGGAAAGAAAAAATAAGGCATCCAAATTGGAAAGGAGGACTTCAAATTATCTGTGTAGTGATGATATGATCTTATACCTAGGACACCCTAACGACTTCTCAAAAAGACTCTTAGATTTGATAAATGATTTCACTAAAGTCTCAGGATACAAAATCAGCATTCAAAAATCAATAGCATTTCTATATCCCAATAACAATCAAGCTAAGAACCAAATCAAGAAGTCAATCTTCTTTTTAATAGCTACAAAAGAGAAAATAAAATACATATGAATATATTTAACCAAGGAGGTAAAAAATAAGATCTCTAGAAGGAAACTACAAAACACTGATAAAATAAATTATATTAATAGATGACACAAATGAAAAAACATCCCATGTTCCTGGATCTGAAGAATCAATATTGTTAAAATGATTATACTTCCCAAGGCAATCTACATATTTAATACAATTCCTATAAATATATCAACATCATTTTTCACAAAATTAGTAAAACACTCTAAATATACATATGGAACCTAAAAGAAACCCCAATAGCCATAACAATCCTAAGCAAAAAGAACAAAGCCAGAAGTATCCCTACATTAACTTCGAATTACAGTATAAGGCTATGATAACTAAAATAGCATAGTACTGGTATAAAAATAGACATATAGATCAAGGGAATGGATTGGAGAACCCAGAAATAAAGCCACACACCTACACTCAACTTATGTTTGACAAAGTCAACAAAAACATGCACTAGGTAAATGATACCCGAATTCAATAAATGATGCTGGGAAATTTGGATTGCTATATGCGAAAGAATGAAACTGGATTCCTGTTTCTCACCATATACAAATATTAACTCAAAATGAATTAAAGGTTTAAATGTAAGACCTAAAACTATAAAAATTCTATAAGTAAAGCGAAGAAAAACCCTTTGGATATTGGCCTAGGCAAATAATTTATGACGAAAATCTCAGAAGACAACAACAACAAATATAGACAAGAAGAAGTTAATTAAACTAAAAGGCTTCTACACAGGAAATAAGATGATTGACAGAGTGAACAGAAAACCTTCAGAATGGGAGAAAATATTTGCAAGCTATGTATACAACAAAGGAATAATATCCAGAGTCTACAAGGAATTTAACAAGAACAACATACCCCATTAAAAAATTGACAAATGACATGAACATAAATTTTTCAAGAGAAAACATACAAATGTCCAACAAGGGTATGAAAAAATGCTCAACATCACTTATCAGAGAAATGCAAATTAAAGCCACATCAAGATGCCATCAGTCAGAATAGCTGTTATTAAAACATCAAAAAATAACAGATGTTGGTGAGTACGTGGAGAAAAGGGAATGCTTACACACGGTTAGTGGGAATGTAAATTAGTATAACCTCTAAGGAAAACAGTATGAAAATTTATCAAAAAACTAAAAGTAGATCTAGCATTTGATCCAGCAATCCCACCATTGGGTATATACCCAAAGGAAAATAAGTCATTATATCAAAAAGATACCTGCACCCGTATGTTTATAGCAGCACTATTCACAATAGCAAAGATATGGAATCAACTTAAGTGTCCATCAACAGATTACTGAATAATGAAAATGAGGATATATATGTATATATATATATACACACACACACTCACACACACACCATGGAATACTACTCAGCCATAAAAAAACAATAAAAGAAGAATGAAATCATGTCTTTTACAGCAACATGGATAGAACTGGAGGCCATTATCTTAACTGAAATAACTCAGAAAGTCAAATACCATATGTTCTCACTTGTAAGTGGGAACTATATAATGTGTACCTATAGACATAGAAAATGGAATAATAGACATTGGAGACTTGGAAGGATTGGAGGGTGGGAGGCGGTGAGGAATGAGAAATTACTTAAGTAGTACAATGTACACTAAGTAATTTCGATGGTTATGCAAAAAAGCACAGAATTCACCACTACACAATATATCCATGTAACAAAGTGGCATTTTTACCCCATAAAGCTATAAAAAGTGTTTGTAAATAGTAGTTATTGATAAAGTATTAAAATTACACAAAAGTCATAAAGAATGCTCTAACAAGACCAAACACAAAAACCTTCAGCCTGTTAGCAAAACATACCCAACTATGCAAAAAAATGAATTTTGGCTATGAAATATTAGTAAAACTTGGCATATATTTCTGCATTAAATAAAACAATATAAATGTTATTTATATTATTCTACAATATAAGTTTTTAAAAGGGCAAAAATTATTTGAAATTAAACACAAATCAGACTGAAACTGAAGACAGTGATAGAACATGAAATCATAGAATTCACTGCATGTTAAGAGTAAAATGCTATAAAATAAGAATTTCATTTGCAGCCAGAATGTCATTTATGTTTGAGAACTACTGTAAGGTCTTCTCAGATATAAAAATGACTAAAATACTTGACATATTCTCAGTATATAAAAATAAAATATTTAAGAACAGGATAATTAAAAGAAATAGCAGATGAATCTTGAGACATTTTAACAATTTTAATAAATATGGTGAATAAGTGGGAGCTAAATACAAAAATAATTCTTCAAAGACAATATATATTTTTAAAATGTACTTATCCATAAATGAAAAGCAAAGAATATATTCAATTAAGAGGAAATAGGTCAGACTCCAATCTTAAAGGGACATAAAAATGTCAGTCTTCTTTTTAAATGATTTAATTCAGAAGACTTGATCATCAAAAAAATTAAATAACTTATAATACCTGCATGTAGCATGTATATATTGCTAGTTATTGAAAAATATAAACAAATGTGAACCATATAAAAGTGACTCAAACTTTTAGAGCCATAGACTTAAGACTAAAGAAATCTATCATCCTCTTCTATCGCTGCTTCATTCAATACATATCAACACTTACATTTAAGTTTACCTGAAATCATCTTATTGCGTTAGAAATTTCTTTCACAAAATGAAAACCCTAAAATTATACTTCAGAAATTGTCTTTAATTAGTTTACTGCAAACATATCTATTTCATTTTAAAACAGAGCTATATTTAACTTTTATATAATTAACTTATATAAATTAAAATTTAATTTTGTTCCTAGTATCTTTTATTATGAAGACTACTGTAGTGAATATAAATAGTGTTTTGAATTGGTGAGTGGTCTTTCACATGGCAATACACTTGAAATTATTGACAATTAATTTTGACCATTTTTCTCTTTGACAGCAGGCTGCAGAAAATCCAGACTCACAAAAGTATGCATTAACAAACACAAACAGTGAATTTTCATGGCCACTTCTCAAGATAAGCATGGCTTGTGCCGAGGAAACCCAGAATTCTCTAAGACATTTCTTTGAAATCATGTCAAATCTTTGTCTTCAAGGCTGACATCATCTTTGACAAGGTATATCTTTATTGATGTTGTCTGTGTTAGACAAGAAATGAATATAAAATCCACATTTCAGTTTTGAGGTTATCTGAGCTAAAGTAATCTTCTCAAGAGGGCTTCAGAGTTCCCAGAGGTCCTCTGATTCCTGCCTGTAGTGAATCTGATGTATAAACTCCTGATACACTCTGCAGACTATTTCCAGCTTTGGGAAGTTCACATGTTGTCTATTTCCCATCTCCCCTTCTAGAGTGTCAGTTTACATAAACAAACTTCTAAATGTTTCAGGAGACTCTGTACTATTGGCCTTACAGCCAATGGAAAAAGCAAAATATTCTCCAAAAAGCTACGTCAAGTGAACTCTAAAGTTTATCTTTTCAACAAATGGACTTTCTTTATAATTGCATGACACGTAATTCCTTAATAGAAAAAGAAACTGACTTCAAATAATTTAACTGGGGATAAAAGCTCTGCCTCATTTTTCTGGGAAGTATACTGAGACAGCTGACTGAATGGATGGAGAATTAAGAAAACCAGTGATTCAGAACCTCATTATACTAGGAGACTCTATAAGAAACAATGTGCCTATGTTTACCAATCCTAGTGTATTCCGCCAATGTTAATTCAATAATTTATCAGGCATTGATGGTAACTCCTGTGATAAAAACCTTACTCCTAGATTAATGTTATAGTCTCAACTTTTACTTCACCTACTCAAATATAAGGCAGATCTAATATGCCCACTACCCCCAGGTTGCATTTAGGAAATTTCATTTTATGTTGGCACTTGGGAGAGAATCTTACTGATCTGGGGTAAATGGGCTACAGCCTGAGTTATTTTGGATGTGCTTACAGGTTCAGGCTTTCCTCATTTCTCTTTTCTTTAAAGTACAAACCAGTTTTATCTCCAGTCTTGGGCCTCTGCCCATGCAAACATTATTTATTTGACAAAAATTGTATATATTGTGTGCAACATGTTTTAAAATATGCACACATTGTGCACTAGCAAAATTGAGCTTATTAATATACACGTTACCTCACATACTTATTATTTTGTGGTAAAAATTCTTAAAATGTAGTTTCTTAGCAATTTTTAAGAATACAGTACATTACACTAACTATAGCCATCCTGTCACACAATATATCTCATGGATTTACTCTTCCTAACTGAAATTTTGTATCTTTTGACCAACATCTCTCCATCTCTCCCCCACCAGCCCCTGGTAACCACCGTTCTACTCTCTACTTCTATGAACTTAAATTTTGTAGATTTCACATGTAAGTGAAATCATGCCATATTTATCTTTCTGTACCTGACTTTTCACTTAACATAACATCCTGCAGTTTCCTTCATGTTATCAACGATGACAGGATATCTTTTTTTTTTTTTTTAACAACTCACAGTATTCCACTGTGGACATATATCACATTTTCTTTATCCATTAATCCATTCATGGACACTTATGTGGATTTGATAGCTTGTCTGTTGGGAATAATCCTACAATGAATATCGTAGTGCAGAAATCTTTCACATACTGATTTCATTTCCTTTGGATATATACCCAGTATTGGGATTACTGAAAGATATAGTAGTTCTGTTTTTACTTTTTTGAGGAAGCTCCATACTGTTTAACATATGGCTCTACTAATTTACAGTCCCATCAACAGTGTATGAGTTCCTTTTATTCCACTCTCTTGCCAACACTTGTTATCTTTCATCTTCTTTCTAATAGCCTAACATGTGTTGGGTGATATCTCATTGTGGATTTAATTTGCATTTCTCTAATGATTAGTGATATTGAACAGTTTTTCATATACCCATTGGCCATTTGTATGCCTTCTTTTGAGAAATGTCTGTTTAGATCCTTTGCCCATTTTTTAATTCAGTTGTTTTCTTACTATTATTTGATTTTCTCATATATTTTAAATATTAACCCCTTATGAGACATAACAGATTGGAAATATAATTTCCCATTCTATAAGGTGTCTCTTCACTGTGTTGATTGTTTCCTTGGCTGTACAGAGCTACTTAGTGTAATGTAATACCATTTATCTGGTTTTGCTTTTGTTTTTTGCTTTTGGTGTTATATCTAAAAAAAAAAAAAATCATCTCCCAGACCAATGCAATGGATATTTTGTCTCGAGAAATTTTACAGTTACAGGTCTTTACGTCTTTCATCCATTTGGGGTTGATGTTTGTATAAGAAGTGAGAGGAGGCACCAATTTCATTCTTCTGCATGTGGATATTCTGTTGTCCCAACACCATTTATTGAAGAGACTGTCATTTCCTTGCTGTGTATTCTTGGCATTTATGTTGAAAATCAATTGACTATAAATGTGTAGATTTATTTCTGGGCTCTTCTTTCTGGTTCTTCGGTCTGTTTTTATGCCAGATCATGTTGTTTTGGCTACTAGAGCTTAGTAGTATACTTTGAAGTCAGGTAGTGTGATGCCTCCAGCTTTGTTCTTGCTTTGGCTATTCAGTGTCTTTGGGGTTCCATAGGAATTTTAGGACTGTTTTTTCTAATTCTGTGAAAATGTCATCTGAATTTTTATAACGACTACATTGAATATGTAGAGATCGCTTTGGGTAGTAGGAACATTTTTATATTAAGTCTTCCAATCCATGAACATAAGATTTCTCTACATTTATTTGTGTCTTCCCTGATTTCCTTCATCAATGCTTACAGATCTTTTACCTTCTTAAACTTCTACTTTATTTTTTGTAGCTATTGTAAATGGGACTGCTTTCTTAATTTCTTTTTCAGACAGTTTTTTATTGAATAAAAATGCTACTGGGTATGTTGATTTTGTATCCTGCAATTTTACTGAATTCATTTATTGGTTCTAAGAGGTTTTTGACAGAGTCTTTAGGGCTTTCTATGTATAAGACTATGTCATCTGTAAACAAAAAATTTAACTTCATTCTTTCCAAATTGGATACTTTGTATTTTTTTTCTCTTGCCTAATTGCTCTGGCTAGAACACCCAGTACTATGTTGAATAGAAGTGGTAAGGGTGAGCATTCTTGTACTATTCCTGATCTTAAAGGAAAAGCTTTCAACTCTTTCTCATTGAGAATGATTTTAGCCGTGGGTTTGTCACACACGACCTTTATTCAGCATAGGGCAGATAATTCACCTATTAGAGTTTCACAGGACATGGTATTTTTGGATTCAGTAATTTTAGAACCTTGCCTATGAGAGGACATTTATTTTCCTTTTTTTTTTTTTAATGATGTTCTCTCTCTCCTTCCATATGACTGATGCCCATTCCTTTCTTACCTCACTTAAGGTCTTACTAAAATATTCCACTATATTTTACATAGCCCCCACCCCAGTTTCCTGCCATGGTAGATTTCATTCTGGATTTGAAATCACAACATGAAGTATTTTAGCCAATTTCTTCAGTAATATATAACTAGGATTTTAACTTGCCAGCTTTGCTTAAATTACTGAGAAAATGTTTTGCCTTTTTTTAATCTCAAAAGTGATCAGATTATTTTAAAAAGTAAGCAGATTCTTAAAACTTAAGAACCATCTACTTAGTAAAGTAAAAATCAATATGGAGATTCCCATACTCAAAGGAGTTCAAAAGAGTTTCTACCTCCTGTGAACTCAGCTTGAGAAATGGTAGAGAAAAACAGAAAAGATTAGAGGTGTGGCTATGGGGCAAATTTCTAATCAAATCTTTGTTATCCAATTTTTGACTTCCTTACCTAGAAAGTGAATTAACTCATACCAATATATTCCTAAAAACATCTTTCTAAAACCTCTTGGACTAGATATTATAAGTTAGCTATGTCTGTGTCTTTGTTTATCCAGTGATTGGTGAATGCTTATAGCAGAAGAATGTTACTAAATCTCTAGCCAGGGAAGATGGCCCAAGTTTTTCAAAAGTCAATGGCTTGAGAAAAATGCATCAAAATGTGTTCAATAATCTAAGAAGTTCTATCTCATCTCAATTGCCTTATGAATTGTATTGTTTCCCTTTCTTTTTTCTTTCCTTCCTTTTCTAAAATTAAAATTGTATGTGTAAGGGGGTTATTTTCCTCCAGCTTCCTTTTGTATCTCCACATTGGAGTAATGAGGTATGGGATAGATCAAGAATTCATTTCAATTATGAGAAATTTCTATGTAGGAATTGATTAGTTTTTGATATAAGGAAAAAAGCCTTGCTCTTGTTCTCCTAAGCTTTCTGTGGTCTAAATTATAGTTCTCTTGGTAGTGACATGACCCTCAAAGTGTAATGTATTTCTTAAAACTATAGCATACATTTAGAGCTGGAAGAATTCCCTGTATCTCAAGAGGCATCTCCATTGAGAGAGACTGAGATTTCTAGAAAATTTGACATATGGCTGCCTATTTCTATAAGTACAACTTATGCCCAGAGAACTCATGTCTGGCAGTTGTTATTGACACAATGCAACTGCTACCCTCCAAATCTCTTTTCACTGTGCACCAACCTCATTATTAGAGCATTAATTGTCCAAAAACTTCTGTAGGTCTGAAAGATGGAGGTGGGGGCATATCTGCCAGCATTTCTAATTTTACCTACATAATCATACGTTAGTCTTGTCTTTTGCCTTATTGTCTGCTTGGTCAACCTATATTTAATCAGTCAGTTCTATCCCTGTATAAAAAAGCAAAGGTAAGTTGATAGACCAAAACACATTTATAGGTAAACTGCCAAATTTTCATCTATGTTAAAAATTTTCACTTTCATAACATGCTGTTATGTTGTCTCTCTGTCAAATTGACTTTTTAACTGAGGAGGATGTAAAACATGACATGTAGCAGATTATAATTTCAGAGGCAAGTTATAGTATAGTGATTTAAAGCCAGTGCTACATTGTATTTACTGCGGATATAAAATAATTTTGTCTGGTGCACAGGTAGAAAATTTTCAGGGGTGGGGTGAAAAGAGCTCTCTCAAACAGCCATGTAGTTCTACAGAGTGACTAAATGGTATAATAATTGTGGAATATTTCTTATAATAGGCATTCTGCAATTTGCTATTTTTAAGTCAATAGTTGTTTCTTAACTCCTTCAAGTTGGGGGTGGGGAGGAGTCTATTTATTCATCCCCTTATTTTAGAAATGAGTACAATCACAAGCAGAGGGAGGTAAAGGAATTTCCCAACCTCATTTTTACCATGGTTAACCTAGGCATATTGTCAATTATGAAACTACGGTAATGTTAAAAAAAAAAAAGTCACTCCCAAAGCATAAATTGTTAGCATATCTGAAGCATCTGTATTGGTGATAGCTGTCAAACTTTGTAGTACAAAATTCAAAGCCAGAATTTGAATGGGGTATTAAATATGAGGTTTCTATTTTGAAGCACTGTAAAGAGCAAAAAACTGAAAGCCCTAACGCAAATCTACTGTGCTGACATTTGAAACTCTTACAATAGATTTTACGTTTTATGCTTTTTAAAAACAAAGAACTTGAAATACACATTCCATTTTGCAAGGTGAGATATATTCTCTCTATGACAATAAAAACATAAAAATAAGGTATTTTATGTATTGAAATCCCAATGAATTTGAAATTTGCAAATGATCTCTTTCAGAGGACCTCAGGACAATAATTTTAAAACCTCTTGTGACTATATAATGATTCATATCCAGAAAGTGCTTGAAAATTGTTAAGCACTGATGGTTTGTAATACAAGTTGAAATAGTCCATATTGAAATGACCTCTGGTGAATTGGAGTGGGGCTGAAAAAACTGCTTTGCCAGGGATCATGTTAAGTGAGTGCTAGCAAGCAGGGAGACAGGTGTTTCCTGTTTCTAACCACATGGCATAACCATATAGATTAGCTGCAGGGAATCTAGCCAGAAGAACTTTTTTTTAAAAACCTAATTCAATTTACCACTGCTCATATGGAAATTGCTTTAGGTTTAAATTATATTCTAAATAATGTAAAACCCATAATTAAGATTTATATTCTTCTTTTTCATTTTTAATATACCAATACTATCCAATATCTCAGAAATATAAAAGCTTATAATAAGATAGACTCTCAAGATGTCTCATTCAAATTCTATGGTAATGTAGATATTCTCTCTACTACTTCCCTGGAAGATGGGCCACTATCCTCTGCCAGAACACCTCCATATTGGATAGGGAGGGGGTAGAACTCAAAGATTACTGAGACAAATCCATTTTTAGATCCTTTGAGGCTACTGTTTCCTGATGATTATTCAGATATCTTAAATGGAATTAAAATGTTAAGTGCCACATTTGAAAAATAGGAAAACATCATATTTGTACATCCTGCCTCTTTAGTTGGTCATGTATGAATGCTAGTTTGGATCACCAAACAATGTTGCCTTTTTATTCCTCAGCATATTTTTGTTATGTCTAACAGAATCCTGACTAGGAGGGAATGTTTTCTGGGAATAATAACGCTAATAAAGACATGTGGTTATCAAGTGGCATCTGTATGTCTGTGGTTCTCAGCCCCCTGGAACACAGTCATCCAACACACTCTGGAAAGTCAGGCACTACAGGGCACATAAGAAAGAGAAGGTCCAGATTCTTTGTCCCTGCTGTGGCACATAATCATCTGATTATGTGCAAGAGAGTAACAGAATGCAAGAGGCAAACTCAGTGACGTGTCACCCAACTTGATTATAAAGGGGAGAGTCTTGAGTTATCACAGAGCAGAGAATGATATAGGAGATTACTAAAGTATCATTTGCTTAGGGCTAAAGACTGTATGGAAATGACGTACAATCAGAAGAGTAGGCTTTTCCTCCATACTTTCTACCTATAAAGAACTGACAAATAATTATAGCACCTTAATCTCTGTTGGGCTGTGAGGATTTTGAATGTATGCATAAGTCTATATTTGCAATTAGGACAGCACACTCCAGGGGCTGAGTTTGTGAGCCAGAGGGAGAGACCGTGAGCCAGATCCCAGCACCTCTACTTCATCCCTGTAACCCTGGACAATGTATTTAACTTTTTTCTGCCTAAATTTCTTAATCTAAGAAGTGGAGATAAAAATCTGTACCAAATAGGGTTGAGGTAATGATTAAATGAGTAAGTGGCACAGAGCTTTCACTTAGCATTTTATTTTTATTATTGTGGAGAAATAGGAATTCTTTTACGCTGTTGGTGGGAGCGTAAATTAGTTCAACCATTGTGGAAGACAGGGTGGCGATTCTTCAAGGTACTAGAACTAGAAATACCATTTGACCCAGCAATCCCATTACTGGTTATATATCCAAAGGATTATAAATCATTCTGCTATAAAGACACATGCACACCTATGTTTATTGCAGCACTGTTCATAATACCAAAGCCTTGGAACCAACCCAAATGCCCATCAATGATAGACTGGATAAAGAAAATGTGGCACATATACACCATGGAGTACTATGCATTCATATAAAAGGATGAGTTCATGTCCTTTGCAGGGACCTAGATAAAGCTGCAAATCATCATTCTCAGCAAAGTAACACAGGAACAGAAAACCAAAAACCATATGTTCTCACTCATAAGTGGAAGTTGAACAATGAGATCACACGGGCATAGGGAAGGGAACATCACACACCAGGACCTGTCAGGGAGTGGGGAACAAGGAGAGGGATAGCATTAGGAGAAATACCTAACGTAGATGATGGGTTGTTTGGTGCAGCAAACCACCATGGCACATGTATACCTATGTAACAAACCTGCACGCTCTGCATATGTATCTCAGAACTTAAAGTATAATAAAAAAAGTCTTAAGTGTCATTAAGGATATTCCATGGTGTTTTGTTTTTCTCATTTGTAAGGGAACATACCTTGCAAACTCTACACTTTTTTGTTTGTAACCTGGGCTATGAAACCTCAAAGAAAGAGGGTTTCTTGGTAGAAGAAACAATGTTTTTAGTTTTTTTTCTTTTCTTTTTTATCTGGCTGAATCCTCAGTTTTGTGGAACTTAGCAGTTATGCACTGAGGTTCTGCCCACACAGGTAGTAATTTCCTGGGCCGCGGGCTGAAAGCAAAAGACTGCACATGGTGGCTGGGACTTCCTCAGCTCTGGACAGATGTGAGCACATTTTGGCCAAAAAACAAGGGAGTGGGAGAGGGAGAGATTTCTCAGAGCAGAGCTTTGCTATTGTCTTTTGAAAGGGAAAAAAGATTATACCTCTAGGTTAAAAAGCAAAACTAAACCGCAGTTATGTAATTTTGAAAGATTCCTAAATCAGTATTGGCATTATTTGTAAAACATCAGACTTCAAAGAAATAACCTAAGAATTTCATGTGACCTCATACTTCATATACTCCATTAAAAATGCAATTTGTAAAACATATATCAAATGGTTAGTCTCAGGAGAATATGCCTCAGTAAAGACCAGACGCATGGTCTATTTCAACTGTGTGTGGCTCTTCATTTTTTCCCCTATTTCTTCACATGCGGGACAGGACTTCTAGATGAATAAAGATACGGTGTGTTTTCCAGGACATAATTATCTTTGGGCTGTGATCAAGCATGAGAAATTTCTATCCTGTGGAATAATATTTGAAAGTTATAAAATGAATGCAAGTTCATGGGTAATTCTACTTTCATATCGTAAACATACTGTAATTCAAATATATTTTCTATGGAAAATACTTAGGAATTTCTAAATTATATATTTTCTGGTAATATACAGATTTGGGATCTTCACAAAATTGTAGTGTGGCAAAAATGTTAGAGATTTTCTAGTCCAGTACTCCCATTTTGCAAACAGGTAAATAAAGACATAAATCATTTCAGCGAGGGAATGCATTCTAATGTTGTGATTAAAAACTAGCTTTCTGTTTCGGTGCTAACTCTAGCCAATTGCTAGTGTCTCTGTACTCATTTCTTCTGAGAAAGATTGAGAGGTTAAGTTCAGATTCAGCTGGAAAGGGTGCTACGATCAATTAACATCTACCAGAGACATAGGATCAGATATGAGAAAGCAAAATAGTCTTGAAATAGTTGATGGGAGTTGTTAACTAGAAAAAGCTTACAAAGTCGATAAGACCTGGCAGTAGGTCATGGTGCTACACTTTCTTTTTGAATAAGTTTAGACTCATTTCTTAACATTTCTATACCTTGGTTAGGCGCAGTGGCTCACGCCTGTAATCACATCACTTTGGGAGGCCGGGGCTGGAGGATCACAAGGGTCAGGAGTTTGAGACCAGCCTGGCCAATATGGTGAAACCCTGTCTCTGATAAAAGTACAGGAATTAGCCAGGCATGGTGGTGGGCGCCTGTGGTCCCAGCTACTTGAGAGGCTGAGGCAGGAGAATCGCTTGAACCTGGGAGGCGGAGGTTGCAGTGAGCTGAGATTGTGCCACTGCACTCCAGCCTGTCTCAAAAACAAACAAACAAAAAACACCATAAAAAGCATTTCTATACCTCAATTTTCTCGTTGGTGACGCAGGAATAAATTAATTATTGGGAAAATATTTGCTAATTTGACTAGAGCTTTCTTTACAGCACTATATTTACTTTTCAGAAGCAATGATGCTATGTTTCGTATCGGCTCACCTACTCTCCAGACTGGCTTTAGTAGCCCATGTTATGACAGTGAAAAGACACTCAAAAGAATCTGTGGAAAATTTAGTATAAACTACCACATAAAGAAAAAAAAATTTTTTTGAAAAAAGTCACACGAAAGGAAAACCTGAGAAATATCACAATATACGATGTTAAATACTACATGGGCAAGCATATTTAAACTCTGCTATGAACTACTCATGAGGAAGAAAAAGTTCATAACCAGGTGTCGTGGCTCACGCCTGTAATCCCAGCACTTTGGGAGGCCGATGAGGGTGGATCACCTGAGCTCAGGAGTTCGAGACTAGCCTGGCTGACATGGTGAAACCCCATCTCTACTGAAAAAAACATACAAAAAAATTAGTTGGGTGTGGTGGTGGGCACCTGTAATCTCAGCTACTTGGGAGTCTGAGGCAGGAGAATTGCTTGGACCTGTGAGGCAGAGGTTGCAGTGAGCTGAGATCATGCCGTTGCACTCCAGCCTGGGCAACAAGAGCGAAACTCCATCTCAAAAAAAAAAAAAAAAAGAAAAGAAAAAGTTTATTTAAAAAATAAAAAATTACACAAGAAATCTAAAGGGCCATATCATAATAAGCCAACTCTCTAGAGATTTTCCTAAGAGCAGATAAAGAAAGCATGGTCAAGTCAAACTTCTCAGAGACAGAGGTGACTATATTTTGTGCTGGAAAAACTATTTCTGCAAGACTAGCAAGTTGGTGTTCTGAGTGAACAAAACTGTAGGTAAACTAGTACCAGGACAACGAACATTACAATGGGAACTTTCGTGTTGACAACTCTGACCACATGAAATTGAATGGTGGCAACAAAATGGGAATTCCTCTCTTTATAAAGCTATAGATAAAACAGGAAAATACAAACGAGTTTTCTGCTTCTGTTGACCATGCATCTGCAGAACTAAAGAAAAAAAATCTTTCCAAATGCTTAGACTAAAATTAGTACCATCTTTGTGGCTGTCTTCAGTAACATTGATGTCTTTCTTTCATTTTAATAAATTTAGGGTTGTCAATAATGTAAATTGTTTTAGTGATAAATTTGTACTTGATTTTTTTTGTTTGTTTTTAGGCTGTGGTGTGAGACTTAGATTGTTAAAAACAGCTGTTGTGAGAGTTGTGAAAATAGAGAATTCCTAAAATGACCAAAGGCCAGGAAATATCTGTGGCTAAGATAAAGGAGTAATAATTTCCTCTCAACCCGGGGTGAAAGTAAAATGAGGACAGCACATTGTAATATTCTAGAACTGTTCAAGGCCTAAAAATTCCACAAGAAAGAATTTTTTAGAGCTGAAGAGAACATTTAAAACATAACCGCATATTTTATACACACTTGAAAACACATTTGTTCATCTTTGACTTGGCTGGTGAAATTGATATCATCATGTGTAAAGTGAGACTTTCTAACTTATATAACTTAGAATAAGAATAATACTTATTAAGTGTGTACTATATACCAGGCACTGATAATTCAACTGTATCTTGAGACTTTGCTGAAGTTTCTTATCAGTTCAAGAAGTTTTTAGGCTGAGATGATAGGGTTTTCTAAATAGAAAATCATGTCATCTGCAAACAGAGACAACTTGACTTCCTCTCTTCCTATTTGAATACCCTCTATTTCTTTCTCTTGCCTGATTGCCCTGGCCTGAACTTCCAATACTATGTTTAATAGGAGTGGTGAGAGAAGGCATCCTTGTTTTGTGCCAATTTCCAAAGGGAATGCTGTCAGCTCTTGCCCATTCAGTATGATATTGGCTATGGGTTTGTCATAGTTATTATTTGGAGATATGCTCCATGAATACCTAGTTTATTAAGTTTTTAACATGAAGCCCTGTTGCATTTTATCAAGGGCCTTTTCTGCATCTATTGAGATAATCATGTGGTTTTTGTCATTGGTTCTGTTTATGTGATGGATTATGTTTATTGATCTGTGTATGTTGAACCAGCCTTGCATCCCAGGGATGAAGCCAACTTGATCGTGGTAGGTAAGGTTTTTGATATGCTGCTGGATTTGTTTTCCCAGTATTTTATTGAGGATTTTCACATCGATATTCATCAGTGATATTGGTCTTAAGTTTTATTTTTTTGTTGTGTCCCTGCCAGGTTTTAGTATCAGAATGATGCTGGCCTCATAAAATGAGTTAGGGAGGAGTCCCTCCTTTTCAATTGTTTTGAATAGTTTCAGAGTGAATGGTACCAGCTCCGCTTTGTACCTCTGGTAGAATTCGGTTGAGAATATATTTGGTCCTGAGCTTTTTTTGGTTGGTAGGCTATTAATTACTGCCTCAATTTCAGAGCTTGTTATTGGTCAATTCAGGGATTCAACTTCTTCCTGGTTTAGTCTTGGGAGGGTACATGTGCCCAGAAATTTATCCATTTCTTTTAGATTTTCTAGTTTATTTGCATAGAGGTGTTTATAGTATTCTCTGATGGTAGTTATATTTCTGTGGGATCAGTGGTTATATCCCCTTTATCATTTTTTATTGTGTCTATTTGATTTTTCTCTCTTTTCTATTAGTCTAGCTAGTGGTCTATTTTGTTAATCTTTTCAAAAAACCAGCTCCTGCATTCATTGATTTTTTTGAAGGGTTTTTCATCTCTCTATCTCCTTTAGTTTTGCTCTGATCTTATTTATTTCTTGTCTATTGTCACTTTTGGATTTGTTTGCTCTTGCTTCTCTATTTCTTTTAATTGTGATGTTAGGGTGTTGATTTTAGATCTTTCCAGCTTTCCAATGTGGGTATCTAGTGTTATAAATTTCCCTCCTAACACTGCTTTAACTGTGTCCCAGAGATTCTGGTATGTTGTCTCTTTGTTTTCATTGGTTTCAAAGAACTTCTTGATTTCTGCCTTAATTTTGTTATTTACCCCGGAGTCACTCAGGAACAGGTTATTCCATTTCCATGTAGTTGTGTGGTTTTGAGTGAGTTTCTTAATTCTGAGTTCTAATTTGATTGCACTGTGGTCTGAGAGACTGTTATGATTTCTGTTCTTTTGCATTTGCTGAGGAGTGCTTTACTTCCAATTATGTGGTTGATTTTAGAATAAGTGCCATGTGGCACTGAGAAGAATGTATATTCTGTTGATTTGCGGTGGAGAGTTCTGTAGATGTCTATTAGGTCTGTTTGATCCAGAGCTGAGTTCAAGTCCTGAATAGCCTTGTTTATTTTCTGCCTCATTGATCTAATATTGACAGTGGGGTGTTAAAGTCTCCCACTATTATTGTGTGGGAGTATAAGTCTCTTTGTAGGTCTCTAAGAGCTTGTTTTGTGAATCTGGGTGCTCCTGTATTGGGTGCATATATATTTAGGATAGTTAGCTCTTCTTGTTGAATTGATCCCTTTACCATTATGTCATTATATCCTTCTTTGTCTTTTTTTGATCTTTGTTGGTTTAAAGTCTGTTTTATCAGAGGCTAGGATTGCAACCCCCTTTTTTTTTATGCTTTCCATTTGCTTGGTAAGTTTCCCTCTATCTCTTTATTTTAAGCCTATGTGTGTCTTTGCACGTGACATGGGTCTCCCAAATACAGCATACTGGTGGGTCTTGACTATCCAATTTGCCAGGCTGTGTCTTTTAATTGGGGCATTTAGCACCAAATTAAGATTCCAAAAGGCATTCTGGCTGTTGAAATTTTCAGCATTTTTGCCCTGGTTTTTCCTCATCTTTGTGGGTTTATCTACCTTTGATCTTTGAGGCTGATTACCTTTGGATGGGTTTTTGTAGAGGGTCTTTTTTGTTGATGATGTTGTTGTTTTCTGTTTGTTAGTTGTTTGGATTTTTTATAGGTAAAAGATAATATAAACTAAAAGAAAAAGACATAAAATATAGTCTTCCTCACATATAGGAAGTTAAACAGTCATATTCTTCCACTATGTATGCCATGTATTTATTATTTAGTTCAATGTTTATTTTGATTTAAATTATAAATTAACATGTGACCTTTTAAAAATTGAAAATATAGAAAATATATAGAAGAGAAAAATAATCATAATTTCACCATCCCAAAATATTCATTAACATTCTATTTTCTTTTATTTTTTTTTATTAACACAAATGCACTGGGTATCATATTTTTATATTGTATCATTAGCATTTTCATCTCCCAAAAGATCTTTAAAAACATGTTATTCATTTTATGTCTGTAACAAATGAAATTTAGACGTTTCTCTATTCTTGGAATTAAGTTCTAGGTTTTGTTTTCAATTTTTGCTAATATTAATTCACTTATAAACATCTTTGTACATAAAATTTTATATATATAAATATATATATATATAGCTAATATATATATAAATATATATATATATATATATATATAGCTAATAACTCATTTAGAATAAAATCCTAGAAGTAAAATTTCAAGATCATTCCTAAGCCTCTTGAAACATATCGTTTTTGTGTGGTCAACTGCTATCATCTGAATTTGCTTTAACTGTACTTCTTTCCAGTTTTTCATAATTTTTGAAATAATTTTTTATACTTAAATTCTAAACAAATCTGGATTTTATTGTTATTGTTTTATTATTGCTATTTTTGTATGAGATTTTGTAAGATATGAGACCTTACATTTTTCCATATTACATACTATGATTCATTTAAAAATACATTTTAAGATATTAATACCTTTTAACATTAAAATTTGGAATTTTTAATAATCATTCTGTTCTGTGTCTATTTTTCCTGATGTAGTATTCCAAAAAACTCTTGTACAAATTTTTCTTAATTTAAATAAAAGGGCCAAATTTATTTTGAGAAATCTGTCCTGCAATGCCAAGACACAGAGCACAATGGAATAAATATTTGAAGTTTAATTAATAGAAATATTGAATGCTATGTAAAATTTCTGGATCTAAAGGTCTCCTAGGATGTATTACAGATCACAACTTTCTCACTAAAGCTTGTTTCAAAAACTAGAAGACAACATATACTAAAATATTTGAATTTAAAGGATCAAATATTGAGTGTGATCTTGATCCAATGGAGGATAGAACCTCTTCTTGTCCCTTCTTGCCTCTATTTGCCCAACAATGGGCAAATAAATGCCCATTGTTGGCCTGTCACCTGTTTTTAAGTTCCAGGTAATTTCCCTATAGAAATCATCTCTGAAAATTTATAATTTATGTTAATTTTTACTGTACTCAAAATGAATTAATCATATTGCTACAGGGCACTTTAATAGTCTGAGTAAACAATATTCTTAAAACAAGTAATAACGATGATACTTGGTGAAAGCTAAATTAATTACTTATAGAAAAATACTAAATTTAACAAAAGCTCTGAATGTTCCACGTTAGTAACCCATTTCTCATATTAGGAAAACAAGTATAAGACAAATAGTTACCCCTAAATCCCACAGCTTATATTTAGCAGAATCAGCATTTAAAACCCGGATTTGAATGACTCAAAAGTCCTGCCCTTTTCCACTGACATATCATATTTACTTGGCAAAAAAGGATCCAGGCAATGTGGAATCAGAAACTGGTTCAAGTAATACCTACATGCCATAAGTGCTTGATATGAGGAGTAGCACATATTTTCTATGTGAAGTTAATTCATTGCCAACAGCCAGAAAGTCACATCCTAGTTCTATGAGACTCTAAACCCGAAGTACTGACCAATCCTTGCATATGTATCAGTTGTTATGAATCCACAGAGCAGTTGAACCACAAAGCTAGCAGCCTCACTCTCTGCATATCAAAATATAGTTTAAAGGATATTGGACCGAAATTTGTCTCTATCCAAAATAAGCCATGTGTAACCCTAGCTCTGTGTTTCTTTCAACTGTTTATTGGAAGACTTTTATTTCCTTTCCTTTGGCAACATATATCCTATTTTACATTGTTAAATTCCGACAGTCAAGTAATGTGTAAAACAACTTGACTCAAGATTGTGATTTGCTCTTAGAAGCGTATCTTACCCCTCTGAGATTGCCTTATTATGAGTGGAGGCTTGTAGCATTCTAAAAAGGGTCAAAGTGAGATTGCCATTATAGTAAGAGTTTAAAGACAATATTTTACCTAATAGATATACATACATGGTTTGCCTATCTAGATACAGCCTTATTATTCTCTAAGCTAAATTGCTTTAAATTAGTAAACAGATTCTTTATTGTCTACTTTATTTTGTTACTTTTAAATAGCTGTATTTTTCTTTAATTAAAAATGGATAATAAAAGCTTATTGTAAACAAAAAATACAATATATAAACTTTCCCTCTTCCCCCAATTCTCCCAGCCCTAATGGTATCTCATGATCTACACCATTTTTTAATTTGTTCACTTAAGGTAGCAAGGTAAATGTTATGCACTATTTCCTTTAACAGCATCATAAAATTTCATAGGGTTCAAGTACACTAATATTTTCAAAAGACATTTTGCCATAAATACTCTTAGTCAGAACTCTTAGTTGTAAAGATAGAAATTCAATTTGTAATATCTTAATCAACAACAAGCTATATATTAGATATACATTGCGGTAGTGTAGAAAACTGAAGGAAGGGCTAAACATCGAAGCTGCAGCAAGGGTAACTCCAAAGTCAGAGCAGTTCAAACCACACAACAAATGCCTGTAGGATTTGGTCTATCACAAACTTCTATTTTTCTCCATGAGTCATATTTATTATCTTTGACTACAGATGGGCTTCTCTGCATAATGAGCAAAATAGCCATCTGCAGCTCTGTACTCAAAACCTCCTACCTCCGAAGCTACAGAGTACGGAGACCACCTCTCCGGTTTAAAAATTCTTCCAAAATATTCTGCCTGGGCCAAATTGGGATACTTGCCAACACTTGAACCACCAAAGTTGGGGGAATGAAGTATCATTATTGACCCAGCTGGAGTCCCTACTCTGTCACCAGTGTCTGCAGTGGTCAACTCTCAAATATTTATGAAGTAAATACCCCAGAGACAACTTTGTTAAAATATAAACATTGGGAAAAAATGTCCAAGGACTTAATAAACATCCTTTGTCTATAATACACAAGTATTATAATTATAATTTTAAAACATAATATAAATAACTGTATTCACAATATATTGTAATACTAACAAGATTATTTGTAATCACCAAATCCACTATTTAACCTGTTATTTGAGACTAATTAAAGGACTGATGACTGCATGCCCGATTTTATGATTAAGTCAGTTATTCAATTGGTTTAAAGCATCAAATAAACTTTTAAAAAGTATTAACAGTTTAAAATCTTTCATTGTTTATTTTTTCCTTCCTTCCAGAAATATTTATTGAACATCTATTAAGTGTGAAGCCCTGGTCTAGGTGATAGAAATACAGCTGTTTATATGACAAGTTCAAATCATGCCACCAATGAGCTAATTAGGGAAGTCAATAAATACATAAATATGTAAAGTAATATCAGGTATTGAAAAGTACTATTAGGAAAACACAGACATCAGAGGTAAGAGAGTGATGGTATGTATAAAGACTTGATATTTTAGATGAGGTGTCTAGGGTAGCTGGCTGTCTTTGAGTGTTATTTGAGAAAGAATTATGCAAATTATTGAGGTCCAAGAAAATTACATCTACAAGGTCCCTAAGGTAGGATCCAACAATCATAAAACTGCAAAATATCTAGGGAGGTTTGAGCAGGGATGAGAGAGGTAGGAGATGGGGTGGGAGAAGGTTATGGGGGTTGGATTATGCAAGAAGAATCTGATTTTGTTTTAAATCATTTCCATGGCTTCTGTTATGGGACTATTGTGCTGCAAGAGCAGGTCTGCAGAGTGAAGCAGAAGAACTTCTACCATTGTAATTTTAATAATAAGTTTTGTCCATCCTCTATTGTGCTAGCAACTTTTTTTGGTAACTACAAATAAACACTTTATAAGAAACTTAATTTCGTTGCATTGAATCAATTTTATTTTTTCATGGAAAAAACACTAAGAGTTGAGAATAAAATTATGAGGATGACACTTAAGAAACTTAAAGTTAGTCAGGGGAAATCAACAAATAAAAAAAAGTGATTAATCCATTGGAAGGACATCGTCTGACAGAAGGAACACCTAAACCAGTTTTTAAAAAGATAGGAGGATGGTGAAAAATGTGCAAAGACTGGAAGCGAGGGAGTGTGAGTTAAGTGCAAGATGTTCAAGGAAGTCAGTATGACTGAGGCAAAAAATAGAGGGGTTTGTTTTGATTTTGATTGGGGTTTAGAGTCTAGGAGTTAGAAAGCTTGGGGCAGATGAGGAGCAAAGATAAACAGAGGCCAGAAGATAAAGGGCCTTAAAGCTCTACTAAGGATATTGGATATTATCTTTGGAATAATAGGAATCCCCGAGGGGTTAAAACAAATTAATGCATCAGATTTGGATTTCAGAGACATCTTTGCAGTATGCAGAAGCACTTAGAGCAATTCAAGACTGGATGTAAAAAGACTAATGTGTGTGGTAATATGATAAATATGAAAATAAATCTATAGATTGAAGAGAGATATAAAGTTATTATGAATAAGACTGGATGGTTAGGAATGGAATTAGGACACTTGAGAACAAGTTTCTGGTATTAATTTAGATTCCATCAATTTAGACTGAAAATTTGATAACCAGATTTAAATTAACTTCTGATAAACTTAAAAAAACTCAATGCAAATTAATAGTGCCAACAAAATGGGGCAGAAAAGTTTGAAAAACAGAGTTCTACCTATATGTAAATAATAATTATAAATATATATTTTAATAATATACCTGATTATAGAACCCATGAATGTGGTTTTAAAAATGCTGCTTATTGAGACCAACTGTATTAAAATGGCAATTTAAATCGTTTATTCATTCACATCTGCTTTTTATATCTTCCTAGGTTAGCAAGATTTCATTGTATATTAAATTCTATTATTATTCATAAAGTGTATGTGCAGATACCATTATAAGAAGTACTGATGACTGTATTTTTAAATAAGTATTGGTTAATAAGCAACAAGAAGTTACCATTTTATACTCAGTTCTTAGGTGAGATAGCATAGTTCAGAGGATCTATCCAAAGCTGGTCTATCAGCTTTATATCTAGAGAGATATGAATATGTAGTAAAAATGAAGATTTGTTTTAATAGATTATATGTAATAGATAATAATCTGAGTCATGATGTTCCATACACACTTATTAATTAGATAGGCCCATATAGGATCATTGTAAGAATTACATAAATTAATACATTTCCAACAAAAATGCATTACATTCTAAAGCCCTAATAAAACATTATGTTTTTGTGATGGTTGGAATGGTGATTTTTACTCTGGCACTCAGATTTACTCTGGCACTTATTTCTGGCACTTAGATGTCCTCTTCCTGTGTCACTTTTACATTTGAAATTTTAAAGACATATGAAAAAGTTAGTCTTTCAGTTGCCTGTCATTAAGTATTTCTCTAAAACAAAACTATACAGATGGAAATAGCCAAAACAAAGCATGCATTAAGAGGCATTAAAGGCAACATTCATGTTTTACTTTGATGAATCCATGTGTGGAGAATGAGAGTGTTTGTTTATCATTTAACTTACTTACCTCTACATAAATATTTAATAAAGTTGTTTTTAAGTTCAATTAACTTTTTAAAAAGAAAATAGAGAACCTTAACCTCATCAATTCATTGATATTTTATGCAAATTGTAGGGCCATTTATAGCAATAGTTTCAGGTTCTTTAAAATAGACATCAGATTCTGATTACTGTAAACTGAAACACTGAGAAAACAATGCATTTCAATTATGAAATATCTGAAAACTTACATCTGTTCTTGTGAGACACATCATTGCTTTGACGTCAGTGACCTAACCACACGAACTAAGAATTTTTAAAAAGTACTCTTGATGGTATGTTTTATGATGTTCAGGGTCCCAGCCATTCCTCGGAAATGTGTTTTTTTGTTTTTTTTTTTGTTTGTTTGTTTTTGTTTTTGATGAATGAGTCTAAAGGCTGAGTGGCTATCAAACAATTCTTTTTGGTTTACATTGTATTATGAAAATAATATAAAAACCCTGTGTACTTTTCTTGTTTTTCCTTTCTATAGTTTTTGGGGAACAGGTGGGTTTTTGTTACCTGGATAAGTTCTTTAGTGGTAATTTCTGAGATTTTGGTGTGCCCATCACCCCCTCCGTGTACTTTTAAAATGAGTAAGTTGTGAAAATGTCAACTAGTTTGCTATTTAGAGGGTCCTCATAAAGTAACAAAATGATACATAACACATTTGCACAGCAAGTCCTCACTTAGAGTTGTAGATATGTTCTTGAAAACTGCGACTTCAAGTGAAACAACATATAACAAAACTAATTTTACCATAGGCTGGTTGACACAAACAAGAGCTTAGTTCCTACCACACATTACTGGTCATAAAAACATGACCAAATCTCTAACTAAAGACCAAAAGACTTCTAATAATAAACATCGAGATAAATGTGAGCTATACCTACCTTTAAGAAAGATTAGTGTAAACAAGTAAGGTAATTTACTCAGTTATTCTAGTTCAGGACTGTGGGTAGCCAGAGCCTGTCCTGGCAGCTCGAGGTGCAAAGTGGGAACAAGCCTTGAACAGGACACCATCCCTCAAGGGAGCACTCATGCCCACACCCACAGTCACCATACTGGGATAACTGAGACACCCCAATTAACCTAACATGTACCCCTTGGGGATACGAGAGGAAACTGGAGTACCTGGAGAAAACCCACACAGACACGAGGTGACTGCAAACCACACAAGACAGTGGCTCCCACCTGAAATTGATTTCAATTTTCTCATCAATGCTACAACAAAACAACACTGAATGAAATGACATTATTGGAGGACCTGCTGGATATTTTGCAAGAGATTAACGATAAATACCATGTTTCTTGAGAAGAATTAAGTTGTGTATGGATTGTAAAAGGAGTATTCTATATTCCTTTGAAATAATTCAAAGGTCATCTCAATTAATGGTGAATCCATTCTTTCCACTGATCAAAGCAAAACAGCTGTAGTCATTCTTGACTCTTATTTCACTCACACTCTCTATCCAATTCATAAGCGACTATTGTTGGCTTTACTTTCAAAACATACCGAGACTTTGCCTACTTTCTATCACCTCCACAGCTATCACTTTGATCCTAGTTACCATCATCTCTAGCCTATTTACTGAAACATTATTGCAGCTATATCTTCCACACTTGTCTCTAGGGTCTGTTCAGCTCTAGCAGCTGGAGTGATCCTGCTAAATAATTTCACTTTTACACGTAAACCTCCCAATGGCTTCCGATTGTTCAGAGTAAATTCCAAAATTTCTACAACATCCTTTAGTTTACATCATCTCATCGAACCTATGCTCTTTGCAACCTTATTTCTTACAACTCTTGTACTTGCTTGTTTCACTTCAGCCAAATTTGCCTCTTTACTGCTTCTTAAGCAAGCTGGTTGATTAAACTCTTCCCTCAGGCTTTAGCGTTTGCTCTTGCCTCTGTGTAGAACACTCTTTCCCAACATATTCATATGGTTTGCTTCATTTTCTCATTAAAAGTATTTTTGCCAATCTTACCTTCTCATATCTCCGTGAGACCTTCTCTATTTGCTGGCCTTCTGATAGAAAATGGTAGCCTCAAACAGGTAACTTAAGAAATGATTAGGCATTATTTAAAAAGAGTGGGAAGAATTAAGGAAGTACAAAAACATGGTGAAGCACGCAGAGATTAGCAACAGCTGGAACCTATTATAATCTCTAGAGTGAAAGCACAAGGGGAAAACAGCTGTTACTGAATGTACAGGGAGATGTAGTTTTGAGAGAGAAGTTACCAGATAGGAGCTTATGGCTGTAGATAGAGAAACAGAGGCAGTAACTAACTATAATTCCCCAGGGGAGAGAGGAAAGGCAATAGATATCTTGATATCTCTCTCCTTTCGTCGTATGATTGCCTTCTGGGCCTCACATTGGCTGAACTCAAACAAAGGCTAAGAGTGAAGGAGTTCCACATTCGCCATCGAGGAAAGCCTCTAAGAGTGGGAAAGAGAAAGCCAAAGTAAGAGTGAGAGAAAGAAAGTCTCTCCTTACCATCCAGATGCTGGATGGAAAAATGGAGAATATTCTCATTGTCCATCCCTTTTCTACTTCAGAATCTATTATTTAAAAAAAATAGCTGTACTGAGATATAATTTACGTGCCATGAAATCGACCATTTTAAAGCTCAATTCCCATTAACAAAGATAAGAAAAAATGATCAATCTGTACCTGGAAAAGTCAGCAGCATATGTTTGCTGCCTTACCGTAGGGCCATGTCAACTCTTCTCTCTGTCATATTATAGTCCAGGACAGCCATGATTATCTTGCTGGTCCATTACAAGGACATCATGCCATGTTATCACAATGTATCCAATAAGTTTGCTTATTTCCGTATGTCACATCCAGCAAGCAAAACTCTTTTACCCTTTCCAGGTACAGTTCAACTACTTCTACTTATCTTTGTTGATGAGAATTGAAAAGAAAGTAATTTCTTGTTCAAAAGCTGTATATCAGGTACCAAGGAATGATTTGCTCCAATCATATCAAGAAGAGCAACTGAATTTAGCTTCAGCTTCTGATCATCTTCAAGAAAATCCACAGTTATTATTCATGATCCATCTCATTTTGCAATGCCTAAAGAGACCAGTTAAATAGGGACAAGAGAGGAATTGCAAATCCTGTATTTTTCAACATGTTAATGATAATGCTAATCTCTGTGATTCTCCAAGAGGCATAGTGTTGCCTTGAATGTACTATTTTGGATAGAGAGCCACATTTATATGGCCTTCCATTAGAAATTTTCTATCATAGTATCTCTTTATCCATGGTGAGGTAATTACTGTGGCCAGTTTTGCCAGTTACTGTTATAATTTTTACTGTGAATGCTTGTGCTAAGTAAATAACCACAGGCTGGATCACTGGTTCCACTGTGAGACAGACTCTGGCCAAGACACCACCTATCATCTTACTTTAATAAGCATCTGCTCTAATTGATGGATATTAGTGGTATTTTGGATTTCTAAGAATTAAACTCAGTGAAAAGCCAGTATCTATTTAATCGTACAAACATCTGTCCATTCTCTCCAGTCTAGAGTTCTAACACTGGGGCATGTTGAAATATGTCTTTCTATAGGCCTAGAGGCAAGGAAAATTGGCGTAAAAGACAATTAAGAGAATCTGTAGCTCCTTGATATTGGTGAAGTTATTCACAGGTTTTTTATACAAGGAGAGGCTTGTTTTCTCGGGGGATAAGGTGGGGGAAGAGGCAGTTTTCTCTTCTAGGGACTATTGAGAATGATTTGAGTTTTCTGTGGCTTCTATCTTGTCTTTCTGTGTCTGCCCAAATGTCCTCATATCATATTTTAGGGTGCTATTCCTAGTAAGCCTGTGTCCGCTCTTGGCAGAAGAGACTGAAGATGTTACATGTTTAACTGGAATTGTGAATTTTTAACCCTAGTCATTAGGCCTTGGGCTGGGTATTCAGCCATATCTTCTCTGTGGCTAAATAAGTTAATATTTTTTAGAACTCCCTGAAAATCAGTTGACTCTCCACTCATGATTTGAATTTTGAATTCAAGGCTTTCAGTGTGTTTCTTGTTTTTCATGTTTTTAGACTAATCAGAAAAAGCCAGCTCATCATGTGGTTTTTATAATCATCATCACCATAGTGATGAAAGACTTCACTACCACAAGTTTTGCAAATGCCTTACCGTCCACCCATGCCACCACCAGTGATAATTTGAGTAAGCCTAATACCAATGCAAGCCACAAATTCGCAATGTCTCATTTAATTTCAACAAAGAGAATCTTTGCATCCATTGAATAGAAGAATAGTTCCAAATCCAATTTAGAAGGTCTATTTCTTGAAGGCAAATTTGGTAAAAATTAAGGTGTCAAACGTTTTCCAGGTAGGAGATAGTTCATTAAAAGGAGGATTTAAACAGTTTAAGGTGAGTACGTACATAGGAATAAGCAGAGTAAAGGGAAGAAGTAGGTGATAGAAAACCACCTGAGGAGAATTGTTGATGGGAAGCCCTTAAACCGCCTAGGCTTGATAGGCAAGAATGGGGAACAATTAAGAGATTACATTCAAGAGGTGTGTTGATAGTATCAAAGTTGCACAACAGTATCTGTGTCTTGGATAGTGGACCATTGCCACTGCCAAACCATGACCCATCGTGGGTGGTTAGGAGAAATAAATAACCAGACCTCTCTCCCTTCTGGTCTCCTGCTGGTAACTTGCATTGTCCAAATTCAACTAGGATCCACAGGACAAGAGAACCTGGTTGATAAAATATATAAAGAGATAACTTTCCTGAGGCACAGAACAGGATAAAGACATGTCCCACATTGTTCTAAATGTCAGGGCGTTGGTTTTGATGAAATTATAAATTCCTACGTTGCAGGCCAATAGAGTGGATTTCCTGGATAGATATCAATAGTGCTCAACATACATTGGACATTAAATATTTAAAATTTAACAACATGTATTCATATAATAAGTGCTCCAGAGAGTCTATTTGTTAGGCTGTAACTTTTATTGAAAAAGGGATAACACAAAACATTTTAAAAATTGTATTAAAATAATACAGTAATTCTGGGTGTATTTTAGCTGTTCAGATCCTTAGTTTCTGATTTGTGGCTTATGTTCTTCTTTGCTCCTTACACTTTTTGCTTTGGCTGCATTGCTACCATTTCTGGGTGGTTCTTTGAAATATCTGTGAAAGAGCATAACTTCTCAGCATGTTTTATGGAGTGTGTTGTGTTTTTGTAGCATTGCAATTTTTTTAAGTAGCTGTTTTGCAGAATCTTTTTCTATGTACTTCAGCAGATCTGTAACCCCACACAATACATTATTATTTCAGTAGGACATGAAAAACAATAACAATGTTGATCAAAAGAGCCAGAGGAAAGACACGATTACAATTCAGGAAAGCAAAAGACAAAAAAGCAGATGAACAGATAGTATTTATTATAACTGAAGGCTAAGAAATCATTGCAGCTGGAATGACCACTAGAACAGGTGGGTTTTTGAACAACACTGTTTTATTTATTTTTTTCCTGATTTATAAAAGTAACACATGTGTACGTCCATTGGAAAAACTTTGAAAATTATGTGTATAAGAAAAAATAAAAACAATGTCACCTAGAAAAACCTCTTTAAACATACGACTATCATAGTTCAAAAAAACTATTTTTTTACTTTAAAGTATTTCATTAGCATTTTACTATGTATTAAAATTACTTGATCTATAATTTAAAGGCTTTAATACTATATAAATAATATGTATTTAAAGATTTTCTTTTATTATACATGATACTCTATTTTATAGATTTGTTGTTAATTTTTACTTATTTCTAATTATTTCTTGAGGATACAGTTTTTAAAATGAAGTCATGCCAAAGAATATGAGATTTTGCATCCCTTCATAATCATTGTTAGTTTTCCTCCAGAAAAGTTGAGAAATCTTTAACAGAAAATTAGGAGAATGTCTATTTTTTGAATCATCATAAGCATTTACATGTCTGCTGTAGGTGGAATTGTGTCCCCCAAACAGATATGTTGAGGTCCCAACTCCAGGTATTTGTGAATGTGACCTTGTTTGGAAATACGGTCTTTGCAGATATAATCGAGTTACTATGAGGTCATACCGGATTAGGGCAGCCCTTCAATCCAATGCTGGAACTCGTTAGAAGCTGAGGGAGCTTTGGAGACATACAGAGACACAGAGGAGACTTAGAGAATAAGGCCCTGCAAAGATGAAGGCAGAGACTGGAGTTACGCTGCTATAAATCAAGGAATGCTAATGATTGCTGGAAACCAACAGAAGCCAAAAGAGGCAAGGAAGGATTCTTCTGTAGGAGAATGACTCTACCAACATCTTAATTTTGGACTAGACTCTAGAACTGTGAGAGAGTAAATTTCTGCTGTTTGAAGCCCCCCAGTTTATGATAATTTGTTACAACCAGCTTGAAAAACTAATACAATATCCTTCTTTAAAAATCAGCATTATTTAGGGATTTTAAGATGAATATCTTTCAATACCAGCGAAGAGAAGAGCCTTTTTTCTTATGCTTGTGGCAGAAAGGAAATTATCATGCATTTCTGTTCTGACAGATTGCCTTGAAGGGTCTAATAAGGCCATTTAGACAGACCCTTGTTTACTGGTTTTTTCATTATGACAAATGTTTTTCTTATTGTGGTTTCCTAAGTTTTATTTGTGAGGCTGCCTAAGCCTCATCTCCCAGCCCCCTGCCACCCTCCTCACTTACCTAAACAGTGCCATGTGCATGGAGTTGTATAGAAGCTTGCAGGACTTACTTCTCATGTAAGACCTTCTTTGGTGGTGAGCTTTTTTTTTTGCTATCAAAGCCCTGGTATAGGGAAGAGCTCCCTATCATTCCACTGGGACACAGCTATTTTTTTTTTTTTTAGACTCTCTTCTTTATTTGTCTTGAATGGACAAAACTTGCAAGTCCTAGCTTTATTTAGAAGTCTCATTTCCAACTCTTATACCGAATTAAGACCCAATGCCATGTTTTCTCTTGCCATTGGCCATTAAAACTCTAGTCTCCTAGATGTAGGGTCTATATTTGGGCTGATTCCTCCTCTCAAAGCATGAAATAGTGAATTTTCCATTTTGTCTTTACATTCCCTCTTCATTCTGGAATGAATGAAGTTTTAAGTTTCTTTCTGGAAGCTTCAAGTTTCATTTTCTTTTTTTTACACTTCAGCTATGATGGAAATATATATATATACATATATACATATAGATATATGCTCACTAATAGTATATATGTATAGTATATATTGTATAACAAACAGTATATATTATATATATAATTTTCACTATTAGTGTATATATCATTTGTTCACTAGTATGTGTGTGTACATATGTTCACTATTTTGTTAGTGCTTTTAGCTAGTATAGCTAGTGTTTGTAGCTCAGGAAAAGATACAATTGTTCTGTATTTTTCCAAGTGTTACTAAGTTAGTTGGTGACATATTTTTCTACTTTTTTGGCTGTGGTACACCATTACATTTTTTCAACTCATTACCTCCTCATAGAATTCACTTTCATTATTAATGGACTAATTTCTGTAGTAGTATTTTGGGAGTGTTTTGGTTGTAAACTGAGTTCCTGTATATTAGAAAAATGTCTTCATCCCGTATATCAATGGGTTTAGCTGAGTACAGAATTCTGCAGTCAAAGGTATCTTCCACAGTTTGATGGCCAAACTCACTCTGAGTTGCTCCAACCTTCTTAATGTTTCTGGCCTCTACTTTCTTTAGGTCTGGAGAAACTTAATGTGCTGCCACTGTGTACCATTCTCTGTCAGGGTCTTACTTACATTCTAGGTTATCAAGTCATTGTTTAATTTTATCATCTCTCTTTAGTTTCTTAGTAATCCTAATAATTTCTGGCATTTAAGACTTTCTTTTCTTGTTTTTGAGCATAGCGTTTAAATGATTACTCACATACATAAGTACTTGCATGTACAGATGCATGTACTATACACATATATATGGTTACAATTTTTGCTATTATGACTAAGAGTTATTGGGGAGAGAGGGTACTATTGAGTGTACTCATTTCCAAAGTGAAACAAAGTTCATTTTTTGTAATATGATACAAAAAAAGTTTTTTTCCTCTAAAATCTTTAAAAGAGTATTAGCAAATACAGTAGAAGTTTTATTTTTGCCTTATAAAAATCCATACCTAGAAGAAATTCAATGAATTATGTGGCGCAAAGTTGATGACTTTTGTAATGCCTAACTTATTTCTATCAACTCAGGATATGACTTCCATAGTACTGTTAAGGGAATATAATAATTTTTTTAAATTTGCTTTTCAATTTCATGCTACTTTCTCTACCTGGCTTAGGACTATAGCATGTAAACTATTATTTGACTAATAGAATCTCAAAAACTCAGCATTAATTCTTTTAATATAACTATTTTAAAATCTAGTGTAAATATGCATTCACTAATCATGTTTTGTGCATCTACATTTTCCCATATATGCATTGTCTTGCAAAGTCCTTGTCCTTAAGGAACTTATGAAAGACAAAGAGAAAGAGGAGGTAAACAACAAAAAGACTAATAAGGTGCTGAAATAAAAATCATAGTAGGTATATAAACGTGTTGTTACTATAGCAAAGTGGAAAACATTTAACTCAGGCTGGAAGTATAAGTCAAATGAACTAATGCAAGTATTTATAATGTATAATCACCCAAATTCAATGACATAACACAATGAAAATTTATTTCTTGTTCACATCAATATGCTGACATGAGTTGGGCAAGTAGGGACCCAGGAGTGGAGGCTCTTCCATCCTGCTATGCTGCCATCTTGAACATAAGATCTCCAAGATCACAGTTGAAAAGGAACACAGTGAGGACAAACACACATTGTGGAAGTCAGTGTGGCGATTCCTCAGGGATCTAGAACTAGAAATACCATTTGACCCAGCCATCCCATTACTGGGTATATACCCAAAGGATTATAAATCATGCTGCTATAAAGACACATGCACACGTACGTTTATTGTGGCACTATTCACAATAGCAAAGACTTGGAACCAAACCAAATGTCCATCAGTGATAGACTGGATTAAGAAAATGTGGCACATATACACCATGGAATACTATGCAGCCATAAAAAATGATGAGTTCATGTCCTTTGTAGGGACATGGATGAAGCTGGAAACCATCATTCTCAGCAAACTATCTCAAGGATAAAAAACCAAACACCGCATGTTCTCACTCATAGGTGGGAATTGAACAATGAGAACACTTGGACACAGGAAGGGGAACATCACACACCAGGGTCTGTTGCGGGGTAGGGGGAGGGGGGAGGGATAGCATTAGGAGATATACCTAATGTAAATGACGAGTTAATGGATGCAGCACACCAACATGGCACATGTATACATATGTAACAAACCTGCACATTGTGCACATGTACCCTAAAACTTAAAGTATAATAAAAAAAAAAAAGAAAAGGCCAGCATTAGTTTCTGCCACATTTCAACAGTCAGAAGCCAGTCATATGATTCCAGCGTAATTTCAAGAGAGGCTGCAAATGTAGTGTTGTTGGATTTCTAGGAAGAGAAGTATATACCAGTGATGAGGCTGTTCCACACAGATGAAGTTAGGAAGCCCCCCAGGAGATGCTAGTAATAAAATGACTTTATCATTGTGTTTACAATTTTGTTATGGTTGGGATAGGAAAATCTAGTAAAGTTCCTTAAGTCCACACACTGAGAAGAAAGTAAGAAATTATGATGTCACAAAAGGTGTATATTTAGGAAAATAAAAACATCAAATATATCACATTTTGAATCCTGCCTTGTTGGAAGAAATTATGGAAAAAGCAATATTTTCTGTCAGTAATAATGTTTATAAAACAATGAATACTGAGTATAATTTTATATCGACATTTCTTAAGGGAGCTAACAATTACATTGCTGGAAACTATTGATGTTGTTTGTTCTTCTAAAGTTTTATCATTTACTTCTCATCCTTTATAGTTTATTTCAAGTTTATTCACATCTACTTTTAATCTGAAAGCAAAGCTTCATATCAAGATGTTTACATATACTTGATGCTGAAACTTTTGTGTACAGAGGTTTCTGGGGTTGAATTCCGAACAACATAAATCCCAGTAAGCCAGTGTTTTTTCCTATCTTCCTAGTAATTCTTTAATAACTTATACTAGTTCCTAATGGGCACTGCAATTTCCTTGTTGATTTAAAACTACACTCAGAAACTACATCTGAATTGACAATCTAACTCCTTGGCTTGTAGGGATGAACGCTGTGCTCTGTACTCTGTACTTTCATAGGCTGACTGGGGTACTATTTTTAAAGGAACAGATAGCCTGATCAATACCCTTGTTCCTCAGCCAATGTAATGTAATTCCATGATGATTCTAGTTGCTGAATTTGCCTCCACCAAATTGGGCTACCTTTGATACAGAAACTAGTCAAAATCAAACTTATGATGGTCCTATCTTTCTGGATCATAGAGTGGTCTGTGGGCCATCAATCTTGATCAATGAGCTACTCTAGGCCAATCCTCCAAACCGGTTTGATACAGACTTCTATGAAAACTGGTAATGTTTTTCTTAATGACTCTAGCTAAGATTTTTCTTCTTTAAGTTCACTTGTAAAATTTATTAGCTGATAAAAAACTTCATTCCTGAAACTGAGTGTCTATAAAGCTAGCAGTAATACTGAGTACTGTATATGTAAACATGAATAAGAGTGATCCCCATTTTGAAATGATCATAATCTAATCAGCATGAATATATAAATATACATGTAACACAATATAATTGCTACAGTGACTATTTGAACAAAGTACTAATAATCTACCAAGCAATAAAGGCAACAAAACAGTAAGTAATTTGTCAAATTAATGACTATTTGAATGTCTTCTTTCATTACAAGGACTTTTGAAAGTATTTCTTTATTGGTGGCCATTATTTATTTATTTTTCTACATTTCAATGTGGCGTTTAATCTCCAGCCATACTCTGAGGGCCTAAATGATCTTGCTAAAGTTTCTACAATCTCCTAACATCTAACGCAACTCCTAGTGGTAACAGAGACATCTAAATGCCCACTTTCACTGATCAGAGTTAACAGATTTCCAGAGTTAATACTCAATTAACATTGCTCAAAAGAGGGCACAGGCATGGAATTATAAATTCTGCAGTTACTAGTATGAACCATATTGGGATAATTAAACCTGGGGTCACCATGAAGATAAGTTATAGAGCAAGACTGAAATAGAATAAAAGATGAACTACTTTAAAAATGTAAAATGCGAAATGGTTTCTAAAGAAAGTTCAGAGAAAAGGTAACTGTAAAAGAGCATTGTCCCACTAAAGTCAGTGACAGAGATTTTGAGATATAGGGAGTGATAAACAATGTTAGATTCCAAGAGTTGAATAAAAGTAGCTAATATTTCTTGACCACTTGCTTTTGCTTGCTCTGTTCTGATTTGAAAGCTATACTCTTTTATAACATTATTTTGTGATTGAAATAAATAGGGATATATATTATTGACTAGCCTCTAAGAATTTTAATATATTTTACTCCAATATACTAACATTTCTAGGAGAATACTATTCCAGATATTTACTATTTTCCCAGGCTTCTAATAAATTCTAAACTAGAATTCAATGCATATCATTAGCAAATTAAAATAATTAACAAGGATAAAGATACTATTTATTTTCCATTAGTATCTTGGAAGCAAGCTAATTCACTCTATGAAGTCAAAATAGATATTCAAGTATAGTATTCATTCACTTAAAAAGAACCTTCAATCTCCTGGCAGTGCTTCTCATTGCTGAACCCAATGGGCAGCCATGTTGCAAAGCAGACTGGGAAATAACAATTGTGAGTATCAGTCCCCTTTGATAGAGTCAAACAAGGGAAGATGGAGAAAAGATCTGACAGCAAACAGTCAAACTCCCAGCACTATGTGAAATCATGTTTGGGATTATTTTTGGGTAGCTACAAGTGCTAACAACCCTGTCACAGAAGTGTGTAATAGTAAAAGAGAATCATACTCCTGTAGTTGGCTTTTAAAGATAAGGATAATCTTGGGTTCAGAAACTCAGGCATTCCTTAATATTCTTCAAGTTACATTCACTGTTCTCCTTTGTCTTTAGTTCAATTAAGTTAATTTTAGTAATGCTTCTATCCTTGATGCTGAGTATGCCAGAAGAAAAAAGATTAATATAAGATGGTGGTAAATAGGTTCACTACACCACTTTTTCAAAATTCTGTTTGATAAATTTTTCCTTTATTTTTATTGATATATAGTATTTTACATATATAGAGTACATGTGATATTTTGTTGCATGCATAGACTGTATAATGATTAATTCAGGGTATTTGGGGGTATTCATCACCTTGAGTATTTAACATTTCTCTGTGTTGAAGACATTTCAAGTTCTCTCTTCTAGCTGCTTTAAAATATATAATACATTGTTGCTAACTACAGTCACCCTACTCTGCTATCAAACATTAGAACTGGTACCTTCTATTTAACTGTATGCTTGTAAGCATGCACCAACCTCTCTTCTTACCCCTCTCCCAACCACAAACCTTCCCAGCCTCTGGTATCTATCATTCTACTCTCTGCCTCCATAAGTGAATGTTTTTAGCTCTCACGGATGAACCTGTGAAATTTTGTTTCTGTGTCTGGCTTATTTCACTTAACATAGTGACCTCCAGGCCCATCCATGTTTGCTGCATATGACAGGATTTTTTTCTTTTTTACGGCCAAATAGCATTCCATTGTGTATACATACCACATTTTCTTCATCTCTTCATCCATTGATGGACACTTAGGTTGATTCCATGTCTTTGCTATCGTGAATAGTGCAGCAATAAACATGTGCGTGCAGGCTGGCGCAGTGGCTCACCCCTGTAATCCCAGCACTTTGGGAGGCCGAGGCGGGCAGATCACGAGGTCAGGAGATCGAGACCATCCTGGCTAACACGGCGAATCCCCGTCTGTACTAAAAATACAAAAAATTAGCTGGGCGTGGTGGCGGGCGACTGTAGTCCCAGCTACTCGGGAGGCTGAGGCAGGAGAATGGCGTGAACCTGGGAGGCGGAGCTCGCAGTGAGCCCAGATTGCGCCACTGTACTCCAGCCTGGGAGACAGAGGGAGACTCCGTTTCAAACAAACAAACAAACAAACAAACAAACAAACAAACATGTGCGTGCAGGCATCCCTTGGATATACTGATTTCTTTTCTTTTGGATAAATACCCAGTTGTGGGATTGCTAGATTATATGGTTTTTAGTTTTTTGAGAAATCTCCATACTGGTTTCCATAGTGGCTGTACTAATTTCCATTCCCACCAACAGTGCATAAACCGTCCCTATTCTCCACATCCTCAACAAAAATAATCTGTTATTTGTTATCTTTTTAATAATAGCCATTCTAACGGGGGAGAGATGATATCTCATTGTGATTTTGATTTGCATTTTCTTGATTATTAGTGATGTTTTCAGGGGAAGATTAAATACATTATACTTTTATAATATATTTTTTATAAATTATATAAAATATATGTTATAAATTGATATGTAAATTCTCATTCAATGAAAAATAAAATAAAATCAGCGGGGCATGGTAGCTCATGCCTGTAATCCCAGCACTTTGGGAGGCCGAGGAAGGTGGGTCACTTGAGGTCAGGAGTTCCAAACCAGCCTGGCCAACATAGTAAAACCCCGTCTCTACTAAAAATACAAAAATTAGCCAGGTGTGGTGGCGGGCACCGGTAGTTCCAGCTTCTCAGGAGGCTGAGGCAAGAGAATTGCTTGAACCTGGGATGCAGAGGTTGCAGTGAGCTGAGATTGCGCCACTGCACTCTAGCCTGGGCAACAGAGCGAGACTCTGTCTCATAAACAACAACAACAACAACAACAAAAACAACACACACACACACACAAGTTAAAATCAGTAACAGACTTCAAAGGAGTTCTACAGTTTTTATAGGCATCTGCAGATTTTTGCATATCGGAAAATAGCTAAGGCTGTACCTCTTACAAGTCCAGCTAGCTAACATATTTTGGCATCAAGATGTTCTTCCTGGTGCCTCTGTCTTATCACCTTTATTATGAAGATTAGTCTTACATTATTCAAGTTTTAGCAGCATATATAACGTTTTAGACTGCCATTATTCACAGGCCAAAAATATCTGCTAATTAAGTTATTCCAATTAAATTATTCTGACAAAAATAATACTCATTGTTATTCTGCCAGTGAAAGTAACTTTATTACCTGCGGTTTCATCAAAGACTTGAAAATTTATCATCTGAAAAGCTAGCGAATGTCTGTAATCAGATTAGACCATTCCTTGCAAGATCCTGCCCACTGTTTAGCAGAGTTAATAAAACGCTGTGCTCCTGCAGGAAGCAATAAATTGCTTTTCACATAGTATGTGCTTTCCACTCTGCTTTCTCTTCTCCATGGTCAACTTACCATGGTAAGTTTACCATGTTCATTATTTGTTCCTCTGCTTGGGAAGGTAAATTTAATTTCAGAAGAAGGAAGAGTATGATGCAGTTTGTTCTGGCAGTCAAGCTTTGCTTTCTAATCTAGCTGTACTGGACAGAATGAAAATCTGGAGTCCCATCTGATCCTTGTGTCTGCTTCTCAGCTGTTTCAGAATACACTGGGCATGCTGGTCAGAAACCTGGAGAAATAGCCTCAGGAACTAGCTTTTGGTGCAAATTATGTAGGGAAATGGAATTGTTAGATATGAGTTCTATATTTCTCTTCAAAGAATCAATATGTCAGTATGTTCAATTGTTTGCCTTCTACTTTTAAACTTAACTTCCTCATAAAGCAACCTTTTTCGATTACCTGCTCCACCCTGATTCATTCGGATTACCTGCTCCACCCTAACTCATTCCAATTGCCTGCTCTGCCCTGACTCATTCTCCATCCTGACTCATTCTCCACCCTGACTTATTCCACCCTGACTCATCCCGATTACCTGCTCTGTCATAACCATTTTTCCCACCAAACCATTCACCCTGTCACACTCTTTAAATTAGCCAATTGGAATTAGTTTAGCCTGTGCTGTCTAACTCTAGCCAATAGGGGAACGACACAACAGCAGGGGCCACGTGCATCAGGGTTAAGAACTCCTTCCCCTCCCTGGTCCAAGTGTGCGCTCACCATTGCTCCATCTCTAAGGCCGCACCCTTCTATAGAAGTACATTGCCTTGCTGAGAATTAAAAAGAAAATTTTATATTCTAGCGCTATTTCTTTTGCGGCACCAAAGCTTTATTTTTAACAGAATCTTTTGATTAATACAGTGGCACGTTAGATAAGCGCAGCCTCCATGATCCTTTCATTTTGTCATAAGGTAGAGCACTCACAAACTCTGAGATAAATAATCAAATGTTATTTTAAACAGAGTTTATGTTTTTGTTTTTGTTTTTTGTTTTTTGTTTTTACCTCTGGCAGCAATAAAAAACTAATACAGGTGGGTGGGTGGAAGAGGAAGGGGCAGGAAACCGACCAAGAAGCACATAAGTAAAATCACCTTATTTCTAATGTTCTAATTCTTAAGGAAATGAGGGAATACAGCTCACATTTGCTCTTTTTCTGGGCTTCATAACATATACACAATATTTTATATTTTTTGGTATCTATCTCACCTTATGGGAAAACAGCTAAAAGCTCTTGCACTATTTCACTCATGGATTTGTGGCAAAAGCAAGTTATAGTAGACTGTCAATCTTTTCAAATGAAACTTTTTCCTTTCATGAAAATGACATATATTGCACAGTGTATTTTCACAATGGACAGGTGTAAAGTTCTCTTTCAGGTTTGTTGATTCCAAGAAACTTACATTAGAAACCCTGAAAACGTGCTTCCTCATCATATTTAAGAAAAAAATTTTTAAAAGCTACAAGATGTAAAATATTTGCTTTACTTTCTGTCCTTTACATTTTTTCACTTTACATGAATTATGATATTAACAGAAAATAGATGCCATTCAGCAACATGTTTATTAATCATCTAGTATGTGCCCAGCTTTCTGCATTTGGTGATGACCAAAACAGGAAAGGCTCCTGTTTGTGCCTATGTAATGGCCTGTAATTACACTGTACTGGTGAATGTACTTTAATTTATGCAATTAATTACTGTATTAGTTTTCTAGGGCTGCCATGATAAATTACCACTGAGTGGGAGGCTTGCATAACAGAATTTATTTTCTTAAAATTTTAGAGGCAAGAAGTTCAAAATTAAGGTGCCAGCCTGGCCGAATTCCCTCTAAAGGCTCTAGGGTCAATCTTTCCTTGCCTCTCTGGCTTCTGGAGGCTCTAGGCATTCCTTAGCTTGTGACTGCATAACTTTAATCTCTGACTCAGATTTGGCCTCTCCTGTATTTCCCCACATGCTATCCTCTGTGTGTCTCTTATAAGGACACTTGTCACTGGACTCCAGACCCACCCACCTTAATAATACAGGATGTTCTCGTCTTGAGATCATTAGCTTAGTTACACTGGCAAAGACTGTATTTCAAATAAGATTGTATTCACTGCTTTCAGGGTTAGAATGCAGACATATCTATTAGGGGCCACCACAGATACTAATCCAGAATCAACAAGACTAAGTACTTAACAAGTGTGGATTTTTCTCCCAATATAATTTTAAATTTTTCAAGGAAATAAACGGTTCTTTGCTTTATTTTCAATTCAGTTCATAGATGTTTATGTTCTTTTGAACACTAATAAAAAATTTATCATCTATAGTCATTCTCCACCAGGGGTTGAACCATAAAACATATTCCCTGGGGAAGGGACTTACCAAATACCCATTTCGTAGATTGGAGAGGAATTCTTAATTTTATGAAAAAGAATGTTTGATATGCCTATTGCCTTTATAACTCACGTGGATATCAAAAGTAAATAATTATTCATACCTTGGAGAAATAATGAAAATTACAGTGTTAAAACTATTTTTAAAGTAACAAACAAATCTCTGATCAATAATAATATAAAAGCCCATTTGTAATTTCATATTGGACTATCTGTTGAATATTCTCCATCACAGAGGTATATTTATTTATTTATTTATTTATTTATTTATTTTTGAGACCGAGTCTTTCTCTGTCACCCAGGCTGGAGTGAAGTGGCATAATCTTGGCTCACTGCAACCTCTGCGCTTCAGGTTCAAGCAATTCTCCTGCCTCAGCCTCCCTAGTAGCTGGGACTACATGTGTGCACCACCATGCCCAGCTAATTTCTCACTGGTTTACAAGTCAAAACTAAATACTTACGCTAACTGTTATATGAAACTGTGCAGCAAACCTTTGGGCTACAGTGGATACCATTTGGTTAACTCAACGCACACTTTAAAACCTTTCTGTCTGCTCATATAGGCTAGGGATCATTAGCTTACGCAGTCCTTGTGATGCTTCTGTTCAATTTCTTTACAAAATTTCCTTGAAGTATTATTCTAAAATCTGAGTGTAAAAACATTAAGAATATATTCCATTTGTCTTTCCCCTGTATTGAGAGCTGCATAAAATTAAAAAACTTACTTCACCTATTCTGAAAGTAAAACAGAATAATAACATTTTGTCTCACATCAGTGATAAAAATGTTTTATTTGAGATCCACACAAACTTAAATGTGTTTGTGGCATAAAAAAATTTGGAGAAGCCAACATCCTAGGAATGTCTGTGTGTGTGTGTGTGTGTGTGTGTGTGTGTGTAAGATTTGAGGGACACACAGAACTATGGATGAGAAAATGTGTTCTGTGTATTAAATCTTTCTTTTTTGCATTCATAAATAGAATACATGGTTTTTAGATTGGTAAACATATGCTAACATTGTCTTCTTCCAAATGGGAAGCCAACATTTCTTGGACTAGTCCTCCAAACTTAGATACTTTATATCTAATGAAGACATTTGGATTCCAATTTCTTTAAAATTCACATATGACAAATACAGATTACATGTCTTTGTCAGTTCCTCCTTCTGTCATAAGGTTATGCTTTGATTTTATGGGCTACCCCAAAGGGGCAATCCTTATCAGGAGACTTGAGCACAAAGAACAAAATCGAAAGACTATAATGGGTTTTAATAAATATGAAATTTTGAATTGCATTTTGAAACATCTGATGGACTTACTGTATATTTAGGATTGCTAAAATTAGCTTGTCAGCTAAATTGAAAGAGTTGTTCTGTAATTCAGAGCGCAAATCAAGAAGCATCCACGTCGGGGAGAATGACTGAGTTCAGAAGTGTGGGTCCTATACTGCATCCTTCACATCATGTCATCATGATGAATGGAATGTAACTTCACACTTATACTGCCTATATCTAGCTGAAAAGAATATGTGAATATGTGATCATGTCACAACCTAAGTCTACTTGTTTTTTCAGCCCACCACTTGAGAGTATGACAAAAGTCAAAGGTTATCGTTAATGGTGAGTATCATCCTATAATGATTACATGTAGGTTGAGAAGGGACTTTTGTATGTTTGAAAAAAGAAAATGCATCCCCAAATTATAAAACTCCAAGCACTATTTTTTCTTGTGATCTAATATGGACATATTTTATTTTCTTTTATAAATCATTAGCATTCACTTAACACTGGAAGAAAATACTTATGAATGTTAAACTCTGCCATAAGCTAAGAATATCAAGTTAAAAAGAATAGTAGCCCTCTGTGACTTCTTGGTCCATTCTTTTCAATAAATTAAGCTGCATGCAAATAATCCTTTAAGTAGAAAAATATCATGAATTATGTCCATGAGTGTCAATACATTTAGCCTGAAAAACATGCTGTATAATATATTTATAAGAAAAATAATTGCCCATTTAAACTTTTTAAAAATGGAGATGACTGTTTTCCTATAGTCTGATCCTTAGGATTAAATGATAGGTCAGGATGTTTTTCTGAGGTAAAATAGGATACGTTTTTAAAAAAATGTTCAGCTTTCATAAATTAGAAGCTTATCTCTATTGCTTTTGTTAATCACTAGGTTGAACAGCCATCACACTAATAACACTAATAATAAGATATCTCAAGTCCAGTGAAGGTGGTTTTGTTTTCTTCATTTTGGGAAAGCTTAACATGCTCCAGGTTTTCTGAAATACATACACGGTACACTATGCTAATTTAAAAATGATTCTGAGTTATGACTTCTCATGTTTATACTGGATCTATATTTAATTACCAGTATCTGGTTGTCAGAAAGTCATATATTTGTAAAAGATAAAGCCAAAAATTTTAGAATAGTTTAGGACACTTGCAAGAGTAGATCTAATTACACGCCACTTACCAAAGTCACTTAAAAAGTGACTTTGAAGTACAATACCCCTTTATCATAAAAATTCTTTGGGAGTTCAACATTCCCCACCACAACAATTACTTAGCAATGAATTTCATGGAAAGTTTGCCTACATAAAGAATAATCTTATTCTGATAAAATAATGGAAACATAATAAGGAAAATTGAAAAAATTAGGCTAAAATGGGATATATTTATATGTAAATGTATCTCATAAATGTATTTCAAGATCATATATATGGTACATTTATTTATGACATGCATTTATTTATTCTGGGGTGATTTTTAAACTTCCTTATATCAATTATGTGAGATTTGGTTAGGTTAAATAAAGTTCAATGTTATTCATATGTTTCCCCTTTGATTTCCCAAAATCCCATCTGTTACTAAGAAAGCTTTTCCACAAGGGTAGATTTGCAAAAGTTTGGAATTGTATTTGCTTTTATAATAGTCATGGTAAATTCTTCATATGGTCACCGCTAGCATATTTTTGTTACTCTGATATAACTTTATACTGAAATTGCCTTATTCCTTGCCATCTTACCAATGTATCAATATGCTTCACCCAGCTATACAGAGTGTCCTAAATCTGCTAGGCCATCATATCTTTTAGCTACAAAAAAGTATTGTTGTCACTCATATTTACAAAAAATGTACTTCATTCATATAAAACATACTCGATTTCCATAAAAATCCCCTTTAATTGTGTGTGGGTGGGTGGGTGGGGGGTAATCACCTATTTGCTACTAGGTGGTAGCTACAGAAGCAACCATTTATTTTCCTTCCTGTGAACTTTGTGTATTTTGGCAGTCATTGAAGCCATGGGCATACAGGTTAGGCAGCTGAGAATCAGATTTTCAAAGACTAGCAAAAATAATTAATGCAGAGAAAAAATGTATTTTATTTGTTTACACTTATTAGTTATTTTAATTATGAATTTGATATAGTTTGGCTCTGTCTCCCCACCCAAATCTCATCTTGAATTGTAATCCCCATGTGTCAAGGGAGGGACCTGGTGGGAGATGATTGGATCATGGGAGTGGTCTTCTCCCTTGCTGTTCTTGTATAGAGTTCTCAGGAGATCTGGTTGTTTGATAAGTGTGGGGTTCTTCTCCCTTCGTGTGCACTCTCCTCTCTCTTTATCTTTCTCTCTCTCCCTGTCTCTTTCCTGCCACCATGATGTAAGAGGTGCCTTGCTTCTCCTTCACCTTCCACCATGACTCTAGTTTCCTGAGGCTTCTGCAGCCATCTGCAGGTGTGAGTCAATTCAACCTCCTTTCTTTTACAAATTACCCAGTCTTGGGTAGTATCTTTATAGCAGTGTGAAATGAACTAATATAGCATTTTTTCAAATATATGTAAAAGTGGAGTGAATAGTAATATAAAACACGTATATATACTCTAATTTCAACAGTTTGTCTAATTTTGTTCATCTATTGCTTCCCATCCAGAGTATATTTGTGGAAATCCAAGACATTAAAGTATTTCATCTGTACATACTTTGATCTCTCTCTAAAAGACAAGTACTCTTTAAGCAAAAACATAACTATAATATGATTATGACAACTAAAATGAGTGCAGTAATTTCTTCATATGATTAATTTTCAAATAATTACATTTTTACTTCTTAGAATGTTCTTACCTAAGTTTAGATGAAGGGGCTGCTATAGCTGCTGAAGAAAAGTTGCATTAACAATAATAATAGCAGTTAATAATAAACTAATACATGTTGAGACAGGCACTCTGACTCAGGTCCTGTGCTAATTGCTGTACTTGGGTCAATATTTTAGTCTTTTGAAAAACACTTCATAGTAGGCATTATTATTATCTCTGTATTTTTTAGATTGAGACCTACATGAAACAAATTTCTGAAGTCATGGATCTAATGGCAAAACTAAGTCAATTACAAGCATCTCATTCTATTATCTGCACTCCTTCTTACCACCTCTGTATAATTTAGTATATTTTAGGGTAGAAGAATTTACAGAGTGGAATACTACCCAAATAAATATACCACCTTTTCTGTAATTTCATATGTATCTGAATATAGAAAATTATTTTATTTCTTTTTTTTGAGAGTAAATGTACATAGTTTTACCTACGAATGTAGGAACGCATATTCACTTACTAAATTTAGTAGAAACTTCCATTTCATTCTCTGCAAAATAGTCTATGCACACTGTAACACATAAATGTGAAGATAAATGTATTTTTTCTATCTAGCTAAAATATTTTAAAGAGCGAGAAATAGTAGAGAATAAATTTCAAAAATACATTTCAATATATAATTCTACGTATTAAATATGAAAATGGTTCCATATTTGAGGTTGACTTCTAAATGAATACAAAATAAAAAGCTTATCAGTTTTAGGACAACAAAACTATAGGAACTACAAACAAAGCGGGGGATGCACTAAAATTAGTGGCTGGCATACATGGAACATGTGTTGGCCGAAACAAAGGAAGCTCATTTAAGAATGTATCAGATTGAACTAAGCTGTGACAGAAACTTGTTTGAAGGTTTGTATGTGGCTGTGAGTATTCCAGGTATGTTAACTCCATCTGTTTTTTTAATATTTTCATTGGGTGCCTCCCATTGTTCTGAAACATCAAAGTAAATATTAACTTAATCACCTTTCTGAAATGATTCCTACGTAAGAATTTCTTATTTCAGTTATTATAGTTATTGACTATGTGAAAGACATTCTGCCAGTTTTTGCAGAGGATATAAGGATGAGTAAAGCTCTGTATCCTCTAATGGGGAGCCTGAAAAAAATACTAGTAGGGAGAATATGTGCGATATGTGATATACTTCTAAAGTTCTGAGTGTGTGAAAAAGATGGGAAACCATAGCAACAAGTTGAGGACAAAGCAGGATAGATTTGTGGACAGGATTTTTTTAATTAAATTTTTTGAAGCACTAAACCTTGAAGGCACTTTAAGTTTCTTTCTGTATGTTATCCTTCATTTAAAATGTCATTGCTACAGGTTCTACATTGGGACCATTTCTTTCTTTTTTCACAGTCAGCATAATAAATTAGAACCACAACTCATTTCTAAATTTTCAATTTATCTTTGTTAAATCTAACAAAGCTGCCAGATTGCTCTTCCTAAAGACCAGTATTATTGTGTTACTAGGATTAGCATTTATGGGAAGCACAGCTGACAGGATGATAATTCTTTAAAAAGCATCAAAGCATCAAGTGACTTAAGATATCACTATTGTCTGTGCCTGTGGTTCTTTAACTTTAGTATTCATCAGAATCACCTGGAGGGCTTGCTAAAAGATACACTGCTGGGGAATATCCCCAGATTTTTTAAATTCAGGAATTCTGAGGAGGAGCCTGTGACTTTGCATTTCTAAGAATTTCGCAAATGCTGCTGAGACTGCTGGTCTCAGGACTTTGAGAACCACTGTTCTATATTACTTTTATTAGCATGGTGATTAGATAGAGCACAGGACTCGTGAAAGATCTAGATCCTTTTCCAGATGTTTCCTTTGCTAGAACTATGAGCTTATGGAAGTTGGGTGGTCTCCCAAGGTTTAATTTTATCATCTTATATATTAGATCCAGTTGTGGGCTAAAGCTGACTTGAAATGTCTTTTGAAAACCAGGTCTGCAAATCTATTCTAAACACTGGGTTCAGTGACATCACTGAAGCTGATATTGGTCATGGTGGGAGTATTTAGCCCCACGAAAATGGAAAATCATTAAAAATCAGTTTTTATTTCTCTTTTTCCCCCAGAATAATTTTATTCTTCAATATCCCCCATTATCTATAATTACATTCCCTTCCTCAGGTATATTGTCTCATGTATGCACTTTAAACTGTACTGATGACTCCCAGTTAATAATAAACTTACATATGTACAAAACAAATAAATAGATATTTTATTTGCACATCAACGAAATCATGTTTTATTTCTGTTTCTGAACCAAAGGTGATTTTGTCCCCAGGGAACATTTGGTGATATATAGAGACATTTTTAGTTGTAACCAAAAATGGAGATGGTGGATAGTTTTACTGGCATTTAGTGGGTAGAGGTTAGGGATGATTCTAATCACCCTGCAATGCACAGGACAACCCCCACAGCAAAGACGTATCCTGCCCTAAATGTCAAGAGAGCCAATGTTGAGAAACAGCTCTATGTAGTATTCTGTAACTATTTTTTTTTTTACAATATACATCTATACACACAGATAGATCCATTTCATTTTTAAGCAACTTCATAGTATTTGCTTTTACCATACGAATTTTGCATTATGTATTTTTATTTTATATTATGAACTTTTTTATCTGATGAATGACTGTAAATCTGATGTTGATTCATTGGTTTCTTTTTAAAATTTATTTATATTTTAAAGAAATGAAGTCAATATTTCAAAGAGACATCTACACTCCCATGTTTATTGCAACACAATTCACAACAGGCAAGTTATGGAATCAGTGTGTGTCCATCATTGGATGAATGGAAAAAGAAAATGTGGTACACATACACAATGGAATACTATTCATCCATAACAAAGAATGAAATTCTATCATTTGTGGCAACATGGATAAACCTGAGGAACAGTATGTTAAGTGAAATAAACCAGGCACAAAAAGACAAATATGGCATGATTTACACATATGTGGAATCTAAAAAAGTTGATCTCATAGAAGCAGAGAGTACAATAATTGTTGCCAGAGTTGGGGGAGGTTAGGGGTGCAGGCAAGATAGGGAGATATTAGTCAATGGGTACAAAGTTATAGTTAGATAGAAGGAATAGGTTCTGGTGTTCTATTGCACAGTATGTGACTAGGATTATATAATACTGTACATTGCATTACATAATTCAAAAGAGCTAGAAGAGAGGATTTTGAAAGTTCTCAGCACAAAAAATAGATAAATATATGAGGTGATGGATATGCTAAACATCCTGATTTGATTTTTACACAATGTATGCATGTATAAAAACATCGCATTCTACCCCATAAATATGTACAATTATGGATCAAAAACACCATTTAAAATTATTTATTTTTAAATTAACAAATAAGATATTTTTGTGGTGTGCAAAATGATGAGATATTCATATATTTGTAAAATGACTACATTGAGCTAATTAATTGATTTGGATAGGCTTTGTGTCCCCACCCAAATCTCATTTTGAATTATAATCCCCAATCTCCACATGTTAAGGGAGAGACCAGGTGGAAGTATTTAGATCATGGAGGTGGTTCCCCCATGCTGTTCTTGTGATAGTGAATGAGTTCTCACAAAATCTGATGGTTTTTTAAGGGGCTCTTCCCCCTTAAGTTGGCACTTCTTCTTCCTGCTGCCTTGTGAAGAAGGTACCTTGCTTCTCCTTCATCTTCTGCCATGATTGTAGGTTTCCTGAGGCCACACCAGCCATGCTGAACTGTGAGTCAATTAAACTTTTTTCCCTTATAAATTACCCAGTCTTGGGCAGTTCTTGATAGCCTTACGAAACAGATTAATACATTAACATAAGTGTTACCTCACATACTTATTTTTTTTTGTGGTGAGAATACCTAAAATCCACTTGCAGTGATTTTCAAAATATATAGTATTTTGTCATTAACTATAGTCAGTTCTCTTGAATAGATTCCATTTTCCTTTTATTACATTTTGAAGAACCAATTATTACATAATTACCAGAACACCAGTGACTTCATCCATATTAATTTTCACATAATCTTGGACACCATCACAATTTGAAACCTCTCACACCCTTTTGAATAATCTATTTTTCTCAGTAGCAGATTGGTCTTTCTTAGTTTATCTTTATTGTAAAAACTCATACAAATCTAAAATTTGAGAAGTCAGTTGATTGTGAGCAAAGACATTATTGACAAAGTTTTGGTTCCAACTGATTCCAACTGCATAGAAACTTCTATAACATAATGCACAAATGTGAGGAAATAAAAGGGGGAGAGTATGAAGTAAAGATAGACCATGCTTTCCTGGTTTCCTTCTGGTCAAAATGCTGGATATTTTTTAAAGATCAGGACCTAGGTTCTCTTCTCTTCAAACTCTGTACTTTCTTGAAAGAAAACTTCATCCAATGGCATTCATTAACCTGCTTTATTTGAAAATGACTCCGAAAATTGTATTTCCTAATTAAAAATTCTGTACTGAGCCCCAAACCCATAAAACCTACAGCTTGCTTGATGTTTCCATTTGGATAATAAAAAGTAACTCTAACTTACTATGTACAAAAATATTTCTCATCTTCTCCTTAAATGTTGTCCTCTTCTTTAAGTTTTGCGTCTCCATTACATTGCATATTTAAAACACCCTTTAAAATTCTTCCACCTCTCTCCATTTGATCTGCTAGCTCCATAAGCCAAGCTTCTATCTTCTCTTACTTGGATAGTTTGCAAATTAGCCTCCCTTGTCCATTCTTGTCTCCTCCCAATACAATCTCTTCAATAGATTGTTATTATAAATTCAAGTTTGATAATACCTCACCTCTTCTTAAAATCTGTTATTGACTTCTTCTGCTTTTAGGATAATAATTAAGAGACTTAATGTGTTCCACCAACTAACATTACATGGCCAACAAGCATGAAACGTCTCTTATCCATGTATTCAGGCATGTATCAGACTAACCCTCCCCTTGATCTCTATGTGACAACCTTACTGACTTTCTTACAACGAATAGTCCCTGAAGGCTCAGGGCCCTTGCACATGCAGTGTCCTCTGTCTTACAGCGCTTTACTCTCTCATCTTTGCTAGTAATTAGATTCTCAATTCAAATATCACTTCACTGGGAAACCCATGCCTCTCAAGGAATATAGAAAAACTCCTTCCCTATGATGTATTTTTGTTTGATGGCTTTGTCAGAATTACAATTTTATAGGCATTTCTGTTTTATTTAATTCATGTCTATTTCTTCTCATTAGACTATAAGCTCCACAATATCTGCTTATGTTCAATATTTATAGCATCAATACTTAGAGTGTGTGACACTCAGTAAGAACTCAATACATATTACCAATTATTGAATAAATGTGTTAAAATGTGGAATAATTGGAATATATGTATTTCTTCTCTCTCTCTCTCTCTCTCTCTCTCTCTCTCTCTCATATTTTCCTCCCCCTAATAGATCAGCAAAAGATTTTCATTTCCCACAGTGCACAAGTCATTCTAAGAGTCTACCTACGGGATGGTACCATAATGATGCTTAATGCTGGCCGCATATTAGAATTATTTGGGGAGCTTTTAATAAACACCCAAAGCTAGGCCCATCACAGAACAGTTAAATCAGCATTTCTCAAGGTGAGGCTCAGGCAACATTTTTTTAAAAGCTCCCTAGGTGATGCTAATGTGGAGCTAGAATTGTGAAACACGCTCTCTAATGGATGAAATCTGAATACCCGTCTGTTCATGAACCATACAAACCATTACTGTTGGCCTGGGAAATGTCTAATTCTAATTAAATAATTCTTAAATCATTCATTCATATATTCATTCAAAACATATAATAGTTTTAAATTATATATTATTACATCTTATATTTGTTACATAAATATTACATATTATGTATTGTTACGAGAAGCAAAAGTTTGTACTAGGAATTGTGAAGGATATAAAATGTAGCCAGATACTTCCAAGATTCTACTATGAACTTTCTTCCTCACTTAGCTGATATCATGGATTTAATAAGAATTTAATCCCTAGCAGATCTCTTTTAATCTCTTTGCAGATCCTCTCACTGTACCTACTACTTGAACATGCAGTAGTCTTTCCCTCTGATTGTGCAAATGTAATAACGCAGGCATGGCTTATGCAAGAAAATTCATGAACCTCTTCTATAAAATGAGTACGTCTACTCACAGACATTTTCCCCTTACTCTTAAAACTGAAAGGGAGGCTTTCTGATTGCTATAACATCTAGAGGACAGTGGTTAGAGATACTGTTGCAAAAAGAGAAGCTGCAGAACTGTTGGGGTGGGCAGGAAGAGTAGAAGTATTTTAAAAGAGACATGGTGAAATCAGGAAGCTTTTTCCTCAAAGGGCAGTTGCTGCAGGAGCAACTGAGTCATCCTCCCAGTATTGTCTGTCCTAGATGCAGTGAACAGGAAGTGAAAGTTCAGTGTTGCTTACTGTCAATTACCATCCACATAAACAGACACAGGAAGATCAAGTCATGTTACTTTAGCCTTAGTGCCCTTGAATGTTTTGATAAATTTGTTAGCTATTTACTCAACATAAATATTCAACTTACGTACCCCATGGCCAAAATTTATAATTTTCCTTTTGAATTCTTTTTAAAAAGCATTCTGTGTTGCCACACGTTTATTTATTTTATTTATCTTTTTGTATTCACCAACATCCAAGCCCCTCGCCTCGCCTCACTTTCTGCTGATGGGAGGGGAAAGTCTCATCATCCAGACCCCTCATAAAGGTATACTTGGTGCCAGGGAGTAATCCCCTTGGGTCACTAATGGATATTCACACATCTGAGAATGCTGTTAAGAAGCTTCTGAAGTGGAATGCGATTCCAGCTGTAGCAATTACATACTGCTCATATTTCCTAGTTTAGACTCTGGGGAGTTCAACAACTGCCTATTAGCAAGCTGACGATGGAAAGAAGCGCTGTAAATCTCACAAGCAATGATAAAGCCGATGCTCCTGGAAGAAGGAGGAAAGACTGAATTGCAATTAAAAAACAGAACCATGAACCTTGGCCTTTTAAAAGAACAACACCCACAGTACGTTAATGAAGGACATGAGAGGATAAACTAAACTGTAAACATTTTTTATATCTCTCTTCGGTTATCATCTCTTGGTTGCAAGTGGAGTGAAAGAGGAAGCGAAACTTCATGAATCCAAATTAGTCTGTGAGATACATCTAAGTCTCCAATACCATATCATTTTGAACTTTTTCAAAGTTTTGTTTTACATATAATTTGGTCACTTAAGACAGAAAGTTTATAACTCTTATCATATAGGTATCATTAAAGAAGATAATTTAGGACTTAACCAAATAGCTGTCCAAAGAGGAGTTGAGTTTAATTGTTATAGAAACAAACACACTAAATATCTCACATAGAAAGTTTACTAAACATCTCACAGAGACAGCAGTATATTGAGCCTCATAACAATTTAAGAGCTTTTCTTGCTGTGTCCATTTGACAGATAAGGAAACTGATGTTTAAGAAAGGTTAAGTAGTTAATAGTAATCCCATGAACACAAAATGGCAAAAAAAGAATTGGAACTCCGTTCTTTCTGATTCCAAAAGGTGTTTTAATATTACCTTATATTTCTTACTGTGAATCAAACTGGTTCTATTTGGGGAATGAGACATAAATTTAAATACCTTCCTCCCAAAAAAGTATCAAATCACAGATAGTTTAATGTAACTAGATATGTTGTGTTTTATGATGAGAATATTACATTGTGAATTGGTAACATATCTTCTTCCATTGTTTAAACATAAGATAATTAAAACTTTGATTGCAAAAATTTGCTTCCATTCTATAGGTTGCCTGTTCACTCTGATAATAGTTTCTTTTGCTCTACAGAAGCTCTTTAGTTTAATTAGATCCAATTTGTCAATTTTGGCTTTTGTCACCATTGCTTTTGATGTTTTAGTCATGAAGTCTTTGCCCATGCCTATGTCCTGAATGGTATTGCCTAGGTTTTCTTCCAGGGTTTTTATCATTTTAGGTCTTACAATTTAAGTCTTTAATCCATCTGAGTTAATTTTTGTATAAGGTGTAAGGAAGGGATCCAGTTTCAGTTTTCTGCTTATAGCTAGCCAGTTTTCACAATACCATTTATTAAATAGGGAATCCTTTCCCCATTGCTTGCTTTTGTCAGATTTGTCAAAGATCAGATGGTTGTAGATGTGTGGCATTATTCTGAGGCCTCTGTTCTGTTCCACTGGTCTATATATCTGTTTTGGTACCAGTAACATGCTGTTTTGGTTACTGTAGCCTTGTAGAATAGTTTGAAGTCAGGTACCATGAGGCCTCCAGCTTTGTTTTTTTGTTTGTTTGTTTTTGCTTAGAATTGTCTTGGCTATATGGGCTCATTTTTGTTTCATATGAAATTTAAAGTAGTTTTTTCTAATTCTGTGAAGAAAGTCAGTCGTAGCTTGATGGGGATAGCATTGAATCTATAAATTACTTTGGACAGTATGGCCATTTTCACGATATTGATTCTTCCTATCCATCTGACAAAAGGCTAATATTCAGAATCTACAAAGAACTTAAACAAATTTACAAGAAAAAAAAAACCCCATCAAAAAGTGGGCAAAGGTTATGAATGGACACTTCTCAAAAGAAGACATGTATGCAGCCAAGAAACATACGAAAAACTCATCATCACTGGACATTGGAGAAATGCAAATCAAAACCACAATGAGATACCATCTCATGCCAGTTAGAATGGCAATCATTAAAAAGTCAGGAAACAACAGATGCTGGAGAGGATGTGGAGAAATAGGAAAGCTTTTACACTGTTGGTGGGAGTGTAAATTAGTTCAATCATTGTGGAAGACAGTGTGGCGATACCTCCAGGATCTAGAACCAGAAATACCATTTGACACAGCAATCCCATTACTGAGTGTATACCTAAAGAATTATAAATCACTCTACTGTAAAGACACATGCACATGTATGTTTACTGCAGCACTTTTCACAATAGCAAAGACTTGGAACCAACCCAAATGCCCATCAATGATAGACTGGATAAAGAAAATGTGGCACATATACACCATGGAATACTATGCAGCCACAGAAAAGGATGAGTACACCATGGAATACTACGCAGTCATAAAAAAGGATGAGTTCATGTCTTTGCAGGGACATGGATGAAGCTAGAAAGCATCACTCTCAGCAAACTAACACAGCGACAGAAAACCAAACACTTCATGTTGTCACTCATAAGTGGGAATTGAACAATGAGAACACATGGACAGAGGGAGGGGAACACCACTCACTGGGGCCTGTTGTGGGGTGAGGGGCTGGGGACGATAGCATTAGGGGAAATACCTAATATAGATGACGAGTTGACGGGTGCAGAAAACCACCATGGCTCGTGTGTACCTATGTAACAAACCTGCAGGTTTTGTACATGTATCACAGAACTTAAAGTATAATTTTTTTAAAATGTGAATACGATGGAAGTTCCCTCACCGTATCCCAAGTAGACTGATTGAATGGCTACAATGATTAATGACTGATGGAAAATATACCTTATGTGGGATGAAGGGAAGGAAGCTTGATATTTAGGCAGAAGAAAAGGCATAGGGATATGTAATATAATTCAAAAAAATAAAGAATTAAGCCATAAGAAAGATGAAGAAGAATATCTTGCTTATGTTATACTTTCCATAGTTCTCCTTATGTGTATTATCTTCTCTTATACTTAGAGTATTCCTGAGCATGAGTCCCTCTTTATAGAAGGCACAGAGCTCTTCAAATAAGAAAAAACAAAACAAACCGTCAATTGCCATACATAACAAAACAATCAAACGTTATTTTCTTTTCGATTGACCTAAAAGAGGTATTAAAATATGAGTATTTTTCAGATTGCTAATGTCTCATACTACCGATGCTAAGTTTGTTGAAAAGATTATTATATTCTTTATTGTTAAATGTACCAAAACAATACAATAATGTCAGATTAGATAGAAACTATTCTAGCTATAGCTACACAATAGCCTCAAACCATTTTAAAATGGGAAAAAAGAACTTATGAATTTATGCCTAAGTTTGTAGAGAATTATCTCTAAGCTGTATGATTTAATCATTTTTACAGCTTTTACAGTTTATAGCTTAATAGCTTGACTTTGTACTGCATTGACAGTAGGCAAAAAGCTTAATTAGTAAAGTTCCCAAATTACCAATAGCGTAGGAAGTACAAGTGAAAAACACATTTTCAAGCTGTGGAAGAACCTACCTGCTAAAACAATCATTTTGTCTCTCTGAAAATACTTTTGGTGCTGCACTGCAAGCAACTTTACAACATGTTTCTTTTGACCAAACTCTTTCAGTTGGTTGGCTTTAAGTAGAATTAGTGACTGCTGCCCTCTATATAATGGAAATTCCTGTTCCACTGCCAGGAATCCATTAAGATGGTTCAGGAAAAACAAGGACCAATCGTATCTTACAATTCCTAGTTTTATTTACTCGGTCTGTCTCAAATTAAAAAAAAAAAAAAAAAACAATGAAGACAGATGAAATACCCAAATAGTCTAAATTCTGTGTAAGTTAGATATGTGAAATTTTGCTTCTCCATTTTAAAGGACACTTTGGAATCACATTAAAAAATACTATCTAATAGTTTTTCACAGAAAATTATTAATTAGACCTTAAACTACAGTTTCAATAGATCACAATGGATTCTGAGATAAACGCCTGTGAGTGCTTCACGAAAGCCTAGAGAAATTATAAATAGTACAGTTTTAACACTATGTGTGATATATATGCATATATGCAAGAGTTTTTTTAAGATGGCATATTCAATGTAATATATTACATAATGGTAATTGAAATATGGTTTAATAACAATAACAAAGGGCTATATTACATGACACCCTTGGTAAATGATGCAGATTTGGGAGCAAGAAGGCCCCAGACTGCCTGGGTTTGTATCTAGATTTCCTAACTCTATGATTCCTAACTCTGTGACTCATTTTGTTTTGTTTTGTATTTTCTATCTGTAAATTACTGTTGACCAACAGTACCTACTTCACAAGGTTGTTACGATTATTAAAGGAGTTAATGGATGTAAAGTGCCTACCACAGTGCCTGGTACCTAATAAAGTACGGTACCTGTTAACTGTGTTGCTGTTGTTGCTTTAAGTTTTTTTTTTCTTTTGCTGTGCTCCTTTCTTCTTTTTATAAATATATTTATCTTGTCTGGTTAATATTTTGTCTAAGAGATTAATCTTGTTTAGGTGTTGTATTAGTCCATTTTCATAGGCTGGAAAGAATGGCCTGAGACTGGGTAATTTATAAAGGAAAAGAGTTTAATTGACTCACAATTCAGCCTGGCTGGGAGGCCTCAAGAAACTTACAACCATGGTGGAAAGCAAAGAGAAAGCAAGGCACATTCTTCACAAGGCAGTAGGAAGAAGTGCCAAGCTAAGGGGGAAGAGCCCCTTATGAAACCACCATCAGATCTCCTGAGAACTCACTTATCGTGAGAACAGCATGGGGGAAACCACTCCCTATGATTCAATTACCTCCATCTGATCTCTCCCTTGTCATGTGGGGATTATTGGGATTATGGGGATTGCAATGCAAGATGAGATTTGGGTGGGAACATAGAGCCTAACCATATTAGGTGTACATGTGGAAATATTATAAGACATTTATTAGAAAATAGTGTAAATCCATGTGCCTGTTTTGTATAAGTACCATGCCTCTGGCTTTGTTCTTTTTGCTTAGGATTGCTTTGACTATTCAGACTCTTGATTTCATATGAATTTTAGAATAGTTTTTTCTAATTCGGTGTACATTGATGGTTTGATAGGAATAGCATTGAATCTGTAAATTACTTTGGGCAGTATGGACCTTTCAATAATACTTGTTCTTCCTATCCATGAGCATGGAATATTTTTTCCTTTGTTTTTTGTTGTCTCTGATTTCTTTCAGCAGTGGAACAGGATAGAGGACCCAGAAGAAAAGCGACACACCTGCAAACATCTGATCTTTGACAAAGTCAACAATAACAACCAAAGGGAAAAGGACTCCCTATTCAATAAGTAGTGCTGGGATAACTGGCTAGCCATATGCAGAAGATTGAAACTGAACCCCTTCCTTTCACCATATAAAAAAGTCAACTTAAAATGGATTAAAGACTTCAATGTAAGCCCTAAAATTATAAAACCCTAGGATAAAACCTAGGAAATACCATTTCAGACATTGGCATTGGCAAAGAATTTACAACTAAGTCCTCAAAAGCAATTGCAACAAAAACGAAAATTGACAAGTGGAATTTAATTAACTAAAAAGAGATTCTGCACCTCAAAGGAGACTATCACCAGAGTAAACAGAGATCTACAGCATAGGAGAAAATACTCGCAAACTATACAACTAACAAAGGTCTGATATCCAGAATCTATAAGGAAGTTAAACAACTCAACAAGCAAAAACCAAACAAGTTCATTAAAAAATAGGTAAAGAGCATGAATAGACACACTTCTCAATAGAAGACATACATGTGGCCAATAAATATATTTAAAAATGCTCATGATCACTAATCATTAGAGAAATCAAATCAAAACCACTATAAGATGCCATCTCACACCAGTAAGAATGGCTGCTATTAAAAAGTAAAAAAAAAAAAAATAACAGATGCTGGTGAGGTTTCGAAAAAAAGGGAACACTTATACACTACTGGTGGAAATGTAAATTAGTTCAGCCACAGTAGAAAGCAGTGTGGAGATTTCTCAAAGAACTTAAGACAGAACTACCATTTGACTCACCAGTTTCGTTACTGGGTATATACCCAAACAAAAATAAATCTTCCTACCAAAAATATACATGAACTCATATGTTCATTGCAGCATTATTCACAATAGCAAATACATCGTATCAACCTAGTTGTCCATCAGCAATGGATTAGATAAAGAAAATGTGGTTCATATATACTGTATTAGTTCATTTTCGCATTGCTGAAACATACCCGATAAACACACCTGAGACTGGGTAATTTAAGAAGAAAAAAAGGTTTAATAGACTTACAGTTCCACATGACTGGGGAGACCTCACAATCATGGCAGAAGGTGAAAGGCATATCTTATGTGGTGGCTGGCAAGAGAAAGTGATAACCAAGTGAAAGGGGTTTCCCTTTGAAAACCATCAGATCTGTGAGACTTATTTACCACCATGAGAACAGTATGGGGGAAACCGCCCCTGTGATTCAATTATGTCCCACTGGGTCCCTCCCACAGCACATGGGAATTATGGGAGCTATAACTCAAAATGAGATTGGGGTGGGGACACAGCCAAACTGTATCATACACCATGGAATACTACGCAGCCATACAAAATAATGAAATCACGTCCTTTGCAGCAATATGAATGCAGCTGGAGGCTGTTATTCTCAGAGAATTAATGCAGGAACAGAAAACCAAATACTGCATGTTCTCACTTATAAGTGAGAGCTAAATATTGAATACCCATAGACACAAAGATGGGAACAATAGACACTGGGGACCACTTTAGGTGGGACAGCGGTAGCATAGCATGGAGTGAAAAGATACTTATCAGGTACTACGCTCACTCCCTGGGTGAGGGAATTATTTGTATACCAAACCTCAGCAACATACAATTTACCCATTTAAGAAACTTGCACCTGTGCCCACTGAACCAAAAATAAAAGTTGAAAAACAAAAAAAAAAGAAAAAAAGTGTGTAAGTAATTTATAGTAGCTGTCCTCACATTACATAGAATCTAGTGAGTGAAATGAGAAAAAAATAGAACTTACGAATATGTAATTAAGTTTGTAAGGATTGTAAGCCAATAACATACAAGTCAATGCATAATCACTAACTGTGAGATGTGATATGAAATAGCAATATAGAATCAATGATAAACTGATTGTCTTCAGAGTTCACTGATCAGCCAAAGAGGCTTAATGAAAACAAACAAAGCATGTCTCATTCTAAAAATTTTTTCATGAAATAAAGTAAATGATATTATGAAGAGTTTAACTATGAAACACATATACATAGTAACAAAAATGCTGTTCAACTTTAATATGCCTGTTTAAATCTACCATGTATATGCAAACATTTCTAATGTTTATAAACATATACTTTGTATCCTGCTTTTGTACCGATTATTTGTCAAATATGTTGGGTCAGGTTTCTGCAAATCTTCCTAATTGCATTTTAATGGCTTCATAATATTTATGAAATGGTATAATCTCTTATTGTTGGACATATAAGCTGGTTTTAATATTTTACAATTATAAATTATGATCCAATAAGATAGTTCTGTAGACTTCTCTTATTTTGAATTCTTTTCTTTGGATCAACTATTAAAAGTGAAATTATTAGGCCCAAATGTATGAATTATTTTTTTTGAACCAATTTTTTTTTCACAATTGAACTGATATTAAAGTATGTTACAATGATGAAGATAATGTTTGATCTGTGTGAAAAATTCAAGCAGTATAAAAATGTATGAAATAAAACTAAATTAAATATTCTAATTTCTTATCCCTCAGTGATTAATCATTTTATGTGTATTCTTCCAGACTTTGTTTTAATAATTAGAAATTATACTCCATAACGTAGTCTATACACTTGATATAACAACATGCTTTATTTTACTTCCTGTCTTTTAAACATCTGTTCATTAACTGTAGTCATAAGTTAAACTTTTTAATGACTGTATAATATTTTCCTGTATGGTTGTGTTATACTTTGTTCATGAAAAATCCATCACTGATGGTCATTCAGGTTGTTTCCAAATTATAGCTATAATGTTTCAAGAAACAAGCATAGATGTGTTTTTTCAGACTTGTCAAATTATTTCCTTTTAAAAAATTCCTAGACATAAATTCACTGAATAGAAATTGTTGTGCACTCAGAATTTAAAATCTTTTTACCAAATTGTGCTACAGAAATGTTCTAATTTATATCAACAGTATTTGGAATGTCGTTATCACTAGGCCTCTGCAATTGTCCTCAGTTTGATTGGTTGGTTAAAACCGTAATTCTTGGATTATTAATGAGGTAAAACATAGTAGCATTTGTCAAGTATGTTTTTTAACCTTCTTAGTGGTGACTTTTGTCATACAGTGTAGGATTTTTATTTCTATATTTCTATGTTAACAGATCTATCAGTCCTTCCCTTTCTAATGTCTGACCTAGATTTCTTTTTACAAATACAGACTCTCCCTACATTAAGTAGGAATGTTGCCATAGGAGGGAGAGGAAGAGAGAGTGGGTAATCAAAAGCAAAAGATAACATCTATTTTAAGCTTATTATCATAAGCTTAAAATAGATAAAAATAGTCTCCTGAATTTTCTTAAGATTTTATGGTTTCGTACGTAAATCTAAACCTTTAATCAAACTGGAATACATTTGTGTATGTGTGTCCGTGTGTGTGTGTATGTATGTGTGTGTGCAACATGGGAGGGGGTTAACTTCATTTGTTTGAATGTTTTTTACAGGTTTTCAATTATAATTTTATTATATGTGAAGTTATTGCTATAATTTCTTTTTATGTCTGTTCATCTCTGTTTATTTTGGCTTCTTCCTGCAATAAAAAGGGCTTATCTGATTTGTTTTATTATCTGATAGGCAGATCCTTTGCATTATACCTCTAAAAATTGCCCTATTTTCTGGAATTTATTTTAAAAATAAAATACCATATTAAATAGTTAAGGGTCACATCCTAATAGCGGAATTGTGATAACATGGAATTGTAATCATTATTTGCAAAAAAAACTTACACCTTTACTGATTAGGTCTCTCCATCCAGGCACAATATAAACCCAATAATTCACGTTTGAGTTTGTTTTTGTCATTGAAATTTTCTCTCCTTTGCTCCTTCATATCTCACTTGTTTAGTTCTTTGGTTATAATCACTAAAATTACCGTAACAAACAATTTCAAATCAATTGAACCTTTATAGGGTATCTCTATAAACAAAGAAAAATAATGAATTTAGGAAAAATAGATGGCCAGAGTAACTCTGAAGATCTAGATAGCAGCATGTGAGGGGCATCTTTAGTTCTGCACCATAAAATTGGGATGTTGCCATAGGAAGGGGAGGAAGAGAGAGTGGGTAATCAAAAGCAAAAGATAGCCTCTATTTTAAGCTTATTATCTTGATTATCAGTGTGAATCAAATAAGGCATTTTAACTTGTGATAAGTTGGTTATTTCTTGAATTAAGTAAATTTATAATTTTTAAAATATTGCTTTAATAATTTTTTTTGTATTCTTTCAATCATTGGAATCTATCTTCTTGAATTTTCTAGGCATTCAATAATATTATCTGTAGGTACTGCTTGTTTTGTCTCTTCCGTATAAAACTCATGTTAATACATATTTTCTTGTCTTATTACATTATAGAATATAACCTAATATACTGGTAATTTTCACACTTTTAAATTTCTAATTTTAACAGAAATGCCTCTAGTAGTTCATTATTCAACATGATTTTGTGCATGTTTTTATATCAAGTATATAGACTTTACATTATGGAGTATAATCCCTAATTATAAACACACACACATACACAAATGCTTTTTACCATATTAATAAAGATTATTTCAATCACTAGACTAGGATTGCTTGTTTATTTATTTATTTATTCATTTATTTATTATTTTTTTTGAGACAGAGTCTTGCTCTGTCACCAGTCTGGAGTGCAGTGGCGCGATCTCGGCTCACTGCAACCTCCATTTCCCGGGTTCAAGTGATTCTCCTGCCTCAGCCTCCTGAGTAGCTGGGACAACAGGTGTGCACCACCATGCCCAACTAATTTTGTACTTTTAGTAGAGACAGGCTTTCACCATGTTGGCCAGGATGGTCTCAATCTCTTGACCTCGTGATCTGCCCACCTCAGCCTCCCAAAGTGCTGGGATTATAGGCATGAGAATTGAATTTTTAAATTAGAATTGTATATTAATTTTTTTGAAATGCTGTTTGGGATGTATTGAGATCTAGTTGTTTTTATTGTTTAATAAAATGAGATATTATCATCAGATTGCTTTTGTTGAATTATCCATCTGCTTATGAAATAAAACCTTTTTCATGATTATTATTTCAGTAAGAGCATTAGAATCGTTCATACTTTATTGTAGCATTTGCATAGACAATTGTAAGTAGGCTTTACACATAATTTTGTTATAGCCATTTTGGTAGTTTTTAGTTTTGGAATTTCATTTCTCTTTGAATATAAACTAAGAATGTGCTTTCTAATCATTATTTTTCTCTATGCCAGGGTTTCTCAACGTTGGCACTTTTGATTATGGGGTTGATAATTTTTTGCTGTAGGGGCTGTCCTATGTGTGACAAAATGTTGAGCAGCATATCTAGCCTGTACCTACTAGAAGCCATTAGGAACACCTAACCCCACTTCCTGTCACCTTGCCCAGTTGTAACAATCAAAAAAGTTTTTCAGACATTGACAAATGTCCTTTGGCAAACAATCACCTCCGGTTGAAATCCACTGGTGTGTGTTTTGGAAAAGTTTAATGTTTTTCAAAATTTATCTAGGGGACTATTTGAACTTGGTACCTTCTATGGAGTGGCATGGGGTTGTTAGCAAGTTCTGTGAATTCTACAACTCAAATATTTAGTTAGACCACTTATACCAGATTCTTATCATTTCTGCCTGAACTATTTGATTTTATTGATTAATAAATTGTAACTAAGAGTTTTAAAATGCCGCAATTCAAATTTACCTTTGAACATTAAAATATTAACCCAGAGAATTATTTATAGAGGAGAGCCACAAGTCGCTATCCAAGTTTGCTTTACTTTGTAGATAATCAGGGGATAATTATCTATATTTCAGAAGCTTTAAAACTAGAATTCATAAGTAAAATGCTGAGTGACTAAATCAAGGTTGAAAGGGGTTTATAAAGTGAAAGGAAGAATTTCGGTAAATGTGGTAGGAACATTTGTAAAGTTCTTGGTTCAAAAATTCCAAGCATCAGCTGTAGTTTAGTGCTAAAGTGAGCAGCATGGAGGTTGATGGTAATTGAAAGGAAAGAACATTTGGAAAACGTGAACCGTGTAAAGGTCTTTTGTGAAAATTTTGGGAATGTAACACTATGCTAATATAAAACTAGTTATACAGTATACTTACATTACTGAGTATACCACTGATATATATTATTATTTATAATTAAAACAAATTTTAACTGTTACAGTACAAAGAATCACTTAACTATTTGCACAAAAAAGTAAGTGTGATATATTTAACAGAGCACCATGCAGATAAGTATTAATGCCTAGGAACTTCATCTGGCCCTGTCTGCTAGATACAGGGTTGACTTTGGGGGATGAGAGTCCTTTGCAGGGGCTGGCACATCCACCCAAGAGATAGAACAGAAACAATGGTAAAAGGCAATGTCAGACTAACAGGCAAATCTAGCCATAAGATTCATTTTGAAATAGACACAAGCTTGCTGTCTAAAGCCAGTAACAGTATCAGTTACTCTGCTAGGGTGTAGGGACCAGGCACATGTACTGATATGGCAAAATATAAAGCAGGAGCTTCTGCATAGGTATTAATAAATAGGCAAAGATCAAATCATCAGAATAAAGATTCAAGTGAGAATAAGGTAAAAGCTGTTATTAGAACATAGCTGTGGGTCATTGCAGGGGTGACTTATGTTTAGTCTCACAGTTAGCTAGAGCTCCAAGTATCCCACTAGGATGTAGGGAAATGTTGAGTCTGCAGGTGGTTTTCAAGGAATTCCAGCTGTGTGGCATGCAGGGCTTCAGCCTTGAGAATTTTACTTGATGGTGAATTCACTGTAAGCTTACTTGGGATGTCAAAAAATGTAATGCAATTTTTATTTTTATATAGCAATATAACATCAGAATCAAAGAGGGTGGTCTAAAAGTGGTCTATTGTGCTTAGTTCTGGATATGAAATTTTATGAGACATAGTGACATACAGTTTCAGGACAAATTTAATAGCCTGAGGTGCCAGGTTTGTAATGTAAAGGAGTGAAGTGGACCCAGAATTAAAAAGAGAAAAAGACAGAGAAAGAAAAACAAAGAAAGAACCACAAGATACTAAATGACAACTGCTGCTTGGCCTTCCTTAGTGTGGAAAAGGCAGTAAGAACTGGTGAAGTGTGTGGTGGACTGGGTACTGCCCTAGTTATGGGGCAACTACTCCAATAAACATGGGGACTTCATTCTTGGGACCCTTAAATTCTTAGCAAAATGTGGTAAACATGTATTCTTGTTTAGTATCTTGTGACTTTTAATCTTGCCAAGTGATTTTTTTTAAAACTCTTGTGGGCCAAGAGAAATATTTTGCAAGCATGGACCACCAATCTGGAAATATTTCTCAGAGTAGCAGGTAGAAAATGCAAGTCATGACTTTCCCCTCAAGAAGAAATACCACAGGAATGTTTAGCTCAGAGACAGATTGAATGAAGACATGCCTCTCTAGGACATTGAATTCAGTTTTCCAAACTTTAAAGTTTTATAGCTTTAAGTTGATTGATAACAGCACTATTCCTGGAATGTAAATAATTGGACTATTTTGGATATGTACTCCTTATCACTATCATTTATTTAATTCCAATGTGCAAAGGACATTTGCTACTTCCAAACATATTTCTTATATTGGTATCATTTTTAAAAAATATGTATTATCACTTTTGCTTCGATTTTCTTTGACCATTTAATCATGAGTTTGCAATTTGGTTCATATTTCAATGACAGCTCACAAATGGGAAGCATCATGAGCCTGTGGTAGAAATTACAGGATTTGAAAGCTGATGGAGGTTAAAATTATGGGTCCTCCACTTAGTACTTGAGTAAATTGAAAATTTGTATGTCCCTTAGTTTTCCTGTCTAGAAAAAATATTTTCTGAAATGTTTCTTCTGAATCTATGCTGAATTTCACATCTATAAAACAATGCACATGTCTACTATGAAGGGTTAAAATATGTAAGTTAATTGATGTAAAATGGCTAGCCCATTTTTGCCTTAGAGTTTGCATCATATATTTACCAGTAACCCAAATTCAGCTTCAAATAAAACTATATTGCTTCATGGGTAATGCAAGTACCTTATAACAGGATCTTCCCAATTCTTTCATCCCATCCCTTATAATCTTGCTGTCATTAATTTTACTTTTCCATAAGCTATAATGGTCAAGTACATTGTATTATTTTGGACAATATGTCATCTGTTAAATCAATTAAGAATGAGAAAAATGAAAGATTTTGTACTACCTTCACTTACTCCTTCTCTAATGCTCTTCCTTTTTATAGCTTTGAGTTTCTCTAATACTTCCTTTATATAGCTTATAAAGCTTTCTCTAATGCTTCCTTTATACAGCTTTGAGTTTCTTGAATGCTCTTCTTTTATATAGCTTTGTGTTTCTATATAATTTCTTTCTCCCTGAAGTAGTTCTCTTAACATTTCTTGCACAGCAGATCTACCACTGATAAATGCTATCCATTTTTGTTTGTCTGAGAGACTCTTTATTTCTCTTTTACTTTTGAAGGGTAATTTTTCTGGATACAGTATTTTATGTTGATGGTGTTTTTAAAAAATACTTTAAATATTTCTCTCCATGTTCTTTTTCTTTGGATGCTTTCTGAGGTTTCTGAATATAATTGTAATTCTAATCCCTATTCCAAAGTAGGTAAGATAGTATTTTTCCCCTCTACCTTCTTTAAGATTTTCTCTTTGTCTTTGATTTTCTGTAGTTGGAATATGATGTACCTAGGTATAGAATTTTTGAAATTTGTTTGGCTTGATGTTTTCTTAGCTTTCTAGATCTATGGCTTGGTGTCATTAATTTTGGAAAATTCTCAGCCATGACTACATGAATTTTTTTTTACTCTTTTCTCTGGCATTTCCATTATACATATGTTATACCTTTTGTATTTATCTCAGTAATTGGAAATTCTATTCTATCTTTTTCATTATTTTTTTCTCTTTGCATTTCAGTTTTAGAGGTTTCTATTGACACATATTCAAGGTTACTGATTTGCTCTACAACTGTGTCCAGTCTATTGATGAACCAATCAAAGGGACTCTTCATTTCTAGCATTTTCTTTTGATCCTTTCTTAGAATTGTTATCTTTTTGTTTATGGTACCCATTATCTTGTAACTTGCTTACTTTTCCATTAGAGCTATTAGCATATTAATCATAGGTATTTTAAATTCCCAATGTGATCATTCTAAAACCTTTGCTATATCTGGTTGTCTTTCTGATGCTTGCTTTGCCTAATCAAAGTGTAATTTTTGTCTTTTAGCATGCCTTGTAATTTTTCATTGAAAGCATGACATGATTACATGCCAAAAGGAACTGATATAGAAAGGTCTTCAGTGTGAAGTTTTATGTTTTTCTGTCTGAGGGTTAGGCCGTGTTCAGCTTTGCTATAGCTTTGGTGTCAGAAACTAACATTTTCTTTAACGTCCATGATTTTGCCTCCCCTGTGATTCTTAGGTTTTCCTAGAGACTACTTAAATACGGTCTGGAGCTTGTAGTTCTTTTAGCTACATTCCTGTTATATAGTTGTGTTATTTATGTGTTGGTAAGGTAGGTGGGGAGGTGTTCTACAAGCCTGTGATAAGGTCTCAGTCTTTTAGTGAGCCTGAGTTGGGCATTTCCCTTCTCTCTGGTTGATTAGGGTCTGGCAAAGCCCCAGTTATTCTCTGATGAAATGGTTTCCTTGGGGCCAGGCCTTTTTAAAAGTTGACACATAATAGCTATAATAGTTGTATATATTTATGAGGTACTTGTGATATTTTGATACATGCATACAATGTGAAACTATCAAATAAGGGTAACTGGGATATCCATCATCTCAAATGTTTATCATTTCTTTGTGTTGGGAACATTCTAAATCTTCTCTTCTAGGTATTTTGACATATACAATACATTATTGTTAACTATAGTTGTCCTACTGTGCTATCGAAGATTAGAACATATTTCTTCTAGCTAACTGTATTTTTGTACCCATTAACCTTCATACTCCTTTACCCCCTACACTAGTGTCTGATAACCACCACTCTACTCTTTACTTTCACGAGATCAATTTTTTTAGTTCCTACATATGAATGAGAAAACATGATGTTTATCTTTCTGTGCCTGGCTTATTTCACTTAATATAATGTCCTCCAGTTCAATCCATGTGGCAGAAAATGACATGATTTTGTTTTTATAGCTTTTAGATGAGAACAGAGAGCTTGGAGTATGTTCCAAAATAGTTGCTCTTCCCTTCACCCTGCTGAAAACAAGAGGTAATTTTTCTTAAATCTTTAAAGTTGGAACCTGATTGGGGATCTGGAGGTAAAACTCATAAAAATGTAAAGGTCTTTCTAAGACTTTGACACCTCAGAGTTTTTAACTCTCAAGTTAGTTTACATTCTACCTCCAGCAATTCATCACTTCTAGTTTAAAATGTTACTCCTGATATTGATGCCAGTTACAGGGTTCTGTTCCTGGGCTTCCACTTCAGGTAAGCTGTTACTCTCTGAATCTACTTCTCCATCTTTCCAGTTTTCAAGGGATAGTTTGACTTGTGACCTCAATTGTCTGATTGAGCTAAGAATTGTTGATTTTCAGTTTGTTCAACCTCTTTCATATCTGGGTGATAATGATGACTTCCAAGTGCTTTATATGTTGGACTAGAAATCAGAAGTCAAATGACCCATATTAACAATAAGTATTGTGTCTTTCTATACATATACATATACATATACATGTATAAGATTATTATTGCTATTTGTTACTTTAGCCTGTTGTTACTTTAAAGAAAATTCTTGGGATCCATTTCAAGATGGCTGAATAGGAACAGCTCCAGTCTGTAGCTCCCAGCATGATCGATGCAGAAGATGGGTGATTTCTGCATTTCCAACTGAGGTACTTGGTTCATCTCATTGGGACTGTGGGACAGTGGGTGCAGCCCACAGAGGGCGAGCTGAAACAGGGCAGGGCATCCCCTCACCTGGGAAGTGCAAGGGGTCAGGGGATTTCCCTTTCCTAGCCATGGGAATCTGTCACAGACCGTACCTGGAAAAACAGGACACTTCTGCCCAAATACTGCACTTTTCCCAAGGTATTAGCAACCGGCAGACAAGGAGATCCTCTCCCATGCCTGTCTCGGCAGGTCCCATGCCCACAGAGCCTTGCTCACTGCTAGTGTAGCAGTCTGAGATCAAACTGCAAGGTGGCAGTTTGGCTGGGGGAGGTGTGACCGCCATTGCTGAGGCTTAAGTAGGTAAACAAAGCAGCCAGGAAGCTTGAACAGGGCAGAGCACACCACAGCTCAGCAAGGCCTACTACTTCTATAGACTCCACCTCTGTGGGCAGGGCATAGCTGAACAAAAGGCAGCAGACAACTTCTGCAGACATAAACGTCCCTGTCTGACAGCTCTGAAGAGAGGAGTGGTTCTCCAAGCACAGCATTTGAGCTCTGAGAATGAACAGACCACCTCTTCAAGTGGGTCCCGGACCCCCATGTAGCCTAACTGGCAGACATCTCCCAGTAGGGGCCTACAGACTCCTCATATAGGCAAGTGCCCCTCTGGGACAAAGCTTCAAGAGGAAGGATGAGACAGCACTATTTGCTGTTCTGCAGCCTCTGCTGGTGATACCCAGGCAAACAGGGTCTGGAGTGAACCTCCAGCAAACTCCAACAGACCTGCAGCTGAGGGATGTGACTGTTAGAAGGAAAACTAACAAACAGAAAGGATTAACTTCAACATCAACATCAACAAAAAGGACATCTATACCAAAACCCCATCTACAGGTCACCAACATCAAAGATAAAAGGTAGATAAAACCACAAAGATGGGGAGAAACCAGGGCAAAAAGGCTGAAAATTCTAAAAACCAGAGTGCCTCTTCTCCTACAAAGGATCACACTCCTCGCCAGCAATGGAACAAAGCTGCAAAGAGAATGATGAGTTGACTGAAGTAGGCTTCAGAAGGTTGGTAATAACAAACTTCTCTGAGCTAAAGGAGCATGTTCTAACCCATCACAAGGAAGCTAAAAACCTTGAAAAAATGTTAAGACGAATGGCTAACTAGAATAAACAGTATAAAGAAGACCTTAAATGACTTGATGGAGCTGAAAACCATAGCATGAGAACTTCGTGACGCATGCACAAGCTTCAATAGCCAATTCGATCAAGTGGAAGAAAGGGTATCAGTGATTGAAGATGAAGTTAATGAAATAAAGAGAGAAGACAAGTTTAGAGTAAAAAGAGTAAAAAGAAATGAAAAAATCCTCCAAGAAATATAAACCTATGTGAAAAGACCAAATCTACGTCTGATTGGTGTACCTGAAAGTGACAGGGAGAATGGAACCAAGTTGGAAAACACTCTTCAGGATATTATCCAGGAGAACTTCCCCAACCTAGCAAGGCAGGCCAACATTCAAATTCAGGAAATACAGAGAACACCTTAAGTAGAGCAACCCAAAGACACATAATTGTCAGATTCACCAAAGTTGAAATGAAGGAAAAAATGTTACGGGCAGCCAGAGAGAAAGGTCGGGTTACCCACAAAGGGAAGCCCATCAGACTAACAGCGGATCTCTCGGCAGAAACGCTACAAGCCAAAGAGAGTGGGGGTCAATATTCAACATTCTTAAAGAAAAGAATTTTCAACCCAGAATTTCATATCCAGCCAAACTAAGCTTCATAAGTGAAGGAGAAATAAAATCATTTACAGACAAGCAAATGCTAAGAGATTTTGTCACCACCAGGCCTACCTTGGTAGTTCCTGAAGGAAGCACTAAACATGGAAAGGAACAACCAGTACCAGACACTGCAAAAACATGCCAAATTGTAAAGACCATCAATGGTAAGAAGAAACTGCATCAATTAATGGGCAAAATAACCAGCTAGCATCATAATGACAGGATTAAATTCACACATAACAATATTAACCTTAAATGTAAATGGGCTAAATGCCCCAATTAAAAGATATAGACTGGCAAATTGGATAAAGAGTCAAGACCCATCAGTGTGCTCTATTCAGAAGACCCATCTCATGTGTAGAGACACACATAGGCTCAAAATAAAGGGATGGAGGAAGATCTACCAAGCAAATGGAAAACAAACAAACAAACAAAAACCAGGGGTTGCAATCCTACTCTCTGATAAAACAGACTTTAAACCAACAAAAATCAAAAGAGACGAAGGCCATTACATAATGGTAAAGGGATCAATTCAACAAGAAGAGCTAACTATCCTAAATATATGTGCACCCAATACAGGAGCACCCAGATTCATAAAGCAAGTCATTAGATGCCTAAAAAGAGACTTAGAGTCCCACACAATAATACTTGGAGATTTTAACACCCCATTGTCAATATTAGACAGATCAATGAAACAGAAGTTTAACAAGGATATACAGGACTTCAACTCAGCTCTGCACCAAGCAGACCTAATAGACATCTATAGAACTCTCCACCCCAAATCAACAGAATATACATTCTTTTCAGTATCACATCATACTTATTCTAAAATTGACCACATAATTGGAAGTAAAGCACTTCTCAGCAAATGTAAAGGAACAGAAATCACAACACTCTCTCAGATCACAGTGCAATCAAATTAGAACTTAGGACTAAGAAACTCACTCAAAACTTCACAACTACATGGAAATTGAACAACCTGCTCCTGAATGACTACTGGCTAAATAATGAAATGAAGGCAGAAATAAAGATGTTCTTTGAAATCAGTGAGAACAAAGACACAATGTACCAGAATCTCTGGGACACATTGAAAGCAGTGTGTAGAGTGAAATTTATAGCGCTAAATTCCCACAAGAGAAAGCAGGAAAGATCTAAAATTGATACCTTAACATCACAATTAAAAGAGCTAGAGAAGCAAGAGCGAACAAACTTTAAAGCTAGCAGAAGGCAAGAAATAACTAAGATCAGAGCAGAAGTGAAGGAGATAGAGACACAAAAAAACCCTTCAAAAAATCAATGAATCCAGGAGCTGATCAACAAAATCGATAGAGCGCTAGCAAGACTAATAAAGAAGAAAAGAGAGAAGAATCAAATAGATGCAATAAAAAATGATAAAAGGGATATCACCACCAATCCCACAGAAATACAAACTACCATCAAAGAATACTATAAACATTTCTATGCAAATGAACTAGAAAATAAAGAAGAAATGGATAAATTCCTGGACACACACACCCTCCCAAGACTAAACCAGGAAGAAGTTGAATCTGTGAATAGACCAATAACAAGCCCTGAAATTGAGGCAATAATTAATAGCCTACCAACCAAAAAAAGTCTAGGACCAGATGTATTCACAGCCAAATTCCACCATAGGTACAAAGAGGAGCTGGTACCATTCCTTCTGAAACTATTCCAATCAATAGAAAAAGAGGGGATCCTCTGTAACTCATTTTATGAGGCCAGCATCATCCTGATACCAGAGCCTGGCAGAGACACAACAAAAAAAGAGAATTTTGGACCAGTATCCCTGATGAACACTGATGGGAAAATCCTCAATAAAATACTGGCAAACTGAATCCAGCAGCACATCAAAAAGCTTATCCACCACGATCAAGTTGGCTTCATCCCTGGGATGCAAGCCTGGTTCGACATATGCAAATCAATAAACGTAATCCATCACATATACAGAACCAATGACAAAAATCACCTGATTATCTCAATAGATGCAGAAAAGGCCTTCGACAAAATTCAACAGCCTTCATGCTAAAAACTCTCAATAAACTAGGTACTGATGGAACATATCTCAAAATAATAAAAGCTACTTATGACAAACCCACAGCCTATATCATACTGAATGGGCAAAAACTGGAAGCATTCCCTTTGAAAACCAGCACAAGACAAGGATGCCCTCTCTCACCACTTCTATTCAACATAGTGTTGGAAATTGTGGCCAGGGCAATCAGGAAAGAGAAAGAAATAAAGGGTATTCAATTAGGAAAAGAGGAAGTCTAATTGCCCCTGTTTGCAGATGACATGATTGTATATTTAGAAAACCCTGTCATCTCAGCCCAATCAATATCTCCTTGAGCTGATAAGCAACTTCAGCAAAGTCTCAGGATACAAAATCAATGTGCAAAAGTCACAAGCATTCCTGTATATTAATAACAGACAAACAGAGAGCCAAACCACGAGTGAACTCCCATTCACAACTGCTCCAAAGAGAATAAAATACCTAGGAATCCAACTTACAGGGGATGTGGAGGACCTCTTCAAGGAGAACTGCAAACCACTGCTCAATGAAACAAAAGAGGACACAAACAAATGGAAGAACATTCCATGCTCATGGATAGTAAGAATCAATATAGTGAAAATGCCATCCCCATCAAGCTACCAATGACTTTCTTCACAGAACTGGGAAAAACTACTTTAAAGTTCATATGGAACCAAAAAAGAACCTGCACTGTCAAGACAATCCTAAGCAAAAAGAAGAAAGATGGAGGCATCACGCTACCTGACTGCAAACTGTACTACAAGGCTACAGTAACCAAAGCAGCATGGTACTGGTACCAAAACAGAGATATAGACCAATGGAACAGAACAGAGGCCTCAGAAATAACACCACACATCTACAACCATCTGATCTTTGACAAACCTGACAAAAACAAGAAATAGGGAAAGGATACCCTATTTAATAAATGGTGCTGAGAAAACTGGCTAGCCATCAGTAGAAAGCTGAATCTGGATCCCTTCCTTACACCTTATACAAAAATTAATTCAAGATAAATTAAAGACTTACATGTTAGACCTAAAACCATAAAAACCCTAGAAGAAAACCTAGGCAATACTATTCAGGACATAGGCATGGGCAAGGACATCATGACTAAAACACCAAAAGCCATGGCAACAAAAGCCAAAATAGACAAATGGGATCTAATTAAACTAAAGAGCTTCTGCATGGCAAAAGAAACTACCATCAGAGTGAAGAGTGAACAGGCAACCTACAGAATGGGAGAAAATTTTTGCAATCTACCCATCTGACAAAGGGCTAATATCCAGTATCTATAAATAACTTAAACAAATTTACAAGAAAAAAAAACCATCAAAAAGTGGGCAAAGGATATGAACAGATACTTCTCAAAAGAAGACATGTATGCAGCCAACAGACACATGAAAAAATGCTCACTATCACTGGTCATTAGAGAAATGCAAATCAAAACCACAATGAGATACCACCTCATGCCAGTTAGAATGGTGATCATTAAAAAGTCGGGAAACAACAGATGCTGCAGAGGATGTGGAGAAATAGGAACAATTTTACACTGTTGGTGGGAGTGTAAATTAGTTCAACCATGGTGGAAGACAGTGTGGCGATTCCTCAAGGATCTAGAACAAGAAATACCATTTGACCCAGCGATCCCATTACTGGGTATATACCGAAAGGATTATAAATCATGCTAATATAAAGACACCTGCACACATATGTTTATTGCGGCACTATTCACAATAGCAAAGACTTGGAACCAACCCAAATGTCCATCAATGATAGACTGGATTAAGAAAATGTGGCACTTATACACCGTGGAACACTATGCACCCATAAAAAAGGATGAGTTCATGTCCTTTGTAGGGACATGGATGAAGCTGGAAACCATCATTCTGAGAAAACTATCACAAGGACAAAAAACCAAACACCATATGTTCTCACTCATAGGTGGGAATTGAACGATGAGAACACTTGGACACAGGGAGGGGAACATCACACACTGGGCCTGTCATGGGGTGGGGGGCTGGGGGAGGGATAGCATTAGGAGATATACCTAATGTAAATGAAAAGTTAATGGGTGCAGCAAACCAACATGGCACATGTATGCATATGTAACAAATCTGCATGTTGTGCATATGTACCGTAGAACTTAAAGTATAATAATAATAAAAAAATTATTGACTTTGGTTTAGCTTTGTAAACAGAAATTTTAGATATGCTTTACAAGTCAAAATTAGATACATTTTTTTGCCGTCCAGATATCAAAGTGTACATGTTGCTATTGAAATAATGAAATGAAAATGCCTGTGCAGGTTGCATGGGATTTCTTGATTTTCACTCTGTAGGAAAATATCTCATTGTTTGAACAATATCATTAGCTCAACTAGTGCGTGCATAAACAATGTATAGTCAGAGGCAGAAACACAGACTAAAAAAGCTACAGTCCTATGATGAAAAACTCCTTTGCCAAATATGAAGATTTTTGTAGTCCAAACACAAGTTTATATTCAGACACATGTCCCCTCTCATACAATTAGAGAAGTACAATAAAATAATTTATACTTTGCTTACCTTTTCCATTTATTTTTCATGAGTTAATCTTAACTCTCTATAACTTGTGACATATTTCTACCTGTCATCTTAGAATTGTGTCTTCCAATTCTTAGGCATAATCCAGTCTACATACTCAGTTCAGAGTAAAAGAAAAAATAAATCCTTAAATCTCACTTGGTGAAAAGTAGCAGGTGCAGCATTCCTCACTAAATCCATTCTTCTGCTAAGGAATTGAAGATTCTGTCTCAGATCTTATGATACTTCACTGCCGCTTAATCAATAAACATTGACATATGTGTTCTGGCAAAACCAGATCACAGTGTGTTCATTCAATATTGCTATCATATGCCAAAGAATTATGCCTGGATTGATAGCTCTACTAAGATGATACACTAATTTCCTTCTCCATTAAAACACTCTTCTGATTTCGTAAGCATCTATTACATTTGATAGAAGCCTGACACATTTATGCATTTCATTTGACCTCCTTTCATTCATTGGAATGGTATGAAATTGTTTTCTAGATAAACTATTTTGGTATCCTTCATACTGGTAAGGAGAAAGTATGTCCTCTCTTTAAATTCCACACACATCCTAAGAAAAATTGTTCTTATTTTGAGGCTGTCAGTTCTGCTTAAAGAATATGGTAGAGAAACAGGCTGTGCTAATCCAATGTACCCTTCTGGTGGAAAGTCTCCTGAGGCATCTGTTCTAAGACCGAGGAAACATTTGAAGGCCTTAAATCTGATCCCTCAGACAGCTGTACTAATAACTTAAGTAACAGGGTTACAGAAAGAGATGGAGGAAATAAAAATCTATAAAGTGTTCAGTTGACATTTGAAAATAAATTTTATATATTCCATATATAGCCTCATAGCAGCATAATACATAAATTGTGACAAGGTTCCCAGACTCAACAGGAATAGATATAAGCATTGGAAAGCTAATTTCCAAATTTATAAGGGAGCATAAATTATAAATGAAGATTAATTTGTATATTGATGTACATGTATGTATATACTGGTGTGGAAAATAGGTAATTACCCATGTGTATGTTATACACACATACTAAATGTAAACTATTTTATGTATCTGGATTAATAAATGGCCTTGAAAAATAAATATTATATATTCAAAACAAAACAAAACAAAAAAACAGGCCAGGTATGGTGGCTCACACCTGTAATCCCACCACTTTGGGAGGTTAAGGTGGGGGAATCAATTGAAGCCAGGAGTTCAAGACCTGGGAAAATAGTCTGGGAAACATAGCAAGACCCCGTCTGCACAAAAAAAAAAAAAAAAAAAAAAAAATAGCCGGTTATTGTGGAATATGCCTGTAGTCTCAGCTACTTGGGAGGTTGAGATGGGAGGATGCATGATCCCAGGAAGTTGAGGCTGCAGTAAGCTCTGATTGCACCATTGCACTACAGCCTGGGCAATAGAGCAAGACCTTGTTTCTATAAAAACAAACAAACAAACAAACAAACAAAAAAACAAATAATTCAGTACAGTGCATAAATAAGACTGAAAGCTGATTAAGTTTGCAAAATATAAAAACATCTTAATAGAAAATAAATAATGCAGTTAATTATATAGCAGCCTATACAAATTTGCCTTTTTAGGATCATATAATTGATATAGCAATCAATTACTTCTTTTTTATCTATCCATATAAATGCATTGTGCCATCACAATAGACCATATGGAATGAGATAGTTATTATTTTTGGAGCAAAGAAAATAATAAATTACAGGAAGGATATAGGAAGTAGTAGTAGATAGAGAAGAAAACAAACAAAAAAACCATACAATTCATGATAAGAGGAAGGATTCTGAGGTTCCTTTGGAATTTAGTCAATGGACCTCTCCACTTTTTGTTGAAATGGATGATCCATTATTTTTCTACTGGTTTCTTTCAGTTGAGTAATTATTTACACCCGATCATTGCCAGTTAGCTCCCGTGACATGTCAAGAAAGGACTTAAAGACCTGGAAGAGACAATATGTGATTTTCACATGGCCAAGCTTAGGGTTCTGGAGCATTTGCATAGAGCAGAAGGAATTGGTACTCAGGAGGCCACAACTGACACGATTGTATTATTATCAAAATTACACCCTGAATGGTGGTTTCCAGGGCTCAGGCATGGGGAAAGTGGTGGATGTTGGTTAAAGAGTATACAACTTTTAATTACGAGATGAATAACTTATGGGCATCTAATGTACAGCATGGTGACTCTAGTTAACAAGACTGTATTGTTTACTTGAAATTTGCTGAGAGTAGATGTTAAGTGTCCTTACTATGCACACATACACACAAAGAAAGTAATTGTGTGGTGATAAACATGTCGAGTAATTTGATTGTGGTGATCATTATACAATATCAAATCATCATATTGAACACCTTGAATATACACCATTTTTGTCTGTAAATTATAGATCAGTAAAGCTAAAATAAAAAAGATGTTTCTAAGAATGCTTATATATAAACAATTAGCATTGTGAACAACATCAACTAGCCAAAGATATATATTTTCCTTTTTTTCAATTTGGAATTCTTATTTTAAGATAAAGCTATAATTCCAGTGAGTTATTAATAATTCAGGATGAGGCCTGTTTTAACAGAAAAAAAGTTCTCCAAGTACCAGAATCAAGATGATATTTAATTTAATAACAAAAACGAGTTTCCACAAAAGAGTTACATTTAAAATAGCAGATATTATAGGCATTCCATAATGCCAAAATACCAGCAAAAGGATCCTTTGCAGCTTGTAGCCAACAATCTTATCCACTTTTTGAAGTAGATATTTTATTTGCAAACATATCTCTCAGAATATTGTCAAACATCAATGCAAATAAGAAAAATAAAATTAGTATTAATTGAATGCCTAAATTATCTCGTTAATCCAAATAACAACTCTACGTGGTTAGTATTATTACTATTTCATTTACTGCAGTGGTACCTACAGAAGTGACAGAAATGGCATCTATTGTAGCAGATTCTAAAGCCTGCGCCACACGGTTGCAAGTTTTATTTTCATTGCCGCAGTTGAGAAATACTACACAAGAGATAGAAGATTTTAGGACATGTACTTTTTTTTTCTATACAAATACCAAAAAATAAAAATAAAAAGAAGAGGAAACACACAAAGAAGTTTTTAAAATAATCTTTTTATTGTTTTAGGGAGTACAGATCAACCCAATATGTCCAATAAATTCTTTTAAATAGGCTGTTCTATAGTCACAGACATAGGTCACTTTATCAGACAATTACCTGACTGTCCAACAAAACCACCTTCTTAAACATTCCAATATGTTGTTAAGAAAAAGATATGAAGTGTGATGTAAAGTATTAAAACACTTAAAAGCATGCCTGCACTTCTTTGGTGAATGGATGTGCCATTAATGAAGGTATATAAACTTCAGAAAATAAGAGCAGAGTGTGTGAGGAGAGAGATTTACTTCAAGTGAAATTCTCTGCCCTCAAAGGGTTAAATGTTAACAAAGTTAAAAAGCAGAAATCAGGCTCCTATTAGTCTTGAACACTAATCTTGTTGACGGCTGAAGTGTTTCCTTATTTTATCCATATTTATTATATTGAAGGTGGATTATATGGTGGTGACTAATGACCAAACATCTGGACCTAGTGACCCTTAAAATCCTCCAGCCATTGCTGTTCACAATTAAGTACCACATGAACTAAAATGATATTTTGGCTTGACCAGGACAAATTAGTGTGGCAAAAGCTAAAGAAAGAGCCTTGTCTTTAGTTTTACAGAAATCATAGCCTCTAAACATTTTAAAATAAAAAGCTATTTCTTTTTATGACTGGAAGGTATCATTGTCATCATGGAGCTAAGAAAAGTAAAATGAATATTTTCAGAAGAAAATGAATATTCTGGTGGATTGATCATTGAGGATACTGAGAACATTTGTTACAGAAGTTTTACCTCCCAGAATTTTGATTGAGCTGTGGAAAATGAGATTATTTCAGGTTAAATAATTGGCAAACCTCATTTCCAGAGTAATTAATTCTATCTGCAGACAGATAACTAAAGGAAAGAGAAGGCAAATGTCATCATCACCATGAGAATTATTTGTTAAAGATGAATGAGTTTGTCTTCTTGAAGGTAGAAAGGCAGCAGAGGCAACATAAAATAATAATAATGGTCAACAAAAATAAATATAGAATTTTCCATCAGAATCACAAAAGAGAAAATAAATTACACAAGAATCTCTGCAGCTGTACAAGTACCTAAGGGAAAGCCCGCAAAGAAAGCTATGTTTGAGCTCTACATAATTTGTCTATCTTTCTCTCCTTTGGCTAAGAGAGCATGTGGAATGATGCTGGAAAGATTGGCAATGGTGTGGAACTCAGCTTCTCTGAATGAATCCATGGGAAATGAAACCTTAATGATTTAACTTTGATATTGAATTCAAATGTTATCTCCTATTGCATTATGAAAAACTTCTAATTTGATGGAATAAAGCCTTTAATTTTAAAAGATCAGAGACCAATCCGCCAATCATGTTAATATGCAGCATCTACTGATGAACCCATGGCTCTGATCTAACATGAAATTACAAAGTTACACATAGAACACAAGCCAGCAATAATCACCCTTAAACTTCATAATGTTCTGATGTGAACACAAGCAGGTCTCAGATAAGGAAGTAAGATAATTATAGGAAATTTATATAAACTATATCCAGGGGATAATATCCAGATATAACTGCCCACATTAATTATCAGAAAGATGAAAATAATAACCCCCTGAGCCCCATAAAAAATGCTACTCCAATTTTAAGAACATATAATATAGTGTTGGAAAAAATGTCTTATAGGATTTATGCAAAATATTTTTAAAAATTATATGAAAAATACTTGCACATCTCGAAGAAGTACAAAAAACATGAAAACAAGAAGTCAATGAAACAAACAAAAAGTAAGACAGGTAAACAAACAAAAAGTAAGTCTAATTTATACTTTTTTTTGTTTCATTATCTCATGAAACAAAAGAGTGATATAAATTAGAGACTGTGGAAAAAAATAAACAAATGAGCACCAAAACTATATCATTAGAGAATAAACAAATAAGTGGCTGGCTATTAGGAAAAAAATAAAATATCTTAAAAACTAAAAACTACAGAAAAGACAATTTCTTTAAAGTAGTCATGGAAAAAATGCTATATATTAGGTATAGAACTCAACATGGAAACACTCAACTCATGGAAAACTAGTGTTCTTGAATTAGAGAAATGAATTAATTATTATGCAGCAAATAATAAAGTATATTAAACAAGAATTGCAGATTCTCATGAGTGTAACTATGAAAAAATCTGTAGAAGCAGGAGGCTAACTTAAGAAACTTATATCTCGAGAAAAAGCAAGTAGATAAAAGGATGTAGATGTACATAGTTATTAGTAAGGCTAATCCAAATATATAAAATGAATAAATACATCACTATAGTAACACTTCCTCTCAAGGTATTTTGAACATGTTTTAAAAATAGTATTTTTAGATAACATAGTCCAAAATGTAGTATAGAACAAATAACACCAATGAAATAAAAAAATTATCCAGTTACTATATATACGTATATACACATACACATGCACAATGCACATATATATGCTTGTATATGCTTATGTATGCAAATATATTTAATACTCAAAATGAAAAATATTTTAGATGAAGCCCCTACGTATCTCATATATATATATGATATATACAATACATGGGATAGAACCAAACTTGAGCTTACATACAACTTCATAGCATTATACTTTCATGCAACTTAAACTGATACAGAATAAATGTGAAAAATTAAACATCTAATAAAAGAAGATAGAAATAGACCAAGAAAAAATCTAAAGAAAGAAGATTGATAGGTACAAATAGAGTTAAAGGCATAAATAGGTGAACCAAATATAAAAACATAACATTGATAAATAATGCAGAGCCAAATTTTAGATAAAATATTTTACAACACATAAATTACATGCGAAAACAGAATTACACAATTATAAAGACAAAAAGCTAAAGGGTACAGACACAAAAGTAATCAAATAATTTTTAGTGTGTTTTTGCAGAAGTACAGGAAAATAATTACAAAGCCCTAGAAGAAATGGAAGTTAACAATGAAAACCAAAATAACTAAATAACCAACAAACTCAAATAACAAAAAATTTGACTCAACAAGAGAGACTAACATGGAACAAAACATTGATTTAATATCCTTCTCAAAGTGCCAGGCTGAGATGATTTCCCAGTAACTTTTCTTTTTCAGTCTTTGAAGAAACAGAGAGTGCTGATATTATTTCATGTGTTCTATAACATGGAACTAAGTAGGTCAGCATAACTCTAACCACAAATCCATACACCAAGTACATTTAAAAATAATTTAAAGAAAATTTATGGATGATAATGTCTTATATGATTTCTTATGTTATCTAATATTGGTTTTCAAATAATAAAATGACTTCTAAAGTATCCCTCAAAGTCATCTATCCTAGCTCTTGACTTTAAGGTACAGCAATAATTCAGAAACTCTGTTTTTCGCGACCCCTGCCATTTCTTTCCAACACAAGCTAACTTGAATTTGTATACCATCAAAAGAAAAATGAGTTCCAAATGTATATATACTCCCTTCTTCCAGCAGTTTGCATTTGGAAATGATACACACATATGTATCATCTTATATGAATATGTGAACTGATGATTATTGTATCAAATTCAAGTGTCATTAAGTCAAATCAACAAATGTATGTTCAATATTCATTCATCCCTATCTGAGTAGTTTACAATCCATAAGAAACTACTTAGAGAATGTTCAAAAACAATGGATTTTCAGAGCGATTATTTTTACAGCTATAAGTAACATAAATTGAGATAAGAATATCAAATTGTAAACACAGGTCAATATCTTCATTAAGAGGAAATGTTGAACTTTCAAAATTTTAAAAAACATGTCCTAATGTAACTATTTGATCAGGTGGTGTATTACACATGCAGAACTACACTGTGGTAGGAGAAACAAAAATTGTCCATGGGAAATAATTTAAAATTTCTGAAATGCAGTTACATTTTCTCAATAAATGAGTTAAGCAGACACCATTTGTTGATAAGCATCATGTGGGAGAGCGGAGGGTTTGCCACAGTCTGAAAGTAAATCAATCATAGGTTTGAAAATAAAATCCACATGTGCAGACTTGCAGAGCTGCTTGAGCCACCGGCCAACACTCTCTCATCACACTATATTAACTCTGTTCCTGTCCAGGGGAAGATTGTTAATGGTGAGTCTGATTAGACCATGAAATCTGATCTCAAGAGAACAGACAGAGACGCCATCTCATGTGCCATTTAAAATAACTTTAGGACTTGGAGGATATCATTTGGTGTTAAGAAGTAAATAAAGGGCTTGGTTATCCTGAGATATTTCCTAAATCCATTCAACCTGAGTAAGCCATCTAAAGGATGTCTCAAGGGATCGTGATCCACTGTGACCAGCACAGTGCAGTACAATAACTTGGAAATAATTAATCAGTTTTCTCATTGGGCATTTCTGTTTGTTTGTTTGTTTGTTTGTTTTGGAACAAGGGCACCAAATTTTTGGTATACTGGGACCACAACAAGAAATTTACCTTTTTTCTATATTCCTCCATGTATTTATTTTATTCATTCATATTCATTCTTTAATCGGTAAACCAAAAGAGTACCCAATTTGTTCCAAGTTCTGTCATAGACTAGAAGAGGCAATTTAGACCAAATAGTATAGTTACAGCAACAGACATGATGTATTACTGCAGGCTTTTCTGCTTGCAAATGATGAAAATTCAGTCTAAACTAGTTTAATCAGAATAATGTTCATTAGCAAGAACATCTAAATATCTGGGGGTACAAATGGCTTCAGCCACAGCCAGATTCAGGAACTCAAATAGTTTTAGGACACATTCTCTACCTCTTTACTTCTTGGTTGCTTTTTACTGTAATGATTTCACTCTCAGGCTTGCCACCAACAAATGGTGGCATATACGACCCTCGATTTTACACGATGCTTAGCAATTAAGATTTCAGAAAAGAGACCTTTTATTTTCAAGCATTCATATCAATTTCAAAATGAAATCTGGTTTTTATCACTTAGATCATTTTTATGTGAGTTTTATGATTGGCTTAGGTCTGGGTCATGTGTCTATCCTGCAAACAGCGAGGTGAAGTCAGTTCTACCTGAACTACAGAGATGAAAATGGGAAGAAGTAATTTTCCAAAAAGTAGCTAGGAAAATAAAATATAATGTCTGTTATGGATATTTAAAGGTATATTTATATAACATAGGTATTATAGAAATATAGATGAGCTTATTCAGAGCACAAAGGAAGTGGTGTCCAATATTCTAAAGGGGTGGGAAGGGAAAGAAGGCTTAAGACAGTAAGTAAATCCTGGCCTACATTTTAAAATATAAAGTAGATGTTTAATTTTTTGTTTGTTTGTTTTCCTTGAGACGGAGTTTTGCTCTTGTTGCCCAGGCTGGAGTGCAGTTCTTGTCGCCCAGGCTGGAGTGCAGTGGCATGATCTTGGCTCAGTGAAACTTCCACCTCCTGGGTTCTAGCAATTCTCCTGCCTCAGCCTCCCGAGTAGCTAGGACTACAGGCGCACACCACCATGCCCGGCTAATTTTTGTATTTTCAGTAGAGACAGGGGTTTCACCATGTTGGTCAACTGGTCTCAAATTCCTGATCTCAGGTAATCCGCCTGCCTTGGCCTCCCAAAGTGCTGGGATTACACCTGTGAGACACTGCACCCAGCTGATTTTTGGACCAAAGAAGTAAGACATGAGAGCAAGTAAAGAGACCTTTAGTAAAATTATAGAGACATCAAACAGCCTGGGAGGTAAAATTTTTTATGAACTCATCAAGTGGCAAAGCTTTAATTAACAGGCAGATAAACCATTACCTAACTGTGTCTGAATTATGGTAGTTATTCAATAAAAGTTTGTTGCGTGAATAAAAGTGGAGCAATTTACAAATCAAATTGGGAAGAAAAATCAAGTGTGAAATTAGGGAGGAGATAGAATAAACATTTCCCCCCCCTTTGGGGATTTAACAGGTACCACTGATGCTTTTTGCAAAATTAAGGTGAGGATTGGACAGAATTTGAAGTTTATGATACTACTTTCATTACTGGACTAGTTATTAGAAAAAAATGTAGACAATGTAAGCTAAACTCTTAGCTTTATCTTTAATATTTGGCAGGATATTTAGGTATAGTTTTCTACTTGAAAGAAGACAATCATTTTAGATGACAAAGGATACATGCACGCATATGTTCGTTGCAGTACTAGTCACAATAGCAAAGACATGGAATCAACCTAAATGTCCATCAGTGACAGACTAGATAAAGAGAATGAACACCTGGGTGGCGAAATCATCTGTGTAACAAACTCCCACGACCCAAGTTTACCTGTATAACAAACCTGCACACGTACCCCTGAACTTAAAAGTTAAAAAAAAGGATACTAGTGAAATCTAGATATTGTTGAATGATACCAAACATTTATTTCCTTTTCCTACTGATGTTTGGCTCAATGTGAATTGTTAATGTTAATAATTGTTAATGTTTGGCTCGATTAGAATCCCTTTCCAGTGTTCTGAAGTCTTCTGACCTTGGTCTCTTATTGTCTTCTTTCTTCTTCTCATGATGTTCTTAACTTTTCCAATTATCTGCCAAGTCTCCTAGTTTGTGGCTTGGTCCTTAGGGGAGCTTGTCATGCAGTAATGAAAACTCTAGGCAATGTTCCTTGCAGACAGGTAGGCCTGCCCTAGTTTTCATTGCTGGAAGAAATTTTAAATATTTTTCCAGTTGGAACATCACAACATCTCAATAGAGTTTGCAGTATCGTCCTCCTCATAACAAACACATTTTACCCTAATTATACCTTCCACCATGAATGGGGAAGGGGAGATCCTGACCTTCTGCATTTTAAGATTAAGAAATTTACTTGTTTTGTTGTTGCTGTTGTTTTTGTTTTGAGACGGAGTCTTGTGATCCGCCCACCTCAGCCTCCCAAAGTGCTGGGATTACAGGCGTGAGACACCGCACCCGGCCAGAAATTTACATTTTTTAAAAACTCTCTATTGTCTGTGGTGAGTTACGAGCATAGTTTCTTCAATATTTATTAGTCATTTTCTCTTTATCATACGTGTGTATTTTCCTAATAAAAATTAACATGTGGCTAGGTGTGATGGCTCATGCTTGTGATCCCAGCACTTTGGGAGGCTGAGGCAGGTAGATCACTTGAGCCCAGAGAGTTTGAGACCAGCCTGGGCAGCATGGTGAAACCCCATCTCTATAAAAAATACAAAAATTAGTCATGCTTGGTGGCATGTGCCTGTAGTTCCACCTACTTGGGAGGCAGAGGCATGAGGCGGCAGGAGATAAGAATATGAACTGTTTAGTCAGAGGGCTGGCATATCTCTCAAGTGCAGATGGCATATTTGATTGTCCTAGAGTGATGTTGGCACAATGGATAAGCTTTCAGTCATTCCCCAATTCAAAACTGATGTCAATGGTTTGTTTGAGGTGCTTTTAAAATACAATTCCTAGGCCCCACTCAGAATCTACAGGGTGTGGCTAGATAATCTATTTTTAGTACACTCCTTGAGCTGAGATCACACCTTTGCAATCTGCTCTGGGTGACAGACAGAGTGAAACCCTGTCTCAAAACAAAACAAAACAAAACGAAAGCATGTATTAGTCTCCATTTTTAAAATAACGTACTTAACAGCTCTCTTGATATTTAGGCACTTTAAATATTCTATTAAAATTAATCTTTGCTTTTTAACATAACTGAAATATGTTCTTCTTGTGCCTATGAGTAGAATGAGGGAATGGATATAAATAAATTAACAAAATTTCTGAAACATTTGGACCAGGCAAACCCACCGTTAGACAACCAAGTATCTCAATTCTCTAGGCAGGTGATACGTGAAGAAGAAGAGGAACGGTGAGAGGCTATGCAAATGTTTGGAATTAACAGTGTCCTTTGTACATTGAAGTGTAAAAACCAATATACAAGACAATATGCCTAGTGATTTTGACACTGAAGCTTAAATTAACCCAAAATACGTCTGATTTCCAGTTTTACTGTTTGTTTTTTTAGTGCCATTGTCTGAAAAATCTGCCTTTCAGGAAGCAGAATAGATCACAGGTTGCAGCAAAATTAAGTGAAGGTAACAATGTATGTAACAAAGAAGGTGTTGGTTAGAAAGAAGTTATTCAGCCATAGGTATTTCCAGAAACAGCTTCACTGGCAGTGCTCATTCACATAGGTCCAGGCGGCAGGAGATAATATGAACTGTTTAGTCAGAGGGCTGGCATATCTCTAAAGTGCAGATGGCATATTTGATTGTCCTAGAGTGATGTTGGCACAATGGATAAGCTTTCAGTCATTCCCCAATTCAAAACTGATGTCAATGGTTTGTTTGAGGTGCTTTTAAAATACAATTCCTAGGCCCCACTCAGAATCTACAGGGTGTGGCTAGATAATCTATTTTTAGTACACTCCTTGGTGATCCAGATTTGTATACTTGTTCAGATGATATATGGAATTCTTCCCATGCTGATTTTGTGCTTATCACTTCAAGTTATGATTTGCATCCCCATGCCAGTCCACAACAGAAAGAAAATGAGCTGGTCCCATGGGGTGATGTTTTCAGTCTCAAATGCAACTGCATTTTTGTTGTAAATTGATCATTGCCATTATGGCTAATTTAGTGTTTACTTTGAGCTAGATGCATCTATTTCTACAGACCACTTATGGTGTGTTGACCAGATAAAGTTTCTGTACTTCTCAATTATGAACTCCCCAAAAGACCTGTCAAATTGTGATGCCTCTTAGAAGTCACGTAGCTGGCCGAACCCAGTCTCACCTTAGCTGTTTTCATTTCATAATGGCTCCATGTCCTATATGTGTGTGTGGGTGTGTATGTGTAGTACATTTATTTATTTATTTATTTATCTATTTATTTGTTTAGATGGAGTCTCGCTCTGTCTCCCAGGGTGCAGTGCAATGGCATGATTTCGAATCACTGTAACCTCCACCTCCCGGGTTCAAGCGATTCTCCAGCCTCAGCCTCTGGAGTAGCTGCGACTATAGGCATGCACCATGCCCGGCTAATTTTTGTATTTTTAGTAGAGGTGGGGTTTCACCATGTTGGCCAGGCTGGTCTTGAACTCCGGACCTCAGGCGATCCACCTGCCTCTGCCTCCCTAAGTGCTAGGATTACAGGTGTCAGCCACCACGCCTGGCCTGTGCAGTACTTTCAGTTGGTGTTAGTATTTACTGGATTTTAGAGACACAGGGTAGACCCACTCATTCAGTGACTGATTTCCTTTATAAAATATTGTGAGGAAATTTCAGAAATGCAGGCTCTTGGATGAAAATTACAGAATTTGCTGCTACTTTGTGCCTAAAATAGTCTTTGTTAAGTGGCTTGCAGATGGCTAAGTGGAACTTTATTCCAGATGGTTAGCTTCACTGCCTCAGGTCTTGGTGATCTGGTCAGAGCTTCCAGAAATGCATACCCTTACTTATGATAAAAGAGGAATTCTCCATCTCACTCTTTTATTTTTTTCCCAACAAAAGACTCAAGACCATCAAATAATACTTAAAAATAATCCTGCTGTATCAGCAAGCAGTCCACATGTGAGCACAAGACTCTGGGTGGATCACATGATCTGTATAGACTGGTGGGGTAAGGTCAGCATCTTAAACCACTGTGGGCATGCCTCCTAGCATATCTTCCCTTCTGAATCTCTGAGAAACAGGATTAATCTAAGGACAGTATCACTTGCTTCTCTTTTCATCTGCAAAGTGTCATTGCTCTGGTCTTAGTTAAAACCGGACTCTTTTCAGCATGGCAAAACTAACTTTAGAAAGTATGAAAATGTGAAGATTATGCCATTGTAAATATATTTTTGTCATAAACCCTTTCTAAGTTCCCTAAACGAACTTCAGTATTTCTGGTATGATGACATATGAAGCTACACTTCCCCCACCCAATGTTCATTTCTGAGGGAGTCAAGTCTCAGTCTTATATTATCTCATTCTGGGTCTAGATGAAGCCGTTTTTAAACCGTCTAAGAAGGCCTCTCTCATGAGCACATAAGGTACCTTCCGGCAGGCTGCCAGTAACCCCAAAGCAGCGTAGCAAAGAGGCATTCAAGCTGGGTCTCTATAATTTTTCTCTTTACAACTTTCTCTAATGTTCAGTTTAATATGTTTTGGAAAATGTCCCAAACAGAATGACTTTCCCTCGGATCTGTGTTCTCTTCTAAGTGAGACCTGAGTGGAGGTTGTTATAAACCAGCTGATAGGAAGCTGAAATGATGCCTCTGGTCCACTTGGCAATCAAGTGTAGAGAGTAAACCTTGTCTCTGTCTCACTGTCCTGAGGGTCTGCAGTTTGATGAAGTGAGGTACAGGAGGACCAAAGAGAAAAATAATTTAACTCTATTGCTTTTCATGTTAATGTGCACCTTGGTGTATTTATAAACTATGATTTCATTAGAAGAAAATACAGAGAGGATTTTTCTGAGCAGTGCTATAGCATCTCTCAGCACTTAGAAGGAAAGTGTCGGGGCGGGGGTGGGGGTGTGGGTGGCTGTGTACCTGTGTGTTTTCATGCACGCATGCTCATGCCCTCAACCGCCAGTTTCCAGGGCAGTGCCAAGCCTCATCTGGGTGCTTAACACTGTCTCACTAGGTCATGTGTTGTCTTCCCATGAGCTGCCTCCTTGCTCCTAACAATCCTATTTCACAGAACGAAGCAAAGGGAAACTAAGTGATGCTCTACGAATTCGGCTGATATTTGACTAACTCTTCCTTAGTCTGGTGTTTATATACTTTTAATTTTACCTCTGAACAGGGCTAAGACTAAGCCTCTGAAATTAATCAATATTTTAGAAAAAGAGTTCTATATGCAAAATTCTGGAACAGAAGAAATCGAATCTTTTCCCTTCGAGCTCATTGGTAGCCAGAGAATATAGTAGGATGCTTGTGAACAATTGGTACAATATATTTTATGATAGAAATCATAACACAAACATGACTTTGTTTCCCTAAAGATGTGAATGAATAGACAAAAATGATATTACTAACTTCCAGAGGAATAAACATGTAACTATATATCTTGTTTATTGAATATAGAAATATCTGTATAAAGATTATAGATATAAAAAAATTGGGCCGGGTGCAGTGGCTCATGCCTATAATCCCAGCACTTTGGGAGGCCGAGGCGGGCGGATCATGAGGTCAGGAGTTTGAGACCAGCCTGGCCAGCATAGTGAAACCCCATCTCTACTAAAAATACAAAAATTAGCCAGGCATGGTGGTGCACACCTGTAATCCCAGCTACTCGGGAGGCTGAGGCAGGAGAATTGCTTGAACCCGGGAGGCGGAGGTTGTAGTGAGCTGAGATCATGCCGCTGCACTCTAGTCTGGGTGACAGAGTGAGACTCCATCTCAAAAAATAAAATAAAATTTTTATTATTTTATAATAATATAAAATACAATAAGGTAAAATTTCTTAAAACGGAAAATACAGATATATTAATATTATGTTGCTTCATTACTAAAATGTTTAAATTTTAATTGAATAAAACTGCAATTTATAATTCATCTGTGCATAAAATGAATATAGTACCCAAATCTATTAAGATATAGTGAGAGAACTGAAAAACATATTTAACATGTAAAATGTAAATTTTTAAAATGACTGGTATTGAACTACTTTATGTTATAAATTTAAAAATGTAAATGTCAATTTTTCCTTAATCTTTCAATTTTACATTTTTATTTTAAAAGACTTTTTTTAACTTTTATTTTAAGCTCAGGTGTATAAGTACAGGTTTGTTACATAAGTAAATGTGTATCATGGGGGTTTGTTGTAGATTACTTCATCGTCCAGGTATTAAGTCTACTACCCATTAGTTGTTTTTCCTGATCTTCTCCCTCCTCCTACCTTCCACCCTCTGAAAGGCCCCACTGTGTGTTGTTCCCCTCTAGGTGTCCATGTGTTCTCATCATTTAGCTCCCACTTATAAGTAAGAACATGTGGTATTTGGGTTTCTGTTTCTGTGTTAGTTTGCTAAGGATAATTGTCTCCAGCTCCCTGCAAATGACATGATCTTGTTCTTTTTTATGGCTGCATAGTATTCCATGGTGTATATGTACCACATTTTCTTTATCCAGTCTAGCATTGATGAACTAAATGTCTATTTTTAATCTTTATTTTTATTTTTTTTTTTAGAGACAGGGTCTTGCTATGGTCTTAAATGTCTGGGCTAAACCAATCCTTTGCCATGCATCCCAAGTAGCTGGTACTATAGGCATATACCACTGTATCCAGCTCGTGATTTTAATAATCAACAAAAAGCTAAATTTATTTAAAATATGTACAACATGTAAATTTATTTAAAATATGTACAATTTATATAAAATATGTATTTGTGACAGCATTACATCAATCTAGTTGTTTTTTCTTATACCCAGAAGCAGGCACCTGGGTATTTCCCTATGCATCTGTTTCTCTGATGCTGTCCTAACGATGGGACTAAAATGCTACGTAAATACACAGCAGGTGGCAACAACAAAAGTTCTACCTTTAGCAAGTGGACAGTGGATCAGGGACAGTAGTGATTTTACTGCCTTATTGTGCAAGAACATGGCAACATCTTTCCACTCATTTGAAGATATAAACATCTATTTAATCTATTTTTATCCAGCTGTATTTTGGCTTAAAGTCCCTTTTTCTCTTCTCAAAAACATTTTTAGGCCCGGTGTCGTGGCTCGTACCTGTAATCCCGGCACTTTGGGAGGTCAAGTCGAGTGTATCATTTGAGGTCAGGAGTTCGAGGTCAGCCTGAACAATATGGTGAAACCCCATCTCTACTGAAAATACACATATTAGCGGGGTGGTAGTGGTGCACGCCTGTAATCTCAGCTACTCAGGAGGCTGAGGCAGGAGAATTGCTTGAGCTTGGGAGGCAGAGGTTGCAGTGAGCCGAGATTGCACCACTGCACTCATCTGGGTGACAGAGTGAGACTCTGTCTCCAAAATAAATAAATATATAAATAAATAAACATTTTATAAAATATTTATAAAATCAGGAGTTTCTGAATTAAATAATATTTAATTCGTAAAGTGGTTTGATTTCCCAATTTCATCCCATCTATAATAGATTTTATCCCACCTATTATCCCATACTCCCAAGTCACCTCATATCCCAAAACATTTGTGATTCTCTCATTATTATTATATATATTTTTTTCAGATGGAGTCTTGCTCTGTCACCTAGGCTGGAGTGCAGTGGCGCAATCTCGGCTCGGTGCAACCTCCGCCTCGCAGGTTCAAGCAATTCTCCTGCCTCAGCCTCCCAAGTAGCTGGGATTAAAGGCACCTGGCTAATTTTTGTATTTTTTTTTAGTAGAGATGGGGTTTCATCATGTTGGCCAAGCTGGTCTCGAACTCCTGACCTCAAGTGATCCACCCATCTCGGCCTCCCAAAGTACTGGGTTTACAGGCATGAGCCACTGTGCCTGACCTGATTCTTTCATTAAAAGGGAAAAGAAGGTAAAATTTAAAAGCTATCACCTAATAATAATAGTTATCAAATACATTACCTAATTTAAAGATCAGAAGAGCCCAGTAAGATAAATGTTATCCCCAGTTTACACTGAGGCAACTGAATTTCAGAGATGGCATACACTTTAAAAAGAACAAAATAAATCTGATTTGCCCAAGGCCATTGTGGCAGAGTTGGGACAAGAATATATATATCAACATACATATGTATATATATATATTGTCTTCACATGAGCTGTGAATATATTTCCTTTTGATTCAAGGCTTTCTTCCACACAGAATTATAGAGCAGATTTTTAATATTTAATTTTAAAAATGAAGGAAACAGAAAATATCAATGACTGGGTCTAGTCTAAAGATTTAAAAAATTATAAGCACATTGTGACTAGAACAATGTAAAATATAATTCCCAAGGTTTAAGTGCTGAAAATTTTTGAAAATGCATCATATGTAGTGAAAGAAGAAGAAATGAACAACAAAATCTTTACATTTTCAGTGAGATCAATTTCTTTCAGAGTCATGGCCTGTGAAGTCCAGGAAGATCACACAATAGTGTGAGGGGCAGAAAACCATCTCTCTTGCTCCTGTTTCTCATTGTTCCACTGATTGATTGATTGTTTGATTGACAAAGGGTCTCCCTGTGTTCCACTTCTTTGTGTCCTGCTAGACCATAATAGATGATGATAAAAAAGAACCGTCCCCAACTCTGGACTGGCAGCACTGCCTTCAATACCCTGGACCTGAAGTTTATGCAAAGCAAGAACTTTAGGTAGAGGGTAGAGGAGACAGAGCAGAATTCTAGTATCAGCTGTTAGGGATTCAGAAATAGGAGTGAAGTGCTAAAGTGATAAAGAATGACTCTAGGACACTCCTTGAGGATTGAAAAGGACTTGTTCTCTTTTTCTCCCATGATTTATTAACTCCTTTTTCTTTTTTGAGACAGAATCTTGCTCTGTCACCCATTCTGGAGTGCAGTGGTACAATCATAGCTCACTGCAACTTCAAACTCCTGGACTCAAGGTATCCTCCTGCCTCAGCCTCCTGAGTAGCTGGGACTAGAGGTGTGTGCCACTGCACTTGGCCAATTTGTTTTGTTTTGGTTTTCATCTTTTGTAGAGATGGGGGCCTCCTTTTGCTGCCCAGGTTGTTACTAACTTCTTAATTTTCCTCTTTGCTTCTTCCTTCTCTTTCTTTCATTCTACATCCTCTCTATTGCAGCGGGAGGCTTGGTGGGTACTTGGTTGCTAATAGCCTAATGGGATCTGGGTAGCAGTGTACACCCTTCTCAGTCATTTCCCTTCTTCACATGTCCCTGTCTCTGTGTTCCACTGCTCCCCACGGGCTTCCAGGGTGACAGAAGTGGGAGGAAATGGTGGTGAGTTGCAGTAGACATGTTAGATTTCAGTAGGATAAAATAGAGGGTAAGATAAGTAAAAACTCTACAGAGGCCTCATAGCTGGCTAGTCGAGGTAGTTAGCAATAAGTAACAAATGTAAATGTGCATACCACTTAGAAACTGCAATGTTTTATATTAAATATATTTTTCTATATATTGCATGTATATCTTTATATCATAAGAGATAATACAAAATGCAAACACAGAAACATTTTTTACTTACTGACTGATTCACTAAACAAGCATTTTTAAAAACATAAGTACAATGCATATTTAGGATAAAAAGTTTAGATACTTTTTTTGAGTTGGGAAATGCCATGGTTATTATTTCCAGCTTACGGATGAGGAGACTGAAGGGCACTTATCTGGGATTACTTAGATGTGAAGTTTAAATAAATGACATTTCTGAATATAGCATTTTATTTTACTTATATCAAAACTGAAATTATCTTAGGTCTCCCAGTTTCCTGTTTATTTATTCCTATGACACTCATCCATGAATTATATATATGTGTATATATACACATACATGTATATAATTCTATTATATTTACACATATATAATATACATGTATGTATATAGTTACACATACATAATATATGGCTTGGATCTTTGAGCATTTCTCCTGAGTCCAGTTGCTTGTAGGGTGCTACCACTGAACTTTCTTTCCACCACATTCAATTTATCAAGTTTTAAGTGCATCGTGTCTCTCACAGGTGCTATTATTCTTCTAGTCATCTGGATGAGACTAGAAAATTTGGAGCCATCTTTTATTCTTTCTATTCCTTCATCATCTAATTATGATCTGTCCCCAAGCGTTATCATTCCTTCATCTTCTCCTCCCCTGCTTCCTTCCCGCAGCTACCTCACTACTCCGTGCTTTCATCGCCTTAGAAGTAAATTACTAAAAAAGCCTTTAGGATGACTCCCTTGCCTACACTCCATCATCCACCACTCTGGCCTCAGATCAGTGGCCTGTCAATATTCACAGCCCCTAGCTAGTCCAAACACTTCTTCTGGGATGTCTGGGTCTTTCTAATCTACGTCTACTTTCTAAGATAGTCCAACATTTAAGCTTGAGAGAGGCCATTTTCCATCCACTATCCTACACAAGTCATGTTATTTCTACTTCAAAAGTTTGTCTTATTCTCTCTTCCTGCCTTCCTTCTTCCTTCTTTTCCTTTCTTTCAAACTTTAACTGTAATTGGAGGCTCAGCTCAAAATACTTGTCCCACATATTCTATGATCAAGCAAGTTAATAATAATTTCTCCATTTTCTGAATCATATGATTTTCATCAATATCATAGGCTCTAATCCTTTACTGTGCTCTAATAAATATGATATGTTTTTCTTACCAAAAAGGCCATAAATACTTACTGTGTAAGACTAATATTACTTGTACCATTCATAGCATTAAAATAGCTGAAGGCACATAAAAGCAATATTTTTCCTAATTGACTAATTCACACTGAACAGGTGTTATCATTTTTTATAAGCACAGGAAAAGCTGGCAAGGTCTCCCTCAATATCAAATACCTCAAGGAGGTAAGTGACTTCTTTAGACTTTACACGTCTAATGATGGTAGCTTTATTTGCGTACATGCTGAGTGAAATATTCCAAATATTCTGCAGATAAGAGAAGTGTTCAGAAAGAATCCTTTACTTCAAGGCCCAGAGATTCATATGCACAATTGTATTATGTATTGAAATTCTCTACTACTTTGAAATGTAACTCTGAGGCCTGTGTTTTCTCCTTTTTTCTAATCATTTTACCTCATTGGGATATCAAAATAGATGATCATCTGAATACATACAAACACCCAAATGTCTACATTTCCAAGTCAGCAGTATAATTTCACAAATCAAGAAGCTAGAAGATACACAGGTTTCAGTTAGGTAACTTTGGGTTTAAATATGAAAACTTCTATTTCAAGTTTCTGCCTTTTCAGCTACTTATTCAAAATCTTTGCAAGGAAAGGCAGAAAAGAAACAAGTTGTTTCTAGTAAAATGAAACTGTGCATAAAATCCCCAGCAGTTCAAAACTTGGCATTCTGGACTTTTTCACGAATTACAACTGCAAGTTTAACAGCCAACCTTTGGGACTTCAATGCACCAGGTAAGGGATATTGTTCCATAGAATAATTGCTCTCTAGGGAAAAGGCATTGCGGTGACTTTCATGTTATAAGGCAGCACGAGTCAGTGGGTCATTAATCATTAGTGAGTGTCACTGAAGAGTTTAAAGAAAAGCGTTCAATGACATTAAATATCAGAAGGAAAAGTAGAGTCGTGTACATTTTCATGATAATCTGCCTTACTAAAGCTTCATGCCTATAATACATGCAAATATCAGATTTAAAAGAAATCTGATAAAAGAAACTTAAAGATGAATTTGTCACATTGAATAAAAATGTATACTTCATAGGTAATTCATTTTTGTATATGTGTAGGTGAATAGCAGAATGGATGGACACTTTAATAGTCTGAAATTTTTAAATGTGCCATCTTTATCTTTAATTGGTTTTTATTAAGTTTTGGATTCTTTTATTCATCCATTTAAGCATAAAATAAGGAACTTGTGACAAAAGATAAATACATAATCAAAAATTAAAATAAAGTTAAAGAAGTACTAAAGGGAGAAAAAATATGGTGTTTTTTTTTCAAAATACATGCTTAAAGATAGCTACTGTAGTTGTGAACTAATTCTAGCCCTAAACTTCCAAGAAGAAAAAGCACAAAATGAGAAATAGAATAAATGATCTCATGCAAAACATAACAGAATGCCAGGAAAACAAATCTTCTAGCACTAATTTTTAGGAGGAATTTATCTTATACACCTCACTGTAAAGCAGTGATTTGGTAAGTCTTCAGTTTTAAACAACAGAATTCAACCCGGAAAACTTAAGTGATGAAAGATATGAGAGAACTTACAGAGTCAAAGGATAGGTTGAAGAACCAGCTTGGACCCAAGAGGAACCAGGCTGTTTTAGAGTCTCAGTAGCTGAAACAGTCTGACAGCCTCTCCCAGGGGATAGCTATTCAATAAGTCCCACTTTTCTGCTGTGTTTTTATCTGTGACTATAATAAGGTGACTTGTTTCTCAATAGCAGAAAGAGTTTAACAGTTTCTCCCGGGCACTAGCACTCTCATGAATAAGTCTGACTTTCCCATTGTCCTTGCTTTTACAACTATTTACTTGTGGCAGGCACTTGAGATACCCAACTGCTTTCCTTCTATTGCCATCAACTCCTCCCACCCCTTCTCACCTGTCAATGGCCAGGTCCATGTAGACTTATTTGGTCAAGACAAATGTAATTAAGCAAATTGACTATGCTTAAGGGATAGGAAATATTGAACTGAAATAAGAGTAAAATGTAATAATCTGATAAGAGTAGATATCATTGCACCAGACAGAATTTTTCAGAAAACATTGAAACACTGTAATTGGGAGTCTTACCTTCTCTCCTCCTTACCCCTAACCCCAGGCCAGAGTAGAGGAGGAAGGAGAAGGTGGAGAGGGTAAACCTATCACCTTCAGTGAGAGAGAGATACAAAGAGCCACTCCTGATAAAACAAAAGAACGACTGTTTTTAAAAATGGTTCCCTATCTGTGTGATGCTCAGAATTAAAACTCCTGTGAGAGGGTAGCTCAGTGAGCTTAGGGGACATTCATACCTCTGACCTGTATGGGACAGTGAGAGGAAGCTTTTGATGTAGGACTTTTCTAGGGACCCCACGGGCTTCCTTAGTGGGAAACCAGGCACCTGAATTCACAATCCCAGCAGCGTTACACAGAGTGGGGAATGACAATTACCCCGAAAGGAAGCCAGCGTGCTATTGAAAGTGAGGAAATGAATTGCTGGGCAACCAATCTAAACAGGATCAATGCCCAGTAGAGGTGGCAACAGCAACAACAGTAGAGGTATCTTATCTGACACTTACTGAGTCTTACCATGTGCCAGGCACCATGTTAGGTACTTCACATTTGTTAATCCTCACAACCTCCCAAAGAAGAGAGTACACTAACTCATAATTATAATTGTAATACGTAAACTGCCAAGGTCACCTAGATGGTCTGTGATGGAACCTGGCAGGATTCAAATCTGACTTCAGGGATTGTGTTCTTAATTTCTACAAACGCTGTTAAGAGCTGTCTCAAAACAGATGCGGAACATATCCTCATACAGCTGCTTCTTAGAAATATAAATGTAAAATTAGAGCTCGCTGAATACTCTGCATATGCAATCAAACATATTCTGAAAATACATCTTAAGTATATTATCGGAAAAGGTCTCTAGTATTATTTTTGTGTTTAAAAATAGCCAAATAAGTGAAGCTGTAGATGAAGGTCAGTATCATGTTAGGAAAAAATAAAAAAGGTTTTAAAAAAGAGTTTGAAGTTGCTTCCTCTAGAACTTTTGATAAATAGATCTTTCTTGTCTACATAGGTAATTTATTATTGTATACTATGTGTGTATCTTAAAATATAAAAAATTAAAATTGCCAATAATTTTATTAAAATTTAAATATTGAGGCATTCAAAGCAAAAATCTCTTTTTGCTTTTAACGCCTGCCAGTAGCATTCTCTAGCTGTAAATGTGATGTGTAATCTTAAAAATAGCCTTATTTTAAAAGAACACACAGACTCCTTGACATCTGTGGGATATTTCTGGCTGAGAATCATGGCCAGATAATAGCAAAAGCTATCAATTGATTGAACTTATATATCTCCAAATCTTAAATGTCTTTTATATTTTTCTTGAAGATGAAAATGAAATTATATGAGTAGTGACAGTAATAAATTGAAAAATGTATCCCTCTGCTATATCCCAATTTCTGTCAGTGCTTTGTGTTCTTAATTTCCTAAAAAGGACCAATATTTTTAACTTTACTGAGTTTCAGATCCATGAGAGAATTAGAATTCGATAATAACCCTGAGTCTTCTTTCCCTCTTCTCAGAAAAAAAAGCTATGTATATATAGTTACATATATGTATACACATATGTATATACGTATATACGTATATATACACATATATGTATACATATATGTATACATCTGTATATACAAACTCAATGCATACATTATATATATTATATGTACATTATATATATATTATACTCAATGGAAATATGTATTGAAGGACTAAACTAGGAAATATGGTCTTTCTTTATATGCAGTGATATCCATAATAGCTCATATATTATTTTGCTACAATTTTAAATTGTATCTCTGTCATGTGCATTGTGGGTGTATCCTGAACTTTTAATATTTTGAGCCCTTTCAAGCAAGGAATTACTGAGTGCTGGAAAACTTGCATTTATCGGATATTTTCCAAATTTTAAAATACTAACAAACACTTTGAATATGAAATGGGTAAAAGTAAGACAGGTAAAAGTGAGACGTGATTTTACTTTTCTCAGCATCTCTAGCCTTGTCTGTATATCCACTACTTTTCTCAATGCACCTGTTATTTCTGTCATTAAAAATATGCAGAGGGGGCTGGGCACAGTGGCTCATGCCTGTAATCCCAGCACTTTGGGAGGCCGAGGCGGGAGGATCACGAGGTCAGGAATTTGAGACCAGCCTGACCAACATGGTGAAACTGCGTCTTTACTAAAAACACAAAAATTAGTGGTGGTGCATGCCTGTAATCCCAGCTACTCCAGAGGCTGAGACAGGAGAATCGCTTGAACCCGGGAGGTGGAGGTTGCAGTGAGCCAAGATCATGCCACTGCAATCCAGCCTGGGCAACAGAGTGAGAGTCGGTCTCAAAAAGAAAAAAGAAAAAAGAAAAAAATATGCAGAGGGAGGTACCCATATATGCTAGTGTGGATACACACAGAAGCTAGTATTTTATCATGTCCACAATAAAGACCAAAATATCTTATCTGGAAGTTCCCTCATAATTTTTTTTGCCTGAACCATCTTATTTATAAAGTGGCTTTCCTTCAGCTACTCAAAATAACATTTCTTTCACTAACTCAACCTTAACACTTTATATTGCTTAATTCTTGAAATAAATCATTTTTATATGTGTGATGATAAAATAGCAGGTGGGTTATTGTAGAAAATGGATTTTCTGGAAAAAATTTTATATAGATATATTCTGTTATATGCAGGGAAGATAAAGTAAGGTCTGTTTTCATCTGTACCTTGGAGTGACCCTAACTTGAAAGGCGATTGTATCAATATGACTGTTAATTAGAAATTTGTTCTGTGGAGAAATTGAATGTTGCAGGAGCAAGCTTCAAGTCCCTGGAGGGAGGGCAAGGTTCTCTAACTAGCATTTTAAGGCAAAACTCTCCCTGTAAACACAGGTATTCCAAGAGCCTTTTTTATTGTGTCACTCTTAGAAAATGAGTGGGCAACCAAAGATGACTAAAGAGTTGCGGGGAAGAATCAACATCAAAATGAGAGAACAAGGTAAACAATGAAAAGAAGAAAACAAAATTGGCCCAGGAAGGAGTAGTGCACTTAGAACAGGAATGGCCACAAAATCTGTGGGGCCCAGTGAAAAATAATAACATGAGACCCTTCTAAAATTAGTAAAATTTTCAAGATGGCCACAGTAGAGCATTAAACCAAGAACTGCTCCTTCCCATCATGGGGCCCTGTGAGAACCCACAGGTTGCACACACGTAAAGCAGTCCCTGCCTGCAACACAGAATCGGACTTTAATAAGTTTTTACTGAATACTCTTGAAGATATTTGAAAAGACAATCATGTCCACAAAACACGAATAAGACAAAATAAAGAGATGAGCAAATAGAAAACAAGAAAGAACTCATGGGGATTAAATATATTTAAGGATGCACCAAAGTTCACCTTCAGTCCTTGGATTTGTCCAAAATCTGCTTATTGGCTTTGGCCTCAGCCCTGGCCTTTGGAAAGCCAGAAAGGTGAATGTCTATTTCCATATCATTTTTAGTGTTCCTGAGCATGTGTATGAAAAGTTATTGGGTTCCTAAGAAGTCTTATTGCCATACTGATGCCACTAAAAGGAACAAGCTGTGTCATTTAGATGTATTATTCATTTCTGAGTATTTTCTTCCCTTGGACTGAAAGAATGTATGTCTGTCATTGTTGAAATTTTATCAGTAGTCCAAGTATATAATTATTATTGCAAATGTAAAATTCTGCAATAGTTAATGATGACTCTATAGGTTGGTATTCTATGAAAAATATAGTTACTTCTTAAAAAGTTAAATTGAGAAGTAAATCTGTAATTAAGTTGTATATTAAACAAAAATTTATAACCTGAACCTGCAAGAATGAGGGCTGTGGTAAAGAACGTGAATGAGGTAAATATTACAAACACTTTGATATGTTTATCTTATTGAAAGTTCACAACAAGTTTTTGAAGTAAGTAGAGATCATTGTATTCATTAGATACTTGAAAAAGCTGAGGCTCAGAGAAGTTAAATGGTTTGATCAAGGTCACCTATATTGTAAATGGAGGCAAGCAGAACCAAACCAGATTTTGTAGCTTAAAACTCATTGTTATTTACTTTTAACTATGCTGTATTTTCAGAAGAACAACTGTAAATGACTCATATCAAATTGTTATTTTATAAATAAATTGGAGGGAGTAATTATCCTGTTTTTAATAACCAAAAGGGGAGATAACTTCTTGAGGAAAGTGGAACACTCTAAATAAACCATTTGACCAGAATATTTCTTACTATCAAAAGACTCTTGAAAGATTTTTTAAATTAGGTTCCATGATGCACTTAACATCATTAGAAAGATAGAGTATAGAGCAAAGTGGAAGCTGGAAGACTGGATTTCCAGGCCATTATTTCTGCTTCAATCAGAGAAGATAGAGTTTTGCCTGTCTTAAGTGGTAGGCATGTGAATAAGCTATCTTTTGAAGGAAGGATTTCTTGGCTTTACCACCTACCTACATAAATAAATAAATAAAAATAAAAAGTAAAATAAAATAAAGGGGAATTAGAGACACACTGACCTAGATAACTGTTAATAAAACTAAGGTCTAGTGTTTTATCTCTGGTCCCACACATAGCAAGTGAATAACTGAACCACTACCCAATGATTACTGACTGATCTCTTCAGTACAGATTTTTTTTTTTTTTTTTTTTTTTTTTTTTTTTTTTGAGACTGAGTTTCACTCTTCTTGCCCAGGCTGGAGTGCAAAGATGCGATCTCAGCTCACCGCAACCTCCGCCTTCCAGGCTCAAGTGATTCTCCTGCCTCATCTTCCCGATTAGCGAGGATTACAGGCATGTGCCACCATACCCAGCTAATTTTATCTTTTTAATAGAGACGGGGTTTCTCCAAGTTCGTCAGGCTGGTCCGACCTCAGGTGATCTGCCCGCCTCAGCCTCCCAAAGTACTGGGATTACAGGCATGAGCCACTGCACCCGACCCTAGTATAGCTATTTAAATGATAGCACACTGCCTATAGTTTGAGTTTTAAACTCCTTTTCATTTATATAATTGCTTGAAGAACATTATTTTCTGCATATTTATGTTGATTGTAGCAACATAAATACTTCTTAAACTTACTTCTTAAAAAGTAAACTATGACCATGGGCTTAGGCATGTTTTTTTAAAATTTATTTTCAAATATTTCAAGCTTTTCCTGACATCATCATTTCCACAATTTCTATTGTTACTGGCTCTCAACAGTCCCGCTTTCTTCTCTGTATGTATACCATGATCATATATCCCCTGGGAAAAAAGCCTCATTTTACATAGTTAACCATGTGTAAAGTCAGATTTATTTATAAATACATAAATCAGGCATTTGCACCTGCATGGAAAAAATGCTGCATTATACAAAATATTTGTTCTTGCCAAGTTGATGTTTAATAGAGCCAAACTCAGCAACACAGTGGTGTCTTCTATTCCTCCTTCATTTCAGAGATGTCTCCCATGCTATGTTGAGCCTATGTTCTCCAGTCACATTAATAACACTAGCTAGCATGTATTAAATTCCTCTTCTGCACCAGGCAGTTTACATATATTATTTGTGAAACTCAACACAACTTTGCAAGATATTTATTAGTTTCCATAGTTTTGAGATGAGAAAAGTGTGCCTTAAGAAATGAAAGCAATGAATCACACCAATAATCTCCATGGTTTCATTGCTACTTTATCACTTCACCCTCTTGGAGACCTTCTCTCCAGACCTTGAAGAGAAAATTGGCATAAACTTGGATATACTCTCTTTAGGATGACTTTGTGTCAAAAAATAAAGGTAGCCTAGACCTATTTTGGAAATTAATTTTATCATGCTTACAGGATTTGCAAAATATTGTTTTTATTCATATTTATTATCTTTCCTGAATTTTGGTGCTTATCAAGATCAATTCTTCAGCAGTATTATTATGTCAATAAATTTCTTATTTTCAGTATATTTATATATCTATATAAACAATTCTTTTTTGTCATATAAATTGATATTTTAGGTGAGGTTCAATTTATATTTTATTTTGCTTTTTAAGCTTGGCATGTGCTTCTGTAAAGTTCTTTTGAGTAACAGAGGTAAAAAAGAAAATATCACAATGATTTCTATTAATCCTATCTTCCATGGATAGGCAGCACCATAATTCATAGCATACTGTAGTAGCATGTTCCTCCTTAATTTATGCACTTCATTCTAAATAGTCAACATGAAACTAAAGTAATTCTTTAAACCATATGTAAGTGTTAAATGCTTAGTGATCAGATTCTGTTTTTTTTAATGCAAATAAATGTTACTTTTTCCCATTAGAAAATTAACTCTCTTTGCCTCTCCCATCCATTTGTAAAATATTGTAAGAGAAACTATTATACAAGAATTTTTAAAAGTTTGTCATCAAGTTTTATATGCTACTATTTTAATCTTCTAGTTAAGTATGCCCACATTTTATCAATTATGGAGATACATGCAGAATATTTTATGAGAGACACTATGGTATTGTAAAAAACTGTTCTGGACGTTGAATCAGAAAAACAGATTTCTAGTTTGCATTACCCAGTGACTGGCTATGCACACTGCAGCAAGTCGCTTCAATGATATGCACTTTTGTTTTCTAATCTGTGAAGTGCAGTGGTTAAATTACATAATTTTGAACTCTTCATCCTCTGATACTTTAATGAGTCTGATTTTCCTGTCTATTAAGAAATCACAATGATGGAGAATGATGGAGGGAGACCTTAAAATATACTGTTTTATTTTTGTAAACATTTAAATAAAAATAAAAGACATATCATGGTTTTTAGAAAGAATCTTTCTCTTTCTCTCTCTCATCTACCTATCTATAATAAAGTTTAGACATTAAATAAATTCAGTGTGTGTGTGTGTGTGTGTGTGTGTGTGTATTTGTGTTTGGTAGACTGGTAACTATTAACTAAATGTGACATTTTCTTTTTATTTTTCCTTCCAGAGGAAAAAAAAATCACATTTAAAATTAAACAATATAACCCTTATTATTTTCATTCTCTGTAACTGCATAAAATGGTTTACAAATGAGATTAGTACGTATTTGAGAGAGAAATTTACAGGTTAACCTTCTTGATATTACTTAATTGCAACCTTCTGTTAGTCTATAGTAACCTTATTTCCAGGGTTAGAGCCAGTTTTTTGCATTAGTTCTTCCAAAGGGACCACATGTCAAATATCCTTGAAACAGGGTACAATTTAAATTACTGGTGGTCTACTAGTTAGTTTCAGTCTAGGAGAACAAACACCAGATGTATTATAGACAGACTTTAGAGGGCATTATAAACAGAAGAGGGGGAACGGGCTACTTCTAAAATTGTGGGATCCACCCATTGTTGCTCTGTGTTATAATCTCATTCTGGAAGAATTCAATTAATATTTATTATCATGTTCTTTGAAACTATTCCATGAATGAAGACTCCTGCATTAAGCAATTTCATCTAAGCAAGACATAATTCACTTTTGCACCCTAGCAAATGACTTGGAATTTGCATGCCTGATTTAAAGAGAAAAATTGATGATGCACAGTGTGTCACATCTTATTTAAGGTTACTTTGTAATGTTCTGTGATTTTATTTGAGAAATCAAAACGTGCTAATTTAAGAAACAATTTAAGACCATTGTCTGCAGAACAAATCTGCTACTTAAAGGTGAAATAAGTTTTACAGACAAAATCATTTTTCTTTTCTGTTTGGGCAAGTTTTTCCTGAAGATTTTGCTGATAGTTTCAGCTTCTCCTTTTTATAACCTCTTTTTCATTTTCCTTCCCTGATCTCCAAACCTACACTGCTTTCAGGGTGACACTGACACTCAGCATAGCTATTAAACATGATTTTGCTAACTGCTCAGTGAGGCCTGGTGTGAATTGAGGGACCACCATGGCCAGCTGTGCAAAGCCTTTGATCTTTTATTTACATTTTGATTTCATGTTTTGGTGCTGGAGGACATTTCTTAACCAACACCGGTTAAACAAGGATTTAAAATTCTGTGCAAATATTCTTTTAAACCACTGTCTAATTAGTGAAAATCTGTTATTAACCTTTTCAATCTAGGGCTATCATATTGAAGTAAATAACTACCATTTATTTTTCCCAGCCATAAAGAAATATGGACACAACTTTTCTATTCAGTTTTCTATTTTGTATTGCATCTTGACTATTTTCTAAGCTACATCTACATTTTCATTGAGATCAATTTAAATAAAAATCTTTTATCATTTGTAGCATCTCATGAACTTCACTGGACAATCTGCATTATACTTGAAAATTCACCTGAAAGTCTTTGCATTTTTACACAACAAAGATGTGAAATTTATTAAGGCGCTACTTAGGGAGATTAAGGTTTATCAGGGAATTCGGTTTTTTAAAAAAACTATCTGTTGGCCCGGTGCAGTGACTCATGCCTGTAATCCCAGCACTAGGGAAACCGATATGGGTGGATTGCTTGAGTTTAGGAATTCGAGACCAGCCTGGGCAACATGGTAAAACATCATCTCTACAAAACAAACAAACAAACAAACAAAAAGTAGCCAATTGTGGTGGCCTTTTCCTGTAATCCCGGCTACTTGAGGAGCTGAGGCAGGAAAATCACTTCAACCTGGGAGGTCGAGGCTGCAATGAGCCAAGATTGTGCCACTGTACTCTGGCCTAGGTGACAAAGGGAGACCATGTCTCAAAATAAAATCTGTCAACATGTATATTTTAAAGTTCTTTTAAATTAGTACAGATTACAGAAAGGATCTTACAGGCATGGCTAAATATGTTGGCATATAAATCTGAAAATTTTAAATGATTTTGTGCATTTTGATGTAGAAAGCATATATATGTATATATATCTGCAATCAATACAGAGAAATTTATATATCTATCTCTATTTTATATAGGATCAAATAATTATATTAAGCCAAAGAATATTTAGAAACAAATGATATTATTCTCTTGGAAATAAATGCATTTCAAAACACAGAATCTACAATATTCAGTCTACTTCTTAATGAGAGGATATTGTTTTAGAAGAGGAGACGTTTAATCCAGAATTAATTACACTAAATGGAGAAACAGCCAAATCTAGAGTAAACTGTTGGTCACCTAATGTAGTATCTTGAATGATGTAAGCCTGAGGTAATTATTAGCCATTGAAAATTTTTGGATATATAAATACCTATTTTCGTCCTTTGCAAGATTACTATATGGCATCTTCATTAACATATTCAGTGGATTGTTTACTGAAAGGTAGGTTTAGAGCTTTCCACAAAAAAAAAGAATGAGTTTGTTCAAATATGGTCAACAAATCTTCCCTCCTGGGAGTGGTCTTTCAGTGAGCACTCTCTCAAAGATGATTGCTTGTCTTGCTGTTAGTCCTTAGTGCCAAAAATAACTTCTGCATTTGTAAAAGCTAATTACTGCCCTGAATTTTTGGTCTTTCCTTTTTTGTTTCATGTTTGTTTGTTTTAATATATTATCTGAGAAATAGATATAATTATTCCTATTTGCAGACAAGGGAATACAACTCAGAATATTGTATGCAAGCAGATTATTGGTGAACCATATTAAGGACATTGTTAATGGGCTTTCTGGAAATGGGATAGATGTTGAATAAACCTCTGAATTTAAGAAAGTAACTTGGAAGAGTTCTAAAGCCTAGGCCTGAGAATTAGTAGAAATACTAAAAAAAAAAAAAAAAAATCCCAAAACTTTATTAACAAAATATTTAGCATTTGTATATTCAACATTAATATTTTGTTCATCTAGTGTGTGCCTTGAACTAAAATTACATGGCTGATTAATAAAGTCCTTGCCCTCAACGTGCTAGGAGCCTAAAGTGAGAGAGACAGACACTTACCAGATAAAACCATGTGATGGCTCATTGTAAAAACCCCAATTACCATAGAGGAGTATTGGGAAATCAGAGAAGATGATGTCAGACCAATGGCCAACAATTTGTAGTTAACGAGAGTGCTGAGAGAATGTCAAGTAAATTAGAAAAATCGACAAGAATAAAATATTAAACATGATTAAAAGGAGGAATCCTTTTAAGAGGCTTCACTGCGCATACTATCTATGAAATGTTTCATTTTGTAAATCACGACGTTCTCTGTTTGGTAGCAATCTGAAGTTTTGCTCAGTGTTTCACAGTTCACTGCTTTGTTGCCAAAATAAAGCACACAACGGAACTAATGGTCTAGTCTCTGTACTGAGAGTAGCCCTGCATCTGTGTCTCTAAAAACACCCAGATTCTGCACTCGTTTCTAGACCAGTTAAATTCTGCCACCGATAATTCACTTACGAAGCCCACTGAAGATTTTAGGAAATGATTTAGATTTAGTCATAAAATGGAACAGAATACCTAAAGGTAAGACTAAATGCTGCTGATATGAAGCCTCTCCTAAGAGAGTGCTTGCAACATGGGAGGAGCAGTGGTGAGGGAGGCAGCTGGGCTGCATCACTTTCTGCTCATCCAACTTGACCATGGGTAACCAGGAATTTCCAAGCCAATGCTTTCATATTAACGCCTTATTCCCCTACATCACCCGGCTTGTTGTTTAGTCTAATATATTAATACTTTCTGCTTAGCCAGTTCCATTCAGGATTTTCTAGTTCCCTCCCATTTGGCTTTGGCAACACATTCTTGTGAATGGGTGACATTCTGAAAACTTTCCATTTTTCTCCTTGGGAAAGAATGTGGAACAGACTTATTCTAATTTTTATTTAACAGAATTCCACTCAGTAAATCTTTCCTGAGAAAATAATTATAATACTGATAATAATAATAATAGTTCAAATGTGTTGAGTGCCAGGCACTGTATCGAGTATGCATTATTTTATTTAACTTTTAAAACAACCATATAAGGTATATATGAGTATTATCAATCATCATTTTATAGATGCAGAAAATGACATGAGGAGACGGTAAATAGCTTGCTAATAGGTCTTGGCAATTAAGTGGTCGAACCAGAATTTAAACCCTCAAAAGCTGACTGCAAAGGCTGGGCACTTGTAGAAAGAAATCCAAAAGAGGTAAGTAAGTATATCATGAGCTTCTTAGGACTTATGAGAAATTCACACACTGAGTGATAGAAAAATGGTATGCAAGCAAATACTGTGTTTTTAGCACTTGCTGTAGGCATTTGGGAGAAATCAAAAGATAAATGTGAATCTGGGAATCTTCAGGGAAGAGGGCAGGCAGCCTTTTGTTAAAAAAAAGAGAGAGAGAGATCAAGAATTCAAGGTAGAAGCATTCAACAAGACAGAGGAAGAAAGGAGGAAGCATTTCAAAGATAGCAAAACAGCCTGACTCCTTTTGAAGGGCCAGAACACCAACAGCAGACAAGGATGCATTAATACTTTCTCATAGGCCAGTGGCTTTCAAAGGCTTTCCTAGAGCTCTGGAATCCTTCGAGTCTAGTGACTCCATGTCTGGTTCAACTGAAATTGCTCTACCCTATCTATTGCACATATGTGTACATAGTTATACATTCCAGCAAACAGACAGCAAGCTTGATATGGAATCTTAGCTTGTCATTTTACCCTCTTTTTCTTGAAAAGTTTATATCCACAATGACAGCTTAATATCTGTTTATAGGTTTACAGTTCACATGTTTTTATGCCAAAACATCCTTTGATCTTTTCTACAACCTGGAGCATAGTAGGTGCTCAGTAAATGAATAAAAGGAAAATAAAACATAAAATAAGCTATTGCGGTTGGTATAGCAGGGACTTTTTGCTTTCTTATTCTCCAAGAACAAGATTTCTAAACTTTCTAAACTTTATTTTCTTCTATAATCTTTCTTCTCTCAGATTAAATCTAAAAATAAAAGAGATGTAGAGCACTGAGTCTCTTTCTCCCTGCTTGTAATTATTTTCTCCAATCAGGATGTAGTTTCAAGGGTGGCCAACACTGTCAATCACCCTCTGCCCTTCTTTGAAACTCGCTGATTATGGGAAAGTGCTTTGCATGTAATCACTTCAATTACTCAGTAAAGCTTCCTGTGTTCCTTCTGCTGGTTCTGAATTTGGATTTTTAAAGAGGCTTTGCTACTTTTTCCTTACGTTCTTTTTAAAATACATTTAGAAGAAGTAGAACAAAATAGTTTTATAGTATGACTGCACATCTAGTTGTCCAAATTAGCTTACACTTCCTAGAGGGTTCATAGGATTGGAGCAGACAATAGATATGGCAAAGACACCAGAATGAAGGTCTTTTTTGCTGAGGGTTAATCCAAGACTGCAGATTCCAGGGAGGTTGCAAGCTGGGAACTTAGTCAGCAGGCTGTTGTATTTGAAACCATTCATTTTGTCAGAAATTCCTCTGGCATGGAGTGCTGGGGTTACTTTATGGGTGATACACTTTTCTGGCCTTGAACTTGGTTAAAAACAAAACAAAACAAAACAAAACAAAACAAGAAAAGCAAGAGCAAAAACAACCCAAAACAAATAAAAACAACTGCAGCAAAACCTCCTCTTTGCTGGAACTTCTAGTGAAGGGAATGGTAGCTTCAAAAAGAGATTTTCTCTTGATCTTTGAGGGCTATGACCTGCTTTATGATAGTATAGTCATTCTGTTGGCAAAATCTTCTGGAGAAGCTGCCAGGCTCCTGATCATGGGTGGTGTGGTGTGTATAGGACTAAGCTGAGGACTGCTCTCCCAATTGGCTCAGTGATTGCAGTCTTTTCAGAATAACCAGTCACTCAAACAGCATGGTGCCAGGGGTCACAGATTTCTCCATGTGAACCTCTGCACTCTTAGAAACTCATTCATGGGAAGTGTAATGAAGTTTTGATGGTTTCATATTCAGTTATATCCCCCGCATAATCTATCCTAGGCAAAATCTCTGGTGTCCAAGCTCTGATGCCCCTGTTTCACTGAGCTCAATATGAGAGATCTTAAGGAAAAGAATGATTAGCTCCTTATTTAGCATCTGTCTTTGTCCATTCAGGCTGGTTTAATAAAATAACAAGAGTTAGGTTGCTTATATACAACAGAAATTTTTTTCTCACAGCTCTGGAGGCTGAGAAGTCCAAGAACAAAGTGCTGGCCCATTCGGTGTCTAGTGAGGGCCAGACATCTGGTTCAGAGGGTGCCTTCTAGCTGTGTGCTGACATGGTGGATGGGTAGAGGGATCTCTCTGGAACCTCTTTTGGAAGGGCACTAATCCCATTTATAAGAGCTCTGCCCTCATGACCTAATCACCTCCCAAAGGCCCCACCTCATAATTCCATCACCTTGGGGGTTAGGATTTCAACATACAAATTTTCAGCAGACATAAACATTCAAACCACAGCTGCCTCCAAAAATTAAAGAAAAATTCAAGTGGGAAGAGCTGAGGGTTTAGATCAGTTAGGGACACTGGGAATATAAGAAAAACAGAAAAATGTTTTACAAAATATTTTATATCATCAATAAAGTGCTTCCTATATATTAATTCCTTTGGTGCCATAATAAAAAAGGACAAGGGAGGCTATTTAACACTCACTAAATATGTATGCTAGGTTATTTTTGTGTGATATCTTCCTTATTCTTTACAAAAGTATTGTGAAGCAAGCACATCATTTTATTTAATGAATTCTTTTTTTTACAAAGCAAGAAAGCAAAAATTAAAATAGTTTGGCGCTGTCCTGATGAGATAGTTAATAAGCAGTGGGCCAGATTTTAATCTGTGTGCCTCTTTGCAAAACTCATGTTATTTCCCCTGGTCTTTCTTTGTAACGGGCAGGAAGAACACTTCCGGCAGTTACGTTACCACTAGGAGTATCACCTCTGTTTCACAGATGAAGTACTATGTTTTCAGGAAATCATGTAATTGGACCAGGTGACACATCTAGGGAAGTAGAAAGAAAAAGATAGAAGAGGCCAGACGCAGTGGCGCAGCCCTGTAATCCCAGCACTTTGGGAGGCTGAGGCAGGCAGATTGCTTGAGCCCGGGAGTTAGAGACCAGCCTGAGCAACATAGAGAGGCCTGTTCGCTACAAATAATAATAATAATAATAATAATAATAATAATAATAATAATAATAATAATTAGACAGGTGTGGTGGCACATGCCTGTAGTCCCAGCTAGTCAGGAGTCTGAGATGGGAGAATCACCTGAGGCTTGGAAGTCGAGGCTGCAGTGAACCAATATTGCACCACTGCACTCTGGCATGGGCAATGGGAGTGAGATCCTGTCTCAAAAAACAAACAAACAGAAAAACAGAGCCGGCGGGGGAGAGAGAAAACATATCTGAAAAGAATCTTGGCTGATTCTTCATGAAAAAGAAAGATGAGGGTCTCAGCTAATTCAAGATTCCTAACTTGGTGATCTGAAAAATGGTAATGTCACCAAAAAACATTTTAATGTTAAAGGAGTTAGCAAGTCTTGAGGAAGTTAGTATGGTGGTCTGTTAAACTAACTCTGGGTTGACATTCAAATATTGATCAAAACGACCAGAAGGGACTGAGAAGGTGCAGTCAGAGGACAGGCTCATTCTGGACATATACCTTTCAAATCATACTTGCTCTGGAAGCTCTTATCCCAGATTTCCCAAAACCATTTGCTTTTGACATTTTGTCTTAATTCTCTTGTCACCTCTCCTACTCAGTCTTTCTTAGTCCAATCTAAATTTTCCATCCCTATTTGTTTCAGCACTCCTAACACATCACCGTGTTTTATATTCTTCAGAGCACTATTTATCTAAAATAATCTCAGTAATTGTGTATTTACTTGCTTGCTGTCTCTTTTCACTAAAATATCATCTACAGGTGACCAGGGACCTTTGCCTATTTCATTCACCAGTGCTTCACAGCCTACAATTATTATTGACAGAAAATAGGCCCTCATTAAACTTTCACAGAAAAAAAAAACTAAAAGAAAGAATGAATGAATATAGATGATTTGACTGAAACATATGTGGGTCTCTGAGTTAAATACTGAGGAATCATAATTTAATGAAATGTTATTTGTCATTAAGGAGCTATGCCATGACAATAAAGCAGCCCTCTGAGGAAGAATGTTTAGGCAAAGGAACACAATGAAGTACTCTGCCTCTGGCAAGTAGCCAAATATAGGGTGTATGGAGACAAACTGATCCAATAAATGAGAAAAATAAAAGCACATAGTAAAAAAGTATGACAGTATGATATTGTGGAAACCAAGTGATAAAGATGCTTTATGGTGAATATTAGTGGGATAGGATAAAAAATTAAATTGCCATTTACCAATGAATGCCAGAGATAATAAAAAAAATGGGTCCTACTTAAATGCTAACTTATTAATTCTACTTTTAGCCTTTCAGTTTTATTCAAAATAAGTAACAAGTTAAAAAAATTACAGTAAAGCATTCTTGCTTTTGGCCCCAAATATCCTTGAAATGTTTTTTTAAGTGATGTTTTAAATATAAATTTGCATGTGTTTTCATATCAAGTATATATAGTATAATAAATATATAATAATAATAATAGGAAAAAGTATAGCAACATGAACTACATATGAGCAGTTAAGTGGAATTATCTTTCTATACATTACAGCACAATATTTGGACTATTATATATGATCTTTTTCCTCTGAAATCAGTGGCCCTATTTAGAAACAAATGTAATATTAACGGTAGTTCAATACCTGGAAAAGATTAGCAAGAAGGAAAACAATATTTCTCTTGGAAGAAAATTATAATTACATTTTAATTAATTTCATTTAAGTTTTATTTTAGTGAAACTTAATCTATAACTTTTGGGGTAATTATGTCCTTAATAGTTTAGTCTCCAAAATCATTTGGGTCTCACCTGTTGTATCTTGAACATCTTGGCTGTTATAATATATTCAATGTGAGGCCAAAAATGTTGAGTTTCTTTTGTTTTTATTGCCAGAATTAAAGCAAAATAAGGAATTTATAAAGAAACTCTATTGTTTTCTGAAGTCATTTTCCTTTGTAATTAGCAACAATCAGATTAAATTGCAGTAACTTATGCAAATTTACATGTCATGTTTTCAGGACTAGATCCTATAAATGTTTTTAACCACAGTAGCAGAAAATTAGATTAATTATGAACACATTTAATGGACCATTATTACTGAACCTTTGGCATAATTTATATGATATTGAAAAAATTATTTTATTCTTAAAAATATCGAATCATTAAATTTTAAGAAATTTGTCTTTGACAAACCTGAGAAAAACAAGCAATGGGGAAACGATTCCCTATTTAATAAATGGTGCTGGGAAAACTGGCTAGCCATATGTAGAAAGCTGAAACTGGATCCCTTCCTTACACCTTATAGAAAAATCAATTCAAGATGGATTAAAGACTTAAACGTTAGACCTAAAACCATAAAAACCCTAGAAGAAAACCTAGGCAATACCATTCAGGACATAGGCATGGGCAAGGACTTCATGTCTAAAACACCAAAAGCAATGGCAACAAAAGACAAAATTGACAAATGGGATCTAATTAAACTAAAGAGCTTCTGCACAGCAAAAGAAACTACCATCAGAGTGAACAGGCAACCTACAAAATGGGAGAAAATTTTCGCAACCTACTCATCTGACAAAGGGCTAATATCCAGAATCTACAATGAACTCAAAACAAATTTACAAGAAAAAAACAAACAACCCCATCAAAAAGTGGGCGAAGGACATGAACAGACACTTCTCAAAAGAAGACATTTATGCAGCCAAAAAACACATGAAAAAATGCTCATCATCACTGGCCATCAGAGAAATGCAAATCAAAACCACAATGAGATACCATCTCACACCAGTTAGAATGGCAATCATTAAAAAGTCAGGAAACAACAGGTGCTGGAGAGGATGTGGAGAAATAGGAACACTTTTACACTGTTGGTGGGACTGTAAACTAGTTCAACCATTGTGGAAGTCAGTGTGGCGATTCCTCAGGGATCTAGAACTAGAAATACCATTTGACCCAGCCATCCCATTACTGGGTATATACCCAAAGGACTATAAATCATGCTGCTATAAAGACACATGCGCACGTATGTTTATTGCGGCATTATTCACAATAGCAAAGACTTGGAACCAATCCAAATGTCCAACAATGATAGACTGGATTAAGAAAATGTGGCACATATACACCATGGAATACTATGCAGCCATAAAAAATGATGAGTTCATGTCCTCTGTAGGGACATGGATGAAATTGGAAATCATCATTCTCAGTAAACTATCGCAAGAACAAAAAACCAAACACCGCATATTCTCACTCATAGGTGGGAATTGAACAACGAGATCACATGGACACAGGAAGGGGAATATCACACTCTGGGGACTGTTGTGGGGTGGGGGAGGGGGAAGGGATAGCATTGGGAGTATACGTAATGCTAGATGACGAGTTAGTGGGTGCAGTGCACCAGCATGGCACATGTATACATATGTAACTAACCTGCACAATGTGCACATGTACCCTAAAACTTAAAGTATAATAATAAAAGAAAAAAAAAACTTAAAAAAAAAAAAGAAATTTGTCTTTGAAAAGTGTTACCCCACCAGAAATTCTTAACGAATTATTTAATATTTAAACATTAAAATATTTAGAAATAAAAGGAAATACAATTTTGGGGAGGTGACCCTTTAAGAATAATGACACTAAAATGATCAATTATTTTAAAGAATATTTGTGAATTTACTATTTTTCTCTGCACATAGCTTGAATATATAAACATATATTTATATGTGTGTATTTTTCATTAAATTTTCTTAATTTCTTAAGGGCAAATAAAATGCTAATCAGTCAGCATACAAAATAAGGAAATAAATGGTGATTCAAATGCATTTTATTTCTATGAATATTTTGAAAGACTTCTTATCTATTGTTTTATTACTTATTTTGAAGTAACCATGGTTCCCTGTCTTATGCCTAATGTTGGCCAAGCCAGCATAATACAGAGGTGATTAACCAAGGACTATATAAATTCAAGACACAGGTGAAAACAAATTTAAAGTATCAGTGTAGGTGATAGCATCACGTATTTAATGTTTTTCATCTTTATCTCTCATTTTCATGACACAGATTTATCTCAGTGAAATTTTTATTACTGCCAAAGTGAACAGAACTCAGGGTGCAGCAAATCTGTTTTAGAAGTTTGTTTAAAAAATGAAATGGTTAGTATATGATAGGTAAGTACTAAAGGAACTCATTATATCACTAGTTAGCTGCAACCTGCTTTGCTCTGCTGGTTGACTTCAAGAGGTTATTTTTCTCACTCATTTTAAACTTCCTTCTGAAACATATTTTTTTGCATAGGCATTCTGCCAGATCTTAATAAATTTAGTGAGGTCTGACAAGTATGTTTATATTTTTGTGAACTATAAAGATCAGGGTTTCCTGGAGTAGATATAAAAAGAGGGTAAGGTGTCATTTAGTTAATTTAAAACACATTATTGGACAGTGACTCTTGATCCTATGGTATTATAATTAAATTTTATTCCAGTTGAAAAACAATGATCTTTGTTTTTAAATCTGGATAAATTTCTCATAGGCTTTTTTTTTGTGATTTATGGATACTTTTGTTATGGTTGCTTGAATTTTCATGTTCCAAACAGCTTTCTCTTAATGATTTTTTCCTAATTATTGTGGATTTCAGTTTTGACAAACAGCTAAAAATTATATGACCAAATGTTTACCTGTTAATATTAAATAATCAAATCATATGTAACTATTTGAGCTGACATAACCTTATAAGCATGAGTTAAAGAACGGATTACATGAGAAAATAACACTTTTAAATAACTGCATTTATGAGGATTTATTATGTGAGAATGGTTTTACTACATCATTTTAATACTGCTATAAAATATATTTATGTACATTTTATATTTTATTGTTCCTAAATATCCACAAAGCATGCAAGAGAAGTTTCACAAGCCTGCCTGAAGAAGTGATACTGAGTGGGCACTGAGAGACCACAGTGAACAAAATGTGGAGAAAGAAAAATTACATCTGGATAGAAATAGTATGCCTTGCTCCCCAAAGTACCCACCTTAGGGAGTTGTTATGAGGATTAAATGATACGGTGTTATATGAAGTTCTTTCCCAGTTTTGGACATATAATAGCCTGTCAATAGATGGCAGGTTCTGTGTTATAATAATTGAATCTAATTGACATTTCTTTGGTTTTTAGCTCATGAATAGAGGTAATCAGAGCTCCATTCTGCATGGAGTGGATCATGTTTATCATGTTCTATTCTCTTCTGGACCTGGTGGTTTAAAAGGGCATTTGAACATAACAGCTGAGAAAGAATATTGAAAGGACTGGAGTAGGGTGCCTCCTATGAAGCACTACACATCTTTACGTATTCTAAAGAGAGCAGTCTTATTTTCTTTGGCTCTGGAAAGCAGTATCACAACCAAATACATGAACATTATAAGGTGGTAGATTTCAGATCAACGTGAAGGAGCATTTTCTAAACATACAACGGCTTAGTAAAAGAACTGCCAAGAATGATGGTATATTTCCTGTCTTTGAAGAAGTAAGAGAGGGTAAATGACTAGTAGTTGAAGTGTTGTTAGCAGCAATGGGTAAAGCTAGAATGTTAGCATCAATAATTCATTTCAATATCAAAAAAACTTGTAACAACTAATAGTGTTCGAAAAAAATGGAAAGGGATTATAGATCAATGCATGTGGGGAATAGGGCAGTCCTGAGTAATGATTGCAACAATTGACTTATGCATGGTGTCACCTACCGATGGAGAGAAATCAGTTTTATTACTAATGGATGGATTTCTCCCCAGTTTCTACATTACATTCAAGTTCAATTGAGAGGAAAGTCCTTATCTTCTTTCCCTAGACTGCTGTGCCTTATTTTTGTCCTTTTTTCTAAAGGATAATAGAATAGGTTCCAGAAGCAGAATGTTTGGGTTCCAGTCTCAGTTTTGCCATATACTAGTGTTTTGGTCACCAAAGATTATAATAACTGAGCAAAAAGGAACAAAAGAATAAACTGAGTTCTAGTTACTGAGTCAAAAAAATTACAAGAAATACAGTACAAAGAATGGAAATACAAAATTAAGTATAAAAATACATGAAATAACTTTAAATATATATTATATAAAATCTCTAGTGGCTCTACTCAGGTTATTATTGTTAGGCCTATTGGTAGAAGATAATTTCCCCTTCAGGTGGGGAAGCTTTCTCGTATTTCTCTGAATGATTTCATATCTATTAGTACATGGGGCATTCAATGGTTATTAATGTCATTTCCCAGCAGGTGCAAGAATTAGAGTGGGTTTTAACACATGATTTATGTATGTAATAAGATATGTAAATACAAGAGTCATCCAAGGTGTAGTTAACGAGCTAAAAAGGTAAGAGGGGCAGGAATAAAAATATTTTCAATTACCTACTTTACACCCATAAGTTCTAGAGGGTGTGGCCAGGATTTTTAGCAAAAATCATCTGTTTGACAAACTTTGTGCAATTTCTGTAACTATTTTTCTGCTTCTTCTTAATAAATTATTTGGCAAGTTTCTGCACTGCTACATCAAATTTTTTCCGTTACATTTTGCACAAAAACTTTGGATCTACATCCCAGAGGAGGCTCCGGGAAGCATTAGGGTATCAGATAAACTTGGACTGGAGGAGTGCCAGCCATATAAAGGAGTCTCCAACAAGGATAATACCAGTTGTAAAATCCTCCTTCCTAAGGAATCTGAATAGATAAAGGAAAAGACAGTTTTGCCACTTCCCTTTTCAAAGATACAGATCTCTGTCTTTCAAAACAGCACTATTGTTTGCCAATCTTCCTGCAAAGTCAAGTGTAATATTTGTGCTTTCTCCTGATTACTTGAATAAACAGCACATTGCAAAATGTTTCTCTTAAAGATCAGTTAATGTATCATTGCACAGGGTAAGGCAAAAACCACTGTGAGGTTAAGATTATCATTGTAACCTAATCAATACAAATAGTTTCTTAAAAAACAAACTTTCCTTATTATATCAATCATTCAGAGATTTCCTTTAATACTAAGTGCAAAGCATAGAAATAGGTAATTTGGAAAGATATAATGAACTATAAGACTTAATTACTATCTTTAAAGAGTTTACAAAACATTCAGAGAAGTAAAACATACCTAGAAGATAGTAGGTATTAATTGCTGATATAACAAATTACAAAAAAACAAAAACAAAAACAAACAAACAAAAAATGTTGGTTTTACAGCAGCACAATTGTATTCCTTGTTAGTGTACCTCCGAAGACTGATATGCATCTCACTGGGATAAAATCAAGGTGACAGCAGGGCAGTGTTCATTTCTGGTGGCTCTAGGGGAGAATTTGTTTCCTTAACTTTTTCAGCTTCTAGAGGCTGCCCATATTTCTTATCTTCTGGCCCCCTTTCTCCATCTTCAAAATCAGCAACGTTGCATTCCTCTGACCATTATTCAGACAGCACAGCTCTCTCTGAGCACAGCTGGGAAAGGTTCTCTGACTTAAAGTATTCATATATGATGGACCTACCTGGATAAACCAAGATAATCTCCCATCTCAAAGTTCTTAACCTCAACCACATATACAAAGTCCCTTTTGCTATGTAATGTTATCACTACTTCTAGGGATTAGGACATGGACATCTTTGGGAAACATTATTCTGCCTAACACAACATATAAAATAACTATGGTATCTTTAGCACTTAGAAAATACTTCATAAATGTTTTTAATCAATGAATAAATAGAAAGATGTATAAAGCAATAAAGATGACATAAGAAAAGGGCTTTTAGGTTTATGGAAATAGACATCTCTTGTACATAAATTCACATGACTTGTTTTTGAAACAGTAATATCTAATTAATGTCTAATTATTTCAAGTCAAAAATTGGAAGATTCCGTTTAGAACTTATAAACTGCTGGGTGAGGTGGCAGGCGCATGTAGTCCCAGCTCTCTGGAGGCAAAGGCAGGAGGATTGCTTGAGCCCAGGAGTTTGAGGCTGTAGTGTGCCATGATGGTGGCTGTGAATAGCTACTGTACTCCAGCCTGGGTAACATAGCAAGACTCCGTCTCTAAAAATAAATGTTTCAAAAAGAACTTAAAAGTATGTACTTATAAATGTATTAATGAATGGTGTTACAATTATGAAAAATAAATTCTAGTGTCAATACATGTTAATATATTGCTCATAAGTTTTGCTATTACAAATCATATACTATTTAGAATGCCATTTATTAGAGCTTAACACAATCTCAATACAATGCCAATAGGCGTAGATCTTAGGTTTTGTCTTTAAATTATATATAAAGATATGTATCAGAGAATGGGAATCTTTGACAGCTGGAAAAGTAGAACTCTGCTCTCAGTTTCAATTTCTATTATTGCAAATCGACAGACCTTGAGTCACTTATAAATCTAGCAGTCTAAGTGGTAAACTGACTTGGAGTAATTCACGGTGGTTTTGATGAACAGATTTTACTTATGCATTCTTGTGAGTGTGTGTGTACGTATGCATGTATATACAGATGTGTGTCTGTGTATATGTGTCTGTGTGAAAGGAATTAAACAGTGAATTTACTATTATCTTTTTTTTTTTTTTTTTTTTTTTTTTTTGAGACAGGGTCTCACTCTGTTGCCCAGGTTGGAGTGCAGTGGTGTGATTCATGGCTCACTGCAGCCTCAACCTCCTGGGTTCAGACACTCCCACCTCAGCCTTCTGAGCAGTTGGGATCACAGATGCGTACCACCACGCCTGTCTAATTTTTGTATTTTTCTGTAGAAATGAGGTTTTACGAAGTTGTCCAGGCTGGTCTCAAACTCCTAGACTCAAATAATCCACCCACCTTGGCCTCCCAAAGTGCCGGGATTACAGGTATGAGCCACTGTGTCGGCCTTGCAATGTTGTTTGAATGAAAATATCAAATACTTTGCATATATTAGGTGAAAACAATTAAAGCCTACTTAGTGACTGCTAAATACCTTTTGGTAGTCACTAAGATATGCCAGACACTGCTATAGGCTCTAACTCAGAAGGTGGACAATATATAGTCAATCATGTACTCTAATAATAGAATCAGTGGCTAGCTTGAGTTCTTTGGAAATAGGAAAATTCAGTTAACATTTTATTAATAAAATTGAGAAGCTGAGTCAATAAGAATTTTTTGGACAGAGGATGATGGTATTTATTCTCTTTTTGCTGATTTAATGGTACAAAACACAAATGCTGTGAGTTCCTGGGTGCTGTATACCCCTTACGGAACTTCAAGAAAATTATTTTAATGACATTTATCAAGAAATGATGCCAATGCAAAGTTAAGTATGCTCAAAACTTCTTATATTTTAAAATACCAAATTATTTTACTTAAATATAATTTTTTACTAGCAATATTTTATAACATGGAATTATGTGGCTTCTTCTGCTTCCCTGCATTAGTTAACACATGGATGCATGCAGCAAACTTAAATTCATGTTTAGTTTCACTTAAAACTGATTGTAAAATATTAACAGATACTTCGGATTAAATAATTGTTAAACACTAAGGCATTCCCTAATATCATTATGCCAAGATCATGCTTTCACTCTGCATTTTAATTTAGGTATTTTCTGTTTGAGATATTAAATGACTCAAAGACTATCTTAAATGTTTCAGTATTAATAAGGCTAGTAATAAAATTGTATTGTGTTCCTAAATATGTCATCTGTGTTTTGCATGTTTATTCTCTAATCATCACTATAATTCACATGTAATACATTTAAGTGTAAATAACTGCTACAACTCTTATTATAATCATTTTGCAAATGAATACAGTAAAATAATTTGTCCAGGTTTTCTCAGTTAGTAAGTGGTATAATAAAGACTTCAACCAGCTGGTCTACACTGTGTTATCTCATTGTGTACATCAGGAAGAAAATAAATAAATCCCTAACAAGAAATGTTAATTGGTAGGGTATTCAAGCTATATATTGTACAGAAATCCTGAATTAAAAATTAAACAAGACACGAAGTTTTTTTCTGATAAGTAATATTTGGGACAATGGCTAAATAACCATAAGATGTAATAGCACTTTGGAGAGGTAAAAGATTGTCTCTTAGGAAAGTGACAGAAAAAAAAAAACTATAGAAAAACATTAGTGCACCTTTAAATGTGAGAAATGCTAGGATAAATACATCATTTTGGGGCTGGACAGAGATAGCTGAAAAAGAGAATTCTCTTACTTAACTCTTAAAAGAGAAGGCCATATGTAATCTTTCTTATTCACATACAACAAGCAAATAAACTAACCACACAAAAGAGACTTAGAAAACTCTATGAACATTTTTTCTTTTATCAGGGCAAAGCAAACAAGCAGTTTAAGGACAGCTATAATCTGGTGCTCTCCATAGTGGGTGTTCTGCTGAATGTCATCACTTACTCAGTATGCAAGGCATAATTCTGTTTTGGAGTTGCAGCATGAGGAGACTAGGTTCATTCTAGAGATGTTTCTCCCTTCTAGTCCCTTCATTCAGGACTAGATTAAAGCATTGGGCAACATACTTCATCTGTCCTTTACACTTGCCATTTTCCATAATTTTGCTATATTCACTATTGTGAGTTGTAAAAACATATAAATAAAACAAGATTAAATAAAGAATATAGAAAATTTCAGGAACTATGAATTTGCCTCCTCACATCCTTTGTTCCTTGGCTAGAAAAAGCAATGTTTCTGGTGGATTTGATAGTCCCTTAGCTCTGTCAAGTCTCCAGAAGTCCAGTAACTGCAAATCCTCACAAACTTGAAAATGGTAAGAAGTCTGCCAAGAACCCTCCCATTTAGAATGAGGATTCCCAGGCTCATAGTTTAGGAATTTAAGTAGAAGCTTCTTAAAAAACTTAAAGCATACTATCTTATTAAGGATAAACTAGATATAAATTCAGTCATTTAAAAAATGTTGCAAGATTAATGTATCATATGGGGCCATGCTATCACAGCGTTAGCTAAATAACTCTTTAAGTAATTCCTAAGAAGGGCCAATGCACCAGATGACTGGTGTACAGAATAGTATATTATAAAGAAACAAACACCGCCCCCCAACCCTCGGCCCCGTACAGAAAAAAAAAGCAATGCTCCACCAGGTGGAGTCTTTTCCTCCCAGGGTTGAAATGTAATTCCTGGTATTGAGTGCCACCTGGTAAGTGGAATCGCCCTCAGATATCCCCAGGACCACAATAAACATGCAACATGTACATATAGTAAAAGGGAAACCTCAATTTTATTACATGGCTTTTAAGATGCAAAATAAATGGATTAAACAGTTACTTTGAAATGTACCTTATTGTGAATATTCCCATGTTCTTACACTAATGATTTTATCATGGTTGGATTCTAAACTGGGAAAAAAGAAATAGATTCCTCCAATTCATGCATTTTACTAATATGCCAGTGTCCAACATACCAGGTGTGGAGTGCTTGGGCTTTATAAGTTTGGGGGCACTTCAGATTTAACAAAACAGCCAACACCTGGAAATACATAAAAGCTGGCCTCTAAGCACAAGGTGATGAGTGTTAGTTAACTAGGCCCCCTGGATTCAGAAAATGGCCCCTCGTGGCTCAGAAAAGAAAACTGAAAATGCAGCATCAGAGTTTAGTTTTAGCTCAGATTTCCTGGTGTTCTCAACGCCTATCCTCTCTTTACTCCCAGAAGGCAAAACACAGCTCAAGTCATGACAGTCTTTTCTGTTTGAGAAGAATTTCTTTTAATATGTACTCTGCTATTATTTATAGTCATAGTGAACAATATAAAAATGCTGTTTAAGTATATATGGCATATTTCTACAGGAAAAAAATAACCCTGCTATTTTTACACACATGACAATTCCTACCCTGTGATGATGTACTTTAACTGTTACTGTCATTTTCCTGGATGTTGCTTTGTGGTCTCACCACAAATTCTGCAACAGATTTCCTGGGAGTGTGGCAAAGTCCCGGGTGAGTGGTTGAGACTATGATTTGACTGAGTAACCATTAGACTCCTTTTAGTGGTTAATCAATGATGAATTAATAAAAATAAAACCTTTACATTAAGTCTATAATGTGCACTGAAGTCCTGTCAGTTGCTTTCAATTAGGTCATTTTTATTATGTAATGGACAAAGACTCACCAAATTCCCACAGACTCTATACTTGACTCTATAGATTGCTTCACATTCCTTAGTAGACAGGTGTTTTGTTAGAACTATTTTAAAACACTTTTCTTTAACCATTTTCTCTGGGCTTGTGTCTGTGGTATGTGCTTGGCATACTCTCTGAACAAGGAGCTATCTTCAGTCATTGTTACCTTATGTTCAAAAGACAAAGTAATCAAGGTCGTGTTATCCTTGTTCATAATATACTACTGCAAAATACTAGTAGAAAGAAAGGGGGGTTTCAAACTAAAGTGCCACCAACATACAGATAACTTTTCAGTATCTTTTAAAATTATGCCTTTAATAGTCGTTATCTTGCTTTGCCCATAATCACATTTAGAGTACATTTACACCAATCATCTTAGACTAGATCAACATTATCTAATATAGCTTTCTGCAATGATGGACATATTCTGTATCTGCATTATCTACTGTGGGAGCCACCAGCCACTCATATGTGATTACAACACAACAGAGAAAGTTTAGTTTTAATTAATTTAATTTTGAATATATATAGGAACATGTGGCTTATAGCTACTATATTAGACATCACAGGTCTAGGTGGCTGCATGGATGTTGTACCCACTCTTCAATAATTTTGCAAATAAATATGTCATCATGCTTGCTTGTGTCATATAGATTTTAGTTTCTGCTTCATGTGTTTGAAGTGGTTTTTGTCTGATTCAAACTGTAATGTATTTTGTAATATTTCCTACATTAAAGGTAGTCAACATATTCAGTGGCAAGGTCTAAAGATAAAAAATGACCAGTTAGAGGGTAGAATCAACAAACAGGAAAACAATGAGAATATCTGGTTTTGTAGGAAAAGTAAGCAATACCAAAGATTACACAAGTGCTTCCTTCATAGGTTTGGAAGGTAAGAATTATATAGAAGTATAGTGGCTACTAAAGAATTCAGATAAGTAGAATAATCTAATTTTAAAGGGAGAAGGAATGCCGGAAATTTCTTAATCTGGATCTCTTTCAATGTGGCATAGTGTTTGATAGCAGTGATTTGATACCTGGATAGCTGGTGTCCTGAAATCACATTTCATTAACAGTTTAACCTAAACCAAGTTATCATCTCTAAATGCTGATTTCATTACCTGTAAGTCAATGACAATAATAAGATATACCTCTTAGATACACGTACCTTTTTTTTCCTGAGGCAAGGTGTAAGGGCAAGTGAGATAACACATATGAAGTGTTTAGTACAGCACCTGACACATACAGCCCCATTTTGGTGATAGGGAAACTGAGGTATTAGGGCGATAAATTAGCTTCCTCAATTTGTAATTGTTTTAGTAAGTGACTCAGCTGGGATTTGAAAGCAGGCCTATGACTAAGCTGAGCCTATCCAAGTGGTAGCAGAAACAGAATGGCACCTGGCATGTGACAGGCATTTAATAAACAAAATGACAGTTCAAGAACACAAAACGCATTAGTAATCACAGGCGTTTAGTAAACAAAATGACCAGTTCAATAACACAAAACTCATTAGTAATCTACAGATCATAAGGTCATGTCAGCTTATTCCTCACGTACGTTCTTACAAGCATCACTTGTGGAGAAACCTGGGCTTAAGACAAAGAAAGATACCGTGTTAAAGCAGCAGCCTTTTAAAGAGCACAGTAATAGAGGCTTTTCCATTAAATCCATCTAGTATCCATGAGATACTAGAACCCTCAATCATAGGACAGATTTAAAATGGTATTATAGGGTAATGAGTATCCATCTAGTATTTAAGTATTTACATAAATTGCAGTACTTAAAGTAATCTCTTTACAAGTTATTTTATCAAAAACTTTTCAGACACAATTTTTTGGGGATTTATTCAAACTGTTTAACACTTAAGAAGTACTGGCTTACCTTGGAGATACTGCTCGTTTGGTTTCAGACCACTGTGATCAAGCAAAAATCGCAATAAAGCAAGTTACATGAATTTTTTTTTCGTTTCCCAGTGCATATAAAAGTTACACAGCAGACTATTAAGTGTGCAACAGCATTATGTTTAAAAATGTCCATACCTTAACTTAAAAATACTTTATTGTTAAAAAATGCTAACGATCATATAAGCCTTCAGCGAGTGATAATCTTTTTGCTGATGGAGGGTCTTGCTTGATGTTCAGAGCCTTGCTGTGGCTTTGGCTTAAGGCTTAAGGGAATATTGCAGCTGGTTTGATCTTCTATCTAGACTGCTCAAATTTTCTGCATATCAGCAATAAGGCTGCTCTGCTCTCTTATCATTTGTGTGTTCACTGGAGTAGCACTTCTAACTTGCTTCAAGAACTTTTCTTTTGCATTTGCAACTCGGATAACTGGTGCAAGAGGACTGGCTTTTGACCTAACTCATCTTTGGGCATGCCTTTCCCCAAAAGCTTAATTTATTTCTAGCTTTTGATTTCAAGGAAGAGACGCGCAACTCTTCCTTTCACTTGAGTACTTAGAGGTCATTGCAGGGCTATCAATTGGCCTAATTTCAATAATGTTGTGTTTTAGGAAATAGAGAAGCCTGAGGGGAGGGAGAGAGACGGGTGAACAGCTCGTCAGTGGAGTAGTCAGAATACACACATGAATGGATTAAGTTTGGGTTGTGGTTTGTGGTGCCCAAAACAATTATGGCAGTAACATCAAAGATCACTGATCACAGATCATCATGTAAAATAATAAGGAAATATTTGAAATATTGCAAGAATTACCAAAATGTGACACGGAGACACAAAGTGAGCACATGCTGTGGGAAAAACGGCACCAACAGACTTGCTCAATTCGAGGACACCACAAAACTTAATTTGTAAAAACACATTATCTGTGAAGTACAATAAAGTGAAGGGCAATAAAATGATGTATGCCTATGTAAGGCAATCAGTAGATGATGGGAAAAAAACATTGCATGATTTAGAAAAAACAAAGAGAATATGTTATCAAAATGACTAAACTAATAGCATAATTAGAATTTCATTTGAGTATTTCTTTATAGTTTTGAGAGATTTAAAATTATGTATTATTTTATAAATTATTATGGAGGATCTCCTATATACCCAGTCTCAGACTTATTTTGGTGATTATACTCTGGAACATGTGATTCTTCTCCTCGTGGGGTTAAAAAAATTTATACCATCCTATGGGGTATGACTAATCTGAATCTCACACTTGAATATTACTTTGGGATCTTAGGCAAGTTATTTAAGAATAAAAATAACTTACTATGTTTCCTCAACTATAAAATGAGAATTTTAATAATCTTAAACTTACTGTAAGGATGAAATAATTTTCAATAGTATGTAATATGATGCTTAGCATACATTAAGATCTCAGTGTATATTAGCAACAATTTCAGTAAAGAAAGACCAAATAATTTTTGTCAAGAAATATGAATATATAAATTATATAGGTTTTAAGTTGTATTTACCATATTTAATGTGACAGTAAAAAAAGTCACGAAAATGTGTGACCTAATAAGTTTATTCAGTTTTCTAATGTCCTGAACCCCTTATCTCAGATGGATTTTGCTCCAAACTTATAACAATAATTTACAACCCTGACTCTAGTTTTTTTTTCTGAGAGAAAAAAATAAATAGAAACACTGTTCTTTTTCTTTCCTTACCTACAGGAATTTACTTACAGAAAAATCTAACTTCTTTTAAAAACAGCCTTAATCCCTTGTTGGGCCAAGGGAAAACTTTTCCATTGTTCTCTGAAGGTTTGCTAAAAAAAAAATTACTGTCAAGAGGCAGATCAATAGAAGAAAAGGCATACACATTTATTTGATCATAATTTTACACAACCCGAGAGCCTTTAGAACAAAGACCCAAAGTTACAAAAGAAATTGTCCATTTTTATGCTTAGGTTCAACAAAGTGTGGGCAGGTGTGGAGAAATACAACTGGACAAAAGGAATATGATCTCATGCTAACAGACTGAGTGGGGACGCCTGGCAAGGTGAGATTCTTCCTGGTATCTCTGTGCAGTACTCATTCCTTCTGGGTATGGGGCAGGACCTTCTTTGGAATGGGGTCTTATGAGCTACGATCAAACAAGGTAGGTCAGATAATGTCTTTATGGCCAGATTTCACACAGAAAGTTGAGGTGTTAGAGTGATATGCTTAGGTTTTATGGCTGGTTTGGGAAAAAGGGTTCTGGTTTCTAGGAGCCACCTTGGGAAAGAGGGATTCTAGTTTCTATGCCTCGCCTTGGGGGAGAATGAAGGGCCGGAGACTGGAGAGCAGGAGAAGGTCAGAGAGAGCTGATTCTGAGGTCTTCATTTGGGGTATCATTTTTCTGAGCCCCTACACCCTAATAAAGCACAAGAGATGCAGTGGAGCAATTCAGGGTCACGGTCAGGCTATGCATTGAACTGAGATTTCCCAAAAAGTCTACTGAACAGTAAAAAGAAAGTAAAATGGATCCTGGGGACACCAGACAGAGGCTGACAAATGATTTTTAAGTAAGGAGAAAATGATAAAAGAGAAGGATTAGCAATAGAAACGGGTCATATAAAATAGATCCCTCAAAAGGAATTCTCTTAATCCCTAGCTTCTCTAGATATCCCACAACCTCAGGGACTTATCAGGCAGGTTGTTTTTCCCTGAAAGTGGGGGTAAGGGAGCTGGAGGACAAATGAAGGTGGTATGTGGAGGGAAGGCTGTTCTGTGGATGAGTTTAATTCAGCCCCACAATCACTTCTGTACAGCTACCCACCGCTCTAGTCATTCCCACATTTGGCCTGCTTTCTTTTCCTCTGTGGACAGGGGCACTGTTCTCTACTAATATCCATCTCAGAGAGATACAGGGGCAAGTATCCCTCAGCATCCATTAGAAATAAAGCAGGCTCTTGCTTAAAGTTACCAGAGCATCCACCTCTGGGTGCAAAGACAAATTCTCTGAATCAAGTGAGGGGTCTGGGCAATGATCTCACAAGGATTTGATACCTAGGAGTCCCCCCATGCCCATACAAGCTCCTCATCTTTCCACTTACACTTTGGGAAGCTGGCTGTCGTGTACAGGCAGATGAAGCTGGAAAAGAGAGGCATATTCAGTACTCACGAATTCAAACAGCTTGAGGGATTTCCGGTGAAAGTCAGTCCTAACCAGTGTATACGTACATACACACCAACATGTGTGAATGTGTTGTGTGCACGTGTGTGCCTGTACAAGTCCACATGGCATATTTACCTGTCAGGGACAGGCTATGGACAATGACTGTTTCTTGGACTTTCTCTTAAAAAGTCAGATCAGACAAGTTTATTTTGTATACTTTGGGTAAATGTGTGGTATTTCGTGAGTTTGGCAGTTTGTGAAAAAAAAAAAAAAAAAAAAAAAAAAAAAAAGCTGCCTGCTCTGAGCCCATGGGGCAGGGGCAATTTTTTCATCTGACAATCTGCGTGCTTTTGTTTTGCTTGCTTATTTTGGCCCCACAATACCACACCCTTTTCTTAACTAACCTCTTTCTACCTGGGCTGGACGTGCCTGGGCTCTCCTCCCTGGCCCCGCTCCCACCTCTCCCAGGTCTCTAAACCCCTAGAGAACCTGTGTCAGTGTTTTGAATCCCTCAGTTGCTCTAGCAGGAAAACTAGACAGATTAGGAGCTGGGGCACATTTGGCTGAAAGACAGCTCTTCGCTTTCTTCTTATGCTGCTTCCCCTTCCTCTTTTCCCAAATAGATATATAAACACATGTATTTTCCTGTTTAAATTGAGCGAATTGGTCCCCTGCCTGTGCCTTGATTTAGCCATTGGGCTCAGCCTTGCTCCTCCCTTCCTTACTCGGATAGGAGCCACTGGGATCTGGAGCTCCAGCTTCCAAATTGAAGCTGGCCTCAGGCCAGGTGACCTTTTCTTTGTAAGTTTCTTTCCTAAGCGTGGGGTTGGGGGGAGGCGGGGAATGGGGGGGGTTGCAGGGATCTGTTTGGTGCTGTTGAAGGGGGGGCGAGTGAGGAAAGGAGGGGGCTGGAAGAGAGTAAAGGGCTGTTGTTAAACAGTTTCTTACCGTAAGAGGGAGTTCAGACCTAGATCTTTCCAGTTAATCACACAACAAACTTAGCTCATCGCAATAAAAAGCAGCTCAGAGCCGACTGGCTCTTTTAGGCACTGACTCCGAACAGGATTCTTTCACCCAGGCATCTCCTCCAGAGGGATCCGCCAGCCCGTCCAGCAGCACCATGTGGGTGACCAAACTCCTGCCAGCCCTGCTGCTGCAGCATGTCCTCCTGCATCTCCTCCTGCTCCCCATCGCCATCCCCTATGCAGGTTAGTTCCCTTCTTCTTCTTCATTATTAGTATTAGTATTTAACTCTCCTGCTAACCTTCCCTATTCCTTTTAACACCCTCTTTTTACCCTATTCCCAGCATCCTTTCTGAACTCAGTATGTAGTATAGGTTTCTAAAAGCTCTCATTATGCTTTTTTTGACATTCTTTTTTGTTGTTGTTTGAATAGCATTTAAAATGATAATTAACTTTCCCTCAACTCCCCTCCACCTCCAACCCAAGCCCCGTCCCACTTAGCCTAATAGTTGTGGATTATGAGATAGGGAGGAAGTGCTAATACTGGCTGAACTTGGCTGCTTTGGACAAGTTTAAAGCTAAAGAGAGGGTCTGGTCTGAAGAGGCAAGAGTGATGGTCAGTCCGGCAGGAAGTCATCCTTTTCCAGAGAACAATTTTTCATGATAATGCACTACTCCACATCACCTAGTCAACATTTGGAGCCAAATTACGACTTTGTACAGGTTTTCATTTTGAGGAGGCAGAATAAACTCTGAGTATTTGCATATCATAAAAATGAAAGAGAAAGCCTCTTTTTAAAGATCTTATTCTTTCTGGGTACGGATGCCTGCCCTTTGAAACTGCAGTGCACGGAGACTTTGATTAAAGCTGCAGAACTGCCCATCTCTGTCTCCCACTTTCTCCCTTGGATTTGCCGTTTGGGGAGGAGTTGCTTGAAAGTTCATATTGCTTGGAGATTTAGAGATCTCGTTTGCTGCTCTGGGAAGTTTCTCTTGTTATCAGGGCAAGAGGAAACATCTGTATTTTGTTGTATCATTGTAGAGGCTGAGGTGCCAACGGGAGAAGGCAGTGAATATCAAGGGTAGGCGCAGGGGAATAAAAGAGTGGGAACAAATGCCCAGATGGAGACATGGCCTTTTTACAATATAAAAAAGAGAACTGGCTGTATCTTTTGAGATGGTAAATATGACATTTATCAGACCTTTGATCTAGTTTTTGATATGGTACAAGGGTTAAAAAACTCAAGAATTTTCTAAATGCAAAGGAAAATCATTCAACCCACCTGGTTTTCTTTTATTTTGTGAAGTGGCCCGTTTGGAAAATGACACTGTTTGGAAAGGGTCACTCTGAAAGCATTTAGGTAAGATTTCTGAAGAAGTGAAAAAGCAGTGAGTTCAAATCAAGCAGGTTATCATGCTTGACATGTGTCATGTTAAAATCGCTTCACAGGGTCGGGTGCGGTGGCTCACGCCTGTAATCCCAGCACTTTGGGAGGCCGAGGCGGGCAGATCACGAGGTCAGGAGATTGAGACCATCCTAGCTAACAAGGTGAAACCCTGTCTCTACTAAAAATACAAAAAATTAGCCAGGCGTGGTGGCAGGCACCTGTAGTCCCACCTACTTGGGAGGCTGAGGCAGGAGACTCTCTTGAACCTGGGAGGTGGGGGTTGCAGTGAGCCGAGATTGTGTCACCGCACTTCAGCCTGGGGAACGGAGCAAGACTCCATCTCAAGAAGAAGAAGAAAAAAATGCTTCACAGATGACTGCTGGTTTAGGGGATTTTGAGCTTAAATTGAAATAATGGCTAATATTTTGAGGGTTTTCATTTTTAAAGATTAAAATGTCACTGTTCTTAAGTAGAATCTGGTTACCTGAATTCATCTGTGCTAACGCAAGGGGAACGCAGTGTGGAAAACCCAAACAGTAGATCAACCGTAGGCAGTGTCTATTTGTTTTCGGCATGCATTATGAACTTTTGGCAGGAGACATACATTTGTAATTATATTTCACTTTGCCTAATGTAGAAATGACTGTGTTTCCTGAGTACAGGCAGAATGCAGCCCAAGAGTGCTGGCAGGCAAGGAGAGTCCAGTTGGGAATTACAAATATGCTGTGAATAATTCCTGAAGTGGATAATTCTAAAATTGTCATCAAAGGAGGGTGCGCCTTTGTTTAGATGGCCAGTTTGATAGTTTTTTTTAATAACCTTTAAAATAAAAAATATGGGTAGCCTCTTAGAACACACAAAGTTTGTTCTTTTTTAAATGACATTTAATATTGACTATTTAGAGGTTTCTTTTGTTGTTACTAGCTTTGATTATAATTATTTATTCTATGAATTTATATTTGTATGTATTGTAAAATAACACATTGTTAGGAAAGAAGTATATACTGTAAGTTGACAACCAGTTATCAACAGAATACACTATGGAGATACTTTTTTAAAAGCTTAAGAAATATTCAATATAATGGGCCCCCGCCATCTTTGTAGGAGTTAGCCTATATAGAATTACCCTCTATTCACTCCCACCTACATGGGAAACAAATATCCAATCCTCTGTAATAAAAGAAGCATTAAATGAGCACCTAATATTCAAGAGTATGTGGGGGATGTAAAGATGAACAAATAAGAAAGGAACTTAAATTTGTTGAGCAACTGATATGAACCAAGTAGTAAAGTACATCTCACTTAATTCTAATAAGATTGGCACTATTGGACTCATTTAGCCGGTTCAAAGACCTCAGTTATCTTATTTCTTTGTGAGTTAAGGGACAGAGCTGAGATTTCTACCCAAATGTATGTGAATGAACTATGTGGTGTTTTTTTTTTTTCTTTTTTCATTTATATTGAAGCGAGCAGCAGTGAAATCAACTGAAATTTACTTAAAAAAAATCATTTGGCCAAGTGATATATTTTCAAAAAACCCTGTTAGAAATACTTTGTACTATGGTTGAGAGTTCATTTTCAGCATAGAGAATCAAACCAGGTGAAGGGGTTATATGGTACTGAAGTCCATATGAAAAGATGGATGGTAGAATAGTCAGTATCTTAGCACAGGATCACAAGTGGCCCAAGGTACAGAGGTTCGTAAGTATAAGGAATGTCCCAGGAAGGACCCCACACAGCAACTGAAGGCAAGCATTTGAGGCAGAAGTATTGGGCATGTGATGGGGAATATTGTCTGTGAGTGGAAAAGTAAGATGAGGTAGAATGGATAGGATTGAAGGTCATGCTCAACCATGTGGTCTTTAAAATGAATGTCATGCGAGCAGCTGAAAGTTTTTTTGTTGAAAATGTACTTGATTGAAGTTGTTCTTCAGTGTGGTTGCTTCAGTTCCTGTGTGGAAGGAAAGTTGTAGGCAGAAACAGACAGTGAAGGTGGAGGCCAGGATGAGGCTTCTAGAAGAATGAAACCTTAAATAAGAACTGGAAAGGAGAAGGAAGAAAATACCTAGGGAGGCCCCTCAAATCACACTGAACATCACTTCATTTTGTAAATCCCCTTGGAAGAGATGATGCTGCAGCTTCTCAAATATCAGCATTTGATTTACATCTGACACAGTCTCTGTCTTCTTGGTATCTTTATTTGTGATATTGTTGCCTTCTCTAAAGAAAGGGAGATGACTGCCGATTTGCAAAAATCCATGTCTTAGATAATAACAACGAAAATTTAGACTTCTATTTGAAATTCTTGGCTTTGGAGAGTTTACAATCTCCAGTCTCAACCATTCCCTTCCATTAATTATTTGTGTACTTTCATCTTAACATCTTGCCACTTGAATCTCTTCATCACTAATCATGTGGATAGGTTTCTCAGAATATGTGGAGCCAGATTCCTGCTTCTTTCCACACCCTGCAAATCCTTTCCTTGCATGATTTTCCTTTGAAGTCAATGGTTAGTCCACACAGAGAAGAAAATATATGAGGTACTGAGAGAAATGAGTGTGAGGTGCCGGGACCAGAGGGAGAAATGTGTCTTTCTTCAAGCACCTTGATACATTTGACCCTACTTTCTGTGTGTAGGTTTTCACTAGGATCCTAATGATTTCAGCTCTAAAACAGGGACTTCAGGTTCTTCAGGAAATATAGCTTCCAGAATGTTTTCCCATACTGGGAGAAGAGGAAAAAGGAGTTGTAATTTAAAGCACAGGAAAGCATGACAAATTTGTAGTGATCTCTCACCCTTTGATTTCATTTCAATATTTTGTTTATAAACTTCAGCTAACAGTCACGCACAAAAAATAGTAGGGAAAAATCTGATCCAAAGATATTTTTGAGTTTCTTCCCAAATTAAGCTTGGCTTTTAACTGTTTTCAGTAAAACAAGCATCAGTTGTTAATACATATGGAGGAGAAAGTTGAAACTATTTTCAGCAAAGGAATTTTATTTTCAGATGCTGTTTTTGAATGACTTCTGTTTTGAATTTTTCTTTTATTGTATAAGGAATTAATTTTATAGATGTGTGGATTACATGATGTACAATTAGCTCCAACTTCATATTTTTGAGTAATTAGTTACTGGCTTAGTATAAATGACTTAATTAAAAGGGAAAGTTTCTATGTCATGAGAACAAAATAGTGAGAAGAGAATTCTGGTGTCTGGTTCTGATTGCCCCTGATAGCTTTGTAGCCCCAGACAAGCTTTTCATTTCTATTTGTTATCTAGTAAAGGGAAATAATAGATTTATTTGTTTTTCAAAATGCTTTTCGATCTTTAGATGAAAGGTAGTGATTGGAAAATTTGTCAGCAAGCAAGGGTAGACTGTTTTTGTGAGGTACAACAAAACATTAACACATTTCAGTAGGACAATTGAGGAGATTTAGAATTAAATACAATCAAAAATTCCACGGAGACCTCTGCTCTCCAGAATCTTCTTCATGGCTTGCCTTCATTTTGCGTGGCATTGAGAAAAGAAACCAGAGCATTGACCAGAGATTTTGTTTCATTTGATACATTAAAATACATTACACATTTAATATTTGTCTTAGACTTTTTGATTTTTAGGCTTTTCCCTCACACTTAGACATGTATACTAAATAGATTATATATCAGGCCAACTTCAATTTTATATTTTTAGTTAATATAATTATACACATATTTAAGAAATACGTGTATAAAACTCTTCTATTTTGGTGAATAGTTGTTTCATAGATTTTTTTCATCAATTAACTATCATTTATTTCTAAGAAACATTCAAATTTATACAGGAAATTATAAAACTATTATGCTATGAAGCATTTCAAAGCACCTTAGAAATAGTGTAATAAGGTCAAAGGAAAGAGAAACTCTTAATGGAAAAACTTATCTCCTATTAACATGGTTCTGTGACAGAAATCAAAATTTGAAATGAATTATGCCTTCTTTGCTTGGAAGAATCACAGTTTCTTCTTCATGCCAGAGATTAAAGGATAAAATTTCAAAAACAAAACTAAAACTTTGCGTATTTATAACATTTTTAAAAATCCAAATTGATTTTCAAATATTTACTTAATGGTTACAGTTTAATGTTAACATAACTTTTATATTTTAGATTGAGAAATTGGGATGTTAACATTTCAGGTAATTAAAAAGTCATTTGACAAGTCAATAAGATTGCCAGTGTTGTACAAGGCATTTGGTCCATGCTCAATAAATAACATGTTGACAGATTTTTGGTTGATTTCATTTTCATGTTAAAATGTCTTTTAAACTGTATCTGTTGTACCATAGCCATTCTATCCTGTAAGGCAAAGCAAAATTAAAAATGAAAGCATCATTGCAGGAATTAGTATTGTCTTTTGGAGATTGTGCTTTGGAGTTTTACAGAGATTCAGAAATTTAGAGGACCTCGTGTTTTCTCTAATTTATTGCAGCCTTCAAATTAGGATGGACACTAATTAGTAGCATCTGCTCATCTCATAAACCAACTGGAGCCAGTGGTTGCTGACAAACTTAGAGTATGATGGCATTTTTGGTACCTCACTCTGCTAGTTGTATTTCCAAATTTTGTGCACACAAATTTTTACTCTCCTTTTTTGACACATTTCAACACAGATTCAGATCAGGAATGTATTTCCTGCTCTACTATCCACATTTCTTCTCTACTGCTAGCTCTAAACCAAATTTTCAGGAAAGTGTTACATGCCATATTTCCACTACAATCTTAGCCATTCTTAGCTACAGATGGCATGGTCAGTGGTTCAGAGTGGTGGTTTTTAAGTCAGCCTGCTGGGTTTCCAATCTGAGATCTTCTAAGTGGTCAATTAATTTTTTTCTATGTCTTGGTTTCTTTGGCTGAAAAATGAATGTATCCTTACTGCCTTTGGTATAAGCATGTTTGAAAAGAATTGACAGGCAGAGGGGCACAAGCACATCTATCCTTATTACACAATAGCTGCACTCTATTAAACATTTTGATCTGCATTGTGAAGATGCTGATCACTAACAGATTGGGGCTATTTTGGGCAAATTGAGAATACAGAGAACAAGTTTTTGAAACACTAAAGTTATCCATAAGATTAGGTCTTTTAGAATGTTTTAGTTCTGTTTTTCAGATTTTCAGTAGAAGGCTTCATGCTATCTAGGCGCCTTGTATTTTCATGAAGAAAAATGATATTGCTGCATTAAAGGATGAAGTTTTACATACATTTGATTTACAGCATTTGGCTTGATCTCAAGACAAATAGTTCGGTGATACCAAGAAATAGTGTCCAAAAGCACAGAAAACATTTATGCACTAAAGGAGGAGAGAGGGGCTAAAATATGAATAACATGAAAGACTTTAAAGAGTAGGTCAGAAGAATTTGTCCACTGTACAGTTTTTAGTGAGACGTTTCTCGCCTGTCTTTGTGTTGGCTTATCTCATTAAATACTATAACGTATATGAGGACCAATTGTAGAAGGAAATGAAAAGTTTAATTATAAAGCATGATATGATATGCTTCTAGCACTGATATTTCCTTTCATGATGTTTGGAAAATATCATGTTATTTATTTCTTTAGTGTGAACTCTGTCCTGATTTTTAAAAGCTCCTTAATTTGAAAGAATGTAAATGAGTGACTCTACATGACAAGTTATTTGTTTTTCCTTGATTACAATATTCCTCTCTTTCTCTTAACTATTCCCTACCTCACTCTGCTCCTAACCCCTGGAAATCTAGTATATTGTCAAGTAAAATCACTTTCTTGTAGATGATCCTTAGGATTTTTTTTATATATGAGCCTTAAAAACATTTCTCCAATGTTTATTTTTTTAAAACATTTTGTATTTAATAGAGGGACAAAGGAAAAGAAGAAATACAATTCATGAATTCAAAAAATCAGCAAAGACTACCCTAATCAAAATAGATCCAGCACTGAAGATAAAAACCAAAAAAGTGAATACTGCAGACCAATGTGCTAATAGATGTACTAGGAATAAAGGACTTCCATTCACTTGCAAGTAAGTTACTTCATTTTCTTCTTAGAATAATTTTCCAAATATAGCATGCATGTATTATAATCATGTGTCTTTTGTGTTGTAGTCAATGTGATTTGATCATAAAATTGTAAGTTTGACTCTAGATTTAACTCACTACAAACGAAGACTTAGCTCTCAGTTTATGGAAACATAGCTTGAGTAAGGGAGAGCGCAAAAACTGCTACCTTCTAAAATCCACAGTGGCTTTGGTTATGGAATTTGTTTTCTCATCTGATGAGCAATTGAATTTGAGTAACTAAAATGAAATTCAATTGGCTTTGGGTTTTAAAATATCTATTCAGAGTAACTTTTTTTTTCCTTGCAAGAGGAATGGAGGAATTTTTAGAACAGAATTTGGGCAGCAGCCAAAATTTACTTCATCTTTATTATATCATTGCATTTAGGGATTTAAATAAAAGGTGTTGAGAGAATTAGTTTAAAAATTAGAGAGACTGGTGTCAGCAGAGACTGTTTAAAAGAAGAGGATAGCAATGGTAAAGTTTCAGGTGAAAATTGATGGGGCAATTTAAAGAGGCATGAGGGGACTTAAATGGAGAGTTTCATGTCTTTTGACAGTCCCTGTGTGACCTCATAGGGAAGAATTCCTTACTACAGGGGTCCTTAACCCCCTACCCCTGCCACTAGTCTGTGGCCTGTTAAGAAACAGGCCTCACAGCGGGAGTGAGCTGCAGGCCAGTGAGCATTACTGCCTGAGCTCCACCTCCTGTTGGATCTGCCACATTAGATTCTCATAGGAGCTGAACCCCATTGTTAACTGCACATGAGTGGGATCTAGGGTGTGCGCTCCTTATGAGAATCTAGTGCCTGATGATCTGAAGTGGAACAGTTTCATCCCAAAACCATTCCCCGCTCCCCGGCCCACCCCCACCCCCACTCCACACCCTTGGAAAAATAAACCAGTCCCTGGTGCCAAAAAGGTTGGGAACTGATGCCTTATTACTTTGCCAGTGATCCCAGAAGATAAAACTCTTTGTTTTGGGCTAAGAGGGTGACAATTTCATTCGAATCGTCTCCTAAACTGTCAGAAGAAGACACATTTTTTTAGTTCTTCATTATCTTACCTCACTTATTTCCCACTCTTTCACTCCCTATTTTATCTTTTTTTTTTTTTTAACAGGGTCATGCATAAAATCCTGTACATATTAAATTCTACTCAATTACATTTAGGTAGTGACCCATAATGTGACCACAGGGTTTAGTAATGTCATGGCAAGTGGTCCTAATTTCATCTTGCCTTTTTCAGAGAAATAAATGTTATGGGCCTGAGAGGAAGAGCATGGTCAGAAAAGATCTTTATCAGGTTTAGGTTGAGGAAAGACTGTCTGCTTTCCATTTCTAGAGTGAAACTGCCAATTTCCGGGAGATAGTTCCTGGCAAGAGGAGTGGGAATTGACTTTGCAAGTATATTCCTATGATAATTCTGTTTTATTCCCTGACTTTCCTATAAAAGCCTTGCTATTGTTAGAAATAGAGACAACTACTCTCAATCAACATCTCAGCTGTGTAGATTCATGGAGATGTTCCAGCAGTTGAGGAGGATAGAGTTGTATTTTCCCCTCTCAGGGCTGGAAGGGCAGGGAAAAGGGAAGGAGAGGACACCTCATTGCTGATTTTTAACTTTGAAAATAAGCTCTCTTGGACCCACAAGTAAGGAAAGTATTGCTACCATTCAATTTTCACATTAGTCAACCGTATACTTAGGAAAGAAAAACTTTCCTTTTGTTCTATTTACTAGGAACTAAAATGATTTTACTGGAGAAGACATTAATAAATTAGTAAGTGCTCACATATTCCATATATATGAGATTTCATACTTTCCTACCATATTTTGGTTGAGTTATATTTATTCTCCAAATTTATGGCAACCTGTGCAGAAAACCACAGGTAATATTATGTATTAGAGCCAAGATTTTTTGGCCCAGAAATGGTAAAATCCTCCTCATTCACACACACACACACACACACACACACACACACACACACACACGCACGCACATAGACACACATATGTATTTGGGATTATTAAATATCTTAGCTATATAGAATTGAATGAACATACTATGATACTATGAACTTAGGGTCTTAATGAATCAAAGGATGTTGTTTCTAGACATGTTATATAAAACATAATTATTTAAAAACAATGAAAAATACCGTAAACCACTTATAAAATACCAAAGAAGTGTGCGAAACCATCTGTGACGTGAATGAGTGTGAGGTGGAACATTCTTAAATATTGTTTTTCCTTGAGAAGTTATCAACAATATTGATTTCCTAGAGATTCAAATTATTCTTTGCTGGGTAGGAAAGATGACCAAGAATGCCTGATTCTAAGCTCTTCAGGAAATAGCTCATTCATAAATTCACTTAATAAGATAGGAAGCTTTCCTCTTTTAGCCATGGCTGGCAACTGGTACTAGAATTGCCTTCCTGCCATCAACAAATAGGAAATAGACAAAATAAGCTGTGGAAAAGATTACAACTAGAACGATGTTAAGATAAAGACTCTAAAAGTCAAACCTAAAAGAAGATGCAACTTACGGAATTTGATGGCTTCCACCCACTTTATATGGAGGTGTAAAATAATATAAGAAACACTTTTCTTAAAGAATTTGTCATTGTATTGGAACGAGAGAAAGAGTGAATGAGATCAGCAAACTGGAAATCCTGTCACCCACTTTACAGATGGAATCACTTAAAAACAAATTTATCATTTTTTTGCGTATTTATCATTTTGTTATATAAATAGGTTCTTTTAGTGAACAATAACAAAAAACCAATATAATACTTAGCTATAGGAATAGTAGGGGTGGTATGTCTTCATAACTTTCTTTAAGATGTTATGTCAAAAAGATATTCTCTAATATTACTAGTTTTCTTTAAATTAAAAATGCTTAGCACTTTGGGAGGCCGAGGCGGGTAGATCACGAGGTCAGGAGATCAAGACCATACTGGCTAACATGGTGAAACCCCGTCTCTACTAAAAATACAAAAAATTAGCGAGGCGTGGTGGTGGGCACCTGTAGTCCCAGCTACTCGGGAGGCTGAGGCAGGAGAATGGCGTGAACCCGGGAGGCGGAGCTTGCAGTGAGCCGAGATCACACCACTGCACTCCAGCCTGGGCGACAGTGTGAGACTCTGTCTCAAAAACAAAAAAACAAAAAATGCTTATATAAGCAAACCTGTTTAGGAAATATTAGCTTAAATAGTTATCCTCAACAAGATTTTCATAGCTTTTAATAAACTGCAATGTTTTATAATTCACCAAAAAATTACATTATATGCAAAAATTTCCAAACACTTGGTTTCAGATCCCACTTTTTAGGAGAATCCCTAGCGCATTGATATATCTAATGCACCTTAGAAAATGTCATTTTAGAATATATTTTTTACAGTTATACACTTTGTAAATTACTCCTGATATCTCAGATATAATTGAGATAGCTTAAATATCTCAAATATAATACCATTTTGTACAAGTGTGGATAAAAATATTCCAACTTTCTGTGAAGTTACAGAAAAATAAAGCCTTCAGAAATAATTTAAATAGTTGTGTTACATATTGATTTTGCATGTTAAAACTGTTATTTTTCTACAAGCCTTTTGGAATAACATGAGAATATTCCAAAGAGTATTCAATCTGATATTTAAATCTACTCCTACAAAAACTTAATTTTGTTCTTTCTTGTTTGGCTATCAAAATGGTAGGTTCAAATTTTACTCATATTTTTATTATGTATATGTAATTATGCATTTGTTTCTATATTGTCCATATGCCCATGGACAAGATGAACCATATGCCCATTCTTTAAATACTGTATAAATAGTAGTATTTCTTCTTTTCATTCTGATATTTTTTTCAGGGCTTTTGTTTTTGATAAAGCAAGAAAACAATGCCTCTGGTTCCCCTTCAATAGCATGTCAAGTGGAGTGAAAAAAGAATTTGGCCATGAATTTGACCTCTATGAAAACAAAGGTAACTGACTTCTCCCTAAATATTGCATAATGAAATAAAGTATAATGAAATGTATGTTTGTAATTTCCTGCCAGAGTGGTCTTTCTCACTGATTTTTCTACTATATATGAGATATTTTATGTAGTCAATTCATCCATTAAGACAGTTGAAACTAGTATCTTGACTATTTTTAGTATGGTACTTTAAGGAGAACATTTTCAAAACTTTTCATAATCTTGATTCCCTTCCTCCCTCTGTTTATTTTTATTTTTATTTTTTTGGAGCATCTCCTAGAACTGGCATTCTCCATGTTCATTTTAGAAAGTGCTACTTTCTTTCATTATAAAGTTTAAAACACTTTATATTACAGCAAATTCTGAGTTTGCTATAGTATTTTGCATTTAACAATGTTGGATAACTAAATTATAGTGATGATTACTGATGATAACAAAATATGGAGATTTTGGAGAAATGAGTTGGGACTATGTTTCATCATATACTTGAAAAAAATATTTAAAGGAGGAATTGAGACCATATTATTTGCTGATTGCCTATTCTGGTGGTCTGATATTATGTTCACTAGGTATTTACTTTGTTCAAAAGCAGAATCAAGTAAATGAAATAATTGAAGAATGTTAAACAACCATGTCCTATTAAATTCAGATACATAACCTGGTACAATATATAGATGTTTTCAAGTTAATAGGGTAAATGTTTAAATAAAATTAAAAATAAATTTATGGTAGAAGTAAGTTAATCTTTATACACCTCAATAATACTACAAATCTTGAACATAATTCATGATCTAGTATAACACCATTCTTACTTCAAACTGTCTTCTAGCTTGCTAACAACTGCATGTACTATTATTTGGTAGGAATATATAGGTTATTACAATTTGGTTGTCCTATCAGCAGTGGAAATGTTTGCAAAAATATGGAAACTAATAAGCAAGCTACCTCATGCATATGCATATATAAACAAAAATCCACACAATTTTACTAAGAAGGACAAATTAATTATCTTAGGTAACTTTTTGAATTCAATATAGGTTTTAAAAATCATTTAATTTTTGTTTTTAATATTTTCTTAAAATGGTCTATATATTTGAGCAAATCATAATTGCTTGGCTAGCTGAGTATACAGACTATGTTAAGTACAGCGACTGCTCTCTGGAGCTATCTATGCATATATACACAAAATTAAAACTTCTCAATCATCTGTTTGTTTTGGATTATTCAGAAATGTGTTATTTTGAAAATACTAGTAGAAGCTTTAGGCAAGAAATTTCAATGTTATTTGAAATAGTTTACAAGAGTTAATTACTTACAGGTTTGAACGGAATTTTTTTCTTAAATACTGCATATGTTTTGCATAGTTGCAATAATTTTATCTACTTTCTTCAATAGACTACATTAGAAACTGCATCATTGGTAAAGGACGCAGCTACAAGGGAACAGTATCTATCACTAAGAGTGGCATCAAATGTCAGCCCTGGAGTTCCATGATACCACACGAACACAGGTAAGAACAGTATGAAGAAAAGAGATGAAGCCTCTGTCTTTTTTACATGTTAACAGTCTCATATTAGTCCTTCAGAATAATTCTACAATCCTAAAATAACTTAGCCAACTTGCTGAATTGTATTACGGCAAGGTTTATATGAATTCATGACTGATATTTAGCAAATGATTAATTAATATGTTAATAAAATGTAGCCAAAACAATATCTTACCTTAATGCCTCAATTTGTAGATCTCGGTATTTGTGAAATAATAACGTAAACTTCGTTTAAAAGGATTCTTCTTCCTGTCTTTGAGAAAGTACGGCACTGTGCAGGGGGAGAGGTTGATTGTGAAAAATCAGAGGTAGATGAGAATCTTACTGAGGGCTGAGGGTTCTTTAACCTTGGTGGATCTCAACATTGGTTGCACATTAAAATCACCTGCTGCAAGCCCTTGACGAATCTTACTTAGAAGATGACAACACAGAACAATTAAATCAGAATCTCTGGGGAGAATAGGGCACCAGTATTTTTTGAGCTCCCACCATGATTCCAAAGTGCAGCCAAATTTGAGAACCACTGCTAAAAGCTCAAGCTTCAGATTGACCAGCTTTTCCATCTCACCTATCGCCTAAAGACCAAATTGGATAAATGTGTTCATTACGACAGATGGGTACTATTTAAAGATGAGTAAACACAATATACTTAGGCTCGTCAGACTGAGAGTTTTAATCATCACTGAGGAAAAACATAGATATCTAATACTGACTGGAGTATTAGTCAAGGCTTATTTCACACACAATTTTATCAGAAACCAAAGTAGTTTAAAACAGCTCTCCCCTTATTAGTAATGCATTGGAGGGTTTACTTTACCATGTACCTTGCTGAGCACTGTACCTTGTTAATCTCATTTACTTGTAATGAGAACCACACAGCGGGTAGTTTTATTGGTTCTATTTTACCTACATGACAAAACTGAAGCATAAAAACACTTAGTAAGTTTTCAGTGTCATGCACAACTAGGAAGTGACATGGCCAGAATATAAGCCCAGTCACCATCACTCTATAACCTGCGCTTTTAACAACTTCAGGGCATGACACATTTGGCCGGTCAGTAGAACCCATGCTGTGATTTGTTTTTGCAGTGGTGGTGATGACTGCCTTGTTGAATCCACTTTTTATTCTATTCCATTTTGGGGACACAATTCTGCAAGATGATTCTTCATTAGGAAACAGAGATGAGTTATTGACCAACACAGAAAGAAAAAGAGTTTGTTGCTCCACACTGGGATTAAACCTATGATCTTGGCCTAATTAACACTAGCTAGTAAGTGTCCAAGCTGATCATCTCTACAACATTTCAATAACAGAAAACAACAATTTTCAAAATTAGTTACTTACAATTATGTAGAAATGCCTCTAAAACACAGTATTTTCCTTATATTACAAAAACAAAAATTATAATTGGTTTTGTCCTCTTTTGAGAGTTTGCATGGTGTTACTCCCTGCATAGTGAAGAAAACATTTTATTTAAGTAGATGGATCTAAGTTTTTCATGAACAAAGGAATGACATTTGAAATCAATCCTACCCTAGTCCAGGAGAATGCATTAGATTAACCTAGTAGAGGTCTTATTTCACCCTGAGTTTTCTATGATCGTGATTCTCTGCTGGAGGAGTAATTGTGAAATAGATCTCTCTGGGAACTGGCTTCCTAGTCCAATCAGCTCTTTTACCAATGAACACTTCCTTGTGATATAGATGTTTATGGCCGAGAGGATCCAGTATATTAATAAAATCCCTTTTTGTATTCAATGAGGGAAACACATAATTTTCATCAATTAGCAGCTTATTGGAATATCTGCATGATGGTTTAACACTTTTAAGTGTTGACTAAAGATTAATTTTACAGAAAATAGAAAAAGAAATATGTTTCTGTCTGGAGGAATGATTTATTGTTGACCCCTAAATTGAAATATTTTACTAGTGGCTTAATGGAAAGATGATGAAAGATGATGAAATTAATGTAGAAGCTTAACTAGAAAATCAGGTGACCTGATATCTACATCTGTATCCTTCATTGGCCACCCAGCATTCATTAATGAATCAGATGATGGAATAGATCAAGTTTCCTAGGAACACAGTGAATATTAAAAGAAAACAAAGGGAGCCTAGCACCTAGAAGACCTAGTTTATATTTCAAAGTATATTTGGATGTAACCCAATTTTAAACATTTCCTCACTTGTCTCTCTTAAAGCCTTGCCAACAGCAAGGACAGAGAACCAAAAATAGTGTATATATGAATAAATGCTTATTACAGAATCTGCTGACTGGCACATGCTTTGTGTGTAATGGGTTCTCATAAACACTTGTTGAATGAACACACATAAGTGAAAGAGCATGGCTAGGCTTCATCCCTTGGTCAAATATGGGGTGCTAAAGAAAAGCAGGGGAAATACATTGGGACACTAACAAAAAAAAACAGTTAATTTAGGTAAAAGATAAAATACACCACAGAATGAAGAAAAGAGATGACCCAGACTGCTCTTTAACCTTCATGTCCTAGAGAGGTTTTTGATATGAATTGCATTCAGAATTGTGGAAAGGAGCCCATCTTTTCTCTTCATTTTGATTTTATTAACTCCAATGGGGGAATTTTATTCGTGTTTTGGCCATATCTACTTTTGATTTCTACATTATTCTCTCTTCCTTTCTACCTGTATTTGTCCTAATAAATTGTTGACTTATTAATTCACTACTTCCTCACAGCTTTTTTTTGGCTTTACAAATCCACTGGAAAGGTATATGGGTGTATCACTTTGTGTATTTCGGTGTGCATGTGTAGAGGGGACAAAAATCCTCTCTCAAACTATAAATATTGAGTATTTGTGTATTGAACATTTGCTATAACTACTAGGTTTCTTAAATAATCTTAATATATAAAATGATATAGAAAAAGGGAAATTATAGTTCGTATTATTCATCTAAGTGAAGAGATTAAAACCCAGGGAGTAAATAAATTGTCTAAGGACTAAGGTTGTATACTATTTAGGTGATAGATATGGGGCAACCGTATGGGTTTTATGATTAACAAATAAACTTCTCACCACTCTACCATATCAACTTTTCCATAAAAGAGAGCTATAGTATTCTTTGCTTAAATAAATTTGATTAGTGCATGACTTCTTGAAAACATATAAAGCAAAAGTCACATTTGATTCTATCAGAAAAGTGAGTAAGCCATGGCCCAAACAAAAGATGCATTAAAATATTCTGGAATGATGGAGCTAAAAGTAAGAAAAATGACTTTTTAAAAAAGTTTACTGTTAGGAATTGTGAAATTATGCTGAATTTTAGTTGCATTATAATTTTTGTCAGTCATACGGTCTGACAACCTGTCTTATTTCTATTTCCCCATATGAGGAATGCTAGTTAAGTATGGATATTAACTATTACTACTTAGATGCATTGAAGTTGCATAATATGGATAATACTTCACTGGTTCCCTGAAAATGTTTAGTTAGTAATAAGTCTCTTACACTATTTGTTTTGTCCAATAATTTATATTTTCTGAAGACTTAACTCTAGAATACACTCATGTCAAAATGAAAGAATTTCATTGCAAAATATTGCTTGGTACATGACGCATACCTGTATTTGTTTTGTGTCACAACATGAAAAATGATGGTTTATTAGAAGTTTCATTGGGTAGGAAACACATTTGAATGGTATTTACTAAGATACTAAAATCCTTGGACTTCACTCTAATTTTAGTGCCATTTAGAACTCAAGGTCTCAGTAAAAGTAGAAATAAAGCCTGTTAACAAAACACAAGCTGAATATTAAAAATGTAACTGGATTTTCAAAGAAATGTTTACTGGTATTACCTGTAGATGTATATTCTTTATTATGATCTTTTGTGTAAAGTCTGGCAGACAAATGCAATATCTAATTGTTGAGTCCAATATCACAAGCAGTACAAAAGTATAAAAAAGACTTGGCCTTTTCTAATGTGTTAAAATACTTTATGCTGGTAATAACACTAAGAGTAGGGCACTAGAAATTTTAAGTGAAGATAATGTGTTGCAGTTACTGCACTCAATGGCTTACTATTATAAACCAAAACTGGGATCACTAAGCTCCAGTCAGTCAAAATGATCAAAATTATTGAAGAGAATAAGCAATTCTGTTCTTTATTAGGACACAGTAGATACAGACTACAAAGTGGAGTGTGCTTAATAAGAGGTAGCATTTGTTAAGTGTCAATTACTCTATTATCCCTTGGAGCTTCTCAAAATAACCATATAAGGTGTAAGATGTTAAAGGTTATGGTTACACTCAGTGCACAGGTAAGCTAATAGGCTGAGAGAAGCTAAATTACTTACTGGGGTCTCACAGTAAGAAAGTGAGCTGAAGTTTCAGCCCAGATTTAACTGGATTCTGGGCTCTTTATTCATGTTACTTCATGAATCTGTTTCTCAATTGTGCAGAAAAAAGGGGGCTATTTATAAGAAAAGCAATAAACAAACAAGTAATGATCTCAAATAAGTAATGCAAGAAATAGTGAGATTTCAAAATCAGTGGCAGCGATTTCTCAGTTCTGTCCTAAGTGGCCTTGCTCAATCACCTGCTATCTTTTAGTGGAGCTTTGAAATTATGTTTCAGACAACTTCGATTCAGTTCTAGAATGTTTGACTCAGCAAATTCACAGGCTCATCTTTCTAACTTGATGGTGAATATGGAAATTCAGCTAAATGGATGTTAATAAAATTCAAACGTTTTAAGGACAGATGAAAATGACAGAATTTTAAGGTAAAATATATGAAGGAATATAAGATAAAGGATTTTTCTACCTTCAGCAAAAACATACCCACTAATTAGTAAAATTAATAGGCAAAAAAAAGTTGCATGCTCTTATACTGTAATGATTATCATTTTAAAACTAGCTTTTTGCCTTCGAGCTATCGGGGTAAAGACCTACAGGAAAACTACTGTCGAAATCCTCGAGGGGAAGAAGGGGGACCCTGGTGTTTCACAAGCAATCCAGAGGTACGCTACGAAGTCTGTGACATTCCTCAGTGTTCAGAAGGTAAATAAACCTGAATGCCATGTGGGCCATTCTATTCCCCCTATGTGTAGAACTGTAACTCACATTAAAGGTTAACAGCAACGAATCAATCATAACAAATATGTTGTTCGTGCAAATGCAACTACAAATAATTATTTAAACATTTTTATACAATGTTTTTAAAACTGTTGGATTATCACCAGATTAATGCAAAATAACAGAGCGAGTTATCAGTTTGAATTTCAACACTGCCTGAGACATCCCTCTGGGGAAAGTGAAAGAGAGGGTTTACTTACCTACTGTCTTGAGCTCACATACCTCAAAATCTACTACTGTGTGGCACCTGAAAGGAGTTGAATGAAGCTTAGCCTTTCATTAGCAATGTTAATTCTATTCAACCAGCACCTGCTTCCACAGAAATTCTGTCCAAACTATCATGAAGTGGTGTGACAAGGGTATATGGACCCAGAAGATAATACAATATAAGAAGGGATCACTGGAAGCTTGACCCCATGCACATTTTGGTGAAAATGTGCCTAGAATCAAATGTGACACGTAGGCTGGAACTGAGTACCATTCAGAATAGGATCTGAAGAGATCAAAGCAATGGAGACCACCAAACTGTCTTGAAGGCATGTCTATGGACCTTAAGTCCATGTCTATGTTTTCAGCTCTTCTCACAGCATAAAAGGGCATTGTCCTTACTTTTGCAGTGGAAAACTGAATGGCTGACAAGATGGAAGAGTAACCATTTCAGCATTGTATGTGGTTTCATTTTTCTTAGTTATCTGGCTACTGAATAGCCGGATTTTTCAGTTCTGTCAGAAACTCTAAATTTCCAAAAATCTAAGTGAAACATGGATGAAACTCTGTTAGAAAATTGTTAGGATTTTGGAGTATTTGGGGAGGGGGACTACTGGAATGCTGTCCAAGTTTTATACTAAGATATCTTACCTGTTTGTTATTAACCAAATATTTTTAAAAATATTTCCTCCATAAATATTCATTTAATATTAGGTTGATATTTATCACATAAAAAGTAAAGGCTACTGTTAGCTAATTGTCACAGAGAAGGATTTGTTTTCTGTTGTTAGTGAATTTGAAATCCTTGACTTTATGTGCTACAGCCAGTTCCATCTCTGTTTGTAAATTCTTACTTTCCATTCCATATCATATTCTGTTCCCTATAACCTCTTCATTGTTTTCTTTTCTTTTAAAAATAATAAACTTTTCTATGATCACGTTTTGAACAAGTCTGTTTTGTATGAATAAGTCTGAACGAATTAATATTTGTCTTAAACTTGCACATGGAAGAAAAAAAACCCTACTTTTAGGGGAATCTCTCCTATTACAGTTTTCTGAGGTTGAAAATCATTGACAAGGGGTTTTGTTTGACCTGAAAACGTGTTTTCAAAGGCCGGTACCTTGGCCAAACTTTAAACAGCTTACTATTTTCGTTACCTGCCTGGTTCTTGTGAGAATATGATTTTTCCACTACGGGTTTATAAGGAAAACATTCATCAAAATATACTTACTTAACATAGGACTGGACTGCTAGGCGACATAGATTAAAAGTGCTAGAAAAGAAGTCCTTGAATAAATCCTATTTTCAGTTATTCTTATCTCATTAGAATGTAACTGTCTAGTATCTTTAATAATTTGAGATCATCACACCTCCCTTAGAAAAGGGCATTGCTCGTTGGTATTAATGGCACATGATGCTATTGGTCACCGCGGCACCAAAGGTTGCAGACATGTTCTTTCTGGAAATAATTAGTGGCCTGGCAATAGTGGAATAACTCTCCTGTGGGAGAAGGGAACCAACATCTGCCCTGTAGGTTAAACATATTTTGGAGACTATGAGTTAAACTGTGATATTTTAAATTCCAGCTAACACAAGCAATGTGTTAGCAGGATTTTAATGAAAAAGATCCAAAATAAGAAGCATTGTCAAAACATTGGCAGAGAAAAAGAGTGACTTATAAAATCAATAATATAAAATATACAAAATAATGTGACATGATATAAATTTCTTCTAAAATACATATAAGGGGGAAACCTCAAAATCCAGAATGCTTAAGTTGTATAATAGATGGGCCATTTCTATCCATGGATACAAATTAAATGGTAAGTTATAAAGGTTATTTTATTATGGCTAAGGTAGCAACTATAAAGTCATTTTGCATATTTAAAATTAAACAAGAAAAACACCCATAATCAAACTTTAGACTGTTCAAATGAAAAAGACATATAGAACAGTATATATTTTTTGAAATTTTTGTAATTATGCTTAAAACTTGGCTATATAATCACCTGAAATTTGTTTAAAATTAAAAGAATTGTATCTGATAGTCAATGATTAATATTATTTTCTTATAATTTAAAACTTGAAAATATAGTCAATATTCCAAAAGAAAACAAATATTCGTCTATCACATTTATCACCTTCCAGTTAGATAAGAGGAATAAGTTCAATAGATCTATTGTGTGAATGGTGACTATAGATAATAATATTATATTGTACATTTAAAAAATGCTAAGAGACTAGATGTTAAATGTTCTTACCACAAAATTGCTATGTGAAGTAATGCATATGTTAACTAGTTTGATTTAGTCCACTGACAATGTATATATGCTTCAAAACATCATGTCGTACATAATATGTAGACTTTTATTGGACAGTTTTAAGAAAGAACCTTATAGAGTTATACAGAGAAAATAATTAGTGCTTGATTCAAAAGTTTTAGAAAGTTGAGGTATGCAAAATCCATTTTCTTGCTTTAGCGTTTGCTTGAAATTTAAAATAAAACAATCATTGGTCATTGGAACAGATGTCATTTCTAATGATTGTCAAATGATCAAGTAAATATATTTTAATTAAGCCATAATCATTATTTTAAAAAATACAATACATTTAAAATCCCACATAATACTGACATAAGTTTATGTGTATAATTCGATACTCTGTGTGAAGACTTTTAAAAACAAAGATTAAATGGCAAGTTACAAAGATTAAATGGCAACTCATAATTTATTTGACAAACTTTTATTTATATATGTTAATTTGTGAGACTATTTATATTTTAAACATTCAGTTTTGTTGAAGTAATCACCTGTATGGATTTTTCTGAGACTGTCTTTAATGGAATAAAACAAACACTAATTAAAAATAGATTCAGATACTTTCAAAATAACTCTTTTAGTCTGTATACTCATATCACTCCTGTTTTATGACGGAGAAAAATGAAACACATTTTTAAAGTTTGGTTGGTTAGTATGATGAGAAAGCTGTTAAATTAATCCTCTGTGTTTTCTAATTCATATACAGTTTTTGTAGTATTCTACTATTATTCAGTCCAGAACTGTACTTAGAACAAATATTGAACCGATGAACAGAAACCATTACTCTGTGAGTTTTTGTGATCTATCTAGGGCAGTAGTTAGCTTGTTTTGTTTTGTTTTGTTTTGTTTTGTTTTAGAGGAGAACTTGCTGGAGCAGGTAAATAATGTACTGACAGCAATAGACAGAGCCAAAGGGCACTCCTACATATAAACTGTTACATCGTTTATATGTTCACCTGTTTCCTTGAATACATGGACTTGGTTTCACCTGAACTGCTTGACTTTAAGAAAAATTAGAAGAATCTGAGAATTCCCAAAGCTTGAAAAGTGAATATGAGTTAAAAATTTGGCTTTCTTGAGATAATTCTTATGACTAACTTGATGGCTTGATTCCGTGGTAAAACAGCCAACTTTTCAGCCATTGACTTTGGATAAGGTGTCCAATCTAGTTACATTCCCATGCACTTTCCCTGCAATTCCTCCAATAGATGAGACTTCAACAGGAGAGCAAGTTAACTGTTGTAAACAAAAAAGCAGAGGGCAATGAGGACAATGTTGAAAAGGGTAGGGATACCAACTTTCTAAAGTTATTGCTATCAGTATATCATAAAGTATAACCAGTTAGAATATGTAGGAAATAAGTTAAAATATATAAAACAAAAAGGCAGTTTGGGATAATGCAAAAAAAATACTAAGACTATGGGTCAGAAGATTTGTGTTCCTGGCTCAGGTTTAACATTTTGTGTTTTAGGTAAGTCTCTTAAAACTTTTGTGAGACTTGTTTTCCTCACTGTAAGAATCAGATGATACTTTTCATGTTTTCATATTTATTTGTTTGTTTTTGTTTTTTGTTTTTTGTTTTTTAGACAGAGTCTTGCTCTGTCGCCCAGGCTGGAGTGGTGCAGTGGCACCATCTCGGCTCAGTGCAGCCTCCACCTCCTGGGTTCAAGCAATTCTCCTGCCTCAGCCTTCCAAGTAGCTGGGACTACAGGCACGCACCACCAGACCCAAGGTGGTCTCAAACTCCTGACCTCAGGCAATCTGCCTGCCTTGGCCTCCCAAAGTGCTAGGATTGCAGGCTTGAGCCACTGCACCTGGCCTATACCTTTTATGTTAAAAGTATGGTATAAACAATCAAATAATATGTAACTGTAATATATTTAAGTATCTCAATTCAATCATGGCATGTTTAATTCCCACCCCAACAATAACTTTCATTGCTTTCTAAAATGTAACATTATTCTTGCTAACTTTTATTTATTTATTTTTAGGCCCACAACTGCAATCATAACTCTCTCTTCCCTTTACTATCAACATAGTATACTTATGCTTCTGATTTTATGTTATTTTGTCCCTTTATAATTTATCCAACTCTCATCTATTCAAGATCCTAGTAAAATCTAGTCTCTCTTATAAAACTATTACGGCCAAATACTTAGAACTTCTTTTTTTTATTTTTTGAGACGGAGTCTCGCTCTGTCGCCCAGGCTGGAGTGCAGTGGTGCCATCTCGGCTCACTGCAAGCTCCATCTCCCGGGTTCACGCCATTCTCCTGCATCAGCCTCCCGAGTAGCTGGGACTACAGGTGCCCACCACCACACCTGATTAATTTTTTTATATTTTTAGTAGAGACGGGGTTTCACCGTGTTAGCCAGGATGGTCTCGATCTCCTGACCTCGTGATCCGCCCATCTTGGCCTCCCAAAGTGCTGGGATTACAGGCGTGAGCCACCGTGCCTGGCCAGAACTTTTATAATAGATCCTGTTATCTAGAAAGTTGCAGAGCAAAGTGAGGTCCAAGTACCAGCAACAGCAGCAATGCCTGGGAGCTTGTTATTAGTGCCCCAGCCCAGACCCACTGACTCAGAACTTGCCTCTTAACAGGATCTCAAGGAGGTTTTTGCACACATTCATATTTGAACAAGCATTGATCTGCCACACTCATAATGGAAAGTGGTCATCTTATGGAACCATCTGTTTCATTCATGTAGCTATTTTTTCTTAAAACCATTAAAATGTGTAAGTCAAGGAAAAATTTTTATAATACTGCTCAATGTAGTGATTACCAGAAAATAATTCTATTCACCCTCGTTAGAAAGGAATATACTATCACAAGCTGCATTTGCTGAAGGAGGCATAATAGATGTAATCTCTTTCCTGAGTACTATACAAGAGTAGAAATTGTACATATGAATACTTATCTTTTATGTGTGACCCTAGTACTCTATTGTACATTTCATCCAACACGAAGGAACAAATAACGATAAATGCTGCATCATTTTCTTTGACGGTATCAAAATTTGTGTTCTTTAAAAAAAGAGAGAGATACCTAAATGAACCTGTTAAGCATTCAAATGGAAAGCTGAAATGTAACATTGCATCACCTATGTTGAGCACTGCTATGACCCTGGCCAACCTGAGCACCTTTATTGATATGCTCATGGACTCCACTCATTTACAGTTCAGGTGCTTATTGGGTGTAGTCTGGAAAATCTCAGTATCAAATGAAGGGAAGCCGAGTTGGCCTCTTAGCTAATGTATTAATATAAATGAAGGAAAGCAGATGGATCAAGCCAAGTTGTTGCATGTTTCAGAAAGTTAATAGTTAATGTCCCTATTAGATTATAAGAATCAAGGATTCAAAAGTGATGATTCTAATACTATAATCCCAAATTACTACAAATACTCATTAGGCTAGATTCCGTTGGATAAAACTAAACATTGATGCCTCTTCCCACTTCAGCTAAAGTTAGATGATCAGTAATTGCAAGATACAAATGATGTGTTTAAGGAAGTTTGCCTGATTCATAGGAAAGCCAAGCAATGATTTATTCCACAGGATGCTTTCTGTGCTACAAATCAACCTGTCTGTTTGAGAAGTCTCACTTTCAGCAATTGATGTGATTCAGTTTTCTGTGTGACATAAGAGGCCAGCCAGAAGAGAACAATGAATTAACCTCACAAAATCATCAGTAAGAGCCTACCTAATTACATTAGCTTATACATTTTAAAAAGAGTGGGAACATGGAGTTCAATAGCAGGTCATCTTCTATCCTAAGCCAGACAGGAATGTAAACCTGCCCAGCTTATTCAACATGGATGTTCGCTAACAGAAAGGAGCTGTGATTTATTTTTTAAAAATATCCGTATTCTTTGAATTGCACCAGATTTCTATATGAAGCCAGTCTCTTAAATCTATGTGGTCTTGATTATGTCATTAACCATAAAAGTATGACACAAACTCAATTAAACTTTGTATTTCCTGTGTATGTATTTGGAGGGCAAATTGAGAGAGAAACACTATTGTGCTGACAAATAGATACTGAGATCTTTGCATTTTAGACCAACACGGGAAAAATTTCCAAGGATCTGTCTTTTATTTCCATTTTCTAGATACCTTTGAGACAGTTATTGAAAAAATAGATAGACAGCGTCGTGGCCCTATAGTAAATCTGTGTGACACTAAGTACAAAAATCCCACTTAAACTGTATGATGTGTTCTATAGGGAGTAGTTTATGTCACTATTTATAGACATTAGGCCCTAATAAAAAGTTAGAATGATGTGTAGGATTTTTTAAAAATCTGTTTACTAAACAGGTGCTGTTCTTTAAATGCAACAGTGGTGTTTTTGATTTTGCTGTCAGAAACAATTAACATGCCATACTTTAATTTTATTAGTTGAATGCATGACCTGCAATGGGGAGAGTTATCGAGGTCTCATGGATCATACAGAATCAGGCAAGATTTGTCAGCGCTGGGATCATCAGACACCACACCGGCACAAATTCTTGCCTGAAAGGTAAAATATTAATGAATCATGCTTTCAGTGATTCTTTTACAAACTATTATTCACTCTATGACACACTGCTGTGGAAATTCTCTTTATATTATGTTTTCCCGATAGGACATGAACATAACATTTAGAACTCCCAGAATGTTCAGGAGTTCTTCTGACAGAATTTCTGGCCATTATATTTGGAGGAAATAGTCTAAGGGCAAAAAGATTTATGATGAGGTACATGAGAACACTGACTACATAGCCAACTGGTCAGAGTTTCTAAAATCAGCATGGTACTGAACACAAAATCATCAGCAGGGTATAGAGTGGAAGCACAAAAAGAAGCTTCTTTCTCTCTCAGAGCAGAAACAAAACAAAACCAAAGCAAACCACAGGACCAATTCAGTAATGACCACTTTGACAAGTCTTAGCTGTGATTAGAGGTATTGTTACTAATTGCAGGCAAATCTCCTTCTGGAGCAGCATCTTCAGAGACTCAGGTACTGCAGGCCACACACATAACAGCATGACATAAGTAGTGGTCATAGGGAGTAAAAAGTAGAGCAAACCATTCAGGTTGCTTTGTCCTGGTGTGTTTTGAAATTGCCCATATAAAAAGCCAATTTGGAGAAGTCAGGCAACTAATCTATCTTTTATCCCCAGGAATAGGTTTTGAGCTTAAATTATTACCCATCTCCGCCAAAAAAAAAAAAAAAATCATGTCTACTTTTGCCCATGTATTTTACATGAAACTTTTAAGGTGGAAAAAAAAGGAAGAAGTTCATTTATTTTGATTATAAAGAATAAAAATACAAATAATTACACAGGAAATTCCGTCCCCCACCTTTCTTTGGAAATTGCTGTTAGGTGTTTTTTCTTTGTTCTTTTTCTCTATTCTTTTTTGTTTGGTGTTATTTTTAATGAAATTAAAACTCCAGCTTATTTTCCAAATAAATGCTTGTCTTGTCGTTTAAGTGAGAGCAGAAGGGATATGGTAGCAATTAAAATCAAGTCACCAATTCAGGACTCTGTTCATTTGAAGGGAGGTGGGGTGTGGAGAAAGTAGTGTGATGAAGTTTGTCTCATGATCTGGTGAAGGTGAGGGCATGACCTCGAAGGGCTCTATTTCCAAAACTGAGTTATCATTAGTAACAGCGCTATTGAAACTGAACTTTCAGTTTGAACTTTAAGCCTTCCCTAGAAGAGGACCTGTTTTCTTAATGAGCATTCTACATGAAGTCATGTTTTTGTAATCTGCCCTTAAGTGGGTTCTAAGAGAAAGAGACTCGATTTGGAACCTCAGCTAGTGGAAAGGTACCACATAGACCTAACTTATTAGCCAGGGGATGATACTCTGTCCTTAGTGGGATATATAAATTAGTAGATTCAATAGTCAGTGATCAGCAGTCCTCGTAAGGCAAAACATAGAAAACGTCCTCTTTCCCCAGCTAGGTGTAGACAACCTAAGTGGAAAGTTATTTTGTGAGCTGAGGGGTGGGTGGTGTTTCCAGGCAGATTTACGTGACACTTTTCTTGGTGTGGTTTGCAGATATCCCGACAAGGGCTTTGATGATAATTATTGCCGCAATCCCGATGGCCAGCCGAGGCCATGGTGCTATACTCTTGACCCTCACACCCGCTGGGAGTACTGTGCAATTAAAACATGCGGTAAGTGAAGGTCAAATTTATTGCTTCCTTTTCCTCTCACAGACTGGATCTAAGCAGGCGATTATTAGTGAGACAGGTTAACAACTATTTAACTTGATGCTTTAATGTGTGCAGGTTTTAATATTTTAAGAATGTGTTACATAATCCTACCCAATCTTTTGCATTTTTGGAGACTGATTATTTTGACTGTGATAAATATGCAAATACACACATCCATAGAAAACATTTTTACTTATGGCAAGAGCCTAAACATTCTAATGTTATCAAGAAAATTTAAAAAACCACAGAGAGAGAAAAAGATCGGAAATGTGTGCAGCATCACAAAGTCATTAGGGGAGTAAAAGCTAGGACCTTAGTTCCTTACCTTCCAATCCTGTATCCTTTACCTACCTTTCCTCCCCAGAGACATAACATGGGCTCTCAACTGATGGTGAACTTCTTCTGGTGAGTGACAGAGGCTGCAGTGAAGAATAATGAGTCTAATAGAAGTTTATCACAGATGTCTCTAATCTTTATAGCTGATCCCTACCTCTCTCGCTGTCTTTGTACCCAGCCTGCATTCTGTTTCGATCTGTCTTTTAGCAGTCCATACAATCATTTTTCTACATGCTGGCCCTTACCTAGCTTTTCTGAATTTACAATAAAAACTATTTTTTAACGTGTTTTATATTGTTCCTTTCAATCTGTGAACTTGGTCCTCTCCTCTATGGTTAAGTCACACATTTTCACTGTTCTCTTAAACAATATTACATAATGTTTTCATTTCTTTGAATACAGGGCTAATTTTTTTCAACTGGATATTAAAATTCTTTAAAATCAATAGAATTGCATAAATTTAGTAAGGTATAATAATGTTATAAATTGGCCTGATAATATAAAGTTATGTATATATGGACAGACATGTAAAGCTAAATAACCTACATAAGATCAGGCACCAGCACCTAGAGTAAAATATATAATTAAGAGGGCATGGATTGATTTTCATATATTTCACTATAGCAGAATGATGGGGAAGTTCCTCTGAACAAACCTAACTGAATATTATCCACACTATGGTACTGCCGAGGTAAATCTCTCTCAATCTAGACCTGCTAATAAAAGGAAATGTTTTGGACAACTCTTAATACTTTGGACAACAATAAATAACTGAAGAATCTGGAAGCCTTTCAGAGTAAAACACTGTGTTCCAAGGAAATTGAATCATGTGTTTTGTCCTTTAAAATAAAAGATGACTCCTGTGACAGTGTTTCTCTGCATAGATTGGGTTGGTTCCACTCATTGCTTTTTAAATTGTATTAGTCTTTCCATTGTTCTACACCAGTTAGGTATAATAAACCAACTGTTTCCCTTCTGATTTTTTGTGTGTGTATGTATGTGTGGTTTAGGTACTCTTTTTTTTTTTTTTTTTTTTTTTGAGATGGAGTTTCACTCTTGTTGTCCAAGCTGGAGTGCAATGGCACAATCTCAGCTCGCCACAACTTCCGCCTCCTGGGTTCAAGTGATTCTCCTGCCTCAGCCTCCTGAGAAGCTGGGATTACAGGCATGCACCACCAAACTCAGCTAATTTTGTATTTTTAGTAGAGACAGGGTTTCTCTATGTTGGTCAGGCTGGTCTCGAACTCCCGACCTCAGGTGATCTGCCTGCCTCGGCCTCCCAAAGTGCTGGGATTACAGGCATGAGCCACCAGGCCTGGCCGGTTTAGGTACTCTTATAAATTTTCTCTGGAATAAAACCTATACACACACACACACACACACACACACACACAGACACACACACACACATACACACTCACCTGCATATTCACCCAACTGGCATGCACACACCAAGAAATCCAAATGTTGCCCTCCTCTTCAGTTCCAAACCAATCTTTAGGGTATTTTTAAAAAGAGACTGAGAGAGGCAAGAAATAGAATGACTATGACACTGGCTAGCTATTAAGTAGGTTTCTTTTTTCTCTTCTGTCCAAAAAGGAGCTGGCTAGTTATGCAAGTAACATGCTATATAATTCCAATGTCTTTGTTAAGCAGAGGATAGAGTTTATAGGGTGTTAATTCTAAAAAAATGATACCAGAATTTGTAAGCCAAACCTATATCACTCAAATTTAAAAAGTCTTCTGAGCTTTGGGAATATTTTGGAAATATTTTATTAAAGGATAGCTTTTAGTTTAAAAAATACATATATGAAAGAGATATAGATATGACTATAAAGAGACGATACTTCTATTAAAGTGGATGAAATAAAATTGACATTCTGGAAACCATAAGAGATAATGTTTTATGAATATTCTTTTAAATGTTTTGGTTCACATATATAGTAAAGCCTATAATGCAAAACCAAAAATTTGGTGGTGGATTCAATTGTGCATTGATTTTCTATTGTGGCATAACAAATTACCAAAACCTTAGAGGCTAACAACAACACACGTTTATTATCTTATATTTTCTGTAGGTCAGGAGTCCAGCCATAACTCAGGCAGGCTCCTTGCTAGGGTCTCAAAAGGTCCTGATCAAGGTGCCTACCTCACCTCAGGTCTCATCTAAAACTCCATGTTGCATTTAAAGTTCACTAGTTTTGACAGAATTCAGTTTCCTGTGGTTTTAAGGCTGCAGTTTAATTCTTCTAGAGACTGCCTAACTTTCTCTGACACATAACCCTCTCTACAATATGGCAGTTTACTCCTGCCAACAGGATAGCATCTCTCCTGCTTTGAGCTTTTGACCTCCAGACTCTCTTTTAAAGAGCTAACCTAATTAGGTCAGTCCTGCCTAGGTTAATTTCCCTTTTAATTCACTTATAGTCAACTGATTAGGGACTTTAATTACATATGCAAAATCTCTTCATCTTTGTTGTATAATATAACCTAATCACAAGAGTAGTTCTCATTGTATTCAAAAGTTTCATCCATACCCAAGGGGAGAAGATTATGCAGTGTGTACACAAGTTGGTGGGGATCTGGGGGACCACACATGTATTTACTTGTACTGGTTGTAAGAGATAATTAATTATTATTTTTTATTCGTATCATTAACTGGGCCAGTTTTCTGGTTTTCTCTTAGTCCAGTCCAGCTGAACTCATTCTGGGTTTTCAATGTTTCCAAAACAAAGAATAAAGATAATGATTATGTCACTTACTCTCTAGAAAGTTGGAGGGGAATTTCTAAACTCGTGTTTTATCATATACTAACTGTATTAGAAAATCATAATTAATATCATTTATTTAACACCCACAAAGAGGTGCTTTCCATTGTAGAGTTAACAATCCTTATTTCATTCTTAGCAAATGGTTGCAATTAGGCCAGTGAGGAAGGGGGTAAAGAGATGGATGGCTGGAGCAGTATGGTAATTCAAGACAAGGTACATGATTGATATGGGTAGGGTATGGGGTAAAAACAGAAAACTGAAAGAAGTTGAGAAAAATTAAGTTGATATGAGGCAGATCAAGTAAGATCCAAGAGTAGCCCATTCAGTTGCCATGAGAAACACTGAAAAATTAAGCAAAGGGAGGGATCTTACCTCATTTGTGATCTAGAATAGTGATCTCTAAACTGGTGTCCATGAGACCCAGGAAAACACAAAGACTCTCTTAGGGGCCTTTGGGCATAGATTGCTTAAGGGGCTCAAGTTCCACCTCTTCTTCTCTCAGGTGAATTCTTTCCCAAAGGTCCCTTCTTGAGATACATGTGTTTCTCAGAAGCCAGGCATGTCAACACCTCTACCCTCCCACACTGCCGCTCTTTCCTACTTTACCTGAATTTTACTGTAGCTCATTGCCCTGGGGTTTAAAAACCCTGGGGACACTAAACAAAAAGATCTTTGAAAATACATTAAACATATATTCATGCTGTTTATAATTTATGGAGTACTGATAATTGTATCTCTATACACTATATATGTGTATACATACGTGCATGTGTCCACTGTATGTGTGTATTTTTCTCTTAAAACCTTAGGTCACAAGACATCTTAAAATGTAATTTCAATGAATAAAAAGCTTTCAGAGAAGTATGATGAGGTGAAGAATAAAAGACTATTCAACACAAAATACAACACAGGCCAGTAAGAAATAAAGAGTGTGATTAAGGCAGTAAGCAGTGAGAAAAACAAGGTGGGGAAGGATGTGAACAATATCAAAAGGGGGAATGTACAGTATATAATGACAAATTGGTTATACTAGGAAATGGGATAGGGAGAGAGAAAAGCCTAAAATATTTTAAAATTATTGGGTAGATGACATATATATAAGAGAGGCATTAATTTGAGGAGAAAGATCACAGGTTTAGTTCTGCTTATATTGAGATGCAGGTGCTTGGCATCCTTGTTCATAGCACATCTAAGTTCATTCTTCTCCGGAAAGTCAAGGAAAGTCACAAGTGAACAGGGATAGCAAAAGCCTTGGGCATCAGCAATTCCACCCAGCATGTTGAGAACACAAAGAGGGTTGTTTGCCCCTTTCTCCATAGCATTCATTGAATAAATATTTTCTGAGCAGCTATTATATGTCAAATAAACACTTTTCTAGTAGCTGGGGATACAGAAGTGAATAAAACAGACCAAGGCCTATAACAAGATAGAAAATTCAGAATTTTTAACACAAACCAGTAAAGAAAAAGATGACACTGCCTTAATATTAGGATATTCACATCTGCCAGCCAACGTTTGAATACTGCTCTCCTTTTATTTGTTCAAAAGCTGAACTACAAATGTGTTCTAGTCACTTTGCTTCCAAGCTTCTATGTTACAATCAATGTATCACTAAAAGTAAAGAATTAATGTTGCTCATTGTCTGACAAATGTGTGCCAGGGTGCTCTGGGATGGGCCTTTTCAGACTTCCTTCACACTGTATTTCTCAGGAGGGGATATATACCTAAATGTCATCAGCCCACAAATATTCTGTGTATAAAATTTTAACAGCGTTTTGGGCACATGGAATTTTAAGACATCACGAATATGTAATAAAATTGGAAGTCCTGCATAGTGCTTGAATGAAGTACTGATTTTTTTATGTTTTTCTCTGATTATAACTTCATATTCTGAATAACAGTTGGTTCTATATATTAGTTTCCTGCTTTTCAGAGACAAATAATAATGTTTGTTAAATTTATTGTATTTTTTCTGTAAGTTTTAAATTCAGGCATAAATGTGCAGGTTTGTCATGTAGGTAAACCTGTGTCATGGGGTTTTGTTGCAAAGATTATTTTGTCACCCAGGCATTAAACTTAGTACCCATTAGTTATTTTTCCTGATCCTCTCCCTTCTCCTATCCACCACCCTCTGGTGGGCCCCAGTCTATTGTTCCCCTCTATGTGTCCATGTGTTCTCATCATTTAGCTGCCACTTTAAGTAAGAACATGCAGTATTAGTATTTTTATGAAGTAAACTCCAACAGGTGCCTGGCAATTTAAAAGCTCTCTTGTGATTGATACCCCTTAGAAATCACACTGAGTATTTAGATCAGTTCACAAACTTCTTGGACTGAAGATACCTTTATACTCTTTGACATTATTGGGAAGCCCAAATTATCTGTGTGGATTATATGAATCCATGTTTTTCTATATTAGAAATTAAAACAGAAAATTCAAAACATTTATTAATTCATTTATAATAGCAATAAGGCCATTGGCTATTAATAAATATATTTTAATGGAAAATAGTAAAACCAGTGGCATTGTCAACTTTTTACAAATTTGGCATTTAAAAAAATTTTCTTTAATGGCACCTTAAATGAAGACAGCTGGGTGTCTTGTATTTGCTTTTGCCATCAGTCTTTCAGGATATCACATATCATGTGCCATCTGAAAGTTTCATGGTGTAAAGAACAAATGATGTCTTAACATTACTGTGAAAATAGTTTTGATCTCCTGGACCCCTGAAAGGATCTCAGGAACCTCAGGTGTCCCAGGACGCTCTAAGAACAACTTCTTGCTATATATCAGAACATGCAAGACTGATATGGTCCCCTTAAGAGTACACTAATTAGTATTTACCTATGAGCTACTCCAATTTCCCTCAGCCCCTCGGCACCAGAAACTCGCCTCTTCTCTTATTGATTATCTTTTACCCTGATTTTCTTCATGAATCCTGTAAAGGGGAGATGGGAGGGTCTGTTTCACCTTTTAAGCTCTCTTTTGCATGATTTAGGCTCTATTATTTGCCCAGTTTAAAATCCAAAAGCCTGGTATAATCCTAGATATAGCCTTCTCCTTCACTCTTCACATTTGATTTATCACTAAGTCCTGTCAATTTTATCTTCTACATACCTTTCACATAAGAGCATTTCACTCCATCATTGTCTCCTTTGTCCAAGAGAGTATCATTTTTTAACATGAATGGCCTTCAGAATGAAATATCTATATCCACTATTTTTCCCTGCAAAAGAGAATGTTTTCAAAAGTATATCATTCCTCATCTATAGAACACCACACACACACACACACACACACACACACACACACCCCTCTACACATAAATTAAAAACCCTTCAGTGATTTCCTTTGATCTTAGGGCAATGACAAAACATAACCATCTGTTACCGCCTATCTATATTTCTAACCTTATATGTGACTTCATATACCTCCACATTTCTCTCCAGGCTCTCATGCTGTCTGTTCCAGCCACAATGATTTTCTTCCTTTGCCTCATATTTTCCATGTTCTCATTATAGTCTCTTTACCCCAGCCATGCCTTCTGCTTTCAAAAAATTTTACTTTCTTCCTTACCTAGTTGGCAGCTACTCATTCACATTTCAACTAAGTTATGATTTCCTCACATCAGCTCCTTCATTTGAGCTCCCTTACTGTATCATCTCCATATATTCTTATGATAAAGTTTAATTTATAAATTAGGCACAATAAGAGATTAACAACAACAATAAAATAGAATAATGATAACAATATGCCAGCATCACTATTTTTGTGCCTTGGGGCCATTGTTCAGTAAAATAAAGGATACTTGGGTATCAGCACTACAAAACTATGACCGTTGACCTGATCACCTAGAAGGCTACTAAGTGACTAAATGGGCGGGTTGCATATACAATGCTAGACAAAGGAATGAGTCACATTTGAGGCAAAATAGAACGGAGTGTACGTTTGAAACGTATGAATTGTTTACTTCTGGAATTTTTTATTTAATATTTTTGGATGACGGTTGACCACAGGTAACTGAAATGGCAGAAAGCAAAACTGCAATTAAGGAGGAACTACTATACTTAAGTGCCCAGAAACACTTTAGAAGTGAGACGTGGGTAGATCTTTGATAACTAAGGTGTCTATTCGAGGTATTGCTCTGGAGTGAATTGTGTCTCCCACCAAATCCATATGTTGAAGCCCCAACTCCCATTGTGACTATATTTAGATATAGGGATTGTTAAGTGGTAATTAATGTTAAATGAGGTCATGAGAGTGGGCCTTAATCTGGTAGGATCGGAGGCCTTATAACAAGAGGAAGAAAGAGAGAATTCTGTTTTTCTACCATGTAAGGACATAGCAAGAAAGTGACCATTTGCAAGTGAGGAAGAGAGCCCTCACCAAGGACCCAATTGTCTAGCACCTTGGTCTTGAACTTCCTAGCCTCCAGCAATGTGAGAAGATAAATTATTTTTGTTTAAATCAGCAAATCTGCAGCCTTGTTATGGCAGCAAGAGCAGACTAATATAGGTATGTTTCCATTGGAAACAAATATACAAAAAAATCCTTTCCCTTAGTAACCAATGAACATGGACATAACTTTAAAAGAACATAGTCGTCTTTTAAAATTCAGTGTGTTTATATGATGAGAAAATATTTTTTACAAATTGTATACAATTACAAAATAATTTTTACAAATTATTTTCTTTCTTAGACAAAGCTGATTGTTTCTTTGAGTTTTCCTAATTTATCCAAGGCCAGAATAGAGATTCACAGAAATAAAATCTTGTGTCCTGTGTCAGAAAAAAACAATGCCGTCAATACCCTTTTTCAAGGGAAAAATCTTTTACTTGGATGTCTCTTCCAAATCATCTTCTAAAGAATAAGGCTATAGAATTGAAGACCTTTCATGAAAGTCTTGTCTCCTGAGCATTTTGTACCAGAAAAAGCTTAGATAAATTCCAGGGAAAAGTTTGAGGTATGAATCCTGGCTTCACATGGAAAGCAAACATGCAAGCAATTTGAGGTTCATATTTTGGAGGTCTTTACTACTTTCCCATGTCAATTTTAAAACAAGAAGCTCTTTAAATTTATAATGAGCTGGATCCTGGTCTTCATGGCCCACAGAGCACAAGTATTGTTGATGGGAGAGTGGCTTTATTACACACTGTTCTCAATCCCGAGGGACCTTCATAAAGTAAATTCTATTTCAGTTGCTCTTTAGTAGCTGGGAAGAAGCAGTGGGTTAGGTTGAACTGCTCCAGGAGGTTATCGGGTATTTGTCTACCAGCCTATGAATTGACTTATTCTTAGCTATAGGGAAAAGAGAAGCAATAGCTTGTCTCCATTGGGAAATCTGGGTTTTCTTTTGGTGGGGATGTTGAGGGCAGGGTGGGTTTGGTGAAAACCGTAGATGTAAGCATTTACTTATCATTCATATGAAGCTCACAGAGCCCTGGGTGTCCCTGTTTGTAACATACTATGCACTCCTCCTCTCCAGTTACCATTCAGACCTCTATCAGGGCCCTGTGGCCTCTCTGCAAGGCTTTGGCTAGCACTTTATAGAAAGAAGTAATCAGATTTTTTTTTCTAATTAGTGATCTTGTTCTCTTGGTCTCTGTTGGGAGGCAAGATGGTTGTACCAAGAATTAGACAACAGTGAATACTCTTTGTCTCAAAAAAAATCTGTTCAAATCTTAAAATTCACTTCCAAATTTTGTAGCAATCAGATCACAGCACAACCACACCAGCAAAGTGAAATTAATGTTCCAAGAGGCATGCATTGTATTTGTTCATATTCAAACAGGACAGTGAAAAATTTCGATAGCAAATGTTGTTTTACTTAAAGCATTTCCAAACAGAAAATTTTGTGTCAATCATCAAAAGAAAGCATTCCTTTACTCATAGACCACTGATGATTACATAAATACCTTTGCTTCTGCTTCCAATGGGTAGCCACTGCTGATACCCCTGGCAAAATGTTTTCTTTGTTGGAACTCTCAGAAGAGTTCCAGATATTTTCAATGTTAACTGGGTAGACATGATTGCAAAAATATTTGTGTATGGGGGGATGCTGTATTTTAAAATACTTGTTGCTTTGTCTAAACAATCAACTTCAGCTGATATTTGGGAATGTTTCTGTGTTTTCTGACATTTTAGTTTGGCCAATGGAGACTTTTCAAAACCCTCCCTTACTCAGGTCCCATGTTAAGTATTAAGTACAAAGGAATGCCTTTCCCAACATTTAATAGCCCTCTTCAAATCAATTGTCATGAAACATTTGTTTTATTTTTACACCCAGTTTTGATATTTATACAGCAGGGCTGCAGGAGGAGTTTGTTTTACTGCCATCGAGGAATAATTAATTTTGTTTGAATAGTAAGTATGTGAGCAGCAAAGATCAAACATTTATATCACAGTTAAATGGTCTATGGACAAATCATTCATCATGGTCCTCATCAGATATTTATTAAACAGCTTCATGGAGACTCATAATAACTCTTATTTATTGATGAAAACTATTTAGTTACCTTGTCGTACTAATATATCTTTATTCGCCTGTATTATTTATTCTATACATTGCCACCAGAATTATGTAGTTTTTATTTATGGGGTGACTTCTAGCAGTTGAATGTCAAAGGGAATAAATACAATGCACTGATTTCAGAGGGTACTTTGGAGTTAAAGAAAAATACTAGCTAAATACTCTAGTTTGTGTTTAAAATAATGACAAATATTTCCAATGAATTAAAACACAAGAAAAATAAAACTATTAAGTTGTTAGAGTTATACACATTTTAAAGTTATGGATATTTATTTTTAAAAAGATGAAAAATAATAATGTTATTATTTAGATTCTTTACATCTTAATAAAGCCTAATGAAAAAGTTATATTTATTTGGTAAAATATTATATTTGTATTAATTACAGTAATTCTTTGTATTCTATAATTTAAAAAATTTGAAAAGGTTTTATTTTCCGTCTCCAAATTAAAATATATTAAATAGTTTAAATTATTGAATCCAAAGCCAGCATTTGGGTTTTTATTTAATGATTTTACATACTTTTTAAAAAATGAATGTTCAATGACTTTTCAAGTTTATAGTAAATGCTTTAAAATATGCTAATGAAAGTTTAGAAAAAAACCTATTCAGCATAATAGCTCAAGTGATGAGATTTATATCATTGCTATTTTTAAAAGTGAAAGATTCTTCAATTAAATCTTGTTGGAAACCTCCAGCTGAAGTAGAGAATTAGCACTAACAATGCATGTCTGAATTGACATTGAAGTTTTAGTGGATAAATCAGCAGTGAACTATTTTCCTGTATATTTTAAAGCAAGTAGGCGTTTCTTTGACTTGGGGTTTTGGTAATATAGATCTTTCATTTCACAGAGGTTCTTAAAATTTCAAAATTTGCTCTCAAATTAGGAATATGTTTAGCCTTTATCAGTATTTACCTTTTATCATTCCTCTTAATATTTCCTGATTATCACGTGATTGCTTATAGTTGCTCATTGCACCTGCCAAATATTGATTTTTTAATGAATTGTGATAACCTATGTCTACCTTACTGTCTCCATTTTTATAAGGTATATTTCCACTTGTGTCTGAGTTTAAGGGTCTAAGTATTGCTTCAGATTGTAACTATCATGGGTCATTTCTGTAAGAGTGTAACTTTAAAATGTTATTTTTGGAAAAATTACTTAGAAATTCGAATCACCCTTGACTAATAACATGCTCTAGAAATGATAGTTGGTATTTAATCTTACGTTGACAATGTAGACAGAAAATTTTACTCTCTCACCCCTACCCAGGCATATCCTTACAGTAGGAAGTTACCTTCACATAGTAGAGGAAACAAACAGCCTTTTGAAGCTGCTTCCATATTTAGAAATTTCAACAATGTTCGAATCCTTAATCATATCTGAATATTATATTCATTTTATTTATTGTCTTGATTGGTATCTGGCAAATCATACTTGTGTCCGAGGAGTGGTGGGTTAATTTTTCATGGACTGAGCCTTGAACTAGTTTCTCAGTGAGATGCAATGGATGGACCCATATCTAGCCAAAGATGGCACTGATTGACACCTGGACTCATCAAGACTGGATCTGTGAGTTATGTGCACAGCATAAGAGTAGTGCTTGAGAAGAATGGCTCAGTAGTAAATAATCAAAATAAATCACATACAATTAAGTAGGAAAGTAAAAGAGTTGAGGTACCTGAGGCAGACAATGAAGTCTATGAGATTAGTGGAAGTGTGTTTACACTGGCTGTTCTAACTCTGAACTCCCTTCCATTGTCAGGACTTAGTCCTGACTGAGGTCACAAGTTTGCTGCCCAAGAGCTTGTGCCCCCAAATTTTCTTTTAGCATGTTAAGCTAATGAACTGATAGATGCCCAAGGACATTTATTTTTGTCTCCTTTCCCATCAGTTTTATAACTAGATATGAAATATAGCAGTACAAACTTGACCTTGTACCTGTTTTAGAGTTATCACCTTTTAAGACTTTCCCCATACATTCAGTTTCCTCATATCATTTAACAGTTAATTCAAATAGTCAGAAATAGAGTAACTTAATGGCATTTATATTGATGAAATATAGTTCCTTAGGACCTATGAAATCCATCTTATTTTGTATTTCACCAAAGACCTTTGGATAGTATTGAAATTATAAAAGACTTGCATAATCAGCATCAACTTTTTCTATACAAGCCATTTCCCCAAGTCCAATAATTTTTGTTCTTCCTAAAATCAATATATATCATCAATATCAATATAGATGAATTCTCTAGGCTATCAGCTCTCAGTTACCACTTTATGGGTCAATTACTGAACATTTTTCATCTTCATTTGAGTTTCTTTTTAAGTTTGGATATTTCTGAGTCATATTTCTATTCTCTGAAGCAGATATACAAAACATTGAAACACTTTTTAAATGGGCTGCAATAAAGTTATTTAAAAGGAATTTACTGAAAATTTGCACAGTACAACTTATTTCAGTAATTAGGGTAGTCATTAAGGTAATGTTTTCCCTTTCTTCACAAAGCTTCGTAGAATAACTCTAAACATAAGCTATTGTTTAGTTTGCCTAGGTTAGCTCATAGAATGCAATGAAATAAAGCATTCAACTAACTACATAAGGTAGAAATGGTTTGTATGAGAGAGGTGTTTAGATGAAATTTAAAAGCTATTAAAAATATTTACACTATTAACTATAGAAAACTTTCATAGGCATCCCTAGTCACTGAAAGCATGTCTAATTCTGGCCTGTCCTTCGTACAGTGGTACATCCAATTCCAAAATGGATAAATCAATGAAATTTACTCAAATCTTAAACTGTCCTAGAGGCTGCCAACTTGAGTTTCATCCAGAGGCATCTTGAATGGCCATTTAGATTGTAAAGGTAGCTGGGAAGTTTACACTTTTATCAAACCATAAACATTTTCATGTATGTTTTAAGAAGATATATGAATTTTAGTTGCTCTGGAATGTTTTGAGTTACATTTTGATTGACTAAACATTACAGAGAGAGAGAGAGACCAAATTGTGGTAAAAATTTAATTTTATACTTTTATTACTTAGTGACTGAGGGTTTCAAATCTTCATGACGTATAGTAAGCATTGAAGTTGGACTAGGAAAAAAAGCAGGAGATAGATCTTCCTAGGAATAACTGATTTTTTCTTTATTGTCAACAAGATGACTAAAAATATATTTAACATGTTAGCTTAGAATTTATTTATTTATTTAATTTATTTTTTGAGACAGACTTTCACTCTTCTTGCCCAGGCTGGAGTGCAATGGCACGATCTTGGCTCACTGCAACCTCCACTTCCTGAGTTCAAGCCGTTTTCCTGGCTCAGCCTCCCAAGTAGCTGGGATTACAGGCACCTGCCACCACCACTCCTGGCTAATTTTTTTTGTATTTTTAGTAGAGATGGGGTTTCACCATGTTGGCCAGGCTGGTCTTAAACTCCTGACCTCAGGTGATCCACCCACCTCAGCTTCCCAAAGTGCTGGGATTACAGGCATAAGCCACCATACCTGGCCAGAATATATGTATTATATTGGAGGAAAATTATGGTTAATTTCATTACCACTTTGTATGTACTTATAAGCAAGCTGATTTTAGAAATAATTGTATAGTCATTTCAGAAACACTATATATTCAGCATATATAAGTTATACATGTGGAGGTAAAATGCATTTAAGTAACTTTTCAAGAAAAAACTAATTTAGGATTTGAATGAAAGGAAAATTGGAATGAAGTTAGTAATAATGTTAAGTTAAATTTCTTATTCCACTCAATTATTATAAAAGCTTATAAGTAACAGAAAAAAAAATCTGCTAATACAAATGCCAATGAACTCTAAGAGGCAAATGACATCTTCAAAGATTTTATATAAGTTTTTTTTTGTTGTTGTTTTTTGCCAATAGCTGACAATACTATGAATGACACTGATGTTCCTTTGGAAACAACTGAATGCATCCAAGGTCAAGGAGAAGGCTACAGGGGCACTGTCAATACCATTTGGAATGGAATTCCATGTCAGCGTTGGGATTCTCAGTATCCTCACGAGCATGACATGACTCCTGAAAATTTCAAGTGCAAGTGAGTAAAGTAGGCAAATGTTATACATTTCAGTAGGCCCTGGGGAAAATGAGGTAGAGTGGTTACTTTTTACTAATTTTGTGTTAGTGATCAAACTTCAGCGTGCCCAGTGATAATCAGGAGTTAAAAGGCAGATTACACCTCCACTCAGAGATTTTGATTCTCTTAATCTGGGATTTGGTCCTCAAATATGCATTTCATTAAGGACCCTAGGTGGTTCAGATCCAGAGGGTAGATTCACTATGCTTTGGGAAACACATCCCTAGGTGGATTTCTGATCACAGTTTTGCTCTTCTGGGTCTGTTTAGTAAATCAGTTAATAGTCATGGCAGCCAGGCATGTTTCAAAATACTGCCTTCTTAAATTTTCGTATTAGCTTTGGGAGGATTACACATTTTTCCTTTCGAAAGAATGGAAAGAAAAGGCCTACCACTGAAGAGTTATTAGCCTTAAAGATCTGTGAATAAAATAATTTTTCAAAGCTTAAATGAATGTGTTCAGTTGTTTCTGGATTTGCTTTGAAAAGTGGGGAAGCAAATCAATTGTGTAGATGACTCAAGCCAAAGAAACTGCCCTTGAGTATCAATTACATAGTTGTTTTGTGCATTCTCTATGGGTACTTTTCACACCATTTGACTTTTGCAGACAGGCACAGACACAATGCCATGTGTTTTTAAATTGTCCACCTTGTTATGAGGAACATAAAGTGATTGCTTTTGAAATTAATAACACACATCATTCATAGTGGCTTTTCTGAAATAGCACCTATAAATAACATATATTGGCTTTATGTAATTGGCTTTTAATAAGACAGCCTAACATTTCTGAATGAAGAGCTATGAGCACTAGTTGGCCCATCCGCCATAGGAGAGGGGAGATTTGTGTTGTATGTGTGTGTGTGCATGCACAAGCTTTAGCTAGTTCTGTAATTTATTTGTTTAAATAGTAAATATTAATCTAAGATTTTTTCCCATTAGTTTACAATAACAAAATTGACAGTTGTCATGCTGGGTTTATTTCCCTCATTTCCATCACAGCAATTCACTCTCTATTCGTGACCCATGGGTTTCACACCTGAGAAATACATATCAAAGTAGAAAAAACAAAGAAACAGAGAAAATATTAGTTATAAGGGACAAAGGAGATAGTGTCACTGCCATTCACATTTTTGTTAACTTCTAATGACTAGTAATACCCAATAAGAAATTGTGTACGTAAAGATACCTAGTGAAATTCATCTGTAAGAAAAACAGAATGGATATAAACATTTAATTCACAGACTTCACAAGTGAAGCTTAAGTATCAGAAGTTACCTGTTATATCTTGGTAGAATTTAAGCCATCTTTTCTTAATTTTGTTATTTGTTTTAAATAACCAAACATAAGTATTAAGAAACAAAGCTTGTGCGGTGTTATAAAACTGATAAAATCTGATTCAACATTTTTCTCAGGACATTGATTTACCATTTACTATTTGTGATCCAGTAGTGAGGGGGCGTACTGGTCACGTGTCTCTATTAAACATTAAACATGAAATATTACTTGCCCACTTGCCCCAGTACTGAGACCTTAAAAATGGCAATCTTTGGAACACTGTAACTGAACAACACTGCCTGTGATGAATCGACATGAATCATAAAATCATCAATTTACTTTAGTAATTGTAAACCATCCTTTCTTCAAGTGAAAAGTAAGGACCTAGTAAAAATATCTGGGCAAATCTTGACTTTCATTCTTGCTTAATCTAGATTATTGATTGAGGTGCTTCTAATACAGATGTTAAAGTCAGTCCAAACTAAGACTTTGATAGCCCTCGATCTTCACTTAATTAGCTTGTCTAAATGAACAATCCAGAACTTTGGGAGGATGAGACGGGAGGATGGCTTGAGGTCAGGAGTTCAAGACCAGCCTGGGCAACAAAGGGTGACTCCATCTCTACCAAATAATAGAAAATAAAACCAAAGTGTATGCAAAGTTCATGTAAAATTTAACACACATATTTTATACTGACATAGATTTTTTTTAAAAATGTAAGTATAAATTGCTTGTCTCATCTATTCCAGTTAATAATTTTATAAGAAGGCTAAAGGTTTGAATATGGGTTATGAACACTTAACTATACAGTGGCTTTAATTATTGGTGGCCGATGTTCTCATATCCTTAAATAATAGTTTGTGTCAGGACTTACTTTGATGAGATAAGACTAATACTTATTGACTTTCTAACCCAACACAAGCTTCTTCCTTAAAAATTTCTCAGTTTCGGCCGGGTGCGGTGGCTCATGCCTGTAATTCCCACACTTTGGGAGGCCAAGGTGGGCAGATCACCAGGTCAGGAGATTGAGACCATCCTGGCTAACACGGTGAAACCCTGTCTCTACTAAAAAAAAAAAAAACAATTAGCCGGGCGTGGTGGCAGGCACCTGTAATCCCAGCTACTCGGGAGGCTGAGGCAGGAGAATGGCGTGAACCTGGGAGGCGGAGCTTGCAGTGAGCCGATATCACGCCACTGCACTCCAGCTTGGGCGACAGAACGAGACTCTGTTTAAAAAAAAAACAAAAAAAAAACCTCAGTTTCGAATGGTCCATTTGGATATTAAGATAATTGTATAATAGTACTTCTAATTGGACCTAAGTGATACAAATACTGTGGTTTCCAAAAGATTGAATATTAATATAGTTATTAAAAAGGAATCTATGAAATGAAAGCACCTACTTATTTAAAATTAGCATATTTAATAAATTTTATTTATTATGAAATCCATATTTTATTTAATGTGAACCTTATTTATATTGATAGAAAACCATTAAAAGTCTTCTACATACAGAGAATATTAGCATAGATTTTTTTCTTATTAGGAACTCTAAATTTCTAATTAAAATACTGGTAAAATGAAGAATATACGTGTACTACATTGAAAATGTGTTCTATAGTTCGTTTTTCTATAGTATAACTGGGCCTTAATTTTACAGAAATATATATAAAGATTTTAGGTAACCTCTCTAAATCAATAAATAATTGCTTTGTAATTAAAATAAATCAATGCATCAAATTAAATAAATCAAAGAAATGCAGAACTCAAGGAAAAATAGCTATCATATTTTTGTGGCACATATTTGAATAGATTGAACTTCCATTTTAAATGAGAGTAATTAATTACTATTGATAATAACCTTTCTTCCACAAAGAGAGATATGTGTTGTTTCTACACAATATGTGGGCCATGAACATGTAATAAATAACAGGCCAATGTTTTGAAATGGTACCAATTGAGAGTCTCAATCTTAAGACTGAGTGAGAAGAATGCAGCGGTACCGTTTCTCTCTTTTATGAAGCAGTAATGTTTGGGTGAAACTCTAGGCCTGTGGAAGGAAAAAAATATTAACATATGACAGCATTTATTTCAGTAATTTGGGCAGAGTCAGTTATGTATACTGAATATTAAATTGTTATAGCTATTCTGAGTCCAAAAAGTTAGAACTCTATTTATAAACATGCATACATTCTAGAATTCTAGAAATGTAATAGCGCTGACTTCACCAACGTAAGAACTCCGGCAATTTACATTAACATGCTTATTCTCAATAGGGACCTACGAGAAAATTACTGCCGAAATCCAGATGGGTCTGAATCACCCTGGTGTTTTACCACTGATCCAAACATCCGAGTTGGCTACTGCTCCCAAATTCCAAACTGTGATATGTCACATGGACAAGGTAATAGCTGACATTCTGCAGGGTGGGCATGATTAAATTCAGGGGAAATGCCTAAAGGGAGGACACATTTTACAGCATAAGATCTACTTCTTGCTGCACTGGTTTTGCTGGCTTGCAAACAAAATCACCAAGTTTGAAGCTGGATTTTTCTTATGTTTATTCACTCAAGATTTATTTATTTAGCTGAGTGTATGCTACTGACAGCCACAGTTCTAAGCCTTGGAGATATACCAGTAAACAAAACTAAGCTATCTGACCCCCTGGAGCTAATATTCAACTGATAGAAAATAAGCAAAATAAAAATGAGAATGGGAATATTACAGTAGTTTGTCATAAGCAGTAGAGAGAAAAATGTCGCAGAGTTAGAAAAGAGGGGTGCTGCTCTTTTATATTTTAATGTTCAGGGAAGATCTTACTTGCTATAAGATCTTACTTGCTTAACATATAAGAAGGACCCAAGGGCAGTGAGGGAGCAGCATGTGCCATGCACATATATGTGTAAGAGTATTCTAGATAAAGAAAACTGCAAATGCAAATGGTGTGAGATGAGGGAGTTCTGGGAAAGTTAAATAAATAAGCACATCACTATAGCTAGTACAAAATAAGTAAGATGAAGAGTAGTAGGAGATGAGATTAGAGAGGCAATTGGGCTAAAATTGCATCAGCCTTTCAGGAATTGTTTGCCCTTTTGCTCTGAAAGAGAAAGGACTCTTAGGACTCTTCTCTGAAGGGAGAAATTACACAATCTGACTAAGTTTTAACTGGATCACTCTGGCTGCATTTCGGAAAATAGCTAGAATTCTTGACAAGGGTTAAAACAGGAGAACCAATGAAGTGGTTGTTTCAGTAATTCAGACTACAGATGGGAGTGACTTGACCCTGGTTGTTAGCAGTGTAGCTGCTGGATAATGGTGGGGTTTGAGGGAAATCACCATTGCATTTGGAAACATAGATGCCATTGAAGATAACTGCCTCAGGGAGCGGTAGTAAAATCAGATTGAAATAGATTTTTAAGTCAAAAAATAATAGATGATGGTGAGGTTGCTGAGAAAAGGAAATGCTTATATCCCCCTGTTGGGAATGTAAATTGATTCAGCCACATGGAGATTTCTCAAAAAACTTAAAACACAACTACCATTCAACACAGCAATCCCATTACTGGGTGTATACCCAAAGGAATATACATCATTCTACCATAAAGAAACATGCATGCATATGCATGCAAAATAATCTATGCACCCAACCCCGGTGACACACAATTTACATATAACAAACCTACCTATGTACCCATGAACGTAAAATAATTTTTTTAAAAGGTAGATTTTTCAAAGAAATAATTTGTTAAATATTAATAATAAAGTTGAATCCTGGGAATTACTGATGTATAGTAAATTGAGAGTTATCCTTTTTAAATGATCATGTTCTATTTCACATAGACTTAATTGTGATGGTCATGATCGTGGTTAGCCCTAAATCATCCTTGAAATCCCAAGCCAAATTTAAAGCTCCATCTCATAGACCTACTGCCCTAGGCATACTTCTATCCTTTAACTTTTTCCACAGTGTCATTCTTCACGAGCAACTCTGAAAATAGAGTTGTAGAGGGAAGAGGGGATGAGTCCCTTTTCAGTCAATTTCACTGTTCCTTTAAGGATCAGTTAGAAATAAAGTTGAAGCCAATGATTAAGGGAAGTTTGGTACCAGCTGAGTCTTCTGTGTTCCTGTCTCATTTACTTGAACATTTGTTAATAATTTGTGAGTGATAAAGGAAAACAATTATTTGATAAACCTTTGGTGTGTATTAAGATATTTTATATACATATACGTCACTTAAAAAGGATCAGGTAATAGAATATGAAAATTTTGGATTCTGGAGGGTAAACATGTTATTGCTTATCAGATCATTCATTCATAGGTGAAAATATTAGTTTTATGGAATTTAAGTAACTTGCCTAAATTCTCAAATACAGATATATCTACAGATAGATCTATCTACTTAGATCTAGGTATTTTTCTATAGATATAAATCTACACACACAGATATATATATATGTGTATATATATCTATATGTGTGTATATCTATCTATATATATATATGAAAGATGTTACTCTTATCCTTCTCCATAAAACAGAAAATATAAGTTCTACATATAGTTAGATGAGTGGAAACATTTTTCAAATCTTGCAACATCTGAATTAATATATATATAAATATTCTTCCAACTGGATATTAAAAACACTATTAAAGAAAAATGAAAACTGAAATTACAGAATTTCTTTAAAATGTTGATAAAACACTACATATTATATATACTATATATTGTATACTTAAGGCAGTAAACAATATAATTTAAATATTTATATCAATATCATAAAATGTATTTACAGTTATTTCAGTCTTAAAATATATTCTAATGAGAGTATATACAGTCAGAAAATTGTAACCAAAAATCATCTGGATTTTCTTGCTCTGTATTAATGGTATACATTTGATATATCCATAGGCATATTTCTGTCTTTATTTTCATCTTTCTGGATATTAGTTTTTGAATATTTAAAACCTTAACATTGGATAATAGTAAATACTATATGAAAGGGTAAATTCAGAGAAGTGTCCTCTTCTCTTGCTTCCATGCCATTCCATTTCTACTTTCTACTCACCATTGCAAGTAGACAATTTCATTAGTTTCTTGTTTATGGCTCTTGAGTATTTTCCATTCTTTACTTTTTTGGAATGTATGTGTAGGTTTGTTACATAGGTAAACTTGTGTTATGGGGGTTTGTTGTACAGACAATTTCATCGCCCGGGTACTAAGGCTAGTACCCATTAGTTATTTTTCCCAGCATAAAATCTTAACGTTGATGTAAATTTGCAGATGACCTTTCATAGTCAAATGTACAGTTTTCATTCATATAAAAATTAAGAATGTTAAATATAAAAAGTCACTTTAAAAACGTTCGGTATTATTTAAAAGTATAGAATATTTTTAAAAGTAGAATAATTCTTTTTAAATTTGCAATGCAACATATATATATATATATACCTTTTTAAATTTCTTTTTTTTTTTTTTTTTTGAGACAGAATCTCGCTCTGTCGCCCAGGCTGGATTGCAGTGGCATGATCTTGGCTCATTGCAACCTCTGCCTCTGGGGTTCAAGCAATTCTCCTGCCTCAGCCTCCTGAGTAGCTGGGATTACAGGCACACGCCACCACACCCAGCTAATTTTTTATATTTTTGGTAGAAATGGGGTTTCACCATGTTGACCAGGCTGGTCTTGAACTCCTGACCTCAAGTGATCCACCTGCCTCATCCTCCCAAAGTGCTGAGATTACAGGTGTGAGCCACCGCGCCTGACCAACTTATATTTTTTGAAGAACTTGATTTCTGACTACATTTCTTTTGATTAAAAATATGAACAATATGGCCGGGCGCAGTGGCTCATGCCTGTAATCCCAGCACTTTGGAAGTCCGAGGCGGGCGGATCACTTGAGGTCAGGAGTTTGAGACGAGTCTGGCCAACATGGTGAAACCCCATCTCTACTAAAAATATAAAAAATTAGCCAGGTGTGGTGATGCATGCCTGTAATCCCAGCTACACAGGAGGCTAAGGCAGGAGAACACAAATTGCTCAATTAAAAAAAGAGAAATAGAAAACCTCATGGAGCATAGTAAGAGACCCAGGAGTCAGTTTAAAGTGGCTTCCATTGGCCAAATTTGGAACAATTTGAGCATCAAAATGAATAACAGGAATAGATTATATATCATATTAAATAAAAAGAAAATCCACTGGTCAACATTTAATTTACTATTTCTACAGCTAGTGCTAGCACTTCTACTACTAATACCTAAATGAATGGGGTAAGGGAAAAGGAAAAATTTTTATTTACAGAAGAATGCTAACGAACAAATACAAAGAAATGTTAGAAATAGCAAAATAACCATTTTATCATCAGCATGACAATAAGTGGTTCATGCAAAATTCATTAACGTATGCCTAAGCTATTTTGTGAAAATTTGTTTGGCATTAGGATATTTATTCAGACTCAAAGGCCCCAACCGATTTTTTTGTTAAATACAGAGGAGTTTTTCCTTTGCACCACTTAACCAAGTGATCAAACACATCACCAGTGATGGAACAAAGTGACATCATGTGTCACAAGATGTTATGCTCTAAAAAGGACAAAGCATCACTGATGCAATATTCCTGTCAAATATCTTTAACTTGGTTTTATTCATGAGAAAATAAATCAAACAAAATGAACTTAAAGAGCATTTGTAAAACAGCTGACTTGGGTGACTCAGAATGTCAATGTCATAAAAGACAAAAATCAAAACATAAGGAATGTGACTAGGAGATGAATGTTCGTTATATTACTTTTCTATGGAATGAAATTTTTCAGAAGAAAATGTTGGGAAATACATGTGTTAGTCTAAAAATTCTTATTTCTTTGTTGTTCCAAAGGGCCACTCATTTAAATTATTTTGTTTTTAAATTATTATTTGTTATATTTGAATTTGCATAAGCCCTTATTTTGATGAAGATACTGGGCTTAAAATAAAGATTTTTTAATCTGAGATATTTGAGTATTTTTGATTTGTACAGATTTCAAGTACTTTAATTTTTTTTTTCTTTTTGTTTTGAGACGGAGTCTCGCTCTGTCGCCCAGGCTGGAGTGCAGTGGCGCCATCTCGGCTCACGGCAAGCTCCGCCTCCCGGGTTCACGCCATTCTCCTGCTTCAGCCTCTCGAGTAGCTGGGACTACAGGCGCCCACCACCACGCCTGGCTAATTTTTTGTATTTTTAAAGTAGAGACAGGGTTTCACCGTGTTAGCCAGGATGGTCTCGATCTCCTGACCTCGTGATGGGCCCGCCTTGGCCTCCCAAAGTGCTGGGATTACAGGCGTGAGCCACCGCACCCAGCCCTTTCAAGTACTTTAATTTTTATGTTGATTTCATGATTCCATATACTTGTAAAAAACCTTTTTGTTTTATCTGCCTTGATATTCATTGGACTTATTTCTGTATATTTTATGTCTAGATTGTTATCGTGGGAATGGCAAAAATTATATGGGCAACTTATCCCAAACAAGATCTGGACTAACATGTTCAATGTGGGACAAGAACATGGAAGACTTACATCGGTGTGTAAATTTCTTCCTTTCAATATATAGAATGTAGTGATACCAACAGACTGTGTATTTAGATATGTACATTGCTATTTCTTTCTATTCTTTTATATATCATGGTAAGCTAATAAAAGCATTAGATTGGTTTTTCTTTACAACTCATCATAACATTGTTTCTTTATGTAGCAAACTTTTAAATATGCAATTCAAGTTAGTGGATATTTATTGAGCATTTACTATGTGTTCTGTACTGTAATTGGTACCATGGGGAACATCAACAAAAAGTGGATAATGTTTTGGTTCCAACCTCCAAGGAGGATACGGTCACATTGACACAATAGTTACATAACTTAATAAGACAGTGTATAAGTAAGTGGCAAATCTGGTGTTTGAAATATTGCATGTTATGGGATTATTGTTTTCATATTTAATAATTGATAGTTTATGAAAAATCAATGAATAATCACTCATATAATTTAAATTTCTAAAATACTAAACCTTAACTATTAAAAATGTGTAATGACAGGTTTCCTTATGTAGCTTTGATACATAAAATTTTCCAGTAATTACAGGAATGTATATGTAGTTGAAAAAATCTACAAATTTTAGAGAATTACAGATTTTTACCATAGATATACTCATAGAGAAGGTAGCACCCACTCAACCCTAGCAATAGTGCTAGTGTTTACAAAATTGCAAAAGAAGTATGACACATAATTGTGACCTAAAGCAGATTTTTTCATAAACATCCCAGAGTATATGCACTAGAATAAAAGAAAAAACAAGTTACAGTCATTTGATCAAGTGCCTATAACATGGCTGCTTTACATGAGTTATGCCATTTGACCATCATAATCCTATAGGAAAGATTCATATGTGGATAGGAATTTAAGGGCTCAGAGAGATGGAGTGACTTTGCTTCAGTCTTTTAACTTTAAGTTCCTTATTCTCTTCCAAAATGTACTCAATAGTGGATTATATTGTTTCAGTTAATTTACTTCACACAAAAGGATAGTTCTAAAATAATGCTCTCCAATATAAAGACAATGCAGCTCACAAATGTAAGCGACATATGTTCTGTTAAATTCCTAGTAGCCACTTTTAAAGAGGTAAAAATAAACAGGCAAAATTAATTTTAATATATTTTATTTAATCCACTGTATCTACAGTTTTTCATTTCAATATGTATTTAATACAAAATAATTAAAAATATCTTTTACATTATATTCTCATGCTCCATATTCAAAATCTGGTGTCTGTTTACACTTACAGCGCCTGTCAATTTGGACTGAATCAATTTCTCAGTAGCCATATGTGGCCAGTGGCTACTATATTGACACTGGAGTTCTAGGACTTCAAAGAGCAGCAGACTTCTGTCCTTATAGATCTCCCACTCTAGTGTGGGATGCAAGCAAACAGGGAATGCCATATGAAAACTATGAAAGATAGCATATTTTATGCTATGGGAATGCAAAGAAGTGCCTACTCAGACGTAAGTGGTCAGGAAGGCTTCTTAAAGGAAGGGAAATTAGCTGGGATGTACATGATGAGTAGGAACTGGGCAAGGGAAGTAGAGGAGGAAGAGGACATTAGACACAAGAAATTGCATGTGCAAAGGCCAAAGCATTAGATTATTTGAATATAGGAAATAATTTTGGTAAGACTGAAAGAATGTAACTTGGTCAATGTCCACAGAGAAGGAATTCACAAAGTGGTAACACCATATAGAGAGTCTTGTAAGCTCAGTTAAGAAATCTAAATTTTATCCTGAGGATTAAAAGGATTTATTAAATAATTTTAAGTAAGAATTGGCATGATTAAAATAAATGCTAATTTCAGCACTGCTATTTTTTAAAGCATTTTTAGAAACATGCAGTGGTGGGTGGGGTGGATTGCTCTTATGGACTTGTGAGAGAGAATTGTTCTCATCGTCTTTCAAAAGTGTTGCCTTCAGTGATTTTACACTAGAAGGTTGAAATTTTCATGGTAGAAGTATTTACACTACAGAAATCAGCAACAACTTCAGACGAGGATTCCTCATCTTCATCCTCACCGTACACATACCTCAAAGTACCAGTTGGTAAACTTTTACCAGCATACCACTGAAAATATGTGATATATTTATTTAGAAACTATCAATGGGTCTCTAATAATACTTAATTCATCAAGTTTAGGTTTGACTTTTGGAAACAATTTGTAGGAAATTGATCAAGGATTAAGTCACATGGTACCATTTTGGCTTAAGGACAAACTTTGTAAGTAGGAGACAGAGCATGGCGGTTTTGAGCACTGACTCTTGAAATAGCCATGGGTTCAAACCCCAGCTCTAGTGTTTGCAAGTCATGTGACATTACACCAATTAGTTTTCCTCTCTGGATTTCAATTTCCACAAATGTAATATGGCATAACCTTAAAGACTATCTCATAAGATTGGTCTAAGGTTATATCTACAAAGAACCTACAACACAATGTGGCATGTAATAAGTACTATATGTGTTTACTGTTATTCTTGGTCCAGAAAAATGAAACTTGGTCTGGAAATATAGTCCAAGTTTCCATGTTCAAGCTTTTTAAAATTTTATTTAAAATGACACATTAATTATATTCAAGCATGGTAGCAATTAATAACTGGAAACAAGTTCAGTAAGATGAATAGTTTTAATGACTTTTATGATCAGTCAAAGTGGCCATGTAGAATTGACTTCATTCATGTTATTGAGGTAAATGTAAATATTGATGTTACATGAATGAAAATGGCCTTATAAAATAATTTACAGTAAATTTACAATCTTTGCTTTTCTTTTGTAATAAATTTAGTTAAGATGTGAATTAGAAATAAAGTATTGCTCGGTTATCTGTCAAAATAATATTTTGTAACTGATCAGTAAAATTTAGAATTTTAATTATTTAATTAACACATTATTCATTTCAGTATATCTTCTTGTACTCTGTCATAGTGATATGGCTAGTGATGCTTCATTTGTATCTAAAATGTAAAAAAATACTTGTATAATAGCTTGTATTTTTTATGTATTTTATAGTTTTAATCTTTGCCATCTGCTTGCTTTAGACAATGTTTTTCTTATTTCTATGCACAGAAGTATCATTACCATGCCACTGGGATTACCAAATAGAGGCAAAATCACAAAACCTAATATGCCAATTATGGAGCCCTCTTCCATATTTCCAAGTTAGAGAATCTGCTTCTAAAGTGTAGGAACAACAGTAGCAACCAAACAGACCTCAAACAAAATAGCTAAAATTCATCCCAAGTAAAAGGTTATGCTGTATCTACAGTGAAAGTAATGTGCTGAGATTATATCTTTTTGTAATATTTTGTGTCTCTTGGATGGAATGAGCATCTTGTGATGTGCAAGGCCTGTTGTTTCCACAGTCATATCTTCTGGGAACCAGATGCAAGTAAGCTGAATGAGAATTACTGCCGAAATCCAGATGATGATGCTCATGGACCCTGGTGCTACACGGGAAATCCACTCATTCCTTGGGATTATTGCCCTATTTCTCGTTGTAAGTACAGTTAGGGATTGGTGTCTTGTGAAATATTTTAAATGTACTACATTTCATCTAAAAGTTGTAAATAATATAGGTGGTCTGGCATTTATTCCCAAATGAGGAAGCTCTCCAGAGAGCAACACACACAAATGTACACAACACACACACAGACACACCACATGGTCTCTCTTTCTCTCTCTCCATCTCTCGTATAGATAAGAAGAAATTTTAACATTTTAATGGAGATTCTCTTCCCTCAGAAGATTTCCATTGGGATTCCGAAAGCATTAATTGGCCACAGTTCTAATATGACTGGGCTAGAAAGATCTCCCCACCCCCCAATACCAATACTACCTGTTCAGCTTCTGAATATAGCAGAGCTCTCAGCAAAGTTCCCAGCCCACTAAAAAGCCGTGAGCAGATCTGAACTAGTGGTACTTCTATTTCCTTCTCAGTTCTTTAATTTAAGACTAAAGAAGAGCCTGGAGTTTTCCACCCAGTTATCTGATTCCCAGATGGCTTTGTTAAAAAGATATTAGTGTATAAAGTAAAAGTTATATAAAAAACATGTAATACATGTTTGACATAGTTCATATAAAATACATGTCTGGTATAATTCATATTAAAAAGTCCCTAGATATCAGTAAGAAAAAGATGTGAGAATTCAGGAGAAAAAAGTAGAAAATAAATCTTCAAAAATATAGCTAATAAATAAATGAAAAGACATTAAAACATATTCGTAGGAAAAAAATGTTTAAGACATGAGAAGTCACTTCTACCTGTCAGGTTGGCAAATAAAATGATTGTAAATATCCAGTATTAGTGAGGACCTGGGTAATCAGTCTGTCTCAATTCTATGCTACTTACAGTGTGAATTCAAAATCCTGCTTGGAAGTTAGTTTGATAAAATGTATCAAAAGCAGTAATAATGTTGACATAGATCAGGATTTTTGGGCCTCCGCACACCCACATTTTGGGGTAGATGCTGTTCTGTGCATTGTAGCATGTTTAGTAGTATTCCTGGACTCTATCCACTAGATGCCAGTAGCATGACACCTGCCCCAAGTCGTGACAATCAAAACTATCTCTAGACATTGCCAATGTCCCCTGGAGGGCAAAATCATTTCCACTGGTAACCACTGATGTCTAGTAATACGTATTGAGATGGAAGTACGTCTTAAATATGTTATTGAGTGAAAAAGCCTTTTTATAAAGCTGTGTCAGTAGAAAGAGACCATTTTACTATACTATGTATCTGTAACTCTATGTTTACAACGAACATCCTTTACCACAATGTTAAACCACCTTCTCTTTAGAAAGGAAATACTTTTATAAGTTCGATAAAAACTTTGTTTTAAGAATGTTTTTCTTGTGAGACAAGCTAGTAGTAGCAAGTACCTTGAGAACAGCAGCAAAAATATCTACTCTAAAAAGAGATTAAATTGAAGAAATAATAATGTTGCTTTTAAAAAATGAAATACAACAGAAGTCTGTGTTTTTCTAGAATTTATGTCAAATTAAAGAGGTAAATTTCACCTTAAATGGAAACAGCAGTCATGTTTTATGAAATTCTAGCATTAAAGGCAAACTTTTAAAATATGATGTTAATCAAGTCTACCTATAATTAAGACTTGGAGCTGCTCCATCTATTTTTAATAGGTTGGGAAACTCTGTATAATAATAAATAACTAAATATATTATATGTTTGCAAATAAATGGCATTTCTAATAAGTTTATTTTCATTTTATCAGCCATGATCATAGCCTTTCAAATTAATTTGTTTTCCTAATGTTCTTCACTTTTCCCATATTAAGGTTGGCATAGGCTCAATGTTAATACTAAAAGAAACACACCTACTTTTTCAGAGAATGCCATACAAAAATATTTAAAAATTATTAAAAGATTATTATTTTTCTAAGTACAGTTTTATAGCACTATGTTTTTGTTAAGTCTCTATGGTTAAGACTAATGGAGGCTCATAGAATATATAATGGTGTAGGAAGAAGGAAAAAGGCAATTATCTGCCTTCTAAAACAAGTTATTTTGCTTCCTCTACAGATTTCCAGATTTTTAAAAATCACAGCAGCTCTATCTAGCACATATGCATGGTTAAGAGTGAAATGCCCTATAGTATCTCAAGGCACTGTGATTTCATTTATAATCACAAACCAAGGGAGCCAGGACTCTAATAATTTACAAGTTTTCAAAAAATTTTTTCAACTAATATTTTTAAACTAAAAGTAATGTGCTGTTGAAAGACTTGAGGGGGTTACTAGTATTTGATTAAATACTATTGCAGATAAATCATTTTATTTCAATGTATACCACAAATTAATTTTAATAAAGATTTTTACAGTGTCATTTTTCTAACTAATATTTATAGCCAGGATTTGTTTACATTTTCTCCCTGGTGAAAGGGTGATAATATTTATCTTTAGAAGATTTGAGTTCTTATTATTTATATAACTGCAGAGACTGTATAAATCATTTTCACACTGTAAAATTCTTTTACAAAACATGTAAAGGTTTTTATTCTTTTTTTTAACATGCTTACAAAATAATATTTTACATATTTTTAAGTTTATCAAATATGCAAACATAAAAATGTAGAGGTGCCTATATGATTGAGTATACACAGACACAGTTAGTATACTATTTTAGAAAAATCTTAACTACCAAGAGCGTAGTGGTTAAGAACTTCAATCCAGACTTCCTAAGAATGCCAGACCCATCACTTTTAAGTACCTTGGGCAAGTTACCAAACCCACTTAGGACTCATATTTGTATTTGCAATATTTTATAATAAAAGTACCTATTATATGGGACTATTGTGAACAGTGTCTGTTGCATAGTAAAGAGTCAAAACCTTAACTTCCATCTCTGTTTTTATTTGTTCATTCATTATTGTTAATTGAGCTGCTATTGTGTACAAAGCCATATATAACATACTATGTTTATAAAAATACAAACACTTCTTCTTAATTTTAAATAGTTCATAGTATAGAAGGGAGACATTTATGGAAATAATTACAAAGCAATATAATCATGTAATATGTATATATTAACAATATATAAAATGAGAATGTGAACATCGATTTCTTCATGGAGAAATACATGATGTTCGTAAACTTTTGAAATTGAGTTAAAGCTTTAAGAAGAGTGGGAGAAAGTTTTCTTTATGTTTTCAGAAAAAGTCCATGTTTGGTTCTGAGGCCATACACACACACACACACACACACACACACACACACACACACGCACACACACCCCTACCCTTCCGTAGGTAAAACTTTTATCATTGACATGTTTTCTTTCTTCAAATTTAAGTTGAACCAATAAAAAATAAGTATTGTATCACATATATTTTTGTAGACATGAGTCTGAAAGTAGTGTGGTATAGATAGTGTAGTATAGACAGTGGTGAAAGTAAAGGAAGAAAAGTGAGAATAGTATTTGGCAGTGAAATGGAAAAGGCATAGAAAGTAGTTTTTCAAGTTTTACTCCAGGCATGCAACAGAAGAACCTAGGATGCTTGTTAAATGGATGCATCCGGCCACCAACCCAGAATCCCCAGAAATTTAATTTTAAAACGTATTTCAGTTTATGCTAAAGTGTGAGAAATACTGGATTAGAGAAAGCAAAACATATACATTACTATTAATTATTAAAACCCAAAATGTATAGTGTCTACAAATTTTTTTTTTTTTTTGAGACAGAGTATCACACTGCTGCCCACACTGTTGCCCAGGCTGGAGTGCAGTGGAGCAATTTCGGCTCACTGCAAACTCTGCCTCCCAGGTTTAAGCGATTCTCCTGCCTCAGCCTCCCAAGGAGCTGGGATTACAGGTGTCTGCCACCACACCTGGCTGATTTTTTGTATTTTTAGTAGATCCAGGTTTTCACTGTGTTGGCCAGACTGGTCTTGAACTCCTGACCTTGTGATCCATCCGCCTCGGCCTCCCAGAATGCTGGGATTACAGGCAGGCACGAGCCACCACGCAAGGCCATATCTACAAATTTTTAAAACTAAATATATTGTAAGATACAAGAGTTAACTAAGCATTTTGTTGACCTATTAGCTTAATGCTTAGAAATAAGAGACTTAATATACAAGATAGAACAAATAACCAGTCTTTCTCCTCACAAAATAAGAAATAAATATCTACTTATTTAACATTTTCAAGTATTTGACTTACGTGGAAAACCAATATCCTTGAAGTTTTGTTACCATAGTCCGCCTCAATCTTAACTCATACTTAATGAACTAAAACTCTGACCTCAGCTGACTGACAAACCCTCCTCTAGGATAAGCTACAGGGAAAGAGAAATGATGAATTTTGTATGTTTACCATTAACCTATTCATTTAAAATATCTAGATCTGAAAAATGAACTTAAATAAGTATATATTAATTCTCACAACTATCCTCATAAATAACAATCACATTGGCATCTATTACAAAGGAATCCATATACATTATTGGTTTGTTGCTGGCTTATTTGAGCTCAGGGCATTTCCAGGGATTGACAACCATCTGGGTCTAAACAGTGCCTGACTGAACTCTATGCCATCAATTCTGAATAGTCACACATTAAGCTCCAGGAAATGTCTTGTGTCTCATTCATTACAGCATAAGTATTTCAAAATCCTTGCATCTTCCAAGACTTTCTCTTATTTGTGGCAATTAAGCCCCAGTAGAGATGAAAAAGTAGTAAGCTACAGGTTTTAATTAGAATTAATTTGTAGTTTTCAGTGTTCTCTTTTTTCCATATTTTTTTACTCGCATCTGGAAAAATCAACCCTTGAAATATTCAAGCAACAAAGCATAATTATATTGTATTATTCCTCTTTTTCCATTAGTGACATTGATATCTATCTTCTAGAATCCTTGCAGAGATTTATGAAGTTGGTGTAGTTGCAATTATCTTTAACCATATAAAACTAAAAGTTTTCAGAAAAAAAATTAAATGATTCAAATTACAGAAGCAAATGGCCTATCAATATGAAGAGTCCAAGTAGACAATAATGAACACGAGTGCTATTCAATGGAATGTTCATGGTGTAGGATGTTGGACATCTTGGTGGATCGAGGCAGCTCCTTGATGAAGGCAATGTAATTCAAATGGCCAATGATCATCAAAACACACACCTGAGAGCCTCCACAGTCATAAAATAGGGCTCTGCTCATATCACCTAGTACCAGAGGGCATATACTTACAATATTATCCAGTAAACGTGATGTATAATTACTCAAAAGAGTTTACATTTTATCTCTGAATAAAATGTCAAGAATTTCAGTAAATTGGCCAGGTGTGGTGGCTCATGCCTATAATCCTAGCACTTTGGGAGGCTGAGGCAGGTGGATCATTTGAGGTCAGGAGTTTGAGACCAGCCTGGCCCACATGGCGAAATCCCGTCTCTACTAAAAATACAAAAAGTAGCTGGGTGTGGTGGTGTGTGCCTGTGGTTCCAGCTACTTGGGAGGCTGAGTCAGGAGAATCGCTTGAACCTGAGAGGGGGAGGTTGCAGTGAGCTGAGATAGCACCACTGGACTCCAGCCTGGGTGACAGAATGAGACTCTGTCTCAAAACAAAACAAAACAACAACAACAAAAATTTTAGTAAATTACTGAATTCATTGATACTTGGATTTTAATATATATTTGGTTTTATATAACAGATATATGCATATATGAATTGTGTATTTATCTATACATTTATTTTTACAGGTGAAGGTGATACCACACCTACAATAGTCAATTTAGACCGTAAGTAATATTTCACAATATAAAGTATATTCTGAGTCTCTCTCTGTGTGTCAGAAGTGTCATTATTTCTTTCAAAGAAAATTATCTATATTAGCTTCCATTATAAAAAGAAGTTAATCTATTTATTTTTACTTTTTAAAATATATTTTTCTATGCATAGGTGTAAAGGAGTTTCAAAGGCAACTGCATACTGAATATAAAAATTCAATTCTCTTGCAAAAAATCTATAAGATGGTATATGTGATTTCGAAAAGAGTGTTTATATTTACTTTTAATTTGGGGCACAATGCGTATAATGGACCACCTTTATATATACCATGATTTAATAAAATTAGGATGCTGAATTCAGGAGAATGAAACCTGAAAGTTGGAAAGTTATTCAGTGCCTCTATTCTACTCTATTTGTAAACTTCTCTGCATGCCCTACAGTCAAGTGGGCACAAGATGACACAGTCTATGATATTCAGTTAATCCTCAGTTTAAGAATCTGTTGGGGGCCACTTGTATTTTATTTTCACATATCTCTTGAGCTGAAGGAAGTTACTCAAGTGTTTTTGATTTAGAATACCACCTGCTGTGCCCCAGGCTCAGGAAGCAAATGGATATCTATTCTAGACCATGGGCAGAAGTAGAGGGGATAAGGCGAGGAGCACAGAGGAGGGTCAGGAAAACATTTACTCCAATAAATTTTATATTATGTCTTTGGACATAATGATTTGAAAATAATAATTATATCATTTGGATATGATTTCAATAAATCAAATGTTGGTAAGACATATTGAATAAATCTACAATCTAACTGTACAAATTCAGAAGTAATATCCAAGTAAAGCTTGGTTTTGTTTTTTTCACTGAATCTATTGATTTCTACTGACCATTAGAAATAACCATTGTAAATAACTTTGGTTTATTTTATGTTGAGGGTGGTGAGGGATTAGACCTGAGGAGCTTGGTCTTAGTGTATTGTGAGCAAAGCCATTGTCACTCTCATGGCAATCCTGTCTGCTTTGAGTTTATTTGTTTTTCTGAGTTACTCAACTTCTTAGATGAAGATGGCAAGTGTTAAGGACTTAATATAATGCTGCGGTCATATTAAACTTCTCTTTCACCAAACTGTTCTTTGGACACAATAAGAATAGTTACATTTGTGTAATTATCATTGCATTTAAGAAAACTAAGAGGCACTGATTATTTCAAATTCTTATTTTAAAAAATGTTATGTTTGGTCCTGTTTCAGATCCCGTAATATCTTGTGCCAAAACGAAACAATTGCGAGTTGTAAATGGGATTCCAACACGAACAAACATAGGATGGATGGTTAGTTTGAGATACAGGTAATTATTAATAGATGCAAGTCATGCATATCCAGAATATGTACAAGAGAGTCCTATTCCCAGAAATATGGACACATGTGGTCCTGAAGGTTGTACCCTCCACAGGGCACCTGGGTGAGGCAGTAAAAGAGGAAGCTGATCACATCTGCTTGCCAGACTGTAAGCTCTGGACTATAATTTGTGCCTCCAGAGGTAGTGCCTTTTTAAATCTTCACAAAGGTCCCATATGTGTTGGCAATGTCCCTGATTCTAAGAGACACTTTGGTTCCGATTAAGCAAAATACGGAGGACCTATTGAAACCTTAATATTACCATAGTAGTTATGATACTTGTTATTAAATTTCCAATCTAGGATATTATGGGTTTATTTTCTAATATGTTTATGCATGATCATGTCAAAACATTTATATTTGTTTTTAATTTCTGACTTTTTCCTTGTCAATCAAATGAAAAATGGTAATTTTAAATTCTAGAGCATTTTATCTTTACAAAAAGGCCAATAGTTAAATAGTCTTGATATTATAATAATCAGTGGGGATACAAAATTCTTGACATGTCTATTTCTCAATGCTCTTAAGAATCAATGACATATTCTACATAAAATCACTTTGCAAATCATATTGTTAGAGAAAATTATGCTTAATAATTATGTCATAAGAATTAAATACTGAAAATATAAGTTAACTTAAAATCTGATCTTACAACTTTCATATACTACATATATTATTCTGTATGTTAATTGGAATGCTAAAATATTTATGTCTTTGGCTATCTCTATCAGAACCTTACCATGCAACACACCCCAAGATACATTGAATTTGAACCACATTGTCTCTTGTTTTCTAGATACCTCACGTTTCTTCCTCTAAGCCTTTATGCTGTTGTTCCCACAACACACTGTGGCTTTCTTCCTCCATGTTTTATGCCTGAAAATTCCTTCTCCTTCAAATTTCAACCTAAATATCCCCTCTTTTAGAATACCCTCCTGTTCCCTTACCGCTAGCCTCCTAGAGTAGAGAAAAAGAATGTCTGTTACTATTATTAAATCACAGTGACATTAGAATAGAGACAACTTGAAACAGAAGTCCTTTTATGAATAAACCAATTATTGGAAAGCAAGAGTTTATATAATTTGATATATATGACTTTAGATGACCACAATGTTGTAGGAGATGGCCTAAAGTTCTTTTTTTAGTATACCCTTTTCTCAAGGAATGGCTTATCAGATTTTATAAATATTTATGCCAATAATTGTAGTATAGCTGTCCTAGGTGTGTAGTACTAAAATAGAATTGTGAAACTAACCAGAATATTAAAGCTGAGTGTGCAGTATGAGGATTTAGTAAAGACTTTAGAATTCTGTTGGAGTGTTTAATTTTCTTAATTATAGAAAATCTTTCAAGAGGCTGGGTGTGGTGGCTCACACCTGTAATCCCAGCAGTTTGGGAGGCTGAGGCAGGTGTATCACTTGAGGTCAGGAGTTCAAGAGCAGCCTGGCCAACGTGGTAAAACCCATCTCTACTAAAAATACAAAAATTAGCCGGGCATGGTGGCACATGCCTGTAATCCCAGCTACTGAGCGAGACTCTGTCTCAAAAAAAAAAAAAAAAAAAAAAAAAAAAGAAGGAAGGAAGGAGAAATCTTTCAATAATCCACATTTGAGTTAATTGGTGATTCTTTGCTTATCTTATAACCCCAGAGGATAAAAGAAGACATATATTAATACTTCTAAGTTATTTTTTCCAGTAAGAGAATTCACAAGGATACTGCTTTGGTCATCTCCATTGTTGGAAAAGCAGGTGAAGCTATTTTTCCATCAGATTAGAGTACTGTAAATTTTTAGTTTTTTTCCTTTTTAAATCCAAGTTCTTAGCAACAACAGCTGCTTAGTTATTCTTCCAAAACTCATACTGAAAAGGATAGAAATTAAAAGTCAATATATATTCTTATCCTCCTGTGTGGTAAAGGCCATAAATAACTGTGGTCTCAGTCTGGGAATCTTCTAGTATTACCCTCTGAAGCACTGAACATCTGTACTCTTTGGAAATGTAAATTATGAAAAGTTGTGCTTTTTCCATGTCTCTGCCAAAAAAAATGGATTTACAGATTTTGGATATCATCAAAAAAATGTACTAGTACTCATCATACTCTGCAAATATTTTACAATTTCCTAAATGATTTGCCTTGCAAAATTGTTTTACTTTAGAGATGAAATATTATATTCCTGATCTTATACTGGACAAAGTAATTTATTCAGATTCAGTTACATTTTATGTTAATATATCAAAACTACATAATGGTAGTAGAAGAAGGAAATAGTGCACGAATAAAATTGCTACCACTAGATGGTTTTCAGGGTTCAAACAAGAACTCAACTTTGCATTTTTAATAAGCAAACACTGAATTTAAAATAGATTCACATTTTTAAGAAATTATAATTATCCTATATTTGTAGCACATACGTTCCTCACAAGGATAGATGCACATACACACGAATATGTGTGTTCGGGATGGCTATTGATGTGTAATAACTTTAGACTACACAAAAGTCAAATTGATTTCATAAATTTATAGTCACATTATGAAAAAAAAGCTAACGCTACAATCACCAAATATCACCCTTCAGATAAAAGAACTTCTCATTTTATTCCAGTTGGGTTAATTTCTATATTTTCCTCTGCAGTGTATTTATTTTTAACAAATGGAGCCACAGGCTTTGCATTAATTGGCAGTCACTCTTTCTGCACAGATGTTACTTGTTTCTCTTTCCTCTTTTTCACAGAAATAAACATATCTGCGGAGGATCATTGATAAAGGAGAGTTGGGTTCTTACTGCACGACAGTGTTTCCCTTCTCGGTAAAGTGTTTTTAAAACTAGTATTATTTTGAGCCTTTAAAATGTGTATGTCTTCCACTTTGCTCTTAAGGTTATAATATGTATTCATTTTACAGAGATTCACAAATGGGGTGAACAAATTATTTCATTTTTAGAATTTGGCTTACAAAACTTACTTTGACTTCACAGATATTTACAAGACACTACTTCAGTTCACCTCTTTTCACAATTAGTGTTACCCTCAGTTGGGGAAAATTTTGCTAGAATTATGTAAATGTTTTATATCCCAACTTTCTACTTGTACCCTGTATTTCTAGATATAATTCTTTTTTTTTTCTAAATTGTCAATAGGCTTTTTTCAGTCCTCACTACTTCTTTCTCCTGTAGAGTCAGCCTCAGGATCATCCTGGGCATAATTTTCAATGAAAATTAGCCTAAGGAAAAGATAAAGAGGCAGCATTTGTAAACTTCCTTCCTGCTTCTCAGCAAGGTCACTTTGATTTTGTTTGTAGAAAACTTCAACCCCTGTTACCAAACCAAATATATACACAGCTGACATAAACAAAGCAAAATTTGCAGAAAAAATTATAATTCATGTAAAGTGCTTTACCTGAGCATTTTTCACAAGTGACTTCTAGCAAGCATAAGCAAGTTTCTAAAATAGTCATTTAGAATCTCAGCAATTTAAAGCCTCTTTCTGCTTATGTATGTTTGTAGTATTCAGAATCTGCCATAACAAATGTGTTGTTCTTTATTATACTATGAATCAAATTTTAAATTTAGGTTATGTGCCTTAATAGTCTAAAATAACAATAGATAGGAATAATACTACAGAATTTGGAATTATTATGTTTTACATTTAAATTTTTTTCCTTCAAAACAGAGACTTGAAAGATTATGAAGCTTGGCTTGGAATTCATGATGTCCACGGAAGAGGAGATGAGAAATGCAAACAGGTTCTCAATGTTTCCCAGCTGGTATATGGCCCTGAAGGATCAGATCTGGTTTTAATGAAGCTTGCCAGGTTAGTTACTTTAGAAGATTTTGTATTTTTCACCTGGACAAGAATTGTTGGAGCATTTTCTTCAGCTGTGTGGCAGTTCGTTCTCTCTCATACAGATGCATTATAAACATATGTTACATGCTGTATATATATGTATATATGCGTGCGTTTGGGTCTCTCTGTGAGTATAGAGAGAAAGGTATTTGCAAAACTGTAAAAAAATGAATAACTAACATTGGGCCAACAGTCTGATCAGTCTGTTTTAAAATGGAAACTCAGCAGTTATTTGATAACTTTCAAATGTAAAATAATTATTTTAAAAAATAGCATTGACCATTTATTCTTAAATATTGGCAAATACATGACTCATTTCTTTACTACCTATTCCAAATGTCATCATTACATTTGGACATTCCCACCTTTTTTTTTTTTTTTTTAAGAAACAGGACTTCATTCTCTGTAAATGCCATATTAAACATGAACACTACATTTAATATGTTAATTTTGTGTTGAATCCAGTTGAGAGTACTTACCATTGTATTTTGTGTTTTCAGGCCTGCTGTCCTGGATGATTTTGTTAGTACGATTGATTTACCTAATTATGGATGCACAATTCCTGAAAAGACCAGTTGCAGTGTTTATGGCTGGGGCTACACTGGATGTAAGCTAGTTTTCAAAAGATGAGGCCATATTTATTTTATTTTAAAAAGAACACATTTGTCTTTGTTTCTTACTTTTCTCACCTTATTGTATGTTTTTTGCATCAATCTAGTGATCAACTATGATGGCCTATTACGAGTGGCACATCTCTATATAATGGGAAATGAGAAATGCAGCCAGCATCATCGAGGGAAGGTGACTCTGAATGAGTCTGAAATATGTGCTGGGGCTGAAAAGATTGGATCAGGACCATGTGAGGTAAAAAGGAAGTTCTTTAATAAGGAGTATGTGATTCATAGCTTAGTGTTTCATGTTTATTTTTTTCTGTTTATTTTTCTCAAATCAAAAATATTGTATACCAACCTATTCTAGGAAAGAGGAATTGGGAAAATTAACTCTGTAATATTCTGCATTTCTTTCAACTAAGCAGTGAGATAATCAATGTTTTATTAGCAGCAAACTATGATGACATTTGTCACTCAAAAAATAATAAGTGTGTAGAGCCGGAACTCCAAGGGAGAGCTATTCAAATGAGAAGTATCCAAATCAGTTAGATCAATGGTTTGCATTTTTCTAATGTTTTTCTAAATTTATTTTATCTTCCCAAATTATCTCGAAGTGAACTCCACTAATTATATCATTCAGAGATGCCTGGCTTTAAACTTTTAAATCTCTTTTTGGGTAAGCTGTTCCCTCTTTTGCTCTCTCGCTCTGTGTATGTGTTTAAACAGATTCTATTTTAAAAAGCCTAAAGGTCAAAGTTTGTGACTTTACGAGCTTGGACATTTCATTTGTGAGGCAACTGTTATTTCGGCTTGGCAATGTTCCTATCCCTATTTTACATAGACAAGCTGTTAAACTGTTAGTTTAGTTAGATTTTGAATGTGAGAGACATGTTCTCCAAGCTTCAGGGCTGTGGGATTGTGGAATGCTGTGTGTGGCAAAAGATGAAATGAGTTCAATGATAGTGAAATGTCCTTTGATATGTAGGAAAATGCATGCTGTAAGTATGGAACATAAATATGTATTGAAATGCAAGTGTTATACACCTTGCTCTGAGATTTTATTTCTGAAAAGAAGAGAAAATGTTTACTGTTTACTGAGTTTTTAGAACTGCTTAAAAATGATATGGTTAGAAACAGATTATATGTTTATAACCAGTTTCAAATTTGTTGCCTTTCTAGTAAATCATGAACAATGAAACCATTGTTCATTATAACAAGGGAACATTTACTAGGAGAAATAAATGACTATACTTTAAAAAGAAAAAGCAATAAGCATCCGGGAAACACAGAAGTTTCTAACTAGACCCAACCTTACAGATCATCTAATTATTGTCATTACCAAAACCAATTTGACAACTGCTTTTGAAGAATAGCCTTTAATTTGGATTATCACCTATATATTTTTCACTTCCCTCTTCAGTTTGAATTATTCATATCTGTATACTATATATGTTGTTTTTAACTTTATTGATAAGACTTGACCTCAAGTAGATTCCGCCACTTCTCAAAAATGTATTTATCCTCCAGAATGTTTTTAAAAATATATATGTCACTGACATTTAAATCAAGGTAATTTAGCCACTGAAATAAATTTGAAGGAGATATCTCCCAAATGTTTGTATAATAGCAGTAACATCATATTTAGTGAAAGTCTCCAGAGTGAATTACTTTGAGGAGTTTGTCTCAGTAATCACTAGTACATTTGTTTAAAAATCAGTTTTCTTTCCTCAACTGGCATAGTTTATATAGTCTCTTGGAATAAACTATTTTTCTTTACTGTGTGAAATTCTACTTTACCCCTAACTTGGTTTTCCCCATCACAGAATGCCAATGGCTCTCTTCTTTCCATTTGAATCACATAAGTTAATTTTGCAGTGGTTTCCCCCATCGCTGTTTAGGGAAAATTAAGGTAGTTCCAAACACTCTTCTGCATATAAAGATACCAAAAGCCAGCCACTGCATTCTAAGGAGGCTACATGGTTCATGAAAGTGGTGCAGCACAGTTGTAGTTGTTACATATAACACTATGTGCATTGTTTATTTATATTTACTTATTATATATTTTTATATAATTATATTTATATGAATAAATAAAACCATAAATGAATATATGCATGTATATATACACAACACAAATAAAGCTATCTGTTCATCTTTCCTCTATCTGATGATGCAACAGGCTTACCATATAAGAAATGCCATGAAATCACAGGACACGCTACAGAAAGGAGGGTATAAAATATAACTATAACTATATTAACTACTAATACCAGCAGTAACTGGAGGAATATTCCTTGCCTGGAAAAGCAATTTCAATTAACAGAATTATTTTGTTGACAACAAGTTTTTTATTTAACTTGTTAAGATCATGTAGGGCAGGATTGGGAGAGGCAAAAAAAAAAAGCTTTAGAAATAAGAAAAAATATAATGCAGTTTAATTGTTAAAACTATATGATTACAAGTTATTTTCTTTTATACTTGTATTTTTCTACATGTTCCAAATTTCCTATATTGAACATAAGAAGATCAAAATAAATATCAAATCTACCTTATTAAATAGGCACCGATGGTTATATGTTAGTCTGCATCCAACAAAGGCAAAGCACACTTAAAAGGATGGTTGACTCTTTTGGAAAAGGCAAGTCATTTTTAGGAGAATACCACACATAATAGAACACTTTAAACTTTGTACTTATCTCAGTCTTGGCTAATTCAGTAGAAAGTCAACAAATGTCTAGTACACTAATTTTTATATCTTCATATTTCAGTTGCAGTTATTCTCTTTTTCTGTATATATCTCTGAGATGCAAATCTATATATGATTATGTTAATGAGCTTTTTTTTAATTCCTAATAATACTTTGTTTTTGTATGTCTTACTCCTAGGGGGATTATGGTGGCCCACTTGTTTGTGAGCAACATAAAATGAGAATGGTTCTTGGTGTCATTGTTCCTGGTCGTGGATGTGCCATTCCAAATCGTCCTGGTATTTTTGTCCGAGTAGCATATTATGCAAAATGGATACACAAAATTATTTTAACATATAAGGTACCACAGTCATAGCTGAAGTAAGTGTGTCTGAAGCACCCACCAATACAACTGTCTTTTACATGAAGATTTCAGAGAATGTGGAATTTAAAATGTCACTTACAACAATCCTAAGACAACTACTGGAGAGTCATGTTTGTTGAAATTCTCATTAATGTTTATGGGTGTTTTCTGTTGTTTTGTTTGTCAGTGTTATTTTGTCAATGTTGAAGTGAATTAAGGTACATGCAAGTGTAATAACATATCTCCTGAAGATACTTGAATGGATTAAAAAAACACACAGGTATATTTGCTGGATGATAAAGATTTCATGGGAAAAAAAATCAATTAATCTGTCTAAGCTGCTTTCTGATGTTGGTTTCTTAATAATGAGTAAACCACAAATTAAATGTTATTTTAACCTCACCAAAACAATTTATACCTTGTGTCCCTAAATTGTAGCCCTATATTAAATTATATTACATTTCATATGCTATATGTTATAGTTCATTCATTTCTCTTCACCATGTATCCTGCAATACTGGTACACGAACACACTTTTTACAAAACCACATACCCATGTACACATGCCTAGGTACACATGTGCATGCACTACAGTTTAAATTATGGTGTACCTAATGTAACCCCTAAATATTTTAGAAGTATGTACCTATAGTTTTACCTCAAAAAAACCAGAAATCTCTAAAGACCAGTAGAAATATTAAAAAATGATGCAAGATCAAAATGATTAGCTAATTCTCCATACATAATCTGCAGATGATCTTCTTTGGTTGGCATTTCAGGTGTGGCCATCACCCAGAGTTAAATAACACCTAATCTAGGTGTTTACATGTATTCATTATCCTAGTTATTTCATGTAGTTTCTAATTCTTAAAGGAAAGAGGGTAATAGTTCTATTTGTGTAATTTGTTTCCTCCAAACTTAAGGCCACTTATTTACACAAGATATTTGTAGATCTATTTTCCTAAAGCATTTCTTAAGTGCTCAGATCAGTATCTAATTGAAGAAGTTTAAAAGTGTTTTGGTCATTAAAAATGTACTTAAATAGGTTAAATCTAAGCCTTGCTGCTGTGATTGGCTTCTAGCTCACTGCCTTTAAATTTTAAAAAATTTAAGAGGAAAATTTCCAAGTCTCCAAAGTTTTATAAATACCCTTCATCAAGTCATGCATTAAAGTATATATTGGAGAAAAAAATAAAAATACTTTTCTCAACCTGGAAGATTTTAGCCTAATAAAGCTTTTTTGAAGTAAAAGACAACTTGTAAAAGGAAAGAAACTAGTTTGTCTCAACTCTGTATTCATTTATTTTTTTTTTGAAGTAGAGTGGAATCTGTTGAATCAGATATTTTATCAAGATATGTTTATTTTTTCTTATTTCATTTTACAAAGTTCACTCCTAATGCCATATGTAACAGACATTTAAATTTTGTGTTCTGTATAACAGCCAAATTATCATATTTATCATTGTATTTGTCATGCTTAGCTAAAGATCATGTATTTGTTGAGAAATAGAATAACAAAAAGTAATAGGATAGGCTTTGAATTTTTGCAGAAATCTTCCTGTACAAAACACCTTTAAAAATAATTTTTTGAATGGTGTGAATCCAGTAGTCCCATTTCTCTGACTTAGTTTTCTTGAGTGATTTTTATCAAGGCCAAGTCCCCAAACAATTCCCTACCAGCTCTTTAGAGTACTGTTCAATCTGGACTAAAATGGTTTTAAGTTTATGGAGAGCTTAGTCCACAGAATATAGGGCGGCGAGTCCAGAAATGCTTATACAATTTTTTTTTCATAATAAGATATGTGCTGGCATCAAGAAACTTAAAGTGGAAGCAAAAAGACATCCAACTAGTTGCTGGTCTCTATCATCTTATCTGATGGTATTTCTATTTTCCTTATATAATACACCATTTTAGTAAGAACTCCTAGAAATTTCAAGAGCATATTGCCAAAATATAAAGTATATTTCATAGTTTCTTCTGGCTGAACCAGTGAAATTTTATTATTGCATATTAATGATATTTGTAAAACTTTTATAAAAATTGTCATAATTTTAAATACTCACATTTTAAAAATACTTCTTTAATGACTCTTCCTCTAAATTTCCTGGAAATACAGATAAAGATTAGCTAGATACAAGATACAGCTAAGTATTTAGACATTTTGAGGCTAGTATTTTTCATTTTATTAAAGGCTAAAAACAATACCACCAATAAATCATCAAACAAACCGTACAAAGTAATTCTCTCTTTGGGAGGCTCCTTTCGTGATAGAGGGACATGGGTGGAATTGACAATGAAACTTAGATGAACAAGGTCCATGTTATTTTAGGTGGTAGAACAGGGTAGAGTCATGTCATTATTTGCTGGTGGAAGACACTATTTACCAGGTGTTCTTTGCTGAATAAATCATTAAACATTTTTAAAAATCCAACAATCCACTTTATTTTGTGTCATTGACAAAAGGATCTTTTAAATCAGAAGGTTTCAATGCAATTTTTGGTTTGGCTGTTTGAATAATGGTTATGTACTGTTATAATTGTAGACATTTTCTCACGTCTACCAGGAATTGAAGTGTAAAACTAAAATATTTTTCATAATGCCTCTGCCGTGCAGAAGGAATGATAATCCTTTTGTATACTTCTTTAATTTTATTGTAAAATGTGTAATGACTTTTACCTATATGCTGTGGGCAGGTCCTCAGTAAAATCTATTGAGTCAATTTCTAGTATTAACAGGCTTTTGCTTGCTATCTAAGTGTTTCAAATTATGGGAAGTGTGAGACACTGGAAGGCAAGAAAATTAACAATAATGGCATGTGATAGCAAAATTGTATTTCACTTATTCCTGTGAATATTTCTTGTTGGTACCAATGGTACTGTACAAAGTGAATGTTATAGCCACAACATTCTCTTGAAAAGAACACTGTCAAGAAGTGGGAAATTGCTGTCAGGCATTTCATTGTTGTTTTTAAACTTTTTTAAAAGAAATACTGGTTTTGCAATATAGAGATCATGTGGTAAAGAATTTTAATAAGATCTTATACTAAAAAGCCTTAAATCAATTTATTGAGATTCAAAAAATACTATTATAATTAATTACATCCCATACATATAGGCAAACTCATTTAAAAAATAAAACTAATTTTGGTAAAAGTACATGGCCTTTGTTTTTAAAATACATAATTTTAAAATAAATCACTTGTCATGATAAAGTCCAAAAAGAAGTTATCATTCAACATTCAACTAAGGTTGGAGCTAAGAATTTACTAATACAAAAAAAGTTAAAATTTTTTGGACCATATATATCTTGACAGTGTAACTTTTAAGTAGGTTCATTTCCATTTGCACAGAAAGTTTCTGTCTTTAGGAAACTGAAAATGAAATACTGTGGATGCTATGACTGTTTGTCTTGTATGTAAATAGGAAATTAATAAGCTGCCTATTGAGTGGTATAGCTGTATGCTTACCCAAAAAAGGGAACACTGTGGTTATGACTTGTATTATAAACTTTCTGTAGTTAATAAAGTTGTTATTTTTATAACCATGATTATATTATTATTATTAATAAAATATTTTATCAAAATGCTTATTTTCTCTGTTATGATTATTTACATGTACATATTTATATCTGTCTTAGGGCCTAAATGCAGAAAATAGCAATGTTGACTTCACTGACAAAAATTACATACACGTTCTTGCAAAAACTATAATACAACTTGTTTATAGAACTAAGACAAAAATCATTATTTTATTCCAACTAATATCCACAGCAATATAGTTGGTCTTCAGTAAACCATTAATCTCTATGTACTTTAGTTTCTCCCACCGTAAAATGTAACTATTTGTTTATTCTTCATATTTGCTAGAATGGTGCTATGTTGTTATTTGCCAATATATACAAAATATTCCCATGAATTTTCACCTAATTTCCTTTCTCATGCCACTATATAATACAAAGGTGATTTTAAATTATTTAATGAATCACTTTGGGTATCTCTTTAAAGTGTGCATTCAGTTAAGAATAAATAAGAATCCAATGGATTCATTTAATTCAAATTGGAAGAACTAGTCCTCAATGATCTAAGCAAAGAGAGCTCTATAACACCACTGATTATTTCAAATTGTATTTTACTGCCTTTTTCCCCCAAAAGGTTGCTGTACTAATTTATTCTGGCATAGCTAGTGATCTCAAGTGATGACTAATGTATCTAATTCTATAGCCCATATTAAAATACCTAATCTTTTAAGTGATTGTGATTAAAGCAGAATATATACTTATCCATTTATGGTGGCAGTAAGAATATTTCAAATATATTAACTTTTGATTTCTCTAAATTTTGACCTTTTTTTCTCTCTTTTCTAGAATCCCATTCCATTCTAAACCTATATTCTGCTATTTAAATAGAATAGTCCAGCAAATCTTCTTTAAGAGATATTTGAACAGGGTCCTCAGTAAAATTTAGGGAGTGAATTGTTTAAATACCTGGGGTCTGATAAATAATACTTAGAAAATATTTTTGTTGGTTTCTTATTTATTTACTCTTATAAATTGTGATGCTCTAAATAGTTACCATTTGTCAGTGTCCTGAATAGAATCATCTTGGTCTGCATTTCCTCTGTGTTTTAGTCCCGGAGTTCAATTGCCATTCTATTTTATTATTCTCCTACACAGGGGCCATCCTTAACCTATACAATCCTTAAAAAGTTTTCTACATCACTTTCACCAAATTACAAGCCTCTCATGTATAATTCACATTAAAAGGTTTATTCTTGGCACTCTATAGTTTTCTTTTGTCCCTTATATTTACAAATATCTCGATTGCACGTGTTATTTTTAAAAGCCAAGAATTAAAAGTACGATGAAAGGAATACTTCTAGTAATTGGCGAAGAGTTTACAGTATTATGAAGAATATATTATTGCCTAAAGAACAGCTAAGCAAGACAGAAAATACCTGGCAAAGGAAAGAAACTTAATTTTATTTTATATAATTCAAAAGAAGTATGGGATCATAGGTTATATGTTTATTTATGGATTTTAAAAGTAAATAATAACATCAAAAAAGCACCAATGAAAACAAAAAACTTATCAATCTGACATACAATCTAACTCCAAGCCAACTTCAGACCCTCATCCCACTCAAATACTACTTAACATTATTTTATTTTCATCATTTTTGAACATGTCTTCATATTTAAACTTCATGTCTGTGTTCAAACAGTCCCCATGAACATCATGCTTTTCTTCAACATTTAAAAACCTTCATATGTCACTGGGTTTCCTATGTGATTCCATCCTCAACATCCCTATCCAAAAAATCATCATTTCCTCAGCTTGCCGCAGTGGCTGCTTACGCTTTCTTATATATATATATATATATATATATATATATATAAATGTTTTATTATTTTATTATTATTTTTTCCCACAAGTTATTGGGGTACAGGTGGTATTTGGTTAAATGAGTAAGTTCTTTAGTGGTGATTTGCAAAATTTTGGTGCACTCATCACCTGAGCAGTATACACTGCACCATATTTATAGTCTTTTATCCCTCACCACCCTCCCACTCTTCCCCCCAAGCCCCCAAAGTCCATTGCATCATTCTTATGCCTTTGCGTCCTCATAGCTTAGCATCCACATATTGGTGAGAACATACGATGTTTGATTTTCCATTCCTGAGCTACTTCACTTAGAATAATAGTCTCCAAATTCACCCAGGTCACTGCAAATGCTGTTCATTCATTCCTTTTTATGGCTGTGTAGTATTCCATCATTCATATATACATATCTATATATGTATATATAAATATATACATATACACACATATATATCTCTCTCACCATATATATGTATACCATATGTATAGATATAGTATTCCATCTATATACATACACACATCACAGTTTCTTCATCTACTCATTGATGGGCATTTGGGTTGTTTCCAAGATTTGACAATTGTGAATTGTTGATGCTTTCTTTTCATTTGTTACAATAGTGTGTGTATGACTGAATTAGATCAGTTTCGATTTATTCTGCTTTGTTTTTTTAATTTTTTTTTTTTTTGAGATGGAGTCTCGCTCTGTTGCCCAGGCTGGAGTGCAGTGGCATGATCTCGGCTCACTGCAACCTCCACTTCCTGGGTTTAGGCAATTCCTTCATCAACTACCTGAGTAGCTGGGATTACAGATGCATGCCGCCATGCCCGGCTAATTTTTGCATTTTTAGTAGAGACGGTGTTTCACCATCTTGGCCAGGCTGGTCTTGAACTCCTGACCTTGTGATCTACCCACCTTGTCCTCCCAAAGTGCTGAGATTACAGGCATGAGCCACCACGCCCAGCTATTCTGCTTTGTTTCAATGTGCAATCACCTCCAGTGAGTTTGAGCTCCTTGAAGACATTTAGCATTGTCATATTAGTAATATTTGCACACTATTTTGTACAGTGCTTCACATATTATGGTATCCAATATACATTTTATAATTATTAATATTCTATAATTCACCCTCTTCTTGAAGCCTTATCAATGTTAACAAGACATTTGGGATTTTTGTAAAAATTATGCAACTCTCAATGAGGATTAAGAATTTTAAGATTTTATATTTAGTTGCATTATTTAGATTTGAATTAGTAAGTGGGGCTATTTTAAAATATTTTATTGTATTTATACAATAGACAATGCAGCTGGAAAAGAGAAATTATTAACTTTAGAGAGTTTATACATTTATATTTGCAATGCGGTTATTAAAAATAGAAATAAAAAATTAAATTTCAATTTGCTTATGGATAAATATATTGTTTTATCAAACTAATAGAGTTTAGATTATGCTAGTGAATACTTTTTCCCATCTGGAAAAAAGATTCTTCCATGAAAGGTTGATGTCATAACATTGGAGGATAAAGTTAAAGGATAAATTATTGCAAAAATATCCTGAGTCCACAATAGTCCACTCATTATATACGTGCAAATATCCAATCTGTTGTGCATTGAGAAGTTTCACAGTATCATTACTTAAGGAACAAGAGGTTTTCATTTGATGAGTTTTCTTAACTGAGAGAAATGAACATGCGTAGCATGTTGCAAGGAAATGAGGTGAACCAAAGGCAGATGGATTTTCATATTAATTATTTTTCATGTAGTTTTAAAGCTTTACAAAAGTGTGAGGTTTTCAAGTTTCTGACTTTTTAGATGAATTAAAACCTAAATGTAGTAATAGCTCAAAATATATTGTTGTGCCGTAAAACAAAGAATTTATATCCTATTAAAAATAATGAGTAATGTAACACGTGGAAAATTGACTTAATGAAATAAGTGATTAAAGATATCTAGATTAGAGAAGAGAAGGTGCAAATATGATTAAATATGTTTCTTCAGTTGTCCAAAAAGTCTTTCTGAGAGGAAATGCTCAGGTCCTTTTGGTTAAAAAAGTAAGAATTTGTGAAAAATAAGATTGACATTTCAATCAGATAGTTTAGGTACCAGGCAGTACTTCCCAATAGTGAAGGTTGCAGAATATGTGAATGAACAAGAAGAACAGAATCTCTAACTACAAACGTTTTCTAAAGAAGGAAATATTTCTTTAATGACTTTCATAAGCTTTAACCAAACTGGTCTTTTGCAGGATCCTTAAAAGCTATACTGAGAAGAACAAAATGTTCAAGGCTTAAGTAAGCTTTGGAGATGCTGGGATGCTTTATACAGGCCACTTTGCTGTGGGATAGTTAAGAGCCTTTAGATGCTCATATGTGTCTTGAAGCTCCATGAGAGAGTATGGTAGAGGACATTCTTCAGATTTACTGTATTACAGAACCCCCTTACAATTACAGAGCCAATATTTCATTTCGTCTTAAGACACTAGAGTTCTGATAAATGCAGTCCGGAAAAACTTGATTTCCAAATTTACTTTCTAAATGAGAGGCAGTTATTACTACATGGTTTGAGATTTCTATGTCTTTATAATGTACAATATGTTTTCTCTACAAAAGCATCTCACAGAAAATTTTCCCAGATCAAACTTCTTTTTTACATGATTTACTCTTTTCTACTTACTTTGAGTAAAATTCAGACAGGAGGAGTTGATGCACATTTTTCTTGACATATACGTACCATCTATAGGAACTTTCCTATCAATAATACAGAACCAAAATTGATTACACAAAACTGTGAAGGTAGTCCTATTTTAACAGTACTAAAGCTAAAAAAATTGCCTGTTTTTTAAAATCTTTCTAGTGTTTACAACATCCCCTCCTCTGCCTAAATTTCCAGCTCTAGAAACAGGGCACCAAGGAAAAGAAAGACACGTAAAGATTATGAAAGAAAATAAAAATGAAAGAAGAAAAAGGAAAAAAAAAGATTAAAAAAGAAGTTGAGGGGAGCTGGGAGAAGTTTTCTGAAGGCATTTACATGTCCTTAGAAGTGAGGTCAACAAAAAGATCTAAAGCATTATTCTTCTTTATTAGCCTCTTTCCTCTTAATTACAATCACTTGTATTTCCAAAATCCACTTACAAACCAAATACAATGAGTCATCCCAAAATTAACAAGCACAGAGAATGCAGTTCTTCCACATTCACAATGTCCCATTTTTATTCTTGTTCTTTTTACTTCTAAACTTCCTCAGTAATGTCTTTTTTATCAGCCTTATTGAGGTATGATTGACAAATAAAAATTGTATATATTTAAGGTGTAAAACATGATGTTTGATATATGTACACATTGCAAAATGATTACCACAATCAAATTAATTAATATATTCATCACCTCACAGTTACCGTGTATGTGTGAGATGAGAACACTTCATTTTTACTCTCAACAAATTTCAAGTCTACAACATCTTCTTAACTATAGTTACCAAGCTGTAATTAGGGCTCTAGTACTTATTAAAATTGCTCTCTAAAATATCACAACTCCCTTCTCAGCTTCAAATGCTTTAGCATCTTTCCACCACCATGACTTTACAGGGGAGGTTGGCTGGATCTCAGCAAAGCAGCTCAATGGGATAGCACTGAAGCAGGTGGAGATAAAAGCAAAGGCTCATCTGTGCACTTAACGTCACTGCTTGGATGTGCTCTCAGCATCTAAACTGAACATTTCTAAAACTGAACCCCAATCTCTCCTTGCCCTTCAATCTTCTTCTCAATAAAAGGAACATCCATCGGGCTTGCTCAAGCTAGGATCCAGAAAGTCATTTTTAACCTATTTGTGTCCTTCTTTCTCCATTCAGCCAAAGTTTTACCTTCTAAATACATCTTAAATCACTCACATGTCTCTGTCTCCAGTGGCTCCACTTTAGCCCAAGGCACAATTTTCTTCCACTTTCATTACTATAGTAATCTCAAAACTGTGTTCATTACTGTAGTAACCTCAAAAATGTGTTTCTCCACGTTTACTCTCCACCTTCTATCCTTTTTTTATTTTTTATTTTTATTTATTTATTTTTTTCTTAGACAGGGTCTCTTCTGTGGCCCAGGCTGGAGTGCAGTGGTGCCATCATGGCTCAATACCATATTGAACTCCTGGGTTCAAGCAATCCTCTCACCTCAGCTTCCCAAGCAGATGGGACTCTAGGCATGCACCACCACATCTAGCTAGAATACACATTTTAAAATGTAACTCTGTATTATTCTCCTGTTTGAATATTCTCAATGATTTCCTATCAGCTGACCAACAGATGAACTATCCCTGATGGTTCAACTCCTCACTCACCTCTTTTCCTTTTGTCCACTATATTCTAGCTACACTAGTATCTTTCAGTTCTGGGAGTAGGCCAGGAAGCTCTTTCCTGCCTCAAAACCTTTGCATATGCTGTTCTTTCTGCCTGGAATTATCCCCCCACCCACCAGCTTTTGCCTGACTAATGCCTACTTCATCATTCAGCTTAAATATCACCAATCATCCCCCCACCCACCTTCCTGATCCAGTTACACATTGCACAGGATGACACACTTCTATTTCGGGACACTTACCTCAATTAATTAAATTGTCGTTTGCATACACAGATATGAATATTGTCTCTACTACTAGATTCTAAGCTCCAGGAGAACATGGGCTAGGCTAGGTACTACATGATAAATATTTTTAAAATGAATGTGTCAGAAATTATGTTCACAGTTTTTGTCTTGTTTTCTTTCAATTCAAAAATACGATAGCATTATAATCTCTTTTGTTTACTCTTTTAGTAATAGCATCTCCAAATTCCTTTGGCAGTAGTGTTGGGGAGGTGGTTTCCACTGGCTTCTGTCATACACTTCTGTTTTAAATCAGCACATGTTTATTGAGCATTTACTATGATAGTACTGAGTGCTGGGGATACCATGGTGAATAAATAAACCTTGACCCCTACCCTTCTTATAAATACAAGCAAGTTTGGGAAACAGGCATCAACCAAGAATCTGAAAGTGTTAACTGAGAAGTGCAAATAGCTTCTGGAGTATATAGCAAGATTTTACTGTGCTTTTCAGTTCATCCTTCCTTAATCTTTCAACATTGTGGTAATCTCAAATCCTGCCTATTGGAATATTATTTTTTTCTATTTTATGAACACTTCCATTATGACATAATTATTTAATCATATTTAGTGTTTCTCTCTTTTATCTTTCCTCTTTCTTTGTTGAATTTTTCCAGATTCCTAATCTTTTAAGTCTTGCCCCTTCTTTCTTACTTTCCCAAGTGTCTTATCACACTTAATAGATTCAAGAGGTCTGTGTATTTATTATCAAGGGAATAACATAGTTTCTCAAATGGTGAAAACACTAGCACATTTTACACATGAAATTACAAAGATTTCTCTAGTTAGCATGAAATTGACAAATGTTTCATCGTAAGCTTTTAATTACATCTGAAGATGATCAAATAACAATAGATAATGCTTATTCAGTGCTGTTTTCCAGGCTCTGTTTTATCTCATTTAATCACCATTACAACTTTACATAGGCAGGTTCTAAAACTACATCCGTTTTAGAGAAAAGGAAGTGTTCAAATAATTCATAATTAGAATACATTTAGGGGTGGATTTTCAATATTAATTCCACCTGGCCCTTTGTTTTATACTGTGTCGTGGACATTTGATTTAATTATTTTCCAGGAAAGTAGGAGGGAGGGAAAACACTTATTTAAACAAGAAAACATTGCTATCATCTGGGTAGGATATGAGCAAGAAGTTATTCAGAGGTCAAACTGCTTTTCACACAGGCCTTGCCCAAAGCTCTTTGAGATGTCAACTAAAGGAACATGGCCTCCTCATCTCTAAATACACCTGGCTAACAGGCGAGTTGCTTCTTACCATGAAGTTGAAAGTTAGCAGGGAAAGGCCAGTTTAGCAGAGGAGATTTATTTATCTTTAATGGGGGAAGGGAGTGTAGCTATTGAAAAAGAAAAGCAACAGGCTTGTGAGACAGAAATAGAACTGCAGAGAAATGTGTATTGCTAAAAATTCTAAGGGACTTCGTTGGGAAAAAGTTCAAAATTTATTCTGAAACAAAGAAAAGCAGTAATGGTCCCTGCCCTTTATTGCTGATACCAGAAGGTGTTTTATGAAAGAGAGAAACACCTTCAAAGAAAATTACCATCTTTTTCATAGGGTCGTTTTGCATTACATTACAAGTCTATATTACAGAGACTTTGACAACTGCCAAGGCCTGTTAAAAATCACCTCTTCATTTTACACACACACACACACACACACAAACACACACACACAAACACACACACACAAACACACACACAAACACACACACACGAACAGAAAAGTATAATGACTTGCCCAGGGTCACATAGCTGGAGGCAGAGCCAGTCCTGGGAACAAGACCTACTCTATTTTACATTCAAAACCTTAGTTTTATTATTTACTTATTTTTAATCATATTCATGTATATTAAAGTTTAATCGAAATCCTGAAGGATCTGCAATACTTTTAGAAGAGTTTAAAAGCATGAATAGTTAAAAAATTTAAAACACTGTCAGAGAAAAGGAGAGACTCAACTTACCTTACAGCTGAATTAGATAATAGAAAAGGCCTGGCAGAGAAAGCCAATCCCAGGTGCAGCCCTAGTAAACTCCTACATAAGGAGCAAGACAAGGTGGATCTTCGTTTGGCCTCCTTCCCCAATTCAGTTTGTAATTTGACTCCGTGCCTGGCCGGGAAGAAGTTATTCTAAGGAGAACCTGGGGCTGCATTTGTTGGCAGAAATGGAGTTGAAATGCAAATCAAACAAGAGCACAAGCAAGCAAGCAGTAGCATAAAATGGAATGAGTGCAGGTCCGTTCTTTTCAACCTCTGGGGAAATGACCCTGCCAATTCAGAAACCCGCAAGAGTTCCTGCCCTAGAGAGGTGATTTTATTTTTATTTTTTAAGCAGCTTTAGACGACTGTCTTTGTTTGCAGATTTAAAATTGCTTTCACTTACTTTTACAGAACTAGGGATGTTCTGTGGCTGTGCAACCTGTGAGATGAGTTCTTAAATAGACTAGTTTGAGACTCTAACTTGATGTTTCCCAAATACAGATTGTACATTTTGATTACAGGCTTAGTAAATAGTTCTTATCGTTCTCAATATCATGCTTGTGATTTGTATATTTCTCAGCCACCTTAATTCATTAATTTGAATCTTCAAGCTCTGTGTACCTTGTAATATTATGAGTATTCTCAAGATGTTCACATATCTAAAAATATAACAAAAGCCCTCTTTAGTCTAATGATCCCTGTGGAAACTCTGCAGTCTCCTTTACGAAATAGTACTGTTTGGGGGAAGAGAGAGGGCTGGCAAATGAGATATCCTGATCACTTCTGCATGTCGTCAATGATGTACAATTGTATTATCTTGACTTTCATGTTTTGAGTAACATCATAGCAATATGGCCCAAATTTTAGCTAAATTTTTTGGAACCCTCTTATAGCATCATGCCTGGAGTTTAGTGTATCTGGATGCTCTTCTGAGGTATACTCAAAAAGACAAATTTTTGTGAATCTACCCACCTGGATGTCCAATAGGTACTTCAAATTACATCTTACAAACACCTATCATGTCATTTCCCCCTAAAACTGGGTTTTCTCTAAAATTTTCAAGTTTCTATTCCAGTTCTGGCAGTACCATCTGCAAAACCACCAAAGCCAGAGCCCTGGCTCATCCCATTGTTCTGCCACTGCCCCACAGCTCAGCTCTCTAAGTGCTTCTGATCTTGCCTTCATTAAGTGCTTCTAATTATGCCCTCAAAGTTACCATTCCTCTTCCTGTTTGCCTCATTCGCTCTGGTAGAAACTGTCATTATTTCCCTCCACTGCCTCAGTGTTCTAAAAAGCTGACTCCAAACTAGTTTTTCCTCAAGCCCTTCTCACCTGTTCTGTCGGAGTGATCTCTTTCAAGGGCACAAGTGGAAAAGGCAGCCAACACTATAGTCCTTCTGTGGCTTTCCATCTGCCATGATGCAGACCGCAGGTTTTTAGTGACCTCAGAACTCACCCTCACCTCTTCCCTAATTGTTAGTTCTGCTTTAAGCAAAGAGATTGCATGGTCCTACTTTGAAAGAATACTCATATGTTTTGTTTTGCTGTTTGTTTTTATTTGTCCCTTTGTTTTATTGGCCTCAATGGTGTTTGTCATGGTGTTCTGTTTTGGTGATTTGTCAATGTTTTGTCATGGTGTTCTTTCTTATGTAGTTCTACCTATTGTCTCTATTCTTTGCTAAATCCTACTTAGGTTTTGAGTTTGACTTCAGTTTTATCTTCCTCTTGGCCGTTATCCCAACCAAGTGGCTGGCTGGGTCCTGCCTTTCTAGTTTAGTTCCTACCAGCCCTATTGTCTGGGCATGAAACACTGCTCTAGATCTGTTTCATCTGTTTTTAAGTGGATAACCTTAGAGAACCTACTTTCCCTGAAGCAATAGGATTTCAGCTCTGTAACTGAGCTTAGCCCACTTACAGCTTGACATTGTTGCACATAAAACCACTTAGACATTGTTCTCAAGCTGTTCTCTCTTGCTGGGAGCTTCAGCTTCTACATCAAGTGTTGCTAGTGTGCACACACTGAACCATGAATTGATATTTTTGCTTTCTCTCCCATGAAATAAAATTTAGAATAAGGTACACATAAGTAGCTCTTAAAATAGTTATGACCTTGGATTTGTTTGATCTTAATTTTAGATTTTTAGTTAATCAGCAGTAGTTTGAATCACTGTAATTTCCCTCCACTTAAATATTTAACATCATTTGTGTGATATTAAGGGATTCTATCTATGCCTTTATGAGTTGTTGTTTGCAATATATATTAAGTATGCTATTAATATGAAAGAAAGTCTCATGAATGTGGTTTTATCAGTTAGAATTAGGTTTTGCTAAATTGACAAAAATACAAGATAATAATTTTATTTTTCCTTCATATAAAATCAAACTAGAGGTAGAAGTCCCAAGTTGACACGGTAGTTTCAGGAATCACTGGGGACTCAGATTCTGTCTGTTACTGAATTATTCCCAATACTCAGCTGAATTATTCCCAATACTCAGCTCCATTTCATGTACAAAATGGGTGCTTAAGGACCCATTATCAAGTCTGTGTTCCAAGCAACCAGAGAGAGAAAAGAAGGAAGTGCAGCCTTTCCTTAAGAACATATCCCAAGAGCCCAGGCATGGCTCTCCTGCTTATGTTCCCGTGGCCATGAACTTAGTTACATGGCCAAACCTAGCTGAAAGGGTGACTTAGGCTTCACGTGCCCAGCTAAATATTTGGAATTCTATTACTAACATTAGTAGAGAATGGATTTGGGGGAGTACCAGCTAACTCTGTGCTAAAGGATATTTACTTTTGTAAAGAAAAACTTTAAACTTTCTTTTCCATTCTTTCCAAAGATTCAGAATTCTTCATAATTTTAAGGAGGAAAATGTGACATATAGTTTTCTTTTCCTTGTGTAGCAGAACATAAATGGTGAGGGTGGAAAGGTAAAGTAGTAGTATACTTCCTTAGATGGAGTATTGATACAATTATTTAACCCACTTAATGACAATAGAACTTTATTTGAATTACAGGATCAGGCTACATAAAGGGACAATTAGAGATATCATTTCTAGTGATTCAGAGTGAGTATAAGAATATTTACTGAAAAAAATTTTTATCTCCAAATTTCTCCTCTTACCTTCATTTTCTACTGTTTTCAGCAGATAGCAGTCCTAAAATTTCATTTTAAATATATATTACTTTTTTATTTTGTATACTTTTGTTGGAACAAACTTTATATACTTTGTGGAGAGAGAATGTATTGTGTAATCAGTGAGCTTTAAAAGACAAGAAAAAAACTAAACCATATCTTGTTAAAATTATGAAGACAAAACTGTACTTAACATCTGGTCATGACTATTTCAAGCAACACTCATGTGATTTGATGATATGCTAGATAATTATGAGAGTTGGGTTTTATATGGGAAAAAAAGTAGAGTGATTTTTTAATACATTTTCTAGCAACCATTTCAACTTAAATTAAACATACTTATGTTCCTATAATAAAGTAAGCTATACATTTTTTAAATCTCACTAAAGCCTAATAATCTACAGAAATTTATATGAATTTCATATATTCATGAGGAAAGAGAATTTTAGTTTACAATGGTTAAATTTTTAAGTTAAAGTGTATAACGTAATGCTTTTTCATCATTAGATAGACTTTCTATTTGGAAAATATTTATGATTAGGTAATCTACTTTTAAGTATTGATGTGTTATATGTTCAAAATTTAAAATATATTAAAATTAATGATAATATAAATAAGCCAAGGTAAAGAAATGAACCAATACTTATTGAATACGTTCTATGTGCAGACACTATATAAAAAAAAAGTGAATATAGATTTTTTTTTTTTTTTTTTGAGATGGAGTCTCACATTGTCATCCAGGCTGGAGTGCAGTGGCACAATCTCGGCTCACTGCAACCTCCGCCTCCCAAGTTCGAGGAATTCTCCTGCCTCAGCCTCCCGAGTAGCTGGGATTACAGGTGCCCGCCACTATGCCTTGCTGATTTTTGTATGCTTAGTAGAGACGAGGTTTCACCATGTTAGCCAGGCTGCTCTTGAACTCCTGACTTTAGGTGATCTGCCTGCTTCGGCCTCCCAAAGTGCTGGGATTACTGGTGTGAGCCACCGCGCCTGGCCATGAATATAGATTTTTAATCTCACAATAATCTGTCGATATGGTTTGGATCTGTGTCCCCATCTAAATCTCATCTTGAATTGTAATAATCCCCACATGTCAAGGGTGGGACCAGGTGGAGATAATTGAATCATGGGGGCAGTTTCCCCCATGCTAGACTGGTGATAGTAAGTTCTCACAAGATCTTACAGTTTTATAGGGGGCTTCCTTCCCCCTTTGCTTGGCTCTCATTCTTCTCTTTCCTGAAATCATGTGAAGAAGGATGTGTTTGCTTTCTCTTCTGCCATGATTGTAAGTTTCCTGAGGCCTCCCAGCCATGCAGAACTGTGAGTCAATTAAACCTCTTTGTTTTATAAATTATCCAGTCTTGGGCAGTTCTTCATAGCAGTGTGAGAACAGACTAATATATTTCTATATCTTCATTTTACCAACAAGCTAATTAAAAGTTAGGAACTAGGCATGGTGATCATTATTAAGTGATGTGCATCCAATTTATACTCTTCACCAAGATTTTTCCATCTTGCTCCACCATGATATGTTTTATTTTCATTGTTTCATAATCTTAGGATGAAATATCTAACATATCTATTTTGAAAGGTATGGTAATGTTATTGTATCTGTGTTCTGTCTCCTTTATTTTTAAGTATATATTTCAAGGAGTTAAATTATTTCGCTTGTTGCTATTTATGAAAATTCCTTGTAGCAATAGAACAAACCGTTTATTCAAGAATGTGAAATTCGGCCCTGCTCTAAACTACATTTGTTAATTTAACTTGACATATTTATTAAACAGATGTTATGTGTCAGGTACTTGCCTAAGCATTGAGAACACAGTAGTGGGTGACTTAGGCAATAAATAAACAACTTGAAAATAATAAAAACAACAGTTTTAAAAAATAAAAAAAAGTAGGGAGATAAAGCAATCCAAGGAAGAGTCTGAGGTATAAGATCTATGATCAAGGAAGACCTTTCTCTTCATGAGATCATATCTGAGCAGAGACAGAAAACACAAGAAGGAAAAAAACAAAACACCATACTCCATGGGGAGGAAGGGCAAGCATAAGGGACATGAAGTGGTGCATGCTTGGAGAACTCTAGGGCAACAAGGAGGTCTGCATGTTTGGATGAATTTGGAGAGTGGTGGAAGAGGAGGCTTAGAAGTAGGTTTGGAGATAGACAGGGTCCAGATAATAAATGGAGAGCTTTGTAGGCTACGGTTAGGAGTTTAGTAGTAAGCTCTGCTTACTCAGATTGAGGGAACAGCCTCACTCTGGACCACTGCCAGTCAGCATTGCAGAAGGGACTTACAGCTGCTCCCCAGAGGCAACACACGTCACTTCTGTGTAGAGTTCATTGATGAGAGTGAGTCACAGGGCCAGTCCTGAGTCAGTGAGCCAGAATGTAATTATCCCTGAGAGAAGAGCAAGGAACATGTGTGAATCATAACACAACCTATCACAAGTAACTGTCTGTTAATTGGAGGGTCCTCTGGGCCCCCAAATGAATTTCATATACTCCATATGACAGCATTTAAATCATACAATTTAAAATACTTTTTCCCAACTTTGCAAGAAAAAAAAATTCAGCTATGTCATTGAAACAGATCAGCCAGACAGATAGGTCTGGCTTTATTTATTGAAAGCTCCAGAAAAAGAATGACTGGGTTAAAGCAAGGGAGATAATTATTTCTGAAGCTCTTTAACATATAACCAGATTGCCTTCAAAATGGGGGTGCATGAATTTATGCTGTGATCAGCAATATGTGAGAATTTTCCTGAATTTAAGCTCTTAACATATGAGAATTTTAAGTGTCATTGAAGCATCATTAGCAGTTTGTTTTCTGACTTCTTATATTTTGGTTTTTTGATATAGGATAATAGGGGTACTTTCTCCTGCTCTGGCTTGTAAGAAGAGCTACAATTTTCATGTGTTTAGCTCTGAAGATGGCTTTTTTTTTTTCATGTCGTCTCCACCTGCAATGGAAAATGGTGTGAAAGAAATAAGCCTTTGTCTTGAAAAACACTAGGATATTCGTGTTGTTTATCACTGTGGCATAACCTAGACTACCTTGACTGAAATAATTACACTTCAGAAGATTGAAATGAAGGCACACTAAGACTGCTACATGACGATCAATCAGTAACAGCACACAATACGCATTCAGATTCTATGGAATGTGAAAACAAATAGTGGTTTCATGTATGAGGTCAAAATTAAAATTCAGACAGGAGGAAACTCCAAATGAAGAGGTGTTGATTTAGAGTTAACCTGTCACTCACAGATGACTGTGGTTTGGTTTATGATGAGTGGCATCAGAGACTTATTTATTGTCGTAAGTACTATTATTGATTCTTGAGAGCAAGGCTGAGGAGGCTAACTCATCTAGCCTAAGGATAGAATTATATATACGGAGAAAAAAGTGTGCTAATATGTTTATCATTGCATTTCTATAATACTCAAACCCTGAAACAACCTAAATATCTGACTTTAGGATGGCTTAATATATAGTATAAACTCAGATATATTTTGCTGCTATTAAAATATGTCACATTGCTAAGGGTTACTTGTGAAAATGCTTGTGATGATGTATATGTGTGATGTGTGTATATGTCTGTGTGTAAATATAAAACATAGTAAAAATTGAAAATTAGTATTTCTGGATAGCAAGGAACAAAAAATGTGGCATCTGTAGCCATAAGGTGGAGAAAAGAGTGATTTTAAATTATTCTTGCCACATTTAACAAAATTTCATCACCCTATGGTATATGCACACACACTTAATACAGAACAAAATAGGGCCTGCAGGATTTGGCAGGTAGGGTTTTGTGGTTGATCTTGGAAAAACAAGATTTAATTGAGGGAGAAAAGAAACTCAACATGATGTATTGGATTAGCAGGTAATTTTAGTTTGTGTTTTTCCAAATGTTCTCTCTCAGCCTTGAAATTAAGCAGATAACATATACAAATACAAAATGCTCATAAAGTGTTTAAAAGAGAAAATCTGAGTTTTCATGGACATGAAAAATAGCATTTTTTTCCCCTTAACATTGCCAAATTTTCTTGTGCAATTTAGAACGAGTCTCTTTGTGACTCCATATTAATCAATTTCATAATCTTATACCTTCAATTTGTCATTTAAAAATGATTCAGACTTTTGTTTCTAACTGTGGTTGGAGTCTCTTAAAAACATATCCTGTGTGGCTGTAGGTGCCATATGCTAAGGTTTAGCTTTACACTATTTATCACCACGGTCCCTCATCCTTTTTGCTTCTAATTCTATGTGTAATAAAAGGGGAAATTTATCTTTATTTACTTAATTTCAAGCCTCAGAGATTGCCTCTGCCATCCACACACAGCAGCAGCGTTGGTAGTCAGTAACCATGAGTGAGTGGAGGCATATGTCTGCACATCTCTTCAATTACCCTCCCCTGGACTTTCTCACTGTCAGCTTTATCTTCATTAAGGCAAAGCTACCACTTTCCCTTTGCATTTTTGTGTGCTAGGTCCTTGGTAAAAGGAGCTGGTGTTTTGTTCTTTAGTGCTATCTTTTGTGTATTAGCTTAGCAAAAAATAAAGAGCTTGATGAGAGGTGTATATGTGTGTGTGTGTTACCATTTTGTATTTACAGTGTAAATGTAATACATGCCTATGAATATAAAAAAATGTAAGAAATGCAGAACAGTACACGGTAAAACTGAAAACAGCACATCATCACAGAGATGATATTAACAGTTTGGCATATATCATTTAAATGCTATTCTATGTATATAATTGATGCTTTCTTTTCAAAAATGTAATCAGCCTACAGATATTGTTCTGTAATTTTTTTAATACTCTCAACACTCTACCATATATGTTTTTCCATGATCACATTCACAGACCATTTCCATCCTCTATAACTGAAATTATTCTATACTTTAGGTGTATATATTTATATAGATCAGCATTCCACTGGAAAGCTATTGCTTTTTATGTGAATGGATATCACATAACTATATTATTGTCTTTTTCTTTCAATCACACTGCTTAATCCCCTAGATTTCCTTATGGCATTTTCAAACTGAGTAATTTTTCTTTGCCTTTTCTTATAAAAATAAGTATCAAAATCCAATTATTTCAGTCAAAAATTTAAAAAGAAAGGGAAATGAAACATCATGCTTAATATGTGCCAGGATTTATACTAGGACTTTTAAATGTATGTTTTTTATCTTTATAAAAATTGTGTGAATAAAACCCATTGGTAATACAATATTTATTGAACACCTCCTTTGTGCCCAATGTTGTGTGAACTAGCTGTCATGCAAGTTAGATATATTGTGATCATTTCATAAAGGGAAGAGAAAACTGACTTCAAGAGGCTAAAAACTAAAGGTGATAAATGGATGTGATAGTATTTGAACATGTCTGTATAAAAACATAGCCTTTATTTTTCTATTAAACCATTTAATGTTACTCATTTAAGTGTTTATAATAGATAATATTTGTTTTATATTGTTTCACAATTCATCTTCCTAAAAATTTAATAATTTAGTTAAAAACCTCCAATGGCTTGCAGTTCTCTAGAGGATCTCATCTGAAATACTCAACGGTGTTTCAAAGCCATTTAAACTCCTTTGTCTCCAACCCCTCTATCTATAATCATGCAGAACTAATTTTCATTCACCGAACATTACATGTCACAACTTTGCATATCGCTTTCTCAAATGCTACTATATCTTCCTTCTATACATGGTAAACTTATATTCGTATTTTCCATACAACTAAATTGTCGACACCTCTGGGAAGCCCTCCTAAACTTCCTCAGAGAGAACAGTCACTTCCTTCTATGAGCTGCTATATCAATTTAGACATGCCTTTACCATATTATATATCATATCATAATATAGTGCAATTATGGTTTTAGCACAGACTTTTAGAAAGTAAAATTTGTATTTGTAACTTCTATTCTACCCAGTCTAGTTCCTTGGGTAGCAAATAGTCAGTGCTCAAGAAATTAGAGCTAAATAAATACCACAGAATACTTAACTTGAGGTTAGATTCCTACCCTGACCACTGAATAAGACATTACCAAATCTACCGCGAGAATATAGATCAGCTTTAATAATCTAAATCTGCATCTTTGAGGGATGAGTATTTTTGTATGGATGGATGATACTAATTATGTCCCAAACCTTCTCTATTACTGTAGCCAGTTTTACTCTAGGATTGTCATGAAAAGGTGAGAATACAGGACAGATTTCTTTCCACTCTAGGACCATTTAAATAATCCAACAGTTATTGCCAGAGTTTACTATGAACTTAGGTCCAATGCATGTTGTTTCACTGGGCACAAGAAAAAGACCTAGGGAAATGTCCCCTGGCCTCTTTTTAAGGCATCAGAGTCTTGTGTAACTTCATGACATCTATGTCTTCTCTGTTTATAATTTTCTAGCTCTGGTAAATCCAATACTGAAAAGTCATTCAAATGTCTCTTTTATTGGATTTTGCTGCTGTTTGAGCTACTTTTGATTTATTTTTTATAAGCACCTTCTTCTTATGTTAGAAATAATCTTTCAAGTGAAAGAAGTAAGTTCATTTCAACAGTATCCTATATTTGGAAGTTGTTCTCATCTTATGAGCAACTTTACTGGTTATATGCATATTTATGCTGTTATAAAAATCTTTTCAAATAAGGTATGAATTTCTATAAACTGAAACTCAATTACTTTATTAAAATAAGATTACATTTAAGTGAGAGAACTCTGGAAACGTGATTGTTAGTTGCATTATTATGGTGTTTAAACTTCCTATCTTTAGTTATTCCATAATATACTATAAAACAGCTGTTGAATTTAAGCATAGCATTGGCTTTATTTCAGCAATAAATGAAATGATTTGGATGCATACATGATGATAACACAGGGAAGCCAGTTTGGAAAAGCAATCTTTTAAATGCAATCTGGCATGAACTGGAGTTATCTGAAGGAAGATCCCCGATTCACCTATCTTTCATCTAAGACTGCCACTGGAGAGAACAATTTTTGCCCTTTTTTCATGCTACACCTGCTCCTGTTAAACTCATTTCTAGCTTTTCCTCAAGGAGGAACTAGTTGCTAATCCACTTGATCAGAGTTTGAATGTACTATAAACCACAATAACTAGCCAATGGAGTCACTATGGCTTAAAAAGTAGTTGCTATTATTGGGTTCTTTCTCTCCTACTTCCTCTTTGTAGCTGAGAGGTTAAGACCCTGCAGAGCGTTCTAGCTCTCTCTACCTTACTCAGGTGAGAGGATTTTCCCCATGCCTGTTTAAACATATGGGATTTTTTTCTGTTGCTGTTTCCTCTGTATAGAATACTTCTACCTGGGTTATCTTGTGTCTTACTTCCTTCAGATCTTTGTCAAAATTGCAAAGCTCTCAATGAGACCTTTCCTTGTCCATCCCATTATAAACTGCATTCAGAGCCTTTTGGCTTTCCTTATCATTTGTCACTGCTTTATGTATTTGCCCAAGCCACTTATGGCCATCTAACATATGGAATATCTAATTAACTTGTGAATTATCTCTTTCGTCAGTAGGATATAAATTCCATGAAGGTCGACAGGTGTTTCTTTGATCTTGTAACCAGAGTACTTGTCACAGAGTCAGTCTTTAATATATATTTACCAAATAATTGGGAAAAAAAAACAAAGCAATATGGATCAATGAGCAGAAGGTAGAATGTCCACACTGTACATTCCAACTCAATTTCACCAGAGTTCTTTAGGATATGGAATAATACAACTTCAGTTCTTAATCAATTGGCACTTTACCTAAGTTTGCTACCATTCTTTAATAATAATTCCACAGGGATATTAATGTCGTAGTGGGAGACAAAAGGTTAGTTTTGTTTGTTTGTTTTTGAGACTGAGTCTCGCTCTGTCACCCAGGTTGGAGTGCAATGGCGTGATCTCTGCTTACTACAACCTCTGCCTCCTGGGTTCAAGTGATTCTCCTGCCTCAGCCTCCCGAGTAGCTGGGACTACAGGTGCATGCCACCACGCCTGGCTATTTTTTGTATTTTCAGTAGAGATGGGGTTTCACCGTGTTAGCCAGGATGGTCTCGATCTCCTGACCTTGTGATCCACCTGCTTCAGCCTCCCAAAGTGCTGGGATTATAGGTGTGAGCCACCGCACCAGGCCAAGGTTAGTTTTTATTAGCAGGGGAGACTATGGTTCTTTTTTTGTTCCTGGACTTAGTATCACCGAACACCATCAAAATCCCGTTACAATAACTAGTAAGTTATAGCACCCAATAAATGCTAGCTTATTCACAATGTTATGGAACCTTTATTTTATCCAGATGAGTCTTTAGAGAAAACCAGTGGGATGAGAAACCTGAGAACCATTCTACTAGACTCTACGCTGCATTTCCCATTCGTAAATTGTAGATAATTCCATAAAAAATGAGACAACTCGCTCTGCTCTCATTGTAAGCATATTGAAGTGCTTACAATTGTGTTCAGCACATATGAAGTGTCTAAATGTAAAGTTAGCATTACCACCATCACCCAATCAATTATCAGGCCTTGGTGAATCTCTCTCTGTGTCTCTCAACTCTATCTTCTCCTTTTTCTTACCATGGATGACAGAGGGCACTGTTTTCCAAGTCGTTTACTTGGCACTAGTAGTACAGAAGATTATTTTAGATGTCATGTAAGAATAAATCATAAAAATAAAGTTACTCTGTTTTAAGATAGTGAAATTAGTTTTGTTCTGAATAAGCTTGAATTTTCAAGCACATTGATATAAAATAAAGCATTAAGTAAAGACATATATGGTTAATACATTGATACGCAAAAAATTCTTGATGGCATTTTGTAGGAATAGTCACTGATATTTAGAAAGACTTTTATCTTGACCATCTTTTTCTCATTCCCTACTTCTTTTCAATTCTCTACTATCCTCTGAATTACCTTTCCAAACAAAAATCTGACTCTGCGGCCCCCTTGCTTTAGGTGTCTTCAACTCTTAGCCTTCTCTATAGTGCAGATCTCAACCTTAGGAATGCACAAATCTCTTTGTGGTCATTGAGACTGCGACAAAGGCAGATTTGGCCTCTGCCTTCGTCACCAATCTCAATGATCACAGCTTTCCCAGCACACTTTGTGCTTCATCAGAATCAAGTTGTTGAAATGTCATTATCATACCCAGTACAAGTTTACAATCTATGACCATTTAGGCAACAGTTTCCTTTGACTAGATGGTCACATATTTGCTTATCCAAATGGAGAATTTAGATTCATGCTTCAAAACCCAATTCATATGTTGTCTTTTAGGAAGCCTTCTGAAAGGTAGAGTTGATGATTTCTCTCTCTGTGATATGATATTTTATGTTATTAAATATTTTCTTCTATCTTATTTTTACATATTTCATATATATGTCTACATAATATCTCCTTCACAGGAATATCAGCAGAGACACTATCCATATCCCTGGCAATCAACATGACAAAAAGCAGGCAATACGTAAATGTTGAGTGCATCAATGAGTAAATATACATGTATGCCTTCCTTTCAAAGTAAATATAGACATATATACTTAAAAACAGATATATACAATATAAATAATAGTGGTTAATAATTGGTGCAGATTGTATTTTCTCATACATTCCACTCTGTTTTCACTGAAGTTGCAATGGAAAATTCAACCACTCTGTTCTAATTATCAAAACCAATGCCTTCATTCTAGACTCAATCATACTTGATCTTTCCATAACCATGGAAATCATTAAATGCTAACACATTTGAATTCCACTCTTTCCCTAACTTCTGTGTTTGTCACTTAGATCATGTTTTCTCAGTCCCCTGCTCTGCTTCTTTATTCCCCATTTTAGTTATCAAACTCCTAATTTTTCTAAATTGAAATCTTAGCATCATTTTTAACAATATCCCCTTACTCCCAGACTGCATCCAACTGTATAACAAGTTTTGTGCATCACCCATCACATTTGTTGTTTTTTAAAATACTCTTTTAGAGCAACTTTAGGTTCTCTAATTTGTTTATAATGTTAAATAATTGTGCATTCCATGGTATTTCAGGCTATGAACTCTCATCTAGATGATTGAAATGCCTCGCTAACTGGTTATGTTTGGATTCACTTAGTTGTTTCATAATCTCACATCCAGCTAATTTATTCTAAAAAGGGTAAATGTATTGGCTTATCGCATCAATTATATATTGTCACAGTCATATACTGTCAATTATATAATGTCACAATAAACAATGTCAGAAATAGCCATTACATCTCAGTGGAATATAAACAGTAAACATTGATTTTGCCCTATAAGCCTATAGGTTAGGTGAGCACAACTGCTAAGCTGGACTGGGTTTGAATATTTTTGGTTGGGCTAGCATAATTGAGGTAGGCTGGCAAGTCGGCTGCCATCTGGCCAGGATGACTCAGCTCTCCTTCACAAGGTCTTCCAACCTCCAGTGAGCCAGTGTAGGTTTGTTCTTACAGCAATGGCAGGGTTTCAAAAGGACAGATTGTCATAGGCCTCTTGAAACTCAGGCTCAGAGCTGGTACATGATCACTTCCTCCTCATTCTATTGGCCAAAGCAAGTTACAAGGTTATCCTGGCTTTGAGAATTGGAGAATAGAATCCATTTTTTTGATGGCAGGAGCTGAAAATTCACACTGCAAAGGGCACAGATAAAGGGAGGGGAAGAACTGGGGCCACTTTCAAACTACTATAATCACATAAATACAATTTGGAAATGAGATAGAGCTAGTTCCAGAGAAGACTGACTATGGGGATAGAGTCTATCAGGAGTCTCCTTTCTCCTTTCCTCTGTTCAGTTCTAATCTGTAATTTTCAGGCCAGCTATTCCCACGAGGCTGGTTCTAAAGTTGCAAGTGGCTCTGCACTTAAAATGAAACTACATTCTTCCTCAGAAGAAACATCTGAAAAAAATATCTCAGGGTAAACCCCACTAGGGATACATACCTATCTCTGATTCTTTCACTGTAGCCGGGGATAAAGAATACTATAATTAGCCCAGATAATTAACCTAGCCAAGGCATAATAGGATGCCTTTTGCTCCAAGAACCAGCCAAAAAAAGAGAGAAAGGAAAAGGTCCTTTCACTAGAAGGGGAAGGAAGAATGATGGGAAGGCAAAATTAACATGACCCGGTCTTATGCAATTCACTTCCTTCACATTCTCATGCTACACAGCATCACCACAGTCATCCCAAATGACAACTCATCATGCCATTTCCCAGCTTAAATGCTTCAGTGGACCCCCATTGACTGCAGCTAAAATACAACATTTTAGCACACTCTGCAAGACCCTTCTCAATTTTTTACATATGTATCTTTCCAGTCATTTCATCTGACTCTTGCTTTCTTTCGTTAGTCAAAGATATCACATATTTTAGCCATAGTGACCTATTTGCCATTACAGATATGTATCATGCAATTTTGCTAAAGCTTCAGTTAAATTTCCTTCATTATCCTGGCTCAAATCTGTATCTCCTCCATTGTTTCCTACAAGACCATTTCAACAACTGATGATGTATGACCAATTTAAACAATATTTCTGTTCCCAAACTCCTGGTATCCTTTTATGATTCAGTGCCTTTACTTATGCCCCTTATGCAGAATGTCTTCTCCCTTTCTCATTCTCTACTTGAAATCATCTTGATTATTCTTCCTCAAGTCCTAGATCTAGTCTTTTTCCCTCCATGAATTGTGCCTTGTCCATAAATTGCTCACCCATTTTTCACCCATAATGCCTATCATACTACATTTGGACTACTTGTATCTTTGTATATCATCCCCCTGTGCATTCTTTTTTATCTTTTATCTTGCTGTGTTTAGCATGCCTAGACTATACTATCTGTCCTATAATTCCTAATAGTTATTTTGTGCAATATTTAAGTGCATGTAAATGTTAATTGCTGAATTAGAAATGATACTATGTAGGTATAAAAAGTATTTGCAAATCTTCTTGAATAGAAAAAGCACTGTGTTTCAACCCTAAGCATTAGAATAATAAGTGACTGTTTTAAGACATTGTCTTCCCCACAAACCCTTAAAAATACCTGAGTCTAGTGAACTTCAAACCAATACCTTTATACTTCAAATTCCATTATTATATTATTTATGAATTATTCTCTCCTCTTCTACAAAACCTGTACCACTGTCTTTTGAAATTAAATATCTGATGTTTCCTTTTGGTCTAAATCAAATGTATCTTCTTTCTAAGCAGAGCTAGATGCATTTTTACTTTGTTCTGTGAAACCATACATACTAATGATAAATGAGCAGAATCTATAGTTACATTTGTTCTTATCGCTTTTGAAGCAGAAAATCTGGCAGTCTCTTTTCTAAACTTTAACAAGTGGAGATAAACCTTGATAAGAAAAATGTTTCTAGACTGCTATTGCATTCAGCAAGAGTAAACTATTTAAACTAAAAGCAGCTGTTTTATTTTTTTCCAAAAAATAAATCTAAAAGTAAAATTCTCTCTAAAGAATGACATAAAATCAAATGTAGCTTTCAATAATGTGTGAATGCAACAGTACTGCACTTTTATCTGTTATAAAATAGGACTTCTAAAATTAAGTTATTTTGGCTTTAAGACTAAGATGGTTATTGAAGTAATGTTCAGTCTATTCCATTGCTATGATCTAGGAAGTGGTGCTAATGTTGTAGTATAGCCATATAAACACCTATATATTATTTTTGTAACAAGTGATAACTCTATTTGCTATATTTTAGCTTACGTTTCAGCAACTGAGAGTTCCTCCAGAAAGTTCGTAGGGTAGATTCTTGGCTCCTAGTGAAGGAAGTCAGTTCCAGAATGGAGTTCCTGTTCCCTTTTTAGAAGGGACTGAAGAAGAAGAAGGAAAAAAAAAATCCATGGGAAAAAAAATGATAAATACTAGCAGTGAGGAAGTCAGCAAACAAATAAGTATTTCTTAAGAGGGGAAAGGTATATATTTTAAATTTGAAAACTGTTACCTCAATGCAACCCTCCTTACTCCAATTAGCTTGCTGCTCTGACTGTCCTAGTTGAATTGCAGAAACAAATTAACTTTTTTTTTCTTTAATGTTTACCTTTGGGATATTTTAGCCACAATTTTCCCCTGCACAAATATAAAGCTGTTGTATGATAAAATATATTGTATTTTCAAGTTGTTTCATTAGCATAACTTCAAATTTCCTTCCTTCCTTCCTTCCTTTTCAGAGCAGAAGAGAACATTACCACAGTTGGACAAAAATTTCCTTTACAAATAAGTTAATTTAAAATACACAAATGTATTTTAAACCAAATCATAAAGTAAGATCAAATGTTAAATTAATTTGCCTTAAACTAGAGAATATACTCCTGTGAATCTAAGTACAAAGAAATCATTTTTCAGTCCTTTCAGAGAAAGGAAGTCACCGAGTTTGCCTTTAAGTTCCTATAGCACTTTCTGACACTTTCAACTTTGGCTTAAAGACACACATTTTAGCTTTAACTAATTTTAACATTTACTTTAGGACTATAGTTACGTTTTGTTAGGTATTCGAAATGTGAGGATTCTACACATACATGTGAACTACTGACAGCTATTTTGCACTTTTGTGGGTAAATTCAGCTATCTTATATTTATTTGTCAATCTCTTCATAGATAATGTTGTGATTAAAGTTACTGATTTACCTTACCTTTGTCTTTTGGGAGAGTACAATCTTTGAATAAGAGTTTGTGGCTGGTATTGCATTTTAGCTGTGGTCCTAGTTTACATAGACTAGAAATACAAAACAGATGAATTAAAGTAATACTACTAATTCAAAATTATAAAATATTTTCCTTATTACAACCATGCATTTCATAGTTATTATTTTTCCAACTAAAATCATTAGTGACAACACATATTGGTGAAGTGGTAGGGCACTTTGTAATCACTAGGATCAGGTGGACATAATTGGAAGTTGACTGCAAGGCAATTAAGTTTAAGTGGAAAAAAAGCCAGAAGTCTCAAAAAGAAGTCTTTAAAATTTACTGTCACCACTACTGTCTCAGTCCATTCAGTGTTGCTGTAAGAAAATACTTGAGGCTGGGTAACTTATTAAGAAAAGAGGTTTATTTGGCTCATGATTCTGGTGGCTGGAAAGTTTATAATTGGGCAGCTGCATCTGGCGAGGGCCTCATATTGCCCTCATCTACTGTGAGTGCAAAAGGGGAGCAGGTGTGTGCAAACAGATCATATGGCAAGAGAGGGGGCCAGAGAGAGAAACCAAGGAAGCTAGACTCTTTAACAACCCCTTCTCACAGGAACTAATCCTTTCCCATGAGAGTGAGAACTCACCCCCACTGAAGGATATTCATCTATTCATGAGGGATCTGCCCCCTTGACCCAAACACTACCCGCTAGGCCCTACTTCTCAACACTGCCACATTTGGGATCAAATTTCAACTTGAGTTTTAGTGGAGACAAACCACATCCAAACAATAGCAACCCCTGAAGCTGTTAAAGGAATTCTCCTATTTAAATTGTGGCATCAAACAAACACAAAGGACTTAGCTTTTCTTAATAGTCTGCCTACATACTTTGAATTATTTCATTCTCAGTAGGTATTACTTCACAAAATAGAGTCTTGTAAGAAAAACTACAAATAAATAAATGCAGTTTCAGAAGGAGTTTAATACAGTTTATTGAATTGTTCTGCATTTTCTTAGTCCTTCAAACCACTTAGAAGCAGGGCTTAATAAACAAGGTACTTTTTGGTGGCTATCATGTAAAGCCTTGAGTGTAAACCAAAATTAATTTTGGAAACATCACAAGCCAGTTATCATCTTCTGTCTTTCTATGATATACCAAATCCCTAGAACTAGTCCCCCGGGATAGCCAATAAAAGACAATTTATCAAGATGATTCTTCAAACATTATTTCTAATTTTCTTATTCTTTTTCTATCTTCACAAATTTTAATACTTTCTTTTAATCTTTGCTAGTTATCTTTCATGCTGTGTATTCCCATATCAGTTACATTTACATATAACTTCAACTTTTAAATATTGTGAAATAGCCATTTTCTCATGTCTTCAAACTACTTATTGTATAACCACCTGTTAGCCTCCAAGTGAATTGGAAAAATATTTCTTATCTATGAAAAGACAAAAACAAAGCATCACTATTGTTTTGGTAGTAGATTTATATTGAGATTGGGCTTGATGACTGACAGATGCCTAGAAAGGCATCTCAGTATGAATTCTGATTAATCAAAAATGATTGCATTCCATATGTGTTCTTCAACATTTAAACCAGTAGATTTAAATAATAGCGTCAAATCTTTCTTTCAGTTTTACAGCTTACTTCACCATTTCCAGGTACAATTCTTTATATAAGAAATATATATTAGACATTCTATTAGTTATACAGAACTAGTACTTTCCTCATTTTTTGTTTTCATACTGTCCTATCTTCTGTGCTTTAAAGTCCACACTTTTGACATTTTCTGAAAGTACTTAAGAAGATTCAAAGCTTTTTTTCTGTGTATGAACCTAGATCTAACTGCTAGTGCCTGATGCCTACCTATATCAGTTCTGAATTGTCTTTGAGACAAATATCAAATTCTTAAAAATTTAAAGTAGGATGAGGACTGGTCTTCCTCGCTTCTGCTAAATAGAGCATATGACTTTCAATTAAGCGACATAACTGAGTGAAATATACTTAGGGGATCCAATCATGTCTTGACGGCCATACAGCTACTGCCAAAGGCTCTTTCAAGACAGAAGTTTCAGGAAAGCCTAATGGGCATGTTTACTATCTACTTGAATACATTTGCCATGTTCTAGTCCAATATTAATAGCATTAAAAAAAAGTAGCAAAGTGTCCAGACCTTATGTCTTAGTCTTATATATTGATTTAATATCATATCTTCTACATAGAAGGATGTTTTAAGAATTAACCACGTAAACAGTAACTCTGCATCTTCTGGAAATTTTTAGCTAAAACAGGTGTAACTGAACTAATTAAAATAAATTTTTAGATAACTTTGTAATTAAAAATATTTGCCTTCTCAATTGTTAAATGCCATGGAGAGTAAATCTGTAATTGAATTCTGGGGGAAAAAAAGATCTTTACACATGAATTGCCATATTTTTGTCTGTGAATGACAATATTTGTTTGGATTCTTTGATCTTGTCTGGAAATATATAACCATATTTATCACTTAATATTGATAATTAGTTGATCTAGAGATAGGCAACCCATATATATGTGGTCTTAAATTCATTCCTTAACTTCATAATATAATGTTTTCCCCATTTTTTTCACACTTAATTTTATTCTACCAAAAATCTTACTGGAAGAGAGTGGAGTATATGTCATAAGTAAATTAGGATCAGAAAAATTAATGAATTTTGAAAAAATAATAAATGTTGTAATAAAGACCATCATTATTAACAGAAATACTAATTACCAAGTGTGAAATTTTATCCCTGCTTTTGATGGAAGAGAAAGTTTTTGTTCAAGAATTTAAATTTTAATTAGTAATAATTACTGATTTTATGTTGATAATTAATATTGGGCATAGTGGTGAGTAGCTGCCTTTGCCAATATATTCATTAAATAAAGATTTGTGTGGAGGAAAAAAATCAGGGGTGCTTGTTGAGAGCTTAGCTTGTGGTGTAAATGTCACAGAAATGTTTAACAAAAGGAAACCCAAGGTCTCCCATGAACATATGACTGCCACTGAAGAGCTATAGCTCACATATTACAAGTCTGTTTCTTGACATATGGTATATCAGGGAGGAATGTTCCAAAAAATGAAAAGAAAAAAAAAAAAAACCTCGTAACAAACATATGAAAATTGTGTGTATACATAATAATACAAGTATGTCCCATTAAAAGATCCTAGAAAAATATCTGGAGCACATATGGAATAAGACAGCTGTTAGGTTGTTGTAAGTTTAACCAGATTTATAATATCGCTATTATACTTCCCACATGTTAATATCAGGGCCTTCTAGGAGTAATTAATATTAATGACATTAAAAGGAAAACAAGTGTATCTTTCTCAAAAAAAATCAGATTTTGCACATAATTTTCAACATGACTTAAAGTGTAAGAGTATGTAAGTAAGAAATGTTATTTTAGGCAAGACTGAAGAATGCTTAAAATAAATCCAAATGAAAAATGGAAAGTTTTAAAAGATTACTGCTACTTTCACAGTCATGAAAAAAATAGCTAATCATTTATTTTCATAAATTAGATTCCTTAACATTCTATCAAAAAATCTTATAAGTAACATTAAGAAAGCAAAAATGAATTTAAAAATCTGAATGAAGTGCAAAGAGAGTCTGTGAAATGCAAGTTTGAACGCAATTATGCCCTAGAAATCTATTTACAAACATTATGAACTTAGAATATTTACATAGTGTCTCACACTTTCTTTCATCTTTATCTCTGTCTCCTTCTTTCTATCTTCCTCCGCCCCTCTCCCTATCTATCCAGACTTCTGGCTGTCTTCCAAAAGGATTTAAGATACCTTATATGGAAATATATGACATTTCGCAAGATAACCGTCAGGGTCTAACCAGGAAAACAGAAACTGGTCTAAACATGTTTAATAAAGTAAATTTAATAGAAAAGAGTGTTTACACAGGCAATAAACTGAGGAAGAGGGCAAATAGGGGATGATGAGGTACACAGAAATTAGCAACAGCAGGAGACAGCTGCCATCCTACAGCTGAAAGAAGAAGGTGATAAGGCTGTGTTAATGGAACCTAAGGACTGAATCCTCCCATAGGAGCTAGAACCACTGCAGGGCTCTCTGGCAGGAACCAGGGCCTCAGCAGATATGTAGTTGCTGACTGCATCTCTGGAAAGAGAAAGAAAGAGGGAAAAGTACCCTGGCCTTTCCCAGCCTCTGGACTCCAGCCTTCCCAAAGTGCCTCTCATTGGCTGAACACAGTGGAAACCAACTGAGAGGAGCTGGGAAGACAATCATAGATAAGTGTGAGCCCCAGGACTGGCACAATAACATAAATGGGAAGTGGATAACGTGATTCCAAAAGAAAACAATGATAGGAGCACACCAGTGAGCAAAGATGAAGGTACTACACAAAACTCTGCCCCAAAACATACTAGCCTGATAAACAGAGGCAGCTTTTAACAAACAAATCAAAGAGGGAAATGTAGGTAGCCACAAAGTTTGTGTCAAAAATTATTCAGAAGAGACAAAGCTCTTTTTGATGCCAAGACAAGAAATGAATTTGTTCTAAGTGTTCCAATAAAGAAGGCAGTTTAAAGTAATAAGCAATGTACTTCACAAAATCCTTGCAGTGATGATGTTTCACGGGCCTATTTCTGACAATATTTTAAAACCTAAACTAATACCGTTGCATAAGAAACAATTCAGGAAACTTGTGCACCTAATGATGTACAATAGGCTGTTCTCTGATCATGCAGACTCTAGATTAACTCAGGGAAAAATTTAGAAAAGGGGATGGGATACAGATTCATCAACTACTGTTTAATAATGATGAATTTTGATAGACATTAAAAGGAACACAAGATGAAACTTCTAGGTACCTATATAGAGCTATTTAGTTTTTTGTTTTGTTTTGTTTTTTAATTTTAGAGATAGAGTCTTGCTCTGTTGCCTAGGCTGGAGTGCAATGGCACAACCGTAGCTCACTGTAACCTTGAACTCCTGGGCTCAAACAATCCTCCCACCTCAGCCTCCTGAGTAGCTGGGAAACAGGTGTGCACCACGATGTTTGGCTATTTATTTTTTTATTAAAACTTTTTTATTTTTAGAGATGAGGTCTTGCTTTGTTGCCCAGGCTGGCCTTAAACTCCTGGCCTCAAGCAATCCTTCTGCCTCTGCCTCCCAACATACTGAGGATATGGGTGTGAACCACCACACTTAGAGCCATCTAATTTTATTGGTCAAGTCTGAAGACTTTGTGTTTTGACAAGCAGCTGATCTGGGTTAAGGGTCAATCACCGTTGTGGCCAACCTGTATCGATGCCAATGGGGATGGCACCAGGTTCAAGAAGCCAAAGAGACCCAGAGTCAGCAAATGAGGGGTTTTAGAGGGGCTTACATCTCAAAGAGACTCCACTGGTGGCAGACTGGAAAGGAGAATCGCATGGCTTGATGGTGGCAGGCAGGGGCAGAAGAATTGCAACTGCTTGCAAAAAGCACGCAGTTTTTATATAGCATTTTCACTTAGCACCTTCTCCCTAACAACTTCCACGTGGCACCATTCAGTCAACCCAAAACTTGTGGCCTTGATTCTCCATATGGCCCAGCCCGTGCTCCATGGTACAGGACAGAGGCTCAGATGCTCCTCATAGAGCAAATCTCTGGGTTGGTCATTCCTGGATTCCCTAGCTCAGAACTGGGAACACACATTCAGGTGTGTTTGCCATACAGGGTCATTCTAAGGGTATGCTTAAGTTATCACTGTCTGGTGCATTTGCCATACAATCACATGTGATTATGATACAGGAGAACATGATGGCCCAATGGGGGTAAATAGCAGCATATGATTAATGGTTTATCTAGATTACTATGCTCAGAATGCAAAGGGATTAACAGTTAATAGCAATTTCATTCCTGTTTCAAATGGCAAAATTATCCAGAGTTAGTGTGAAATGTAATTTATTCAATAATACTTTTTTCTTTATTAGTTACCTGATATATGCCTTCTTTCTTCTCCATAACATTTTTGTTTCCTTTTATTCAAAGATTTTAATTAGTATGTGAATCAGGGTTACAAAACTCTCTAGTGTCTAATATAAACAATTGTTTTCGTAATGTTATTGCTGATAGTTACACATCATAGATAAAGTCTGCTAGGAAACTAGCATGAGCCACACAATTTTTTTAGAAAGTCCTGAAACTTAAAGGTCAATACCCAAGTATATCTAATCTTCTTTTCGAAAGTTCTTTGCAAACTAAGTGAATATTATTGTATACTATTTAATATTATTTGCCAAGTCTCACAAAATGTATTTTGTTTTTAGTGTTACATATCAAACTTTTATATTTTACCTTTTGCTAAGAATATAAAAACACCTGATGAAACATATATGGACATTTTACCTAGTGTGGCTACATCTTTACTTCCTAGAGAATTACAATTCATTTTCTTTTGCACTTAGTAACTAAGAACTAAGTTCAGTAACTAAGAGTTCAGTAACTAAGTAGACCAAATTATAGTTATTGAAAAATACAAGAATTATCTTAAAATATTATTACTTATTATTGAAAATAGTAATATTTTTAGTAAGGGAAAGCAAAAGTTCAGGAATTTATAATATTAAACAAAAGCAGCTTTGAAGTCTCTTTTACTACCCCTAAGTTACTTTGCCCACATGCTTTTCAAATAAGAGGCAGCAGAGGGCTATGGTTGAGAACTTGGACTCAGAAGCCCATGTGCTAGCGCTGAATCCAACTTGCAGCCACTTACTAGCTCTACAATCTTGAGAAATTTACTTTTTTTTCTGGCTTCTGTTTCCTTATCTGTAAAATACGGTCTATATTAGAACCATCCTCGTTAGATTTTTGCAATGTATTAAATGAATTAATATTTGTAAATTGCTTAAAATGGGCTGACACAGGCTAAGTCTCATAAAAGAGCTGTTAAATTAATACAGAAAACCTTAGTATGTCTGTTTTTAAAAATGTACAGTAAATTGTCTGCTATGTTTAATATATAAGCTTATAGTACTTTGTAGAATTCTGACCAGGATAAAGTGCCTCAAGGCATATCTTACAATTGACTATGTTTTCATATTTATAGTAAACTGACCATTGACCTACAGGTAGTTCCCCATGAGCAATGCCATTTTTCACAGCAGATTAAAACAAAATTTAATTGAATTTTTTTTACCATGTTTTAATTATGTACACTCCTACTACTGAATTCTGTTTGAGCCCAGAGAGAGAGAAAGTCAGAGGAGATGTCTGAAGCTCTCTGTATTCATGGAGTTAAAAAATGTGTCTTAAGGCAAAAACACAGCTGAAGTATGGTTATGGCTAAATGCTTCAAATATAAACTCGCTGTTAAGTACTTAAATAAGTCCTACATCTGGCTGGCCATTTATTATTCATTCTACTCCCTAATGGGAATATTACAAATGACAAAGCATATGTTGATTTGGGATCATTTCAATAAAAACTCTTTCTTATGCAAATATTTATCTTAAATTCCTTAAAGCTACTAATAAAAGCAAAAATTTAAACAGAGAATAGATTATTGCTAACACTGGGAATGCAGGGAGGCCTAGATGTTCGAGGATAAACTGAGGTCCTATTGTGTAATACCTAAGAAAGTCGCTTATATTATTTAAATGAAAAAGTATGCATGTGTTATTTTAGAAGAAAAAAAGATGTACAAAGAAAGATTCAAACAAAAGTTAAATATTTCTATAGTAGCCAGAGTAGAGCTGCAATTTTTACTGTATTAAATGCTTTCCACGTATTAGTTTATTAGATCTCAGCAACAGCCCTGAAGCCGGTAGTATATTTCTTAATTCATAGAAAAGAAAATTGAGGCTAAGGAATATTAAGCACCTAAAATGATATTACTTTGTTTTATATGTTTGTTTGATTATTATAGATCTCCCTCACTAGAATGCAATCCCCAGAAAAGATATCTTGCTCTGTCTTTTCACAACCATACCCTCAGTGCCGGGAATACCTTCCTGCACTTAAGTTTTTATTGAAGGAATGAATATCAAATTCATAAGCTTGCTAAGATCCCAGAACTAGTAATTTGTTAGATCAAGTGCAAATTGAAATCACCCTAGATGATTTTCCTTTTTTTTTTTCTTTTGGTGACAATATATTAAAAAGTGAAGAAACATAGAAAAACATTTCAGAAATGCCCAGCCAGGTTCTGAAAATTGAAATGTCTTTGATCAAGTTCTGTGCAAAGCAACAATGATGTCCCGACCCTAATAATCATTTTCTCAGAAACAGCTGCATGGCCTTGGGCAAGGCACTTAATCTCATATAATAGAGTAAAACTTCATATTGGTATGATGAGGATTAAATAGTTAGGATTTGTAAAGCCTGTAGAACAGCATCTGGCATTTAGTAAGTTAATGTTATTAAATCTTACCCATTATTGTCAGTATTGTTTTATTACGTTCATTTTCAATCAGCTGTTTTTCTTTTTCCAAATTTGTGTTAGGGAAACACTGAAAAATCAATATGTACGGTAGGTAATCTTTTAGAAGATAATACATATATAGTTTATTCAAATATATCAAAAGGAGGCAGGTAAGAAAACAAAGGAATTAATTTTGGAGCTCTTTTATTTCAGAGCAGGAAAAATATCCAGTCCTCCCCAAACAGTACCTATTTCTGCCCAATTCTTGATCATATTTTCATATAACTCAAATCATCAGAAAGCAAAAAAAATCACAATACATATCACTAGTATTTCTCACCTTGAGGCAACCTTTATTGATAAATTATGATGTAATCACTAAGAGTCATCGATTCTATGTATGTGTGTATGTATGCGTGCATGTATCTGTGTATCGTAGGGGCAGAGGGAAAGCTCCCCTCTGTCCTCTCTGAACATTCACTAGACTGAACTTGCAATAGAGTAATAGGAGAAAAATCCATACATATTTATTTACATGCACGTGGATGTGGGAGTCCTACAAATACGAGACTCAAAGAAGGGCCAGATGTTTGAAGGTTAGATACTCTCTTATAGGGAAGTGGGGAAATGGGGGATGTAGGTAATTATGCGTAGCAACAAACAACTTTCAGGGAAAATGCAAGAGCCCAAGGAACAGACAGTGGACTTGGAAAAGAGTTTCTCTGAGCTCTGGGGGAGGTGGAGGCAAATTTAGAGAAGTTGAAGGGTGGAACTTCACCATGAACAAAGGTTCTTATTACGCAGACAGCCCCCTAGATAATCTCTCAGTGCTGCCCTCAGGAGAACAGATGAAAAGTCTGTCTGAGCAGGGCGACTTTTAATCTTTTCTCTTAGTCTTTTCTCCAGTGGTTAATCTTTCCTGGTTATTTAATGAGATCCCTGGGGGAAGGGGTTGTATTAAAGACAGTTTCATTTCTTTTGGAGAGAAGTTTCTTTAGTTGAATAAGGAAATTAAGAGACTTCCTCCCGTTGCTAATGGTGGGGAGAATAGGGGGGAGGAACAAAAGAAGTTTAGAAAGTTATGGGTTCTGAAGCATCTTTTAAGTCATTCCAGTTTTTTAAAACTCAAGGTGCCTAGCATGCCGGAGTACCATAATTTGGGGTATCATTCTCTATGCCCCAACTCTATCTATCTTCTTTATAAGAACATTATGTGTACAGTTATGTAAACCTACAAATACATATGTATGCATTCACCAATTCTTGGATATTATTCTTCCAACTAATGTCCTATTTTTGGTTATGAATGTTTTACCAAACTTTCTCTATCACAAACATGTAAGAGTAATAATTATTTTTGGCCAATTTTTCTGGAGCTCTATGTGGCTGATTTTGGCCAAGTTTCCAGTTGCTAGTTCAAAGGGTAGAAATGACTAAAGAACAAAATGAAATTCTTTTTACCATGTAAACTTCAAATAAATTAAAATCTAAAACTGATCTCCCTAATTTTTTATTCTACTCAGCCTCAGCCAAAGACATTCTCAATGGCTGGTTAGATGTGAGCACCTTTAAGCATCTGTATTTTGGGCTTTTCTCCATGAAAATCACTGTAATTTTTCCAGTACTTCAGAGTCCTAATTAGTCTCATGTGTTGCCTTTTAAAGGAGCTCAAAAGTTAGTGGGATAGATAAGATGATCGTAGCACCAGCTCCTCATCCATCAAATTAATAAATAAATAAAATTTAAAAGTCCACCCTTTTAAATAAAAAGCCCCTAAAGCATTTACTCCTGGCAAATCTGGGACTCCAGAGTGATTCCAAAACATAAAATAGAGAATCAGTAGTATCTCAATAAGAGCAGAAGGGAAAGGTTTTTTTTTTTTTTTGCCTCAATAGCTACCATTTTGTCTGCACTAGTTAGTTGTCCAGAGTTCATCACTTGAGACTTAAGATGTAATTAGAATACCCTCCTTTCAAATGATAAATTTGACATTGTGCATTTTTCTGTTGCAGGAAACATCATTGATTCATCCTTTCTCTTTTCTCAGAGAATGGCATTTTGGCCCAGCCTACACAAGGTGTACCCATCCAGCACATGTGAACTCTCCTACTTAATATGCCCCTTAATGTGCTGAGTACAGCCTCTAGGGACGACATGTCTTCCACAGTCTTTCAGCTGATATATCTGCCTCTTAGGCAAGGTTTTTCTTTCATTTCCACATTTGTTTCAGATATGTATTTGTCCTCAGGAGATTTCTGAACAGAGGCTGCCACTGATGCTTGGAACTTGGGCCCCATGGCTCAAGTCAGAACGAGGAGTAAGCTCTGAATGTCTGAAGATGTCAAGTCAGTATGTCAGATCAGAATGTGTCCTTCCCGAGGCACTGTATTTCTTCAGGATTTTTTTCTTCTACACTGACATTTTATTTATTTATTTATTTTTGCATTTCTTAATTTTATTTATTTTAATTGACAGATACAATTGTATTTATCATGTACAAAAAATTCTAAGACAGTGGATGTTAAGTTTTCCCACTACAAAAATGATAACTTTGTGAGTTAATACATGTTAATTAGCTAGATTTAGTCATTCCACAGTGTCTGTGTATTTCTTCAGCTTTTGAAAGGCTTATGTGGCTTCATAGCCTTGAGCAACATTCTGTCTGCTCCATCATTTTTTCGCAGTAGTGGGTCATGCCTCTCATACCTCTAATATTTCATTCCTCTATATTCTTTAACTCTTTTAGGGAGGCCCAGCTGAATCAATGTGTCCATTGCTTTCTTTACACTTTTTTTTTTTTTTTTTAAATACAGGGTCTCACTATGTTGCCCAGGATAGTCACAAACTCCTGGGCTCAAGTGATTCTTTTGCCTCAGCCTCCCAAAGTGCCAGGATTACATGCATGAGCCACTGTGCCTGGCCTGTTTCCTTTACATCTTTAGTACATTTGGGCTCAAATTGATTTCTGGGACAGAATGTTTTCTTTCATTAATTTTCCTTTTCTCTCCTAATAGCTGGCCCGCACCCACCTTCATAATCTTCTTAATGCTGTCTCGTGTTGTGTTCCATAGCGTAAAGAGTGAAAATTAGTTCAGGGACTTCCCAAATGAACCCCTGTTCAGGTAATCTTCTCCATCTTCAAGTTTCTAATTTGGAAGAATCACATTCAGGATGTATCCCGCATAAGAACGTCACCAAGGCCTGGAGTCAAACTATCCCTGTCTTTCCCTCTCTAACCTCTGTACTTCAACATGTTTCTCTTTTCTAGACCTTTCCTTGGAAACTAATTTCACACATATTTTAGGCACAGGCAATGTCTGTAGCTACGTGTATATTTATCATATCAACTTGAAAATCATCTTGTAATATTTTGAATTTTTTACTTAAATATTTTTGGTCTTCCCATTTCAAGTCAGTGAATTATTTTATCTAATCAAGTGGCCTAGATATGTCTATAAAGAGATAGTTTCCTAATTGCTCTAACTATGCAGATTTCTTTTCAACTTTTATTTTAGATTGAGGGCATACATGTACAGGTTTGTTAGAAGGGTATATCGTGCAATGTTGTCATTTTGGGTATGATTGAATCTGTCAGTCAGGTAGTAAGCATAGTACCCAATAGGTAATTTTTCAGCAGTGCCCCCCACTGTTCCCATCTTCATGTCTATATGTATCCAATGTTCGGTTTCCACTTACAAGTGACAACATGGGGTATTTACAGTAAATTTCATGTACAGATGAGAAAAATGTATATTCTATGGTTGTTGGGTGGAGTATTCTATTAGGTCCAATTGGTCAAGTGTCAAATTTAAGTTCAAAATTTCTTTGTCAGTTTTCCTTTTCAATGATCTGCCTAACACTGTCAGTGGGCTATTACAGTCCCCCACTATTACGCTGTGGCTTTTCCTAGATCTAGAATTACTTGTTTTTGAATGTGAGTACTCCGATATTGGTTGCATACATAGTTAAGTCTTCTTGTTGAATTGAACCATTTATCATTATGTAATGCCCTTCTTTGTCCTTTTTTAACTGTTGTTGGTTTAAAGTCTGTTTTATTTGATATAAGAATAGCGACTCCTGCTCTTTTTTTGTTTTCTGTTTGTGTGATAGATCTTTCTCCAATCCTTTACTTTGGCTGGGTCTTTTTAATCCAACTTGGCCACTTTGTGTCTTTTAAGTGAGTCATTTAGATCATTTACATTCAAACTTAATATTGGCATGTGGGGTTTTGATCCTGTTGTGATGTTGTTAGTTGCTTAGTAGTACCAATTGTATAGTTGCTTTATAGGGTCTGTGTCTATGTATTTAAGGGTGTTTTTGTGGTAGCAACTATTGTTCTTTTGTTTTCATGTTAATAACTCCCTTAAGGGTCTCTTATAAAACTGGTCTAGTGGTAACAAGTTCCCTTAGCAATTTCTTATCTGGAAAAGATTTTATTTCTCCTTTAGCTTAGTTTGGCAGGATATGAAATTCTTGGTTGTAATTTCTTTTCTTTAAGAATGCTGAAAATAGGCTCCCTAATCTCTTCTGGCTTTTATGGTTTCTGCTAAGAAACCTGCTGTTAGCCTGATGGGGTTCCCTTTTCTCTTGCTGCCTTTAAGGTTTTTTTCTTTCACATCGACTTTGGATAGTCTGGTGACTACACATGTTGGTGATATTCATCTTATATAATGTCTCACAAATGTCCTCGGGATGTCTACCTCTCTAGCAAGATTAGAAAAATTTTCTTGAATTATTCCCTGAAATATGTTTTCCAGGTTTTAAACTTCTTCTCCTTCTCAGGAATGCCAATAATTCATAGTTTTGGTTGCTTCATATAATTCCATATTTCTCAAATAATTTGTTTGTTTTTCAAAATTTGGATTTGTTTTTCTCTAATTGGGTAAGTTTGGAAGACTTCAAGCTCTGAAATTCTTTCTTCTGAAACGTCTAGTCTTTTGATAAAGCTTTCAATTTTATTTTAAAATTCCTTAAGTGAGTTTTTCAATTTCAGATATTCTGACTGATTTTTTTAAAAGATATCTATCTCTTCCTTCATTTCCTGAATTGCTTTATTAGTTTCTTTGTGTTGATTTAAAACCTTGTCTTGGCTTTCATTGAGCTTCCTTGCAATCCATGCTTTGAATTCTTTACCTGTCACTTCTGAGTTTTCATTGTGGTTAAGGTCCACTGCTGGAATGCTGGTGTGATTCTTTGGTAGTTTCACAACATGCAGATTTTTCACAGTGCCAGAGTGTTTTTGCTGATTCCTTCTTCTCTGGAGTGGCTGGCACTTCTAATTTTTGTAATTATTTTAGTAGAGATAGGATTTTTTTTCCTTCCTTATATATTTATTTCTCTTTCCCATCTTTTCCTCCCTAGAGAGTGTGACTATAGAGTATGTCGCCCCTTCTGTTGGCAGGTTTTATATTGGGCTGTGTGGTTTAACCTACAGGCCAGTAGAAGGCACTTTTGGGCAAGAGCCAGCTGTGGATTTTTGTTTACTGTGAGGTGCTCTCTGTTGTTTCAGGTGATGGGTTAGACAGTGGAGTACCCAGTGCCCTGAGCTTCCTATTCTGTGTGGGTGGGAAGACACAGCTGGGTAGAGCTAGAGTCCCTGAACTGCCCTCGAATACCCCAATGGTGAGCACAAGCACCAACCCTGATGAGGGTGGCTGCAGGCAGCTCCTGTCGAAAGACATCGAGGTGTCTGTGGGAGGGTGAGGGATTTGCACTGGCTCCCCATCCTAGAGAAGCAGGAATGTGATCTGTTTCCCTATCTCACCCCTGTTCCAGGGATGGTGACTTCTAGTTCAGGCATACACTGTAGGCTATCTCCAGACCATGACGTGCTTGAGAGCCATGGGAAATACCTGGTTTTGTGACTCTCTGTGATATTGCTTTCAGGTCAGAACCTTGTCACTGAGCCCAATACAGATAGATTTATTGCTCACCTAGGGAGTGTGACTGTAGAGTATGTTCAGAAGGGTCTTTTGGCTTTGCTTCTCACCTGTTCTCCAACATTATAGCATTGCCACTTTGTTTAAAAGTGGGAGCTCCACTGTTAGGTCTGTGTGGGTGGGTGTTGGTTGTGATGTTGTCAGCTGGTTGGGTCAGCCCCACCTCAGGCTCTGCCCTTAAGGAAGTGGTCAGCTAATAGCTGAGTTGGAATGGGGTAGGTAGTTCCTCAGTTCTTTGGCCCCTAGATGGCCCACTGGATAGTGTGTATGAGTCATGAAGGCGCTGGAACAGGGTTGGGCTAGCCCAGTGTTCAGGTGCTGGCTGTGATGAGTGAAATGGGTTGGTCCCTGGATCACCATCCGAACTCTCAGGCAGGAGCAGGCAGAACACTTAGGTGGTGAGAGCCTGAGGGAATGTCACAGGCCTCTGGGGACTGGAGTTTCAGAAGTGTTATGGGCTGCAGCTGGAATATTCATGTAGGGGGAGGGTAGCTCTTCTGTGGAGAGGGCAGCACCCCTCAGCTGGGGCAATGGAGACTGGTGGCTGTGGGGAAGGTGGCCCACTGGCATTTCCCTCCCACACAAGTGATGCTGGATTTTGCTATTGAGAGCACACAAAGCTGCCAAGCCTCCTCACTTCCATGCTAATCTAACGTGGCTTGCACTAGCTGTTTCTAGTCAGCCATCTTGAACCAGATCCTCTTCCTCTTTCAATAAGGGCATGAATCCATCATGGGAACTCTACCCTCATGACTTAATCACCTCCCAGAGCCTTACCTCTTAATACCATCTCACGGGGTGGGGGGTTGTGGGGGGTGTTAGGGTTTCAAGGTACAAATTGACTATGAAGACTTAAGAGACACTTCCCCATCATTTCCTGTGTCTTAGTTTTGGGGGAAAATAATCCAATCTATTCTTTCAGAAAAATAAAATCTGGTAACAGCTAATACATGTTTCTCCTTTATCTCTTTAAGAGAGTAATTAGCTCTAGAAACATCGACTATTCTCTTCAGCATATCATTTTCTAGTTTATATTTCTAGTGTAAACTTTGGATGTCAATCTTTTTTTCAAATTGCATTTCTCTTTTCTTCCAGTTGAATTAGCCTGTCTTCTTTTAATTATTTTTCTTTTCCTTTTATTAGCTACTCCTTTCATATCAAAGCAAGTTTTATAAGCCACCATATTTTCTATTTGAAGAAACCTGATTGTTAGGTGCAGATACAGATTTGTATCAAAGCCCTGTTTATTTACCTTCTTATACATGGGTTTGGATAATTTCTCTCAGTCTTATTTTAATCCAAGAAGATGTATATTTCTTTTGTAAATATACATAGTTTTTATTAATGAGTAAGTGAAAGTCCTATACATTAGGCCTATATTCCTTTCAGTTGCTCATTAATAAAAACTACTATGTTTCTCTGGGTGAAGCTGACATTTAGGTGAAGCAGAATATTATCAGTATTTATGTAATTAACCAAGTTAGGGCCAACTTGAGACCACAGAGTAGAGGGTGAGTTTTAAAATCCTATGGACAATTCACATGAATCTTGGGGTTTATTTCCTGAACTTCTTTTTAGATTAAAACACAGAATGGAATTTAGAGCAGCTAGTCTTGCACTCCCTGCCAAATCTGGCACTAGTAATTGAAACTAGAACTCCCTCCACACAATGCCCTATAGCTCATGTGGGAATTGGGTACATTCTAAAATCCTGGCCTGCACAATCCAGAGATTTGGCATTGCTTTTTATTTTAGACACAATGTTGGCTGCAGTGGGGGTAGAATGGTTCCAGGGGATGCCACATTTTGTTCCCTCTCATAATAGTCCTTACTTCATTGGCCAGGAAACAAATATGGATGTTCTACTGATTATTAAGCATATCTATTACTAGTATACATTCTGGGTAATTAATTTTTCTCAGCAATGTATATATCTGTATGGCTATATACATATGTAGCTGAGTATATAACATATACTCAGTTATATGAGTAGATATACTGGATTCAGTTAGTGAATATTTGTTTTGAACTTCTGTGACAATGCTTATGAGAAAGTTTAACCTATAATTCTCCTTTCCTGTGATGTTTTTGTCAGTCTTCTGTATCACTCTTATGCTGATTTTATAAAGCATGTTGGAAAGTTTTTCCATTTTTTTTACATTTCTTGAAAAAGTTTATGCGATATTTATGTTATTTATTTTTTAATATTTGCAAAAGTTCAAAGAAGGCATCTAGGTCTGGAATTTTCTTTGTGAAAAAGTTTTTATTTAAGGTATACAATTTGGAATTCATATTTCTTGTATAATTTGGGTAAATTTTGCTTTTTTTTGTCTCAGTAATTTATTCATTGAATTTATATTTTTAAAATTTGTTAGCATGATATTGTTTATGAAATCTTTATTATATTCTAAATATCAAAAGGAGCTTAGAGATATCCACATTCCTATTCCTGATACTAACTTGTGCCTTCTCTCTTTTTTAAATTTAGCCTCCCTAGAAATGACCAATTTTTTCATCTTTTGGAAAGGTAAATCTGGCTAGTTGCTTTTGCTATTACATATTTATTTGTTATTTAAATAAATACTTTTTATAGTTTGTTATTTCTTTCTTTCCACATTCTTTAAGTTAATTGGTTGATCTATTGCTGATTGATTAGTGGAATCTGACAATTTTGCCTTTTCATTGGACTACTTACTATTTACTTACAATTCAATTTCAAGTTACCCTTATAACTACTATTTCACTTTTTTGTCTCCTGGCATCACTTTTTTCTTGTATTTGTTTTCCTTCTTTCATTCTTCATCTTGGGTTAAGAATTGGTTTTCTTTTAATTATCCTGTGTCTTTCCCCTGTGATAGCTATTCTTAATACATTCTTTAAATTTTTGTTTTGATTGTTACCTTGGAGATAGCAATATATATCCCTGACTTACTACAGTGTGATGTCTATTGGTATTTTCATCATTTCCAAGACAATGCAAGGGCTCTAGATCACTTAGTTTTCCTTTTACTTCTCTCTTGTCTTTTTTGTTTTTTGTCAGATATATTGACATTCAGATTATTATTGTTTTACATAATTAATATTCAGATTTGCCTATTTTCCCTTTTTTTATGTTTGTCATTCGTACCTGAATTTGTATGCTTCCATCACAGGTGATTTTTCCTCTACCTGAAGAGCTTAAAATAAGTTTCCTTGTTTTATTATTTTTATTTTTTGTAGAGATGTGGTCTCACTATGTTGCCCAGGCTGGTCTTGAACTCTGGACTTCTAGCAATCCTCCTGCTTTGGCCTCCTAAATTACTGGGATTATCGAAATTAGCCACGGCACCTAGCCTGTATTTTTTTTTCTTTCTTTCATTGTTTTTTGTTTTCTTTTTGCCTGAAAACATTTTTACTTTGCCTTCATTTTTTTCTTTAATCACAGGGTATTTTTTAAAATAACACAGGGTATGAGATGGATAACTGTTTTTGAACATATAAAAACATCTGCAATAAATTTTTACATGCATTTAAAAAAAAGTTACAAATGGCCTATTTTAAAGCTGATCTGCCCACATTGCAGGGACATTTTCTGGAACATTTCCATGAAACCCCAAATACCTAACTGCTAAATATAAAAGATAAATCCTATTGCTAAAATACTTGCTATTCCCCCACTGGAAGTAAACGATCATTCCATTCCCCTACTGAAGTCAAAAGAGAAGATTTATATGCAGGTATGAACAACAAAGTTGTTCTTCATATTATATATGGATATTTCATCATATTCCTTTGAAATAGCATTGTATAATATTAGAGATTATAAAAAATAGTTTTTACATTGTGTGATGATATTTGCTCAAAAAAGCTCAAATGAAAACTGCAACCTATTTCGTGACAGAGTTAATCAAAAATAAACTTAGCCTTCCTTTTTACTCTCTTCAAACATACACAAAAAACATACTCACTGCTGAAGCTGAAGGTTTCTGACTCACTTTCTATAGTTGAACTCCTGACTTAAATTCATCCTAATAGACTCTATCAACATGTGTTTCAGGCTGAGGACTTCCATCAAGGAAAACCTTGATTAAGAAGGCATTTCACATTTTCCAAGTCTTATCTCAAAACAAAATAACCCAGAAGCATCTCCCTCTAGTAGGTTTTCCTGAATCTTCTATAACATCTTAAAATAGCACTTGTTATACCAGCAATTAAACATATACTTTAGGTTAAAAATGTTCCCCAGTCTAGTTTCTAGTGGAAAAATTTAACACAAAATTTTGTATATTCTGTTTAGTAATTGGTCCAAATAGCAGTGGGTGTAATGCCATATTTTTCTTTTAAAATTATACTTTAGGTAGGATCTTGTGATCAAACCATGGCGGATGGCATAGAATTTCCACCTTGATAACAGAGGCATGTAGAGTTTCATTTTGAAGATCCAAAGCTAGGCCCAGCATGGTGGCTCATGCCTGTAATCCTAGTACTTTGGGAGGCCAAGGCAGGCAGATCACTTGAGGTCCGGAGTTCGAGGCCAACATGGCAAAACGCTGTCTCTACTAAAAATACAAAAAAAAAAAAAAAAAAAAAAAAAAAAAGCTGGGCGTGGTGGTGGGCGTCTGTAGTCTCAGTTACTCTGTGGCTGAGGCAGGAGAATCAGTTGAACCTGGCGGGACAGAGGTTTCAGTGAGCTGAGATCACACCACTGCTCTCCAGACTGGGCAACAGAACAAGACTCCATCTCAAAAACAAACAAACAAAAACCAAAGCTGACCATCACCTTAAGAATCCTCTGCTGCTTCAGCTGCCTGAGTGGTCCCAAGATACCACTTTGGTGATAGCAGGAGCTTCTATTCCTTTGAGAGTCCTGAGAAAATATTGAAGGAGCTCTGGCTTCCTGGTGGCAGCTGGCATGGCTTTATAAGCATAGGGGCATAAGAGTACCACATTTCTGAAACCCCCCAAGTGTTCTTATCATCTCCCTGTTATGTTCCTTGAAAAACAAGGAGCTTTAGTCTGATCAAAAATTTCAATTAAGTGCTGATATCTAAGCTAAGAATAGCTCACTAGGACTGACCATTCTATGCTGATGAGAAGAGTGTCAGTATCATTTAAGGCGGTCATATTTGAACAAAACTCATTTCCCATTGCAAATGCTGTGTGTGGATCATTTTTTCCAGTAACATACTACTAATATTCATATTAGATACGGCAACATTACAGAGATTTCTATCTGATTTCCTTAGGATGATGAGAGAAGCTGCTGGATGTAGATTGTCAAGTGTAACTATGTGATAAATCGCCATTATACACAGCTATTATGTACCTTTTACTACAAGAATTATAAACTGGATCAAAATGCCTATCAGATCCACAGATTTCCACATTTGTCAGCTTTACTTGGCAGTCTATGTATTCAAACTAGGTGAATTCTCACAGAACACCACCATTCCTGCTGATAAAGCATCTATTAATATTTCAGTGCTACCTCAACGTTGACTATAGTGTAACTCCACAGACAGGTTGGCCAATTAAGATGATGTCTCCATCCTTGAAGCACTTGAGTTTTAGCCAAATTTTCAGCCCTAAATGCTTGTTACACATCAAAGAGCTGATCCTCAACAACATAAACAGTAGCTGTTTTTATCCATTAAAATCTGAAACACTTTGCTACCATATCCTACCCGAAAGGCAGATAGGCCAAGGCTGCTGGATGCCTAATCCCTGTAACCAATAAACCATTCCCCGCCACCTCTCTCACCACATTGTTGGGATACTTCTGACATAAGCCTTTAGTTGGTGTTCCTTGAGGGGACTGATGGGCTTCTCATTTGGAAAGTAGGAAATACTAAAAGCAGAAGTAGATGACATTTAGTCTTTTTCAATGGTCATGACACCGATGCACAGAGGTGGGCAATAAAGAGAGATTTCCAGCTAGAATGAGTAGAGGACACAATGTTAAAGCTTGTCCTGGTGCTGGTACTAGTGATACTGGGATTGCCTGATCAATGCAGGCAGATGAAATAAAGATGAATGGTTGAATTGTACAGGGAGGCTTATTGTAGCTATACATGAGCCTGACAAAATAATAATAGGTATTCAGGGACCATTCTGTTTGAATCTGAAATTCCTATCATTCCTGCTTGAAGAGGCAGTCTGTAGGTATTGATCCTCTAGACTTCTCCAGCCAGAGTAATTCCTCTATAGAAACTTAGCCAATAAGGACAATATCTCCCTTCCTGTGGAAGCTGGTGGACAAGAGAGAATCTTCCAGGAAGTGATTTAAGGGATGTTTATGCAAAAGAGGACAGGGTGAGAATGTCTGTTCTCAGTAAGCAACTGGATGGGGACTGCCTGTGCCCTCTTGTCTCAGGCCAGAACCCAACCCCAGGTGATCCCTCTGTGGGCAGTGCATTAGGGCAGAAGCACTGGGGAATAAACAGTGCTGTGAGGGCAAAGACAATCTCTCCCCACCAAGTCCAGCCTCTGCTGCCACCCACTTCACATAAGAAGAACCTCAGTGCTGGTGCCAACAGCTCATAGCCACCCATAGCTCCCCTTCACACTCTGTATGACATCATCTAGATAATATCCTAGGTCACTAGTTATTTTCTTTTAACATTTTAAAATGTCAATTTTGTTTTGTCTTTTATTGTTTCTATTGAAATGTCAGTAGTCAGCCTAATTATTGGCCCATTGGAGATGGTGGCTACCTTTGAGACTTTTTTCTTTGTCTTTGATTTTCAGGGTTTTATTAAGATGTAGCTGGGTATGGCTTTCTTACACTTATCCTGTTGGATATTTGCAGAGTTTCTTGACTCTGCGGTTTGATAACCTAATTAAGTTTTTGAAATTTTTTTTTGGCCAGAATCTTCAAAAATTTCCTCTGCCCAACTATTTCTCTCTTGTTTTTCTGGGATTCCAGTTAGCTATATGTCAGAACTTTTTACTATGATCCAAATATCTTTTACACAATTGTATTTGTTTTCTTTTTTCTCGCCTTTCTTCAGTTTTAACTATTTCTACCAACCTGTTTTCCAATTTAGTAACCCTCTTTTTGCAGTATCTATTTGACTGTAAGCCTCATCCACTGAGTTCTTTTTTGAAATTATTATGTTTTGCCATTCTAGTATTTCTACTTGTTTCTTTTTTAAGACCTCAAGTTCTCAGATGAAATTCTCTAGTTTTTCTAAAAGTATATTTTCTTGAACAGATTTGTTCATCTAAAATTTATATTTGAAAACTGTAATACATAGTCACTCTTCCAATGACTTTTATTTTCACTTCTTTTTATTGTTTTTTGGTTAATTGATCCTCCAGATATGTCTGTATTTATATTGACTTAATGACTATTGTTTATAACATTATTTATTCTATGGGTGCCACTATCTTATTTCAGGAAAGATTTGATTGGTCTCAGCATTCTGTTAAGAGTAGGAGCAGATCACCAACAAATGAGTTGAAGTTGTATTTCAGCACTTGGGATGACTGATCCTGTCTGCTTTTGCTCCTATGATGAGGCCCTTCAGAAGTCTTGGCCGAAGGTCTGGGTTGTGTTCTAGGTATCTTCTGTCTTACAATGCCCTAAGCTCCAGTTTTCGTCTCACTAGCACTATGTTGCTGCTAAAGTTTGCATTTTTTCTTTTTCTTTTTCTTTTCTTTCGTACCTTTGCTGCTTCAGTCTTGGCTTTCTAATCACTGACCATATGCAGCATAGGGATCAGGAAGTACATTCGGAAAAGTTGTAGAGAGTGTCATGCTCACGTCTTTACAGTTCTGGTTTCTCTGTGATGTCAGACCTTCATTTTCTGGCTACCTTGTACTGCTCATCTCTATTTTCTGCCTATCTTCAGCCTTCCAAAAGTATGAAGCCATTGATAAGCCTGTACTAGCACTTGTTACATATGTGTAATCCTTTGAGTTGAAAATTAATGAAAAATGTTGTGCTTACCTTAATTGTGGTTTTCTATCTCTACAGCATAACTCCTCAAGTCCTGTCTGCCACTGTAGCTTTTCTAATGTTTCCTAACAGATGATATATTTCTATTTCATTTAGTTTTTATAGTTATTCTCAGAAGGAGGATTTGTCTCCTATAATTTAGTCCATCACAGTTGGAAGGGTAAGACAAAAATGTATTTATTCATGTTGTATCTTTTGGACACTTTCAGGATGTATAGTTAAGGTGAGATTGAGCAGGATGCTATTTTGTTTGCTTATACGCAAGACAAAGAAGGTGGGAAACTTACCAATTTTTAAACAAATAATTATTGAGGCACTACTGTGATGTGAGCTCTCTTCTAAATGCTGACAACATGGAGGTGAACAAAGTAGGCAAATATCCCTGCTAACATGGAACTTATAGTCTAGTGAAATAGGACAGTTACAGTAGAAATAGAAAAGAGAGTCAGATTTTTAGTAACTCTTTAAAGGAATTTTGTAAACTGATTATAAATTTATGGCACTAGGCTAAATATGTTACCTAGAAGAATAGTCAAGAAAAACTTTGGAACACCTAGCTATGCCCTTTCATGAGTATCTACCACAGCAGTCACACAAACTCTGGAATCATGGCATTTGATTTCTAAGTTTTGCTTGCTGGTTTAAATATGGAATATACTGTTTGGATTTTGGTTCTGTAGTTTACTTGGCAGACTAGGTGTTTTCTGCTATTGAATTGGATCCATACTTAACTTCCATTCAACTCTGCTTTCACTCTGCTTTCACTATTTGGACAAATTTCTGGTGATCTAGCTGTGTTCTCTAAGCATTGAAACTTAACTCTGCTGTCATCTCAAGAAATTTGTAACCACCCTGTGATGCTTTTGTGATACAGGTAATCTACAGTGCGGAGGATATATAGGGCAGCACTTCTTAAGTTGAGATCCATGAACCCTGTGTGTCTATTGCTTGTGCTTTATGTTGTTCTTAGTCTCATGAAGTATGTAAACAATAGCCATGTATATATGCATGTGTTAGTATATTTACTTTTTTGGGCAAGGGGGCTGTATTTTCTATAATGTAGGAATGAAAGTTGTTTATGAGGGTAACCTAAAAGATTTTCATGATATCACCCTGCCCCAAATCTAAGCAATCACCAATCATTTTTAATTCTAAATCCTTAATAGCTCTCAGATCTGCCCACTTTTCTACATCTCTGATGCCATCAACCGAGTCTAAACCACCATTATTGCACACCTAGTAACTGTAGTAGACACATTCAGCTCCTTAATTCTACTCATGAATAAACCATCAGGGTGATTTTTTAAGTAAAAAAAAAAAAAATCATATTACTTCTTTTCTTGAAAGTTTTCAGTAGCTTTTCATGCCATTTCTAAAAATGGCTTTAGAACAGTGTATATGTAAAAGAAACTAAGGCTAAGTCCTTAGCATTGCCCAGCAGTCCAGCTAGTGAGACTGTAGAACTCTGGCTAAGAAAACATCCTCTGGAGCCCCTTCAAATCCTAGTTCTCCTGCTTACCAACTATGTAATTTTGGGCAAGTTTTTAACTCTCAGTGCCAAGTTTCTTCTTCTATACAATGGAGAAAAAATATATACACATTATGAGGTTATTGTGAAGATTAAATGAGTTTAAATGATAGTAAATTTGGAACAGTGCCTAAAAAGCACAATAATTATCTTGATAGGTATTAAATTTTGCATGATATAATCCTTACCTTTATCTCTGTATTTACTTCAACATATCATCTCACCTCCTTCACCTGTCAACAATTCTTTAACTCCAGCCTTACTGACCTTGGTATAGCTTCAGAATGACTTGAGGTCATTATTCCTTGTGGTCTTTGCACCTACTGTTTTAAAAGGTCTTCTCACCTACAGTTTCCCTTTTTACTTCCAGAATTTAGCTTTGCTTTCTCATTTTAGACAAGGTAGGTCTGCTTATGAATCACTCTCACCATGCCTCATTACAAGAATTTAATTATAATTATATCTCCAAAAAAATTTTTTTTATTTGGCTCTTTTCTAGATTGAATGTCCCATAGTGGAATCTTTGAATGGATTTTCTTCATGTCTGTCACCAATCCCTACAGAAAATGTACAATATGTATTAGCTACCCCCCCATTTTTTGTTGAATTATTATAGTGAAAGAATAAAAAAAGATTCTGAACTCCCATAATGATAAAAATATATTTATGTAGGAGGATGTGGAATGGTAGGAGAAAGCTGATAATTATGTATTTGGGAAAATTGAGCTTAAAGTTTGGTGGGACAACTGTGGATTGCTTAGGAGAGAGGAGACATTTTTTAATGTAAAGATAATTCTAACAGTAAGTTCCAAAAAAAGAAAACTGAATAGCTTGGATTAATACCAAGGCAAATCTAGCTAAAATAAACATTAAGCACAATTTTGTCAAGTATGAACTGTACCTAATATGGGTATTTTAACATGGTTAAAAGAATGATTTTTTTTTTTTCCTCCTGGGATGGGACATCTTTGGAAAATCCTTTGTTTAGTCAGTTTCTTCTGTGTTTCCCCTTGTACCTGCCAGCACCCCACACAGATAGTTTTAACCATATTAAGCCAAACTCTTTCCCCAAAGAGGCTCAAAACCATAAGAAACCACAAATAAGCATGTATGTTTTTGAAGTTGAAGGTTTGCCAAAGAAAAACATTCAGGCCAAATCAAACTTGAAACTCTAATGCTTTCACACTTAAAACATTGCAGTTTCACGGTAATGTAGCATCCAGAAAAACCACACCATTAAAAAAAAATTTCAACACTTCATGATGTTAAAGGATAAATAAATGAAACCTAACATTTTTATTAAAGTAGAAATCAAATAAAGGTACAATCTATCCTTTTTTTTTAAATTTAGAACTTTTGAAAACATTTTAAGCCTAAGTTAAACTAAGATGTGAAACATCAGAATGTATGGTATAGAATGCCTCTTAAAATGGTAATGCTGAAGTTGAATATATACAAGAAATATTATAAAGGCTCTTTGAAGACAACATGATTTCAAAGTTAAAAGTAAACATTGGTTTTGTGAAAATGAAGTATATAACCCAATTAAACTTTCTGCTGTCTGTTTTTGCTTAATGGTAAACAAGGACTACACTTTTTAAAAAATTTTATTTTTTTAAAACCTTTTTAAGAACAGTTTTAGGTTTCTAGTTAAATTGAGAGAAAAGTAGAGATTACCCATATACTTTTTTCTGTCACACATGCACGTCCTCCCACAGAGTGGTACATTTGTTATAATTCATAAGGCCATATTGACGCATCCTAATTTCCCAAAGTCCATAGTTTACACCAGAGTTCATAGTTGGTGTTATATATTCTATGGGTTTAGACAAATGTAAAATGACATGTATCCACCATTATATTATTATATAGAGTATTTTAACTACCCTCAAAATCCTTTGTGTTCTGCCTATTCATCCCTCTTTGTCCACTCAACCCCTGCAACCACTGCTCTTTTCACTGTCTGTAGAGTTTCTTTTTTTCCATGTCATATGTTGAAATAATACAGTATGTAATTTTCTTAGATTGGCTTCTTTCACTTAGTAATAGGCATTTAAGTTTCCCTGCCTTTTCATGTCTTGGTAACTCATTTCTTTTTAGCATTAATTAATATTCCATTGTCTAGATGTACCACAGTTTATTTATCCATTCACTTACTACAGGACATCTTGTTTGTTTCCAAGTTTTGCCTACTATTAACAAAACTGCTATAAATATCTATGTGCAGATTTTTGGGCAGATATAAGTTTTCAACACCTTTGAGTAAATATCAGGGAGTATGATTGCTGAATCATATATGGTAAGAGGTTGTTTAATTTTCTAAGAAACCACCAAACTGTCTTTCAAAGTGGTTGTACCATTTGGCATTCCCACGACCAATTAATTAGAGTTCCTCTTGTTCCACATACTAACCAGCATTTGGTGTTGCCAGTGCTCCAAGTTTTGGCTATTTTAATACGTATGTAGTGAGACTACTGCAAAAAGATATTTATAGAGATTATATGCCTTCCTTCTTCTCCAGAAAATACATTGTGTGTGTGTGTGTGTGTGTGTGTGTGTGTGTGTGTGTGTATGCCAACATACTCTTTGGATTGTTGTATTTCTTTTGACAGTGTGTTTATCAGAAAAATATGCTATCACAGTCTATCTTTTTTATGTTATTAAGTGCTTATTTTGCCTCAGGTCATCACTTCTAGAAATTTATCTTACTAATTTTTATGTTAATTTATGTTTAATTACGTTATGTAATTCAATTTCACAAACCAATGTTTATTTTTACCTTTGAAATATGCCTTCAAAGAGCCTTCATAATATTCCTTGTACATATTCATCTTTAGTATCCTCATTTTAAAATAAATTTTATACCGTACATTATGATGTTTCACATCTTAGTTCTACTTGGGCTAAAAACTTTTTAAAATTTTCTAATTACCTCACATGCATTCACTTATTTCCTTCTCAAAACAGTATTCAAATATATTAAGTACTATTATTGGATGGGTTTTGCAGATGACAAAACAAAAACAGACACTGAACAAATTATCAAAGGCTACCACAGCTTTCAAGTGGCAGAATTGAAATTTGAATGATGTACTTGAATCTAAGTGCTTGATCACCAATAGGTTGTCTAGATTTTCTTACCACGTTTCTCTCTCAACCTAAAAGAAATCTGGCTTGTATTATAGTGAAACTCTCCTTGCTAGAGTCACCATGTCTTTAATTGCCAAATTTCTTTTATGTCTTACCAAGCCTATCTTGTTATACTTGTTTGCCATAATTAACATTATTATCCACTTCTTCGTTGTTGAAACTTTCTCTTGCTTAGTTTTCATGAAAATGTTTTACTTTTACTTGCCTTCTTAGCATTCTGGCTGCTTGAATTTTTTTTTTTTTTTTTTTTTGGTATATTCTACCTTCTTTAACCTCTTAGTTTTATTTTATTTTTGTTTTGTTTTGTTTAAATTCAGTTCTCAGGCCTCAACTTATTACTTAAATGTTATCTAAAAACCGATTTCTATCTATAAATATTTTCTGGAAATTTACACCTAGATAACCTCTAGGCAACTAAAGCTCAACCTGGCTAAACTTAATTTTGCATTTTCCCCTGTTGAAACTGGTTCTGACTCTTTGAAATTTTGTCCCATGACATGGCACCTTGATTACCCAGAAGGTCATCTTTGATTTCTCTTCTCTTGTCCTTCACACTGAAGCACTCGCCATGGCCACCCCCTTCACATCATGCCCATTGCCACTTCCTTAGTAGAGGCCTCATGACTTCTTACTGGGATCATCGCTGGGGTCTGATAGTCTCCAACTTCTGCCTCACCACTCTCCTTCCCACAATATATAGAGTGATTATTATTAAACAGAAATACCATTTTATCACCCCTCAGCTTAAAAATCCTTGAATGCTCCTGTCTCATGGCAAAATTCCTACAGGCTAAAGCTTCTAATCTTGAGAAGTCAGTCTGATATTACCCTTCCTCACTCTTCCAGCATCATATTTTTTCTCTGTATATATGTTACCTATGAATCTTTCACACAGAGCCAATCCTCATTATTCACAGATTCCATATTTGAGAATCCACCTACACATTAAAATGTATTTGTAACCTCCAAATCAACATTCACAAAACTTTCACAGTCCTTTGCAGACATTCAGGCAGTTAATTGCAGACAGTAAGAGTGGCAGAAAAATTGAATTGCCCAAGGTGCTTATTCCCAGTAGACACTGACTAAGGAGACACTCTACTTTCTTGTTTCAGTTGTTGTACTATAAACAGTGTCATTTTTGTGGTCTATTTAATGCCACATTTTCACATTCTTGTGCTTGTTGTTGGTGACTTTGCTTTTAAAATGGTCCCCAAGCGTAGTGCCGCAATGCTGTCTACATTCCTGACTGCAAGATGTTCTGTGATGTGCCATACACAGATGGTCATACACAGATGTTCCTGACTGCAAGATGGCTGTGATGTGCCATACACAGAAAATAGATGTGTCACATCGGCTTCCTTCAGGCATGAGTTACACCGCGGTTGGCTAGAAGTTCAGTGTTAATGAATCAACACTATATTTTACATGAGATGTCTTTAAACAGAATCACCTATAAAACAAGGCTAGGTAATTTGAACTGAGTATATTAATAATGTTGCTGTTATTGTAATATAGAATAAATCAAATAAGAAATTATGTTTATATTGTTAGGAATTAAGCTTTCAGCATAAGAGAAAGGAAATATAAAATAAAGTGACTTAAATGTAATTTGGAAATATCAGAGACATTTAATATTTTACATCTCTAAAATAAATATGCATTATCTAACTTGTTGAAAAGGCATAGAAACAATAACAATTGTAGGCTATAAGCAAAAATAACTCATTAGCAATTAGTGCCTCTATCACCCAGATTTTGTTTTTTTTTCAACTTAAGTTCCAGGATACATGTTCAGGATGTGTAGGCTTGTTACATAGGTAAATGTGTGCCATGGTGGTTTGCTGCACCTATCAACCCATCACCTAGGTATTACACCCCGCAGGCATTAGCTATTTATCCTGATGCTCTCCCTCCCCAACTCCCCACAACCCCCAACAGGCTCCAGTGTGTGTTGTTCCCTCCCTGTGTTCTCATTGTTTAGCTCCCACTTATAAATGAGAACATACAGTGTTTGGTTTTCTGTTCCTGCATTAGTTTGCTGAGGATAATGGCTTCCAGCTCCATCCACATCCCCGCAAAGGAGATGATCTCATTCCTTTTTATGGCTGCATAGTATTCCATTATCACCCAGATTTTCATCTCTAAATATAATTTCCCACTAAAGGAAAGGAGGACTCCTTGATGAAATGGCTGGTTCCAGCTCTGGAGCAGGAAAAGGGTCAGATGTTTCTAGAACTTTTTCTGCCAGAAACAAAGGAAGCTATCAAATATTGCTGGACTCCAGTTAACATCACAAGACTAAACTAACTAAACAAAACTAAAAATTATGTGAAAGTGTTCCTACTGGACTAAAATATAAGAGAGATACAGCATGAAAAAATAATAGCTGCAATGTTAAAAATTATGAGTTTATCATGAAACACACATACTGGTTATTTTTACCATTGAGAATTTATAAGGACACAAACTCTTTATTCTAAACCAGGGACTGGCAAATGTTTTCCATGAAAGACCACATAATAAGAATTTTAGACTTTGGGATTCACATCAGTCTCTTCTACTTCTTCCTTCTGCTTTCTTCTTTCTTGTTTCTTTTCTTTTTTCTTCCCTTTCCTCTTCCTCCATTTCTTTTGTAGGTCTGCATACTGTTATCTGTTGCATAGTCTTTTCTTGTTTTTATTAACACCCTTTGAAAAATTTTTTTTAAATGAAAAGCAATTTCAGCTTGTAGGCAATACAAAAAGAGGCCTTGGGTCACTTATGGACTACAGTTATCCAGTATATTTCTAGAATAAAAAGATAGCCATGAATATAACAAATTTATCTGGATTTCTTGTAAAAACTGTATTATAGGGTAACCAAATAGTTGATGACAAAAATTTCTTTATAGAAGTCCAGCTAATGAGTTCAGAAATAGATAGAACTTTGATAAGTCATCATTTATAAACCCTAATGAATATTGAATCTAAGCATTAATCATTACACTGAAACCATGAATTAAATGTTAATGGCGATTTATATAAATGAATAGATGAGGCTAGAATCACTTTGACCTTTTGTTTTCCAAACTTTGCCACACACATATTGGCATCACCTGAGTATCTTTTAAAAATTACTATGCCTGACCACCAACTCTGGATATTCAGATTTAATTGGTATAGCTTGCACCTGGGTCTCAGGAATTTTCCCAGGCCCCATCATCAATCTTAACATCAGTAAAAATGGAACAACCTTATGTTATGTGCCTCCTGATGAGATGTAACAAAAAATAGCATTGCCAAAACATGTAGCATAGGTTGCCCGCTCTGTGTTGCAAAAAATAAAAATAAATAAAATTAAATTAAAAAAGCACCCAGGACAGTGTGGCATCTTCATATTCCAGCCTGCTTCATATTTTACTACTCCAAGTGAGCTTAACTATCATAGAACTAAAACTGCTGTTAAAAAACACAAGTTAAAAACATTTTCCTTTCTTTTAAGTGGGCACAAAATCTATACTTCAATAAAATTAAGTTTTTCTAATCTCATTAGTTGTTGCTCACTTCTAAAATTTTCTTGTAATAAAAGTCTCATATTTAAATGGACACATCTTAATGACTTTTTTATATTGATAAAAGTTATTTTCTTTTAAAATAAATGATCTTTCTTTTTATTCTTTTTTTTTTAGGCAGAGTTTTGCTCTCATTGCCCAGGCTGGAGTGCAGTGGTGCACTCGTGGCTCACTGCAAACTCCGCCTCCCAGGTTCAAGCAATTCTCCTGCCTCAGCCTCCCGAGTAGCTGGGATTATAGGTGTCTACCACCACGCTTGGCTAATTTTTGTATTTTTTAGTAGAGATGGGGTTTCACCATGCTGGCCAGGCTGGGCTCGAACTCCTGACCTCAGGTGACCCACCCACCTCAGCCTCCCAAAGTGCTGAGATTACAGGTGTGAGTCATCGCACCCAGGCTAGAATAAATGATCTTTCTCTGCCTACATCTAATCTTGCCTAAGGTAGGTATTAATATTTTGGCTTCAACTATACTTAAATACCATTTGCATTAGAAAAAATTCACTTTGAACTTGTAGCAAAATTTATTTATCTACCAAATGGTATCTATAAAAGGACGCCTATGAAAATTACATTTTATTCTTATTTATAAAATTAGATATTAATTACATATTAAGAATTTATAGTACACCTTTAATTAATATTAATGTTAATATTATTTTAATTATCTATTGTTACACTAATCACAAATTTGAAACAAGTTTCTTTTTTCTTTGTTGAATTATTTTTGTTTTCCAGTTCAGTTTATCTTGCTTCCTTTCATTTAGTTTTGTCCTTTTCTTCATCTGATGATCCTTGTCTACTTACTAATTTATATTTGAAAATGAAGGGCTGGGTTAATTATCTAGGTAGCTGCTATAATTTTCCTCTGCTTTGGTTCAGGTAAATTTCTCCAATAGGCATGTTCTGTAGAGGAGCACATCTGAGGGCTCTACATCAGTGCTTACTGTTGGTTAGGATTCAGTGTGTGTACATGTGCAGCAAGTTGGAAAGCTATGGTCTCCACCATTACCAATCCAAGAAGAGTTTTGTACTCATTGTATTTCACTCTTGGGTAAAGCTATCTTTGCTTTTATTTATCTCGGAGTATGTTGGTCAAGACTCTAGAGCTACTTCAAGGTGAGTTTCCAAATGATTCCTAGTCTGCAACACCCATATTTGCATAACTCCCAGGGCAGATGTTTCATTTTGCTTTCATAGCAGTTCTTGGTTTCTAGGCTGAGGGTAAAACCCCCTGGACCTATCTGGTTGAGCTGTTCAAAATGAAGTTCCATTTAATGACTATGATTAGTAGTCGAGAAACCTTACTCAAGGATCTTAAGTTTATTGACTCTCAGCATGAAACTTCTTACAGGCCCTGTTGCTCTTAATTTCAGGACTGTAGTATTCCTTTTTCTATTTCTCTCATAATTCCATTTGTTTTAGATATTCCAAGAGTTCTCATAGTCTCTGGACTGCCTTGTGTTTTCTTTTTCTACCAACATCTTTATAGTTCTTGTCATTTATTTACATTTTTGAGTTATTTAAATTATCCTTTGAATGGGGAGATGTGCTGAAATTATGCTGAATTTGACATTGGGATTGAAAGTTCTAATTAAAAATGTAGAATAGAAAAGTTCACTTCCACTATAGCCTCTATGTTTCTTTACCTTTTTTACTTTTAGCTCTGAAGGGAATCAGAATATGTTACCCCAAAATATGCCATTTTGGTATATTTATTATTTTGAGCTGAAGGCAATTGAGAAAAGATAGATGCAGGAAAGGGTTTCTTACTTCTCCCTTTTTACCGAAAAGTAGGGCATGAGTTTCTGAAAAAGAAGTCCTTGTACCAAGGAGAGAATATTTGTTTTATCACTGGAGCTGGGGAGTTGGTGCTAAGATGAATCTGTACAAACAAATCTAGTAAAATAACCCTTATCTTCAATTAGTTTTCCTTATATATTTCCCAGTCATTTTCCTCCAATTTACTGCTCCTAGCTAAATCTCTCTCTCTTTTAATTTGTTTTCTCATGTCTCCACAACTTATCACTCTTTGTTAAAATGGTATATAAGCTGTCTCAGGCATATCTACTTTTGGGCTCTTCATTTTTTATATATACAGCCCTTCATATGCAAGTAAAGACATTAAATAAATGTCTACACTTCTTTCCTGTTATTTTGTCTTTTGTCAGTTTATTTCTCTTGCCCAGCCATAGAGCCTAAGAGGGTAAAGGAAAACTCTTTCCTACAGTCATACTTTGTCATAGTTTTCACTGGTTTCTTTAAGCTCCCAAATCAAATCTATTCTCTTTAATCTCCTCTCCTGTTTTCCTTTAAAAAATTGAGATGCACAGTCACATATGACTCAAATTCAATCCCATCCCACAGCCCAAGTTATCTATGTTACTCTACTGTAATATTTTCTTTTCTTCTCAGAATTTGAGGGGCCTTCCCCACGGAGGCCAGTTTCTGTGTTCAAGCTCTTGGTTCCATGTCCTTTCTTCTCAGGGAGCTTAAACCATTGCTTATCCGTTCTCTTCTTTATCAGCTTCATTGACAGTTTCTCCTAATCTAAATAACTTCTTTCTATTCTTAAATCCTATTCTAAATAACTTCTTTTTATTCTTAAATTCTAAGTAATTCTAATTCTCTCTCTCTTCCCCTCCTCTACAGTGGAGGTGTAGGGGATTCCTCTTTTCTCTGCCTCCCTCCCTTTTTAGAATAGTTCTTTTGAGAGAGGACCAGTAGTCATTCTTCAAGGTTCTTCACCTCTTACCAATTTTTTAACCAACTGTTAACTGTTTTCAAGCCCAGTCACTCTATCCTGGTAAAGGAACATGAGCCAATAACTTTCATGATGTAAAATCAATGGCTGAACTCTGTATTTTTAGTTTTCTGAAACCCTTTCTCTTGGTTGCTTTATATATATATGTATATTTTTTCCCATTCTCCATTGCAGTGTTGTCATTCTAGAACTCCCTTTCAAATACTAGCTTTTTAAGAAAAAGTTTTCTTTTTTTCTTAGACCATCTTAATTATATTCTAAATTGTAGCTAACAATCCTGGGCTTATTTTTATGCCAGATATTTATTTCTTGACCTTATCTCTATTTTGACCTTTAGAAAAAATATATAAAATTACCCAGTGCATATCACTTGGATGTCTCACATGTAACCCACGCTCACATCATTATTCACTGTTCTCTCCTCCTTTAAATCACAAGTCTTAGTATTCTTCCTGTATTTTCCATCTCATTTAGTGATACCTCCATCTATATAACACCTAAGATAGGGATTGGGGAGCTAACCAGGCTACCCCTCGCTCTTACTAGTTACATCTAATTAAGTATCAAGTCTTACACTTTTCATCACTTGCATATGATGAAAAAAAAAGGTCCCATTTTGTTCCATTTGTATATATATTGCTTTATCTTGGATTCTTATTACCTATCCCTGAGTAACTGCAGAGTCCCATGTGATTCATGCATCAGCTTGTACCTCTCAAAATTTTGCAATACACACAAATGAGTGAGTCTAAAACATAAGTCTGATTGTATCATCCATTAACAAAAATCACGTAAGATCATCATGATCTGCTATTTCAGCTGCATCATCTGTTATTCCCTTCCTCTTCCCTCATACTTGGACTGTCTCTCTCTCTCTCTCTCTCTCTCTCTCTCTCTCTCTCACACACACACACACACACATTAGTGCACGCACTATGCTATTTCACACTTCTCTGCTTTTGTTCATGCTGTTTTCTTTCCCTGGAAGGGACTTCATTTCTAATTCGATGAGTCAGTATAATACATTTAGACTCAGCTGTTGTATTACTTCCGCAAGGAAGAGCTTTCTAATTATTTAAAAACTTAATTAACTACATTTCTTCAGTGCAAATCTCTCTCACCTAAATTACCATAGTAAATTTAAATTACTTTTGCTTCCTCATTTTCCTATGACACTGTAAGTTTTCTTCTGGCAGGCATGGTATCCTGTTTATCTTTCTTTCCTAGTGCCGAGAAATGCCTGGTTCAGAAGTGAAGTCAGTAAGAGTTCCTTGATGTGGGTTTACATTTTGAACTGAAAAACCATATATATAATATATTGCCTCAGGAAAGATGCATAATTAAAAAGTTTTCAGGCTTAGATTTTCTTCTTAAAAAAGTCTGATAAATGTAATAAACTTTATACTTATTAAGTTTTTTGATTACAGATATTTTAATGGTAGCATATAATTTGTCTTGTGGGTAATGATATGGTAATCAAATAAAATTGGAGCCTGCCAAACATTATTTATCAATCTATATATTTAATTCATCTACTTGCCAAAGATAAGATTAATGAATGTTTTCACATTTAAGCATTTGAAATAGAGAGAAAATTTAACATATCAACTATTAATCCTTTTGCTAGAAATCAATTGGTTTGAGGCTTAACATTTCACACAGATATTATCTCAGAAGGTGTAGTTAATTTTTCTCTTACTTTATGTTCTGAAAAATGCAGTACAAAATCTGGGGTTTTCTCTCCTTTCTTCTTTCTGTTTTTCTATTTTTTGTTTTTAAATCAAGGATTTGGGTATTTCATAAATGGCTGTTTCAACAAAGGTATTTTTTAAATCCGGAAACTGTGACATTCCCCACAAGGCCCAAATACTATAATTTTCCAATTGAAACATTATCTCTTGAAACACATGAAGATATAAATCCCTCTCTTTATTTGCACTGTTCTATTTACAGATTTCTACATAATCTGCACCATGTTTTCCCAGGATGACCCCGTGACCTGATAGACATCAGAGAGCTTTAGACCATCGCCTTGCTAGATTGACATGTATATTAGGAGAAGAGACACTTGTTAGTCTATAACTCTACAGTATATCACATTTCCATTTATCTTGTGCGTCACTATATTTTATTGATGCTTCCTGATCTGTTCAAATAAGTTATGCTCTCGTGCCAAAAATGATTATACTGTCTCTGTTTTTATTGGTTTACCATTTTCCCTAGGGAACTGACTAAGAGGCATACTTTTGAGATTGCTGTTAAGTGAAAGTTAATACTGAATCATGAGAGAAAATGTTCGAAGTATAAAAAATTTTTTAAAAAGTAAAAAAAAAGCCTTTCTAGTTTTATTTTCTACCTCTAGATATTTAATCTGACCAAGTTGCTACAAACTAAAAAGGAAATATATTATATGACCCTTATAAGTTTGTCCAAATCTGCAGACCCAAGTGAAAAGTCACATATATCCAGAGAGAATTAGATCATCTGAAGGATAAATTTACTGAAATGTGATTATATGAAAGAAGACAAGAATTTGGCTAAGGAAATATCTTCTAGAATACTAGTTCTCATATATTTTAGTCTATGGATCATTTTGAGGGCACCAAGGATCCTCAGTGTTGACTGACATTGAATTTTTTTTCAGGTGGCGTGTCAACCTGGTTACTACTTTTCTAAGTTTATAATTCCAGTGACAGCAGAATAATAACTGTGTCATGATTAGGGATTTGCCATCTTTAAAACACTTCTTGTGACCATGATGCATTTATGATAAACTAGAAGGCCACCAGCCTTAGCAATAGGCAGATTTTTATTTGCTCTCTGGCTGGATCATTAATAGTTATGTGACAGACTCTCTGCTGTTTAACAGCAGCAGGAAAAATCCCCACCTATTTCATAATGTTATTGACAATATTAATATACATATGGACAGTTCCTAGTTTATGGTAGGAAATAAATATGTGTTCTCCATGCACAATCCATCTTTTCTTTTTCTTCAAGACTTTGGCTCATTTTGCTTGACATCTTAGGACTAGGACCTAAAAGAATTGCAGGGTATATTTCCATGTGTTCCATTGGTAGTCTTTGATTGTATTGAAATAATATCTCCCCTGCTGGTAATCATCTCAAGTGAGATCCATTTGTCCAACCACTCTGAAATTGGATTTTTAAAAAATTGGTTTATTACTCTCTTATGAAGATAACAGAATGCTTAAAGGGTAGCCAAATAATTACCTCATTAAAAATTATGAGAACTTTAGCAATACTTTTAAATCCCTACCTCTGATTAAATATAGAAAAGAGGAATAATGAAGAAGAAATCCAGTTTCTAGTCTTAGAGGTAAAGGCCCTATTCATTTTCGAAAATGGTAATCAAAAATTTTTAGTATAATCTAAAAGTAAGATATTTTAATGGGAAAAGCTAGAATATCCTCTTCTGTGACATAAAATCATAATTTCCACATTGAATATTTTTATATTTTACCACACTATATTGAAATAAAATATACACATATAAATATATACACATCATAAGTGTATAAAGCAACAAATTATTACTAAATGAATATCTATATTCATTTATATTGAAGGTATTAGAAATTAAATAGAAACTATTTAAAAATGTTTATTTAATATAATAATGAAATCATATGTTATCATAAATATTTCATAAATATTTTATGGAAAATAACAATATTTTCCAAAACAAAAATAGCCGAATGGCATTGTTAACATTTTTGCAAATCTCTTTAATAGAAGTAATAGAAGAAATTTGAAATATTTACATCAGCTCCTTAATTCAATCTGTTGCTACATTTGTTTGGTTGAATACTTTAAGGAAGTTTAATCTTATGTAGTTGGAAGGAAAGTTTGTTTTAATGTCATTTTCAGATAATTGTGGATATTTTTCTGTGATACTGCAGAAAAGCTTTGACACTATAGAGAAACAATGGTCACTTGACCACCTCTCTTTTTTTTTTAACTGACTAGGAAAAGTATCTAGTAATGTTCAAATAAGAAGCAATGATATCAGATAGCATTGTCTCCTTCCTAACTTTAAAGAATAAGTTTCCACTATTTCACCATTAATCTTACATTTTCTACAGATCATTTGTAGGAAGTTCCTTTATATTTCTAGTTTACAAAGACTTTTATGTCATGAAAAAGATATTACCAGATTCTTTTTGAATACCTAAAATATGAGTTTTCTGTTATGTTCTTTTAATACAGTGAATTATATTGAAGGATCTTTAAATATTAAACAAACCTTATATTCCTGGGATAAACCCAGCTTAGTTGTAGTTTTATACCTCCTCTCAGCCCCCACATACCATCAGTGAATTGCTAATATTTCACTTATAATTTTAAAAAGTTATATTCACGAGAGGAATGGCTTGGAACTTGTGTTGTCCTTGTCAGGTTTTGGTATTAAAGCTACATTCTTAAACTAAGTTGGAAAACATTACTTTCACTTCTGTGTCAGTATGTATAAATTGCAGTTTTCTTTGCTGGGGAGTGAGGGGAGGATTAACCGCCTATTCAATTTCTGTAATGATTAAAGACTATACATTTATCTGTATTTTTTATTCATTAAAATATATTTATGTAACAAAAAATTTTTTAAGTTCAAACTACTTTACATACCCAACTTTACATCACTTCAAGCTGTTTCCTAGTGTGAGATCAGTTTGTCTAATCACTCTGAAACTGGATTTGAAAAAAAATTGGTTTATTGCTCTACTTTATTATTAGATAACAGAATGGTGAAAGGACAGCTGACTTTAGCAATACTTTAAAATCTCTAACTTGATTAAAAATGGAAAAGGGGGGTGATGAAGAAGAAATAAAGTTTCTAATCTTTATTTAGATTAGGATAATCTAATCCTCCTTCAGGTCTGAATACTGAAATTTTCTTATTTCTATCCATTTAGGCTAATTTCACCTGTTTTATGAACTTCATATAAGTGAAATCACATAGTATATATTCTTTTGTATTTACCTTCTCTCTCTCAATATAATGTTTTTGAGATGTATCCTCAGTGTTGCATAAATGGTTTGTTCCTTGTTAATCACTTAATATTATTCCATTAAATGAATATATCACCATTTATCCATTTTCTATTAATTGACATTTGAGTTGTTTCCATTTTATATATATTATAAATAAGATGGCTATGGCTGTCTTGCACAAGTCTTTGTGTGAACATATGTTTTTATTGGGTGAATACCCAGAAATGAATTATTTAGTCATGTGTCTATTTAACATATAGGAAACTGCCAGTCTTCCAAAGGTGGTGTAACATTTACACTTCAACTCTAGCTGCTCCACATCCTCTCCACATTTGGCAATATCAGTCTTTTTGTTTGTTTAGCCTTTTATTGTGTGTAAAATGAAATCTCGTAGTAATTTTAATTTGCATTGACCTGATGCTTATAATGTTAGCACATTTTCATGAGCTTTTGGCCAACCAAAAATATTTTTTTATGAAGTGTTTATTCAAGTCTTTTAACCATTTTTGGTTGTGTTGCTTGTTTTTCTATCACTGACTATTAGGAGTATTTTTAGGGTATTCATAAAAGTCTTTTTTAAGGTATGAGTATTACAAACATTTTCTATTGATCTGTATAGCTTGTCTGTTTATCTAATGATAGCTTTTGATTAACAGAAATTCATAATTTTTGTTAAGGTCATCTTTTATATATTTTTCTATTTTATTGTTGAGGTTTTTGTTTTCTGCAAAAAGATTGCCTACATAAAAATTATAAAATTATGACCAATTTTTTAGCATAAGCTTCATGGATATAGATTTTGAGTTTAAAAATGTTTTTCAGCATTTTGAAGATATAGTAATTCCCTTTTCCTGTGATGGTCCTTTATTATTGAGAAGTCACTGATTTGACTTTTTTGCTTTTGACTTTTTTCCTTTGGTGCTAATATGTAATTTTTTCTGATTGTCATAAAAGTTTCTCTTTATGTTTAGTTTTAAGCTAATGTAAATTTTGCCACTAGATGTGGTTTTCTTCGTATTTATCTTACTTAGGTATATGTAGTACTTCTGGAATTTGTAATTTGTTATCTTTTGTCAGTTTTGGAAAATTCTTGGCTGTCATCTCTTCAAATATTGTTTTTTCTCAATTTTATACTTTCTTTCCATCTCTAAACTGAATTACATGTATGCTAGACTTTTAAAAACTCTTCTATATGTTTGCTTAATAGTTTTTGGTGTAACTTCCACACTTTGCATCCTTTGTAGCTTTATTTAGTAGGATATATTCTCATCTCTCGGTTTACTAAGTCTCTCTTCAACTTTGTTTACATATTAATTTCTTAGTTTCAGTTATAGTATTATATTTGTTTGTTTGTTTTTAAGAGACCATGTCTTGCTCTGTCATCCAGGCTGGACTGCGGTGTCGCCATTATAGCTCATTGCAGCTTCGAACTCCTGAGCTCAAGCTGTCTTTCCAGTTTTTGTATTTTTAATTTTCAGTTTTGTAATCTTTTTGTGTTTTCTATTCTGCAATAACATTTTCTTATTTGGCAAAATTTATCAAATATGGCCTTTGGTACTTCCAAAACCTGGTAAATTTCTATAATGCAGTGCTATGACTCCTGTGATGTAGTACATCTGAGTCTCATCGGAAAATCTGTTGGATTTATTAGTATCCTCTTCTTTAACAAAATCTTTGATTCTACTAAAACATTTGCCTACTTAGTTTCTCACCTCCAGCTTTCAGAATAAAAAACGGTTTTATGTATTTATTTACTTTTCAGGATAGAGTCTTGCTCTGCTGCCTAGGCTAGCATGTGGTGGCATGATCATAGCTAACTGCAAGCTTGAACTCCTGTGCTCAAGCCATCCTCTCATTTAAGCCTCCCAAGTAGCTGGGACTACAAATGTGTGCCACCACACTTATATATGAGTCATAATATAATATATAAGTTATATTATTATAATATATATATTATTTATATATATTTTGTAGATAAGTGGTCTTGCTATGTTGCCCAGGCTAGTCTTGAACTCCTGACCCCAAATGATCTTCCTGCCTGTGCCTCCCAGAGTGCTGGGATTACAGGTGTGAGGTACCAGAGCTGGTCTAGGTATAATCTTAAGGGCAGAGAAAAATACTGGTCAATTTGTGTTTCTTTTCTCTTCTTCTGTATTTGGCCCTGAAAATTCTAGCTGCCTGATGCTTTCAGAAAGCTGTTTTAATTAAAAGATTAATATGAAACAACTTACATACTTTTGTCCAAAATTTCTTGTATGAATTTCTAATTTTTAAAAAGTAGATATAATATAAAAAACTGGAATAGTTAAATAAGTCAGAAAGAGAAGACTATACTTTTATTAATTGGAAAGACTAATAAAAAGAAAGGGCAATATATTTGGTATTGTTTTGGATTTTTAAAGTTAATTTGCTTTCTGATAAATTTGCAAGTGTGTATAACATTATTCCATATATTCACATTTTGATCAGCTCACTCCTGGAGACTGTGTTGCATATTCAAACCAAATATAAACTAAAGAAATATTTATGTTAAGTTGGATATTTGTAGAAAAATCTAGATCAGTTTTCCAACAATAAATATGTGAAGCATGTATTTTAAGAATATGTACATGGAGTTATTTCTATACTAAAAACAAGAAGTCACTATTATTTGCTTATTATTTATATGTATGATTTATATATTATGGTTGTTTTAGAACATAGTGCCATAATTTTTGACACTTATCCCATTGAGAAGTGGATTCTAGTCTTTTCTTTTGAATCTGCTCAGGCTTGTGACTAATTCATATGCAAGAATGTGGCAAGTTACCTTATGTGGCTTTCCAAATTAGGTAATGAAATGCTATGTGGGTTTTACCTTTTGCTGGAACTCTTGCTTTTTAAAGAACTGAGTCATCATATAAGTCTGAATACCCCAAAAATCCCATGCTGTGAGAAAGCCAGGCCAAATGGAGAAACCTTGTATAGCAGTTCCGCTCAACAATTCTGGATGAATCTAGCCTTTGAGTCTTCCCAGCCCAGGTACAAGATACATGAACAAAAAAGGGTCCAGATCATTTCAATCCAGCCATTTAAGTTACTCCCAGATAGTCCAGTTTTTCCTGCTGAGATTGCATATATTATGAAGCAGAGGCAAGCTCTCTCTACCATACTGTCTTTAAATCTTTTTTTAAATTTAATTTAATTGTATTATTTCATTATTTAATTTAATTTTATTATTATTATTATACTTGAAGTTTTAGGGTACATGTGCACAATGTGCAGGTTTGTTACATATGTATACATGTGCCATGTTGGTGTGCTGCACCCATTAACTCATCATTTAGCATTAGGTATATCTCCTAATGCTATCCCTCCCCCCTCCCCCCACCTCACAACAGTCCCCAGAGTGTGATGTTCCCTTTCCTGTGTCCATGTGTTCTCATTGTTCAATTCTCACCTACAAGTGAGAACATGCGGTGTTTGGTTTTTTGTCCTTGCGATAGTTTGCTGAGAATGATGGTTTCCAGTTTCATCCATGTCCCTACAAAGGACATGAACTCATCCTTTTTTATGGCTGCATAGTATTCCATGGTGTATATGTGCCACATTTTCTTAATCCAGTCTATCGTTGTTGGACATTTGGGTTGGTTCCAACCCACTATTGTGAATAGTGCCGCAATAAACATACGTGTGCATGTGTCTTTATAGCAGCATGATTTATAATCCTTTGGGTATATACCCAGTAATGGGATGGCTGGGTCAAATGGTGTTTCTAGTTCTAGATCCCTGAGGAATCGCCACACTGACTTCCACAATGGTTGAACTAGTTTACAGTCCCACCAACAGTGTAAAAGTGTTCCTATTTCTCCACATCCTCTCCAGCACCTGTTTTGACACAGAACCATGAGCAAGAGAAGATTGCTTGTTTTTTTTGTTTGTTTGTTTTGTTTGTTTGTTTGTTTTTGTCATTAAGGTTTGGGGGTTTGCTATATAAAAACAGAAAACAGGAAGATAATTTGGGAATAGGACAAAAATCTTAGGGGAGTTTCATTAAAAAACCTATATCATGCTAGTTGGGGGACCAATTACTTAGAAGTCTGCTGTCCTTGAGGAACCTATCCATAAAGGCTTACATGGAAGTGAGGAAAATGTTGCTGGAAGCTTGAGGAAAGGGGACTTTGGTCATGCAGTAGAAGAAAATTTCACATCACTGCATTGTAGTAACATTAAAAAAAATGAAATGTACCTAATGGAATCCCTATTATGGGTAAGAATTCCAGTCATGATGTTAAAAGGTAGCACCTGACTTCTTCTAGCTTCTTATACTAAAATTTTAGAGTAGAGAGATAAACTAAAGAACAAACCATTCGTTTTCAAGTAGAATTTAGAGAAAACACACAGGGAACCCAGAACTGTCTTTCCAGCCAGCAGAGGAATCTCAAAGAAAGACATCAAGACGAAGATCAGATCCGGAATGCTGTCAAGAAAACATGGCTTTGGGGTAAAAATGAAGCCAATGTTTGGGAGAAAAACTCTGTGTTAAGATCCCAAAATGAGTTAAAATATTTTTCTTAAGTATGTTTCAGGAAGACATAAGACCTCCCAAGGATTTTAAGGATAACAAGTCTTGGAGATACTATTAAATAGGATTTCTAGGAACCTTAAGGGTTTCGTCATACAGCAGTCCCACACAGTAATGGGACTTAAGACAGACAGCAAAAGGCATAAGTGAAAGATATTTATAGATATGGCTTTTGCCTAATGAATTGAATTATACTGATGCATAAAACACTGACAGAGTTTTTAGTAGAATCCAGCCTAGATTGAAAGGGATGTGAACAATATAAAATAAAAAGAGGCCTTTATAGCCTCAAATGTCTATGGGCAGTAAACTAAAATGTGAACATGATACAAATGGCAAGGTGGAGCCACATGCTGCAGATAATCATTTTCAGGGAGCAGGCCTCGGTCCTAATCAAATAATGGCAGGTAGGGCTGGCTGGTTTACAGAATTGTTACGAACTAGAAGCAACTTTTATGTACCTTCTTTTTCACTCTAGGAAAAAAAAAATGTCTGTTGAAGTAATCCCACCATTGAATGTCAGATGTGGTAGTGGTAGGAGACAGATGGATCTAAATGAACTGTAATAATAAAAAAATTGCATCTGAGGAGCCTCAACTGTATCTGGTTCTATTTAAATAATGAAATTATGTAGTATGAACTTGATCTTACAAGTCATTTGAGGGTCTTGGAAGAGAGTAAGTTCATTTTTCCTGTGTGTTATGTGCATAAACAATTTATGGTCAGAAGGCACACAAGTGTAGTTTTCAAAAATGGTGGCAAATTCTTTGACATTTCTCCCATCAAGAAATCAGGTCTAGGTCTCTTTCACTTGAATCTGAGTGCTCCATGACAATGTAACTGATAGAGTATACCAGAAGTAATATTGCGTGACTTGTGTGGCCATTATAAAAGATCAGGCACCTTGTTTCCTAGATAACTTGGTCTTGGATTTCTAAGTCATAATGTAAGAAGTCTGAAGACTCATGTCTGAAAAGCCCAAGCCACATTGAGAGGTCACCTGCAGGCACTTTGGTTGATAATCCCAGCTAAGCCATTCTTAGTTTCATCTCAGCGCTAGAACCTGGGTAAAGAAACCTCCAGATAGTTTTAGCTATAAGCCAATGCTTTTGCAGAATCAAGCAATTTCCACTGTGGCCTGTATGAATTCCTGATTTGCAAAATCCATGAGCAAAATAAAATGATGGTTCTTTTTCACCACTAAGTTTGGAATGGCTCAGAACATACCACTAGGTTGGAAATGGTTTATAGTCAGAATAGAATAAACTCTTAATGTTTATAGCTATATAGAACTATAAATCCCAAGCATATTTACAAATAGAACAAAATTAAATTCAAATGAAAACTAGTTTAATATATCATTTTTCAGCAAAACAAGTTAATTAATTAATGGTCAAAACATGAGTTCCACATACTAGATGATAAATTATACCAACAATATTATTTTTCTTTAATTACTATGCAATTGTTATTCATGAAACACAATGTCAACTTATTTTACTTCAATTCATTTAGCCATATTGGTTACATTTTATGTCTTTCTCTCCTTTTCTCATTAAAAAACATATCACCATATTTTCATTTTCATGATACCAAATTAAAGCTTTTTAAACTGTAAATTATGACTGAAAAAAGTTTTGTCTTTTACACTTAGAGAAACAATTAAACATGACTTTAATAACATACATGGGATGGTGGTTTTCCAGCATATTAACAAATTCAATATTGTAATTTTCATTGCTAACAGAGTACTAACAAGATTGTAAACATGCAAGCATAAGCATTGAAATTGTATTTTTGTTGCTTATAATTGGTCTTTCAAAAGACCCAGCACATGCATGAATATGGTGACAGATTCAGTTGATAAACAATAGTCTGCATATGCAGTTTAGTATCTAATTACACCACATGAATCTAAAAACAAATATAGTAATCTATATTTTTGACATGTCTAGATGGTACAAAACATAAAATAACTAAAATTGTTTTACAATGTATTATTTTTATTAAGATTAGCCAGCCTTTTATTAAATGCTTACTATCTGCCTAGCTCTGTAGTAAGAACTTTGCATAAATTCATATTTGGTTCACCTGATACTTTGGGGTAGATATTTTTATTATATCCATTTTACAGAAAAAGAAACTAAAGCTTAGGGAAATCACGTAACTTGCCAAATACATAGAATTGGTATGCAAATACTAGAGCAGATTTGGAAGCAGTATGGTCATCTAGGCTTTCTGATTTTGAAATCAAATCTCCTTAGCAATTTGCAGATTACATTTTCATTTCTAACCATTTGCTTTCATGTTCAGCATAAATTATTTGCATATACAGAGAATACTACCTACATTACTTCTAATTAATCTATAGGTGTAATGTCAAGATTTTATGGCTTTCATCATAAAGCATTTTAATTGTATATCATTGTCTGGTACTCTATTTGTCTTAAAATTCTAGTAATTTTCACATCAACAGCTGATACAGATTTATGAGTGAATAATTCTCATTAATGCAGAAACAAAACAAGAATAGAATGTCATGTACATTAAATTGAGAATGTATTTTTGAAATGTCTGTTATTTTTGTTTCTTGAAGTAAGTGATAGGATAAAGAGTTAGGAGTGGAGAATAAAGTATAGTTAAATGAAGGCTCAGAAAGACTAGGCAAAATCTGTATTTCAAGAATATAAGCTCCCGTGGCTTCCCTTTCAAGACAAGGAATACAAAGGAACATAATTATAATGAATATCCCAAGGTCACTGTTAGAAGCCTTACTGCCTTATTAATTTATCCTATTTTCGCCAAAGTTCAATTTACACAAATATAGATATAAATCAGTGACTAAGATTAGTCATAAAGTAAGAGTCTGTTGTTTACCAAGTTTCGACTCTTCGATTATCCTCTTGAGTCTCTGTTCAGACCTTATTTATTTTAGGGACTACTTTATATTTTTTAGTTCATGGCTCCTGATACATTAAATTTTAAGTAATTATTTGTGATGAGAATAATGGGAACTTTAGTTTTCCACAGATTTCAATAAATTGTGCTAAACATATATTAATAAATTTCAAAGACAAGTATTCTGATTTTACAGAACCATGTTTTTCATAGGCTAGATTGAGTTGTTATAGGAAGTCTTAACATCCTTATGATTACTCAGTTTTACTGAATTAAGATCTTCTGATTCGATTGCTCAGTATTAGTCACTAAGTACCAGATGTACAGCCTAGTAATTCCCATAAGTCAATGACATCATTTATGAAAGGAAATTATTGTTTACTACATTCATCGTCTTATACTTTTTGTACCATATATTTTAACAATAGCTTTCTAAATTTAGGAAAATTATGTCACAAATCTACTCTTATTTGAAATTCCTAAAATTAAGTTATTTTCACTTTCATAGAGCACGAAACATTGATTTTCATTGTCTATGCAGCAAATAATCATCAAAGTAGCATTTATCTATACTCTGACTACATTCTGTAACTATAAAGTAATAGAAAGTATTGATTGGATTCTCTTGAATTTCTGATTTTTAAAAAGGCACACATACATTTATGAAAGTAACTGAAAGCTATATACATAGGTTCAAAAACTTTAACATTCATCCCTTAAGTGCATGTGAAATAGTAAAAGCAAACATTTTAAGAAAAATGTAATTCACAAGACAGTAACTTGATATTTATGAATCTCACTGGCCTAGCAATTTTTCAAGATATTTTCAAATAGATTAGCTACATTTAAAGACTTTAAACCAGTGGACAAAAAAATAAATTTTCACATTAAGACAAGAATGGCAATAAGAGTGATTACTTGGGAAAATTCATGTTATTCATCTGAAAACTGATTTATAAGCCATACCAAATAAGTTAATTCTATGGGCTAATTCTTGAACATTAATTCTTCTGATACTTGGAAAAATAATTGTAAATATTTAATTTGTTAATATAATTTTAGAAATTTGATTTTATTTCCAAATAATAGTTAAAAAAATAAAAATTTTATGGTGATTATTTCCATATTCTGTTTACACTTTTCTCATATATTAAGTTGACAAACTAAATGTCAAGCTGTGTATGCAGGAGAGAGTGTCTTTCTTTACACGTTAGAAAACATTCAATAGTATTTTAAAAGAGGCAAGGGTATATTGAGACATTTAATTTAAATAAAACACAAAAACTATGCTTTTAAGCATAATGTAATGTAAAAATGCATACAAAAGCATAATATAATATCAACGAATTTAAAAAGAAAGAATTATGTTTTATGATAGTATAAAATATTCCTACTGAAAATGCTTTATAATTTTAAAAAGCTAAACTACTTAGAAAAAAATATAGAGCTGTAGAATTTTTAAAAATTAAATGTAGCATGAATTATGTAGCCCAAGTAGAATACAGATAGTCTTCTCTTTTATTCTCCCATTAGAAACTCACATCATATATAGTATTTCAGATTGAGATAATAGTAAAGTGAAAATATTTGCTATTTATCATTATAATTTACAAATTAAACAACATAGTACTATTAGGGGAAAATTGGAGAACCATGGCTTTTTTCTTTTCCAGATAACTTCGATAACTTCTGCCAGCCAACAGTCAATTCCAATGGATCATTTAAACAGTCTATGACTACTTTACATTCTTAGAACCCTGTCCAGCTCTGCAGTCTGGCAAAATAAGTTATTTCCCCAGTGATAACAAACTGGGAGAATGACTGGAGAGGTTTTGCAACAGGGCCAAGATCTCACAGTGTTCCTCTCTTTAAGTGGGGTCTAGGAGAAACCCAGATTTCCCTCAACAGATAATCATTGGTAAGAACAATATCCTGTATAATGAGGCCAAAGTGACTATGTGTAGTAGGTGGTGAATACTTAACTCTTTCAGGTAGTTTGAAGAGTGGGTGAAGTGGTTTTTTAAAAGATGAACTTTAATTTACTGAAAATTCATTGGAATATCTATGACAGATAAAGTAATCAAAAGATATCTAACAAAAGTTAATATTATCTAGAAGGAAAAACTAAGAAAACATATATGTAAATACTTTCCACAAAGAATGACATCTTAACTGAAATACTTGCAAGTGGGAAGACATAGGAGAAAAACAGACAATTGTTCTTGCATCAGTCTAATTACTACTGCAAAAATTAATATTCATTTTAGCATTTCTAGCTCCTTCTTACAGGGTCTATACATTTAAAATAGCATATGTGTATCACAGTGCTCAGTCTGTGAAAGTATTATAGTCTGGCTGACAGAGATTTTACTCTTCCAGGGGAAAAACAATACTTTTACTGCTCAAAACAGTATTTGGACCTTTTTTACTCATTTAAATGTCTAAAACAGGAAATAAAATTTTAAAATATCTTCTTGTTTTCAAAAGCTTCTCAGAAATCATAGAGTTAAACTAAAACAACAAATGTTAAGGATAATTTGGTTAAAGAAAACATTACTTTTCATGAGTTAAAATATAACTCCCAGCTTCTTAAAACAGAAATCTGTACTCTTGCCAAGATCATTTTATACTCTGTCACGTACACATTAGTTTGTTTTTGAAAAAATAAGAAAAGCTTTTCTGTTATTTTTATAAAGACATTTACAATTCCTGTAATATTTCAACCTGCTAATTGCAAGAAAATTTAGTAAAGCACACCTACATAATTCACATTTTGATAAGAAAATCTGAAATATCTGTTTGCAGTAACTATCAATGGCACGCCCGGAAGCTATGCTGTCATTCTGAATAGATCTGTTTGACTTATCACTTAAAAGTAAGGTAAGTTCCCTAGGCTCAAACACATACAGATGTTTAAGACTTATGGTACAAATTAGAGGGGGAAAATGGTCTTAAAAGAGCCAACCTGTTTAAAATGCAAACTTGTCTTTTAAAAATTTTCTCCTGGAGATTCAGCTCTCACCGAAGTTTTGTCTACATTGGTAATCATTCTCTATGAGATTTGCCAACGTTCACTGTCTATCCCCAATGGAAAGAAAGAAAATGGATGTTTTCCATCTGCAGCAAAATAGAGTCAAAACAAATGCATTTAAATTGGAAACATTTGTGGCTAAAAGAGCTGTTCTCTATGAAAACATCTGGTTGCACTTTTAAGTCATTGCCAAATAAACGCATGCTGGAAAATCTATTTTATGCCACACATGGTCACCCATGTAGATGTAGCCTAAACCTGTTTTTGTTTGAGGTCAACACCCTATTTTAGGAAGAAAAGTACAGGTTTGTGAGTGTGCACTGATTTTTTAACAATACTGCAGAAATGGCTATGGAAGTTTGAACATGTCTACTTTCTTCCAGATGGGGAACAGAGTAGGACAGACGTGCTTTTGATAGTTCTCAGGTAGACAATGCAAAATTGGAAATAATGATGGTTGTGGGACAGATCAAATAACTACTTACTTGTGAACAAAGACTGCTTGTGGTTTCTGATTTTAGCTAGCTCTGGCTGTTATTTTTTTCTTATTTACATAGACTCAGATAACTGAAATGACCTGAAGAGATGGTATTTCAGAATATTTGGGTGACCACATTTATTTGTTATGGTAAGTAACCCCCAAATACCAGTGGCTTAACACAACAGACATTTCTTTTTCACTCAAGCCTATTGCAGATGTTACTGTTTGATGGGTAGTTTTCAGCATTGTCATTTAGGGACCAAAGTTCTTTAAATTGTGTGGCTCTCCCAGTAAGTAGGGCTCAAAGATCACTGAAGATGGTTCTGTGTCTGATCATCACAGAGAGTTAATAGGCTCATTCTGGAGGTTTTTAGGTGACAGGCCTGGAATTGTGTACAGCACTTCCACATTCACTAACCACACATAAAGGACTCAGATGTAGCCGTGAATCAGGAAGAATAGGATATGGGTGTTGGTGAATGCAAAGTTACCTCTGCTACACAGAGGATTCTGAATACATAGAAAATTCTTCAAATATTAAAATACCACACTTGGTATTTTGTTACCTATATAATGCAATTGTCAGATAATGTCATAGTAGCTATTTTACAAATGTTACTGGCCTTTGCCTCTTCTTATCACAAAGGATATTAGCTGCCTAATAAAGTAACCCTCAGACATGTTTCTGAAAGTGTCTCACTGGCACTCATGAAGACACTTGCTATTGCCGTACTACCTTTTGTCTGCTAGGCAGCTTCTGGGTATCACTATCTCTCCTTTTTATTGTACCACTTCCAATGAAACCTACCATCTCCCAATGAATCATCTGCAAGATACTGCTGTGTCTAAACAGAATATGCACATTTGAAGGGAAGACAGCAGAGGCCCTTGGGATGTCCAGATTACACTAAGTACTGTTGCAAAATGTGGATGAAGCTGTTAGATGTGGCTCCAGGCATTGATGCTTGTCTCTCAGAAAGCTTCCCCCTTCTCCTTCACCTTCTTCCTGTAGCCCTTCTCTATATATGTCTTTGACTTGTCTTAGGATAAGACTTGTCTTAGGCTATCATAAATGTCTGAGCATGTCTAGGCATGTCTAAAACCTTTACACTCAACCAAGCCTACATATATATGGTTATATTTAATCCTTGCAACAAATCTAAGAGGTAGATCTAAACTATTATAATTATTATTGCTTCTATTTCTCTAATGAGGGAACTTAACCTCTATGAAATTAAGCAGTTTGTCCAATCTAGCAAAATTCTAGATCAGTTCTCCAAATCTAAAATTCAGGCTCTTAAACATTGCACTATTTTGCTTCCTTTAAGTTTCAGACAAGGCCTTTTACATTATTTTCATTAAATATGCCTCAGTTTTACATATTTCTCCATTCCTTTTCTCCTCCCTAAAATGTCTGTCACTCATTTTTACTGAAATTGGTGATGTTTAACTTAAAACAATCCCACGTTAGTGCTTTAATAGAACTCACTGAATCCTGGGTGGCAAATTTATACACGAATAATAAATGAGACATCCTGTATAGAATATAGGGATGGGGACTGTGTACTCAAAGAAGTAGCTACTGTTTAACTCGAGCCAATGGTTGTCATTTAGGAATGCATACTATGTATTGCCAAATCTTATGATTTTCCAAGGGAAGCTAGGAATTTGGATTTTTATGTGAAAACTGATTTTAATTATTATCATTTTGCTCACTTTTTTTCTTGGGAGGAAAATGGATTTCTAATCTGTAATACCAAAATATGGTCCCATTTGACACCCAATTATTATTATTACTATTATTATTATTATTATTATTATTATTATTATTATTATTGTCGAGATGGAGTTTCGCTCTTGTTGCCCAGGCTGGAGTGCAATGGCATGATCTTGGCTCAGTGCAAATTCTGCCCCGTGGGTTCAAGTGATTCTCCTGGCTCAACCTCCTGAGTAGCTGGGATTACAGGCATGCGCCACTATGCCCAGCTAATTTTGTATTTTTCGTAGAGACAGGGTTTCTCCATGTTGGTCAGGCTGGTCTCAAACTCCCGACCTCAGGTGATCTGCCCGCCTTGGCCTCCTAAAGTGCTGGGATTACAGGTGTGAGCCACCGCGCCTGGCTGACACTCAATTATTTTTATAAGTAGGAAGTAAAAAGGCTGCATTCTTCACGTTTGGTTGTACTCTAAATTTCATAACCATTACACATTTAGTAAGTCACTCACACTTTCATTTATTCACTCATTCATTCATGTAATTCATACATTCACATATTATTCCATTATTAACTGAATTCCATATTGTATGCAAGACATACAATATGATGATAGAAATGAATGATCTCTGCTTTCAAGGTGCTCATAATTTGAGATAGGAAAGAAATACATCAACAGGCAATTAAAATGCTTTTGAAGGGAGTGCAGTGATAATGGAAGGAATAATTAACTCCATCTGGGGATGGTATTTAATGATAAGTGGGAGTTGCCACAGGAAAAAGACACAGAAAGTGCAGTATACATAACCTAGGTGGTTTAGAACAATAGGAAGAAGTTAAAAAAAAATCTAAACGTTCTATACTGCTTGAGCAGAGATGTTATTGGGACTAGTGGAAAACCAAAATATATAGATTTACGAGAATATCTTATAGAACACATTATATTGCTAAATATGAACATTGATCATATGATCACATTATTAGCATATCATTCATATGTATATGTTTGGCTATTTTCCTCAAATACATCTTGAAATGCATAGACACCATAATAATCATCCTCATATACTGTGAGAATTGTCATAATGCAACTAATATACATGTATGCACTTCCTCATTAACATATTAGCAAATGGGTCTGATGGCTGCTTGCCTTAGAATGTTTATACTAAAATTAATATGTAATCGAACTCTTTTTAAAATCAGAGTATAAATACAATGTCGACAGTTAGCCTTGAAATCTTATATATATGATTGAAAACATCTTCAGTTTATATTGAGTTTTTAATAGTTTTATCAATATGATATAACATTTCTAAGCAAACTTATATTTCCAATAAGAGAAACTGTATAATTCACCCTTCAAAACAGTCATTTTGAGAGTGAAAGAACACTTGGTAATTATGCCAGGATAGAGTAGATGGTCATCTTACCAATAATCACAGCAGTAATTGACAGAAAGTATGTTTCAGACATCTACAAGTTTCTATAAATACTCATTGGAAAAATGTGAAATCAGAAAATAACTAACACTAGTCATACTGGGCTCGTGCCTGTAATATTTAAAAGAAAGGGCAGATTTTCTCACAAAAAAATCAAATATAGCTATATTTGGTATCAAGAAAATATCCACATATATAAAAAGCTATAGGATGGTGGGGAAAATTTTGGTGAAGTTTTAAGGAGAAGGAAAATAGAAATATACGGTAGGCTGTATGGTATTAATGTAAATGTGTCAGCCATTTAAAAGGACGAGTTGAAAGGTGAGCTACAGGATATGACGAGGATTTGATCACAAAACTATGTCAGAGACAAGAAGTACTTGTGATGTGGAAATGTGACAACTCAGATAGCAATAAATATAGATAGGTACAAATTATGTTTTACTAAAATAAGAGCCTTTATTATATATTTATTTTGTCTTAGAGGATTCTCAAGAAGGTAAAGGGAGTAAGCAGGGTGAGCTGCTATCTTGGATTTGAATCTGCAAGAACAAGGATTAAGTAAAGTTAATGCCATTTGGAGAAAAGTGACCATGCCATCTTAATATATATGATGGCCAAGGCAGAAAATATTGAGTTTGATCAAAGACATCTCCTGTATATTATGGATTTCCCCATCTTCAAGGAAAAGGCTTCACTGGTTAAAATTCCCTTGACTGAAAAGAAAGGGAGTATTTTAAAACTATGCTTATCAAGATGAGTTCCTTTTCAAGAAGGAAAAAGGCAAATTAGCTGTAAGACGTGGCTTCTTAGAATACTTTATAATGTTGAAAATGAAATTAAGAAATGATAATTTCCTGCTAATATCACACATAATGTGTGTGCTATGTACCAGACACCATACTTAGCACAACCTATATACCTATTTTACAAAAGAGAACAATGAGACTTAAAGTCAACATTTATTCAAATAATATAATAGACATTATGAGATACATTTTAAGTTTTGTGACTATGTAGCTAGGACTCAAACCTAAGTATCTCTGAATATGATTATTAGTAGCCATTTTGTCTTTCTTATAGAAGTATCCAAACAAAAGTTAGTAGAAAATAAAAGGTCAATGCAATCTTACCCTGTTATCATGTAAGTATAATGTATACCTCAAGAGGATTATATACTACTCTGAACCAATCAACTTCCATTTGCAAAATAACCAAGTACAGTTTGGGACATTGCACTTAAGAAATTTACAGATATGCCTTTCAAAAACATGCATATATTTTGGAGGGCATCTGAGATTATATCAGCTAAAAAACAATTACAGGCTTAGTAATATTTAACCTAGAGAATAGAACAAATGAACAATTAAGTAAAACTGTGATATTCCTTTTCAAATTCACGAAACAATGAAAATAATTGCAATGAAGCTTTTTAAAGGTAGCTCCAAAGAGCAAGATTAAGATGATAAAAAGGAAGATAAAGAGGCAGTTTTCACTCACAATGCAGAGAAAGACAATGGGGTTTAAAATTTTGAATAGCTCTCAGCCAAGGGTGTCATATGCCTGTTGTCTATGTCATATATATACACAAATATGAATAATTTTAAAATATAAACATATAGTATAAAATATGTAAATAGGTTTGTATTTATATATAAGTAAATTATTTAAAAACCTGTGAGGAAATTGATATTATCTTCATTTTAAAAATAAGACAAGTGAGGGGTTTGGAGAAGCTATAAATAATAGAGCTGCTAAGAGGCTGGCCGTCTTCCTGTTCTGTTCCCCATCAAACCATATATATAAATTGAGTTCTCCAAGAATGGAGTGAAATGTCCAACACACCTTCCTTGTAGTCTTGATTTTTTAATGTGCAAATGAGAATGTTAGAAGTGACTGTTATAATTCTTTTTTCCATCTCCAAACAATGCCACCTTGCCTCATGTTCTGCTAGATTCATCACTCGTTACAGAGACACCAAATTGACAAAGATTGTGTTCATATGTTCAGGCCTAATTTGTAAGAGTATTGATGAGTTATTTTGTTATCATAACCTTGGGAATTTGAGGGACGAGTATAATTAACTTTGATCCTTTAAAACTGCCTACTTCAATTTCAGCAAAACTTTGTTCAATTTTCATTTTGCGACAGATTGATTGGGTGTGATCCATATACTGCTTGATAACTAAGAATTCAAGGCCTGACTACTTTTCCAAACTGCATACATTATTAAACCTTGAAAAGAACATTTTAAGAAAGCAAAAAGAGAAAAAAAATCATTTACCCTCAATTTTCCCCTTCATTCCTCATCTGTCAACATAAACACCCTATTAGGGAAAAACAAAACCAAAAACAGTGCTTTTCAAACTGGATACCTTTTTTCATTAGAGACAAATTAGCAGCAATTTTTTAAAGTTTCGCTTCTTTGAAGTGTTTGGGGGCATTTTAGAATACAAAGTTATTGAAACCCACTGACCAACCAAATAACAAGCAAATACCTGAACGGTCTTACAGCACTGCTAAAATACTGTGGTCCTAAATAAACGTATCAACTGGGAGAAATACAATGTTTCTTATTAAACTTTCTATATCTGTTAGTTTGATATCTTATATGAAAGAATTCATATAATGAATGGGAATTTGTCCCAGTAATAAGATTATATAATAATTCAGAAAGCATAAACTACCATTTTCTCCAAGGGTTACTTAAGCCTTTGGTTCAAAAGAGCTTGAGTTCCCCATGAAAGGTCTGTACTTTTTCAGGCACGCAATCAGTGACTCAGGATGAGTAATAGGGCCAGGCATCTCCTTTCCCTCCCCTTCTCTCCTCTGTTCTTTCCTGCTTCACCAGAAAATACAAATTAATTGACTGTTTTTAGCATGCCCTTCTGTTGTTTATCTTAGCTCTTGACATTCAAAGATGCTTTAAAAATCTATGGCTATTTTATAACTAGGCTATATTTTAGAAGGAGCTAACAAATAATCAATGAAAGGGAAAAATATTGTTTTATGACTTAATGTTTGATTGGATATATTATTTACTTATATTTCATTTGTATAATGTTAAATAGAGATGTTAATACTTGCAATACTTGGTATAAGCGTACAAATTTGTATATATATGCGCACATATACAGTTCTGATTTGGCTGCCCTGGCTTCTTTTTGTTTCCTAATCTTAAAAAATCTGTAAAGGGCACTCATTTTTTCCTCAGTTAATAATGTGAAAAAGACTACACTGACATGGTTAGATTCCTAGGACTCTCAGTTCTTTAGGGATGGACTAAATGGCTGGTTTCATCGCTTACAAAAGTGTCTGACAGTTCTGACACACACACACACACACACGAGGGGTCTTCAAAAAGTTCATGGAAACTGTATATTATGACAAATCAATGCATGGATTTCAAAATATTTTTGCATCAAAATAATTGCATGCTAATTTGCTATAATATATCTGAACAGGACCTAGTTTAAGGCACCGAAAAAGACAATACATCAGTTTGAAAAGAGCCCCTATAAGAGCAGTGTGAATTCTACCAAAATTAAAGCAAAAACATCAAATATGTGGTGAAGTTTTAGTGTAAGAATTGTGAAATCATTGATGCTTTCCAAAAATTTATAGGGACAATGCCCCAAAGAAATCAGCAGTTTGCAAATGGTAACTCATTTTAAGAAGTGATGAGATGATGTTGAAAATGAAGCCCAAAGTGGCAGACTATCCACATCAAATTGTAAGAAAAAAAGTAATCTTGTCCATGACCTAACTGAAGAGGACTGATGATTAATAGCACAAACAATAGCCAATACCATAGACATCTCAATTTGTTTACCACACATTTTGTGGAAAAACTAAAACTGAGCAAAAGTTTCACTCAATAGGTGCTAAAACTGTTGTGCCTGGATCTGCTGCAGACAAGAACAGCGCTTTTAATGAAAATTTTTTAAAATTGGGATCAAGAAGCATTTCTTCAAAGAGTAGTAATAGGAGATAAAATATAGCTTTACCAGTGAACTGAAGACAAAGAACAATAAAAACAATGGCTACCAAGAGGTGGCAGTGGTCCAGTCAAAGCAAAAGCAGATCAGTCAACAGCAAAGGTCATGCAAGAATTTTTGGGGGATGCTCAAGGCATTCTGCTTATTGACTTCCTGGAGGGCCACAGAACAGTAACATCTGCTTGTTATGAGAGTGTTTTGAGAAAGTTAGCTGAAGCTTTAGCAGAAGAATTCCCCGGGAAACTTCACCAGGGAGTCCTTCTTCACCACTACAATGCTCCTTCTCATACCTCTCTTCAAACAAGAGCAATTTTGTGAGAATTTCGATAACAAATCATTAGTCATCCACCTTACGGTTCTGACTTGGCTCCTCTGACTTCTTTCTGTTTCCTATTCTTAAAAATCTGTAAAGGGCACTCATTTTTTTCCTCAGTTAATAATGTAAAAAAGATTGTACTGACATGGTTAAATTCTCAGTTCTTTACAGATGGACTAAATGGCTGGTATTATTGCTTCCAAAAGTATCTGGAACTTGATGAAGCTTATGTTGACAAGTAAAGTTTATATTTTTATTTTTAGTATTTTAATTCCAGTTTTCCATAAACTTTTTGAAGTTCCCTCATATATATCTCACATACATACAAACACACCTATTATATAAACATACAAATCTCTAAATCTATCTGTCTGGTCCTAGGTAGAACTATGAAATCTGTGTTAGAGGCATTCCAAAATTTATTTCAATATCATAAATCGAATCCTTACACTTTTCTCTGAGCCAGGTTTTATAGGAGACTGAATTCAGAAAGAATGTGATGTAAAATCTTTGCCATAGTTTGTCCCTTACGGTTATTCTTCCCAATAATGATTGAAACTGACATTCTTCCAGTTACTGAAAATGCCTCCTTGAAGGAAAAAAAAAAAACTACTACAACCCTTCCCTGAAACCTTCCCTAAAACTGTTGACATAGTAGTGAGTGTACATAGACAACAGATATTATAATTTAAACAATTGCGTAGTATGTTAAAGGATGATAAATTCTATGGAAGAAAATAAGATAGGGAAAAAGGAATGGGAAAAAAGAGGAGTTCCTACTTAAATCAGATGATGCGGGTAAATTTCAATGAGAAAATGATAATTGAGCAAAAATTAGAAGGAGGTGATGACCCAAGACATATGAACATCTAAGGGAAGAATTTTCCAGGCAGAGAGAATGGTCATTTCCAAGAACTTGGGACAGCAGTGTGTCTGGTAGAACATACTTGACAAAGAGCTTGGGATTTTAGTATTAGATTCTAAGAGAATATACATGCTTAAGACTCAAAGGGAGTAAAACTCGTGATAGAACTTAATCCAGAATATGATAGACAAAATCTTGTTTATTCATTCATTCAAAGGCCAATTAGATATATAACAAGCCTTTCCTTGTCCTCAGCACTGGAAACACAAACACAAGCTAGACAAATAGGGAAAAATTCATGTAAACAGAGTGTTACACTCCATAGAATAAATGCCATAGGAGAGTACACAGAACACTTTTGGGTAATAGTAGAGGGAGGGAATGTCTAAGTATCCCGGGGAAGTCATGAATGCCTTCACTAAGGAAGTGACATTTGATCTGGCTCCTAAAGATTTTGTAAAGTTTCACAAGAAAGTAATGAGAGAGATGCATTTCTGGGCATAGAATCATATCTGTAATGGAAGTATGGAAGAGAATATGAAAAAGCATTGAATTCACTGAATGTATGGTACATTAGGGGGAAAAGAAGAAATGAGTAAAATGTGAAATACTGCATGCTAAGTGGTTTGGACTCTCTCTTCTGTAGGAAGAAAGTTTTAGTATAAAAATGACATAATCAGGTTTGTAAATTACAACTATTTGATGGTGGATATGGAGGATGGATTGCACCATGCTGGCAACCATCTCCAGTTACCAACCATTCATGAGAGGTCCCTGTATATATACGTGTAAAGATGCTTTAATTCTTCAGGGAAAGCTTTATAACATTACGTAGGAATCTTACTGCTAGTGTTGATGGAGAACAGAACTCAGAATAGGATAGGTTACTTCCGAAAATATTCAAATCACAATCCCATGGGGGTGTTCAATATGAGGGTCTACAAAATTCCATTCTAGACTTTGAGTTATTTAATGAGGTATCCTAAGTAACTCTAAAGTAATATAAAATATTTGTTGAGTGTTTCTCATATATCCTGTATTGGGCTAGTTCCTTTTATGCATTACCTCATATATTCATAACAGCTCTGAGGTAGTTATTATAACTTTCCACATATTATAAATGAAGAAGAAAGATTTCCAGGGGAAGTTAAACTATGTGCATAGATAAAATAGCTTTTTTTAAAAAAAATCTGGTACCTTTGATTGCAAGTGTGATGCTTTACCACTTCCCTGAAAATGTGTAAGACTTTGGAGTTTGTAGCATTCTGCCATCAAGGCATAGCACACATCTGAAATGATTTCTCTTCTACAGGTTTTGACCTGGGGCTGGTTTATGCATTCACAAAATATGTTTTGGTGACTAGAAAAATAATGAGTTTCTTGTGGCAAGAAATGTGAAGGGTCTGAAATTTTGCCTTACTTGGAAGCTGAGAGGTTGATTTCCCACAGGTTCATGTATACTGGTACAAGACATAAGACTTTGGGGTCAGATACACAGGACATTATTATTATTATTCACAGAAATTGCAGAAGCCAGAGTGCCAGCATTCACACTGGTTCCTTCAGTCCCAAATCCTAAAAAGTAAGGCAGAGGGCCAAGTGATGCTTGCACATGCCATGGGTTGGGCTAGAGAAGAGGAATTTTGGGCTTAGGGAACGCCAATGTTTTATAAGGGACATTAAGTCTACCTGATCTTTGTCCAGGAAGGAGAGCTTATCCCACCATTTCTACTTTACACACTGGAAATCCCATGGAATTCTTGAAATGCAAACATTTCTGAGAACTTGACCTGGGTAATCTAAGCTAAGTTCTATTCCACTGCCATATGGAAGATTATTTTATTTTATTATATGTTTAATAAGACTGTGTGGAATTTATTTTTATCAAAGTATAAAAGCTATCACTCTTTGGTAGTTTGTGATGCCACAGTTGAAGGGTGAGTATGATTAAGTATATTTTTCTAGCACTGTGACTCCTTGAATCATATACACCCTTCTTTTTCTAAGCAGTAGAGAGATACTGTTGCCAAAATAATTTAACTTTTAACGAACTATTATGGCTGGATAATGCTCCAGGTCACCCTGAATTTCTTAAGGTTATGATGTAAAAATTGTATTTTATCACCAAATGCAACTTTATTAAGTCAGTCAGTGGACAGACCAAGGAATTATTTCAACTTTTAGAGCCTATAACTTTAGATGAATTTTCAGACAAGCCATTGACACTACAACTGAAGATCAGGCAATTAACCTTAGCTCATCTCTGGATAAATATCACTTAAAGCAAGCATTAGAAATCATGAAGACATTCAGAAAGTAAACTGAGTAATATTCATGAAGTATTGCAGAAACATTTGCCACACTGTGAAAATAACTTTTCAGGATTCTAAGTTAACATAAATGGAGTTAACAGGTAAAAAAAATCCCTGATCATGGGAATATTGGCACTGCCACTATTTGAGAAACAACATGTATGCAGCCAGAAGAACTTAGTGAAGGTGACATTAACCAAAATTAAGTAAGTGGTTGTGCTTCAAAGGATGATGATGTCCTGGAGGAAATGACATTGTGAAAAAACTTCACATTAAAGGAAATCTCAAAGATATTTTACAACACTGAAAGTGCAAATAATAAAATGTGGGAAGCTGATCCAAACCTAGAAAGGAACAGGATAATTTGCTAAGGCCCAGAAAAGATCCTTGCTCCATAGCGGACAGCAAGCACTGTTTAAACTACTCCTGAAATATCCTTCTTAACAAAGAAATAAAACATTTTAATTCTCATTTACAGTGTATCAACTAAATATTTGTTATACTATTTCTATCACCTCTATCAATTTCTAAGCTATAATAAAATTTGTATGTTTTGACAAATTTTTTTAAAATACTGTAACAATTATGATTTTTCCTATGGATTATTAATATTGATTTACACAATTTCAGCTTACACAGGCATTTTTATAGTACTGCAATACTATATAAAGCAAGTACTTTATATGTATATATGATTATTTATGATATAAGTACATATTTCACATGCCAGAGATTGTTTTACAAGTATAAAGTGTTTAAGTATCTTTATATGTTCCTGACAACATCTTGCTTTTGGTACTCATTACCTCTCACATAGAAAGTTATAAATCTACTATTTGCTCCTCCATTTTCTCATCTTGCTAATCAACCCTCAGTGTCCTTCCATGTGAATCTTTCTGAAATGCATTTGTGGTCATGTTGCAGCCTTTCTCAAAAACGAATAATGAAAACTGCCTGTGAATTTTATTAAACAACAAATATTTTCCTGCTATCCTACTTTGGTCGTGCTACCGTCTCCACCAATGCCTCGTTTCCCCCTTTTCATCTTCCATTTATTATATGAATATATACATTCATAAATGAATAAATTAGCAAATATTTACTGGTGTAATAGTTCATAAACATTAAATCAATTAGCATTTTCCAAAATGTGATTCTTATACACAAGGCAATGTGTTAAATGATCTATTTTGGTGCTAGAAGGAAATATTAGAACTTCTATTTACATTTATTCTTTTAAAATCTCAAATACAAGAAAAAACTCAGCTTTAATATTTAAGTAGGTATTGGCATTCTTATGGCGTTCTCATGTCAAACATTCACAAGTAGAAGGCAGGGTAGGAGTTCTGCACGGACAAAGAAATTCTCCCAGACTTGTTCATGTTCAGCATATTGCAATCATTTAGACTTCATATAAATGCAGTTGAACTGGATTTATGTATTATATAATCTTGTTTAAACTAAATCTCTCTTCACTAAATAAAAAAGAAATTTAAATTCAATGAGGCCAGAATGAGGATAAAAAGGTTTGCGCGGAGGCAGTTGAGGCAAATAAATGACACTGGGCATGCTTACCTCTAGGGTTAGGAGCTAAAAATTGATCTGCCCAGAAGTCAGCCAAACAACATTCAGAATTATTCAGAAGAAATCGTTGCAGTAAATATTTACATGCACTATTGTTAATAATGAATTTTAACTGTAGTGTACATTTTCACTGGAGATTTTTTGCTCATGGTAGCATGAATACATCCCAGGTGGCAAAATGTTAAAATTTAGCACCCAGAACATGAAGAAGTCAAAATTATACAATATTTTAGCAATGTTATAAATTATGTGTACATTTTGAATCTGACAAAATTTTACCAATTCAGCAATAAATAAATAGCAAAAGACAGAAGTTCACATTTGACTGAGGTAATAAATTTTCTTCCTACAGTGGAAATTGGCTAAAAGAGATGATGTGAAATAAAAGACAAAGTAAAATGTATTGCTTGTTATCACATTTTTGTAAGATGTAAAGAAATGTTACGGATATAAAGAAATTGATTAGAATTAATCATTTAGAGTGAAAAATTTGCTCTACAGTTGAATGAAAGTTCAGGTTTTTAAACATGTCTTAGTTTATGATATCTGCAATATTCTATTTTAATAATGAAAAACTTAAAGAATCACTTTCTTTGAACTACTAAAGGAAACATTCGCTAAGCAAAACGTGGTCTCATCAAAAAGTGACTACTGGAAAGAAAATATAATTGATAATTCATGGGGGAAAATTGAAGGGTAATTTTTATATAATGGCTGTTTGCCCAGAATTAATGCAAGCAAACGAAGAGTTTAAGAATTACTTATAGAAATAGCATTATATATGAAATACATTCATTTGCAATATTCATAATAAAGTTTATTACAGAAAAGATGGGAAAATTTAAGCCAGAAGCGGAAAGCAGTCATCAAACACAGATCGCACTCTAGTCTTACAACGGCACCGTCAGATGGTGCAGAGCCGGACGGGAACGAAGTCGGACGCGCCTATTTTTGGAACAAAGTCTCTCCAAGGAGAAGCCTCCCAGGCCTCTACATGGGTCGTTGCTAGCTGGTGAGGCTCGACAGTGTCCCGGGCACCGGAGAGGAGGCCGGCGGAGGAGGTGAATCGAAGAGGTCCTGAGGGACATAGGGACGGCTGAGGTGGTGGCGGCTGGAGAGGCCCCTATAGGCTCCAGGAGGCGGTTGGCTGCTGGTTACCGGGAACTGCCGCAGTGTTTTGCTTTGAGGAACCACTTTGTCGGTGTGGTGATGGGTCGCGCGCGGTGGGTCAAAAATAAAGAATATACAAAGTACAACAAACACCGCAATCTAAACAATACAAGAACAATTAGAATCATTACTCAAAAATTTTAGCGGCAAGGCAATGCAAACAAAAGCGAAAGCAGCGATAGATAATTTTATTAAAAAGCCAGAAGAAAACTACAATTCGGAATGCAGACTTGATTTACCACCAATGAAGAAAAACTTAGTCGGAGAAGTATTGGACATACCGGCACTATGAAGAGACCAAACTGATTCGACTATTTATTAAAACACCAGTGTTTAAAGATGTAGAATTCAATGTTTTATACTTTCTTTAATAAAATCAGAAGTATTTATACTTGGGAAACAAAACAAAAACCCAGATCCCTAAGAATCATACAGTTTTATAAAGAGATCAGGCATAATAATAAAAATATTTTGTACCCTACATATTTATTTCCCTGGCATCGTGTTTATAGAATTGTCAAATTTAAGGATGAGCTACATATTTTTCCGTTAGAAAAGGTCAAGTTTTCCAACTTTGTTAATTTATTATTAAACAAATACAATTTAATAATACAATAAAGACTATGAAATTTATTTAAAATATTTTATAATATACAATTGCTTCATGAAAGACAATAATAAGTACTTTATCAGTCCCATAAAGATAATTCTGGCATTTACTGATGAATAAGAAAGCAATTGTCATCTGAAAGAAACTCATAGTATGGAGAGGCTTATTTGAAAATGTTTCCATCATTCTAGACTTGAGACCACTACAGTTGTGTCACCTACGTAAACACTTGTCTGCCTACTTGTACTGGAAAACAGAATTTTCTAATCAGTGTAAAAATCTTCCACATAAAAAATGTCAGTAGGTTTTAAACTAGTAAAAATGTAAAATGAAATACTATCCAATTGATTTGAAATAAAATCGGATTGACATCAACGATGAAGAATATTTTACAGCTGGCTATATTCAATACTTTTCAGTGTTGATAGATAAAACCGAAAAATGAGTTTATGATTTATTAAGTATAAAATGATGCACTCCTATTTACTTATACATATATTTGTGAGGGATGTTTGGGATCCTTTGTATCTTTAAGATCCTCTGAGTATGAACATAAACTGAACTTTGATCTTTGCTATGAACATGTAATATCATATAATGTAAAATCATGTTTTCAACAAGAATAAAGCATATTAATTTTTTCCACTCCAAGTATTATGAAATAAATATTAAGTACTTTATTATACATGTATGATTAATATTTAACATTTATTGTATAATTAATTAATAAAATGAGTTTTAAAACTGATTTATCTTTGTCATCTCATTATGAAAATTAGTAATGTAGTAATAAGTACTATCTAAAATGTTATTAGTAACATTTTAGAAATAGAAAAACATTTACTGTAGTATATTTATATCATTTGCAATATAATATGATGTGATAGGTATAACATAATGTAATACAATATTTTCCACATTTATATCATTCTTTTGCATTTATTCTCGTTTTCATGTGTATTTCATGAGCATATAAAATATACCATGCTGTGGTGCATTTAAATAATTTATGAATATAGAAATGCACATATATTGAGAGAAACAGGCTGAAAACTATTTTTCTAATAGGATGCTGTTATCAAGACTTTGGTGCTTCAAAGCATCAAAGCCTCATTTTTGAAAAGCCACCACTTCTTTGAAGGTTTCTCCTTTTCGTCCTCTTTTGGAAGTGTTTCCTTACTCTTCTGAACTTTCATGTTATTTTACTGAAACATGTTACCCACTCTGTTGTGGTATAGCCATTTTTATCCAGCCATTATCTTTGCTAGGTTACAAATTACCTAAGAGTGGGTCTTGCTTAACTTTGGAGTTACTCAGCCAACAGTAGAGCGGTGAGTATACAACTAGTCCCACTCAGAAATAATACTGAATCATCTCAGGGTTTGCAAATATTTATGCAGTCATATTAAAAATAATTCTTTATTCTACTTGCAGAACAGCTTCTATTAGGTAAACAGGGATTAAAAATTAAATCACCTGAACTACTTGCCAAAAATTATCCATAGGTTACTCCACGTCAACTCTAAAGACTTACATTTTAAATTGTTGATATATAATGATCCTAGCCTTGCTGATAATCTTCTCACCAGGTACAAACGGGAAACAGACACAGAAGCTGAAATATGACCTACGTGCATAATCACTCAATTAAATAGAATAAAACTATTGACTTCAATATTGAGTAACAACGTAGTGACTTGTTGGCTTAATTTGTGTAAAGATTGAATTTGTATTAATAGCCAAAGCCATGCATATGTTTGTAGACGTTGCTAAGGGCAAATGGGGAGCTGGTCTAAATATGAACATCGTCAAGATATTTTAATATGCACAGGTTTATACAAATTTGATATTTCATTCGTTTTTAAGGAAATTAAGTTTAATTGTTAGTTATGGAATTTGAATCCCTGCTGAGATCCTTTTAATTCATTGAATATTTCTTTCTCATTTTCATTCTTTTGTTTGTGTGTGTGTATTGGTGTGTGTGAGAGAGAGAGAGAAAGTGATATTAAATAATGAACAAAAAACTCAACTCTTAATCTTGGATTATTTTAGACAGGATTCTACTTTTGGTATTTTTTTTCTGTAAGGGTCTTCTTTTTGTAGAGTAATTTGCTATGTAAAAATATTTATTATATAACAAAAAGTCATAAAAATATTATTTATCAGTTTATTAATATTTTTAACATTTAAATTATTGTTTTAGATATTTCTTATATATATTATTTCCTTTTAGTCATATTACATATTCTGGGAATGAGTTTCAGAATATGCCTATTTCTGTTTTCCACTACAGAGGTACAGCATAATGTAATTTACAATGACTCACAACTAAACCAAAAACAGATCTTTTCTTTCTAATAAAAAGAAAAGCAATGAAAATAATTAAGCAAATTAAAGAAGAGATGTGTTTTCCTTGATTTTTTTCAATTAGCATTTTAAATTGTAATACAACAAACTTCATATTTAAAAATACAGCTTGTGTGAGCATGTGAAATGATTTCACTGAAATGGTCAATAAACTGAAGGAAGAAATTAGCAAAATTTGCTTGTGAAATAACCATTCTGCATGATAATTGTTAAATTCATGTTGAACACAGGAATAAACTAAAGATATATTAAAGCTGGGATCTAAACTTGTACTTTCCTGCGAGTTTGTTCTACACAATTCATCACTGAAAAACAATATTGATATGTTAAAGAAAAAAAAAACTTACTCAGTTTTAGATGAAACTTTTTACTCCAGTTTCAGCTTGAAACGTATCAAGACAAATAAATGGAAATATTGATAAAATATTGATATTGATAAAATTGTTCATTTTTATATTTTTCTTGATATTAAGAAGTCTTTCTGTGTTATCTCTTCAGTGTTTTCACACATTAAAACAGAAATTCAGATTTTAATTAACCCAGTGAATTTGCCTGAAAATATGCTCCCTGGAACACAACTAAGTCGTGCTTATGATAAAGATGTGGCTGGAAAGGGAGATGTCTACCGTTTTCTGAATAAAACATAAGATTTTGCCATCGATGCAAGTAAGTAATTGTGACATTTATATTTTTATTTGCTTTATAGTTATTACTTTTTAATTTTACTTTTAAAATGGACAGATAATAATTGTACATATTTATGGGGTACATAATGTTGTTTCCACACATATAATGTATAGTGATCAGATCAGAATAATTAGCATATTTATCATCTCACACCTTTATCACTTCTTTGTGTCTGGAATATTCAATATCCTCCTTCTAGCTTTTTGAAACTATATATTATTGTTAACTATAGTCATACTACAGTGCTTAACACCAGAACTTATTCCTTCCACCTAGCTGCAATTTTGTAGCTTTTAACAAGTCTCTCCCTATCCTTCCTTCCCTTCCTCCTATCCCTCCCAGTCTCTAGTATCCTCTGTTGTACTTATTACTTCCATGAGATCACTGTTTTTTAGCTTCCACATATGAGTGAGAACATATTTAAAGTTTAGACTTTGAAGAAAATTATTTTGTTGAACCCAAGTGGTACATTAGATTTCTTGGTCAAAATTTGCTGCAGATAGTCACATAAATTCAACACAATTTCTCAGGGGGCTTCCCATTCCCGCCTTGCCCCATATTTGTGATATCACAACATTGTCACAAGTGTTGTTTCCTGAAAACATAAAATTTTTGTTCATAAAAATGACGTGAGAGTCATCTCATTCTTTTTACGAAAAAAGATATTCTTTGAAAAATAGGAAAGAGGACATATCCATTTTCTATCTATCATCTATCTATGTATATAATGCATGTAAACACACTTTATTAAATTGGCATTCTAAGATATATGCAAGGCCAGCATTTTATAAAACTTCCCATTATTCCATAAGCAGTTATTATGAAACACAGTGATTATGTAAATCAATCAAGCAAATGCATTATCTGTAGGATTTTCTTATATCCTCTCTTACACTTGTTTTCCAATACATGCCTGAAATATATGATAATAATATTAGAATAGGAAGAGATAATTTTGCTTTATAACAATGATAACATTTTAAACATTTATATGAAAATAAAGGGATACTACCAACAAAGCTCATCTGTGGGTTAGCATAGCTCTTTTATTTATTTTAAAACAATCCCTGTGCAAACTTAACTTTCTAGTGCATTTAAACAATAAAAACTAAAAATTAACCTTGGCTTAAATAAATAAAGTGAACTAAAAACTAAAAATTAACCTTGGTTTAAATAATAAAGTGAATCACCGTGTCTCCTAGGTCTCATACCATTGGAAAAATTTCAATTTCCTGACCTAGTTCTACCCCATCACTGAATTTCAAAAATTAATTTAAGCATCATCACATTTCAAAGTTATTTCTTAATAGTCCTAAATTCAAGCTCTGAAAAGGTTGACCAAAAATTGTTCCTTTATGGCAAAAAAGATAATAGAGTGAAGACAGATATGTTTGTACTAATTTCAAGAAAAATAATTAATACTTATTTTTTGTTTTAAAATGTTTTCGTTTCGGTACAGTGAAGATAAACAAAATAAATAATATCATTTATTAAGTTTTACATCCATGTGGCTTAAAAACTAGATAAGTATCACTAAATAAAATCACGATATGGTAGCTCTGTTTACCTTGCATTGTTTACCATCCTTGGCTCATAATCTAATTGTTTGAAATTACATTAAAAATTAACTAATTAAATGCTAAGATTGTGCCCCTTTTTAAAAGAACCCCTAGCCAAAATTCTAGAGCCAATTTTAGGTTGACTTTGCCTGTTTTCTTCCAAAGTGCTTGTGGGGAATTGCAGTGCCCATGGTAGTGAGAGATGACACTTTAGGATGGATAGTTGCATCAACCGAATTCGATCTGTGAACACAGCGAAAGATGGTGAAGTTCTCCATTAGTTTTCTCCAGAACAAATCCTGGTCTGCTGACTACCAACCCTGATATTGTCAGTGCTTGAGAACTGACTGTGGAGTGGAATTTTTCCCAAGAAGAAGTATTAATACATTAGTCCGTGAAGGCAGAAAATACATCGTACTCCTCACATCACCCTGTGCCTAACCAGGTGGCTGGATGGTAGACTCTCAGTAGGTTCAATGAAAAAGTGGGACAGTGTCTCGCATTTAAAAAAAAAACAAAACACAAAAGTATTTGTTTTCACAATTAAGAATCCAACCAATGCTAAATTGCAAAGGCAAATGATGTTTCTGATGTCCTCTGACATAGGATCAACCTATTTCCTTACTATGATGTTTTTTACTCAGTGTATGATTTCTACAGTTATATACAATTTTAATTAGATGTTAATTCTGAAATGAGATATAAGGTAGCATAGCTGTTTTATTTACATTTCAGATATTTCTAAAAATGTGTGTGTGTTTATTTGTGTGGCATTCTCAGAAAATGTCAAAATATTGCTGGACGTGATTTTTATAAATTTAAGAAAATGGCTTTTAAAACAAAAAGAATTTGATATCTTACTCACCACCCAGTGTCACCTCACTTGAATGATTTACCAGTGGCTGAACACAACTCCACACACATAGAACAAGCTCAGTCTTTTCCACAGAAATCAATTCCAACTTCTGTTGATTCACCTGCTCCCTTTTCTCTCAGTCTACAGGACTGTGCTCGAAACCTCAAATTTTGAGTAAAATCTGAACAACTGTTTCCTTCTGACTAGGGTCAGATACTGGAAACCTTCCTTTAGTAGGAGAGTTGCTGATTTCTGATAGTTAGACTGCAATAAGGCCCATCGTCTCAGGCGGCTGATTGCCTGCCATTCTGACCCAGGGCTTTTTATTTTTTTATTTTATTTTTTCCTATTTGTCCTCTGCTAGAAGTGATACTGCAAACCTTGGCCTGACTCCCAGATGAACCTCCCATCCTCTTTACATAACACTTACCTAATAGTATTGAAATATCTGAATCTGATTACATGGAAAATATGTGCCCCCTAAACTAACCTCTCAAGCTTCTTACGTTCTCATGCCTTTCAGTGGTGTCCTGTGAAATGGTCATGGCTTTTATATGGTAAATAAATAGACAAATAAAATCCCTTACTTTCTCAACCTATTTTGTGACATTTCCCTACCTCTCGGCATTAACTGAAATTTGCTGTCCTATGGGATGACCGCAGCATGCCTCAAACTCATGTTATTCATTCTCCCACACATCTCATATCTCTGGGTCAGGAAGTGGGAAGTCGGCATTCTTTTCACTCCGCAGAGCTGATTCTTGACCATTGCCCCGATCCTCTTTGGAAACTCCCTTGCTCAATTGAAGCTCAGGATATTTGGCTCCTTACCAAACCGTACTAATCACTCTCCGTTGAGTCCTAAGGACTTGAATATATCACTCACAGTGTTTCTCCCTGTCTCAGATCCGGCCGCCATCTTTTAGGATTCTTTGATACTCACATTTTGGCCTATCCAGCCCTCCAAATTCTCAGGTCCTTTACTTTATTTGGTGTAAAGCTTACTTAAAGCTCTGTGACTTGAACATTTACTTCCATCCATACACTCCCATGGCTGCAGTCAGAACTTCATCAGCACCCAGAACAATATTACTTCATGTTCTTAATTTTAGAATCCCACTCCTAATGCTTTTTCAATTCTTTTATTCAGTTACCCTTACTATGCATTTTATCATCTCTACATTTTAATTGTAGTCAAGGGATAGATGCTTCATCTCTGACGTCAACAATCCATTGATTTATTCTTTTGCTCTCTGTCATTACCACTTCTCTTTACTTCTGAATCTGGCAGTATAATCCATCTTTCAACCCTTCCTGGACAATATCTTCAGATAATTTGGCCTGTACTTCTTCTGTAACCTTTACCCATGAAAACTCCAATTTGAGACCCAATTATTGATGTGCCTAAGCTTATGAATACTGTTGGAAAAAAAATCACATGAGCCAGCTTCTGCACTCTAGATTTTGCTTGGCCCTAAATGCTTTTTGGTAGTTCTTCAATATTTCTCTAGTTAGATCTCTCTTTAATTTGCCAAGTTGGTTATGATAGAATTTCTCCAGTCTCATCTTAAATCTCTTACTCACCTGAAACCTTTTTCTCTTAACAGATAAAATCAGCTTACAAATTTGAGGAAAATTATAAGCAATCAAGAGGGAAATTCCTTAGGCTATTTCCTATAGTTAGTTCTTTGCAATGAATTCCTTCTTTTTACTCTTCTGTTGCAAAAGAAGATTCATGCCTTCCTTTGTCTACTTTCATTCCTTTCAGTTTGGTTGAGTTCCATATCCCCACTCCTCATATTTCTTTCTACACTGATTATCCCCTTTTCCTATATTTTCTATTCTTCTCTCCCGATTATTTTCAATAACTTTCAACTGATCTTATAAGCCTTCCCTATCTTAACAAAATTCACTCTTGCCCTATGTCTCTTTTCTTTTACTGTCTTGTCTTTTTTTTGACGTTTTATAGAACATCTGGCATTTCATCTAACTGGTTAAATATTTTTAGAGTTCTCTACATTTTTCTTACTCCTGCACTTTCCATTTATTTTTGAACAGAGTTGTGACAGGTCACTTCAACAAGACATGCCACCATACATAGCAATATTTTTATTGTTAAAAACAATGCCATATTTAAGTCTTCATCTTATATATAACCTCTCTTTAAAATTTAGAGGTGAAAACCACTCTTTAGTTTTTTAAACATGCTCATGGCACTATATACTCTGCTAGTTTTCCCCATATATCTCTTCTTCCTTCCCTCCTCTTCTTCCTCCTAAATTTTTCCTCTGTTTATTCTGTACATATTTGTGTTATTCAGGTCTACTTAGGTTTTCTTCTATCCATATTCTACACAGTTTACCTTGCATTTATCCCTTGACTACAAACCCATCTATGTATCCATTAACTACAATTAAAATATATATTCTGATGATCTCAATTACATAAATATGTATATATACACACACACACAAAGCTCAAACACTATGACTTAACTTCAGACCAATATATCTACTTTATAGACATATTCTTAAATATTTTAAATTGAATTATTCAAATCTGCACAGATTATTTTCTCCAAAAACCTGCCTCTAATATAACCTCTGTGTAAATTATGTAAAACAGCTCTCTCCGGAGCAGATGCAGTCAAGCACTAAGGTATGTAGTCCTCAGCTACTCTTGCCCCCAGTCGTCATCTACTATTTTGCAGGACATCATAAACACCATCATGTATGGTAGCCTTGCTGCCATCTACCCTTCAGAAAACTCTGTGACAGGCATGCCTTACTGACTCCTTCTATCACACCTTCTGCTTCCAGTCATTCACCAAATTCTATAGATTTTAAATCCTTGGTATGTTTATCTCATGTCCATGATTACTATCTCATGTCACATCCTTATAAGCTCTTGTCTTAGTGTATTTTGTGTTGCTGTGAAGGAGTACCTGAGGTTAGGCTATTCATAAAGAAAAGAGGTTAGTTTGGCTCATGCTTATGGAGGCTGTGCAAGAGGTATGACACCAGCATCTGCTTGGCATCTGCTGAGGGCTTTTATGCTGCATCAAATCATGGCAGAGAAAGTCAAAGGGGAAGCAGGCATGTGTGAAGAGGAACAAAATCTGAGTGGCATCCTGGCTTTATAACAACCTACCCTCTGGAAACTAATCCATTCCCTCAAAACCAATCCAGTCTCATGGGAGGGACAGCTCACACACAGAAGGCACCAAGCCATGCATGAGAGACCTACCCCAATGACCCCAGTACCTCCCACTAGGCCCCACCTCCCAACACCACCACACTGGGGATCAATTTCAACATGAGATTTGGTGGGAACAAACAACATCCAAACCATAGCACCCCTCTTCTAGATTTTTGCACCAACGTTCTCACTTGATCCCTTCCTTTCAGAATTCCTTCACAATTTTCTCTTCACTGAAAGTAATTTTACTAATGTACATACAGGATCATATTCCCACAGTTTTTTGCTGTCTCTATATAGGTGATACCACCTATAATTCTTTGCTAACTTTCTATTTTCCCCCAAAGTAAAATCCAAGTTCTTTAAACTGACACACAATTCTTTTTAAAATGTGGCTCTTGTTTATCTTTGTAGACTGAAAAGTTACTATTCCCCATTGTATGTTCTATATTTTAGTCCAAATATGCATCTCCCAATGCAAAACTTTCTTCTCCCCTGAGCCTTTGCACATAGCATGTCTTCTGCCTCCTCTATTCTTCTCCTGACCAACTCATTCACATCTTTCCTGTATTAGTTCAGAAATAGTGTCATTAGTTCAGCATCTACCCTGTTCTCAGCATCAGGGAATATGCTCCTCTTATGTATTTTTAAACCATTTTTCTTTAATAATTTTATTTCCCTGATTGAATCCCTTGAGCACAAGGACTATGCCTGATTTAGTTGTTGGTCCTCTTGATGTAATATACACGTGGATGTCCCTATGCTAATAAATTCTTAGTTGTATTTCTAATTCTTCACCCAACTCCAGATCTGCATGCCTCCTGTATCTGTTTTCTGGTGCTGCATAACAAACCACCTCAAAACATAGTGGCTTCAAACAACGCTGTTTTATCTCTTAAAATTCTGTGGGTTGGCTGAATAATTATTCTACTGTTATTACTTGAGTTCATTCATAGGGCTGCATTCCAAAGGCTTGTTCATGTCTATTCCAATGGAAGTCTATGTTAACCTCTGAAACCTAATCTAGCAATGTTGTCTAAATTAACCAAAGTCTATCTTTGGCTTCTTTAAGATGCCAAAGCCTTCCGATGCTATTCCTGGTGACTCATCTACAAAGTCATAGTGCTATATAGCACTGGAGAGACATGTTCCAGTTAGTATCACTGTATTAGTCCATTCTCACATTTCTATGAATAAAGACCTGAGACTGGGTAATTCATAAATCAAAGAGGTTTAATTGGCTCATGGTTCCACAGGTTGTACAGGAAGCATAGCAGCATCTGCTTGGCTTCGGGGGAGGCCTCAGGAAACTTAAAATCCCTGCAGAAGGTGAAGGGGAAGCAGGCACGTCTTACCTGGCCAGAGCACGAAGAAGAGGAAGAGAGAGGGGGAGGTGCCACACACTTTTAAACAACCAGATCTCCTGAGAACTCTATTATGACAACAGCACCAAAAGGAAAAATCAGCCCCCATAATCCAATCACCTCCTACCAGGCCCCACCATCAATATTGGGGATTATAATTCGACATGAGATTTGGGTGGGAACACAAATCATATCAATCACATTGTAGAAAATTCTTCCCTTGTTAGCCTATTCCTCTATTCCCTAGATGAATCCAGCTGTTTATGCTGTGCCGCAAGTTGTTTGATACATTGTCAGTAAATTAGTATTCTTGACACTAAATATAAGGGGTAAAAAATCTTTCTTGGGAGTGAAGGGAGGCCCACAGGATTATTCAGTCAAGTTTTAGTTCTTTTAATCTGGCTGGAGGAGATTTAATAGAAGACGTCATAATCAATAACCATTCAGTGGTTGAACCTATTCTCTTTCTTCCAGCTTTGATCCAACATTGCGTTTTGAGATTATTTCTTGTGCTATAAGAAGGGATATATAAGCTGCACTTCAGTTTGGAAGAAATTCAGCATTGGGCTATTCATTTTGTTATGATTTGATTTTGCTTGATTCTTATTTTGTAAGATTGAAAAAGAAACTCTACAAAAATGTGTAAGAAATGTATTTGTTCCAGTGAGACTCACATTTTGTCTCTATTAAATCCATTAGCTAAGACAAGTTAGTATATATAGTTTTATAAAGTATTGCCTATGCATATTACTGGCTTTCTCAAAATTAAGAATATTTTTATTCTTCCTCTAATCAGTAGCTTTTGTGACTCAGGACTTTCTAAAAGAATCTCACCAGGCGCAGTGGCTCATGTCTGTAATCCCAGCACTTTGGGAGGCTGAGGTGGGTGGATTACCTGAGGTCGGGAGTTCAAGATCAGCCTCACCAACATGGAGAAATCCCGTCTCTACTAAAAATACAAAATTAGCCAGGCATGGTGGTGCATGCCTGTGTAATCCCAGCTACTGGGGAGACTGAGGCAGGAGAATCACTTGAACTCAGGAGGGGGAGGTTGTGGTGAGCTGAGATCGCACCATTGTACTCCAGCCTGGGCAACAAGAGCTAAATGTCATCTCAAAAAAAAAAAAAAAATCTCAATGATTACATTTGTTTCTTTGCTACAACTTGATATAAATTCTTTAAAGAATGCCCAGATTAAGTGGACCTATTATTGCTAATAATAACAAAAATTTTAAAAAGTGTATTAGTGTCTGTATTATTCTTTTCTTCATCTATACAGTACGGCCCTCTTACCATGGTTTCACTTTCCTAGTTTCAGTTACTCACAGAAAATCATGTTGGTTATTTATTTTTTTGAGACAGAATCTCACTCTGTCACCCAGGCTGGAGTACAGTGGTGCAATTGTAGCTCACTGTAGCCTCAAACTCCTGGTGTCAAGCAATCCCCCTTCCTCAGCCTCCCAAGTAGCTGGGACTACAGACACATGCCACCATGCCCAGCTAATTTTTTATTTGTGTGTGTGTGTGTGTGTGTGTGTGTGTGTGTGTGTGTGTGTGTGTGTGTGTATAGATGGAGTCCTACTATGTTGCTCAGGCTGGTCTTGAACTCCTGGTCTCAAGCAATCCTTCCACCTCAGCCTTTCAAAGTTTTGGTATTACAGGCATGAGCCACTGTGACTGGCCTATTTTCATTAATATAAGTTATTTTCAGAGAGACAGAGCACATTCTCATGATGTTTATTAGAGTATACGGTTATAATTGTTGTATTTTATTATTATTGTTGTTAATCTCTTACCATGCCTAATTTATAAATTTAACTTTATAATAGGTATGTATGTACAGGAAAAAACATAGTATATACAGGGTTCTGTACCCCTTGTGGTTTTACAAATCCACTGGGGGTCTTGAAGCATATTCTATATGGATAATGGGGCACAACCTTACTTTCTTTTCTTATCTTCACTTAAATCAGCTAATTATTTTACACCCAGGTCTTAGTCTGGCCTAGTAGGGAATTGATTATTGTTACAATAAGTACCATATAAAAGTATCCTTTTTAAGGCAATATGCCACTTTTGACAACAGAATTCTCAGTGATACGGTTTATCTAGGTGCCAGCAAAAAAATGATGTCAAATCTATTTTATGACTTTGGGATAAACTCATAATAATTAATGAGATTGAACAGAAACAAATGACAATTTTTTTCCTCTCAATAAAAAGTAGGCATGTACTGTGATGATAATATGATCTCTGTCACTGATGGTGCTGTGATCTTTGGAAATGATTTTCGATGAAAACTTTCAAGAGACATATATGGTTTACTAATAATAGAAGTCTGAATCATGAAACATTTTGAAAAGAAAATAAGTCAATATTTAATATTTTCTATCATTTGCATATTTTGAATATTTTCCTTGTGAGGCAACTGAAATATATTTAGAACTACTTCCTTTTTTTTTTTTTCCTTTTCTTCAACTAAAGATTCAGATGATGCTTGTTAATTGTGTGACTTTGGGTTGCCAACATAATCTCCAATTTAAGTTCTTTTTTAAGGAGTTAAAACCCGTAATGCCAAAATCTTTTAAGATATAAAAGTTATGTTTCTAAGTACTGATGGTAATTATAATTGTGGCTTATCTCTTTCATAGGTTCTGGTGTAATCACTGCTACCAAAATTTTTAATTATGAAACAGATCCAATAAGGTTTCTTCTGATTGTTGATACTGGGAGGCTCTATAGACATGTTTTGACCATTAATATTATTGATGTTCCCGAATCTCCAAACTGTACTGCTGATCCCAAATTTTCTTCAGGCACAGGTATGATGCGTTATCTTCCTATAGTTTACTTCTAAAAGCTATGTATAATGAAAGAGGCCAGGCATACTCCCTCAGTGAGAGATGATTCAGTGATTCTTTAAATTATGCATATAATGTGTGTTTATATAAATACACAAAAATATGTGCAGACCTTCATGTTTGTAAGAAAACATAATCTCTCTAAGGAATAATTTGAAAAACATGTTTACCCTATAAAAATTTTCATGCCACAATTATGAGGTAGGAGAGCAAATACATTAAAAACAGCAATAGAGATTCTACAAAAGACTTGCCGTAAGAGAAGCAAGGCAGGAGAGAAACAAAATGAATAAAAGGTTTTCATAACTTAATACACAAAGTTAAACCTTCACTTGTAAAAATGCTACAAAGAATAATTTAGTTTTAATACGCTTAAGGTTCAAATGGTATTTTAGTTTTCCAAAAAAGTAAGGATGATAGCCATCAATCAAAAATGCACAAAAATAAATGTGAATTTTAATTATAATATGATCATAGAAATAAGAGACATTTGTATTACAAAATCAAATACTGTGTAGGATTGTGGAACGGTTGACCAAGTCAGAGATATCAGAAAAGTTTTCTCTAAAGTTTTGGCAGTTTACTTTAGTTCTAAACTCTGATAATAGTAAATAAGCAAGAGGAGGGAGAATAGCATTTCATGCAGAAGGAACTATAAGTTCCCTGAGGCAGCATAGAACATGTTGACTAAGAATAATGGGAAGTCTAGTATAATTGAAATAGGGCACTAAGTAATATGGTACAAAATGATAATTGAAAAGTAATGAAGAGTATTTTAAGAATGTCAGTCTTGGTTCTAAGGGTAGTGGGAATGCTATGAAGTATTTTAAGCTGATAGATGTTTCAAATATATCCATCTTGTTGAGTATAGAGAAAGATGAGAAGGGGACAAAGTTAGTTTAGGTGTCAGCAAGCATTGTAAAAGGCCAGAAAGTAAATATTTTAGGCCTTGCAAGCCAAAAGATAAATTGAGTCTATTATTTAGGTAGTACTTATAAGCAAGGAAATAAATATCTACAATTTTTATTGATAAATTTTTAAAAGATAATAACAGTAACAATTGGGTATAATTTTGTACTACAGCTCTGCTAATGAGAGGAGTGAATTTTCATTTGGGAGGGGTTGGAGTTTCTCTTTATTGGATGGGACATTAAATACCATCAGCAAATCTCTTTCCTTACTTAGCTAACTAATGAACTGCTTAGAATCTTTTTTTACTGCAGTTTCATTGGTAATTATTTTTGTGAATAAAGTCTGTCTTCATGAAATATTTTATTTTAAATTTTCTACTTTTTCTGATCATTGTTTTTCTGTCAAGTGGGAATACTGGGATGAGTACTTAGTCTTTTTTTTCAGACATGTATTGTATTCTTTTATTAATATCAAAGTTATAATGTTATTACATAATAAAAACAGTTTTTGGACACATAACTTAAAAACAAAACAATCCACACTGCATCATGCCTTAAAAGTGTGTCATTCAGTTTATTTTTCTCTTCTTTTCTTGTTTTGCCATGGTGGGTAGATATGATAATTAAAAAGAATATGGTACTCAGAATGCTGTTATAACTGGATTATTGGAATTCATGGTATTTGAGGTGATGAGAACACCATATATTTCCATCACTCAACTCAGTAGCAAGAATGCAACAATATATGATCTATAAATAAATGAGTATATATGTCTTGTTAAAACTTTATAAATACTGAAATTTGAACTCTATATAAATTTCATGTGTCACAAAATATTAGACTTCTTTTGATTGTTTAAACTATTTTTAAACCATTTTTATTTAAAGTACAAAAACTATTCTTAGCTTACAGAGCATACAAAACCAGGCAATAGTCTAGATTTGGCTGAAGGGTGGTGGTTTGAAGACCCATAGAGTAGAAAAAAGAAGACGTTCATTTCAGTCATCTAGGCAAGGAATGGTATAGTTTGGCCTAGGAAGATGATAGAGATGAGAAAAGGATAATCTTAGGACATTTTAATAATATAGCTGGTGATGAATTTAGTAGAATGAAGGAGAGAAGGGACTGGGTTTTCTAATCTGTGTAACTGGTGTGGAAATCCTCAAGAAATATAGGAAAACTTAGAAATATACCAAATTTGGCCAGGCGCGGTGGCTCACACCTGTAATCCCAACACTTTGGGAGGCCAAGGCGGGTGGATCACGAGGTCACGAGTTCAAGACCAACCTGGCCAAGATGGTGAAACCTCATCTCTACTAAAAATACAAAAATTAGCCGGGCGTGGTGGCGGGCGCCTGTAATCCTAGCCACTTGGGAGGCTGATGCAGAGAATTGCTTGAACCCGGGAGGTGGAGGTTGCAGTGAACCGAGATGGTGCCACTGTACTCCAGCCTGGGTGACAGAGTGAGACTCCATCTCAAAAAAAAAAAAAAAAAAAAGAAAGAAATATACCAAATTTGGAGAGAAAAATCAAGAGTTCACTTTTGCAAAGGTCCTTTTTGATATGCCTTTGTTATATCAAAGGATAGATTTGTGTAAGCAGTTGGGCTTGGAGGTCTTACCCAGGGCTATTAATGTTTTGTAATTGAAACCATGGATTTGGATGAGATTACTTAACCCAAGAGTAGAGAATTAGAAGAAAGGAGGGCAGAGGGCCAACCCTGAGGAACTCCTACACTTAATGACGTGGGGAAGAAACTCAGCCTGCCAAGGAGACAAAGAAGGAGCTGCTAAAGTGGTGGTAGAAAAAGGGGAATTATGTCATGAATGGCAAAGGAGAATAGTGTTTCAAGAGTGCCAGTGGTTAGCAGTCTTATATTCCACAACAAGTAAAATGCATTGAGTTAACAATATCAGGAAAGTGACAACTAATGAGTTTGAGAACTATTTTATGGGTGTTATAGGGATGGGAGCCAGAATGGAGCAGATTGATTAGTGAGATTGTAAAAACAGAAAACATCTTTTTTTTTTTTAATTTGCACATAAAGTTGGAGAGAATGAAGAAACAAAATCATATGGGATTGCAAGAGTTGGGTCTGCTGGATTTCTTTTTAAAGGGAGACATGAGTAATTTTACAACATGGAGAATCCATTTGATGAGGAGGCTGAAGACAAATAAAGTAGGTGAGAAATGGGAACAAAGCACAGGTGCAATCAGTCAATCAATCATCTGTCAATCTTGTCTACCCATCTATGTATCTCCTAAACACTTACATGTCTCTATTTACAATTTCAATTTTTTATGTTTAATAAATTTGAAATGCCTTGAAGCTTTAAGATTTTTCTATTCAGATTTTACTTGCAGCTGAATCTCTGGAAAAGTACTAGTGAGTTGGGAGTCTCAATTTGAGTGTATGCTTAAAAGAAATTCTCTTTATCATTGCAGTTAAAATATATAATACTCTGAAAACATGCTCTGAAAGATCATGAATGTAAACTATCAATTTCTTTTGAAAATATAAATGAATAAAAACTTACCATTTTTAAATTTGGACCATACTAACAAAAACCAATTATTTCATTAAATGAGCCATATTAAGAACATTTTAAGTTGATTATAAAATAAACTAGGATTTTCATGAATACATCTCTATTACATTGTGCTCAAATGTTACATTTATCACCTTAAAAGCTACAGCAGGAACATTGATTACATTCAGAAATGTAATGTTTACTCCATTTTGTTGATATAAAGTCATTATTTATTAAATTTTCACTACTAAAGGCAGTGTTGTCTCATAACCATGTGCAGTTATTTTTCAAAACTAACATGGACGCATACACAGCCACTTTCACTAATGATATTGCCTATGAATATGAATAAGCAACTGAAATCTCTTCATGTTTTTTCTTACTCTCTTGGTCAAGGGGTTAGACTCCAGGTCATCTCTTCTGAGCTCTCCTGAATTCCTAGCCCCTTTCTTTTGTCAAACCTCAAGGGTCACTGAGGGCCCTTGAGTCTTATAACCACCTGCTTCTGCTTCCTGTTTTCCATTCCCACTGCTGACTCTGTCCAGTCAAAGAAAAGGTAAAAAATACACTCAAGGATGAGAGAATAGGGCAGTAGCTAGAGAGGACTGCAGATTATTAAGAAATTGTTAGTTAAGATTTGGAAAGCTGTAATAAGGACTTTGCCTGATCGGGGAACTTAATGGCTGTTTGAGAAACTTGCCAACTTTGATTTTCACAGGCAGTTTTTCCAAAGGTACTCAGAAGTTTAGGGGTGATTCCTATAGATGTGCAATTCTCCTTTTCTGCCAAGAGTAGAAGGAAGAGTCAACTGTGTAAATGTTGAAGAGAGGTTAAGTAAGGTGGACACTGAGTGTCCAGTGGGTCTGGCAGCATGGAAGACTTTGATGACTTGCTGGAAATAGCCTCTGTTTGTAGAGGCAGAACCTCTAATAGTGTGAACTAAGGACTGAACAGGGGGTAAAGAAATGTACAGACTCTGCCCCTGAAGGGTAAGAGAGAGATATGGACATTGTAAGGGTAAGCTTAGGGTCAAGGGTGTTTCTTTTAAAATGAAAGAGACTTGAGCATGTTTAAGTGCTAATAGAGAGTACCCAGAAAGTGAGGGAGTGACTGAAGATGGGAGGTAAAGAGACAAGTCCTTGAGAAAGTATAGGGTGTGTTACCACCCAATGAACAAGGATTATCTTTAGTAACAAGTTCTTGCCTTTTATAGTAAAGAAGGTACCAACAGAAGTGAGTTTGTAGATCCCATGAGAAAAAGTGAGCTACCACTGATCTAATGGTATCTGTTTTCTATGCAGTAAGATGAGAGATCCTCTATGAAGAGTGAGATAGAGGGGAAGGGTAGGTGTAAGAGGTTTTAGTCAAAAAGGCAAGGTTTGAAACAACTATTGTAGAAAGTTGAAGAGTAACAGAACAGAGACTTAATTAAGGGCACTGAGTTATTCTAATTATTCCTCTAATAATTCTCTTTGCAACCAATAGCTCAGGCCTATGTTTATGAAGTATCACAAAATCTGACATTTATCTAATTATTGGAAATTTTTTTAAATTTAAGTTCACTGTTCTGATTATTTGAGTCAAAATCTTTTCTAGATGTTTTTATACCTCTAATAGATGTTTTAGCTAATTCATTATTTTGTTTAAAATGCTTATTATCTTAAAATCAATTTTGTTATTATTTATTTGTCCTTAAGAAAAATATAAATTGGTGTATGATAAACTTGCTTTTATTCATTTATGTATCTGTCACAGTACTAAGCATGGATAATACTTTTAACATCATAGAATTTTCTGTTTTTGTGTGGTTTTTTTTGTTGTTTTTTTTTAAGACAGAATTTCACTCTTGGCGCAATCTCGGCTCACTGCAACCTCTACCTCCTGGGTTCAAGCAATTCTCCTGCCTCGGCCTCCCAAGTAGCTGAGATTACGGGTGTGTGCCACCACACCCAGCTAATTTTTGTATTTTTAGTAGAGACAGGGTTTTGCCGTGTTGGCCAGGCTGGTCTTGAACTTCTGAACTCAGGTGATCCGCCTGCCTCGGCTTCCCAAAGTTCTGGGATTACAGGTATGAGCCACCATGCCCAGCTTGTATTTTTACACTTTGAGTAGACTTACTCTTTCTGGAAATAATTTTACATCCCATCAATCTTAGGCTTGTTGTTAGCTTTCTCTTCTTCTCATACCTGTAGTTTTCTGGGCCATTCTTGACTTGCCACGAGGGCTCATGGTGGGATAGAAACGTGACATGTTAAAATTTACTTAAAGTTATGATGAAGTTTGGTCATATTCTGTCTTCAATTTATGCTGAGGGCATGGCTTTTGTCTAATATTATTTCTTCTTTTTTTCTGTATTGTTTTTGGAGAAAATACTGGGAGACATGGTTCTAGGTAACCACCATTATCTTTAGCTACTCAAAAATCACCTAGTCATTAACTTTAAATATAACTACATGTGAAAAAATTAAATTTAGTTGAGCAAGTTGTTAAAATTTATTTTTATAACAACATATACATTTGGTCTACACATTTCTGTATGTAAGAAATAAGAAATTTTAAAATGTCTTATTACTCCATATGGAACAATTTTACCCACTTCTTTCCTGAAGTCACTGCATCCATGTTATATTTTAGATTGAGCTTTTCACCCATGGTCAAGGCTGAGAAGATGTTAGGAGGTGTGTGAGAGCTGGATGTTAATCAGCTGTTCACACATGTGCTTTTGTAAGAAACAGAGTTCCTCCCCATTATGACCCAATCAGGTCTAGAAATTGTACAGAAATATTTTATGAAGCTACCACTCTGGCTTCCCATAGGACAGTTTGTCAGCATATGTATCATGTTCTTTTTCATTAAGCTATAGTTGCCTCAAATAGTGCCAGGAAGTAAGGAAAAGGCACTGGGTGAGGGCAGGAAGGATGATCCAAAGCCAGGGGGAAAAACACAAAAGTGAGAAAAAATAAATTACTATCTTAAAATATTAAAATATTGTCCCAGACTCAGAATCCAATCTGAAATTAATATTGTTCTGTTTTTATTATATAAAGAGATAGTGAATGCCTAGTATACTTTAATTTTCTGATACAACTTGATTTCTGCTTCACAGCTACCTTAGAAATTGATGAGGACTATCCATTATTTCAGTCCATTTATAGAGTGACGGCCACAGATGAGGTCTTCGCAAATGGTGATAGGCTGAATGTAGGTGGCGATCATTGTGCCAGGTGCATTTATCACTTCAACGTAAAGTGTAATCTTTTCAAAAAATTTTCAAGGACAGTTAATATAATTTGATAATTAAAGATTGTATGAAGTTTACAACCACCATGATGCAATATTCATGTTAATGTTGGAAATGGCATTTTTAGAAGAAGCTATTTTCTTGAGGCATACAGGAAAATTACATGACTTCTAATTGAGGTGGGGGACTGGGAGGAAGATGTCAATGCTGAGACAAAACTGGGGCTTTGCCTTTTGGAACTAATCAGAACTATTTCTCTTTCCTAGCTATTTCAATGACACATATGAATGTGATTATATATTTTTTGATGTTTCAGTATCCTAATTACTAAGTATTTAACCCTAAGAGACTCGCTTTTTCTCTTAATTGATTCATGGATGTGAAGTCTCTTAGAGATTTGGCAAAATGAAAAGAATCTATAAAGTTTGTTTTGGAGACTTTAGCAATGCAATGGACTACAAAAGTCAGCATGCTTGCTCTGCAGCTGTTCTTTCTGAACATGCATTGAAATAGTTTACTACTTCTAATGTAGTAACTCACAGTATAAAGTAATGGAGCACCACCAAATGGCGGTGGGGTTGTCAGATGACTTGGGCTACGTATGGCTTTACCACCAACTAGAGCTGTAATACTGGGGAAGTCACTTAATACCCCTGGTGTTTGATTTTCGCAATTATAAGAGATAATTTTTCCTTCCATTAACCTTCAGTGATACATGTGCCGTTGTCAAAGTATTTAAAATCCCTGTGGGATACTCCAAAAATATTTTGTTGTGGACGAGCCAAAATTAAATTGTTTAGAAACACAAGATCTTTCCCATTACATGATGTCTTTTCAATAAATTTTTTAAAACGCTGTGCTCCAGCTGACAGTAATTATTACCACTTCTGTCATTTTCAGAAACATAATAGGAACCAAACAGGTGATTGTTTTAAAATTCAGTGTTTTGAGAAATAGTTCTATTTTTAGAGCCTAGAAATCATATCAGATTACAAAGAAGCACACAGAAGTAATTAAACTTTTCCTCAGTGAAATTTTACCTCCTTCCAAACTAAATAGTTTTCAGATACTTTTGAGGCTATATTTACCTACTTTTACCTATTCTAAGAAGTGGTAGCAAATAAATAAAAAGGAATATTAAGAGCATAAGATAAATTATAAACTACATTAATATTTGAAATGGTAACACTTGAAACGGGTTTATACCATTATAATTCTTTTGTTTCTTAAAACTGATAATGAGTTTATTTTGTATACTTTTAATGATAATGATAGTGATAGTGAGTTTATTCTGTACACTCTTTCAGTGTTATATTAATTTGCAGAATTAAATTAATATTAAACAAATACTTAATAAAAGTTAAGCTTTTGGCTGGGCACGGTGGCTCACGCCTGTAATCCCAGCACTTTGGGAGGCCGAGGAGGGCGGATCACAAGGTCAGGAGATCGAGACCATCCTGGCCAACACGGTGAAACCCCGTCTCTACTAAAAATACAAAAAATTAGCTGGACGTCGTGGCGGGTGCCTGGAGTCCCATCTACTTGGGAGGCTGAGGCAGGAGAATGGCGTGAACCCGGGAGGTGGATCTTGCAGTGAGCTGAGATCACACCACTGCACTCCAGCCTGGGCGACAAAGCAAAACTCCATTTAAAAAAAAAAGAAAATTAAGCTTTTAAAAACTTATGTGAGAAAACTGTAAAGGGTTGTGCAGTTCTATTTAAAAAATAGCAAACATTTTGGTTATGTTCATAGGCTAAACAACCATATTGTTTTTCCTTTATTCTGAAAAAGATGATGTCAGTGGTTCTAATACTAGTAGATCATAAAGAAAAACTGAAATTAATCAGTGTGAAAATAGGGAACTTTCTATATATTTGCCCCAATATCATGTCTTAATGATCTTCCATGCGTTCTCATTTATTCAGTTTCGAGTAATGCATATTTTATTCTTCAAGTACACCATTGAGACACAGTTATCTGGACCAAAGAAAGGAGCAAACTCTTTTGGAACGGATCCTATAAGTGATGTTGTTAGATTAAGAGGTGAAGATCCCCTGGATTTGGATACTGGATATCATGTAATTAAAATGTTTATTTATTTTTCCATGCAGAGTGAAACAGAATTTTTATCACTTTGAGCTCTTCATGAAAAATTAGACACCTTGTTATTTTGAAGGAAGATTAATATTTTGTGTCATTCATTTCTGAGGATTTGTGCAGTTAACCAAAATCCTACATCCAATCATTATGGTTACTCCAAATATAGAGATTATGTCTTAACATTTTAGTTCTACCAAAAAAAGTTTATGAAAAAAATTGTCATTTTAATCTGGGAAAACCAAATCAGTAAATCATTAAAATTTAAATCTTTCTGAACATCAAAGAAATGAAAGAAACTTAAATCAGTCAAGTTTTCATATTGAAACTATTATGATTCATACACCCTACCCCACTTAGAGTGTTAACTCACTTAGGTAGCCAATGTAAGATTGGGCATAAACCTTATAGGTGAATTTGAAACTAACATGGTAAGAAAGAAGAACATTAGATGGTATTTACATGAGAAATATAATTTAAGGAAAGCATTCAGGGATGATTTTTCTGAGTGGAAAATGAAGGATATGTAAGTATGAACAACTGACTGGAAAGAAACCAGCTATTGGAGATAGTCTGTCCACATAGAAATGAAGTGTGTAGTTCGAGAAATAAAGGTTGGTATTATTATGATCGTAAAATAATGTTTTACAATATTGTAAAAAAATTTCTGTTTTCAGAAGTGTCTTCAAATTTATTATTTCAATAAGGTAATTGAGAAAATAGCAAGAAGGGGAAAATGCAAGAGATTGGAGTAAAAATAGAGAATTTGCTGCTGATAAGATAATTCGAGGGAAGAGTTAATATTTGAAGATACTAACTTTCTGGCCTGAAAGAACATAAATGGTGGAAGAAAGTCAATGAATTCCATTTAAATTTCAATTTGATGTGCTGTATGTTAGAGGATGGTGGAGAAGTCAATGATACATATCTTTTAAGCAGCTTGAGTATTAGGACTACAATATGAGATAGGTTAGCTGGAAGATAAATGGACATCATGCATGTAAACAGTTCAGCTCCGTATCTCTGACTCTTCCTGGGCCTCTTCACCTCCTGCCTTGACCGACATTCAACCTATCTTCTACCAAGTCCTTTAAGATCACTTTCATCTTTCCACTGAATAACTGATCAATTCATTATATGACATCTGACATGTAATTACTTATCCAAGGGACTGAAATTTGGTAGAATCATTGTCAGCCCTTTCCTCAGCATGGAGTCTTATACGCTGTAGAGTTTTATTGAATATCTGCTCAAAAAGGGTTTTTAGTGGATACTTACCGCCTCCATGGTGTTTGGTTTTTGTTTTTGTTTTCAAAAGGGCATTTCCTGATATGAGTAAATGGTTTCTAAGGGGTGAGATGAGTGACAGGCTGAGGAGAAGAATATTCAATGTTTGATGACATTCTCAATTCTTCAGAAATTCCTTGTGTCATGGATCCCAAAGAGTAGCCCATCTTCCTATTTCTAGGGTTTAACATCAATCAGCTTGCTTTGTCAGTAGTTTCAGTGCATCATATTTTGGTTTAAGATTAAATCTAGAATTTGTTCATTTGGGAGGGGTTTTGATTTTTTTCTGGATTGAGGTATATAGCCAAGCTACACAGACTTTTGTGTGAAATTTAATTCCATATGAAATGAAGCAACTTATAATGAATCTAACTAAGTAGGAAAGATAAGTAAATACAAATAAGAAAGCACTTGTATTTCTTTTAACTAATGAGAAGAAAAATAAGAAGCTATATTTAGGTGGAGAAAACAAAACAAAACAAAAACCTAACAGGATGCATATTGTGAAAGTATATATGTATTATAAAATAGTATTTTTAAAGTTTTAAAAAACTCTTTTCCAGGTTTTCCACCTTATACTGAAAGCAACAGATACAACAGGTCTGTTCTGTCAAGGGACACTAATTATCTTGATTAGAAACATAAATGATGAGAAGCCTCAATTTGAGTGAGCATATTTATTTCAAAGTGTATACATAGGAGAATGGTTAAAATAAACTTTTCACATATACAGTCGGCCCTTGGTATCTGTGGGGCATGCATTCCAGGACTCCCCTGAATACCAAAAGCTATGGATGCTCAAGAATCTTTTATAATGGTGTATTATTTTTTTCTTTTCATTTATTTATTTATTTATTTATTTGAGACAGATTCTCACTCTGTCGCCCAGGCTGGAGTGCAGTGACGCGATCTTGGCTCACTGCAACCTCCACCTCTTGGGTTCAAGCAATTGCCTCAGCCTCCCAAGTGGAGTAGCTGGGACTACAGGTGTGTGCCACCACACCAGGCTAATTTTTGTATTTTTAGTAGAGATGGGGTTTCACCATGTTGGCCAGGCTGGTCTCGAACTACTGACCTCAAATGTTCCAATCCGCCCACCTCGGCCTCCCAAAGTGCTGGGATTAGAGGTGTGAGCCACCACACCGGTAGTTTTATTTTCATATAACCTATGCACATCCTCTTGTATACTTTAAATCATCTCTGTATTACTTATAATACCTAATATAGTATAAATGCTATGTAAGTAGTTGTTATACCATATTTAGGGAATATTTTTGTCCCCCATGGTTGGTTAAGTCTATGAAAATAAAACCCATGGATACCAAGGATGACTGTGTTATAAATAATGATAATAAAGATTATGTAGCTACTCAGAATTTTTTTTTGATGTTGTTAAAATATATGACTATATATCAATGATTAAGGTATACACAGATAAAAAGTAAACTATGTATTAGAAAATACTGGAAAGCAAATTTAGAAGTTACCAACATTGTAATATGGTAAAAGATCTTGGTGTATCTTTTTTTTCCTTTGCTGAAGATTATTCATAGTTGCTACATTGCTTTTTTAATAATTACATTAATTTTAAATAAAGAGAAAGGTAGACCTTAAGCTTAAAGTATTTAATTTAAAATATTTTACTTTCATACTCTGGAGGTACAGTTGTAGCATTCAAAACTGTTTGCAGATAATGAACGCAATGAATGTTAGATGTTTTTCTATACTTCAAAATGTAGTAATGAAATGTATTACTACAATCTAAGAGGAATCAAATACTTCTTAGATTATGAAAGAGAAAAAGAAAAATAGTTTTCAAGTACTTTCCTTATATCACTAAGTTGTATCTCTACAGATGACTAAGGAGAGTAATTCATTGTTTGATTCCCCAAATTCATTTTAAGTTATATTATGTGAACAACTTAAGGTAATTTGGAGCTTAGTTTATCCTTTATTTGTAGGAATCACTTTCCTAACTGTGTTTGTAATAGAGTTGCCATCAACTTTTTGGAAAAATTTTCTGCTGCCTTCATGTCTTCAATAAGCATGAACTTATTGATTTTACTTTTTTGTAGAATTTAATGCTAGATATTATAAACAATGCAAAAATTATTGAAATATTGCCCTGAACTACCTTTTTCATCTCTCAAGTGATACTGCATGTTAAGTAACAATTAATTAAGAGAAAGATTTAATGTGGTCCAGAATATAAATATTATAATTTACATTGTATTATGGCACAAAGGAGAAAACACTTTGTAGAAGAGAAACCACATTAGATTACTGTGATCAAGAAAGTTTCCCAAGGGATGGCATCACTCACTTTTCCTTTGAATTTACATTCCTTTGAGGACTTCCTTGAACCTCTCTTCTATCCCCAGAATTAGTCTTCTCTCTTTTTAAAATTTGCAGCAAACTGACAGCATCTATTACCTAGTATTATAGCTGTTTATCCTTGTGTTTCCCAGTAGCAGTGAGATCTAAACAAGTACTAAGACTTAGTCATGTACATTAACTGGAGTGACACATGGTAGGTTATCAATAAATGTCTGATGCCTGAATGAAAGGCTGAATAAGAACTAAATGTAACTCTCAGAAATGTTTTGGAAATTGATCAAGGACTTTTCCGTACGACTTGAAGAGGTTAAGCAATATATTTATGAGAACTATCTGGAAACTTGCCCTAGTAAGTGATGACTTTGGACAGAATTTCATCATATCAGATAACAAGATGAAAACGAATATATTTAGTCCTTTATGTTCAGTTGCCAATTATTCCATAAATTGAATATCTGGAATAATGGAGGTGCACTGTTCCATTTTGTTTTTCATTTTCCATCTCTCTTATGTCATGTCTTTCACGTACATGGTGCTAGAGACTATGTGATTAAAAATTAGTGCTTTTGCAAAAAGTTAAATAACTTTGTGCCACAAATTGATTTGTTCAATATTTGAATAGCTTTGGGACTTGTTAAATTCTTGACAAGAGGAAGGTGATATTATAAATCCAAAAGATTATTTACAGCTTATCATAACTTGGCAATTATGTGTGTAAGAATTCTCAAATTTGTATCCTCAAAATTTTTTATCGCCATTTTTTCTTAAGGCCATTTCCTTTGGATTCTATTAATGTGACTGAGAAGAAATCTGTTGGAGAAATTATAGCAAGAGTAAAAGCAACAGATCGAGATGAAGATAGCAGTATCATTTATTCCTTTAAGACTCAGCAGAAAATGTTTTGTTTGGACCCCTGTAAGTTTTAAATAAATACTTTTAGCCTACTTTGGCTAAACATTCACTATCTAATCTCTGCACTTCCATTAGATCTTAGGCTGGTAAAACTGCCCTTTCAAAATTAAATGAAATCTGAAGAATAAAACATTCCCCAAACATGTGGTATTTGACAGTTGCTGCTTTCCTATTTCTGAAAATGACATTCTTGTGAAATAATGGGTGATGTAATACCTTGCTTTTATAACTGACTATCATTTTTCAGAGGCACTCAATACAAATGCTTCTGTGCATCCTTATAAATTATAGGATGAAATGTCATATCTATCTCAATTTGATTTGAGAAAATTGGGACTTTTCCAGAATGACTAGGTTTTGGATATTTATTATGAACAGATTTCTGCCTGTGTGAACAGGATTGCTGTTCTGAAATATTTCTCTCTTATGGGTTGTCACACTAGCTGGTTTTATCAATCAGGGTACAACCAGAGAAAAATAACCACTGAGAGTACATTGTAGGCTGGGCGCAGCGGGTCACACCTGTAATCCCAGCACTTTAGGAGGCCGAGCGGGTGGATCACGAGGTCAAGAGATCAAGACCATCCTGGCCAACGTGATGAAACCCCATCTCTACTGAAAATACAAAAATTAGCTGGGTGTGGTGGTGGGTGCCTGTAGTCCCAGCTACTTGGGAGGCTGAGACAGGAGAATCACTTGAACCCGGGAGGTGGAGGTTGCAGGGAGCCACGATTGCACCACTGCACTCCAGCCTGGGTTACAGAACGAGACTTCATCTCGTAGAAAAAAGAAAAAAAAAAAAAAGAGTACCCTGTAGCAGTGAGTTAAGTAGTCTCTGTAAGGCTTTGTGTCTGATGCTGAAGCTTTCACCCCTAAGGCAGGAAGTCAGGAAGAGAAGATGCATACAAAGTAGGGGAGGTTAAGGGTAGTCTGGAACACACAAGCATATGCTGGGCCCCATAAGAATCAACTGAAACCCATGTTAGTTCTTTGTGCTTCTGACCTTGCTTGTGTGGGTGTTCTGCAGAAGCTGAGCCTTTCATCACGTGGCTGAGTATACAGACCTGTTCTAAGAGTCAGAGAAGCTGAAAGAAGATCCAGCAGTAGGTCAAGCAATTTCAGATTTAGCTGAAGCTAGTTCACACCAACAGTAACACAGCAGATCAACAAAAACATGGGTAAGAAACAAAATGGCTGCTGCTACCCTTCTACCCTCCAAGTTGGCCAAGAATTTCCCTGTGTCTCACCAAACTGAAACACACACAAAATAGAATTCTGAGAAATACAGTTTGGCTTAGCAAATGTGGCACATTACAAAGCCATCATACTAATCATTCAATATTTGAGATAATTTATTTGAATCCTGAAAGTCGTTGGCAACTTATGCATTTAACTTCAAGATGCAAATATCAGTGGGAGAAGAAGTCCATTTAATAAATAATGATGTACTAGCAAGAGAAAATTTGGAAGAGATTCCACAAGGCCTTGTGGAAATTATGAAGACATTCAGGGTAGGGTCAAGGTAGAAGATTTTTGAACAAGAAAGGAGAAATTCTGGGAGGGAAGATAGGTGATGGTACCAGAAATAAAGAGTTCTGTTATTGCCATTTTTTTATAAGTTTGACATTTGAGCTCATTTTTCATTTTTGTACACAATAAGATTGAGTTAAGATAGAAGGCAGAAGCAATGAATGATTAAGATTTTAATATGGTTTGACTAATTTTTCAGGCTGAAAAACAGCATTTATTGTTGTAATTAAAGTAAAATATTCTGGTTTGTGTTTGATATTTTTTAAGTAGGGATGCTATCTATGCTTAGTAAATGAATGATAATTTAGAAACTTGAAAAATATGATGCAACCATTTTTAATATTTAATTATATTTACAATGTAACCATAAAGCAAACAGAAGCTTTTTTTGATTTTATTTTATTTTTTGAGATAGTCTTGCTCTGTCACTCAGGCTGGAGTGCAGTTGTGCGATCTCGGCTCACTGCAACCTCCGCCTCCGGGGTTCAAGCTATTCTCCTGCCTCAGCCTCCCAAGTAGCTGGGACTACAGGCAGGCGCCACCACGCCCAGCTAATTTTTGTATTTTTAATAGAGATAGGGTTTCACCATGCTGGCCAGGCTGGTCTCGAACTCCTGACCTCATGATCTGCCCGCCTCAGCCTCCCAAAGTGCTGGGATTACAGGCGTGAGCCACTGCACCCAGCAAACAGAAGCTTTTAAGAAAATATTTCCAATGGACATAGAATTGCGAAATATTGCTTTTCTCATGTATGAAAAAAGTATATTGTTAAGTGAATTAAAACATCATTAACATAAATAAGCTAACATAGGCTTGATTATCTTAGTTTGGTCATTTTTCTTCATTTTATTTCTTTTTATTAGTCACAGGAACAATCACTCTTCTTCAGCCTTTGAATCTTGACAACCCAAGTAACTCCAAAATCTACTCTTTGGAAACTGAGGCAACAGATAATGGGAATAATACCAGCAGCTATACGTTTACAGTTTTTGTGGAGAATGTAGATGATCCTATTTCCTGTGATCCAAGTTTTTCAACAGGAGCAGGTATAATACAAGTCAATTTTATTGATAAAATTCATGAGACAATAATAAAATTTAAAAATAAAACTGGAATTATAGTTTAAGCTTTCTAGTTTTATAAATGGGAAGTAAATAAAAGCAAATAAAGTGAGAGACATAGCATGTTCCTAAAAAGAAAAAAAATAAAGTTACTATAATTCAAATTTGAATTCAAATTATAGTTATTTCTGTGTGTGGCAGATAGGGTATTAGGAGTAATGACAAAATTATTCTGATTGTATCTGTAACATATGGATTGATATGTAGCCTCACAAGTTATCAAACACATACAAATCTAAACAATAAAATACAATTTTCACCTACTAAATTGGCCAAAATATTAAAATAATAGGAAAAAAATCAGCATTGGCTAGAGTATACAGAAATTATCACTTTCATAAAGTGGGATTTTAGAATAACCACCTAGAATACTATTTCATGAACAGTTATTTTAAAAATGATTATAATCTCTACCTGAGTATTTCTCCCTGAATTCATCTTTACAGAAATAATGGAGATATAATCAAGATTTATGTTCAAAGTTTGTAATAGTATAAGGTTTGAAATAACCAAAATGTCTAAGAATAGGAAATTGATTAAAAGACACTATGTCCATTTGATGAATTGCTATCTAACCATTAAAGATTATCTTCAAAAAATAATAAGCATGAAATGATACATGATACAAACTATAAACACATTTCCTTTAATTTGGTGTATACAATAATATATATACCACATATAAATAGATAATTATAAACACATATACCATTTGTATAGAATCATTTATTTTTGTATGATTATAATAAATTATTCTTTTCCAACATTTTAGTAAACCTGCTCCACTATTCATTTTTAATGTTTCTTAAATTAAAAATTCTAGCTGTATTTATATAAAATTTCAGCCTCTTAAGTGTCATCATTACTCCTAGTAGTATGTAGTTATTTCATCTGCTATTCTTGCCTCCAAAATACTTGCTTAAAATACATTTTCAGTTGTACAAACTATAATAGATTTAAAGTAATATATAGAGGTAGCTTTCAGTATGATTACAATAGGCATAGTCTTGAAAAGTTTGATAAATTAAGTTTTGTAAATGAAATTTTATTCTTTCACTTACCTCATGAAAGAAAGCATGCATCATCTATTGGAATCAGTATGTCTTTGTGGATAAAATGTTAAAATATGCTATTCTACTTTGTGTCAATCACAACCTCATATACTGTTCCCTAACCTCACTCTTAGGTGTATTTGTGTTTTTCATGAGGACCTAAAAACACAATCTTTAAAACATTTGAATATACTTGAGACTTTGCACATGATTGGATCTCAGAAAACATAGATTGGCTTGATTTAATTTTGGCTGGGTCCACTGGATCTCAACAATTATATTTGCTCTATTAGTTAGTCTTTTCATTTTTTTCTCTCCATTTATTTCTAACTTTACTTGCTCACCTACCATAAAGACTTTACTCCTTCTGCTTTCTTTGTTTTACTGCTTTTCTTTCTCTATTTCTATTAAGAGAAACTACCCAAATAACTGGGAGGCAATGAGATAAAAAAGAAGTTGAGGGCAAGTGGAACAAGGCAAACTTCATTAAAATAGTCTCTTTTTTGTTTTGTTTTTCCTGGATGCCTGTTCATTGCTGCTCTATTTCTTACCACCAGAATGATCTCTTCTCAATGTTCAGAAACATCACCTTTTTGGAAACCCAAAAGTTCCAAAACGCACAACACACAGATTTATTACTTTGAATCAGAACATATCTTCTGATATACATAATAATAAACATATCTAAAAATAGAAGTTTATATTAAAGAAATTTGTTCACAGAAATTAAATTTAACCAAGAAAAGTCTCCTAGGTGAGCCTTGGCAAGGTACCAACGAATGGGTTTGGTGTTTGTGAAGATATGATCTTTTGGACCACTTTGAAACAATTTAATTGATGTTCTTTGTAATTTCCTTTCAGTCTTCCAAAATTATAGTAAACTTTAAAAAGATACACGTGGATCTCAAGAAGGTCATTTTGACCCGATTTCTACTACAAGCTTGGCTGAACCAGCATAAACTGCTAGAGCAGTACCAAGATCGGGATGTCTTCCTCTTCCATCATCTGGGCTGTGGGCCTTGGGACATAAGAGAAGCGAGGACAAGAAGTCACTTTCTGTTTAAAGTAGGGCAACTCTGTGGGTCTCTGTGACCAAGAATTACCAAAGACATTGACATGATTTTCAAGCTGCTGATTTGACACACACATATTCAATTCATTTACTGGGTTTAATTATCCAGTTGCTATAATTAACCAGAACAAATCACTAAATTAGAGAATCTGCCTACACATGTTCAGTTTGAAACAAAGGTTCAAAATAAGCAAGTCCTAGTCGCACCAAAGTTGTTCTATAACATCCTTAGAAAGTCCTGTAAAGAGACCCTTACAGGACTACCCAGTCTAGATTGTGATACAATATTCACTGGATTTGATATCCAAGATTCAGCTGCACAGTAAACATTAAGCCTTTTTTCTTTTAAAAAAAAGTATTCGTAGAATCACATAACAGGTAAAGAAACTATCAGTAGTCTAAATGTGCATTTATGTTATTTGATTTTGGGATTACACAGAATCATAGTTGGTAGCATTGGAAGGAGGATGAGGGGCGATGGTTGGAAAAAGGCAAGTAGCATTTGTTGAGCATTTGAGAGATGTGTTATGTATAGTATTCTATTTAATCTCTAAAACTACTCTAAGATTGGAGAAGTACTTTATCCCCATTGTACAGGTGAGAATAGTGATGGAGCAGGAATTCAAGTGCATTTCTTCCTGTCTTCACAGGCTGTGCTCTACTTTTTTGTACATGATTGTGAAAGGAGACAAAAAGCTTCAATATCCTAATATAAAAGAATAAAAGTAGAAATCATATCTTAGTGGCCATTGACTTTGAGCAATTATATCCCATTCTATACAGTAGCCCAAAGTTTAAAGGTAGGAATATCAACCTGAATTATGATGGCTCTTTTAAATGTTGATGTTAATGGGAGTAAGTATTTGTAGGGGTTTTTTGTTTCTCTGAAACAAATATGAAGAAGATCATTTTAAGGAAAATACAGCATGGTAATTTACGGTACCAGCATGAAGCAAGAAGTGAAAGAAAGACATTTGAATTTAAATTATTGTTCATGATTGTGTAATTGTATAGGTGTTTCAGTGTCTGTTCCTGAAAACATTCCTGCATCTACTTTTATATATATGATTCTTTCAAGAGATCCAGATCTAGGACAGGAAGTTGAAGTAAGTTTTTTTATTTTCATCTATTTATTTTTGCCCAACTTGGATGAGAAAAAAAACCCAAAAGAGTGCTCAATTTTTAATGCACAAAATATTATTTTGCCAGGCTGTTAATTAAAGTATTCTTTATGTGTATGGTAGTCACTGAAGTGAGAGAGGAGACTTAAACCTTTGGGACTAGTAACATAGAATTAAAATGCTCTGGCTTCAAAATGAAAGAAACAGATTTCAAATGGTCTGAAAGCATTGTGAAAAACTAGAGCTTACATCTATTGGCATTTATCTGATGACATTTACGAGCATGAATAGAATGTTCTTTCATTGTTCATTGCCTTTTATTCATCCCAATCAGGCATATTTTCTTTATTATACATACAATGTGAGTAAAGGATATTTTAGGCCTTCATATTAATTCTGGTTTTAGCAATAATTCATAAAGAGGAGAGAATAAATTTTAGGTGACAAAATGGTTACAGCTTAAGTGGGGGTAAAGAAGAAATTTAAGATAATTCATCACTGTGTATTTTCTCAGAAATTTTTCTGGTATACATATGACCTTTAATCTAATTATATTTGTAAGAAAAAAATTGTTTTCTTGATGATGCAATATATCATAAATCTGATTAATACACTGGAATACTCTGCCCGAAATTTAGTGAGTCAAATTCTCCATAGAAGAGACTAACTTTTTTTTCTGTTTGTTCATGCTTGCTATAAAGATACACATAAATATCACTTGGGAATATGGTTGAAACTAAAGTTTGGGAGAAAGCTCTGTGGAGAATTTAGTCTATATGTAATTTTTCTGGTTACCTGATTATAATGAGATATTGATTAATCCACTTGATTACATTTTTTGCTCATGTGAATTTCAGACTGAGGACAGATTACAACACAGGAACAATGTAATTCCTGGCATATCAGGTTCAGCTCATCTATTTGTGTGAATGTGTTAGTGTGTGTGTTGGGAGGATAGAGTTAGGATATTGGGGTACGTGGGTGTGTGCATTTAAACTAGAATATGTCCATATGTGTGAAGGATGGGTGTCTACAAAAGTATCCATTATAATTATGTGCTTACATGCATAGTTTCCATTACCAAAAATTAATGTAATATCTAGATTTTATTGTAAAAGTCATTAGGAAAGAGAAAACAAACATTTGGAAAATGATGATGTTTAACAAATCTAAAACCATAATAATGGGGGAAAACAAAGAGATTATTTTCATAAGGACATTTAAGAGGATTTTAGTCTAATATAAGCCAACTTTTGTTGTTCACTTACAGGCAAATGAAAGATGGTTAATATGACCATCAAAATGGCTATTATGCATTCTTTGGAAATGGCATTGGGTATCAGATCTTCCAGGTTTTATTGCAGGGTTTTTTTGAGCTGGAATCTGGATGTGAGTGTTTATAATATAATTTCTTTATGAAATCCTTTTCAAAATCTTTAATATTTGTCTTGATAACAATGGAGAGAAACATGCCGATGCCCATAAAAATAATAGCTTTGTCCAAGGCAATATTTTATTTTTGCCATGCAGAAAATCAATTCAGAGATGGAATCAAACGGCTTCTTCCAAATAATTCAGTTCATGTGCCTCCTTTAGATATACTTCCTGAGTATTCAAGAGGGAACAGCTTTTTTTTAATATTGGAAAAATCTGTAAATGCAACACTAGAAAGTAAACTAATTATGAAATTATTGAAAGCTATTCACCAAAAATGCTCTAATATTTTAGTATAAAATGCATTGGAAAAAAATACAACTAAAACGTGAAAGAATATATAGATTATTTTTGAAGTCTGGAACTGAAAGTAAGTTCAGATTTTAATTTATAGGCAGTCTTCGCAAAATTTATTTTGGTTTACATCTTGCCAAATCGTTGCATCAAAGCTGTCAGTTCAGAATTCATGCTTACTCAATAATGTATTAACCATGTTTGTGTGTGTATGTGTGTGTTGCAGTTTTTAATATTAAATTCTTCAATTAATGCCACTGCCTACTTTGCTTTGGATTCGCATAATGGTGTTATTTCTAAAACCACTGAACCTCTTTTGGACTATGAAACAAATCCTAAGGTGAGACTAATTATAAAACTGAATATAAAACAATGAATACCTTTAAATACCCTTCAATAAAATAATTTTTAAAAACATATCTAAGTTGAAATAAAAAGTTATCAAATTTATGTAATTGCATTTTCATATTCACTGAGATCAAGCAGAAATTCATTTTAAAAGAAAATAAATTTAGACGCTTATGTGATTCATTATGTGTACTTTTTCATTAGACCTTAGTTAAATATTATTTCAATCATTGTGTGTGTTTCTGTGGCTGTATATAAAAGTTGGAGAAGGGATTGTCTTCATATTCAACAGCATGGAACAGAGGCAATGTTCTGGGTAATTAAATAAAAGTACACTTCTTTAGTCTTGAATTATCTAAAAAAGTGCCTCTCTCTTTGGCTTTATGTGATTGTGGAGACCTGGTGTGGCCTTTTTCCCCTGCAATGTCCTGATCAAATTTGAAATTTGCAAATAATTGGAAAGAAGGGTGAGGTATAAGGAGATGAAAACACATAACAAATCATTTTTTCCTACCAAATCATCCTGGAAAATGAGACTATTTAAATTTCAAATGTTTTCCAGTTTCTTTAAGCAATTCTCAACATTTCCAGTAGTAGACTTATCAGGCTGTCTGTTGTTGTTGATGTTGTTGTGTTTTGTTGTTGTGTTTGTTTGTTTTAACATCATCTTAACTAAAACATGACTTTCTAAACTGCAAATGTTTTGGCCAGAACTTATCCATAGTGAGATAACACCACTATGTGAGAGTTGAAGAAAAAAAAAAGCAACAACTATTTTTCCAGGACATTTGGCTAGTTGCTTATAATAATACTTTCCACCCTGGTATTATAGGATCATTTCTCCTATAGTCAACTTTGCTGTTTTCCATTCACTCCTAAACAAATTGCCTTTGTTCGTTTTCTTTGTTCTCTCATACAAAGTTCAGGATTAACTTTATTGAGAAAGTACATATTGCCATTTTGATTTTATTTACTTATTTTAATTAATTTATTTATTTTGAGATGGAGTTTCACTCTTGTTGCCCAGGCTGGAGTGCAATGGGGCAATCTCTGCTTACTGCAACCTCTGCCTCCCAGGTTCAAGTGATTCTCCTGCCTCACCCTCCCGAGTTACTGGGATTACAGGCACCTGCCACCAGGCTTGGCTAATTCTGTAGAGACAGGGTTTCGCCATGTTGGTCAGGCTGGTCTTGAACTCCTGACCACAGGTGATCCACCCAACTTGGCCTTCCAAAGTGCTGGGATTACAGGCATCAGCCACCGTGCCTGGCCGAAATTAAATATTTTAAGCACTTAAAAAAAACCCCACATTATAGCTTCTCTTATTTATTTCAGCATTTCCATTTAGTGATTGCTGTGAGAAATAGGCAAAACCTGTCTTTGGAGTTATGCATTAGCACCATCAGTATCAACGTCCAGAATGTCAATGATAAGAGTCCTGTTCTTACGTAAGCAATGAGTAATCTAAATATTTAAATGATAAGATTAAGCCACAGAAATTTTTCTCATAGCAGGATAAAGACCAGTGTTTGGCTATTGTTTCCACTGTTAATTTTTTAAAAATATTTTAAGTGATCTAGAAAGTAAACCTTGATGAGTTGTATTTTATTGCTCTTTTTACATGCACTGGAAGCCAACTCATTTATATTTCAGCCTTGAAACTACAGAAGAGAACCAATATTTTTTTGATGGAATAATCCAAAGCTTCATATTTTTCTGGTATTTATTTTTAATAATGAAAATATTCTAGAAAATGTACATTGATATGTTCATATTGCAAAGTCAATGTAGGTATTTAAGAGAATTTGGGCAAAAAACACTTGCTGATATGGACATATGACCAAACACAAAAATAATGAAAATCATTGCAAAAACGTCTGTAGTATTTTGTAATGTGGAATAAAGTAGCATTTACCAATCAGCAGAAAGACTTGAAAAAAGGATACAGGTAAAAGAAAATTTAAGTTCATTTTATAAAATGTGAACATTCTCTAATAGATTTAATAATGTACAATGAAAAAACATTAAGAAGGCCAGACTTGAAACTGTTACACAATACATATTATATGAAATGTAAAATATTTGCTGTGTGACATAAATGAAAAAATACATTTGTTTATACTGACTGATAAAAAAAAATCATTTTGTCCCACAGATATATACCAGATGCACCTATGAATATTTATGAAAATCTGTCTGTTGGAACAAAGTTGGTCAGGTTGACAGCAACTGATAGAGACATAAGGCACTCGGTACATTATGAACTTATAGGGACACAAAAATAATTTTCTATAAATGAAGGTACAATAATATTTTTATTGTGAATGATTTTATAAAATATATTCAACAGTGTTTTTTACTAGTGAAAAATAAACCTGATTATCATTCTATTAAGATGAAACCATCTTTAAAATATTTAGCAGCATATTTAGCATATTTTCATGAGGTAGAAATGATTATTTCTTCCTTCTCAGAAGTATGGAAATGGTCTGTATAATCTGGTTGCTCCAGGAGGCTCCCAAACAATTCGAACTCACAATAGCATTCCCTGGGATTTTATTGTATGATTTTTTTTTCTCTGAGAAGTAAATTTTCCTATGGAAACCAGAGCAGTAGTAAACATAAATTGAATATTTATTATATATCACATATATAATAACTTTGCATACATAATAACCCCTTTGGGTTTTTACTCTCCTAATTCTCACATAACATATGATGCCTGGAAAATATTTTAATTTATCCAAGCTCATGCAGCTGATTTCTGTGGCAGAACCAGCACTTGAATTCAATCTGCTGGATTTTGACATTTGTAACTCTACCTACCTTCCACATGGCCAAAAGTTTGGAGTTTCTAACCCTAAAGACATAAATATAAAACAACAAGAAGAAGAAAAGAAAGATGTCTTCTCTTTTTAAGAGGTGATGTACATTTTCACACATGAAAAGAGCTGGGTTAAACCCAAACCATCTATCATATCAGCCAAAAGATCTCCTGGTAGAGAGCCAGAATCTGAGAAGGAGAAGGAAGATGACTTGTGGAGAGAAGGTTCGGTATGGCAAGTCAGAAGTTAAGGGGAGAGAGAGAGAGAGATACAAAGACAGAGAGAAGGGTGCCAGAACTGGCAGTGAGAAGGGGATGGTAGGAGAGATGGGAGATTAATTACATACCAGGGGATTGATAAAAAGCTAAAGATAAATGAAGGATGGTTTCTCCTGTCAGAGATGTGAGTAACAATTGTGGAAAATGAGAAAACTGTAATGAACCATGTGGGGATACATTAAAATTGAAGGCATCAGAATGAACTTCTATTTTTCCATATATATATATGGAAAAAATATATATATATTTGTACATGTATATCTATGTATATGTGCATGTGTGTGTAGTTAACAAACATTGATGTAATTGTATGTGTACAAATATGCAGAGACACAGAAACATAAATACATACATTTTGTGTCCCTACTTAAAGAGTGAAAGAACTTAGGAGCATAATATCAGAATAGCCATGAGAACAGCTATTACTCAGACAATGAGTTCTAAATACCATTTTTCCCTATAGAAGCTCTTTAGAGGAATGGCTCTTTTTGAGGCCACAGTAGTTAAAGTGTAAAACGAGCAAGAACGCAAGAACATGCTTGAAGAATGATGAAGGTATGTCAAAAACAAAAATGCCAGAAATCAGCTTCAATTGTTCCCCTTTCCAATTCTAGAGCAATCTGAACATCAAAATAAATAATACAGATTATAAATCATAAAATGAGAGTCCATGAGTCCATTAGATATAAATACAAAGATAAATGGACAGTTTGATGAAAAACAAGATGCTTATGTAGTTTCAAAGTATCTCTTTTCAAATTATTGTTATTATTATTATTATTATTATTATTATGAGACAGAGTCTCACTGTGTCACCCAGGCTGGAGTGTGGTGGCGTGTTCTCAGCTCACTGCAACCTCTGGCTCCCAGGTTCAAGTGATTCTCCTACTTCAGCCTCCCAAGTAGCTGGGACTACAGGCGCCCACCACCACACCCAGCTAATTTTTTTTTTATTATTATTTTTAGTAGTGACAGGATTTCACCATGTTGGCCAGGCTAGTCTTGAACTCCTGACCTTGTGATCCACCCGCATTGGCCTCCCAAAGTGCTGGGATTACAGGTGTGAGCCACTGCACCCAGCCTACAAAATACTTGTTATTTGCAAAGGGCGAAGTAGCAACTTTGGAGTATGGAAAACTGGCAGATACTCACTGAGTCAAGTAATTAAAATGGACTTCATCAGTAGTGAGACAAACTGATTACATTCAATAAGGATACAATATAATTTCTATGATATTTAATCAAAAGCTACATAACCTGAATCTCATTGTGAGCTCACATTAGGCAAACCCAGCTTGAGAGATGTTCTCCAAAATTACTAGTCTGTAATCTTCAAAAAGTTCAAAGTCATGAAACTCAAGGGAAGACTGAAGATCTTTCCCATATTGAAGGAGACTAAAGACACATGACAACACGTGATTCTGAACTGGATCTTTTGCTATAAAATATATTGAGACAATTACTGAAATTTAAGTGGAGGTCTTGGTGTTAGATGTATTGATGTTAACTTTCCGATTTTGATGAACCATGGCTGTTTCGAGAATACCCTGCTATTAGGAAATGTATGTTGAGGCAACAAGTCAGCTACTTACTCTCAAATTGTTCTGAGAAAGAAAAAAAAGCTCTTCCATCAACTTTAAAAAAATTAATAATTATACTAAAATAGAAATGAAAGAGAAAATGAGAGCTATAGAAGATAGGCAGAGAAGAGCCAACGCCTTAAGTCATGTTCTAAAAATTCCTGAAGAAGCAAACAAAAGGCAAAGGAATACAACAAATGCTCAGAGGTATCATCCAAAAAAAATTCCTAAAATAAAAGATTTGAAAAGGCAAACTAGGTTCTTGGAAAAACTAATCCATAATGGCTGAATCTGAGCCAGATTTTAATAAACTATTAGATGTTAATTTTTTAGAAAAGTATTTGGGCCTTTAGGCAAAAAGAGTAGGTCACCTACAAGGGAATAATATTAATACATTGTTAACAGACTTTTCTATAAATCCTTTCTGTAAGTTAACGGAGTAACAATTTAGGAAACTTGAGGACACAAAATGTGATTTAACAAATTTACATTCAACAAAATGACCTCATATATAAAAGGCAGCATATAAAAATTTGAGAACATGGGAAACAATATCTCCTATTAGTTCTTCCTGATGCATCCGCTAGAGAATGCACTCTAGACAACCAAAATACCTAGAAACTAAGAACGCAGGAAATGAGAATGACCATCAATTATATTTTTACCTGTAGATTAAAAATCAAGGTTATAAAGGAGAGAGCACCTTTCACATAAGGGTTACGTGCTCTGCAAATATAGATGGGATAAAATTATTTAAAAAGGAATTCCCAATGAAAACATTGTCAGTTTTTCTTTTTGTTGATTTCTGTTGTTTTTCTCTTTGCCTACTGTCACCCACTCCACCTACACCCTCTTCAACATCCCCACCTCACCTCAGTCGTCTCTGCCTGGATTTCCTGTACTCATTTTTCAACACCCAGCCTAGCCTGCACTCTGTGCTCCCCACTCCACCCACCATGACCCTCCCATGAAATATTTTCTGAAATATGCAGTTAAGAAGACTTCTCTCTTTCCCGGTCACTTACCCAACCACCATTCCTTACAGATACACAGTTGTGACTAGCGTGTGAGTTTCATCAGATCAATGACTGACCTTTATTTTATCCTTAGAACTATTTTATCCATGCCACTATTTTTAATTTATAACTTATTCATTTTATGAGTAAAGAAAAAATTTGCATCTGCCTGCCTTTTAGGTTCAGGAGAGGTCACACTTGCCTATCCTTTGGATTATGAAGACATAGGCACACCAAAGTCTTGGGTATTATATTTTAGAGCTTATGACAATGAGCGAATACATTCAACAACTGGGACAGTCAGTATTTCTACAAGATGTAAATAACAATCCACCTCAATGCTCGCAGGATATTTACATGTAAGTTATGATACTAATTGTTTGGTCTTCAGATTTTGGCACAGAGAGAAGCAGGAGAAAAATAAATGGATAAGCATCGTACCATCCCTGGAATGAAGCCAAAGCCTTTCATTCTTTCCTTTATTTTCAGACACTATGCAGCTTCTCTTTCCATTTCCTACCTGGTACAAGTGAATCTGCTTTATTAATTCTTTAAAAAGTATAAAAATTAAAGCTAGAAAGGATTCCAAAGGATTATTTTGTTTAGCTCATGCTTTCAGGGAGATAAAAGAGCTATTATATTAGAAATCATATATTTGTATAAATGCAAGGGTATAATTCGTTTTGTATTTTACTGACATTAACTTAATGATAGCTCTAAAGCCACATACAAACTTACTTTCTTTGTTCTGGCTTTTAAATTACATAGAAATTTAAAATGCAAGTATGATATGTTATTTCTATTATTAAAATGGAGTTCATTTACTCACAAAGTTTACACAGTTAATACATAGTGGGCTGGATCCTGAAACCTAGATTTTCTGATCCTTAGTGTATTGTTCTCTGCAGAATACTGGAGGGCTCAAAAAGACTTAACTTAGTCTAGGAGTAATCTGGTAACATACTCTTCTTTGATATTCTGGTAACATATCTCTTTCCAACAGTGTGTGATTACAGAATTAACAGATCATGTGATAATCTGTTATTAATAATGATCACATGATGATCAATACTATTATATATCATATAGAAAATTTGTGGAAAACCATAGCAGTCTGTGCTTCCAGCAACAAAAGACTATTTAGATGGACCTAAAATAAATTATACGCAGTAGAATTTTGATAGTCCTGCAAGTTGAACAATAAAAGCTCCTGCTTACTTAAAATTTTCACTTTCATAGCATAAATGATATTTTATAATACATTATAAAAGGTTTTTGGTGGTCTACGCTTGAATTACTTTCTCCCACTGAAAACAATATTTTATAAATACAAATGCAGGGATATATTTGATCACTTTATAATAAAAAATGTCGAAAATCCACATACAAAAATGGTGCCATTGCTCCATTATACTCAAAAATCAACTTTTAGTTTGTTTGTAAACTTTTTGTCAGAGATGTTCTGATAAAACCAAAAGGCCAAAGAACAAAGAAGAATTCTGTAGCCACTCCAATAGTTGTTTGCTTTTACTTTCTATTCCAGCTAGTAGTCTACAGATTCATATTGGAAGGTATTAGAATTTTTTGTTTCTAAAACATTTTTCATGTTAACAAATTAGACAACTCACCTTTTATTCCTCTATTATTTTAATTCTAAGGTATTTTAAATGCTTAACATTAGATGTATTCTTTTAAAAAAGAGAAAAATACCATTATAATTTTGTGTACTAGTCAAGATACCACTGATTGCTGTTTTAAAAAATAACATATGTATATATCATTGGCTAAACCCAATAAGCATTTCTTTGCCCCTTATGCAAAGAGTAGTGCAGGTTGGTGGGCTCTACTGTGTGGCACTCTGTGCTGTGACTCAGGGATCCTAGACTACTCAATTGTTTGGCTTTGCAGTATGTTGCCTTGTGCTCCCAACCATATGAAGAGAAGTGAGAAAGACAGCATGTGGAAGGTACCCCCAAATTTTAATCATCATACCTAGAACTGATATAATGCATTTCCACTTGCATTTCATTTGCCAGCACATCTCACGTAGCCTACTTCAGTAGCTGTAGGGAAACTGGGATATGTAGAGGGACACAGGAATATTGGTAAGAATAAACAGTCCCTGCTAACCATCAAATTTAATAGTCAATAGTTCTCAGTTTTCTTATTTTTAAGTGGGAGACAAGTATATATTATCTGAGTAAAGAAAAAGCATGGAATATTTAATCTCAAGAGATCACATAGAGGTCTAGCATTTATAAATATAAAATTATTAATCGGAGATACTAATTTCCATTTTGTTCAATGATAATATGTGTGCATAATACTAAAGTTGCTGCTTATTCATCCAGCATAATAGCAATTCAATTCCCTTAGCCTCAGCAAGGATGCCGAATAATTTCTTATCTTACACAATTTTTCATCAACACTGTACTTTTCTTATTGGCAGAAGTGACTATTTAAAATATGAGCACATTTTAAAACATCTATTAAATATTATCATCTGCATAAATCTAGATTAACATGTTATACCACATTTTTCCATATTCTACTCATTTCAGAATTGAACATCCTGAAAACATCCCAGTTGAAACTCTTTTAGTCTCTCTAACTTGTACAGATAAGGATGGAACTGCTCCCAATAACAATATAACGTATCATTTGATTGTGGATGCCTTTTCAAATGGAACATTTACCCTCACAAACAATGAACTGAGAGTATTTTTAAGTTGCTCTCTGATTGTGCCCCTGTGATTAACCTTAGATAGAAAAATATTTTATTTTCATGATTATAAAATTCTTAATGAACTACAGTAATTCAAATAGCTGATGGCAGAATTTGTTCCTGGATTTTTAATTGAACCTTAAATTACCAACAACATATCTTAGTTTGAGATGAATGCTGGAATGCAATTTTGATCTTTGGAACTGAACTAGGAAGGTTATAAATTTCCTAAAACAAATGGCTCTATAATAAAATACTGTCTATTTCTTTGGAATGTGCCAAAACTACTGAAACGGGACCATTCCCTTGACCCCTATGCAGGACTTGCGAAGGGGGTGGCTCATTTGCTCAGCCCTCAGCTCTCAACCCCTCACAGGATGGCGAGCATGCAGGTGAGTGGGTGCAGGGGCTGGAACTCATGCCTCTGGGCACTGGCAGGAGTACAACTCTGTGCTTCCCCATGGCGTCTAAGGGGGTACCTGTGACCCCAGAGCCCCAGAGGGCGTGTGTTACAGTGTGCTCTTTTAGCTTTGCTGTCCATGTACAGCTTAAGTGCTTAACAGCTCAGTGGAGGGTCAGGGTGACAGCCTTTCACACCCATCCTCTTGGTACCCAAGTTCTTGTCCAGCATCCAGGAAGAATCAGGCTGCACAAATGAACTGAAGAGTGGTAAATGTAGAAGAGCTTACTGAGTGGTGGAAGTGACTCTCAGTGGGATGGGGAGCGGGAAAGGGGATGGAGTGGGAAGGTGGTCTTCCCCTGGAATTTGGCCCCAACTGAACTCTGAAGTCCTGCTGTCAAGCTGTTCTCTCTGATGTCCAGCTGCTGCTTTTCTTCTCTCCTTCTCTGCTGCTCAGCCACTTTGCTGCTCTGCTGCCCCTCTACCAGTGGAGCCTGGGGTTATGGGTACAGGATGGGGGGCGGGGCAGGCCAGGATGGTTTTGGAAAAGGCAACATTTGGATGGGAAAACAGGAATACATGTGCTCACTTTGGGCCATAGTCCCAGGCTTGGGGGTGTAGCCTTAGCCGGGGACCACCCTCTTCTACCCAGTATTTCCCTGCCTCCTGTCCATATCACTACCATAGTTACTTTTAATAAATATATTCAATAACTATCAAATATGGTATATGAAGATAATTAATATGCATACTTTATTACTGTATTCTGGGATGTACCATAGCTCAAATATTTTACCAATTAAAGAAATTTAGAACTTTATTTCCAATAAATTTTGAGACCTAAGTCAGGCTATATGTTGTTATACTCACATATTTTTAAAAGAATAGGTGGGGTTAGATTAGACATTGTGTTCAACAAAGATTCCTGGGTAATGGCTGAACATTGGTGTGAAAAAAGTTGTTCAAACCCATGTTGAGTTTGTTTTCATTAACTGATAAGAAACCAAACATGGTCTGGATGAGTAGACACAGGTAACAAGCACTTCTTTTTTACCTTATTTTGATACTGAATTCATTGTAAATGGACCTCTATCCAAGTTGCATTTCACACAAACCCCTAACATTATCATTCTCTGTCTTATACTTTGTGGCTGAGAGGCACAGAACCACTTTCACAATCTTAAAACAATGGATGTCCTTCACCTCTGCCTTTTTGTCCTGCTGTTCATGCTATTCATACTGCTAGAAATTCCTCCTGTTATGTTGTATCCCCAGTACTCACACACTTTTGCATAACCCTCATGGTTTTGTTTAGAGATTGTTTCTTTTAAGAGCCATCCCTAATACTTCTTCTCCCTCTTGTCTGGATTAGGCACGTCTCATTGGGTTCTTGCAGCATTTTGTATCTCTCCAACCATAGCACTAATCACACATTCCATCTGTTTCTCCCATTAGATGGTAAAAGAAAAAAATCTGTTATTAAACTAGTTTCTGACATATATTCAGTGTTTTTAGAGATATATATATTTATTAATGAGCAATTAATGGGTACAAATCTACCATTTGATAGAAGAAATAAGACCTAGTGTTTCATCAGTAGGGTGACAGTAGTTTACAATAATCCATTGTATAATTCAAAATAGAAGAAAATAATATGGATATTTCTAGTGTAAAGAAAAGACAAATATTTAAGGTGATGGATATCCCAATTATACTGATTTGATCTTTACAAATCATACAAATATATTGTTGCATGTACCCCAAAATATGTACACTATGTATCAATAAAAAATAAAATACTGAATGAATGAGTAAATAAAATGAACAAAATTATACTGTAAAAGTCATTTTTGTAAGACATTGACAGGATTTAGTAACATTATTGCCAGATGCATCAATGCCACATTTTCATAATTCCTTGCAATTAGAATATATTGTTGATATGACTAGAATATCAAAACAGATACTTGTAAACTACATATATTACATTTGTATCCTGATAAACATTGAAAATAATAAAACATTAAAAATATCCTCAATTAGGAATATGAAGATCATGGCACTGAATAACATTTCTTTGAATCTCCCTTATTCATGCAACTCTAACAAGAAGAAAACAAATAAAACAAGCACACAAAATACATGAGTAAACAACAACAAAATTTTTGTAGTGGACCTGTTCTAATTTGACTAAAATCATAAAACCAGCCACATAAATTTCCTAGAAGCAAAACTATTGACCCAGAGTATTTTATGATGGCTTTCTACCTTTGCCTGAAAATTATGAAATATTAATCTTTATTAAATTCCCTGGCATATGGTATAACCTCTTTTTCTTTTTTCCAACTATTATTGGAATGAGAACAATAGTATTTTTCTCAAAGGGTGATTAAGTTCAAAAAGAGTCATAAAGTGGCAACATCCTTATCTTAAAGCAGCTAGAGAAAAGAAGCTAGTGTGTAAAAAAAGAAACTGACACAATTTTAATGCTTAGGGAATAAACATTTACTAGAAGAACATAGAACATGTGTTTGGCTTTCCAATGATGTTTGAGTTTTAAACTCATAAAAGGGCATAATTAAAATACAAATTTTAAAAAATTAAAAATAAAACATTTGTTCTTAGATGCCATACATTGGCATGTGTATTATATTAATGAGATAAAAAGAGCTTAGCAGTCACTCAAAACTATGATTTATAATAAGCATCAAGAATTTTATGTTAAAATAATGATTACAGCTCTAGTAGACTAGTAGATATTAACTTTAAATTTACCTTTACTCATTGAGGAATGATATTCACCAGGGTACCAGTGATAGCCATGTAATTGTAATGTTTAACAATGAATTACTATTTAATGAATCCAAATGATTTCATATGCAATATATTGAACTTATTAATAAAATAATAAAAAATGAATATTTATTTAAGTCAGTATTACTAATCATGTATTTTATGAGGTTATTTCTCTTTAATGAGCATTGACCTGAAAAACACCCCAATATATTTTTACTAGTCAATTCATTTTTTAATTATTATTTTATGAGGTAATATTTGATATTAGATAACATAAGTAACATATTTGCAAGTAATAAAGCATAGCAATAAAATGAACCCCTGAGCCCATCATCTCACTTCAGAATTAGAATATTACTAACAGCTGTGCTGCCACCCTTTGCCATCCCTCTGCTTGTCTTCTAGACACAACCAATATCCTGAATTTTGTGTTTGTCATTACTTGGGGATTTTAGAGTTTTGTCATCAATGTACATATTACTAGATAACATGGTTATGTTTGCTTAGTTCTTGAACTTTAAAAACGTGGTATATCTATGCAGTCTTCTGTGATTGATATTTGATTCATTACGTGTTTGAGTCAAACAGGGAGTACTCGTTTATCATAGCTATCATCTATCTATTTATCATCTATCTGTCTATCTACCTATCAGTCACTTAGTTGCTGTAATGTCCCATTATATATCTTAATATTCCATTGTGTGACTATAACCATTCTCCCATTGGTAGAGATTTGAATTTCCTCCTGGTTTTTGTGTGTTATGTGTATCATTGTAATGAACATTCTTGTGTGTTTCTCTTAGTGCCCCCAGAACAGAACTGCCATGTTATAATGTTTTTAAATGTTCAACTATATGAGTTAGTGCCAAGTTGCTTTCCAAAGAGGTTGTACCAGCTTATACTGTCACCTGAAATGGATATGCATTGCTCTTGAGCAATATTCTTATAATAACTTCTACTGTCACATCGTTTAGCATGTTTCTGCCTGATTGATAATGAGATTGCACATCATTCCATATATTCACCAATTCTGTGGATAAACATTAAATATTTGTATTTCCTTTGTGTGAAAAGCATAATCATGTCTTTATCCATTCTTGTTTTGTTATTGTTGGTGTGATATACTCTGATATTTTGGAAAATATCCTATATTTTCTTGTAAATATTTTTACAAGTGGCCTTTCATATTTAACTTTTTCTAAATGTAAAAGAACTTATTTTGTGATCTGCAGTAAAGTAGGAATGCAATTAATTATTTTTCACTATTTGGAGCACCTACTGTCACAGTGATATTTCTACAGACTTCTAATGCTATCTCTGACACATACAGAATTTCCATAGATGCTGTGTCTGCCTCTGGCTATTTCCTTATTGTAGTTGTAGTTCTTTTCATTGCTAAATTTATTTCTGTATTTTCATATTCTCTCAATATCGATAGATCGAAAAGGCATACAATAAATTTACAAAATAATTACTGGTGTAAATTATTAACTTCCTGACTGATATATGATTCAGTGCCATTGTTCTCTTTACTTTTCTTTATCTATTTAGAATATAGACTACAGAATTCTAATATTGAAAAGCACCTTAGAGATCACTTAATATGCTACTTCATTGATGAAAAACTATTTTCCCCCATTTGACTAATTCATTTACAGACTCTGATTTCTATAATACTGGGAACATTGTAGAATTTTAAGAAAACAGTTTTATTCACCTATCCTTTTTTGCACGAACTCAGCATCCAGTTGCTACACATAACTTCCCTCCCTAATAGGTATTGGCTGTTTGTTGAGAAAAATAGTTAATGTGAATGTGGCTGAGGCACAAAAAAGACCTCAGAAGAACTGAAGACACAGCACGCAATCACATTCTTTCCACTCCTCCCCTTGGATGGCCCCAGACGTACTCTAGGCTACAACCACCCTGAGGATTGTGAAGGGGAAGACTCTTGCCACTTCCCTTTGTATTTAACGTTATTAAAGATCCTGAAAGCATCATGCCTGCCCTGCACATTCTTCCCAGGAGAGTAAAGTGAAAGAGCAAAAATATGAGATGCTTTGACCTCTCCCAGCAGAATGGATCTCAAGTTCTGTTTTCGCATAATTTTGAAGCTGGCAATTCAAAGCTTGCTGCCTACAGATTATTTCCACTAATACTAACCCAGATCTAACTCATTTCAAAAGAACACAAATTCATGACGACTACTTTTTACACATCATAGTAACTGTTTATGAAGAGAATGTATAAGAAAATGGCAATCTATGACAAATGAATCAGGCTGAACAAATGCACATAAATATGACACCCTACGTTTGCTTTTAGCATATTTTTACAATGTATGGTAATTACAAAGTTCCAGAATATACAGTAATATCATCTTAGTTTTGCAATAAATTTATAGTTGTATATTATATAAAACTTTGCTCTCCAGTACGGAATCCACTATCTACATATGCCTTTGAGCTCAGGAAATATGTTTTGTCCAAATTAAGATATGCTACAGTTTTCAATTAAGCAATGAATTTCATAGAATTAGAATGAACAAACATGTAAACATATCAGTATTTTTGATATTGATTGTAATTTAAAATGGTAGTATTTGGGATATGTTTGATTAAATAAAATACTTTATTAAAATTAATTTTACTGTTTATGTGTATTTTAAAATATGGCTACTAGAAAGGTTTAAATTTCATAGGTGGCACACATTTATGGCTCACGTTATATTCCCATTGGACAGTGCTGTTCTAGAATATCACTTTCACTAATTAGTTACCAATATAAGTTTCATATGTCTTCATTTTGGATTCATGTAAATGACAAAAGAGAGTTTTAACCAAAGAAAACAAAGTGAACCATTGATATACTGTTTTTCATCTACAGATTGGACCTAGACATCTAGATTTTGATAATGCTATTTTTGCAGGAGTGCATTTCAAACATACATTGTTTGTGAAAGTGTCTAATGAAGGAAGTCCTGTACTATCAAGTAAGAAATTACCAATTTGAAATATTAAAATAGTTTGACATAGAAAACACCCAGTGCATTTAAAAATTGGATCTGAGAAGTTTGTCATATTTATAAGTATTCCAATAATCTGTTAAAGTATGCAATATATTCTTATATTAACCTATTTAGTGCTCATGCACAACTATTTAAAAACTGAGAGTCTACATAAAAACAAACTAGAGAGAATGAAACCCAAATGTTTAATACAGCACATTACAGTTATTAAAAGACAATGTCAAAAATCAACATTTTTAGAATACTTGTGTATTTAAAATCTTTCTCAAGGAATTATTTGTTTATTCTACTTTAGAGAAAATACTAATACTCAGATTCTCATAGTAAATAGCATTTATTTCATTATTATGCTGAAGTATTTTAATTATATTTCAATTGGTGAATAGTATGTCAGATTTTGGAAACTATGATCTTTAATTCAGAATAGTAGCATTTATATATAAACACACTGTAAAAGACAATTGCTTTGACAAGTGTTCAAAAAGAATCAATGGAATGTTTTACTCCTAAACTTATTTTAAAATGCTTTATAAGTGAAAAGGCAATAATTTAATGTTAAAACTTATCAATATAAATGTATAATTTATGCCCTGAGATTTTAGTATAAAATATAATAAATGTAATATATAATATGAGGTGTTAATTAAAAAATAAAAGAAAAAAAGGATTATTGAAGAAGACACATTATTGCCTAAGCTGCATTTTTACGTGCTTTCTTTTCCATAGCAATTATTACAGTCATTGTAAGGGTGAGTCGCATAAATGAACTGAATCCAATTGGAAGTGCGTCAGCATTTACCTTCAGTGTATTTGAAAATAGTCCAGTTGATACACTAGTTGGAAAAGTTACATTTACCGATGCAGACTGGCCATTTAATAATATGGAATATACCATTGTTGGAGGCAATTTGGGAACACCTCCCAAATTTTACATTGAACCAGATACAGGTATTGTAAAAACGCTGACATCAATTAATCATAAAAGTAAAGAGCTCATATACACTCATTGGAAATTTATTTTATTTAGAAACTATGATCATGAGAACATCTTAAAAACTTTCTCTTGAACTATTTAATGTTCACCTGGATTTGTTAGCTGTATCCATAAATTCTTACTTACCTAAGGCAAAGCACTAAAGCTTTGATCTTTGCTATATTGATCTTCAGAAAGGCTATGCACATGTGCTTTTCCATGTATCCAAGAACATGACTTAACAGGTGAGTAAAATAGTGCATACTTTAATACCTGTTATAATTACACTTTAGGGGTATGAATATATAATGAATTGATTTGTATTAGTTAATTTCTATTCATTATTGTAATGATTTCATTTATAGAATTAACATTTTAGAATAAATTGAAAATATTTACTAATCCTGGGATAACAGGTCTCCCTTTATTTTTGCATCAGGAGTGATAAAGCTATTAGATTCACTAAACAGAGAAATTGAATCACAGTACAAGATAGCTGTAAAAGTAACAGACTTGGACAACGATGCCATCCCTGACCCCCTCAGACAGAGAAGTGGTACTGCTCAGGTGACCATCAGTGTTCTGGTAAGAATGAGTCACTGCTTGTGACATTGTTATCCCTTTGAAAGCACATTCTAGAGAAATAAAAATGAGGGAAAGTTGTAAATGGTTACATTTCAGAGTCTTGGGTATGGATCTAAATTGAGAGAGTAGCATGTTGGTCCAAAAATATTCTAATTGTAACATACATTGATACAATTGTCATTATATGCAAATTAACCTGTGTGACTTCTAAACTAATTTGATTGTCTTACAAATCTGAACTTAGATGAAGAGTGCTGATACCTCTGGTTGTATTTCAGAAGTTGTTGGAAGGATTATTTTGTGGTTAAACATATTTCCATAAGCAAGCAAACATATATCCTAGAGTTTTAAGAAGTTAGTTTGATACATTTTAATCTGTTTTGGTGGTTTGTCTTCCTCTTCTCACCCTCTCTGGTTTTCAAGGAAGAAATATCTTAATATTCTTTACTGATAAAGATTCTGAGAGATCAGCCTCAGAGTCTCACAAACATGAAGTATAGAGGCAAAAATTCTAAGTTTTTCTAAAAAAAATTTTAATGCAAGAATATATTTTACTTGGCTTGTTCAAGACTTACATCAATAAAATTCTGTACATTACTTTCATTGGCAGAAGCATATAGAAAGAAAATTTGCCTTTATAGATAGTGCCAATTTTTTAATCTTATGATTTTGTTTACACTCTTTTTGCTACTTGAGAACAGTTAGAATTCTAACACTGGATCCTATGGAAAAGACAATAACTTCTCATAAAAAAATATTTAAAACCACAGACATTGTTTAGAGCCTGTGCATACTCTTGCATGGTGAACACTTTCATATGTGTTCTTAGTGAGCTAAAATGGTTAGTGGTAGTCATGACTCTGTTACAATCCCCCCTTTAGGCTTATTATGTCTGGAAAACACAATAAACCAGGCCAAAAATCTTTGTAGGGAGAAATTTAATAAAGTGACTTGAATGGCTTCAACCATGACTCAGAAGATGTCATAAGCTAATGAACCTATTCTCCTTATGCCAGCTTTCAATAATACATCCCAATACACTCTAAGACACAGTTTCTCAGTAGATGTCCTTCATAGTTGCACTTCTGCAAACTTATCAGTGTCACTTTCATTTCATGTGTGAATTCCTACATTCCAATAGGTATAAGAATAAATGATCTCTGTTCTTCATGTATAAAATCATTCAAATTTTTTCTCTTATGGGACTAGAAGTATTGGTTCAGGAAAGAATATTTGATTTCTTGAGAGTAGGCAAAAAGCTATACATTTCCTACCATCAGATGGGTGAGCTTAACTTTACTGAAGACACTGTTACTAAATTTAAATACCTTTTCTCTAAAAATACTTCCAACCAAACTTTAGGTGGAAGTTATCAAAATGCATCATTTAGAAAAAATAAGTTGAAGCCAAAATTCTCTAGTACAATAAAATTTTTTATACTACACTTTGTTCAAAAAAAGATTGAAGCTGACATATGAAAGTAAACTCAATAGAGTATTATTACCTAAAGCCAGGGCAGAGATGGATGAATTTTATCTGTAAGAATAAACAAATAACAAAAATTTATGTTATTTATAAATGGAAGTTCAATACTGTTATGGACTGAATGATTATACCCCCCCTTCTCAGTTCACACATTGAAGCCATAACTCCCAGTGTGACTGCATTTGGAAATTACTCATGTTTGTATTTGGAGGTAATTAGGATTAGAGGAAGAAATGAAGGTGAGGACATGGTCTGATGGTATTCATGTCCTTCTAAGAAAAGACACCAGAGAGCTTGCTCTCCCTCTCTGCCATATGAGGACACAATGAGAAGGTGGCTACCTGCAAACCAGGAAGAGAGCCCTCACCAGAAACTGAACACTGCCAGATCTTTATCTTGGACTTACCAACCTCTAGAACTGTGAAAAAATAATTTCTTTTGTTTAAGCCATGCTATGTATGGTATTTTGTAATGGCTGTTCAAAGTATCCTAAGAGAAATACCAATTTTGGCTTAGCAAACATAAAAATGTTAGAAAGTTATAGCATTAAAATATATATTTCTAGTAAATGATAGATACATATATATATATATATATATATATATATCAATGGAAAATAATAGTACATCTAGGATCCAAGATATAAAATAGTAGGTTAATGATAAATTATTACATAAATGAAGTTAGAATAAGAATCCATTTTGGAAAACAATGAACACTGTTTCCTACTTTAAAAAGATAAAAAATTAATATGTAACAATCTTTAATATGAAGAAACATATGAAAATAATTATGAAATGTTAATTTAGGAAGGGTCATCACAAGGCAAGCATGAATTCTCATTATATGCAAATTAACCTGTGTGACATCTAAGAGAGTTGGGACCTCATGTAGGACAAGATTGCTAGGTCTAACTACAAAGACAGTTAACCTGTCTTCAGTCCAAAAATAGCATAAAGCAAATTAAAAAGGAAACAAAACATTAGCACAAATATATTTGAAGCATTTATAAAGTAATTTCAAATATTAATATTTTTAGTCAATAAAGTGTTTTTTATAATCAGAAAGAAAAAATCTCAACAGGAATTGAAAGTTAATATATGAAAAATATTACCAACTTTACTAGCAAGTAAAGAAAGGAAAATGAAACAATCTAATTTTTTTTTGTATTGAATTATAAAATAAAGCAGATGATATTTTTTGTTGGAAATGGTATGGGGAATTGACAGCTCATTTCTGTGGGAATTCAAATTGAATTGGCACAAGGTTTTTCTGAAGGTTTTTGGCAACACATACAAATTAATATTCACATTTTATGTGTGAAGAAGCTCTTGTTTACAGAGTTAAATAACCAACCTAGCATAGTTATTGAAAGTAGAGCCAATCCTTAGTCCCAGCCCTTTAGTTACAATACCCTTCTATCATCTGACAAAAACATAACCACAAAGACTACTCTCACGATTCCTGTGGTGGAAAAGTATCTCAAATCATAGCAATCATTATTTTATAAACATCTGGAAATCTTTCATAGATGATTTCCCATGTGATTAAATATTTTTCTCCACATGATCTCTATGTCTTGAAAATTTTAATTGAAGCAGTTCGGATATAGAGTGTCTACCTTTTGTTTCTAAAATAACAACAACAAAAGACTCCTAATATAGCACCCAAAAAACACGTACACAAGATTCTGCTATATCCTCCCAGATAAACTAATTTCCAAATGTATGTTAGCATGTCTTAATGAGATAAATTTTACAGATGCCATTAGCTATTGCCAACTTCAAATTTGTTATTGCCAATTGATTTATTGATCTGAAGCTCATGTTTCTAAGAAAACTCTTAGGTCATGGTAATAAACTGCATCATGATGATAAACTGGTTGCTAGAAAATGCATATTTCACAGAAGCAAGAATTGGGTGGCACACACCTTTGTTTTGACAAAATCAGGCACTAGATTTTCAAGGAACATTTTAAAAGGAAGGAAGTTCAGCACACATCCCACTTTCACCCTACAAATAATTATCACCTGTTTTTTTGTTGTTTGTTTGTTTGTTTGTTTTTGAGATGGAGTCTCGCTCTGTCACCCAGGCTGGAATGCAGTAGCGCAATCTCGGCTCACTGCAACCTCCACCTCCCGGGTTCAAGCGATTCTCCTGCCTCAGCCTCCCGAGTAGCTGGGATTACAAGCATGTGCCACCACACCCAGTTAATTTTTGTATTTTTAGTAGAGACGGGATTTCACCATGTTGGTCAGGATGGTCTCCATCTCCTGACATCGTGATCTGCCTGCCTCGGCCTCCCAAAGTGCTAGGATAACAGGCGTGAGCCACCACGCCCGGCCATATCACGTGTTTTATAATAAAGGCAATTCCTAACCACTATGACTTCCAAGGATATTTGAAATCTCTTTTGGCTACTGTCATTACGTAATGACATCTACTCATCTGCTTTCATCCTTGGATTATAGCATCAGCTTTAAGAACTCTGGATTTTGAATTCAATTTAATGCATCCTTTACTCTCTTCTGTACCTCTTAGTATTCTTCTTATCCTTCAAGGCCCAATGCATTCCTTTTACATGAAGCCTCACTTTTAAAATACAGTGCAAACATTGGGCCAAACTGTATGGTGGTGCCTCTGGTCATTCTGAGAACTAACTTATCTACTTTCAAAAAGCTTGCAGCCTGGTATAGTTATTCTTATCTAGGTTGCATGTCACTCACTAAGATGCTCCATTTGGGGTTGTAAGATGTACAAATTTGTTTCAAATGTAAATTATAGACAACTCAAATTAAGTTACGAAAGAACAAATTGCTGCTGCCTCCTGCTATTCCTGATCCCAGTGTTAACGGTGGAGGGTGTCCAGGTTCTTGGCCTCTTGAAAAAAGCATTGGACAAAACACACAAAGCAAGGAAGAAATGATGGGTTTTACTGAAAATGAAAGTATACTCCACCGTGTGTGGGCAGGCCTGAGCATAGGGGCTCAAAGGCCTGTTACAGAATTTTGGGGCGTTTAAATACCCAGTACTTGGGGTATACCCTATGTAAATGAAGAGGATGAAGTAAAGTTACAAAGTCATTTACTTGGCCTACAGACATATGGAGAGGATATTTCCTGTCATATCTGAAGTGTGAATCGGCTTATGTTCCCTGCCTCCAGACCCTATTTTCCTGCCTCATCTCCCCACGGAGAGATGTGATCCCCATAAATCTTTGTGGGAGGCAGAGGGACCAATGATCTTTTTTCTGTAACTGCTTCATGCTGGCTTGAGGCATAGTGGCCCTATCTGTTGGGGATCACAGAACTCATCCTGCTCTATCTAGTGGAGGCAGGGTAGCGTCTTGATGGCCAGGGGTGGTGTCTTCACCTGGAACTGGTTGGAACCTTTGTTGCATGATCATCTGAAGGAGGATAGTCTCTAGGCTAGAGGAAATGAATTTGTTTAAAATATTTAATGGGAACTTCCGGGGGTGGATACCTATGCTGTCAGAAATGTTTGTTATAAAGATTTGCAGAAGAAAAAACAAAACTTGGTTGTTCTCGAATCCATGTGTTTCCTTAAAGTCTTAGCACAAAGACTCCATTTTGGTTTGGTTTGGTCTGTTGGGGCCTGGTGCATGAGCTGAGTCCAAAACAATGGCCTCCCAGACTTTTGTTTTAAAAATTCCCCCTTTTTGGTCAGGTTCTCACTTAGGTGAAAGTATGACCAAAACTTAGGGCCTCAGCACCACTCTTAGTTACCATCATTTTGGGTTTCTGGTCTCAGCATGTCATTTATAGATTACAGTGTCCTTACTGTTGCACATTTCTTTCAGCTCTTGTCATTCCCATTGAAGAGAGACCATAAGACATTCTAGAGATGGCTGCATGCAAGCATTTAAAACCTTTGAGAGAATACAGCTCACCAGGGAGACTATTACTATGACTATTGGGAGGATAATACCAATAGTTCAGAGTATGTTCCTTACCCAGGGTCCCCATAAACCAAACCACCTAAAATTAAATAGATTAAAGAATGAGCTAAATGAAGAGTCTACTTGCTTGACTACGTGGTCTTTTCATTAATCCTCTACAACTGAATTTTTATAATCTGCATTTGATGTATTTCTCCATAGGCCACAAGTGTCAGCAGCTGCACAGGTACTTTTCTGTTTACTAAATTCTATTATTTAGCATAATTTTCACAAGAGAATTCAAAGTCTGTTGTGTAACAATAACCTTTAAAGTAGAATTAGCTACAGAGCCTATCATGAGGTATACATTTCTAATCATTGCTTCTTTTACTTTAAACCATGGAAAAAGGACCTAACAAATGATGCCCTTCTAGAAGAGTGAAGGCCTCCTGGCAGTGTACTCTTTAACCCATGATGTGGGTTTAGAGGAGTGAACCAATGTTTTGTTTTTGACTGATTATGAGGCAATGTATGTACCATTAAAGTTTCTTGCCTACATTGGGCCTTTGTCTTTATCTATCAAAGATAAGGTTATCCATGTATAAGGCTGGCTGCAAACTCCTTCACAAATAAAAGTATAACCCCATAAGTGCACATAACAGACCGCTTTTTTGTTTGTTTGTTTGTAGAGGCATGAGCAAGAAAAAAAATATTCAAAGAAAAGAGTTTCACGACAGTAAAAGTCTTAACCTGTGAACTTGGGAAAGGCTGTTCACATCAAGGATGCCATGTTCTTCTTGGGAGAAATTTCCCTGGTTAAGTTTACCCTTGTTAAGGTTTTACAGATTATTGGTAAAATACATTCCAATGGGTACACAGTTCCAAAAGTGTGGTGGGATCTCAATTTTGAGACTATGAACCCAAAGCCCAAGGTCCTGAAGTTTTGTTGTAGTGTGGATGGCAAGGACAGTCTTTCTCCGATGTTCTCAGAGGATACAAACCATAAAAAGCTTTTTTACCTGGTGAAAATACAGTGTAGCATAATAATCTGTTATAATATCAGCCCTCTTCCATGGGAAAACTTTTATACAACCAGAAAACATGCATTGACAATGACCCTTTATAAACTGTTTAAATGGCCCACCAAGTGACCAACTGTACCTGAAGCTTTAATTATGTGCCCAGGAATATAGGATCAAGCACTGTTTATAAACTATTTAAACAATTTCAGTATCAGCTGGTTTAACATGAAAATCTGACAAGGTATTTTCCTGGTGTTTAATTAATTTTTGTTCTACTTGAGTTAGTAGCTTTATACAAGGAAATTTGGTTATTTCTGTGGTTTACCATAACTTAGCATAATAACCATAATTATAATTGATAGCATATACTATTTCAGAAATCCCATACTATTTTGGAACATATATTAGTATTATTCACAAAAATATAACCTAAAGAATATTGAACATCATTTTGGCAATTCCATGTACCTAAACATGACAAATACCCCTGTTTACCTCATTTCTGGATGTTTTCAGGGGCCCTCTGATCCATCCAGAAAACCAGGCATTAAGAAAGACAAATTTGAAACTGAAGTTTGATTTTGGAATTCCAGCTTACCATAAATTACTTATTTTGTCAAAATGATGATGCAGAAATTTTAAAGAAGCAAAAACCTTTTATAACATTTTACAAAAGAAAAAATACATTCTACTGTTTTTACACACCTTGCATGTGAAACTGTTTCTAGTAGTATTAACTGCAAGTTACAGTGGCGACTCTTAGCAATTTTAACTTTAATGTAAAACCTGGTAAGTTGTGTTCTAAGGTTTGACTATTTCCAGCATAGTTAGGAGTGTGGCCAACTCCACGTTTCTCCTGGCCTTATCTAGCTGGAAAGCAGGCAAGTTAAACAATTTTCAAAAGCCAAAGAAGCAGTTTATGACCTGAAAGCATTTAGAAAACCTAATATTTGAACATAATTTAGACCACATGTGTATATTTTGAATACATTGTATTTTACCAATAATCTGTAAAACCGTCTTTATTTCCCAAAGACTGCTAAAGTCATGTGAACTAAGAGGCAGTACGTTTTCTACTTTTCTGGCAAAATATTTTATTTAAGCTCTCATTATTATTAAACCAATTAATTTAAAACTTTACAGAGGTGATTAACCAGTTTGCACAGAAAGAAAGAGGCCAGAGATTGACTGGTAAGAAATTCTTATCCTTTTGCTGGCATGCCAGGTTTCTGAGTTCTCTCTCCCTAAGCAGCCTTAGTGACCCTGCTTGACTGTATGCAAACAAACATATTGCCATGAATTAAGAATATTCACAAATAGTTTACAAATTTTGGAGAAATTAGGCAGAGAGAGAGAAATATGACTCCAATTCTATTTATGAAAGTATACTCAACATGCTTAAAGTATTAGCCTAAAATCTAAAAAGTTAGTTTATAAGGATAAAAAGTTGGTGTGTTCCATTAATTACTGCGGCCTGACCAAGGTACCTTGGGAATTCCAGATAAATGGAATAAATGATGACTCCCTATAAATGCATAGGAAACAAAATAACTATTCATAGAACCAAATACAAGCCTTCCACTAGAAACTAAAAAGCATCATGCTTTTATATATAAGGATACACAAGCAAAGCCAGAGGAGAATAAACAGCAAACAAATGAAAACTAGAAGCAAAAACAAACAGGAAACCAACCCTAAATTTTCCTACTCAATTTACCCTGGAGACTATAGTGTTACCTAGGGCCCCCAAAACCCACATAATGAATATTTCATTCCTGACACACAATTCAATATTCTTAAGTTCACCAATATCATTATACATTCTGTCCAATCAAGAAATCCACTTTAGGCACCTGACCAATAAGTACTCTAGCATTATCTATGAAAAACAGTAAACATAGTGTGAAGCAAAGCAAGCATGTATGTGAAATTTGGCTCCATGCTAAATCCAGCTTCATGCTTAACTATATTAAAAAAAAATTGCCAAACTGCCTATGCATTTTTTACAATACTTCTTATTTGACTTTAATCAAGACTAAGAGCTTTAACTATGAACATGTTAATTTGCAAAATGTCCCCAATTCTTTATTAGGTTCTTAAGAATATTTTATTATATAAACTTTTTCCACATCTTTCTCCCTTACTTAATGATTCCTTACTACATTGTTTCATAAACAACCTTTTTAAATCTGTAATTTAACTTTTAGATAACTTTTGAATTAGACAAAATTATTCTTTTTCCACTCATAACATAACTCTTTCTGGCACATTTTGTATACAGAATTATGTGTTAACCAGAATTTTATCCTTAGTAAACTGAAACTTTAGTGAAACCCTAAAAAGCAAGAAATCCTGAACTATTAGATATGGGCATTTATAGATAAGAACAACTCCACAATTTTAGTAGCATACTTCCCCATATTACAACACTTTCTTAATTGGAAATGACCCAGATATTAAATGAGCATTAAGAATAACTTTAAGATTTTAATTTACACAAAAAGTTTACCTCAAACATTTATCCTAATCACTGTACTTAATTTTTTACTTTTAACAAGGGAGATGAGACACCAATCAACATATGTAAAATGAACCTTCCTTTGGTCCTGAAAGGCAGGACAACTCGAAGTGGGAGGGGAGTTGGGGCTTCCAGGTCACAGGTAGGTGTGAGAGGAATGGTTGCATTCTTTTGAGTTTCTGATTAGCCTTTCCAGAGGAAGCAATCAGATATGTATTTATCTCAGTGAGACTTTGAATAGAATGGGAGGCAGGCTTTCCCCAAGCAGCTCCCAGCTTGAATTAACACTGACATTTTAAAATATCTAGCAAAGACAAACATAAAATTCAGACAAAAATGTATACTGACAATTCTGATGGCATTTCTATTTTTATTCCACCCATAATTTTAAAGCTAGCTTGTTTAGTAAAGTTACACTTTAAGTCACGTGAACTTGAAAACTGCTTACACTTATTTACTTAATTTATGAGCGTTCTTTTACTTATAAGCCAATTTTGGTAAAACATATAACAATAAGTGTACATACAAATAAACACTTCTAGACATGTATGCACACACAAATGAAGATCCAATGGCTTGGAACCTTAGCCATGAGATAGCAATAAAAGCTTGCTGGTTTTACTTCTTTGCCCCAGTAGATAATCCAATAAAGGCTGTGAACCAAACTTTTGGGTAAAGCAGTCTCCATAGCAGTTTGATTTTTCTTTTTCTTTTCTTTTTTTTTTTTTTTTTGAGACAGAGTCTCACTCCGTAGCCCAGGTTAGAGTGCAGTGGCATGATCTCGGCTCACTGCAACCTCCACCTCCCAATCCCGGTTCAAACAATTCTCCTGTCTCAGCCTCCCAAGTAGCTGGGATTATAGGCATGCTTCACCATGCCCAGCTAATTTTTTTGTATTTTTAGTAGAGATGGGGTTTCACCATGTTGACCAGGCTGGTCTTGAGCTCCTGACCTCATGATCCATCGCCTCGGCCTCTCAAAGTGCTGGGATTACAGGTGTGAGCCACCGCACCTGGCCTGGCAGTTTGATTCTTAAAGGCCAAACCTCTCCAGACTCCAAAGAGCCCTGGTGCCAAACAGTACCAAAGGGGGGTGTCACACATTAATCAGTCCCCCTGCTTAGAACCGCAGAACAAAAGCGTGGATACATGCAATGCCATTCTGCTTTCCCATTCAACAGTAAACTCCAGATTCCAAACAATGTTGGGGCCAAACAGCATTGCAACTATGAGAGAAAATCCTAAGGAGGGCTTAGTACTAGACCTCAGAACCTCTGCGGAGAGCAGAGAGCATCCCCTTGGGGAAGGTTGAGGTCTGCAGGCCCCCCGGACGGTCCTCCTGTGGGGTCCAATCTGACCTTAGGTGGGCACCAGCGGCGAGTGCCGGTTTTCCCCTCCAGAGCATACTATGAGCTTTGTAAGAATAGCCATGAACTGTAATGAGAACTGGGTGCCAGGTGGGCCTTTTTGTCCTTAGCCAGTTGAGTATGACAAGGGAAGAATTTAGCATAAGAAAAGAATGTTTAAGTCCCCTGAAACATGTGTGAGTTTGCTCTGAGGTGCACCACACGCAGGGATCGGGGAACACCTGCAGAAAAGATTTTTTAAAAAGTCCTTTCCCCTATGGGGCAGAGCAATTATAAACAGCCACTGAAAGACTGAAAAAGAAAGGAAACAAAAATCAAACAGACCCAGATTCCTTAAGCAAACCTGGTGTTGGCAGTTAGGCGTCTCCGCATGGAAACCCCTTAGTTTCACTGGCCATGGCCAGAAACCTGCAGTTGCTTCCATGTTTAGGCGCTGCCCACCAAGGATCCCCGGTTGGAAAGGAAAAGAGAGAGAGAGACAGAGACAGAGACAGACAGAGAGGGAGAGAGAAAGAGAGAAAGAGAAAGAGAAATTCCCCTGTATGGAGCAGAAAGGAAAAGGAGAAAGGAGAAAAATAAATCCCAAACTTTGGGCTAACCTCTTCCTCCTGGCTGGCTCTCCAAAATATGTTAACAGTGGAGGGTGTCCAGATTCCTGGTTTCTTGAGCAAAGAATTGAACAAAACGCACAAACAGAGCGAGGAAGGAAGGAAAGGTTTTATTGAAAATGAAAGTACACTCCAGGCCGGGCATGGTGGCTCACGCCTGTAATCCCAGCATTTTGGGAGGCCAAGGTGGGCGGATCACGAGGTCAGGAGATCGAGACCATCTTGGCCAACATAGTGAAACCCCATCTCTACTAAAAATACAAAAATTAGGCGGGCATGGTGGCGCATGCCTGTAATCCCAGCTACTTGGGAGGCGGAGGCAGGAGAATCCCTTGAACCAGGGAGTTGGAGGTTGCAGTGAGCCGAGATCGCACCTCAGCACTCTAGCCTGGCGACAGAGCAAGACTCTGTCTCAAAAGAAAAGTACACTCCACAGTGTGGGAGCAGGCCTGAGCATAGGGGCTCAAAGGCCTTGTTACAGAATTTTGGGGCGTTTAACTACCCTCTACTTGGGGGTATGCCCTATGTAAATGAAGAGGATGAAGTAAAGTTACAAAGTCATTTACTTGGCCTTCGCCCTGTGGAGAGGATATTTCCTGTCATAGCTGAAGTGTGAATTGGCCTTATGTTCCCTGCCTCCAGACCCTATTTTCCTGCCCCACCAGGAGCACCATAATCAGCAGTATTACAATTTACACGATTTACAATTTATTTCCATTTTCACCTAGAAGGTAAATATTCCAAAGAATTTCCTGGCACAAAACACCTGGAAATGTATGATAGAATATAACTAGCCTTTAATGTGGAAATGTGACCTCAAAAAAAATTAGGGGATATTTCAGGGGCCAAAAACAGAGGCTCCTCAATGATGCCAAGTGCCCTGAGAGCATCTTCTCTGTAAAGAAGAGGTTTAGGTTTCACAGCCACTTGGAAACAGGAAGTAAAACTTTGGGAGCAATAAGGGCAGGCAGTTGGAACCTCATAAAATAAGAGGTCCTTCAGGATGAAAACTTGGAAAGGACACCTTCACACGCTAGCCTGGAGTAGACAATAAGAAAGTTTGCCCATCTAGGCCTAGGCTCTGAATTAAGGGGAAAACGCGTCCTCCAAAATGTAAAGGAAATATATTGGGTTTGAATTATGCACACTGCAAATTATTGGAAAACCCAGACAAGACGTTAAAAGGAAAGGGGTCTTGGTGTTTTATTGTGAGGAATTCCTGGCAGAAACAAAAGCAAAGCTTCCCTAGAGAGGCCTAACATCCACCTAAGCAGCAGAAAATTCCTGAAGAAAAAAATTTGGCAGAAAATGGGCTCAGAATCTAAAATTACGAACTCTTAGAAAACAGCCATAACTTACAGACCAATGCACAGCTATTTCACACCCATTTCACTGGCTGTAACCCGAAATGACTGGGGAGAAGTGGCTTTGAACCTGGGTACAATGCACAGGCTAGTGTACTTTTGTAAGTTGACTTCGTGAACAGGTATTGTTTACTTCCTCCTGTTGTGAGATTTATTTCTGACTTCAGTACAGATGATAATATGACAGTGTTGTGGCTTTATTTTATATTAGTGAGCTGCTAATTGTTATTGAGATGCTAATTATTAACATATGTTATGGTGTTTACTTCACAATAAATCTGCACAGAAGCTCTAGGTAGTATTGGCATATTTGAGTATACCTTTTGTAAAAGAAATATGAAAAAATAACTTTTTATAGATCATTTTTGCAATGACAATGATTAGAAATTAGTGACTACAATGTTTACATTGTACCTAGTTTCAAATCACCAAGGCATTCTGAATATTTCAACAAAGTGCTCATTAGTGAAAATTAAATGTGGTCCTGATATTTACAAGGGCACTATTTATTGTAATAAAATAAGCTGTAGGTCATTTAGTATTGTGTCGGTTGAGAACTTGTTACTAGAAGCATCCAACCAAGTTGCATTGTTACAAGACAAGGAGCCTCACGTTATTTGTAAAAAGTGAGAAAAACAATTTATTGGAAAATTGAAAAATAGTTCTGAGACCAGATGAGCTGAAGAAGTTTCAACAGATTTTCTTATCAAATCATAATTTGTGAGTTGAGTCCTGATACCTGAAACAAGTTTTTACAAAGTTATAAAAACTTGTCCTTTTAAATGGGTGTGACCTTGGTGGCTTCTCTTGGCTATCAGTGTTGTACCTTATGTAAATTAGGAAAAGCACATAGAAGGAGGCCTTTCTTGTGAAACAAAGAAAATAACTGCAAGGAAATGTACATTTATCTAATCAAAGACAAAATTTTTGTATCTGTAACACACAAGGTAAGTAAATCAATATTCACCGATAATGCTCCTGCCTAGATCTGAAGAAAAATTAAGAATATCTTTACTGATATATAAAAAAGTAGCATAATCATATATTGTCTATTACCCCATCATGTACTTGCTGACAAGAATTTGGATTAAAAAAAATGGAAGGCTCTTTTGTCTCCTGCAAAGAGCATGATAAATTTTCTTAGAGCATATTTTCTAAATAATCACTGTCACTTCAGTGATTCTTTTAAAGAAACTGTTACCAAACACATGCCCTTTATTTGTAAACACTAAAAGGAGTATAGTGCTTTAAACTGGACATGTAAAAATATAAGCTATTTCTTTTACCTCTAAAAATACTAATAGAGTCAATGATATAAATTAATGTTTGTCTTTCTTTGAATGTGTTTATGAATAGTCAAATTCTTAAAACTGACTGCTGTTTTAAGGAACTAGTCTGAAAGTACATGGCAACAACCCCATTAAATTTATCTAGTTTTATAAGAAAATTGCCTCTTTGGAAAAGAAATTTTAAGAATTTTGCTTTCTAACAGAGAGATGTTAGAAAATTCAGAAATGACCATCTGAAGCATGAAGGCATTACCAAGAGCTGAATGTCTGTCTGTGGCTATTTTTCTCTTGGAAAGCTTTTCATGCCAAAAAAATAAAAATAAATGGATACTGAATCTATTCATCTTTAACCTGGATGCCTACTAACCGCTAGAGCCATTAACTATATGCACATGTATTTAGTGACAATGATGTTGCCAAATTTCTTTTATACCACTGCATGATGTTTAGAGCAGAGATTCTTCAGCCAGAATGCTTGGCTAAGAATCCCAGGTTCACCACTTAAGGTTTTTTGTGAAGCTGGGCAAGTTATTGAACCTTTCTTAACTTGATTCCTCATTGTAAAATGGTGATAATAGTAGTGCCTACCCCTGAAGGTAGACATGAGGTTTTTAAAAGCAAATATTTGTAAAGTACTGAGTGGCTCATAGTAATAAGCACTATACAAGTGTTCCATAAATGAATAAACTAGAAACATTTCCATAGCTGGAGAAGAAAGTGATGAAAATTGTTGTTCTTTTGCTTGTACATAGTTAAGATTGGATTTTCGTCATTGCCTCATCAAAACAAAAACTAGAAACCACTTAAGTGTGACTGATAAACACTTCAAAAATATTCTAATTTTTTGCAGATTATGGAATAAAAGCCTCAGCATAAAAATCACTAAGCTTGGATATTTTTAAAAAGCATAATGTTTCGTAACTTGTTTATGTTAATATAAAACTGAAACTGTAAATCAATTTCTTGCATGCACTAAATATGGCATAACTTAAAAATTTTAAAAATATAGCATAAAGAACTAACCTACTACAGATTTTATTTATAAGATGTGAGATCACACTTTGAGAAAAAAATTTTGAAAAATGCAAGCTGAAGGAAACAAAAGAAGAAGAAGGAAAAAACCCATCACAGTTCTAGTAGAAATTTAAATTGGAAATTAATTGTTCTTTTTCAGTGTCCCAGTGATTTTTTTACATCTATATTTTGTCACAGAAATCTTTCTGGCTTATATAATAATAAACACTCTTTATCTTATGAGGTAGTTAAGCCCTTGAAGGCAGGATTCTTTCTTGTTATCTTTTATCTCTATGTAATAAGCATAGAATTTCTTTCATGTATATATATGTATATATTCAGTAAATAAGTACATAATTACTGTCTGTAAATCAATCTATCTATCTACACATCTATCTATCTATCTATCTATTGATCTATCTATCTATCTATCTGTAAATTTCTTAGGAACTCTGAGTAGAAAAAAATGCATTGTGGCCTAAGTGCTTATTGTCAGTAAGTATGAGAATTCTAGAGCTGGAGAAAACCTAGGAGAAACTTATATTTCTCTATCATTTTACACAAAAGAAACTTAGACTTGCCTCACTGATATTCAAAAGCAATGTGACTATCGATGTTTTCTCAAACGTGCAGCTTTGCAGTCATGTAGTTGAAGTAATGACAGAGAAATTATTTTGTGCTTACCAGATCCTGTTTTATTTTATGGGTACAGAGGGATACTACATTTTCTGACTTCTTTTCAGTGAGATTGGGGCCACATGACTCAGATATAGCAGATGCCCCTTCCCAAGCCTGCAATAAAAACCCAAGTGTAAAGTCCACTTTGCCTTTGCAAGGTGATTTTAGGTCGTCTTTTAAAGACAGAAACATTATGAGATGAAAGGAACTTGGATCTCTAAGTCACTCCTTGAGAAAACTCTTCCAAGGTGAGCTTCTTAACATGTTTTATTGCGATAGGGAAGAATTAACCTTGTTCCAAGTTAAGTGAATCAGATTTCATGTTTTAGTTGTTACTGCAACATGGTATAGTCTATTTTGCCTAATGCAGAATTTCCTGGATGATAGTCAGATTTTCCCAAATAGTTGGAATTTCCACAAGTTTCTTCCCATCTTTATGTTGCATGCTTTTATAGCAAACAGCAATCTTTTGTTGTTTTTTTTTTTTTTTTTTTTTTCCTGAGACAGTGTCTTGCTCTGTTGCCCAGGCTAAAGTGCAGTGGCGTGATCTGCAACCTCCGCCTCCTGGGTTCAACCAATTGTCCTGCCTCAACCTCCCGAGTAGCTGGGATAACAGGCACACGCCACCATGCCTGGCTAATTTTTGTATTTTTTTAGTAGAGATGGGGTTTCACCATATTGGTCAGGCTGGTTTCCAACTCCTGACCTTGTGATCCGCCTGCCTCAGCCTCCCAAAGTGCTGGGATCACCAGCATGAGCCACCACACCTGGCAACAGCAATCTTTTTCTAGTATCAAGACACTTCTTTTATGCTCTCATGGTTTTATTTAGGTTATAAGATTATGTAAAAATTTATATAAGCAACTGGTTTGGGGAAAAATTATAGGTTTCAATTTTACCAGCTAATATTCTTTGAAACTATGTGCTTTTCTAATTCTTTGATATTTTTTGCAGTACTGGTAAATGATAAAATATAAGGAAACCCAGAGGTTTCTTGGTAAAGTTTAATATTTACTTATTTTAACAAATATTTATTTCAGCTTCCACAATAATAAAAGATAATATTGTGTTTTGAAAATCACAGAAAATGATATTGAAATATCTGTGCAATCTGAAATTTATCTGTATTGGCATTTTTATTCCAGTATTAAGTGATTTATTAAATCAACTACTTGAGATGAACATTGTCTCTGATTTGGCCTCATCTTTTATTTTTACTGGAATACAATTGACCTGGGGCTAATGACTCAATGTTATATGAGGGTATTATATATCATTACAAGAAACCAGTGTATTTCTTGGAAAAAACACACAAATATATACTCACATATAGATATATGTGTTTATCTGCACGTGTGCATATTTATATATATAATATACATATATGTATCTACAGAGAGAGAGAGAGATTTGATAATTAAACAAAACCAAGAGACAAAAATGGACATAAAATGGCATTTCCTGTCTTGAAAATTTCAAATTCTTCTGTAAATTATTCCATTGTTAAGTGGGGGAAAAATAAATCACAGGACTTATTCCCCATAATACATTATTAACCAGAAATACAGAATCTTTTATTTAATTTAAATTTTAGCAAAATTAATAAAAAGTAAGCATATATAACACATCTTTAAATAAAAGCATGTATATTTATTTCCTAAATGATAATTCACATACTATTATTATTATTATTTCAGATGCATGAACTTAAAATAATTTTAATTATTTTCGTGGCATTATAATCTTGGGGATGGGATTTATATTCTATAACAATACTTTCCTAATGATCTGTAAACATTTCTGAAAATATGAGAAATATGTGCATCCTATTAGCTTTAAATACTGAGTGTATTTGATTATTTTTGTTTGTTTTCTAGGGCTGCTGTAACAAAGTAACACAAACTGGGGGTGGCTTACAACAGCAGAAATGTATTCCCTTCCAGTTCTGCAGGCTAGAAGTCTAAAATCAAGGTGTCAGCAGAGCCATGTTCTCTCTGAACACGCTAGGGAATAATCTCTTCCATGCCTCTCTCTTAGCATCTGCTGTTGCTAGAAGGCCTTGGCATTCCTTAGTTTGCAGACACATTACTCCCATCTCTGTCTTTTTTGTCATCTCTGCCTTTGTTGTCATATGATGCCCTCCCTGTGTGTCTCTGTCTGTGTTGATTCTCCCCTTCTTATAAGGATATTATTTTGGGTTAAGAGTACACACTACTCTAACATGATTCATCTTAACTTGATTACATACACAAAGAATATATTTCTAAAAAATATTAAACTCATAGGTATCAGGAGATAAAACTCGAACATATATTTTTGAAGGGCTCAATTCAAATCATAGCAATCACATATGTCATCTTAGTCAATTTCTATTTTGGAAAGCAAGTTTAAAATAATGGTTAGAAGCATGGATTCTGGCATTAGGTAAACCTGGCAGACATTCCCATTTTTTCCTTATGGACTGAATAACTTAAGAAAGTTACTTAACTCTGTGGGCCTCAGTTTACTCACAAGTGACATCTGCTAAGAATACTTACTCAAAGGGTTTGGCAGATGATTAAATAAAAATTTGAATCCCTCACAGTGCCAGGGACATAGTGAATACATTTTAGTATTTATTATTGTTTTAGCTGTTACAATCACTACTTGAGTTTTACTCGACTTTGAATGGTTTCATAGAGAGACTGAAATTCTCTCTAATTTTTACACTGTCATGTGCATTTACCTACTTAATATGATAAGCATACTTTTTTGTAAAGGTTATTTGGGAAACCTGGCCAGAATTCAGTAACATTAATCAAAGTAGAACTAGATTATAATGTAGACAGACAGACAGGTAGGTAGGTAGATAGGTTAAGTAGGTAGGTAGATAGATAGATAAATGTAGATATATATAGGAAAGTATGAGATCAATAATTTCAATTTTTTAAATCCTCTGATCAAATTCTCAGGGTGTTTAATACTTATGCCCTATGAATTTCTCTGAGAAGATTGGGAGTAATAGTTTATAATAGTTTCCAAACTCATTGCCCATAGAATAACTTTTATGGCATATCTTGGGAAAGCAATGCTCCTTACAACATGCATTGAGAAATAATGTACAAAAATTAGATAATTGAGATGAAAAATAAGATCGGGAACTGTGAGTATAACAACATGGCTTAGATTATCTAAGTACTAATGAGCGGTCTAACCACTTACGCATACATTTTGACAGGTAAAACATTGATTGATTGATTGATTGAATGAGATGGAGTTTTGCTTTTGTTGCCCAGGCTGTAGTGCAATAATGTGATCTTGGTTCACTGCAACATCTGCCTCCCAGGTACAAGCAATTCTCCTGCCTTAGCCTCCTGAGTAGCTGAGATTACAGGCGCCTGCCACCATGCTCAGCTAATTTTTGTATTTTTAGTAGAGATGGGGTTTCACTGTGTTGGCCAGGCTGGTCTCAAACTCCTGACTTTGTGATCTGCCCACCTCAGCCTCCCAAAGTGCTGGGATTACAGGCGTGAGCAACTGCGCCCAGCCCAGATAAAACATTTTGGAAAAATTATCTGTTGCAGTGTTCTGGATGGCAGCTTTAGGGATTAGTTTTAGGGATATTACTGCTGAAATTATTTGAACTAAAACAAAATGTTTTGGTTGACACGTCCTGATTCCTCTTTTTTTATCTTATTAAGACCATCAATATCTACTTGACTTTTCTAATTGTTTTATATTTTTTTACATTCACATTAACACTCAATTGGTCTTTTTCAAGACAAAAAAATTATTTACTTTCAAAACAACATGTATCTATTTTATATGTCATATTTTAGTTCAACAAATTTAAAGAGGAAAAATACAGTGGCTAGAACTTAATAGACATAACATCCCCAAATTATATGCTCTCAAGGTACAGTCTATCGGAGAAGTTAGTATTCACTTACACATAACTATAGTACAAAGCAAATGGGCCAAAAAGGAGTCACAAGCAAAATGCTCTGGAGGATAGAAAAAATTTATTTTAAAGAGGCCAGGTTTGTGAAACTTGTAACTAAATGAATCCTGAGATTAAAAAAAAAGAGTAAGAACAGTTAAAATCAATATGAGGTTTTGAACTTGATTATGCAAGTATAGAATAGGACCTAGGTGAAATTATGATTCAGGCTTCAAGTAGTGAAAGGGAACCAATTTGAAGATAGATAAAAGGAAATAGAAATAGGTTGGATCTTTATAAATTAGGTATCAAAATCAGGATGAATGTCTTGTTAATACCGGACTAACATTAAGATCTTTTAAAGTAAGGAAACTGGTCTTACTTTTAAGACTGCAAATTTTAATTCTCCCCCCAAAAAAGGAGAAAAGAAAAAAGACAACAGACAAATGATTGCTTTGCATTTCTTTGTTTTCTACCCAAAACAATATTATGAAGCATTTAGAATCTACCTACTGATAAAATAAATGACAAAGTTTTTTTCTTTTATAAGAACAAATTTTTGTCAAATTTTGAAGATACTATTGTCCCAAAGTATTATACCCACAACCATATGCCTCCTTGTAAACAGAAGTTTTCTGACCCTTGCTGTAACCTCACTGGGGCAAAAATAATTGGCAGTAATTTCATAGAACCATAAACGTATTGCTTATTTTGAGTCATGTTAATATGCAGGCACCTCTCTTGTTTTTAACTACAAACAGTGCAAGCTGGTTCCGTTTCTGGACAAAGCTGTCAGAAGTACTTTGTAAGAATTTTGTGTTCTGTTTGTGAAAAGGTACAATTTATCTATTTATTTTAAAGAGGTGTCATGCGGCCAGAATTAGTCTAATATCAAAACTAGACTAAGACACTATTCAGAAAACTACAGACCAATATTTCTTATGAAAGTAGATGCAGATATCCTCAATAAAATATTTGCAAATCAAATCCAAAAATCTATAGAAATAATTATATGTCATGATCTGGTGTTTATCCAAAGTATACAAGGCTGGTTCAAAATATATAAATCAATGAATGTAATCCATCAAATCCCCAGGCTGAAGTAGAAAAATACCAGGAGCACATCAATAGATGCAGTAAAAGCATTTGATAAAATCCACCCTAATTCATGATAAAAATCTCTAAGCAAACCAAGAATAGAGGAGTGCTTCTTTGAATTGATTTTTAAAATCTACAGAAAACTACAAATAACATCATATTTAATGGTGGAAAACTAGGATTTCCTGGTAAGATCAGGAATAAAGCAAGGATTTCTTCTTATACTACTGCTTTCAACATCATTGATAAGGCAACAGGACAAGAAAGGGAATTAAAAAGTATACTGATTGGGAAATAAGAAATAAAACTGTCTTTGTTTGCAGATGACATATTTTTCTATGTAAAAAAACCCAAAAGAATAGACAAAAAACTTCTGGAACTAATAAACCATTATAGCAAGATTGCAGGATACTAGTTTTATATATATATATATATACACACATATATATACATATACATATATATATACACATATATACATATACATATATATATACACATATATATACATATACATATATATATACACATATATATACATATACATATATATATGTCATTTATTTATTTATTTATTTATTTATTTATGTGGAGATGGAGTCTCGCTCTGTGGCCCACCCTGAAGTGCATCTCGGCTCACTGCAAGCTCTGCCTCCCGGGTTCACACCATTCTCCTGTCTCAGCCTCCCAAGTAGCTGGGACTACGAGCACCCGCCGCCACGCCCGGCTAATTTTTTTTTGTATTTTTAGTAGAGACGGGATTTCACTGTGTTAGCCAGGATGGTCTTGATCTCCTGACCTCGTGATCCGGCCACCTCAGCCTCCCAAAGTGCTGGGATTACAGGTGTGAGTCACCGCGCCAAGCCTAGTTTAATATATTAAAGTCAATTGCTTTCTTTTATATATCAGCAGCAAACAGGTAGAAATTGACATTAAAACTACAATACCATTTACATTAGCACCCTTAAAAATGAAATACTTAGGTATAAATCTAACAAAATATGTATAAGATGTATATGAGGAAAACTACAAAACTGACTCTAAAAAAATTGAAGAAAAACTACATGGAGAGTTGTTCCATGTTCATTGATAGAAGACTCAAAATTTTTAAGATGCCAGTTCTTCTCAACTTGATCTATAGATTCAATGCTATCTCAGTCAAAAGCCCAGCAATTTATCTTGTGAATATTGACAAACTGATTCTAAAGTTTATTTGGAGAGGAAAAAGGCCCAGAATTTTCAACACACTACTGGAGAAGAAAGAAGATTGATACTACCATGGGACTTCAAAATTTACTATAAATCTACAGTAATCAAGACAGTGTGGTACTGGTGAAAGAATATACGACAGAATAACAGAACAGAATAGACAGTCGAGAAATAGACCCACATAATATAGTCAACTGACGTTTGACAAAAGCAATACAAAGATAGCCTTTTTAACAAATGATGCTGAAACAACCAGAAATTCACATGCAAAGGAATGAACCGAGACAATGACCTTATGCCTTTCCTCAAAAAATTAAGGATGGATCATACCTCTAAATATATAATGCAAAACTGTAAAACTCCTAGAAGATAACATAGAAGTAAACCTAGAGGACTTTGGGATGGGACTGACTTTTTAGATATTATACAACATGAAAGGAATGATACATGAAGATAAAGAATTGATCATCTGGACTTCATTAAGATCAAATTTCCCTTTACTATGAATTACAATATCAAAAGTAAGTGAAGAAAACTCACAGTGAGAGAAAGTATTTGTAAAAGACATGCCTGACAAAAGACTGTTATTCAAAATATATAAAGAACTTTTAAAAATCAACAATAAGAAAACAAGCAACCAGAATAAAAAATGAGGAAAGGACTGAGCAGGTAATTCACCAAAGAAGATAGATAGATGGCAAGTAACCATATGCAAAGATGTTCAATATCATGTATCTTTAGGGAATTACAAATTGAAGCAGTAATAAAATATCATGACAAACCTATTAGAATGATGAAAAGTATTCTAATACACTGACAACACCAAATGCTGGTGAGTATGTGGAGCAGCAGGAACCCTTATTCATTGCTCTGGGAATGCAAAACAATGCAGCCACTTTGGAAGAGTGCAGTAGTTTCTTACATACTCTTACTGTATGATCTGGCAATCGTGCTCCTTGGTATTTTATCCAAATGACTTAAAAACGTATGTCAATACAACACCTGTATACAAATATTTGCTGTTGCTTTATTCATAACTGCCAACATGAGGAAGCAGCCAAAATGGCCTTCAGTAGGTGAATATATAAATATACTGTGGTACATCTAGACATTGGAATTTTATTCAGTACTGAAAAGAAATTAGTTGTCAAGCCATGAAAAGATAAGGAGGAAACATAAAAGCATATTATTAAGTGAAAAGAGCCTGTCTGAAAAGGCCACACACTATATGATTCCAATTATATAATGTTCTGAAAAATTCAAAACTATAAATATAGTAAAAATATCAGTGGTTTCTGGGGTTTGGGAGAAGAAGGAATGATTTAGCTTGGGAGAACACAGGATTTTTAGGCAGTGGATTTTGTATGATACTACAATGGTGGATACATGTCATATTTTTGCCCCAAACCATACAACATACAACACCAAGAGTAAACCCTAATGTAAATTATAAACTTTAGTTGGTAATGATGTGTCAATGTAGTTCATTGATTACAACAAATGTCCCATTGTGGTGCAGTATATCCATAGTGGGGAGGTTGTGCATGTATGGGAAGAGGAAGTATATGGTAACTCTCTACTTTCTGCTCAATGAACCCAAAACTGCTCTAACAAATGAAGTTTAATAATTTTTTTAAAAGGTGCACACAGATCAAAGAATGGCTCCTTTTCAGTAATATCTGTAGTAACACTTTTAGTGCGTTTTTTTCTGCAAAGGGAAAAAGAAATGTATGATGAATATTGTGAGGATTTGGGGGTCTGTAATGGAAAATTAACCTAGGTTCTTTGCAAATACTTGTGAAAGAAGTCCAAGTTAGACTCAGCATTTATGAAGTTTATAAATATATGTTTACTTGGATTTTTCCATTGAATATTCACAAGTTCACTGGCATGTTAGAAAGAGCTCATACTGGATTGCAAATGTTTGTTATTAGTGTCTCTTCCCAACATTTCATTTAGTAACACCTTGGTAGCTTAAACATTTTTAAAATATTTACATCATGGAATTTGGCAAACTCTATGGATTACAGACTTCTTTTTCTTTGGAGAAGGGGTTGAGTCAGTTGTTAAGTACCAGCACACCAGTGAATCCCACTAGCCTGTAAAGTTTCTATTGTGGCATAGGGCCTGTCTCATAGTTGGAGTTCAAAAAATATACATTAAATTGATTAATCAGTTTTATAAAATGATTTTACAGTGATGTTATGATTGAAGCCAAATGAGAGAACTCAGTCACCAAAGGTGGAAGTGCATTTGAGAAAAGAGGGTGAAATTAGAGTTTGGTAGAGCATTTCTAGTAGGTAATATAAGAATTAAAAATTTGGTACATTTTAACAGAAGAACTGAAATGGGAGAGTTCCCTAACCCCTTAGAGAGACTTGTGACAGGGGTGTGGCTCATTTGCTCGGCTGCTTCTAACTCAAACCCCTTATGGGAGGGAGAGCACACAGGTGAGCAGGTGCTGGAGCCAGGGCAAGCACTTTGGGCTCCGGCCCCATGGCAGTGTCTAGGGGTGATACAGTGCTCTTTTAGCAGTTGCCATCCATGGGCAGCTAAGTGTTAACCAGCTCAGTGGAGAGTCAGGGTGACAGCCTTTTTCACCCTACCCTCTTGTTACCTGGGTCCTTGTCCAGGATCCAGGAAGAATCAGGTCACTCAGACTTGAAGGAAAGTGAATGCTGAGGTTTTATTGAGTGATGGAGGTGGCTCTCAGTGGGATGGGGAGCAGGAAAGGGGATGGAGTGGGAAGATAATCTTTTCCTGAAGCCTGGTTGCCTCCGGCCGGGCTTCTCTCCAAAATCGTGTTGTCTGAAGTTAAGCCACGTCTATCCACAGTCTCTGACATTCAGTTGCCTCTTCGCCTCTCCACGTTCAGCTCTTTGTTTTTTCTCTCCTTCTCTGCTGTGCCGCTCTGCTGCTCTGCCAGTGGAGCTTGGGGTTTATATGGGTACAGGATAGGGGTGTGGTGGGCCAGAGTGGTCTTGGAAAAGGCAACATTTGGACATGAAAACAGGAATGCCTGTTCTTATTTAGGGCCGTGGGTTTCCAGGCTTGAGGGTGGAGCCCTCACCAGGGACCCCGCCCTCTTGCCTCCTGTGCATATCAGAACTAAAATGTAAATTCAACTTTGTGCATTCTATTGCAAACTGGAGGTGTAAAAGGAAGTCAAGGGTTTTATATTCTGAAGAGAGTGAGCCAAAAGTTACTATTTTTTTAGAAGAGTAGTGGAGCTAAAATCCAAAAGGCAAAAATTGATGGATAATTGAGTGTATAAGTGGAGGCAGAACGAGTGTGGGAGTGTGAAAGAGTACACTGTTCCCTCCCATCAGGAGACCTGACTAGGTTTCAAGGCTTCATTCTACTTTTTAGGTGGTGCCTTTTTTCTTGCACAAAGAGGTAACTTCTCTGTGGTCTATGTGCCTAATCAGTGAAACAAAGATGATGACTTGGAAGGTCATTTCCAGCTGGAAAGTTACATGATTCATGCATGGTTCTTTGAGAGAAAAAAATTGAGTCAGTAGAGGATAAAAAAAAAGATGATACTTAGAGTAACAATGTTCATTTTTGCATGTATAATAAAGAATCCTGAAAATGTTGGTAGACAGAAAAGATCTGAGGTAGAGAGTAAGTTACAATATTTAAAGGAGGAAGGATATTTATAGACTATAATGAGAAAAAGAATATAAGTAGGGGTACTAAGGTTACAAAGCGATGAAAAAATTATTTCTTAGGAAAAAATAAAAACAATTATATTTATTAACAACATACCATATAGTTGCTGTTCTAAATACTTTGTATAGAACATATCCTTTAATTCTTACAAAAATATAAACGATAAAAAGGTTTCATTTCTATTTTACAAGAAAGTAACTGTGAGGTTCCTTGTCTAGGAACTGCCATGGAGACAAAATTTGAACCCCAAATTCTGACTCAAGAATGTGTAGGCTGGTAGGCAGAAGCCTGTGGCTGGCACCTGTTTGCTCATTCACCAGGCTGGTGACTTAGCCAAGCCATTTACTACTCAGAGTCTCTGTTCTCTTACTCATCAGATAGGAACAATGTTTTGTTTCTCATCTAACTCCTAGAGCGATTATGAGGCTTACTTGATAAATTGTGCCTGTAAAAGGTAAAGTATGATAGATACATGGTATTTTTTTTTAAATGGACAAACGGTCATTGAAATTTTATGTTAGGGGATAAAAATTAGGGGATTTAATCTGGAATGCCCTGTATTAATTCATTAAAGTAGACAAGGCCATGTGCTGAATATAAATAAATAGTATTGGAAACTTAAGGGGCATGGAAAAGATTTGGACAAATTAATACTGGTTAATCCCCAGTAGTATTATATTTTTACTCCAGTTTGATAGTGGGAAATTTGCCAGACCATAACAAAGGAAATTCCAGATTATGATTTAGCAGAGACTTTTGTGTTGGCTTCAGTGCCATTTTGCTTTCTGTCAACATTCATACCATCTTAATATATTAGTGCTGTGTGTCAGACAGAAAACTGCACTTGCAAGGGAAACAGATTTCTCATGAGATTCTGAACATTAGGATGACAACAACATTGGATACATATACACATGCAAGTTTTCTTTCTCAGTTTTCTCTTTTCTTCTTTGGCCCAAACAAGAAAATGCAGAAATAAAGCCAGAAGGATGTTAGATTTATTTTTGTTATTTGTTTGAACCTGAATATGAATTTGCTTAGATTTTTAATGATGTTGTTTAATCCTTACTACTTTACTCGTGTTTTTCTAATGCAGCAAATCTTAGAAGCCAGGATGAAAGCAAGGGTGGGAAGCATTATTATTACTTTTTTATTTTGTTTAAAAAGAAGAGTCTGTATGAGGGGGAAAAAGAGACAAAGGGAAATTATGTCCATGCCCACCCAGAATTCCTCAGCTGGAAAGCCCTCCTAAGTTAAAGTAATTAAAGTCCAGCCTGTGGCTGGAGGCTGTGTATGTATAAACCCCAGAGATAGCATAAAAATAGCCTTTGGGCATCCTCTGAGACAGAGGATGTTCAATCAGATTCCAAGAACTCAAGAACATGTGTTTTACCAGGGAGAAAGCCAAAATACAAACTTTCCTGTAAGTACTACAAATGCCATATGGAAAATTGATCCCATAAACTAAGGAGAAAAACATAATAAAGGAATGATTTTTGAATCCCATTATGCCAGTTAAGGGATATATTCCAGTCTTTCAAACTAATTTCCAAAAAGTACAACCGAATTAAAAGGGAGGATTTGAGTAATAATTCAAGTACCATTTCTGGTTTTCTTAGCAAACCTTTGTACAAATGGCTACCCTGACTTGTTACTTGCAAACTAAACCCATTTTCAAAAGAGAGAGAAAGAGATCATTACTTTCCATTACTTTCATTGGTTCCTGTATTATATGGTAGTTCAGATTAGTGTTTGTTTTCCTTCAAATAAAGCTGTTGAATGGTAGCAAATTTATCTTGCCTAAGTTGTAGAGAGCCTCCCACTATGTAGGGATACTTGACAGGCCATATTGTCTGTATTTGGGAAATTACTTATTGCATTTGTTTATAATTATTAAGGCAGAGTAGAGTTCAATAGTGAGATCATAAACTATAATTAACATAAAGTCTGTCCTTACATAAAAATATTTGTTACATGGTGTTTACTATAATTTCCAAATTATAAGGCAGGAATAATGACATTTGATCAAATCTTATATTTTTCATATAGCCTTATGCTTTGCTTGTGGTTTATAATATTTAAAATTTTACTTAATATAAAATAAGTATAATTCAAATATACTTATATTTATTGTCTATTTTAGGTAGTCCTATTATTTCCTGGAAGATTACTTCTGTTTTACCATTTTGCGCGCTTATAGGGATTTTTAAAAATAAAAAGCCCATTGTTTTTAGCTCATAAAATTATCCCTCTAGAACAAATTTGCCTTTATTTCTGTCTTGCACTCTGTGAATACCGTGTACTCTGAATCAAATTTTTTATTAATCTTTTCATCAGGATTTCCACAGTATGAAAATAAGGTAAATTTGAACTCTGTACCAGAACAAACACAAGTTTGTGACTTTAATTTATCTAAATGAACTTTTGATTTTCCTTACCAGATCTCTGGGCTGAGAAATCTTTCTTGCTGTGGAATGTATGTAGTTCTAGTCCCAGTGAGAGTACCAGCTTTCATGACTTGTGACTCTGCACAGACTTTCCAGTTTTAACTTCTTTTCTCACACAGTCTCAATGCCTAGCGTCCCATAATCCCTGAGCAAACCATAAATGGCAAGCCTTTTTACCGTTTGGGCCATGTGCAAAGCTGCCCAAATTGAGCCTCTAGTGTCCTTGCAAAGTGAGTTTGCACTCTTGTTGCTCTGGCTTTCAGTTTCTTCTCCATGGGTGACATCTATAAACTTCCCCTTCTATCCTGTAAATTCAATTCTGTACGCTCAGATTTATCATTTCAGGTATTTTGTAATAGAAGATTGTGATAATTAATTTTATCTGTCAACTTGACTGGTTGAAGAGATGCCCAGATAGCTGGTAAATCATTATTTCTGGGTGTGTTTGTGAAGGTGTTGCTGGAATAGATTAGCATTCAAATCCGTAGATTGAGTAAAGGTCTGCCTTTGTTGATGTGGGTGAATGTCATCCAATTCACTGAGGGCCGGAGCAGAAAAAAAGGTAGAGAAAGGGCAAATCTTGCTCTTTTCTTGAGCTGGGACATCCATCTTCTCCTGACCTTGGACATCAGATCTCCTGTTTCTTAGACCTTCAGACTCTGAGACTTATACCAGCAGATTTCCACCCCATCCCCTCAACCCTGGTTCTCATGCCTTTGGTCGGAGACTGACTTATATCACTAGTTTTCCTAGTTCTCCAGCTTACAGGCAGCAGACGGTGGGACTTTCCAGCCTCTCATAATTATGTGAGCCAATTCTCTATCTATCTACCTACCCACCCATCTCCTATTGGTTCTGTTTCTCTGAAAAATTCTGAATAATACAAAGAGGCTTCTGCCAGATTTTTGGAAACAAAAGCCTGAAAGGACATTTTCATTTAATTCATAAAGTTGACTTCAAGTACACAAAATTGGACATTCATGACTCACTGTCATCATTGTTATGCTATGGCCTTCTTTCATTAGATAAGTCATTTTTATTAAAAATTAGCACCTACCATACAAAATAATACCCAAGATCTTGATGTTGTGTAAAAACAATGGTAAATAGCAATGCAGTTGTCAAAATGAAGAAATTATGGTGAAATGACCAGTAATAACACCCAGCAATATGCATGGGACCTAGCAATACGCCATTCATTTTTTTTAATGACTTAATTAAAGGGGAAGATTAGGCTAATAATTCGAGTACCAAAAGATTACAAACATCATTATAGACACTTTGTAAAGTTATAAAGTTAAAACAAAGCAAGACAATATTGAATACTCGTTTCAGGATGAAGGTTATATTTGATGATGGTATTATTTTTAAATTTGTACAAATGTATGCAGTATATGTGCAATTCTGTTACAGACACACATTGTGTAGTAGTCAAGTCAAGGATTTTAGGGTATGATAATGATATCTTGAAGGCAGGTAGAAGAATGAAACAATGGGGGCAGGAAAAACCTCATAATTAGGCATATATTAATTTCAAACTCCTTTCTTTTCTTTTCTTTTTTTACCTTTTATTTTAGGTTAAGGGTATATGAGCAAATTTGTTACAATAGGTAAACTGTGTGTCATGGGAGTTTGGCATACCTATAATTTTGTCACCCAGGTAATAAGCATAGTATCTGATAGATTGTTTTTCTGATCCGCTCCTTCATCCTACACTCCATCCTCAAGTAAGCCCCAGTGTTTGTTATTCTTCTCCTGGTATTCTTGTGTTCTCATTGTTCAGCTTCCACTCATAAGTGATGACATGTGTTACTTGGTTTTCTGTTCCTGTGTTAGTTTGCTTAGAATGATGGCCTCCACCTCTATCCATGTTGCTGCAAAGGACATAATCTCATTCTTTTTTATAGCTGCGTAGTATTCTGTGGTATATATGTACCACATTTATTTATCCAGTCTACCATTGAAGGGCATTTAGGTTGATTCCATGTCTTTGCTATTGTGATTAGTGCTGCAATAAACGTATGTGTGCATGTTTCTTTATAGTAGGATGATTTATATTATTTTGGGTATATACCCAGTAATGGGATTGCTGGGTTAAATGGTAATTCTGTTTTAAGTTCTTTGAGAAATTGCCCCACTTATTTCCACAATGGCTGAACTAATTTACACTCCTACCAGCAGTATATAAATGTTCCCTTTTCTCGGGAACCTCATCAGCATCTGTTATTTTTTTGACTTTTAATAATAGCCATTCTGACTGGTGTGAGATGATATCTCATTGTGGTTTTGATTTGCATTCCTCTAATGATCAGTGATATTGGCAGTTTTTCAGTGTTTGTTGGCTGCTTGTATGTCTTCTTTTGAGAAGTGTCTGTTCATGTCCTTTATGCACTTCTTAATAGAGTTGTTTATCTTTTGCTTGTAAGTTTATTTAAGTTTCTTATAGGGGCTGGATATTAGACCTTCGTCAGATGCATACTTTGCAAATATTTTCTCCCATTCTGTAGGCTGCCTGTGTACTCTGTTGATAGTTTATTTTGCTGTGTGGACGATTTTTAGTTTAATTAGATCAAGTTTGTCAAGTTTTGCTTTTGTTGAAATTGGTTTTGCTATCTTTATCACAAAATATTTGTTCTTTCCTATGTCCAGTATAATATTGCCTAGGTTGTCTTCCAGGGTTTTTATAGTTATGGGTTTTAAATTTCAGTCTTTAATCCATCTTGAGTAGATTTTTGTATATGGTATAAGGAAGGGATCCAGATTCAGTCTTACGCATCTGGCTAGCCAGTTATCCCAGCACAATTTATTAAATAGGGAGTCTTTCCCCATTGCTTGTTTTTGTCACCTTTGTGGAAGATCAGATGGTTGTAGGTGTATGTCCTTATTTATGAGCTCTCTATTCTGTTCCATTGGTCTATGTGTCTATTTTTATACCAGTAACATGCTGTTTTGGTTACTGTTGCCCTGCAGTATAGTTTGAAGTCAGGTAGCATGATGCCTCCAGCTTTTTTCTTTTTGCTTAGGATTGCCTTGGCTATTTGGGCTCTTTTTTGGTCCTATATAAATTTTAAAATAGGTTTTTTCTAGTTTTGTGAAGAATGTCATTTATGTCATTGGTAGTTTAATAGGAATAGCACTGAATCTTTAAATTGCTTTGGGCAGTATGGACATTTTAACAGTATTGATTCTTCCTATCCATGAGCATGGAATGTTGTTTTCATTTGTTTGTGTCATCTCTGATTTCTTTGAGCACTGTTTAGTAACCTCTTTATTTTCAATTCAAACAACATTATGTAAAATTTGAATATTACCACACTGCTTTCAGCCCTCTGTGGAATTTCTTTTTACTTTGCAGCCCCAAGCAGGATTGTGTGGGATTGCACACAAAAGTGTCTGCATCAAGCTAGGGGGGTATTAATGTCCCTTTTATAGTCTCCTTATGACAGAAATAACCAGTAATGATGAGATTAATTCATAGATCCATTATTTCATTTGAGACAGATTCACTGGTTGAGCAGATATTTTATGGTACCATACAAAAATAAACTGACAATATTGAGATAAAGATGTCTCACAAAAATTTGGTAAGCACAGCATATGTCATTTGTCACAATAATGTGTAATTAAACTTTTTGAAGGAAAATCTTATTGTGACTTTAAAGAAAAATATAATTAACAAAGATTTTTTTATTCCCTTTTCTCCAGAGAAAGGAAAGATTATTGAATATTTGGTGAATGTCTGTAAAAGTTAAGATAGTTAAATAGATAAAAAGAACCCTGGAACCAATTGCAAATTAATATTCTCTCCCTAAGGTCCATAATGTTCTATGACCTCTGCCTTCTCCCTGGTCTTGGAGTTTTTAGGAATAGACTAATTATTAAATACCTTTTCAATAAGAGCAGGTTAACTTCCAGTCAAGATCACATAGTCCATTTTCTCCCTGCTTTCCTGCCAGACAAAACTGTGAACCCTGGAAATAACACAAGAAGCAACCCAGGAAGAACTTTGAAAGATGGGAAGAATATATTCTTTCTTGGAACCCCAGGATTTGAGGAACAATATATTGGCATATCACCTCACGTCTTCCCACCCAACAGGAGAAGGTAAACCAGACTTTATTTCCTGAGCCCAACCTAGGAACAGAAGGCAGCCTACAGAGTACTCATTTCTCCTCAGGAGGGAATGGGAATCCTTCTGACAATGTCAGCAATGTCCAAAAAAATTGAGGATTAATCAGGATTTTCACCAACAATAAGCAGCTGTTAGAAGCGCTCTCTTGCGACTAGATCTCTTACAGAGAGACAACAAGGCAGGTAAGCTGAACAAGCAAAAGACACACAACCACTATAAGTGGCCAGCCCTGGGATACCTTTCAACCTCATAGGCCTGAGATTCTCCTCCACTGCCTAGGGACACTGGGACAGCAGAAGACACTGCAAGGGGGAATTCTCAGTACAACAAGGACCTGACCCAGAAAGTGGTCTATGTCTCCTAAAGGCAAAAGCAATGCTTTTCAACATAAAAAGTGCCTAGTCAAAGAAGCATCTTTATCTATGTATGCCTGTGACTCCTCCCTTCCACCAGTAAACACTGGGGCAAGTGGAAGTAACTAGAAAGTTGCAGACAGAGTCATCAGGCTTGAAAGACACTTTGTCCCTGTGGACTTCAGATCCACCTCTTGATGGAGCGACACCCAGTGGGAAAATCCTTTTTACCACCTCAGAAAGGACCAAAGTGAACAGCAAAAGTCCCAGTGGCACCAGATATACAAACTAGACTGAAATAACATTGCAAAGCATCTGATAATTAAACTAGTCATTGGGAACACAGCTCACAAAAGTGAGCAATGCCCGTGTGTTAAACCTAAACATGACAGCTGTTGCTGCAAAACAATTTAATTAGGACCCAGAATCTTTTTATATAAGAGAAAATATTCAAGATACAATAGAAAATCACCTGTATTACAAAGAAGTAAGAAAATCACAAATGGAATGAGAAAAAGCAATCAACTGACTTTAGCACTGAGTTGAATCTGATTTTGGAATTGTCTGAGGAGGATTTTAAAACATTTATCATCAATATGCTTCAATGTGTAAATACGAATTCACTATCAGAGTATGGGATGCAACTAAAACAGTACATGAAAGTAAATTTATATCAGTAAATGCTAAAAATGAGTAAAGTTTCAAATTAATAACCTAAATTACTACCTCAAGAAACTAGAAAACCAAAAACAAAATAAACTAAAAATAAGAAGACTATACTATCAAGCTTGGTCCAGCAGCTAGACCATTTTACATACCCATCAACAAAGTGTGAGTGATTCAGTTCCACCACATCCTCACCTGCATTTGGTGTTGTCACTATTTTTATTTTAGTCATTCTGATAAATGTGTAGTGGTATCTCGTTATGGTTTTAATTTGCATTTCCTTAGTGACTAATAACATGTTGAGCATCTCTTCCTATGCTTATTTGTTTAAACTATGCATATTTGCTTTAATGACCACATTTCTTTTATTCTTTAATATATGAATGCTGTTTATACCTAATACTGGCCTGCCATTTGTATTTATCAACTATCTGTCCTTTTTCATTTTACTTTCAACCTCTCTGTGTCCTCATATTTTTGCTATGTAAAACGCTCTTTGTGTAACTCTGTAGTCTAATGTTTAAACTCAATATTGTGGTCTGTATTTTTTTCATTGGCAACTGCGTACATTTACATTTATTTTAGTTGTTGATATATCCGAATTTGACTTTTATGATCTTAGCTGTACTTTCTAAAAACTTTGTCTATTGTTCCTTTTCTTAATTTTTTTCTCTTTTGGTACACTGAATTCTTTTCTATTCTTTCCCTCCACTGGTTTCAGAATAATACATTATATTTTTATCAGTTAGTGGTCACCTTGAAAATTTTTCTTGAACCAGTCAGAATGAATTCATTAAATAGACAAAAACCTTACTCATTTGAACAGGTAAAATTTAATATAAAGAATTTTACTTAAAAAGTACAAGTAAGATTATACAAGTCAATTCAAATATATCAACCACCACAATGAATGTAAATAAATGCAACTTGCCAATTTAAAAACGCAGACCATAAAATAATATACAGTTTAAAACTCAATATAAAGATGTTTTAACTAATAAATTGTAATGAATTACAAAGGTGCTATAAGAAAACACTAAGTGTTTCAAAAATAGCAAGTATAAAAGAATAGCTACTAACTCTAGGCTCAGGAAGAAAGGACAGTGAAAACACTGTAAGATTAGGAGAGGGCCTCCCTCTCTGAGGCTGAGAATATTACCTCTGGAGGAGGATGTAGCTACTACAAGAACATGCAGCCTCTTCATGGTAAAGAAAGCTGCCAGAAGGCTCTGGCCTGAACTGGTCTTTAGAAACAGACAGAGTACCCTGAAGACACAGCTGGCATTGCCAGGAAAGTAGTCCACTGATGGGAAAGCAGCCCACCAATGCTGCTCTGAGAGCATGCCTGAGGGTGTAGGTGGAACTACCAGTGGAAGTCATTTCCTGGAGTTGCTTGGAAGCTGCTAGGTGGAGAATGTGAGCAGATAGTGGGTAGGACACTGTCTGAGGATTACTGGAATCCCATGACAAAAATAAAAAATAATAAAAGGAGGATTGAAACTTGGAAGAGAGGCATACTTCTGAGGGTTTTGCTTGGTACTGTAACTCCAGAACTCTCTATTCACAAAGCCTAGAACTATATCACTTAGTAAAGAGAAATGTTCAAAAGTTAGAGCACTCCAGCTTCACAATCAAGGCAAAAAGAGTGATTTAAAGCTGAAAGACAATAATTGGAAAACTGGTATAAAAGCTTAACAAACATTCGTACTAAATATTGAAAGCTTCTCCCAGTCAACTTCAAAATCTTAAAATACTTAAATTACCTTTGTCTCTTTGATATACATATGATTAATATGTATTCAGTGTTTGTATTTTTAATAACACTATTTACTTATTTTTATTATCATTGATTTTAAGCAGAAATGGAAAGTTGTAGGTTTAGATGTACCAACACATTGCCCCACTTCTTTGCTTTTCCTTCTTTCTTCAAGTTCAGACATTCCTTCTGTGATGATTTTTTCTTTTCTTCAAATAAATATTTATAAATGCCTTTAGAATGTGGGAATAGTAATGATAAACTCTTTTTTATTTCATTTAATATTTTATTTTAAATATTCTTGAAAGATAATGTAATTAACACAAATTAATAGTAGCAATCATTGAGAAGTCGGCAAATACTACTTCTGTTAACATCTTTTCTTCTTTAGTGTTAGTTTTATGATGTGTTCTGATAGATTCATTTTTAGATATACTGTTTGAAGTACATTATGCTTTCTATATATGTGAATTTATCTGTTCTTGAAAATATATGGTCACCATGCTTTCAAATGGTGCATATTTTCCTTCCTTTTTATTCTCTAGAACTTGGATACCAATTAGATATGAGACACTCTCATTTGATTCTCCATTTCTCTTAATCATTCCTCTTTATTTGTATTTCTTTGTACTACATTCTGTGCAATTTCTTTACATTTACATTCCAATTTACTGATTATTTCATCGACTACGTTTTGTCTACTGTTAACCTATTCATTGTTTTAAACCATTTTTTTTAATTTCTAAAAGTTACGTTTAATTCTTTTTAAATATGCTTGGATCATTTTTTATAGTCTTTGCTTCTTTTTCCTGATAGTCTATGTTTTACTTTTTAAACACTTTATATTTATCTCTTAATAATTTAAATATATGAAGCACTTAGAGGCCTAAACTCCTACTGGCTGTATTAGCAAATGCTCATTTAATGGGTCATTTTCCTCTATGAGATCTTTGGTTTTGATTCACATATGAGTGATCTAATGGGAATCCTGGAGTGAAAGCTGAGGATGCCTTCTTCCAAAAAGAACTTACCTTTTGCTTCTGTTTTGAGACAGGGCTCATTACCCATTAAAAACTACTGTAATCTTCTTCAAGCAGCCTTTTGTACCTGGTTTTCAGCTATCTTATTTCCTGCTGCTTCAAATCTGAACCTCAGGATTGAAGTGCTGATAAAGTCACTGGCCAGTTTTATCATTTACTTGCAAATTTGAGTTGCAATTTCTCTTTTTTAAAAAAAATTTCTCCTGACCATAAAATGTCAATTCTATAGATCCCATGGTACACATTAATCATAATATTTTACTAGAACCTTTTTATTTGTAGCAGTACAGCCCTTCAGAGCTGCTGATCTGATTACCATCAAAAACAAAATTCTCAAATAGACTTTTTGATTACTTTCATTCAATTAATGTATGCTGGTGATAGTACTACAACCTGCTCTTTGGAAATCACTGGTGCACACAGTCAACGCACTTAAGAATATTTTAGAGTAAAAATTATGTATTTTGATTACAAATTTTAAAGAATTATCCCCCACTGTTCTTAACTTTTTATCTGATGAGCATCATCATGTTTTTCTGAGTTTCCATTTGAGATTTTTAAAGGTTTTAAAAAAATATTGATATATAAAACTTAAAGAGATATTTAAGCGCATGTTCCAGATGATTTTTTTTAATTGCCACCTAAACATTTTCTCCACGCAGATAAAAAATTTAGTTCTCATTAACTTAGTAAAAATGGGAACCCAAATCTAAGAGCTACATTTATGCGGACAATAAATCGTTAACTTTACAGCTCTACTGAAATTTCATGTAAACTCAATGAAATGTATCATATGAATAGTAGTAGTGCTAGTATAGCTCTTGTTGATTTAGATTATTAGTCTGCAAAATTGAATCATGACTTGTATCATATAATGAATCATACATAATCCATCATACTAGTGTTAGAAAAAATAAAGCCATAAAGCACTCACAAAATACAGTTTATAGTGGAAAATCTGTCACTTTACAAAAGGCAAATACAAAGTTCATATAACAAATAGAAATACTTGAACCTAAATCTAATTGGGGAATTGGAACATTTTAGGAATCTGTAACTATCATTTTGCATCTTGAACTCTACTGCAAAGACTTGGAATTTTTCATCAAATCCTCAACCATATTTAGTATTTATTGGACAATTCATTGAAACAGTGATCTTACACATTCTGCACATCACAATCAGATGAGTAGCTTGCTCAAAACAGAAATTGTTGGAACCCATCATAGGCCTACAAAATTAGAATCCTTGGAAAATTAGGTATTTTTAATTTTTAAGAATTTCAGATAATTCTGGAACAGACAATTCAAAAACAGACTAATCTCTAACTTAATTCTTATACTCAAATTATGTGAAATAAATTGGATCTTACATTAACCAACAATTGGACATACATTTATTTAGTAAAATTAAAATGGAAACATAATTTTTGAAAGGATTTGAGGTTTTCTTATCTGACCATTTATAATGGCAAAAAAGAAAATAATAATAAATTGTAATTTTTTTCTAGCTGAAGATGAATTTCTGTACTGTATTTTCTCCTCTACTTCCTGTAAGAATTCTTTTCTAACTGCTGTCTCTTTCTGTGCTCTAAAAACCTAAAACACTCTCAGGTGATTGATTTAGCATACAGAATTTTTTAAAGATTTAATATATAAATGTTTTATCTCACAACTATAATGTTCATTTTTTGGAGTTAGACATATTGCCATATGGTATTATGTTTTCCCACAATTTCTAGAACAATATTTAAAAAGTGTACAAACACATTATTAATGTTTGGTAGTTTTATATTATGGATTATATGTACAATTACTTACAAATGTAATACTGCGATTACATTTATGATTTTTTTATTTAGCAGAGAGCATGTTACATTGACAAACAAAAACAATCAAGCTACCAATGTCCAGTTTAGGAACTTGGGAATTCTTTGGTTTGATTGATTGTGCACCACTGTACCAAAAATGCCTTCTGGGATCTCCTTCCTTTCCAAGTCACAGAGTATGCTCTTCACCAGAGATCACAGCTATTCTCATTTATAGGAATAATAAATGTACTATATTGTTCTCCATTTGTTTTGAAACAAGAAAAAGCACTTATCTTGCCTTTACATGAAGACATCTCCCTCACTCATCTGTCCATGTCTTAAACATACATAATTAGGTATTATAATTAGCATTTTATGCTCTGGTATCCCCAAGTATCCCCTCATGTGCATATGTGTCTATAACCACAAACACACACACGATTATAAATATATGTAATTATATATGTGCAAATATATATTTGTACAAGTATAAACATATATAAATATAGATATACAAATATATACCTAAATATAACAGGTATAATATTATATATACATAGATATGTATATAAATACATATATAAATATGCATATACGTACCAAAAGATAGAGACAGCTACAGGTGCAAAAGCATAAATGCCAATAGAAAAAGAAACGCCTTTTGGTGTTAAACACTTTTACTTGAACTGTGTTTTGAAATGATGAGGCTTTAGTTCCATATATATATAAATTAAATAGGGAAGAAGACATGAATAGTTAAGATTTGAGTAGCTACATTTTAAAGGCCCCACAAATTTTGATGTACAGCCCAGTTGATGACTTCTAATCTAGAAAATCTCTAAATTTCTTCTACCTTTCAAAGTCAATAAAATAATTTGAGTTTACATTAATTAATAATGGCTTATACATTTATTTTTAAATATATATAATAAAATCCTAAATTTAGAGAATTTTTGTCTGATTATTCAAAATGTAAACAAGCCAAAAATATTTATATGACATTATGGTAAATTCTGAATGTTACTGCCTGTTAGTCTTCTATAAACTGTTTCTTAACTGTTATCACTGTGTCTTCTGAACTTTAACAGTAACACTGGAGTTAGCACATCGTTTTTGTTTCATGTTTCCAGTTCTATCTTATCAAATAGAAACAAACTCCTTGAGCTTAACCGCTATGGCATACTCTAATGTTGATTATTAAAGTTCTAGTTAAAACTAAAACATTATATCACTGTAAATAATAGAAGTTGCCCAGGTTAAGTACTAATTTCAACAAGAATAAAAGCAAACTAGTTTATGTTAACAAAAATGTAAAGAATCATTTTATGTTAAATTAGTATTGTATAAATTTAAAAGTGATGGTGTTTGTAATCTTTATAATATATAGTAAGTATTCTTCACATTTGAAGATGGGTTTGTTCTTGAGAGATTTGGTGTCAAATATAGTTAAAAATAACATGAAATACAGTGAGATTCTTTAATAGAGTTGATTATTTTATGAACTGAAAAATTTACTAATTTTACCTGATTTGGGAAATTCAGAATTCCATTTTGTTTTTTATAGTTGGTAAATATATAGGTAGAGACCAAAATAAAAGCTTCATGAACTTGTCACCAACTTATATGTAATATAATTTATAGAATATTACATTCAAAGAGTTTTGCCAAAATTATCACCATTTAGTCTGTTAATCTATGAGAGCCAAAATTTTAAAACACTAAGGGTAATATATAAACCTGTTTGTCTGTCCATGAACCCCCAATAGGCATTGAATATTCATACAAATAACTGTCTATCATGTTAAAAGAAATATAAAAATTTCACACTTTCTCTAAACATTTCTGCAAGAGAATGCCTTATTTACAAGTACTCAGGCTCTTACTTTCCTCTTGCAGAGTGAGTTCTCAGCTTCATAATTTTATGACTACTACCCTCCTTCAGGTAATAGCAAACAGTATATAGTGTCCATTTTCGCTTGGCATGTTATTATTTAAAAATTGGCTCAACTCTACTAAGCGTTCATGTAAAATAATTCATTTAACTGAAATTTATATTAAGGAAATGGCTCTTAGCTGTCCAAATTGTCCAGAAGTTTATCTTATTTGTATTCTAATAATTGACACAAATTTTACACTTAAAAAATCTATCCTATCTCCAGAATGCAAGAAGAAAATAATAAGAAATAATATTAAAATTATAATTTCTATATTGAGATCATGTATTAAAAATAAAATATAGATAGCTTTGGTTTCTTTAATAAATATTTAAAAATGTATAATATATTAGCTAAGTATATAACAATACAGAAATTAAAATCTTTTTCTTATTAAAGATAATTCCAACTTAATTTATGTCTCTTTAATAGGGAACAGTTTTTAAAAATATCCCAGATAAATTGGCTGTTTGTTTTAGTTATTGAAATTTATTTAATAAATAAATGTAACAAAATTTTAGAGTATGAGCATTCCAGAAGTTTAATAATTCCAATTATTTAAAGGTTATAAATAGCTAAAAACTTTCTCTCTCTCTTGTAGATTTGTATCAAACAATTTTCCACAGACCAATAGTTCTAATATTTTAATTGGGAACATTTAGAAACGTGGATGTGCTATATTGTGTTGTAACTGGAGATTCAGTTAGAGAAATCATGGTCTTTTGCCAAGATTAATTCTGGCAAGCAACATTGGCATAATATATTAAAGCCCATGTCATAGAAACAGCACCTCAGAAATGGGAACTGAGGATTCAAGACTGGCAGAGTCTCCTAGTGCTTAATGTTAAGAACTAGCTTAAAGGGTAGTCATAATGATATTGGAGAAGGAATAATTCTTCCTTCCAACATGTTCTCAGAGTCCAAAAATATAGAGGAGATGGCAAAAAGATTGTTGAAAAATTACAGGTCTAGAAAATTAGGTCAAGAGATGAACTTGGAAGCCACCAATAAATAAAAGCCATAAATAATCATATAAATATTTTTGAAAGTCTTTTGACAATTTCTGGATAACGAATATTATTATACTCACTAAGGATATTGTCCTTCTACTTTATCCTTTTTAATAATGCTTACTCTCTTTAGGCTTGTTGATTCCTCATTAAAGATATGGATTCCCTTTTTTAAAAAATTTTACTTTAAGATCTGGGATACATGTGCAGAACATGCAGATTTGTTACATAGGTATACATGTGCCAGGGTGGTTTGCTGCACCTATCCACTCGTCATCTAGATTTTAAACCCTGCATGCATTAGGTATTTGTCTCAATGCTCTCGCTCCCCTAGCCCCCCCAACCCCCAACAGGCTCGGGCGTGTGATGTTGCCCTCCCTGTGTCCATGTGTTCTCATTGTTCAACTTCCACTTATGAGTGAGAATGTGCGGTGTTTGGTTTTCTGTTCCTATGTTAGTTTGCTGAGAATGATGCTTCCAGCTTCAACCATGTTCCTGCAAAGGACATGAACTCATTCTTCTTTATGGCTGCATAGTATTGATATGGATTCAGTTTTAAAGGTAACAAGCTTCATAAGAAAATCCATGGATAATTTCAATTCAATTAACTAACTCATGCTCTTCCCATTTAATAATTCTTGTTCTTATAACCATAAAGTGCTTGTTCTTAAACAATTCTCATTGCTTCTTTATAAATTGACACTATGCTTACAGTGATGATACTACGCTAGAACCCCCATAATCAAGCCATTAGAGGTCATAAGTGCTATTCTATGACTTTTTAGTGTGAGACAATTGAAATTTAAATAATATATTGTCTTATAATATATTGTTCATGGAAGACCTGCTGCATATTCCAATCAGTAGTATTAGTAGTTCAGTATATCTGCTTTATTTCACAAATGAATACTTCAGGAGAGAGGAAAAGGTGAAGGAATGAGTAAGTCCAGTGGGCAAATGAGTGGTAAAATGAATTTTCTGTGAAGAGACACATCATGCAAAGTTGTAGAGGTGAGGAACCCTGCCAATGTCCAGTTTTGAGGATTTAAAACAGCTTGATTATTCTGTAATCATAGGATCTCAGCCATTAGATATATATGTGTGTGTGTGTGTTTGTATGTGAAATGTATCTGTAGTTTGTATGAACGTATCTATAGCATAAAACTCTATAACTTAGCACTCACACTCTGCAAAGCAAGAAAGCTATGTAGATCAGTAGGTCCAAAAAATATAGTTATCTGAAGAACTCTCAGCTTACTCCTAGAAAGGTTACTAAGCATTCCTTACATGGAAGAAATATCATTTCCTTAAGAGGGAGGGGCATCTTAAGGATAATACAAAATTAAATAACAGTATTATAGGACGTGAGAGTTATTTAAGTAATGGAGTGGATTTCAGTGTGTGTTCATATTAATAGCAAATTCTCTCTAACCCAAAGGAAAACAGTTTTTCTGAAATTTTTATTCTACTCCAGGGAAAATCAGAATATAAGATAATACAATAAACAAATGTATTTTAACAGTAATTTCCACCCACATCTTATTATAGCTATTGATTATTGATTTCTGCAATGTTTTTCTGTTTGTGCCTTCAATATCTTTTCCACATCTGGTTTTATACAGGCATTTTCTTGAAATATATATGTACATATTTTTCCTTTCTTATGAAATGGAAAGAAACAAATAGGAAGAAATGAGAGTTTAGTTTAAATACTGGGCAATAATTTTTCTTTTCATAGACAAACCTAGATACCTGTGTTTGATTTGAAAGTGTTTTATAACTAAAATTTCACTTTAAAATGTTACAAGTATGGCTGGTTAATTTAAAAAATATTTGATCAGCAAGGGGAAAGTGTTTAGAATTTTATTTAAAATGTAAGCTTATGGCCTGGCATGGCGACTCATGCTTGTAATCCCAGGACTTTGGAAGGCCAACGGAGGTGGATCACTTCAGCCTAGGAGTTCAAGACAAGCCTGGGCAATATAGACCTCATCTCTACAAATTTTAGTTTTTTAAAATTGATTGGGTATAGAGCATGCTGCCAGCTACTTGGGAGGCTGAGATGGGAGAACGACTTGAGCCCAGGTGGTCCAGATTGCAGTAAGCCATGGTCACACCACTGCACTCCAGCCTGGATGGCAGAGTGAGACTCTGTCTCAAAAAAAAAAAAAAAATTAAACATAAAGAAATCATAAAACAGAAAAACCAGAGTTTGTTAGATGTGAAACAGCTTTGAGAGCATGGAAACTGAACAATCATTTAAAAGACTGAGAAATGCCCCTCTTTCAATGAAGTGACACTATTCAGAATATCTTTTAAGATATAAAGGAGACTTTTTCTGAGAGCACATAACAGAAGCAGAACATTTGGTAACAGTGTAAACTCTGATAATGGTGAAGTAGAAAGCAGTATTAAGTAGAGAGGCAGTATAGCACACCAGTTAAAATTTGGACTGTAGAGTTATGTGTTTTGACTTCAGGTTCTCTCTATTTGTGTTTGAGCTTGCACATTTTATTTTGTCTGTTTTCACTTTCTATTACAGGATATTTTTCATGGTGTTATTGTGTGGTATATGTATTAATGTAGGTAGATATTCAATAAATATTAATTGTTTTATTATTATGTACTATTACTAAAGCAGCTATGAAAAATATTGTGAATGAACAGATGCTATCTTTCCCTTTTTTAAGCTATACTTGGAAGGAGAGAGGGAGACTAATGATGTGTCATTTCCTGGGAAATATGGTTAACAATGCCTTAATTTTAAAGGAATCAGTATTTAAATAGTGAAATTGAGTTTAAATATTAGCAACTGTCCTTTATGGCCTCCAGCAGACAATCCAGCAAACCAAGCTGCATCTGCAGTGGAGAGAAAAATACAGTGGAATTTGCTCTGCACTCTCAGGTGGGCTTCTAAGAAACTAACTGTTCAAAGAGGAAGAGCCCAAGGATGCTCAAGTATTACTAAGGAAAGTAAGGAAAGTATAAGTTGAAGTAGGCACTTCATTTTCTTAAATCAAGGGCATAAATTGGATTGATTTTACATTTCATTCTGAAAAATTAGTAGTGTCTTCGTTGAGTATTACTTTGAAAATAACTCTGAGACTGTGTATATTCTTCAGGAGCCATAACTATTGTAAGAATTTAGGAATGAACCGTAATTCTAGATAGTCTGAATTAGTTGTAAACATAAAAAATGCTTGGGAACTCTCACGGAGTTATCCGTATGTTTTGGCAATGACAGATATCAATGAAACAGTTACTTTAATAGACTAGCAATGTCCGTTACAGGGAAGAAGAAAGATGGTGGCAAGTAGCTTATCAGACAGTTTGTATCAAAGTCAAAGCTTAGGCTCTTTGATTCTATAATCTAGAGTCAAATAATGTAAACATTCCCAAAGATAATATAATTCCGCTGTCAATCTAATTGCTGAAATCATCGGTATGTTTGAAACAAGTCACATGATATACTAGAATGTGAATTTCTTTAGAACAAAATCTATGCTGCGTTTACATGCAAAAAAAAAGGACTTGAAATCATTAAAAGTGAATGTTTCTAACAACAAGATTGTCTAATAGTGAAATACGCTTCCTTTTAGGTGGTGAATGCTCCTGAGATATTGTTTAAGAGACTTCATGTCATGTATCTTCTGGAATAAAGGGAAATTATTAATACTGTCTATAATAATTTAAAGATTAATAATGTCTATACCACTAAGTTTCCAATCTAACTTTAAAATTCAATAATCTCATAAATGTCATGATTATCTGTCCTAGCCTTATTACATAGGAAATAGGCATCTATTAAATAAAAATTAATTCCTCATTCATAAAATTAAAAATAAGATGTAGAATTTACTTCTGAGTATCCCCAAACTAGAAAGTATCTGTGATGAAACACTAAAATATATTATTCAAGATGAACTGTAAGTGATGAGCAATAAATCATTAGCAGTTATAAAGCTGAAAATAATGCATCTAAAATTAGGCAAATAATTTATGAAGTACAGCAAGATTTTTAAGACATAACCTGAAATAGAATATATTTTTGTTTTATAGAATATGAATGATGAGCCTCCTGTATGCAATCCACCACATTTGGAAACTCAAATTTATTCCACTGTTGAGTCCTTTCATTCAGCTCAACTGTTTAGCAAAGATTCTCCACAGGAACATCTGAGCTATTCAATTGTAGGAGGTAAGTCATATAATTTCAAAAATGTTATTTCTCTGCTATTTTACAAAATACTCATGTGAGATATTTTGTAACCATTGGAAATATATTATGAAACATATTTTAAAATAAAAATGTAAGACAGTCGAAATCACAATACATAATGTAATTTTATTTCCTTTTTATTACCTAATCATTCTCAGGAAATACAAATAATCAATTCACACTTAGGAGACTAGGTGTTAATCCTCCTTTCTGGCCGTCACACAAAATTTCCAGTATGAGGTATTTCAAGGGGTTCAGAGCCCTATGACTTTCCAGCTACTTATTGAAGTCACTGATGAATTAGGTGGGATAAGCCTAGTCAGCTGTCAGCCACTACAACAGTCATAATTCATGTCCTTCCCTGGACCACAACACAGCCAACTTCTTCCACAAAAACAACTACAACTACAGTAAGTACTTAGTGATGAAATATAATTCTAAAGTCATCTGAATTAGTCATAAACATAGAAAGTGCCTGGAAACTCTCACAGGAGTTAACCTTGTGTTTTGGCAATGAAAGACATCAATAAAACAGTTATTTTAATACATTTGGATTCTCATCATCAGTGTAAGGAGAAATTATTGAAGCCATTAAGCATTAATTTTGAATCAAAGTAAATATATCAATGTTAATCATTTTTATGGGCCCTTTCAAGATTTAGTTCAGAATTATTAGTAATTCTGTTGATTCTCATCACAGTATACTTTTCTTGATTTAAATTAGAACTTATAAAGGTTTTTAATGTAAATAACACCATATTGAGCTCATAAAATATTTAACAAGCTTGTTTTTTTGAAAAATATGCAGTCTGACGGGAAGACAAGATATACACTTTGGCTGAGTCAGTTCAAACTGCTTTTAAAAAATGCCATAGACTAGGTGGTATAAACAACAGACACATATTTCTCATGGTTCTGGACGCTGGGAAGCCCCATGTTAAGGTATCAGCACATTTAGTATTTTTTCTGGTTAATAGATGGCTATCTTCTCACTATGTTCCCACACCGTGGAAAGAGGGATAGACAGCTCTCTGGGGTCTTTTTTATAAGGACTCTAATGTCATTCATGAGGGACCCACCCTCATGACCTAATCACCTAAAAAATGTCCCACCTCCTGATACCATCACATTGAGGGGTGAGGATTTTAACATGTTAATTTTGAGGGAACACAAACATTCAGTCCATAACACATTTATTTAAAAAGTTACAGAAAAGCCTTCCCATTGGTTGACTTAATAGTCAAGAAGTTTTGCCTTAGTTATACAAAATCAGTATAATACAAATTTGAATATTCTTGATCCACAGGGAAAAAAATTGATTGGGGTGGTATAGGACTGGTCATTCTACCAAGTGTCTCAAAGAAGCAAATTAAAATTTTCCCTGTAACACAGTAACAGTATTCTAGCCTTCCAATTAGTCTAATAATTTTTCAATCCAATTGACACACCACATGATTAAATATAGCCAGGCACATAAGAAGATAAGATACTATAACCAACTGAGAAGTAACAGAACCACAAAAAGCAGAAACACAGTAGCTATAAGTAATGGATTATCAAACATAAACTCAATTATTATTAAGCTCATGAAATGTAAACCAAGTTTGAAATTTGGTTAGGGTGTTGGAGACTATAACGGTAATAGAATATGTTAAAATAGTTCAAATATATCTAGAAATTGAAAATACAATAACAAATTACAACTTGATAGATGGATTTAATGGCTGATTAGAAACAGCCAAAGAGACAATTAAGAACTGAAGATATGTCAGAAGAAACTATCTAGAATGAGATATGGAAAGACAAAAATGATGGGAATTACTAACGGAGAGGGAGGACATAAAATTGAGAAAGAGAAGAGCTGGTTTATTTTAACTTGAGAGATGAGACAGGGAGAGGAAAAGAAGCAGTGTCTAAATATTTTCAAAATTGATTAAAGATAACAAACTGTAAATTGAAGAAGTCTTATGATTCCCTAGAGGAAAAAATGAAAAGAAATTTATACTTAAACACAACATAGAAAATCTACATAAAATCCAAATAAAACAAGAAATATTAAAATCAGTTGTGGAAAAAAAGGAAAGATTTCCTTCAAATGAGTGTTCACAAGACAGCTGACTTTATAATAAAAATAATGGAAGCTAGAAAAATTGAAATGTTTGAGTAACAGAAAGAAAATAACTCCACCTAGAATTCTATACCCAGCAAAAAATACATTTAGGGGCAAATATATAAGCTTTCAATTTGGCTTTAACTGGATCTCATAGTATTTTTATTCATTCATTCTAAAATATTCTCTGTTCCCTTAACTTCTAAAGATATGGAGAATTTTCTAGTTATCTGTTTCAATTTTTAGTATAATTATTTAGGATCAGAGATTATAACCTTCGTGACTTCAATCAACTGAAATAGATGGGGAATTGCTTTACAGTCTGATACATGATTCAATTTTGTAAATGTTCATGGGGTCATATGATGTTTGTCAAAATGAAACTACAGAGCAATGGTAAAAAGATGAGAGTTTCAAGAAATTATACTGGGCAACTGATATGCATATAGACATAGTAGAAACAATCCCCTATAAATCAAGTCTAAATGCATTATAGACATAAAATGGCAATAATAAATAAAATAACTATACTTTAGAAAGAATTTAAGAGACTACCTTATTAATTTTGTAATAGGGAAAGATTTCATAAATAAGACAACACAAAACTAGAATAAGAAAAAAAATTAGAAAATTGAATACTTTAGAATTAAGAACTTCTTACGGATGAAAGGATAGGATGTCTAACCTTTGGATTAAAATAATTTGGGGTGGAGAGGAGTAAGAAAGAATAAAGATTAAATAAAACAGTATACATTGACAACTATTGGTATTGTATGATGGCTATCTGGTGGATTATTGTAATATTTTTATACTTTTGTGTATGTGTTAGGTATCATAAAAAGTAGTTGTAAAATAATTGAAAGGAAAATAATCTGAGATGCCCATGAACTTTGTAAAACTATTAGTATTTAATATGGTAAAGTGCTCCTCAAATTACCCTCACAGATAAAATATTCTCACTTATTTAGTGCTTCACTAAAACTGTGTTATCTGCTTTAGAGCTTTTAGTCATACATTTTATATAGTTAAACTCTATAATTTATTATTTAAATCATGAATATTCTCCTGGTCATCAGCAAAATGCTTCTGAGTCCTGCTCCCCACTCCATGGCATATGACAATATAACTTTCTTTCATATTCCACAAATATATATTAAAATTGTTTGATAAGTCAGGTAAATATTGCCTAAGACTAAGTTATATTGTCAGTGATATTGTAAGGTATTATCGTAGAATTTCAAACAGTTAAAAAATGTTGTTTTTCATTTCTGGCTCAACATGAACCTCATCTCTTTAATTTTGAGTCAATTTTCTCTGCTATAATAGATCTTGCTCCTTTGGGAGAGATCATATTTAGCCTGTATCATCGAGGAAAAAAAAGTTCCTAATTTATGTTAACACATGGATTTCCATCATTCAGTTTCCCAATTAGTAAAGCAAAATCTAGCAAAGCAGAAGACATTGTAATAAAACATTATAGATAAACAAATTTTGCAACAAGATGTGAAAGGATTCTAAAATTTGTAGTTGAGCTAAGGGGTATTCTAATCTATATACTTCCTTTAGTAATCTACATTAGGCTTGCTAAAAGAGGCAAACCAATTAATACTGTCTTGAAATGATTACCAACCTGTGACTTATGAATTTATTACCAAAGACTGTAGCAAATGGTCCATCTTTTCTCCATAACCAGTATCAGCTTTTATATTTATATGTGTACTAATATAATACGCACATCTCTGCAGGGAGACATATGTGCAAAAAGTGTAACCAAACCAGAAGTAACCTTAGAAATTCTGTGTTTCAACTAATTCATTGTGTAAGAAGGGAAAATGATATGCAGATAGGTTATCACTTACATTTGCTTGAGAGTGAGTAAACACACAAACACACCTATATATTTTACGATAGCCTTTAAAAAACTAATATTTCTAAACATTTGTTAAATGCAGCGTTGACTAGCCATTATTTATATTTGGGTACATGTATTAGTCTGTTTTCACGCTGCTGATAAAGACATACCCGTGACTGGGAAGAAAAAGAGGTTTAATTGGACTTACAGTTCCACATGGCTGTGGAGGTCTCAGAATCATGGCGGGAGGTGAAAAGCACTTCTTACGTGTTGGCAGCAAGAGAAAATGAGGAAGAAGCAAAAGTGGAAGCCCCTGATAAACCCATCAGATCTGGTGAGACTTATTCACTATCACGAGAATAGCACAGGAAAGACCAGCCCCCATGATTCAATTACCTCCCCCTGGGTTCCTCCCCCAACAAGTGGAAATTCTGGGAGATACAATTCAAGTTGAGATTTGGGTGGGAACAGAGCCAAACCATATCATTCCGCCCCTGGACCCACCAAATCTCATCTCCTCACATTTTAAAACCAATCATGCCTTCCCAACTGTCCCCTAAAGTCTTAGCTCATTTCAGCATTAACCCAAAATTTCATAGTCCAAAGTCTCATCTGAGACAAAGCAAGTCCCTTTCCGCCTACGAGCCTGTAAAATCAAAAGCAAGCTAGTTACTTCCTAGATATAATGGGGGTACAGGTATTGGGTAAATACAGCCATTCCACATGGGAGAAATTGGCCAAAACAAAGGGGTTAAAGGGCCTATCCAAGTCTGAAATCCAGCGGGGCAGTCAAATTTTAAAGCTTTAAAATGATCTCCTTTGACTCCAGGTCTCACATCCAAGTCACACTGATCCAAGAGATGGGTTCTCATGGTCTTTGGCAGCTCCACCCCTGTGATTTTGCAGGGTACAGCCTCCCTCGTGGCTGTTTTTGTGGGCTGGTATTAAGTGTCTGTGCCTTTTCCAGGTGCACGGTGCAAGCTGTCTGTGGATCTAACATTCTGGGGTCTGGAGGATGGTGGCCCTCTTCTCACAGCTCCACTAGGCAGTGCCCCAGCAGACACTCTGTGTGAGGGCTCTGACCCCACATTTCCCTTCTGCACTGCCCTAGCAGAGGTTCTCCATGAGGGCCCTGCCTCTGCAGCAAACTTTTGCCTAGACATCCAGGCATTTCCACACATCTGAAATCTAGGCGGGGGTTCTCAAACCTCAGTTCTTGACTTCTGTGTACCCGCAGGCTCAACAACACGTGGAAGCTGCCAAGACTTGGGGCTTCCACCCACTGAAGCCACAGTCCGAGCTGTATGTCGGCCCCTTTCCACCACGCTGTAGCAGCTGGCACACAGGGCACCAAATCCCTGGGCTGCACACAGTACGGGATCCCTTGGCACAGCCCACAAAACCACGTTTTCTTCCTGGGCCTCTGGGCCTGTGATGGGAGGGGCTGGCCTGAAGGTCTCCGACATGGCCTGGAGCCATTTTCCACACCCCCCCACCACCCCCCACCCCCACCCCCCGTCTTGGAGGTTAACATTAGGCTCCTTGCTACTTATGCAAATTTCTGCAGCTGGCTTGAATCTCTCCCCAGAAAATGGGATTTTCTTTTCCATGGCATAGTCAGGCTGCAAATTTTCCAAACTTTTATGCTCTGCTTCTCCTATAAAACTGAATGCCTTTAACAGTACCCAAGTCACCCCTTGGATGCTTTTCTGCTTAGAAAATTCTTCCTCCAGATACCCTAAATCATCTTTCTCAAGTTCAAAGTTCCACAAATTGCTAGGGCAGGGATAAAATGACGCCAGTCTCTTTGCTAAAACGTAACAAGGGTCATCTTTACTCCAGTTCCCAACAAGTTTCTCATCTCCATCTGAGACTACCTCAGCCTGGACCTTATTGTCCATATCACTATCAGCATTTTCGGCAAAGCCATTCAACAAGTCTCTATGAAGTTCCAAACCTTCCCACATTTACCTGTCTTCTTCTGAGCCCTCCAAACTGTTCCAACTGCTGCCCTGTTACCCACTTCCAAAGTCGCTTCCACATTTTCGGGTATTTATCAGCAATGCCCTACTCTAGTGGTACCAATTTACTCTATTAGTCCATTTCCACGCTGCTGATAAAGACATACCCGAAACTGGGAAGACAAAGGGTTTTAATTGGACTTACAGTTCCGCATGGCTGGGGAGGCCTCAGAGTCATGGCCTCAGAGTCATGAAAGTCCACTTCTTGCATGGCAGTGGCAAGAGAAAACGAGGAAGAAGCAAAAGTGGAAACCCTTGATAAACCCAACAGGTTTCGTGAGACTTATTCACTATCAGGAGAATAGCACAGAAAAGATCAGCCCCCATGATTCAATTACCTCCCCCGGGTCCCTCCCACAACATGTGGGAATTCTGGGAGATACAAAACATATTAAGTTGATATTTGAGAGGGGACACAGCCAAACCATATCAGTATGTTATAAAGGTCACCTGTATTTCCAACTATCTGACTATTTCCCAACTGTATGGTCAAACCTTGTGCTTGGTGTTGGCGAACAAAGTTAAGAAAGTCAGAGAAAATCCTTCTTACTATAAATGGTGGAATATCCAACTGTAACTGGTTTAAATAATAAACATTCATGTTCAGAAAGTGGAGGATTATTACAGCATAAATTTGAAGATACCTGTACAACATCCTAAGGAAGATGGACTTTGTCTTCCAATCAGAGAGGATCTAAAGAAAGATTACAAGAGAGGGTGACAGTATCAGCTATTTCTAAGTATGAATGATTTTAGAATAAAGATGTAAAAATATGAAAATATGAAAGGAAGATTGGTGGATGGAGATAAAGTGCTCACAAAACGAGTTAGGAGCTTGTTTTAATAATCCAGATGAAAGACTTAGGCTCCAAACCAAGGCAATAGTACTTTATGTGAAGATGAACTGCTCCATCAAAAATATACATAATTAATAGAATTCACCATCTATTTTATTTAAAATGTGTGCATTAGAATATATGTATTATGATATATCATGGGAAAGAGAATTTCTGTTAGGACCTAGCCATTATTATTATAGACTGTATATTTTATTATTATTAATACAAAGCAGATCTTTCTATTTAGAATATTGGATGAGATATGAAAACTTAAAAACATTTCTGAGTGGTTAGAATATACTGCTAGAATTTTATCTGCTTCTAAAATATAACTATAAAAGTCTATTTCAGAAATAGAACATTCTTAAAGCCAGATTGCTAGCAATGTCTATGAATTTTAGAGGGAAAAAAAGGCCTAATGATAAAAAGTTCAAAGTAATTAAGAACAAATTCAATTACACTACAAATATTACGGGAGACAACTTCAGCATGAAATTCACTATAAATGCAGATTTTTTAAGGAAAACTTCATTCTACTTTCTTTAGAAAAAAATTAGAGCATCCCATAAACTGTATCTACTGAAAGCGTTCAATAAAGATCATTGCACATTTTACAATGCCAAATATGGTACTTGATAAATCAAAGACCAATGTCATATGTTATCAGAAAGGTATGTGATAGTTCATAATTGGGAGGAGGGGAGGTTCATGAACTGTGTTAAAATCTGATGAAAGCTTATGGCTCCTCTCTCTAGAACAACACATACATATTACATGTGTGTACATGTATGAATTTTATATTCAATTTTAGAGCCTGTAAAACCCATCCATGGAATCCAGGTTGCAAAACACTGACTGAAAACAAGAGTTTATCAGTGCTTTTGAATTTGTTAAAAAAAAATGTTTTCATGAGCAAAATATGTTTCTATTAGTATATAGTAAAAGTCACTAACACATAGCTACAGGGAAAGTTTTACATAATATATTCCTTAAATATGTCAATATTTGGCATGCACTAGTAGACATTAGAATAAATAAAATAATACCTTGAAACCTAGGAAGGAGAATAGAAAGAAATCCTTTTATCTTAAATGTAGAAAAACTTAGTTAAAAAAGCTGATGATAAATAAGCCCAACCCTAAATTAAACAAAATAAACAAAACTGTTGTATATTGTCTCCTGATTAACCTTAGTCTTTGAACCCATACCTGTCTCCTGATTAACCTTAGTCTTTGAACCTATACGTGATTATTCAAAGGTCTCTCTCAGGGCAGGTAGAGAAGACATTAAGCCATGTTTCATGAACTGAATTAAACTCTTCCAATTTGAGTCCAGATTGGCTAAAGAGACAATGAGGTAACTGGCTAGACACTATTTCCTGCAAATGTGATCCCCAAGGAATTATGAATCAAAATTCCTGAAACTATCTTTATGTAGCAAATTGAGCCCGTAATAAAAATTCCAGAACTAATGTCCACTTTGACAAAATGAAAGAAAGGTATATTTAAATCATCAAAGTTTATAACTATGTTTTTTTACTCTGATTTCAACATAAACAGTGTATAAGCAGAAGACTAGGAAGGAGAAGGTCTATAAATAACTCTGTCCAATCTTTTCATTATTTCAACCATTCATATTTCATGATGCAAATCAGTAATGAAAAGGTTTTAAACCATCAGTGAAGAACTAAAAAAAGTTTAAGAGCTGCGTACAGTGACAAAACTGGAATTTTTAGTGCTTTTCACTTAATTTGGACATTAAAGATGAATCCTGAGGATATTATGGCTGCTTAGACACACCAGAGACTTATATCTTTGTAACCTTATATGTTTTTTCTTCTATTGTGCTCGTTGCACAGGCACATTACTTTTCCAAGGCTGATTTGACTCATCAAACACCAAACCCTTACTACATATACCTCATAAGATAATTTACAACCAAATACTCTTGGCACTTTGTTTTCAGCTGATAATTTGGAACAGTAGTATGCTGGAGCTGGCTTATCCCAGCTGAGAGAGCCTATTGTTAAGCATGCAGAAATTTTGTAGTCTTGTTGCTAAGCATTTGGTAGCTTGAAATAGGTAATGATGGGAATATTTATGTCACAAAAATTGGCAAATACTACATACCAGGTTTTTGGTTTTGTTTTACATTTTAAGAGTTGGTTTACCAGCATATTATTGGACCTGTTTTATTCTTTAGTAGACATAGAAAGGCAGAAAAATTTATGGTGAATAGGAAGAAAATTTAAGAGAAATTAGCAATGTTTATGTATGATATGGATATTTTTTTGAAGTCAGAGTACCCATGGAAGCCACCAGCACTATCTGCTAGCCTGAGTCTAATATTCACTAGACTCTATCCAAAACACCTGTAGAGATTAGAGAAATATATTACTTCCTGTCAACTATGCTTTAATATCCACCCTGCCTTGTCAACCTAGGAAGTGGAGCTCATTGTGGTTATTTCAATGATCACCTGATGTCTCTAACCCATGAATTAAGGTTCTCTTGTTATTCTTTGTCTTCTCCTAAGATGAAGACTTAAATTGCAAAATAATAGTAGTGGATAATAATGGTCACAAATTGTTAGCCTACTGAATGCTATAAACTTCCATAAGGTATTTTCTTCCTCATAGAAACTCTACAAACTAGGCAACATTGTTCCAAACAAAAAAATTAACTTGCTCAAATTAAGTGTAAGTCATAATTTTAGCCCAGATATGTCTATTTCCAGAGAACATGTTTGCTCCATTATACTAGTATTTCTATATTTTCAAACTTGATTAACTCATGCATGCTTTTTAAAGAAAAATGAATCCCCCAGACATCCAATATTGATTTATATTATTTTTGTAAGAGGGATAAAAAATATATTAAATAATATATCTTTAAATGTAGTAGCAGAATTATAACAAATCTGCCTCTCTTACCTCAAATTGTTTCTAAGAAAAAATTAGTAAAGAAGCATTGATGTAATGAGTTGATGATGATGAAAATAATACCTTTATGGTATGCCAGAAATTGGAGAGGCTGTGACAAAACATATTAAAAAGAAAGCATGCCCATTTTTATCTGGTCTGGCCAAGCATACAGGACAGATGCATGATGAGATATGATGTATGTATTTACCCCTGTGTGAAACAACAATAAAAGATCCCTTAGACCTACTGGGGGACAATGGAAATATTTGCTGCTTATCTTGGGACTTCTGATATTCAACCTATAAACTATCTAATCATTCTTCTTAAATTGTGAATATGGGAACTAAGGGGCTAAGTCACCCTTCTATTTGTGGATTGGGAACAAATTCTCTTGGTGACCCTCAAAATATTTCACTTTCTTCTGTTTGATAAGGGACATAAGTTATGCAACTGTTTGACTATTTCTGTGTGTATTATTTCACATTTAACCACTCTATAAAAAACAAGCTGCATGAATAAATAGTGAGAATCACATTTTACATTAATTTATTTATTGGTCTTTGTGTCCATCTGACTCTCAGAAGGAAACAGACAGAAAAAAATGAGAAGAGTTGTGGAAGGAGCTATTTAAAAGGGTGTAGACAAAGTCAAGGAAAACCAGCATGACATATATCTGCCTGTCATTTCATAAGCAAATTACATCCTGTAATTGATATACATTTGATATACATTTCCTTTTCTGATTCCACTTGATGACTGCTGCCTAAAGATACTCAATGAAGTCTTCCTAGGCCATTCAACGTAAGAGCTAGAGTTTATTTTTAAGGAAAATAATGTCTTACCTTATTAAAAAGAGAACACTACTTACACTAGTTTTTATTAGCAGAATTGACTTATTTTTTAAAGATTACCTATAAGCTAGAAACTAATAGTGTACTTAATATTTTACACAATATAAAGGAAGCCCCATGTCATTCCAGTGTAATGATGTGGATAGTCAAAGTGAGACAAGTCACTGATTAAAGAGATTTAAACAATTTTTAGGTTTGGATCATTTTGTTTTGATCTCCTAAATAATGACCTTTCATTCGAGAAAAATACTAGTTGTGCAATTAATGGCTTAAAATTTCTGTCTTTATATTTGTAAATATTTTTTCCTTTTTTTCTTTTCATGCATTTATTCTAATTTGCATGACATATATTAATTGAATTAGTACATAGGATTAAGAATGAATAAGAAGCTCAAGGAGTAATATTATAGTAAAAGAAAAAAGCAGTTAACTTTTTTATAGTAACAAGGCTCAGAAAACAATTTTGACAATATTAATTTTTAAATTTTAATCATATTCAATCATTTATAATATGACCAGGCCTTCTAATCAAAGGGAAGTAAAGTTTTCAAATGAAATTTTGAAATTAAAGAAATGCAAACAACAATTTCACATAGATTGCATCAAAACAGTTTTTACATTTATAGTAAGCAATCTTAAGGTCCAAGTAGTGCAACAGAAAGAGTGTGGCCTTAGGAATAAGACAGGTCTTGGTTTGAATTCCAGCTTTCACTAGATGATCCTGTAAAACTGGGTTGAGTTATTCACCACCATTGAACCTCAGTTTCCAATTTTCAATAGAAATTATTAAAAGCTATTTTAGAAGCCTCTCCTGGTGCCGTGACCAGAATATAGAATGTGATTAATAGCTAGTGGCATTATATTAATGTTTATTAATTGTTATTTTATTTTATAAATGTTTATTAATTGATTATAAACACAGAAAGACTGTTTGAAAACATCAAGTGTAAGTGATTGCTGATATAGCTACCAAACCTCCAGTTCTCATTCACAGTTCTCCTTAAGGAAAAAAATGTTATATTTTATTTTATTATTTTATTTATTTTATATTTATTTATTATTTATACTGATATTTTAAAAAGTATGTTTTAATATTTATTAAATTTTATAGTAATTTTCTTAGCAAATGGGCAAGACCAGCATTTCTTCTTAAATTAGAATTTTTACCACTATTTGAAACAGATCATGAGAAGTATCCATTAGACATACTTGAAAGAAAATTTCTTAATTGCAACCCTTTAAATAATCTTCTTCCAGTGAGAATTAAATGAAATAATTTGGAAGCCAGTAGAAATAGTATAAATTTTACTCTTCTAGGTCATAGCCTTGCACATCTGCTGAGACTATAATGCCCACTGACGAAAGATTTCATGACAGGGAAGATTATTATTATTGTCTTTTCTGTAAAATATAACAAGTTAAGTAATTAAGGTTATGAATCAAACCAAATTAACTGTGCACAGCTGTAAGAAGCTTAGTGCATGACCACATGACAGATGGGAAATTCTTTTGTTTTCACTCGTGATTTACCTAATGGTGAGATAAATGTCTGATGACATACAAAAACCAGCGTCCTGTCAATCCTTAGCCATTTATTTCATCACTCCTCATGTTCCTGACAGGGAGGAGTAACGGCTCAATTGTCCAAGTATAAGTATCTTCATATTTTCTGCTTAGGCAAAACTGTAAGCTGTGGGAAAAAAAGTTTTAAGTTACATTTTAAAAGTAAATATAAAAAGGTACACTTTGCATAATTCTATATACGTAATCTAAAATAACTTTCAGAAATTTTACGATGCAATAATCGTATCAAATTTTAGTATTTTAATTTAATTAATATCTGACAAAAAACTTCCTAGTCATGGAAATGATCTTTATAAATCTATTTATATGTAAAATTTCCACATTAAAAAATCATTTGATTAAATCATATTTAGTGTCAGCCGTTTTTGTCCATGTTACAAAGGGGAAAATGAAGACACCAGAAGTTTAAATAACTTTATCAAGGTCACAGACTTAGTGAGTGGTAGAACCAGAAAGACCGGCAAAGAGACAGAGAAATGGTCAAGGCTTGAAGAGTCTCCTCACTTGTAAGGCAAGTGAGTTGGAAAAAAGATAATAAAACGAGGTGAAGAGATTGACAGGGATCATATTATGCAAAGACTTAGAAGCCATAATAAGTATAGAGATTGATTTCCAATTAATCAAATTACAAGTCATTTGGACAAGTGCTGTAAAGGAAGTGTAAATAAATGTAGGACAGATAACATGGCAAATTCTGACTTGAAGAATATTGAGAAACTCCCAGAAGAGATATTTGTATTTTATGTAGGTCTTTGATGGATAGAATGAGAAGCAAAGACATTTCAACATGGTAGAAATTGAGGAGCATGGATATAGGAGTGCATAGTCTTTTCTTGAAGGGAAAGAAACCAAGCATGTCTGGAGCATGTGAGGAGCACTGGCCAGAGGCAAGGCCAAAAAGGGAGATACTTGGTAGATTGACGAAGGCCTAGAGTCAATGGTATGGGTTTTAGACTTTGTTTTGTAGTCAATACAAAGCCATGTTAGATTCCTAGGAAGTGTAAATGAATAATTGAAACTAAACCAGACGAGTGAAAGATAGAATGCAGAAGAGAAGACTGGAGGTAGCAGGTTCAGGCAGCAGGCAATTGCCAGAGATAAGGCCAGGCATTTGCCTTTACCCTCGTGGTTACTACCTACTGGGGCCTCCAAAGAGTTTACAAACGATGAAAACATAAAGGCATAATGGAATAAGCTATGGAAGTGCTGAGAGGATCAAATGCTAATCCTCAAATTTGGTTCTTTAAAAATGTTTTGACTCACCAATTGAAAAAGGATATGCTGAAAGGGTCCAGCTTGCACATAATGTACACTTCAGTATTTACTCTGTGTAAATGGATTTACTCTGTGTACATGGATTACTAAAGCTATTAGATTAGAATAGCTATATGTATTGTACAAAGAATTTTGTGAGGATTAAATGAAACAAGAGATATGAAAGCTCTTGTAATAAATGTTATATAAATATAAACCATTAATATTCTATTTAATCCCTATACAAAGATTTTGCTTTTACATTACTAGTGAAAAATGTAATATTCCTACTTATCTTAGATTTTGAAATATGAAAAAAATGTGAATTAATTAAGATAAAAGCTTTAGTTGTGTGTATATGAGAGAGAGGTAAATAAAAGACAGAGAAAACAGAAATCAGGAAATCTACCCTTTTTTGTCAGGCAAGTGAAGTGCAGGAAGTTAGGATGATTCCTTCAACTAACCTTTAAGCAATTTTCAAATGCCTCGAACTTGCTCTACACAGTTAAATTCTCATGGATGAAAATTTGTAGTTACTTTTATATGAATATAATGGTGATTTACAAAATGATGCCTACACACCTTGATAGAGGAATTGGATTGTTTTCTCAAAACTCTCATATATCCTCATTTTGGGGGATGTTGCCTAGTCCACTGAAAAGAACGTGGTCTTGGAGATACATGAATTTTTATCTGGATACCAATTCTGCCACTTAGTGGAGATACATGAATTTTTATCTGAATACCAATTCTGCCACTTAGTGGCTATGGAACTTTTGTTAACATACAGAGCTTCAGCTCCTCCTTCATAAATTGGTGGTATTGAAAACATCTCTTTTAGAATGGGCACGTAATATAGCTAAAAGGCTGTGTTAATAATATAGCTAAAAAATATAGCTAAAAGGCTCAGCACCAATCATGACAAATAGTTGCTTTTAAATAAATGCTACCCCTACTCTTTTTGGTTTTAATCTGCCGTGCTGTCACCAAATGTGCCCAATGAAGAAAGAAACATGTTCTAAGAGTATGTTTTCAAACGTTTTCTCACAAACACCTTTGTCAGGCTCTTTATTTCCTTCATATGGCAATTCTTGAAATGTAGTAACTGCTCAACGAATATTTATTAAAAGAAAGAGAAAGGAAGGGAAGAAGGAAAAAAAGGAAGGAAGTCGGGAGGGACATAAGGAAGGACGGAAGAACGAATGAGAAAGCAAGTTAAACAGGTGTGGGCTGTGGTATCTTTACTTATATTAGTCGTGACATTCTTCCCCATACCTGTGCTTAGTGCAGGTATTATTTCTTAACGAGCTGTAAATAGAGCTAGGTGATTAAGTGTGGTGATCAAGTTGTCTGTCATTCTTTTAGTCTATGATCTGGAAATACAGCGTAGTATTTATTTAAGAAAACAAGGCCACAATACTTCACCTGACACTACTGGAGCCTTTCTCGATCTTTCTTTGTCCAGACATGCCCTTGTTGTTGTATAAAACAGAATGTTCAGTCCTATAGTAGCTGATCTCTGCAACTATCAAAATTCGACAAAGTAATCAGGAGTCCTCTCACTCAATTGTATAAGTAGTGTTTTTTCTGTTACTACCATTGTTGACTGATCCTTCTTTGCAGAGGTCTGTTTTCTACTTTTATTATTTCTGTGAAATCAGCCTCATGAATTATGTTGGCATAAGAAATGACACACTTTTGGGAGGCTGAGGCGGGCAGATCACCTGAGGTCGGGAGTTGGAGATCAGCCTGGCCAGCATGGTGAAACCCCATCTCTGCTAAAAATACAAAAATTAGCCAGGCATGGTAGCGTATGCCTGTAATCCCAGCTACTCAGGAGGCTGAGGCAGAAGAATTGCTTGAACCTGGGAGGTGGAGTGTGCAGTGAGCCGAGATCGCACCACTGCACTCCAGCTTGGGTGACAGAGCAAGACTCCAGCTGAAAAAAAAAAAAAAAAGGCACCTGGCCGGGTGCAGTGGCTCACACCTGTAATCCCAGCACTTTGGGAGGCCGAGGCAGGTGGATCACTTGAGGTCTGGAGTTCTATACCAGCCTGGCCGACATGGTGAAACCCCATCTCCACCAAAAATATAAAAAATTAGCAGGGTGTGGTGGTGCATGCCTGTAATCCCAGCTACTCAGGAGGCTGAGGCAGGAGAACCGCTTGAACCCAAGAGGCGAAAGTTGCAGTGAGCTGAGATCCTGCCACTACACTCCAGCCTGGGTGACAGAACAAGACTTCATCCTCACACACACACAAAAAAAGAAAGACAGAAAGAAGGAAGGAAAGAAAAGACACCTAGTACTTGAGTGTTCACAAAACTTATCCTATCTTATGCTGCCATCTGCTGGGAAGGTAATGTTGCTTGGTCATGGACTTTACATTAAAATCTGTGTTGAACTTTGTATTGCTAGCTTCTTAAATGGTCACACATTAGATAGTAATGGAAAATTACTTGGGTAAAAAACTTTTTGTGCTTTTATGATAGGAAGCAGGAAAGGGCTACAATGGTCTGACCCATTTTTGAAATAATGCTTTGCCCTATTAAAAACTTGCTGATTCATTCTATCTGTCGTTGAGCCAACACTAATTATTGTCTTCTGTGCCAAGAACTACAGAGAATCCACAAAGATGAGCAAGGAATGGTTCTGTTTAATAGGAGTTTATTTCCTAGTAGGAAGAATCACAAAAGAAGTAAATGTGGCAAGGTATTCTAGATGTTACAGTAGAAATATAAGAAAAGAGGGCGTGGGTATGGTAATTTCTACCCCAAAGTCAGGCTTCTTGCAAGAGCAATGGTAGAGGATAACCATTATAATGAACAAATGTTCACCAACAAGGCAAGACAGGAGAAAGAATTCTGGCCAGAAGAAATATTATAAACAGACATTTGTTTCTAAAAAACAATGATGTTTGTTTTTTGTGACATTAAGAGATGTTAGTTATTTTGTCTTGTAATTTGCTGTATTTGTTTTTAATTATTCAAAGAGAAGAAATAGAGTGAAATATGCAAGATATTCTACACAGCATATACGTCTTTATAGTTTTGTCCATTGTACTGCTATTAATACTTCATATTTATTATATTTCTCAGATTACTACTTCTGTATTAATAAAGATTTCATATTATTGGATCCCTGATAACTGGATTCCTGCATTATTAACAGGAGCTCTTTTTGTGATGTGCCTCTATACTATTGCATGGTGCCTCTTCAAAGAGTAAGATTTTAATTGCTGTTTCTATTTGAATTTGTTCATGGCTCATAAAGTCCATCAACGATGCCTTAAAAAGAGCAGGATGAAAGTAGAAAGAAGAGATTGGAGAAAATGTCATTGAGCAGCTATTACTTTAAGAAGTGCTTTACTGATGTTATCCGTGCTGATAATCACAACAATGGTGAGAGATAGGTAACAGCATCAGTGTTTTTGATTTAGATAAATGATTTTAACCAAGATCTTCTGGTTCTAAAGCTAATGTTCTTTTGCTAAGTGATCAATCAAATGATTCAAGCTAAAACCATTCGTCTGAAAAAAAAAAAGAAAGAAATGAGATTTTTAATATTCCCATAGAAAAGGAAGAGATGAAATTTAGTTGGTACATATTTAAATAAGATCAAGTCCTCTGCCTATATTTTCCTGTCAAAGGATAGACAGAAGTCTCAAAAAGGTAAGATGAAAAAATTTCAATAGTAATTATAGAAGGAGTGAATTAATTCAGGAAATGTCTCCTGAGCTTTCAGGGATAAGATTGTGCCAGGTGAGCAGAATACAGAAATGCTAACAAGAAGTACTCACCCTCCAGGAGCACAGCCTTGACTAGAAAGGGTTCAGGAGAATGAATGGTTACAATAGATTAGAAGAGAGAGTAAAAAGACAGGGTAATTGAAATTTAAATATCTTTCTATGGCATACTTAACTCTGGCTCAGAGAGATTGGGCAGGGAATGTTTCACAGAGAACACGCCACTGAAACTGGCAGTAGAAGAATGAATGGAAGAAAATATAAAGGAAATACATAAAATATAATTTAGTTTATATTTAAGGGTGATTTTTTTTTTGAGAGGCATAAAAATGGAAACAGGATTATATGAACACTACTATATTTCCTCACCAACAAAAGTCTGGCTTTTATCCCGGAATATGGAGTATAGATTCTGCAAGGTAAAGTAATAAAACCTAAAGATAATAGTTGTATTAGCATGAAAGTAAAAATGTATTAAGGACAACTGAGAAGCTGCCACTTTTATGTAAAATGGAAATAGTATAGTAAATTTGAATTTTTGTTTTGAAGGTGATATATACCTTAGCACAATATTTGGATTTATAATGGTGATATCAAGTGTCTGAATAAATAAGCAATTTATTATTTAATTTTAAAAAGGAACCATTTGTCCAAAAATATAGTGAATTAAAGTGTAATAAGTAGGTTTAAAAGTAAGTGTTGCACCCATTTCCTCCTTTTCCCTGTAACTAACTCCTGAATGAAATCTTGTTCAGATGTATCATGGAAGGAGATCTGTGGATGTGCAATAGACAAGAAGAATATTGCAGAATAATAGTGCTACCATAGTGTATCTAGAAACTTCTCCCCAGATATTCCACTAGAATGGAATCTATTACACTAGAAACTTCTCCTGAGATATTCCAGTGTCATCTACCATGTTCATAGGTTTTTTTCTGAATGTAGAAACGGCAGAGTAATCTGAAATATTTTTTTCTGAGGAGCTGATATTTTCTTATTGGATTTTATTAAAATAGTTTAAGGACATTTTTACTTTCACATTCAAAATAAATTATTATTGGCATTATGTGCAACTGTTTTATTTTTTACATGTGGACGGTTAACTAGAAGTTTAAGGCTATTTGATTAAGATCAAAGCAGGGAGTTGATTTTGATAAATTTTGACAATTTTGATCAGAAAATAAGCATTCAGTTTCTTTTTTCAAACATACTGCACCCCTGTTTTTTGTTCTTTTACTGTAGTTCTCCCATTTTTTTCAAGATTATTTCCCCAGTGTCACAAACATCACCAGAGCCAACCAAGTCTCACGACCAAAGGGCCTGGACTGGTACCAAGGTAAAAGCAGAGTCGATGCTTTAAAGAAAGAAATTTTAGGCAGTAAGATGAGTTCCTTAATGCTTTATTAATTTTCACATAGAGAACCACAAAATAGTGGTTGGTACCTTAGTCCATTCTGGCTGCCATAACAAAAATACCATAAGATAGGTGGTTTATAAGCAGAAAACATTTATTTTTTACGGTTCCAGAGGCTGGGAAGTCCAACGTCAAGGTAGGAGCAGATCTGGTGTCTGGTGAGGGCCCGCTTCCTCTTAGACAGAGCCTTCTCACTACAACCTCACATGCTGAAGGGGTGAGAGGTTTCTCAGGGACCTCTTTTGTAAGGGACACTAATTCCATTCACAGGGGCTCTGCCCTCATGACGTATCTCTCAAACAGCCCCAGTTCCTAATGTCATTACCTTAGGGGTCAATTTAAACATATCAATTATAGGGCACACAGACATTCAGATCACAGCAATTAGCATTTTAGAAGTTTAAATTTTGCTCCTAAATTCTTTAACAGAGGAATTTTCAAAAATGACTCTATGTTCATTCAACAATATCTATTGACTACATAATATTCTTCTAGGCATGGGGAAATAGCAGAGAGCAAAATCAGATTTATAGATGAACACTGGGATCTGCTACTGGTATTCTGCCAATTCTACAAGGTTGTTACTATTTTCAAGTGAAGTTATTTATATAATGATTAGGGGTGATAAATGCCACAGAAATTAGAACAAATACAGTTTGTTTTTCAAGAATCTAAGATGAAATATATAAATTTATTACTCAGAGCAGCATCAAGATCCATTATCTCTATCTAGAAAAGATATTAACTGGAATTATTAATTTTGAACCTAAGAACACAAAATGATTGATTTATTATATATAGAAGTTTATCAACAGTTAATGTAAGGGCTATTTAAATATAGCATTATGTAGTATTTGCTTACCTACTTCTTTATAAAAAATCTAAACTGTTAAATTATTTAGGATTTATGCAGAAAAGCACTAAAATATATTATTTGTATTAAAGGATAAAATAAATACTTCCAGTATGTCTTAATTTTTTTTATGGGCATAGAAACTTATTGAGTAGTGATCCCAAACCAAACATGAGACCAAACTTGCTGCCTGGAAATCATCAGGTAAGGACAAAGAGAAAAAACATGTCATAGCTATTACAATAGCTACTCTTATTTTTCATAGTGTCCAGACAATAAACAAGCACTTGCAAATATGTCATACTGAATGGTAACTCTTAAACAAAAATGAGAGAATTTAGACATTTCTGTTGAGGTGGAAATTAAGAAAGAAAGAGCGAATTCAATTTTAAGTGATTGACATTGGTGACATCAGTGATGGGGGAAATAATATAGTAATGTTGATATATCAGTAGGAGACTCAATTGATGGTGTATATTAGTGAGATGGCATTCAATTTTCTATTGTTCTGTATTTCTCCCTATTGAAGTCTGAAAAATATTAGGTGAAATTAAATTACATAGATAATCTAGTAGAGGTGTAGCTAAGGATACCTATGATGCCCATTCATCCTTATAACACTCAGATATTTAACAAATATTGACTGTATGCCAAATTGTCTTATGGGATTTCTCTCACTGAAACATTCATTTAACATATATTTCTTTTGAATTAACCCCAAACCACATAGTTTTGCTCAATTACAGAATTAGTTTTTACATAAAATTATATTTGACTCAATGTCTTTGTGTTGGTAAAATATTTTCCAGTTAATATCAAAATAATTTGTACCCAATTTGATCTATAAGGTTAATTCAACAGGTATTTATGCAACACAACTGTAGAGCTCTACAGAGTTATCTATGGATTACTTAAGAAATTTAGAGAAGTACAAAATATGGTCTTCACTCTTCAAGAACTGATATTTTAGTTGTGAAAAGATATGAAAAATATTGTAGGGAATTATGTGTGGTAGTTTATTAATTCCTGATAACTGTGCATGCCAGCATGTAATACACCCTGTAGGAATTCAGAGAACAACAAGTGAGCTAAACCAGTCAGAGGAAACTTGGAGAATTAGTATGGAGGGTCACATGAAGAATATATGTCTTTTTCTAGATGGAGAACAGTGGGAAAGAGGTTTCACAGTCCTGGCATTAAGCACCGTGTACAAACTCCCAGACTTTTTACAAGCAAGCTTCCCTTTCACCTCACCCAGCTGTCTCTCCTTCTTTGCCGTTGTCATATTTTGGAACTAAATTCAGATATCTATACTGCCACCCTCTCCAATCTCACACCTGGACCAAGTTAGATATATCTAGAGAAACCCATACATGCTTCATAATTGCATTTATCGCACCATATTAATATACATTATGCACATACATATATATGTACATACATATGCTTGTATATGTGTTTCCCACCATACTATTCCTTTCACCTCCTGCACTAATGATTTTTTTACCTTGAAGAACACTGCTGTGGAGGTGTTCATACTTGCATACACATCCCAATATCATAGAGTTTAAAGATGGAATAAGTGACTTACTTATTCCCCATTTCATCCTCTTCCGGAATATGTCTCTTTCTTCCTTCACAAATTGCTGCCTTTTGAGGTATCTATCATCAGATTTTAACAGCCATTAATTGCTATCACTGTTATCCTCAAAATCATCAATGACTTTAATTTCTGGTTCACAGGGTTTTTTCGCTACTACTTTTCCTGGCATGTTTTTTTGGCATGTTGAAACTCCACAAAAACGACCAACCAATATAATGGCTGATCAGTTCTTTTAACTCCTTTCTTCCTACTCTTTGGTCCTTCTCCCTGTTCCAAACATCCATTCTCATGGTCTCACTCAAGACTTTGTCATCATCAGTAATTGCAACACTGTCAAAAAAATCTAGATTACAAAGGAGCCCATTCTCTGATCATTACCCAACTTAATCCAAAATATTTATATGCTTATTTAAGGGTCTAAGCTGATGACCCTATTACTTTTTCTTTATCCATTACTTCTTTCATGTGTCACTTTTCTTATATGGTTTGGATTCCATTGTCCAGCACAATTACTGTCTTTGCAAACTCTTAACTCCTTTGTCCCAACAGCCTCCTTAAAACTTAAGGAAAAAATCTCAATCGTGATGAAATCCAACTAGGTGCAGTCTGCTCTATGACTGCACCTAAGCAGCAGTGTGTTCCTGTTGAAAATAACATAGTATGCCCTCTGAACTCATTTCGGATTGATGACCATTCCTTCAAATGGCAGCTCAATACAGACACACCTAACCTTAGGTCCTTCATAAATTCACTTTACCCCTTACAGTAAAAACAGTATCACAGTTTTCTAATGCTTCCATCTCTTCTCACTCTTATCTGTGGTATCTCCTCACATTTCCTAAACAAAAAAGACACAATTGGCTTCACAAACTCTCCCTGACTCCTAAAACCAACTCTACAAACATGTCTGCATCAGTACTACAAAGCCTGACCTTTCTCATTCCAGAAGACTCCTTGCTCCTTTCTAAGGTTGTTCTCTCCGGTTATGCTTTGGACACCCATCTCTCTGGTCTTCTCATGGAAAATTCTACTCTCTCTACTGGATTATTCACATTGTCTGACGTGACTTAAAATATTCTACTTTCAAAATACCTTCTCTACCCCCTTCCTTCCTTCAGCAACCAACCCATTTCTGTTATTTTCATAGTAAATACCCTTTAAAAGAGTTTTCTAGACTAGCTATATACAATTTGTTTTGCCTTCTAATATCTATTCAACTCACTCCAAAGGGGGTTATGCTCCAACATTTCATTGAAATGACCTTATCCATATCTGCAATGACCTACAATTTAGGAGAGATGTGGCCCAAGCCTGATTTCTCTAAATCTATTGTTATGGAGCCAATAAAAATGTAACAGTGCACATGTTTCTTAGCTGCCCTGGAGACATGGTATAATAGTGACGAGTGTCTTGGATATGGCCTGGGTAAAGCTTTAATATCAACAAGTAAATTGCTATGAAACTATAAGGAAGCATCCTCTATGTTGTAAGTGTATTTACTTAAAACATGAGTAATAGGAGTAAACAAGACAATCATTTGATTCAGTTGTCAGATTTCTTGTTTTGTAAATAATTCTAGTATAGTGAGCCTGTGAATATCAAAGTGGTAATCCTATTAGGAATTATAAGGTCATTGATAATGTCAGCCTCTCTATATAGGAATACAAATTTAAAATGGAATAATAATTGTAAAGTATTTCCTCTAGCCATGAATAGTTCATGATGGATGCAGAATTGACCCTGGTAAGAAGCACATTATAATATCAATGTTCTTATGTCTAAAAAAGTATTTCCAAAGTGTGGAAAAAGTTTCACCATGCTGAGAGAAGAATTATGGTGTGATTAATTAATGTATTGTTCAGTTTTAGTTAATGAAAGATGCCTAATTAAAGGAATTATAAATACTTTTGTTTAAAAGTCTAATAAGTTGTTCTACTATTCAAAAATCCACTATTTAATTTTTCTTAATCACAATAATTCATAAATTCTTGAAATATTTTCCTTGAAACTATATTCTGAAAGTTCACAAACCCCCTCTTAAGTAGATTTAACTGCATTCTGTTATCTCCCATTAATCTCCATTACCACTTGAATAGCCTTAATTAATCACTTTTGCCTGCCACGGCAGTAGGCTCCTAATTGACCTCAGGGTTTCTGTTCCACATTTTCTTAAAAAGCTTCAAATAGTGCCTACACTGCCACTGTATAATGACACAAAATATTTATGAGCCACACTGTGTGAGTAGGTACTAAGTGCCAGTGAGCAAAAAGCACACTAACATGTAATACTCATGAAACCATGAGGAGGAAGGTAATATTCCAGTTTTTAAGAAAATAAATAGTTGGGCCAACTTCCCATTGCCCAAATTCCAAATTCTTAGTTGATGAAAACAAGCATGTTCTTTATTATCCCTAAGACCTATACAATCCCAGATATATTAATCCTGGGAATATAGCACGATTTGTAGCTTACAAAGCTTGTCACAATGCCATGCCTTTATTCTTTTGCATAGGACTTTATTGCACATATTCTCTTTATATCGTTTCCGACCTCTTTCACTCTTCTTTAAATAGCTAACTTCTACTTGCAAAGCAAGGTACCTCAGACATCACATCCCCTTTATAAGCTTACTTGAATGGGCATCTCTCCACTGTACTCCTCAAACACTTATCGCCATATATAATATCATTGGCCTCTTTGTCGTTCTTACTGTAAACTTCTTGGAAGACAGTAAGAGATATTAATTGAATGTTTATCTCCAGTGCAAAGCAAATACTAGGCACTCAAAGTATGTTTATTTAAGAGAGGATTTGCCATTTAAGAGCTTGCTAGTAACCTTTAAGAAGGTAAATATCATGGTACAAGGGATTAATGACTTAACGGAAATAAGTAATCAGGTGTAAGTTGTCCTTTCCAGAGGGTTTCTAGCAAAAGAGAAGGAAGATATGGGAGTGCAGGATGACACAATATAATTTTAAGCAATAGTTATAAAAATATTTTTTGCTCTAGAGTAGAGCAGAGATGTGGTATCTCTCACACGTACATGTGTGAGTGTGTGCACATGTGTGTATAATAAGCTAAGGGGAAACTTTTACTGGAACCATAGATGAAGTAAACAATAGATAAGGTTTGTTTTAGGCATAAACATGTAGAGGTAACAATTAGTGTTTGAGAATAAGATAGAGCTCAATTGGAGTCACAGCTCATCCTTTAATTTCTACACAGTCATAGGGAATCCATTTAGTCTGTCTGAACGTCAGTTTCCTCATATGTAAATAGGATGTATGTGTGTTATTAAGAAATACTGATGCCTGTGTACTACTAACAGAAGTATTTATTGACTAGGGGTGGGATGTGTTAAAAAGACCATTTTCCCCTCAGGTGACTCTAATATGCAAGCAGGCTTGAGAAACACTGCACTATGCAGAGGGATTGACTCTCTTAATGTCCTTCTTTTTCAAGTGCTGATGATAGGTTTATGATTGGCATAGGTGGAACCCATCAGAAGGTACAAGTGAGAGGAACTCTAAAAGGTACAGATAAAATAAGTGAAGCAGGAGCTAATAGATAAGGATGAGGGTGAGGGAGCCAATAGGAAGAGTGAGTTGTTTGTTCCTTGAGTGGAAAGATAGCTGAAGTAAAACATCAAACAGTTGGTTATGTAGATGAAGAGAAACATTTCATTGGCTGAGTTTAGAAATAAAATGTAAATAAAACAAAATAAAGCACATAAAGTATATCTGCTCCTTATTATTTATGGTATACTTTGAATATAAATATGTATAATTAAAAATATCATCTTACTATTATTACATGCTACCAAACAAACCTAGAGAAACATCATGTATGCCACGGAAAATTTATCAAAATGTCAATTCCATTCCTACATTAATATATTTTCATATTGCATTATACCCAAGAGGCACTATACACAAGTTCTTTGCTTCTCTTCTATCAGAAGTTGACAAACATTTCTCAACTATTGAGCAAATTTAACTTGCCAGGCATATGCATAAACTCATTTAATGATCACTTCCATCCTAGGAGATAAGTAATATATTTACCAGTACCATTTTGCATGTAAGGATGTGAGACAGAGCAAAGTCTAGTAACTTGAATGAGGTTACCTGGATGGTAAATATAGAGACAATTCAAATTCCAGTAGTTCGGCTCCAGAGCTTTGAAATCCCAACTACTCAGAGATTGTTGTGTATGTTGAATGTCCTCAATAACTATATGTTGAATGAATGAGTGAACGGGGATTAGGCTATTTTTAATGATTCATCACATTGTTTGGGTGTACATATATGTGCACCTACTATGTGTATGCTTTGCATCATCTTGAAGATTTCACCTCTTTCCTAATCTTTGAATGAGAAAATTCTGCAAGGTTTTGGGAGATGGAGTCAGCAGATGCTACTGACAGTAGAGAGGAGAGTTTCTAAAAAAAAAATAATAGTAAGCTATGCCTTCAAGAGCACAGGGTAACTTTGTCAGATTTCTTGAAGGAGAGTCAAGAAAATTCATTAGTAGAGTAGAGTGATAAGCACCCTCTCTCCTTGTTCATATATTATAAAGAATTTGTGATATTGTTAATTATTGATTAAAGTGGTGCCAAAGATTGATTCTGGTTTTTATCATAATCAGGTTTCTTTGAAGCATATATACTGCTTTTATACTTAATAATTAAGTATAAAAGTTATCTGCCCAAAATATTAGCATTATGAAATATTTTAATTTGTTACTTTTTATTTGTGAACTTTATATGTCTAATATTTAACAGACATTCAAGTTGTTATAAATATTTTATAAATATTTTAATTTAATATAATTAATTATATTAATTTATAAATAATTTATATTTATAAAAATATTTAACTTTAAATATTTAAATTTTAAGACAGTTTTAAAATATTTTAAGCATGTTAACAACTTTTCATAAATATTTAAGTTTTAATAAATTTTATAACTTAGAAAAATTTTTGTTTTTTTCTTCAGTGACAGGAATACAATAACTATTTGACAGTAAGACAGGAGAAGTCAAGATGTTGAACAATTAAGAAAAGAATGTGATGCCAATGGAAGACACTTGACTTTAACCAGCATAAAGGTCACCATATCTTCATGTCACTTGCTTTCTTTGAAAAGGTCTTTTAAAATCACAGCTTTTAACAATAAAACTATATCCATTTTTTCACATAGCTGAATATTTTTATGTAATATGTCACATATTTTGATAGGTCTGAATTTTACTGCTGCAACTATGCTAAGGTTTATATGCCATAGAGATGTGCTTGTTTTGCTTAAAACATTTACAGTGCTAGACAATCACCAATAGAAAATAAATTGAGGATTCCAACTGTGTTTAGATTGTGATTGTATTTCAATAACTAATATTAAGGTATTTAAAATAGATATTCATATAAAATAATTTATAAAATATGTTACAAAACGATTGATTTTTTTATTAGACTACTCAGAAACTGGATTTGATTCTTATTTTCTAAAGGCACAATCAGTGATAAAAAATTTTGTACCATTTTAATGATGACCTTTGATAAATTTTGAAAATATCCCATGTGCTTACTTAATTCCAATTTCCCAACATACCTCAGAAACTTTAGAGTTCTACAGCAAAATTGGTGCTATTTTGAGTAGCAATACTGAAAAAAAACAAACTTGCTCAAATTTTTCCTAAGTGTACGTCTCAAGACACACAGTATCTTAAGTCAGCTTCTCTGAAAATACAGTGCTTAGGCAGCTTCTCTGAAAATACAGTGCTTAGGCAGATACTTGCTTGCAGGATGTTTACTGGAAGTCTGTTTGGGGTAATAACATCTAGGCTGTGAGAGAAGCAGGACTGGGCAGAAATAGAACTGTGGTATAGTAGCAAAGAGAACTTACCAGAGGTTCTAGCCTAGAGTATAAGTAATCCAAAATAGACTAATGGAGGGAGATACTAAATAGTTGTGATTTTTCAGCCTAGCTATAGCAGCAAAAGTCCTTTTTATGTTTGCATCCATATACTGAGCTAGCTCACCCATTAAACAGACTCAGCCTTTTCCCTCCTCTGTCAGCTGGGACACCCAAAGTAACCTTAGGTTGAGGGAGAGGTGTTAGTGCAAACCTGGAGGTGTGAGTCACCAGAGCATGCAGCTAGTGTGTGCCCTCTGGCTCGGCTCAGGCCTGATCCCAGATGTACTTCCGTTTTACCATGAGTTGTTGTTGGCTTCACCCAACTTTTGATTTAGTTGTTCTGATAGAATGTTCATGATGTGTAGCTGTGGCCAGAGGGTCACTTAATATTCTATGATAAGATCAAATTCTTTATTTTTAGCACACTGGGATTTAAAAAAATTTTAAATTTATTTTCAATGGTGGAGGGCTTTCTGCTGCAGATTGCATGGACTTGCCATTACCTTTAAGCTCTATGGGTTTGCATGGTCATTCTTTTATGAAGGTTTCTCGTTAACTTCACAATTCTTTTTTTGCCATGGATTCTTATAGTAGTATAGAATCCTGCTGGGTCATATGGTCCAGGAGGTAGGAATGCTTACTCTACAGTCTAGACCTAGTACAGAGCTTTTTCCTGCTCTAAGCCCTGCTCAAAGTTGTTAGCTTTTTATGTCACCTGGTAAATAGATGGGTGTATGATATAGTTTGGCTTTGTGTCCCCACCCAAATCTCATATTGAATTGTAATCCCCACGTGTTGAGGGAGGAACCTGGTGGGATGTGATTGAATCATGGGGACAGTTTTCCCCCCTGCTGTTCTTGTGATAGTGAGTGAGTTCTCAGGAGATCTGACAGTTTTGTAAATGTTTGGCAATTTCCTCCTTCGTTCACTTCTCTCTTGTCTGCCGTCATATAAGAAGTGCTGGCTTCCCCTTCCACCGTGATTATAAGTTTCCTGAGACCTCCCCAGCCATGTGGAACTGTGAGTCAAATAAAACTCTTTCCATTATAAATTACCCCATCTCAGTATCTTCATAGCGGTGTAAGAATGAACAAATACACTGTAAGATTACGAGGTGTCATGTTTCCATCTTAGTGGGTGGGAAGTACAAAGTAAAAATTTCCTTTACTTTAGAGGGTATGTCATACAGCATATTCCAAACTGTGGGAACGACAATAAGAAATATCCTAAGGTGGCAGACCCCTGAATCTTTGTAGGATTCATCTCCCACCTTCTGATGTGCGTATGTCTTACAAAGCCTCCAACTTTATTATTACCTGTTGCTCATCTGTACAATTAATTTGATGGCATAGATATAATGGAACAATGTGATGTTATGTCCAATCATGGTCCCTTTGGACTACATTGTGACAGAAGGTGAGAGAATTAATCCCAAACTTGAGCAACATCATAAATATATATTATTGTTTATTCCATGAATGTGAATGCATTTTTCACATGGATAAAAATAACGCACTCACAAAATCAATGTCCATAATTATACCATTTACCTGAGGCAGTATTGGTATCGATAGCAACTTTATTAATATTGATATTGATGCTAACTCTAGCAGAATTCCTATACTCAGCCCAGCAGCTAAAATTTGGGCTACTTCTTGGTTGAGTGTGAGGTAGCACCCTCTCATCCACTAGGAGCCATTTACTTTTTGTAGAGGAAAGACTTGCAGTTTAAATGGGGCTAGAATGGGCACCACCATCATTCTTTGTGTATTACAGGTAGCACAAGTCTCTGCCATGCACCACCTACCCCCGGATTGTGATATTGTATTAGATTTACTCTCTTTTCCATGGAGGGGGCAGTTTTGAAGATGTACATTTGACCTTTGCCATAGGCCAAGGAGTTAACATGATTTTGCCAACAATCAAGTATATCCACATGCACGTATATAATTATACATCTGGGCACTATGGAGATATTCATCAGATGGGAAATGAGCTGAGCAGACCAATAGTGAACTAGACTTGGGCTGGGCCTCTGTTTATTTTACCTGGCTCCCATGAGTCCTAAATCTGAGGCCAGGGTGATGCTTCAGACCATAGGAATCAATGTCAATTTGAGCACTGTGTCCAATAGTTCTTAAAATGTTTGGTATTGCCCTTTACACTGATCACTTATAGAATTAAATGGCCTATGATTCCCTTGGAGAAAGAAAGAAACACTGGGGCAATTACTGCCATATACACAGGCTGTGATGTTGAAAGGTATTTTTCTTCCTCACGAGGAAGTTGCTCCTTCAGTTAATGAGCTCTTGGTCTGCAAATTATCTCAGCTGTGGGTACTGGGCATGGGATTATGGCTTTTTATTGGAGTGGCTGCCCTAAAACTTTAGAGCATGAATCTTTGAGTTACTTTTTGGTTGTATAAATTATGAAATATGCTAAAATCCTCAGCACTTTGGGAGGCTGAGGTGGGCGGATCACGAGGTCAGGACATTGAGACCATCCTGGCTAATACAGTGAAACCCCGTCTCTACTAAAAATACAAAAAAATTAGCCGGGCGTGGTGGCGGGCACTTGTAGTCCCAGCTACTTGGGAGGCTGAGGCAGGAAAATGGTGTGAACCCGGGAGGCGGAGCTTGCAGTGAGCCAAGATCCCACCACTGCGCTCCAGCCTTGGGGACAGAGTGAGACTCCGTCTCAGAAAAAAAAAAAAAAAAAAAGAAAAAAAGAAATATGCTAACTGGCTGTCCATCAATCTTGTACATGGAACAACATGTCCTAGTAACAATCTCCATAACTCTGGATCAGGTACTTCCAGCTGCTATTCTGACCATGTTTCTCATTATGATGTTTCTTATTTATGACTATTTATTATGATCTCCTGACCTCGTGATCCACCTGCCTTGGCCTCCCAAAGTACTGGGATTTACAGGCGTTATTTATGACTCTTAAGTGCACGGCTTCTCTCATTCTAGCATCTTAATATCACCATTGCAATCATTGTGCCCAGTTTCTATAATGACCCCTCCTACTATCAGCCCTGGCCTACAGAAAACAGCTACCACTGAGGTTCTCAATGGTGATGCCACTCTCACCAATGAATTTCTTATTGATTTAGTAAGTGCAGTTTCTGTGGGTCCTCCTGTGGAACACAGCTTGGAGGTGAGTATTCTACCCTTATATGGTGTATTTACTCTAGAATCTCATTTTTGTGAGCTGTTTGATCCCTTCTTGACCATTTGCTATGAGAATTCTATAATTCTTCATTTGGTGTGGCCTTTTCATTTTTCCAAGATTCCAGGAATATGTTAACACTGTTTCTTGTGGTTTGTGCTAGGGTATTAATCAATATTCATATTGATAAATTCTTCCTTATTAATTTTATGTTCCAGAACTCTAGATCCCTCAACCTGGACACCCTCAGGATTTAGTCCCATATGTACTCTCCCAGCTTCTGCTGGTACACTCTAGCTAGGTTTTGCAGCTTCTTTGGTGCACAGCTCTCCTTCCCCCATAGAATCAGCTCTTTGTCAGTTGGGTTATATTTTGACTTGATCCTAGTTATTGGTCTGATATCCAGGAGAGGAGTTGGAGGTTCATCCTGAATGACCTGAAAGTAAAATTGCAAGGGATTGTCTTCAAGCCAGTAGGTAGCACTAGTTCTTAACAGGGAGGAATAGGCCACTTTTGTAGGCCCACAAAGTTCAGAGAAGTCTGAGTTTCAAGTTTATCAAGTGTCTCATTTCAGACGTCTTGATTCCAGGATTCACTTCTTTATAATGAAGATCCTGACCATGGTGGAGCTGACATCCATGAGAATTAAATTTTCATTGGAGCTCCACTATACTTATATGTCCTGGGCTTGAGCTTAGCTTTTTCTTGCCTCTGGCTGTTGCAGTTTTATTAGTTTCTGTAGAGGTGTCATGATTCCTTGATTCTTTATAATACTTGTGTCCTTGCATTTGCTGTGCATTTGAAGAAATGGTCCATTCGTTTGGCCTTTACAGGTGTTCATTGTAGGAACAGACCTTCACTAATAGTCTAGCCTGTGATTCTGAAAGGGCTGACAACTCCAGGCAGAACTTGCTGTGGTTTCTCTAGTTGGCTGGGCCACTGCCTTTGCTCTGATGGCTGGGCTCTGCTGTCCAGAGAGACCACTGGTTAGGCAGAGACCAATGGTTGGGCTCTGCTATTAGAGGAAGCTACTGGTTGGGCTCCGCTATTAGGAAGAGTTGCCGGCTTGGTACTGTGATGCTCTCTGGTCAGGGTAGTCAGAAGATGTATTCCTTGGCTGGGCAATTTTACTATTTGGAATCTGCACTTGGGCAGGGCTTCAGGCTGGGCTTTGAAAGTTGCTGCTTGTGATGGGCAAGACAAGAGCCTATGCTCCTTAAAAATGTGTGATTAAGGGTTGCCTCCATTAGGTCAGAGCTGTAGGGTGGACTTTTGCCTGAGTCAAGATGCTACTTGACTTCCTGCGTCAAGCAGGTTTAGTTCCTACACTCCTGCAAAATGCACACGGGAGGTTGTTGGGCAGGCTTTTTGGCTGAGCTAAGTTACTTACTCTTTGGACTCCTAGGTTTTACAGGTCTAGCCCTTGTGCCTCTTAGAAATGTATGCATGTGGCTGTCTCCCTGCCTCAGCAGGATTATAAGGCAAGCTTTTTGGATGAGTGGAGCCACTGCTTGACCCAAGATATCTAGCCTGTGTGATTCTCAAAATGCGCAGAGGGGGGCATCTCCCTACCTGGGCAGGGTTGTTAGAGTAGGCTGTGTGCCTGGCCATGGAGGCTAGCCATCTAGGGACTCAAGCAAGGCTGAACTTCCCACTGTGCTTCTGAAAAAGATCAGTTCAGCTTTCTGGGTGGGCTATGAAGTTGGCTGGTAACTCTGATTGGGCACCGCAGCTGGTGTGAACACAGAGGTGCCACACAGATCCATATGCTAGTCACTGTGGCCTCTGCCTTCTTTCTTTGTTTCTACTTGACCCCAGGTGGTCTAGCCATGCCTTTACCCTTTTCTTTCCCTATGAGGTGAGACAGGCGGGATTCCTGGAAAGAAAGCATCTCAAAATGCTAGGGAAGCTGAATGACTGCCTCCAGTTCTCTTTCCCCACTGCAGAAACTATGGGTCCAGGGTAATGCTCTTCAACCAGTGTTGTGCCAACTTCGTGGTGGCGGGGGGGGAGACCATTCTTCTGACCCTTCTCACTCAATTTTCACTTAGGTATGTGTACCACATTGTCTCAGGCTCGTTTCCAATATTGGGCTTTTGAAGAAGATGTTCTGGTCTATGGATAATTGCTAGATAAGCTTACAAGGGGTGGGGGGAGTGTGTGTAGCCTGAGACTTTTTACTCCGCCATATTGCAGCCATCCTGACAATGATAAAAACTCTTAACAGACTAGGTATAGAAGGAAGTTGCCTCAACATAATAAAGGCTATATGTGACAAACCAACAGCTAACATCATACTAAATGGTTAAAAATTGAAAGCTTTTCCTCTACCACCAGAAACAAAACAAAAATGCTTCTTAACACCACTTCTATTCAGCATAGTACTGGAGATCCTAGCTAGAACCATTAGGCAAGAAAAAGAACTAAAATACATTCAAATTAGAAAGGAAGACAACAAAATTGTTTGCAGATGACATAATTCTTCTTGTTTTAACTTGATATAAAAATAATCATGTGATATTTTTCCAATTATTTATTAATTGTATTGAGTGTCATATATTTGAGAAAACATATAAAAATCCATTAATATTTAAAATAAAATGTGTTGGATACTCTGGGGAAACAAGTCACGTTAAATCTTAAACTTTATTCAAGGGAGATTTACAGCTAACATATGCCATCTAGTGGCACTAAAAGAAACTTCACTTACAAATTCATAACATTTCCATTTCTTAGCGTACTATACTTCTGCTTATTCTTATGAATCTTTATATATGCCACCCTAAGGGAGAAATTCTATTGAATTGAAGTCCCATAGTTTTTCATAGATTTCTTACAATGCATATTTTTATGCATACAATGTCATGAGAAAAGTAATAATTTGTCATCAAATCATAATATAATCTATTTGTCTGAATTCCACGCTTCCAACCACCAACATAACTCTTTACAAGATGATCAGACCTGATCCCCTTTTTTCTATTACATGTTAATGTAAATATACACTTAGACTGATGCTCTACATAAATTATCTTGAAAATGTTATATTAAGAAATATCTAAAACTAGTTCAGTTTTTATACGATTCATGTTTCTGTTTTTATAAAGCAGAATGTTAAAAAGCTTTCAAGTTTCATTACATGGAACTTCTTGCCACATCTTTTTTTTTTCAACCTATAAATTGTTCATTGTCAAACATGTATCACACTTTTGAATTAAGGCATTGATCATCCCCATTCTTTGTACCTCACATTGGTGACTGAAAAATGTTGTGCTCTGCTGGCAGAATAGAAGCCTCCAGAAACCTGGTCCTGTGCTCTGACACAAGAACCTAGTGCTAGTGAACATGATGATTCTAGTCCTTCTCTTGCTATAATCAGGTGGCGTCCATCAGTGACTAACTCTACAACTAGAAAATTACCTCTGCATAGAAATAACTAAGGTAGAAGAAGGAGTTACAACACCAAATAAAGCAAGAGGAGAAAGGTATTTCTCAATAAATTGAACTATTCCCACAGTCATTTCTAAAGACTGGTGCTAAAGAAATTGTGTTGGGAGGCCGAGGCAGGCGGATCACGAGGTCAGGAGATTGAGACCATCCTGGCTAACACGGTGAAACCCTGTCTCTACTAAAAATACAAAACATTAGCCGGGCTTGGTGGCAGGCGCCTGTAGTCTCAGCCACTCTGGAGGCTGAGGCAGGGGAAAGGAGAATGGCGTGAACCCGGGAGGCGGAGCTTGCAGTGAGCCAAGATTGTGCCACTGCACTCCAGCCTGGGTAACAGAGCGAGACTCTGTCTCAAAAAAAAAAAAAAAAAAAAAAAAAAAAAAGAAAAAGAAAAAGAAAAGAAAAAAGAAATTGTGAGTTTGTGAATTACTTTTTTGTGTGTGCCTCATATCTCCTTCAGTTCTGCTCTGATCTTATTTCTTGTCTTCTGCTAGCTTTTGCATTTGTTTGCTCTTTCTTCTCTAGTTCTTTTAATTGTGATATTAGGGTGTCGATTTTAGATCTTTCCTGCTTTCTCTTACAGGAATTTAGTGCTATAAATTTCTCTCTACACACTGCTTTACATGTGTCCCAGACATTCTGGTACGTTGTGTCTTTGTTCTCATTGGTTTCAAATAATATCTTTATTTCTGCCTTCATTTTGTTATTTACCCAGTAGTCATTCAGGAGCAGGTTGTTCAGTTTCCATGTAGTTGTGCCGTTTTGAGTGAGTTTCTTAATCCTGAGTTCTAATTTGATTGTACAGTTTGTTGGGCCTTCTGTTCTTTTACATTTGCTTTACTTCTAATTATGTGGTCAATTTTAGAATAAGTGTGATGTGGTGCTGAAAAGAATGTATATTCTGTTGATGTGGGGTGGAGAATTCTGTAGATGTCTGTTAGGTTTGCTTGGTCCAGAGCTGAGTTCAAGTCTTGTATATCCTTGTTAATTTTCTGTCCTGTTGATCTGTCTAATATTGACAATGGGGTGTTAAAGTCTCCCGTTATTATTGTGTGGGAGTCTAAGTCTCTTTGCAGGTCTCTAAGAACTTGCTTTATGAATCTGGGTGCTCCTGTACTGGATGCATATATATATTTAGGACAGTTAGCTCTTCTTGTTAAATTAATCCCTTTACCATTATCTAATGGCTTTCTTTGTCTCTTGATCTTTGTTAGTTTAAAGTCTGTTTTATCAGAGACTAGGATTGCAATCCCTGCTTTTTTTTTTGCTTTCCATTTGCTTAGTAGATCTTCCTCCATCCCTTCATTTTGAGCATAAGTGTGTCCGCACGTGAGATGAGTCTCCTGAATACAGCACACTGATGGGTCTTGACTCTTTATCCAATTTGCCAGTCTGTGTCTTAATTGGGGCATTTAGCCCATTTACATTTAAAGTTAATATTGTTATGTGTGAATTTGATCCTATCATTATGATGTTAGTTGGTTATTTTGCCCATTAATTGATGCAGTTTATTCCTAGCCTTGATGGTCTTCACAATTTGGCATGTTTTTGCAGTGGCTGGTACTGGTTGTTCCTTTCCATGTTTAGTGCTTCCTTCAGGAGATCTTATAAGGCAGGCCTGGTGGGGACAAAATCTCTCAGCATTTGCTTGTCTGTAAAGGATTTTATTTCTCCTTCTCTTATGAAGCTTAGTTTGGCTGGATATGAAATTCTGGGTTGAAAACTCTTTTCTTTAAGATTGTTGAATATTGGCCCCACTCTCTTCTGGCTTGCAGGGTTTCTGCTGAGAGATCTGCTGTTAGTCTGATGGGCTTCCCTTTGTTGGTAACTCAACCTTTCTCTCTGGCTGCCCTTAACATTTTTTCCTTCATTTCAACCTTGGTGAATCTGAAGATTATGTGTCTTAGGGTTGCTCTTCTTGAGGAATATCTTTGTGGGGTTCTCTGTATTTCCTGAATTTGAATGTTGGCCTGCCTTGCTAAGTTGGGGAAGTTCTCCTGGATAATATCCTGAAAAGCGTTTTCTAACTTGGTTCCATTCTCCCTATCACTTTCAGGTACACCAATCAGACATAGATTTGGTCTTTTCACATAGTCTCATATTTCTTTGAGCCTTTGTTCATTTCTTTTCACTCTTTTTTTCTCTACCCTTGTCTTCTCACTTTATTTCATTAATTTGATCTTCAATCACTGATATCCTTTCTTCCACGTGATTGAATCGGCTACTGAAGCTTGTGTGTGCTTCACGAAGTTCTCGTATTGTGGTTTTCAGCTCCATCAGGTCATTTACGCATTTCTCTAAAATGTTTATTCTAGTTAGCGATTCATCTAACCTTTTTTCAAGGTTCTTAGCTTCCTTGCTTTGGGTTAGAACATGCTCCTTTAGCTCAGAGAAGTTTGTTATTATCCACCTTCCGAAGCCTACTTCTGTCACTTCGTCAAACTCATTCTCCATCCAGTTTTGTTCCCTTGCTGGCGAGGAGTTGTGCTCCTTTGGAGGAGAAGAGGTGTTCTGGTTTTTGGAATTTTCACCTTTTCTGTGCTGGTTTCTCCCCATCTTTGTGGTTTTTATCTACCTTTGGTCTTTGATGATGGTGACCTACAGACGGGGTTTTGGTGTGGATGTCCTTTTTGTTGATGTTGATGCTATTCCTTTCTGTTTGTTAGTTTTCCTTCTAACAGACCAGACCCTCAGCTGGAGATCTGTTGGAGTTTGCTGGAGGTCCACTACAGACCCTGTTTGCCTGGGTATCACCAGCGGAGGCTGCAGAACAGCAAATATTGCTGCCTGATCTTCCTCTGGAAGCTTCCTTCTTTCTGGAAGCTACTGGGAGGTGTCTCCCAGTCAGGCTACACGGGGGTCAGGGACCCACTTGAGGAGGCAGTCTGTCCATTATTGGAGCTCGAACGCTGTGCTGGGAGAACCACTACTGTCTTCAGAGCTGTCAGGCAGGGACGATTAAGTCTACAGAAGCTGTCTGCTGCCTTTTGTTCAGATATGCCCTGCCCCCATAGGTGGACTCTAGAGAGGCAGTAGGTCTTGCTGAGCTGCGCTGGGCTCCACCCAGTTCAAGCTTCCCTGCCACTTTGTTTACACTGTGAGCATAGAACTGCCTACTCAAGCCTCAGCAATGGAAAAAGCCCCTCCCCCTGCCAGGCTTCAGCTTCCCAGGTCTATCTCAGGCTGCTGCACTAGCAGCGAGCAAGGCTCTGTGGGCATGGGACCTGCGGAGCCAAGCAAGGGAATTTCCTGGTCTGCTGGTTGTGAAGCTGTGGGAGTAGCACAGTATTTGCGCAGGAGTGTACTGTTCCTCCAGGTACAGTCACTCACGGCTTCCTTTGGCTAGGAAAAGGAAATGCCCTGACCTCTTGCTCTTCCGGGGTGAGGCGACACCCCACCCTGCTTTGGCTCACCCTCTGTGGGCTGCACCCACTGTCCAACCAATCCCAGTGAGATGAACCAGGTACCTTAGTTGGAAATGCAGAAATCACCTGTCTTCTTTGTCCATCTCGCTGGGAGCTGTAGATTGAAGCTGTACCTTTCAGCCATCTTGGAAGTGAACCCTACATTTTGTTTTGTTTTGTTTTGTTTTTTGAGATGGACTCTCACACTGTTGCCCAGGATGTAGTGCAGTGGCATGACGTCAGCTCACTGCAACCTCTGCCTCCCCAGCTGAAGTGATTATCCTGCCTCAGCCTCCTGAGTAGCTGGGATTACAGGTGCCTGCCACCACGCCCAGCTAGTTTTTGTATTTTTGTAGAGACAGGGTTTCACCATGTTGCCCAGGCTGGTCTCTAACTCCTGGACTCAAGTGATCCACCCACCTCAGCCTCCCAAAGTGCTGGGATTACAAGCAGGAGCCACTGCACTCGGCCTCTGAATTACTTTTTAATAGGTAGTTAGAGGTATGCTTATTTTGTGATACTCACTTCGAAATTGGAATTGCAATTGAAATTTTGTTGTCCATTTGCCCTACATTTATCTCATGGAGCTGCAGTCAGAAGATGTGCTTTTCACATAGCAGATACTCAAGGAATGGTTGCTGATTATAAGCGGATTCAAATGACAGCGTCAGAGAAGACAGCATTTAGGAAAACCCAAAACTGTTTTCTCCCAGACTATACTGGGCTTCTATAAATATTTATTGTATTGTTGTTAACAGTAAAATAAATAAATTTGGACTTGGATGATATGAATTACTATTTTATTATAACAAATATAATTTTAAAACACAGAATATGGAAACTGATAAAAATGTCCTGTTTTACCATTTGGATATTTAAAAATCATAACGGAAAACAGAAATGTGCAAAGATTTCAGTAAATGTAAGCACATTGTTTGAAGTTTATTTATTTATTTTTATTTTTTATTTTATGAGATGGAGTCTCACTCTGTCACCAAGCTGGAGTGCAGTGGTGCGATCTCGGCTCACTGCAACCTCCACCTCCCAGGTTTAAGCGATTCTTCTGCCTCAGCCTCCTGAGTAGCTGGGACTACAGGCATGTGCCACCATGCCCAGCTAATTGTTGTATTTTTAGTAGAGATGGGGTTTCACTATGTTGGCCAGAATGGTCTTGATCTCCTGACTTTGTGATCCAACCACCTCAGCCTTGCCTCCCAAAATGCTGGGATTACAGGCGTGAGCCACTGCTCCCAGCAGAAGTTTATTTTCATTAGAAATTATGACAATGCATATTCAAGCATCAATTTGGTTCTAATATCACTTAAGATTTTACCAAGTTACAAGTAGCATTTCATGTGATGTAAGTATAATAAGTTGAATTTTCTAAAATCTTGTTACTGAGAGCTTAAATTGACACCATATAAAAAGTAATTTGATCAAGAATATGGATAACTATTAAGCAGTTATATATATAAACGATTTATAGAAGCATCATTGACAATGGCAAAAATATTGGAAACAACCAAAACCTCCAACATTACATCTATCAGTGGAATATTTTCTCACTATCTAGAAACATTCAGGGACACTTTTAAAAAGATATTAAGATATTTATGAACTAGAAAAAGTAGTTTAAAACATAAGTAACATAAAACATAATCTCAACTCTATAAAAAGAAAAAGAGTCTGAAGAGATATACTTAAACATTTTTAGTGATTATAACTAAAAGATAAAATTACTGAAAAATATTTTTGTCCACATGTCCTTATTTTCCCAGCTTTATAAAATGGACATGTGGTATTAAATTGAAACCTATACAATTTCTTGTTATTTTTTTAAATTTTATTATTATTATACTTTAAGTTTTAGGGTACATGTGTACAACGTGCAGGTTTGTTACATATGTATACATGTGCCATGTTGGTTAAAATTTCTTGTTATATGTAGGCCAAAATGTGTCAATTACTGGAAACTTCATAGGGTTCAATCTAATGTTTTATACCTACATTTTTTTAACTAAAAAAAATACCTCAATGGGAATTTTCTTTTTGATAGATGAACATAGAAGTGATTTGTCAGAATCAGAAATAAGGAATTAATATGTGAAGAATATTTTATCCAAAGCAGCAGGACCTCTGTTTTAGGAGCTAGAGTATATTTTCTGTGATGGACTGAATATTTGTGTCTCCCCACAATTCATAGTTGAAACTCTCCTCCCAATGTGATGATATTAGGAGGTAGGGCCTTTGGATGAACATTAGTATTAGATGAGATCTTGAGGGCAGACACCTCAGAAATGGTATTATGCCCACATTAGAGTCAGGAAAGAGCTTGATGTGCTCTGCTCTCTATCACATGAGGAACAAAAAGAAGCTCGTAGTCTGCAACCCAGAAAAGGGTCCTCACCCTTGACCGTGCTGGCACCAAGACTGTCTTGCGAAGACTGTAGCATTAAGTTTCTGTTTTCTGAGCAGAAAACATTCTTTGTATGAACGAGTCACTGTTCCATTTTACCTGAACAAGTCACTGTTCCATTTTACCTGAACACCGTAAAACAAATCAGTTTCTAATCCCTTATCACTGACAAAGATCCTCTCCTTGACCAAATTCGAGTCAGGTTCCTCTGAGCCCTCTTCTCAACTAGGTTTCAACCTTGGGCTCAGTCCTTGGCACACTTAATCCAGTTTTAGCAAGAATTTTGCTGGGCTAGTTTAATGAATACTTCCCATTCTCAATACCTGATAAAATTGATCATCCCCACCATCTATATCTTAAATTTAATAATTTAATTTTTAGAGTTTTTATATATCTTTCACTATATTTCTATTGAAACAACTTTTCCAAAATCCGTATTATCATCAGAGAAATGAAAGACATAATAAGAGTTATAGTACATGTACTAAGAGAAAATAATGCAATAAATTTGAATTAGTATTTAAATTTGTTATTTGCTATATTAAAAATCTAAAAGTGATTTTAAAATGTAATAATTTAACTATGTTTTTAATCAGATCAGATGATTCATATTTCTGCATGAAATCCTAAAACATTAAAACAAAATTATTATAATATTCAAATATAACTTCCTTACATAATTCTTTGCACTTTAAAATAATAAGTAGTACTAAGTTGTGTTCCATTTTTAGCACAAACCAAAGAATAACTGCTTACATCTGCCATTATTTTCTTGATGAAATAAAATAGGAAGACATTATAAAGGTAACATTCATATATTACAAAAGCATTATATGTAATCCAAAGTCAGAGTATTAAATTCAGTTATGGTTCAAGGTTTGTAATGAAATATAAAATGGAAATAATTTTTTATGATAGATTATTGTGCCAAATTAAATCTTACTAAAGCAAATATATACAAAATTGCTTTCTTGAAAGAGGAGACCAAAGCTTCATTCACTGAGCCTCTAAGGCATCTTTTAAAATATTCCAGAGCTCACTGTAACAGAACTTGCCACTTAATGAGCATTGCTTTTGTCAGCTTTGGGAGAGTTATATGCTTGAAAACACTAAAAATTTCCTCCTGGCCAGGTGGGTGTGGTGGCTCAAGCCTGTAATCCCAGCACTTTGGGAGGCAGAAGCAGGTGGATGACCTGAGGTCAGGAGTTCGAGACCAGCCTGGACAACATGGTGAAACCCTGTCTCTACTAAAAATACAAAAATTAGCCGGGCGTAGTGGCGGATGCCTGTGATCCCAGCTACTCAAGAAACTGAGGCAGGAGAATTGCTCGAACCTGGGAGGCGGAAGTTGCAGTGAGCCAAGATGGCACCATTGTACTCCAGCCTGGGTGACAGAGCAAGGCTGTCTCAAAAAAAAAAAAAAAAAAAAAAAAAAGACTTCCTCCTTCGCTTCACTTTAGTATCTCAAAGTCCCCAAATTAGTCAATCATTTGAATTAACTCACTGAATGTTTCTGTTAACATATCTCTTAGAAATTTAAGAATTTTGGAGAGGCTTTTAATGGGGACCTACCGCCACCCATATTTGGGTCTCAAGTAGAGATGAATTTAGTTCACAACTCATTGGTTCATAAAAAGTAATTATCATTCGTCTGTACTGGGCCTTTTTCTTATTTTATATTATTTCATTTCCTCCCATTGCTCATGCCTTCTCTTCTTCCTGCAATAGGGGCTCATTATAATGTGATTGATATAGGTACTTAAATTGAAAAATAAACAATGATGTTTTGTGTGTATATTTCAATTTCCATAAATGAAATAGTTATGAATCATATTCTGTTGCTATTTTCAGACTCAAAATTATTCTATTAAGAGCCATCCATATTGCTTTATGTATACCCACATTGATGCTTTAATATTGTGGCTATATAATATTCTTTCTTATGCATTCACCAAATTGTATTCACAAATGCCTAGTAATAGACAGCAACAGATCCTGCAATTAAACACACACCATACTGAATAAAGTGTCTATACATGCCTTTTAATGCATCTATCCAAGAATTTCTCTGGTGAAACCTTTTTTAGAAGAGATATTACAGGACCATGGGATATACACAACTTTAATTCAAGACTGCACTCTAGAATGTTCCCAAGTTTACACTTCATCCTCATAAACATTGGCTTAACCAGTATTGTATTCATTGCCTACATAATGTGTATCGAGTGATTTTTCATTGTTTCTTTACTTTCATTTTTCTCATTACCGGTGAAGTTGAGCACCCTAAACATACTTCTTGGCAATCCTTATTTTCTCTTCCATGAAAAATGGATTTATATTTTCATCCATATTTTTCCAATTAGGTTTTAAAATTTTTATATTGATCTTCAGTACTTCACCTTATATTCTAGATACCCATGTCGAATTAACTCGATTCTGGCAATAATCTTTAACAGTCTTTGCACATCTGTGCATTTTTTTTTTTTTTTTGAGACAGAGTCTCACTCTGTTACCTGGGCTGGAGTGCAGTGGCACAGTCTTGGCTCACTGCAACCTCCGCCTTCTGGGTTCAAGCGATTCCCGTGCCTCAGCCTCCCAGGTAACTGGGATTACAGGCACACATCACCATTCCCGGCTAATTTTTGTATTTTTTTTTTTTTTTTTTTTTTTAGTAGAGACAGGGTTTCAACATGTTTGCCAGGCTGTTCTTGAAATCCTGGCCTCAGCAATCTGCCCACCTCGGCCTTCCAAAGTGCTGGGACTACAGATGTGAGCCACCGTGCCTGGCCTGGTTCGTGGTTTCTGACATGTTTAAAAAGTACTTCCTCTTTTATTTATTTTACTTATCATTTATCTCTCATTTGATTTTGAACAATCTTGGAATAACTTTCTCAAAGGTAAGAGGTAAAGAAGCAACTTTGTCATCATATTGTTAATCAGTTTTCCCAAAGGAATTTTATCTACTGAATTTGATTTTTTATGCTGCACATGTTGTATACTAAGCTTCCATTTTTACTGCTGGTGCAGGGTCCAGGACCCCAGTGCCTGGATAGTTGTGCTTCTGGGCACATATACCCTGAGTGTTATCCTATTACCCAGTCCCCAGATCCCTACTCTTATCTCCCTTAATCCTTTTAATGGGTTGCTTGAAGATAGAAGTCGCTCAAAAACCTGTCTTAGTTGTTCTGAAGGAGAGGTTCCCTCTGAAAATCTAATCAATACTGACAGAAGAGAGAAAACTCACCCCTTTTAAAAAATCTCAGTAAATCATTTTGCCCTGCAGTGCTCCATCAATGAATCAGTGATGTGATGTACTTTACTTCTTGAAACGTTTACTTAATTTCTCAGGACAGGGAATACTGTGGTAGAACAAAAGATTAAGTGTTCAACTATTATTTTCAAATTAGATTTCTGAAAACAGTAGATTTGAAATTGTATCATTTTTTGTTTTTTGTTTTTTGTTTTTAAGATACAAGTGTTACACCTGGAAACAATAAGGCTCATACTGTAAAGCCTTAGATGAAGGGATACAGAATATGATATAAATTTCAGCACATGGAGAGCCCTGCAAGGGACTTAAGACTGACTTGTTGATCTTTGCTGTCATTGTCAATAATTACAGCAAGCAATAGATGGGCCAAAAAGCCACCCCCCAGAGACATTCCACTGCCAATCTCCCCAGTATACAAACATTACATGAAGGGGCACTGGTTATTCCAGTTCAGGATTTGCTGTTAAACTTGACTTGGATCACATAACATTGATTTGGGTAAGTAAATAGGCAGAATCACCGAAGATCTTCAGTCATGATGATCATACATGGTGTTATCCAAGGCTGATTGGGCCTCAGGAGAAACATATGGATTTGTAGCATTCGGAAAATTAAGACAAGTTTGTGCAGATCCATAGGTTTGTTTATACATAATGAGGCTCCATGTTCCAGAGCTGCTATTAGGGCATCAAGAACAGCAGAGTGGTAGAGGACAAACCATATACATATGAGTTTTTCTGTTTTCATAGCACTTGGATGCTCTGGACAAACACAGCACTGACTCAGATTGTCAAGTGTAGTTGCCTCTTGATTAACCACACTGTGGTGCTAGACCTATGGGGAAAAGGGACCATTAATTGTTCTGCTCTTTCCTGAGTCTCCTGGAGCTGAGGTGTTCCCTATGTGCCAGGGTTTTTCTTCCTCCACTACTAAAAAATCCACATGTTCCATTTCAATGGCTATACATTCAACTTTTCTCCAGTCATCCCCGATTCTCACCCAGATCTTTATCTAGAAGGGTCAGGCACATGTAGGACAAGGGCATTATATCTATTATATCTCCCAACTTGGCCTGCATGGGTCACTAAGGGAGACTCAATGCAGGAAGACGAGGTAGCTCACAAAAGTGGTCATGATATTTATTTTGTTCCAATAATCAAAATAGCTCAATTAGAATTAAGTTTGAGTGCTCAAACCCCTTTTTGTCTCAGCTTCCACCCAGAGATTTACCAACCCTAAGGGGTGGTTGTCAAGGGAATGAAGAAGGCATCAAACCCAAGTACTGTCAGTGCAGAACCTGAATCTTTAATATAGGTCTATATAACCATTCACTCCATTTGTCCTGATCATTACTCAGGAAATGGCTAAGAGGAGATGATCCATTCAAAAAGATGACTATTTCATGCCCAAACTGCCTTATTAAGTATAGGGACTTGTAGGGGAAGAGGGAGATAGAGTCAGAAATTTTTGAGCTGAATTTTGAGGAGGCTGTTTCCCCATTTGGTAATACCAGATGTCTATGGAAGGTAGGGAATGTGGAATATCTATGACATTTCTTGACTACTGGTCCATTGTTAACTGGCTTTTGTGATAAAAGACACTGTATTTTCTGACTGCAAATGGCCTGGAAACCTGAAAAGGTGACACAGATTAGTTTCAAGGGCCATAGTAGTGTGGCTGGAATTGGCCAATTGGACGAGAAGAGCAATAATGTAACTTGATAACATGTCAACAGCAATGAGTGTGGCATCATTGATAACCCTGAGAGGAGGTCAAAAGTCCAATGTAGTCAATCTGTCAGGAGCAGGTGGGGTCACTATAGGCTCTACATCCTGTGGCCTTCTTTACCACTGGACAAATGGCTATCTTTCAGCAGGAGTCAAAAGTCTGATAAGCAACAGTAACTTATCAAAACATAAAGTCTATTTTTGTGCGCAGTCTCTAATGTTGGATGAATTGTCATGTGCGGTTTAATGCTGCAGCTAGTTGGCAGTCATGGTCATCTAGGCAGTGCAGGTTTTATTCGGAGCTGGATTTCAGCCAGTCTTATCAGAGAACAGGTTATTAGCATGGGTATTTAAGCAACTCAAACATCTGATAGGCAGCTGTGGCTTATTGCCACAGTTCGCCAGTTTTCCAAGTGGCAGTGCAGTTGGGTATGCTATTGGCAATTGTCTAAGAGAGAGTCAAAATCGAACATTTTGTCTTTAAAATTATTATTTAAAAGTATTATATAGTCTTTAAAAGTATTATCTAAGGCAACGGTGATGTGATGATGGCTTTCAATTCAGCCCCTCGTTCTGAAACTTACTGCAGTTGGTCTTCCAGAGTTATTATCGGGGAAAGACTGGGGATGCCACCCAGTGGACACTATCAGCTATTAACTCAGCTGAATCATCAGGGAATCAGGTCCAAGCCTTTAGAGGAAACTCTGTAAATCAAGGCCTCCATTGAGCTTGCAGCTTTGATTCAGACAGCAGAATGAGAAATAAAATTTCCCCTAAAAGGGTAGGTGCAACCACTTCATGTAAAACCGAGATGCCACCAGGGCCAAGCCAACTATACCATTTCATTTGATCAGCAAGGCTTGCTGGTCTCTTGTCAGTCATGGAGTCTGATTGATCCACCCTAATATGGGAGGACTCAAAACTTCCAGCTTGCAGCTGCTCAGTTTCAGCAGGACAAAAACTCTCTTCCGTTTAGAAGGAATTTACTTGCTTCAGGCAGGTGGCGCCCTTGTACTGGGAAGTTGCCACTCCTAGTGTTCCCACAGCAACTGTCAGCTAAATGATCACGAAAGCTGTGATTTTCTTCTTTCCTCCTTCCTCCTGGATTCTATTCTGTTTTTGCTGGACCACATAGGGGGAGACAGGAATCACCACTCTACATTGCGCAGTACCTGCACAGAAAAATTAACTCTAGACTTTATGAGCACTTACAGTACAAGCACATAGCACATTAATTCCAATTATACATCCAATAGTGGAAACTACAACAGTACATTGAATAGCCCCAAAGGCTGCCCCCTCCCCTCCCTGAGGTCGCTTTAATTTTCCTTTTCCACTGCAATTTGCCCAAATCTATTAGTTGAGTCCAAGTACATTTTTCCTTCTCAAGCACATAGACCAAAGTGTTTAACTATACTGGTCAGGGGCTCTAGCCACAGCCACTGGGAGATTATACTATTCTGTAACACAAAAGTACAGGAATCAGGGAAGTAAGGCCACGAGGGACTAAGATGTGGGAAGAGGTCATAGAGGAAATTATTTTTCTTTCTCTGTCCTGAAGGAAATACAAGTATTTTTCCCTGAAATATTGAGGATTGTTAAGTTAAAAACATCAAGGACGCAAGAAAGCACTCTGCCTCAACCTCTGTTTGCCTGATGGCCAGACATCAATCCTTCCTTACTGTAGACAGCACTTATCAGGCCAGAGAAGGCACCAGCAGGCACCAGAAAAATCTGGAAACAGATTTACTGTCTTCCCACATTTTTTCACTTTTTAAAAGACTACAACTGCTCTTTTTTTTTTTTTTTGTCTTGTCACTCTATAGGATTTATGCCTCTTTGTTGAAATGCTATTTAATCAAGGCCCAAGCCAGTGCTTTCTGAGAGAAATACTTTTGAACTGAGGCTTCTCCAAATGATGGGTACAGCATTTGTTAATAAGCTTCTGCTTGTTTTTCATTTATTAATTTGATGTTAGTTTTCAGGAGAGTGTCTCAACTAAGAATCTAAAAAGGGAGAGAAGAGAAATGATGTTTTCTTCCCTACAGTCTGCAGCTTCAGGTTAAGCATTTTCTCCTCTCAAGTGCATCTCCAGACTTGAGTCTGGGGACCCTTTTCTGCCACTCCACCTTCCTCCCTTTATGGTTCCTCCCCAAAATTCTTGGCCCTATGGCCACCTCTATGTTTAGCATACCCTCTCGAGGAACTCAACTAGAATAGTGACTTGTGTGCCTGTATTCAACATAGCTATAAAATTGTGAGTGCTTCTTCTTCCCAATGTTCCTTAGCATACTCAGCCTTTTTTCCTGAAGCAAGAGAGGTCAGTACAAAGGAGAGAGAGGGACATGTAAGAGTGCATGGAAGGGGAAAGCAGCTTTGCTCCAGACTTGACTAGACTTAGCATTTACTTAACAGTTTTAAGGAACTGTACCCTTGGTCTCCCAGGCTCAACAGTCTTTTAATATTTTCTGTGCAATTAAAGTTCTAAGTCCAACTTGCTGAAACCATTTCCTTTAGCTATATGTCCACCTACTTCCCTGTTGTCATGAAAACATCCTTCTTCCTCCTACCTGGAAAAGCATGAGCCATTTAAGTGACATTTCAATCCCATTTCTTGCTGCTCAGATTCATTCACAGATATAAGAGCAGGGGGCTTTACTAGTATTCCTCACCCACCTCCTAGGCAAAAGTATTTATTAACTGATTCTAGGGAGTCTTATAGCTTCAAACCCAGTCCAGGTCAGCTCTTGTCTTTCCCCTCCCAGAAAATTCTGTCTGTGCCAACATTTCATGCTTGTCAAAATGGCCAGAGTCTGGGGTTTTATTCTGCTTACCAACTAAGTTAGCTTGTTACTGTGTTGTGGATGCTTGCAGAAGACACACAATTCCAGTATCAGAGACAAAAGACTTTATTTAGGCATAATGCAGCAAGTAGCAAAATCATCTTACTTGCGTTTGTTCTCCTTTTCCCTCCCACCCCCGCCTTCAGTCCCAGTGGGGCGGGGTGGAAGGGTCCAGGGAGATACTGTGCATTCAATGTGTTTTTTTATTGCAGCTGGGAATCTGAGCTTGGGAATTTACTGCTTTTATTGTAAGTAGTAGGCAATCCTACTTTTCGAGTGGATAGGTTACCTCACCATTCAAGATTGCTGGCTGCAAATTCAACCCAGAAAATGGTAAGGAATGGTCAAAGCCTTATATTTTTGGCATAACTGGCAAGAAGTAGAGGGAGCTCAGGGCCCATGGAAGATTAACATTTACTACAGATAAAATAAAATAAATGAAACATCATATTTATTTGTAAATGAAAACTAAATACATTTTAACCTTAAAAGCCACAGGAGATTTTACAGATAAAAACTAATATTTTGAGTACATAAACATTTAATGTTTTCAATGTGTCTGAACAACTGAATTTATTTTAATATGAACACAAAATATATTAAAGATTTTAATAACTTTAATTTATTTGGAACTAATTCAGATTGGTATGATAAGCCCCCAGCATTATAATAGATAAGTGGATAAAGGATATAAATTAGTAGTTTATAAAAGGGCTTCTAATGACTAGAAATATTTAAAAATATTTCAATATTTCAATTTCTATTTCAAGTATACAAAAGGTAATATTTTTATTTAACAAACTAACTTTTCTTAAGGAAAACATCCAGCGTTGGTGAGGTTTCTGAGAAAACACTTTCACACAGTACTTTTCAGTAAAACTTTTCTGGAACTTGCAAATGGTTATCAAAAGGTTTACAATGATTATGTTACTTAATGGAGTAATTTATTTCAAGTAATCTACCTTAACACTTTATCATAGAATAAGTACTAAATGTATTATATGCATTTTTGGTGCACTTGCAAATTCTGTTTGAAAAGTGGCAAATGATAAATAAACGCAAAGCTCCCAAAGAAGTCTGAAAATGAGATACATATTTATTGTCAAAAAATTCAGTTAGAAATTACATATAAAGAGAAAAATTTGAAACAGACTTAAATTACCAGTAGGGAAATGAGTTTTAAGATAAAGGCTTATATAGGAGTAGAATATTTTTGTAACAAAGAAAGTGCTTTTTGCAAATAGTCTACATTTTAAGTAGGAAAAAGAAAACTAAACGCAATGTGATTTGTATTTTTTTAAAAAAATAGATACCTAGATAAAAGCAAAACAAGAACTATAATGAAAATTTTCAAATTATTACGTCTTGGCAGTGGGAGTTTACAGAGATTTCTTTTGTTACCTTATGCTTTCCAAATATTCCAATAACATGATGTGATCCATACCATATTTAATTATGTATCATCATATAATTGTTTTTATAAATTTTAGTGAGATTTTTTTAAATTAACTTTAAAGGTATATAAAATTATTTTAAAGTACCATTCAAATGTTAAAATAATTGTAAAAATATTTTAGAATGTTATTCTGAAAGATCAAAAATTTTGTTTTAATAGATATTGAAAAAGTTGAAAAATAAGAGTTGAAATATGCTTCCAAGAACATGACAACTAAATTTAATATTGAATGCTGGATGGAATTCTGGGACTGAAAATGGATATTAGATAGAAAGGAAGGAAATCTGAATGAAGTGTAGACTTCTATTTATGACAATGTATTAATATTGGTTCATTAGTTGTGGCTAATATAGTTGTGACTAATGATATCTAATTAAACTAAAGAGCTTCTGCACAGCAAAAGAAACTACCATCAGAGTGAATAGGCAACCCACAAAATGGGAGAAAATTTTCACAATCTACTCATCTGACAAAGGGCTAATATCCAGAATCTACAATGAACTCAAAACAAATTTACAAGAACAAAACAAACAATCCCATCAAAAAGTGGGTGAAGGATATGAACAGACACTTCTCAAAAGAAGACATTTATGCGGCCAAAAAACACATGAAAAAATGTTCACCATCACTGGCCATCAGAGAAATGCAAATCAAAACCACAATGAGATGTCATCTCACACCAGTTAGAATGGCAATCATTAAAAAGTCAGGAAACAACAGGTGCTGGAGAGGATGTGGAGAAATAGGAACACTTTTACACTGTTGGTGGGACTGTAAACTAGTTCAACCATTGTGGAAGTCGGTGTGGTGATTCCTCAGGGATCTAGAACTAGAAATGCCATTTGACTCAGCCATCCCATTACTGGGTATATACCCAAAGGACTATAAATCATGCTGCTATACAGACACATGCACACGTATGTTTATTGTGGCACTATTCACAATAGCAAAGTCTTGGAACCAACCCAAATGTCCAACAATGGTAGACTGGATTAAGAAAATGTGGCACATATACACCATGGAATACTATGCAGCCATAAAAAATGATGAGTTCATGTCCTTTGTAGGGACATGGATGAAATTGGAAATCATCATTCTCAGTAAACTATTGCAAGAACAAAAAACCAAACACCACATATTCTCACTCATAGGTGGTAATTGAACAATGAGAACACATGGACACAGGAAGGGGAACATCACACTCTGGGGACTGTTGTGGGGTGGGGGGAGGGATAGCATTGGGAGATATACCTAATGATAGATGACGAGTTAGTGGGTGCAGCGCACCAGCATGGCACATATATACATATATAACTAACCTGCACATTGTGCACATGTACCCTAAAACTTAAAGCATAATAATAATAATAATAAAAACAGCAATGACTAAATTTCACAAGATAATTGGCATGGGATAGGCCCAAACTAGTCAGTATCTCCTGGCCTCTTCCAAGTCTCATTTTTCTTATCAATAAAATGAAAAATTTAAACTTAAAAAAAAAACAAAACAAGAAAAAATTGAATACGGAGTATTTGGGAAGTCTTGGCACTATCTTTACAACTTTTGTTTTTAAATTCCGGGGTACATGTGCAGGATGTGCAGGTTTGTTACATAGGTAAATGTGTGCCATGGTGGTTTGCTGCACCCATCATCAACCCATCACCTATAAATCAAAAAGTATTATAAAATGACCCATTCATTTAAAAAAATGCTTCCAAGGGGTCTTAGAACACCTTGTGCACCACTTTGTGCTGCTATAACAGGGTACAAAAGACTGTGTAAATTGTAGAAAAACAGGCATTTATTCTCTGACAGTTCTGAAGTCCGGGAAGTCCAAGATCAAAGCAGCAGCATGAGCTGAAGTCCTTCTAGCTGCACTCTCACAGAGTGGAAGATAGAAGAGCAAGAAAAGAACTTTGTGTCCTCCCATGGCAGAAAAACAGAAGAGAGAAAACCCACTTTCACAAGCTCTTTTTGAGATAGGAATAGCACTGGATAGTCTCAGGAGGATGGAAAAACCCAAACAACAGCAAAAACAAGAAAAAGACAGAGAAACCACAGGATTACAGAAAACCCAAAGTAGGAGAGAGAAAACAGCTAATAACACAGTCAGGGTGACATGTGCAGGACTCTTCCAAGCAAACCCAAATAAGGGAGAAAGGAGTCGGTAACCAGGGGTCCTTGAAATCCCCTTTTTCCAAAATACCTAATGATTATTCTACCCCCAAATTAAAGAAACACCCATAAAGCAGGAATGCTGGGTGGTCACAGTAGAAGTAGGAAAATACCAGGCAGCAATTTCACCTAGCAGCAAGACAGGAGCTATTAAAATTAGCTATAAGGGCAAGGATGGGCCTGGGCTGATAAGACCCTAACAAACAGGATAGGGGCTAAGCAGCTGAGGCTGGCTGGGTCCAATGTGGCATTGGATTTGACCAATGTCCTACCCCAAACCTAACTGTAGACTAATTACCATACTAAATCACTCACCTACCAATACCATGACAGATCCGAGCCTATCCATATTTAGTATAAAAATGGGTGGCACCCAAATTCTAAAAATTCTCTACCCTTTTCCTGGAAAAGCTCATGATTATTCTGTCCCCTAATTAAAAGAGCCCATAAAATTAGAAACTCAAACTCCATTGAGCACAACTCGTTCTCACGAACATGTGCACACTTCTCTCTTAACTGTATACTTTCACTTTGCAATAAAAGCTTCTTGCCTTTTGCTTCCTTCTGAGTGTTCCCTGAATTCTTTCTCGTGATGGTGTCAAGAACCTGGACACTGGATGGGGTGAGGGTCTTATCTGCATCTGGAGACCCACCTAAGCCCTCCAGCCACATCTCCATCGTGGCATTCAAGAGAGTGGAGCCCTCCCATTAGTCCCCACCTCCCAAAACTGTTACACTGGGGATTAAATTTCCAGCATATGAATCTCGAAGTACACAAGGTAAGTCTCAGCATTCATAAGAATTGTAAATGGATTATTTAATGTTAAAAAAAGTAATGCATGCATATGGTATATAATTACAACAGTACAAATAAGATATATCTCTGTCACTTCTACAAATACACTAATTTTCTTCTAATTTATGTGTATCTACCTGATGCACTAAAGCTCTGAGAATCATGAATCATTTCAAAAAAATAAAAAGCTAAATTCTTGTGTCTACTCACCAGAGAGCCTTCTGAACAATAAGAAGCGGTTTGATGAAGAATTCTAAATGTGGGTATGAGCAGATTCATCTAAGTTGTAGTTGTGGGATCTTAAACCAACCCTACTACTAAGCCCTCTCCAGAAGACAAAACAGAAATTAACTATTGTGTTGCTAACCCAGGATACTATAATAAAACTATAATAAAAATAAAAAATGTTTTAAATGTGCTAAATATCTTAGCAAGCAATTCTTTGCCTGATCTCTAAATTTCCTAGTGTAGAGGGCTTGTGGGCTCTGTACAACCATATATACTTGTTGAGTATTTTGATGCCTTCCTGTGACTACTCACTTTTTAAAGATTGTATTGGCCAATGTGGAAACATAAGAAAAGCAAATGCGAAGGATGGCTAATTACATTGAATTAACGGCAGCAATAGTGATCTGACCTCCTTAGACTAGATACTGTGACCGTCTCTAGATGTTTCATTTGATGACTGCAGAGATCATGCATATGGAAATTGTTGTTATTATCTCTGAAGTGGATAAGGTAGCGAGCATTTTGGAAGACTGGATGTGAAAACAGAGATGCAGTTATACCAGGAGAGAGCATTACAAGAAAAGATTAAGACTTACTCAAAGTAGTGATCAGTTATCAGCCCCAAGCAGATTCAGCTAATGAGTGCCTTCAACCACTAAAATGAGATTCATTGTTTAAGAATTCTCCTGGGTCATCATAAGAGACTATCAATAATTGAGATTTGGGAGCTAAACATAAGCTTATTCAGAAGCAGTGTGGACTGCATTAAAATTTGATTCTATCTAATAATGCTATGATAAGTGAAAAGCCTCATTTGACTTCCTTTTCTGTTTTGAGCTGTGTGTGTGTGTGTGTGTGTGTATGTGTGTGTGTCTTAAGCATCTGCAATGTAAATAAATGAATCATAATACACATCATCCCCAGAATCTGTTTTTCCTAGCATGCTCTGCAATAGTTTCGTAGAATTACTGTTACAGAATAGTTTATCCATAATACTCAGAATGTAACTTCTGTTTCTCTGCTTAGCAGCAAAAAATCAGTTGAATGTCCAAAATATATGGTAGTATATTTTGCTCATTTAAAACAGAATGATGCATACCATTTTCTGCAATTTTCTATAGCACTTATTTTTGTTTCACTCAATTTCTAATGATTTCTAGTGATTTTCTTCCCCAATTTTTGTTTTTGCTTTTGTTTTCACTCATCTAACATTGGTGAAGGATCAAGGAATATGACAAAAAGCTATAATAAACATATATTTTCATGCCCCCTCCTGCACACACACAAAAATCACACATGGCCTGCCATTCTGCACATCTGCTATTCTGCCTAATTATCTGTGATCAATAAATAGATCAACAAACAAATAAAAAGTAACCTTATTGATGTACTTACATTATAAACATCAAAATAAACACAAAACCTGCCACAAGGGAATAACAAAACACTATTACATTTTTTTAGAAGAAGCCATCACATCCTCATTAAATGATCTGTGGTTTCAGAAGGTTATTTGAATCAGTTGCATAGTCTTAAATATTATTCTAGTGTTTTATTTTTTCTTTTGTTTTTCTTTTAATTTCTAAAACAATGCTTCTGTAAAGCAACTATGTGAATGGGGCTTGCACACCTCCAACACTGGGAGCATGACTGACCTAGGACCCAGCATCTTTACTCTGAAAGTCATTGTTGAGTATGGATGCGCTGTTCCCAGCCAATGACTGAAGGGAGCAGGGATCTAAGAGAGGTCCAGTCTTGGGAGACAAGGAACTCCATGGACCAGCAAGATGCCTCATAGCCTCCCCAAGGCCTTGCTGAGCTTGTCTGCAACTGTACAACCTTTTACTTTATGGTCCAGTGAAAGATAAGATTTTTTTTTTCTTCAATTTCTGCTTGGAGTCAATTAATATTTACTCACATGATTAACATATTTGGTTTAGGTTCTGGCATCATATCTTATGTAATGCTTTCTGTTTTTACTTTTTCCCCTTAATCTTTATTGTATTATCCTTGTATGTGTGTGTTTGTGTATTTTGATAATTGAAAGGTTTGTATATTCATTTTAGTAGTGACTTTTATGGCTATTCTCATTTCTCATCCTACATTTTAAATTCAGGTTTATGACTTGTTTCTACCATTTACTAGATCTGCAGTCTTCGTCAGGTAGGTTACTCAATCCATTTAGACATTAGTTTTCTCAATGAAACATGGAAATGAAGATATCTTCATTTATTGGTTAATAAGAAAATTAAGTGGCAACATATATGACATACATGCTAAATTAAAGGACACTTTTTAATTGTTTTTTCCTTCTGTTCAGGTAAGATTTAGAGAATAATTAAGCAAAGTATTCCATATCAAATATTAGTTTGAAAAATGAACTAAACATAATTTGAATCTCTTACAAATTCCAAGCAGGTATAAGAAATGCAAAATATTTTTATCTTAGAAGATTTATTTCTTATTACCTGAATAGCTTTGAATTGTATTGAGCACATCTTTATCTGATTAATTATAACATTTAAAAAATCTGGGATTTGGAAAAATGTGCAAAACAAACTAAATATGACTAAGATCTTAGGCATTTATTTTTTAAAATGATCTCACAAATGCTTTGTAAGACAGGTCTGCATGGTTCATGCCTACCTGAGCCCTTCTTTCTGCTGAAGTCTTTTCTTCTGCCTAAATGAGGATGTCCAACTGTGTGCAGCTAGTGAAGTTATATTCAAGCAGCTTTCCATCTGCTTCAGTGTTTTGAGGAAACTTCCTTACATGATCTAACTTCAAGCAATCTTCTGCTCTATAACAGAAGGCTGTTAATGTTGATGAAATGGCTTATTAACACAGTGCACCCACATCTGGCCATCAGGTGCTCAAACTCTACTTCCTCTTTCTATCTTTATCTGTCAGTACCACACTGTCTATTCTCCCAGAAAATACAATCTCTTACTATCGTTGTAGCTGTCTGATTAGAGCCCTTCAATAAAACATTGTATTAAGAAGAGGAAGGAAATTAAATATTAAGTCTAATTTAAATGCTCTGGCATTTGCAAACATATCATTATATTACATTCTAATAAAACTTCTGCAATAGTTTAATGAGCTTGAAAGGCTCCTCCACTAAGCATGATGTTCTGTGCTGAAATAATCTCACAAAAGGGTGTTAAGCTCTGCCTTTTTCTGGCTGCTCTCTCCTGTTTCCCTGCCCTGTAAATTCTAGCCACATTGACCTCCACTCTGGGTATCTCTTCAACCCAGATCACCAGGTTTTGCTTAGATTCCACCTGTCTGTACTGTGGACAGAAGTTTCCAGACAGTGAGCTGTGGCAATCCCAGGGTTGACCTTGCTCCCTTTCCCTCAGGGTCACTGTTCTGTGCTGTCTGTTGTCCAATGTGTCAGACCAAAAATTAGATTGTATATTTCATCTCATTCTTTTATTTTTTTTTAAGATAAGTATGCAACACCAGTCCTGGCTACTCCTTCATGGAGAGAAGTGAATTGAGAATTGACATCGTTTTAACTATAGCAATTTCCTAACATAAGTTAGGATTATACATACAGAACAGACTGTAAATGTTATAAGCCCAGATTATGTACAAATTATATAAATAAGAAAAAAAGGAAGGAAGGTAGAAGTGGAATGAGATCATTTCCCTTTTGTTTTATTGCAAGGGTTAAACATCAATTAAGTAATTTGAGACAATTGAAGTTAAAAAGGTGACCAAGCAATCAACATAATTAACTAAAATTGGAATGTTCAGAGAGGGAAGAGGTGGGGGGAAGGACAATATATTAGTTTCGTCATTGTTTACGGTGAGGATGCAATCAATAGTGTATAAGTAAATAGAAAAAACTAATACAAATCAAGTACTCATATATTGGGAAACATGATGTGCTGACCTAGTCATAAATTCTGAAATATCTGTGTAAGAACAAAGTATACAAGAGAGATTATAAGAGAAAGAAGACATGGATGGCGCATGTGGAGGGAGAGATTGCATAGCGGGACACATTCTGAAGAGTGAGATAGCCTCCACTGGGGAGGACAGAGCCCATCCTGGCTACCAAGCCTGCTTGGGGAGTGGCTAGTGATAACAGGGAAGGTCTGGAAGCCCTGACTTGGAGATGTATGTAGGGAAATGGTAGAGTTAAACCTTCCCTGGACAAGAGACTGAGCCTCAGAAAAGTCAACAAACATGCCCAAGTTATATTGAGGATTCAAATTCAGGTCTGCTTAGCTCCAGTGAACTTGTTCTTTCAGCTGTAGCATAACATCTGCCAACATGAAAGATGTCATGCCTTACACATATGTAATATACTGTGTATAACAACGCATTATTTCATCCCCCCCAACCCAACCACTCTAAAAATTGATATCAGACAATCCCTTAGGGAAGGAGAAGTGTCACAGAAGAAAAAAAAATAGCAGAAACAGATCTTAAATTCACAACATCCAGCACTTTTTTCATTTTCATGGCCATTGCTACCCTACTCCATTTAGATATTATAATTTCTCCATTTGCCCCTTCAATAGCCTACAAATTGGACTCACTGCCTCCAGAAATCTTACTCCCAATAATATTACACACACATAATCCGTTACAGCACCTAAAAGGTTATATGAGTACTTTTTTTTCACATAAACATGAACTAACTCCTTGGTTAGATATGTAGGACCCATCAGATACACATTGTCACTTCATTTCTCTCTTTTTCTCCCTAATTTTTTACATGAAAATGATGCTTCAGATGCTCTAAATTACTTACTGAAATTATATTTTGTATGCCCATTTTCCACATCTTGCTTAATCAATTCTCTTCACCTGGCATGTTTCCTCCTATTTTTGTCTCTGAGGCTATTGCTGATACTCAAGGTATAAAGAATCCCTGGCTGGGCATGGTGGCCCACACCTATAGTCCCAGCACTTCGGGAGGCCGAGGCAGGCAGATCTCTTGAGACCATGAGTTGGAGATCAGCCTAGGCAACATGAAACCCCGTCTCTACGAAAAACACGAAAATTAGCCAGGTGTGGTGGTACACACCTGTGGTCCCAGCTACTCTACTCCAGAGGCTGAGGTTGCAGTGAGCCATGATCACACAACTGTACTCCAGCCTGTGCGACAGAACAAGACCCTGTCTCAAAAGAAAAAAAAAAATCCTTCTTCATTCTTTTAGCTACTCTTCTCATTTGGAAAGCATGGCATAATATAGAATTTAAAAAGAACAATATGTATTGACTTAAGAATGTGTACATATACTTATTTATGTATGCACATATATTTATGAAATATATAGGTTTCATCTATATATAAATTTATAATATATTATGAAATATATAACTATTTTATTAATGACAATATATAATACATATAATCTTAATTTATTTTAAAATATTATATTTTACATTTGAGAAGGCTCTGATTAGTGATGAGTGCCAATTTCCTTGATTTACCTTATTATTTGAGAATATTTAACCACACATTACTACGTTGGTATTAAACATTCTATGAAATATTTAGTAGAATTAGGACATTTTTCCATGCAAAATGGGAATTTTATAAAATTCATAGTATTTATAAAAAGTATTAATAATATGCAATAGTAAGATGAAGCAGCAGATGGAGCTATAGAACTTACTAGTATACATTACTCTTCCTTCTCCAGGCACTTTTTATTGCTGCCTTTGAAGTAATTGGGGATTTGAGATACACAAACACATGTTTTTCCTATTACCTGAAACTTCAGCTTATATGAGTGTATTATACATGCAACATAAGAGTCTGTCATTTCCAAATTAATGGATAGGTTATATTCAATCTTTAAAAAAAACTATATTATTAGTAACCAGAGATTATTAGTAATTACATATATCTTATTAAAAATAAAAATCATTCAATGACACTTGTTACAGCACAGTAAGGACAACTTCATTCAGGATCTATGCGATAGGTATAGGAATCATTGCAATGGGATTTTGTAGTAGGGGAGAAGAGATTGGGCTCACCTCTGGATGCAGTATGGGCAAATGGGAATTTATGGCCAAGGAGCTGTGTGGGAGTCAGGGGAAGGAAAATTTCCAAGAGGAAATATCAGGGGTAAGGGGGATTCTTGATAAACGAATCTAACAGGATTCTTGCTGATTACAGGCCAAGGTGATTAGAACTTACCTGGAGGATGGAGGATGAGGAATCTGATTAGACATTGAGGGTGATCGGATACTAAAGGCAGGGGATTCTTGCTAAAATGACTTAACAGGGTTCTTGCTAAAACTGGATTTTACAAGGAAGTAAGTGCATATATGGGGCTAAGAAAAGGTCTAGAAGCCTGACTAAAGTTTGGTCAAGCAAAGAATCTTTATCAATTTCAACAACATTTATGCCTTAATGATGTTAATATACTATGTTGTACATTCTGGAAATAAAACACATTTAAAAATATCCAATGGTTGTTTTACTATTAATTTTTTAAGCTACACCTAGTATTTACCTGACTAGGCATCACTCAAGAGGAAGTCAATCCACATATTATGAATATCATATACTCAGCTCATATCCCAACTTATCTCCAACAATTCATTCTTGAAGCCTTCTTTGATTTACCCTTCTGGAGCCAAAGCTAGTTGTTGTTCTTAAGTGATCTATTTTCATCAACTATTGAAATTGATAATTTAATTTTCTATCCTTCTGCTGGCCTCTGAGCTTTATATCCATAGTCCCTGGCACAGAGCCTGGCATGTGGCTTGTACTCAGTAAACACTAGCTTCACTGAATAATAAGAGACGTGTATTTGGAGTCTAGGAAGGAGCAACGAAAGAAACCAGGAACTCTAGATAAAGCACAAGAAACGCAAGGGAAGTAAAGTGACGAAGGGGCTGGGCATGATCACACATGCCTGTAATCCCAGCACTTTGGGAAGCCAAGGTGGGCGATTGCTTGAGATCAGGAGTTTGAGACCAGACTGCCCAACATGGTGAGATTCTGTCTCCACTAAAAATACAAAAGATTAGCTAGGCATGGTGGCATGAGCCTGTAGTGCCAGCTACTGGGGAGGTTGAAGCATGAGAATTGCTTGAATTCAGGGGGCAGAGGTTGCAGTAAGCCAAGATAGTGCCAGTGCACTCCAGCTTGGGTGACAGAGAGAGACTGTCAAAGAAAAAAGACAGAAAGTAAAGTGATGAAAAATGATGGCAGGTTTGTAAGTGCCTCATTTACACCCAAGAGTGACATTATCTTTGGTTAATAGAAATAGGATTGGCAGCTTGGAGTAATTCCAGACCAGTTTTGAGGCTGTATTAGTCAGGGTTCTCTAGAGGGACAGATCTAATAGGATAGGATAGATGTGTATATGAAGGGGAGTTTACTAAGGAGTATTGACTCACACGATCACACAAGTCCCACAGTAAGCCATCTGCAAGCTGAGGAGCAAGGAAGCCAGTTCCATTCCTAAAACCTCAAAAGACAGGATGCCAACAGTGCAGCCTTCAGTCTGTGGCCAAAGGCCCAAGAGCACCTGGGAAACCACTGATGTAATACCAAGAGTCCAAAAGCTGAAGAACTTGGAGTGTGATGTTCAAGGGCAGAAATCATCTGGCATGGGAGAAAGATGAAGGCTGGAAGACTCACTAAGTCTGTTCATTCCACTCTCTTCTACCTACTTTATTCTTGCCATGCTGGCAGCTGATTAGATGGTGCCAGCCCCACCCCCTCCCCCACACACACACCAGACTGAAGGTGGGTCTGCCTCTACCAGTCCACTGACTCAAATATTAATCTCCTTTGGCAACACCCTCACAGACACACCAGGAACAAAACTTTGCATCCTTCAATCCAATGAAGTTGACATTCAATATTAACCATCACAGAGGCCATCATAATACTTTGGAGAGACACATTTATGCCAGTTAATATCAATGGTCAGGCAGTTTACTTAAATAAATGAAACAGGACTGATAAGTACTATGGAAAACTGAGAGCACATATCATATCTAAGGAGATGGCATCTACTCAATTCCTAAAGCTCATTGCTTTGTAGGAATGTGGCAGTATTCTAGATCTTGTAACCCTATAGTGGGAGCCAAAAATAATAATCTTACAATTATATGAATTGGTAGTTAATTTTAAATTTTAAAACCTATATTTGGTTTAAGCAAATTATGCCCGTACATTTGACCTTTCTCAAAGACAATTTGCTTTTCCTTGACTCAACTAGGGTAATGACAGTAATGGTGGAGAGGCAGTGGTGGATTCCAGAAACAACTGGGAAGCAGATTGGATAGAAATTAACAACTGTGATATACACACAGAGAAGCATAGAAATATACATTTATAGCTTTAGTTATGCAATATTTGAATGCAGTTGTTCATCTGAGCAATGGCAATTTTTCTACCTTGTTATTCCATCTTTACCTACTCCCTAATTTGTTTTAAGCCACATATTTTTAAAAAGTTCCTAAAGTTTTATTTTAATGGTGGTCTCTCTCTTTATTCTATTTATGTAACATATATATGTTAATATATGTTCCTTTATTATCAAAGTAATACATGCTCCTTGACTGTTTAAAGATATAAGGAAAATCTCTCCTTCCACCCAACTTTTTTTCCACAGAAATAACCACAATTAAGAACTTGTTTTATATCATTTCAAACTCTCATTTATAAATTTAAAACCCATTAAATATATAGATATATGCACTATATTGTTTTGTATATAGTTGCTCTATTTTTATAAAGGTGAAAAAATTGTGTGTATGTCTATTTTTTAAAATTAATTAATTAATTTTTTCTAAGTTTGCTTTTCCATAAGTTATTGGGGTACAGGTGGTATTTGGTTACACGAGTAAATTCTTTAGTGGTGATTTGTGAGATTTTGGTGCACCCATCACCTGAGCAGTATACACTGCACTATACTTGTAGTCTTTTATCTCTTGCCCCCACAACTCTTACCCCAAAATCCCCAAAGTCCATTTTATCATTCTTATGCCTTTGCATCCTCATAGCTTAGATCCCATGTATCAGTAAGAACCTACGATGTTTTGTTTTCCATTCCTGAGTTATTTCACTTAGAATAATAGTCTCCAATCTCATCCAGGTCATGGCAAATGCTGTTAATTCATTCTTTTTTTGTAGCTGTGTAGTATTCCATCATATATATACACCACAGTTTCTTTATCCACTCATTGATTGATGGGCATTTGGGTTGGTTCCACGATTTTGCAATTGTGAGTTGTGCTGCTATAAACATGCATGTGAAAGTATCTTTTTCAAATAATGACTTGTTTTCCCTCTGGGTAGATACCCAGTAGTGGGACTGCAGGATTAAATAGTAGTTCTACTTTTAGTTCTTTAAGGAACCACCACACGGTTTTCCATAGTGGCTGTACTAGTTTGCATTCCCACCAGCAATGTAGAAGTGTTCTCTGTTCACCATATCCATGACAACATCTACTGTTTTTTGATTTTTTGATTATAGCCATTCTTGCAGTAGTAAGGTGATATTGCATTGTGGTTTTGATTTGCATTTCCCTGATCATTAGTGATGTTGAGCATTTTTTCATATGTTTGTTGGCCATTTGTATGTATGTTCTTTTGAGAATTGTCTATTCATGTCCTTAGCCCACTTTTTGATGGGATTGTTTGCTTTTTTCTTACTGATTTGTTTGAGTTCATTGTAGATACTGGATATTAGTCCTTTGTTGGATGTAGAGATTGGGAAGATTTTTCTCCCATTCTATGAGTTGTCTGTTTACTCTGCTGACTGTTCCTTTTGCCATACAAAAAGCTCTTTAGTTTAATTAGCTCTCAGCTATTTATCTTTGTTTTTATTGCATTTGCTTTTGGGTTCTTGGTCATGAAATCCTTGCCTAAGCCAATGTTTAGAAGGGTTTTTCCAATGTTATCATCTAGAATTTTTATAGTTTCAGGTCTTAAGTTTAAGTCCTTAATCCATCTTGAGTTGATTTTTGTATAAGATGAGAGATGAGGATCCAGTTTCATTCTCCTACATGTGGCTAGCCACTTATGGCAGCACCATTAGTTGAAAAGGGTGTCCTTTCCCCACTTTATGTTTTTGCTTTGTCAAAGGTCAGTTGGCTGTAAGCATTTGGGTTGATTTCTGAGTTCTCTATTTTGTTCCATTATTCTATGTGCCTAGTTTTATACCAGTACCATGCTGTTTTGGTGACTATAGTCACCAAACCAGTATAGTTTGAAATCAGGTAGTGTGATATCTCCAGATTTGTTATTTTTGCTTAGTCTTGCTTTGGCTATGGGGGATCTTTTTTTGGTTCTATATGAATTTTAGAATTGTTTTTTATAAGTCTGTTAAGAATAATGGTGGTATTTTGATGGGGATTGCATTGAATTTGTAGATTGCTGTTGGCTATGGTCATTTTCACAATATTGATTCTATTTTAAAAGGGGTGGAGTTCTTGATTTGATTCTCTGCTTGGTTGCTGTTGGTGTATAGAAGAGCTACTGATTTGTGTACATTAGTCTTGTATCTGGAAACTCTGCTGAATTCTTTTATCAGTTCTAGGAGCTTTCTGGAGGAGTCTTTAGGATTTTCAAGGTAAGTGATCATATTGTCAGCAAACAGTGACAGTTAGACTTCCTTTTTACTGATTTGGATGCCCTTTATTTCTTTCTCTTTTCTGATTGCTCTGGCTAGGACTTCCAGTACTATGTTGAAGAGGAGTGGTGAGAGTGGGCATCCTTGTCTTGTTCCACTTCTCAGTGGGAATGCTTTCAGCTTTTCCCCATTTAGTATTATGTTGGCTGTGGGTTTGTCATAGATGGCTTTTACTACATTAAGGTATGTCTCTTGTATGCCAATTTTGCTGACAGTTTTGATCATACAGGGATGATGGATTTTGTCGAATGCTTTTTTGCATCTATTGAAATGATCATGTGATTTTTGTTTTTAATTCTGTTTATGTGGTGTATCACATTTATTGACCTGTGTATGTTAAACCATCCCTGCATCCACAGTATTAAACCCACTTGATCATGGTGGATTATCTCTTTGATATGTTGTTGTACTCTGTTAGCTAATATTTTGTTGAGGATTTTAGTATCTATGTTCATCAAGGATATTGGTCTGCAGTTTTCTTTTTTGGTTATGTCCTTTCCTGGTTTTGGTATTAGGGCGATCCTGGCTTCCTAGAATGAATTAGGGAGGGTTCCTTCTTTCTCTATCTTGTGGAATAGTGTCAAAAGGATTGGTACCAATTCTTCTTTGAATGTCTGGTAGAATTCTGCTGTGAATCCATCTGGTCCTGGACTTTTTTTGTTGGTAGTTTTAAAATTACCATTTCAATCTTGCTGCTTGTTATTGGTCTTTTCAGGGTATCTATTTCTTCCTGATTCAAGCTAGGAGGGTTGTATTTTTCCAGGAATGTATCCATCTCTTCTAGGTTTTCTAGTTGATGTGCATAAAGGTGTTCATAGTAGCCTAGAATGACCTTTTGTATTTCAGTGGTGTCAGTTGTAATATCTTCTGTTTCATTTCTTAATGAGCTTATTTGGATTTTCTCTCTTCTTTTCTTGGCTAATCTTGCTAATGGTCTATCAATTTTATTTATGTTTTCCTTTTGTTTCATTTATCTTTTGTATTTTTTTTGTTTCAATTTCATTTAGCTCTGCTCTGATCTTGGTTATTTTCTTTCTTCTGCTGGGTTTGGGGATTGGTTTGTTCTTGTTCCCCTAGTTCCTTGAGGTGTGACCTTAGAATGTCAGTTTGTGCACTTTCAGTGTTTTTGACACAGGCATTTAGGGCTATGAACGTTCCTCTTAGCACTGCCTTTGCTGTATCTCAGAGGTTTTGATAGGTTGTGTCATTATTGCTGTTCAGTTCAAGGAAGTTTTAAATGTCCATTTTGATTTCATTTTTGACCCAGTGCTCCGTTAGGAGCTGGTCATTTAATTTCCATGTATTTGCGTGGCTTAGGAGTTGATTTTCAGTTATATTCCACTGTGGTCTGAGAGAGTACTTAATATAATTTCAAATTTCTTAAATTTATTGAGGCTTCTTTTATGGCCTATCATATGGTCTATCTTGGAGAAAGTTCCATGCGCTGTTGAACAGAATGTGTATTCTGTGGTTGTTGGATGAAATGTCCTGTATATATCTGTTAAATCCATTTGCTCCAAGGTATAGTTTAAATCCATTGTTTCTTTGTTGACTTTCTGTCTTGATGACCTGTCTACTGCTGTCAGTGGAGTATTGAGGTCCCCCACTATTGTTGTGTTGCTGTCTATCTCATTTCTTAGGTCAATTAGTAATTGTTTTATAAATTTGGGAACTCCAGTGTTAGGTGCATATATGTTTAGGATTTGTGGTATTTTCCTGTTGGACAAGGCCTTTTACCATTATATAATGTCCCTCTTTGTCTCTTTTAACTGCTGTTGCTTTAAAGTTTGTTTTTTCTGATATAAGAATAGCTACCCCAGCTAGTTTTTGGTGTCCATTTGCATGAAATGCCTTTTTCTACCCCTTTACTTTAAGTTTATGTGAGTCCTTATGTGTTAGGTGAGTCTCCTGAAGGCACCAGATAGTTTCTTGGTGAGTTCTTATCCATTCTGCGGTTCTGTATGTTTTTAGTAAGCATTTAGGCCACTTACATTCAATGTTAGTATTGAAATGTGATGTACTTTTGTATCCATTGTGCTCTTTGTTGCCTGTGTACTTTGGGTTTTTTTGTTATTTGTTTTTGCTTTTTTAACTTTAATTTTTGTTTTATAGGTCCTGTGTGATTTATGCTTTAAACAGGTTCTGTTTTGTTGTGTTTCCAGTATTTGTTTCAAGATTTAGAGCTTCTTTTAGCAGTTCTTGTAGTGGTGGTTTGGTAATGGCAAATTATATCAGCATTTGTTTGTCTGAAAAGGATTGTATCTTTCTTTCATATATGATGCTTAGTTTCACTGGATCCAAAATTCTTGGCTTATAATTGTTTTGTTTGAGGAGGCTAAAGATAGGGCCCCAATCCCTTCTAGCTTATAGGGTTCCTGCTGAGAAATCTGCTGTTAATCTGATACTTTTTCCTTTATAGGTTACCTGGTGCTTCTGTCTCACAGCTCTTAAGATTCTTTCCTTCATCTTAACTTTGGATAACCTGATGACAATGTGCCTAGCAAAGATCGTTTTGTGACGAATTTCCTGGGTGTTCCTTGTGCTTATTCTTTGTGGATGTCTAAGTCTCTAGCAAGGCTGGGGAAGTTTTCCTCGATTATTCCCTCAAATATATTTTCCAAGCTTTTAGAATTCTCTTCTTCCTCAGGAACACCAATTATTTTTAGGTTTGGTCATTTAACATAATCCCAGACTTTTTGGAGGCTTTGTTCATATTTTCTTATTCTTTATTCTTTGTCTTTGTTGGATTTGGCTAATTCGAGGACCTTGTCTTTGAGCTCTGAATTTCTTTCTCCTACTTGTTCAGTTCTATTGCTGAGACTTTCCAGAGCATTTCACATTTCTAAAAGTGTGTCCAAAGTTTCCTGAACTTTTGATTGTTTTTTCTTTAAGCTATCTATTTCCTTGAATATTTCTCCCTTCACTTCTTGTATTATACTTTGGATTTCCTTGCATTGGGCTTTGCCTTTCTCTGGTTCCTCCCTGATTAGCTCAATAACTAACCTCCTGAATTCTATTTCAGGTAAATCAGGGATTTCTTCTTGGTTTGGATCTACTGCTGGTGAACTGGTGTGATTTTTTTGAGGGTGTTGAAGAGTCTTATTTTGTCATAGTGCCAGGGTTGGTTTTCTGGCTTCTTCTCATTTGGGTAGGCTCTGTCAGAGGGAATATCTAGGGCTAAGGGCTGTTTTTCAGATTCTTTTGTCCCACAGGGTGTTCCATTGATGTAGTACTCTCCCCCTTTTACTATGGATGTGGCTTCCTGTGAGTGCAACTGCAGTGATTGTTGTTTCTCTTCTGGGTCTAGCCACCCAGACAGTCTATCCAGCTCTGGGCTGGTAGTGGGGGCTGTCTGCACAGAGTCTTGTGATGTGAACTATCTATGGGTCTCTCAGTCTTGGATATCAGTGCCTGTTCTGGTCGAGGTGGCAGGGAGGTGGGTGCAATGGACTCCATGAGGGTTCTTAGCTTTGGTGGTTTAATGCTCTATTTTTGTGCTGTTTGGCCTCCTGCCAGGAGGTGGCACTTTCCAGAGAGCCTCAGCTATGGTAGTATGGGGAGGAACCGGCAGTGGGCGGGGCCCTAAAACTCCCAAGATTATTTGCCCTTTGTCTTCACTACCAGTATTTTTAAAATAGCATATTATGATATGGTTCTGCATTTTTTTCAAAGATCCCCCTCCACTATACATACATTTAACTTTTTGAAAATGAAATATACATAACTTGGAAGAACAAAAGTTAAGAAAATATATAAACAATTCAGGCATTTCTGCTCAATCAGCAGAATGTTTCTGACTCAGAGTAGACAAGAAATGCCTTTCCATTTTCTTTGTTTCCTCCATTGGTCTCAGTTCATAAGACCACTCAGTGCCACTTTTAGTGAGTTCTTCCAACACTAAGTTTGGTCTAGTAGTTGAAGAATGTATGTTTTGTAAAAACACTCTCCTTATATAGAAATTAACTAATTTACTCAGGGCTGTTGTTTCCATCATAACACATTCCTGAGAGATTTTTACAGATAAGGTTCACTATAAGTAAATTTAGATCTACACACTGGCTTTAGAACCTAACTCTCTGCTAAGATACAACTGTATTGTACATTTCTACCTAACTTTTTATCAGCAAAATATTACTCTAATTCATAGATTTGAAGATACATTCGCTGATTCCTTATGTACATATATTATTGGGAAGGACAACTTTCCTCCATTTTCATTCTTTTTAAGGAATATCTTACCTATTCTAAGTAATTATTCTTCAAGATAAATTTTACTAATTTTCAGAAAACAAATTAACTTTATTAGAATTCTGAATGCAAATGAGTTAAAATTAATAATTATCTTTGTACCGTTTACTGAGTTTCTTCTTTGTGCCAAGTATTCCTGGAATTCATTTAAATCTCATAATTCTCCAAAGTAAACATTATATTGTTATTATCAATATTATAGAAACAAGAATATTGTGACTCCGAACTGTTATGTTTCGTTTCCAGAGTTATACAGCAAGTGGGCATTAAAGCTAAGACTTCAAGCCAGACTTTAAAGCCCCCAACCTAAACCTAAGCCTTGCTTCCTATTTGATTTTTATATGACATATATTATCTTTTGATTTGAATTTGGGGATAATAATATCTTTATAATGTGAATCTTCCCAACCAAGAGTACATCTATGTCTCTTCCTGTGTTCAAGTAATTATATTCATAATAATAATGTAATATATGTTATTAAGGTATTGTGGTTTTCTATACTATGCACATGCATTTATTCACCATTTAGATATTTGTGTCTATTTTTTAAAGGGAGGGTCTCACTCTGTCACCCAAGGTGGAGTGCAGTGGTGCGATCATAACTCACTGTAGCCTGGAACAGAAGATAGATGCAACGGTGATCTTCCTGCCTCAGCCTCCTGAGTAGCTGACTACAGGTGCCATACCTGGCTAATATTTTAATTTTACTGTTACTTTTTGTACAGACAGGGCCTCACTCTGTTGTCCAGGCTGGTCTAGAACTCCTGGCCTCAAACCATCCTCCAGCCTCATCCTCCCAAAAGTGCTGGGATTACAGGCATGAACCACCATGACCAGCCTACGTATGTCTTTATATATCATCACTTCATGGCTCTTTTCATCATTTCAATGACCACATTTTAGCCTCAAATATAGATTGGCTTCAGAAATAAAGTACTATAAATAGCACTGAATTTAGTTTGTGTAGCAAAAAAGCTAAGCTGTCCTCAAAACAAAGACGTGTTAAAATATAAGCAGACAAAATAGAGAAGTTAGTACAATTTTAAATGTTGCTAAATATTTATGTATAAATGGATTGATCAGACTTTAAATTTTCCCCAAGGAGACGTACAAATAAAGTGCTCCAAACAACTTATTTCCTGGTTAGAAAACACAGCCAGTTTATCCTGGTCTTGTGATGCCCAGTTCCTTCCCACCACCATCACATAGCAGATGAAGGTAAATACGAATCCCTCACAGGGAGTAGTACAACAGAGAACTTTAACAACACAGTGGCCACTAGGGAGCACATTCAGCTTTCTTATCAGGGACATTGCACGTAGTTCTGCTGTCAGTTTCAAATTTAAGGGCCCTCTTTGATGGTTAAAGAATTTTGAAATCAGTAACAATTACAAAAATAGTTAAAATGTTTATATTTATTATTAGAAGGGCACTGCATGATTTTTTTGATGTACAGGAAAAAAGAAGCAAAATCCAAAAGCAATTTTTACTAATATTTGACAAATGTCGTCAGTCTCATATAAAACTATGTTCATAGGGCACGTATATTTTTGAGTTTGTTTTAATGTGCTTAATTTTATGACCTAAGAATTTTCACAGTATTAAAATGTTTGATTAAATCTATTTTATCTTTTTAAAAGTATTCCATCTTATAGCTACAGTTATGTGGTGCCTAAACTTCCCATGAATATTGGACATTTATGCTGCTTCTGATTTTTTTAATAGAAACCATGCTCTAAAAAGTGTACCGTAAGAGCAAAAGTTCAGGTAGACCTAGATTCATGTCTCAACTATGACAATTAGCATTTGAAATGTGGGGCTAGTTATTAACACCTGTAAGCGTCATGGTTTTTTTCTTAAAATAGTAGGCAATAGCATCTATATGGCAATTGCTGTTGATTTAGCGAGTAAAACACATAGAGAAGAAACAACTTAGCATACAGGAAATACTAAATACATACTCTCTGATATATAATGTATTATTGTTGTGATTTTTGTACATGAATCTGCATTTAAGATTATTCTTCTAAAACACATTTCTGAAAGCAGACATGCTCATTCAAAAGTTATTGATCCACATTTGCAAATTGCTTTCCAAAATAGTTGATCAATTTTTAAACTCGAAGTGTTTTTCAAATTTTAGATTTCCTCCTTAATATAAAACAGTAAATATTTAGCAAATCACATGATTTTAACCTTGAAATTATCATTGTCTTTAGATGTACAAATTGAGCATGTGCATTAGAAAGTATTATGTGCATCTGATTCTATCTTTTTTCTAAACCAGATAATCTGAGTTTCACAAAGTCTGTCAAGTATTTTATGTGTGTATACATACATCTCATTTTCCTGAGTAGGAGGAACAACACTCCTTGTAAATTTCAGGAAGCTCTGTGTCTCAAGAGAGGTAAAGAGCCCCAAGCCAAAACCCAACCTTCCTAAAATATTGGGCCTGCTGATCTGCTTGAAGAACTTCAAATATGCCTTGTTTCTCTGGGACAAATATGCTAACCAGTGTAAACATATAATGTTAACTTTTTTTCCTATTTCCTTTGGCTGATATTTTCTGTAACCTCTTCCAAAAACTAAAAGAGTTGTAACATCTATAGGTAATACGTTGTATGATGACAATATTACTATTTTAAAGTTTACTTTAAATATGACTAGTGATTTTAAAATAAGTTCCCTCTACCTACATTTAGTACACATGCATTCCATTTATAATGTACTCAAAATGTTATATTCATTCATGTTGGTGACATGTCTGAAACTTCTTGGCCTTTTGACTAATTACATCTAATTAGAAGATACATAGAAACATATAGCAAAACAGAGTTTACATTTCTTTTCTCCTTTTTGGGAGGTCGCCAACTATATGGTTACAAAGAGCTAATCAAGAGCCAATTTCTTGTAGGTGCAATCTACTTACTGTTTGACTTCTCTGTACATACCTATGTCCAGAAAGCAGCAAGCCTTGAGAGGTGAATATATTTGGGGCACTTAGAAAATGATAGGTAAACAAGTAAGTGAAAATAAATAAACCATATGAAGTTAATCTTATATTTGCGCCTTGAAAAAAAAGCCTTCAAATAGGTGAGCTTTTGATTGAGTTATTTATATAAAACTCTTAAGAGATACAATCACTTTCAAGAGAAAGATGTGGTTTCCCTTAAAATCATTTTCCTTAACCTTCATTCTCCCAGGGGCTTTATGGATTTTAGATAAGAATTTCAGCTATGTTGATGTGAAAGCTGCTTATGAAAGAGCCAGAGTAAAGATCTGAAATACAAATAACTATTGAAAAGTAAATTACTGGACACTTACCCTATTTATTTGTTTCTACTGAGTTGGGCACCAACATTATTGGTATGAGAAAGCAGACTCTTATCTATTCAGTATGGAGTTCCTGATGAATTTGATATCTTATTTCTAATCTCATTTAGCTGATATTGTAAAGATATTTTCCAAAGAAAAAGATCGTAAGTAGAAAGCAGAGCATATGTATTAGGAGAGCCTTGAGTCTTACAGAAAGCTAGATGGAGAAAACATACATATGTCCCAAGTCCCTGTTTTCCACCAATGTGAAAAAATATGAAATATTAGAACCAAAGGTATTTTCATGGAATCAATAAGTTGCTCATCTCTGTGGATCTCTTTAACCAAATCAATAATTTGGAACAAATACTCTGACTCCAAGGCAGTGATTCAGCAATGAACTTTTGAATAGAAATTTAATACAATTTGGAGCCTTAAAAAATGAAAATTATCTCCCATCCTAACTTCTCCGTTAAGATATTTTAATATAAATAAAAAGGGGCTCCCATAAAACTAGGGAATCACAGAATAAGAGATTTGCTAGTGTTCTGGGTCCTTTCTTCTTCCATTGATAGCTAGGGAAGAGTTTCTTATGACAGGCGCTCGGGAAGTTAAGTTTCCTGCCTGTTAATGATATGAGGGTACCTTCTTGAAGATGAACCCAAGTGGAGGCAGAAGAGGCTTCTACTCAGGATTTCCCCATAATGTCTTCTGTTTTAAAAATAAAAATAAAAAATTCCAAAGAAATGTCCCTTTACTAAAAAGTGGAAGTTGCCACAGAGTCTTGGAAATAAATCACCTAAACGTCAACAGTAGTTCGATCAAAATGATGTTATTAACCTAGCTCTATGTTAGAGTCCTAGAGTCTAAGCTTGCAGGCATCAGAACCTCAACTTTCTTCTTCACTGTATTTTCATCTCACGCATATTTGTGAAATGAATGAGTAAATGTTCACAGAAAAAAAACATAGACCCTGACCAATTGAGTAATCTCATTTGTTTCTTAATCCTAATTGGTTAAAAACGAGTGACCGTATGCCCTTATTAAATGATTCCTATCAAGTTTATATGCTTTCACAGTTTCATATCTTTATATCATCGTAATAGCCATGTAAACTTGTTCTCCCTGCTTGGTTTTGGAAAAATACTCTTAAGAATACTTGGGTGACCATACTTAACAATAACATATTATATATTTTAAAATAACTGAAAGGGTGGAATTCGAATTTTCCTAACAAAAAGAATAATAAATTCTTGAGGTGATGGATACTCCCAGCTACCCTGATTTGATCATTACACTTTGTGTGCCTGTATCAAAAAATCACATGTACTATATTAATATATTAGCATATTATGTATCCATAATAATATAAAAATTAAAATAAATAAATTTTGAGTGAATCAGAAAAATAATATTTGGAAATTTTCATTTTTTTTACCGTTCTTGGTAGCACTTACAGAGAATGTACATTTTTAACACAATTCAATAATTAAATTTAGTTTCTCTTTTTACTGTTCATTAGAATGATACCTTAACCCCCCCTCCCCCCCGCCACCTCCATACACTCACACTCCCACGCACAATTTTCAAATAAATACATGTCGTACTTGGGGAAATGTTTAAGATTACACGTGGGCAAGGACTTCATGTCTAAAACACCAAAAGCAATGGCAACAAAAGACAAAATTGACAAATGGGATCTAATTAAACTAAAGAGCTTCTGCACAGCAAAGGAAACTACCATCAGAGTGAACAGGCAACCTACAAAATGGGAGAAAATTTTCACAACCTACTCATCTGACAAAGGGCTGATATCCAGAATCTACAATGAACTCAAACAAATTTACAAGAGAAAAACAAACAACCCCATCAAAAAGTGGGCGAAGGACATGAACAGACACTTCTCAAAAGAAGACATTTATGAAGCCAAAAAACACATGAAAAAATGCTCACCATCACTGGCCATCAGAGAAATGCAAATCAAAACCACAATGAGATACCATCTCACACCAGTTAGAATGGCAATCATTAAAAAGTCAGGAAACAACAGGTGCTGGAGAGCATGTGGAGAAATAGGAACACTTTTACACTGTTGGTGGGACTGTAAACTAGTTCAACCATTGTGGAAGTCAGTGTGGTGATTCCTCAGGGATCTAGAACTAGAAATACCATTTGACCCAGCCATCCCATTACTGGGTATATACCCAAAGGACTATAAATCATTCTGCTATAAAGACACATGCACACGTATGTTTTTTGCGGCACTATTCACAATAGCAAAGACTTGGAACCAACCCAAATGTCCAACAATGATAGACTGGATTAAGAAAATGTGTCACATATACACCATGGAATACTATGCAGCCATAAAAAATGATGAGTTCATGTCCTTTGTAGGGACATGGATGAAACTGGAAATCATCATTCTCAGTAAACTATTGCAAGAACAAAAAATCAAACACCACATATTCTCACTCATAGGTGGGAATTGAACAATGAGAACACACGGACACAGGAAGGGGAATATCACACTCTGGGGACTGTTGTGGGGCCGGGGAGAGGGGAGGGATAGCATTAGGTGATATACCTAATGCTAAATAACGAGTTAATGGGTGCAGCACACCAGCATGGCACATGTATACATATGTAACTAACCTGCACATTGTGCACATGTACCCTAAAACTTAAAGTATAATAATAATAATTTTAAAAAAAATTTAGATGACAAAAAAAAAAAAAAAAAAAGAAGTGCTCTGGACACCTTTGAGAAAAATCCAGCTTTGAGAGTCCCTTAAACTTTTGAGGATATGTTTTTGACAAGTCATGGGGCAGCCCAAAGGGGAATCCAGCCTAGGATAGGGCAACAGCCTTGGCAAAGGTTTGGAGGTGGGAGGGGAGGCAGAGCAAAAAAAAAAAAAAAAAAAAAAAAAAAATTACGTTTACTCTGCCTTCAATGACAGAGAAACCATGGGCTTAAATATTTGCATACACATTGATCTAAGGGTTTCTAATCAAACTTGAACTCATTTAGGATACTGCTAGTAATCCAGAAAGCGGGTAGGAGAGCTAATATTGGTTAAAGGGGAAGCTTCATGAGCTTTACTACACGCTACCAGGTTTCCTAATCCTATTTGCCCACATGTTGCCATTCCACAAAACTCCAAAGATAAGAATTGTCTTAGGTATAAATATTGCCTCATGATTACAGGGATGGAATTGGGCAAAGGTTGGAACATAGATACTAATCCACATTTACTTAAAGTCAAAGAATGTAAAATATTACAGGCTGCCATAATACTTACTATAACTTAAATAATACACAGTCTTTTATTTTGTAGTGGGGAAAAACTATACAATAGAAAATTTTCAATTAAGAAATTTATAAGCCCCTTCAGAATGATTACTTAGTATTAGAATCATAACAGAGTGTAAGTATTGGATATTAATAAACCTTTTAAAAATCAATAGGTAACACACATGAGGCATTCTAATTCAGACACGAATTTCAAGAATTCAAAAACATTACTCCTATCAGCAAAAAAACATTGTGTCTGCAGTTTATCTTATCAGTCATGGTTGTATGTCAGGGTCTAATTTTAAAAAATGGCTTGCTAGTTGTAGATGCCTGAGATATTTATTTTCTGTACAGAGGCCAGATCCACTGTGTGTTTTATTGGAAAAATCTTGTGTTGCATTTGATTATTCCATCTCATTGTCACAAAATCACCATGAAGTCCTTATAATGTACTTCCACACATTCCAAAAAGAATTAGCCCCAGTAAAGAGGTTTCTTTTCTTTGGGGATTTAATCATTGTGTATGTTGAGAAAAATACACATCTTTGTAAAAATTATTCTAAGAGATGTTAAATTCTGATCTTTCTCCACATTAGAGTGCTTTTAAGTCTTTATGTTAACATTTTAAAAAGTTATATTATATTCAAAGATTAAAGTATTTTTCAAATATCCTATGAGCTCCTTTTAAAGGTATTCTTTGTTTCTGTTTTTGTAAGATTTAATTTTTTGGAGCAGTTTTAGGTTCACAGCGAAATTGAGAGGTACAGAGATTTCTCATATACCCCTGTCCCAACTCATGCATAGCCTTCTGCATTTTCGACACCTTTCACCAGAGTGGTACATTAGCCACCATCAACGGAGCTGCATCAACATATCATTATCACCCAAACCCCAGAGTTTACATTAAGGTTTGCTGTTGGTGTTGTACATTCTATGGGTTTGAACAAACGTATAATGACATGTATCCATCATTATAGTATCATACAGAATATTTTCACTGCTTTAAAGATCATCTGTGTTCTTCCTCTTCATACCTCCTTCCCCACAAGCCCTGTCAACCACTGTCTCCACTGTCTGCAAAGTTTTGCCCTTTCAATAATGTCATATAGTTGCAGTCATACAGTATGTTGCCTTTCTAGATGTCTTACTTCACTTAATAATGTGCCCTTAGTTTTCCTCCATGTTTCTTCATGGCTTGATAGCTCATTTCTTCCCATGGTCTGGATGCACTACAGTTTAATTATTCACTCACCTACCGAAGGTCATCTAGGATGCTTCCAAGTTTGGGCAATTATAAATAAAGCTGCAATAAACATCCGTAGGCAGATTCTGTTTCTTAGTTCTTTGTAGCAAGATTTTTACTTGTCCTTAAAAATCTAACATTATAATACATACTTAATAAATAATAATAATAAATTTGCTCTATATAGAATACAAAGGGTAAAATATGAGAGTTTCTCCTCCTCCAACTCCCTCCACCCTTAAATCTCCCTCCACCTTTCCCAAGTCCCAAAGGTAACTGCTGCTAAAATTTGCATCATATATGTGTCAAACATATGTTTCAATATTTTTAGTGGGCTGGGTAATTTAAGAACAAATGAGAGAAGGATACTGCGATTTTAAAAATTACTTTCAATGCAGAAAAAATGCATTTAAACTGTTCAAAATAGAGATAATTACATAAATTATCCAAGTTTATTATGTAGATATACATAGTTTGTCTTGCTGTATCCTAATTTATATGAATATATCTTAGACAGATACATGAGTTGTTGAGATATATTTCTAGATGTACATAGTATGTCTGTTTTATTTTTAAATTATGTTCTAAAAATACTTTCATAAAAAATTAAACTCAAAATCTTCCATACATATTTTTGACAAAAACTAAAATGTCAGCTTTATTTCTGAAGAACTAAACTACAGATATAAAATAGCTAGACAGTTACTTTTCTTAAAAAAAGAAAAAAGAAGTCTCATTTCTCTTGTCTTTTTTAATAAAAATAAGTGTTTTATAACTCAAGATAATGTTTCTAGAAAATAAAGGGTCATCAACAATATACTTTTAAATATTATGATCATCTTGTATAATTTAATAATATCGAGAGCTAAAGCTCAATTTTAAAGTTGTTTTTAAATTAATTTTGAATTACATTTTTAAAAAACAAAAGATAAAAAAGCATTTTTTTGATTATTCAATGATTGGATAGATTCACAATTTTCCTTGTCTCTTGGAATCTATTTATTTGACTTTAACTGAAACATTCTCACCCCGACTTTATCAGTTCATGGGTTCTTAATTCCAACAACTTTCCAGGTCTGAAAAGAATTCTTAGTTCTTTTTCTACAGCCTTCCTCTTCATTTGCTAACCATGTTTCAACAAGCTACTGTGTTTACTTTTCATCTCCTGCTTCAAAATTTTCTGTGGTTTCCCTTCCTTCCTTGTAGAAGTTTTACAAATAAATCTTCAGAGTATAAGAGAATAATGTCTTCTTTTGAAACTTCAGAAAAATAGTTATATGCAGTAAAGGATTGGCTTTCTCACTACATTTAGGCAGAAAATATCAAATAAAGGAGAACATTTTAGCCCCAGAGAGGTAAATTTAGCTTAAGAAAAAAAATATTGAAAGTTGAGTGAGCCTATTTTATTTCAGAAGTGAAGAAAAATGTCAAAAATAAAAGCCTAATAAGAAAATAATAATTATACCTAAGCTTCATAATGGCTGCAAGTGTGTTATTAAACATATATAGTTGTCTAAATGAAGTGTTTCTTTCACAGATGCAACAAAATAATGATCCAAAAGTAATGAGACACCTCCAGTGACCTCCACCACCCCAGCCCTGCTCTCCTCCTCAACCCCTTGCCATGTTCCTCACTCTTGCCACAGGCGTTCTCTTTGTACCCCAAATAGGCTATGTCACTCTCAGGACCTTTGTGTACTTGCTGTCCTTCTCTCCTGTGGCTCTCCCTCAGTATTTGCTCTGGTGACTTTTCCACATTCAGGATTTAGCTCAAGTAGTATTTCCTCACCAAACTATCTAGTTAGCTTCAATACTGTTGGTTTGCTTTCTATCATTTTACCTGTTTTAATAGCAATTAAAACGACCTGAAATTATCATTTAATTTAATGTTTATATTAATTAAATGCTCATTTAATTGTCTATTGCCTGTCTTCTCCCTAGATTTAATCTTTATGTGAGTAGGATCTTTGTCTTGTTCCCCTTCTGTAGCCCAATTGCAGCAGCCTGAATGGCACATAATAGTTACTGAATACATATTTTTATAATTATTTTATTCTATGAATGCTTTTCCCATCTACACATCAGTGCTCCTTGATTGCACTTCAAGGATCACATAATTGACAAGTGGGAAGACTTCACAGTCATTGAACCCAATTATCTTTTCAATGTTAGCATCACCCAAAACTGTCCAATTTGAAGAACCTGCCCAGGTTGAATTTTTTCTGTCATGGGAATTCAATACCTCCCAAAGACTTTCTTTTCAATATCATTGTAAATGTATTTCACAGAGTAAACCTAAGTTAATTTATTAATTCAACAAATATTTATTAATCAAAGACCCAATACATCCTACGGAATGCTCTAAATATTTGGTGTGTATCATTGAACAGAAAAACAACAAAAATCCTCATTCTCATGGGTCTTACATTCTAGAAGTAAGAGATAAACTGTTGCACTTTGGGATGCCGAGGCGCGCGGATCATGAGGTCAGGAGATCAAGACCATCCTGGCTAACATGGTGAAACCCCGTCTCTACTAAAAATAGAAAAAAATTAGCCTGGCGTAGTGGCGGGCCCCTGTAGTCCCAGCTACTCGGGAGGCTGAGGCAGGAGAATGGCGTGAACCCGGGAGGCGGAGCTTGCAGTGAGCCGAGGTGGCGCCACTGCTCTCCAGCCTGGGCGACAGAGTGAGACTCCATCTCAAAAAATAAATAAATAAATAAATAAATAAATAAATAAATAAATAAATAAATAAACTGTTAAATATAATATTTTTAAAGCATCCCACTGTAATAAAAGGTGAAACATAGAAGAGAGTGAAGGTGATCAGTAGCTACAGAGTCAGGGCAGGTTGAAATTTTAGAGTAAATTTAAAGTAAATTTTAAAGTTCACAGTAGATCTTGTACAGGTCAAGGAGATGTGTCACAATATGTGGGGGGTCATTGTAGGCAAAGATAACTGCCTTGAAGTGGAGAGAAGGCCTGTTCTGTCCAGAAACAGCAAGGAGGCTTGTGTGACTAGACAGTGTCAGTGCAGTGGAGAGAAGACGAGGAGGCAAGTGGTAAGTTATTTGTGTGTAGCTCGGGATAGTGGTGGTTAGAGTGTCGTAGGATGTTGTTGGCTATTTTAGGAACTTTAACTTTCCCTATGAATGCAAAGGGGTCTTTTGTGCTGTGTAAAGTAATGACGTTATCTCACTTATGATTTAAACGTTCCGTCTGGCTGTTGTGTTGAGAATCGACTTTGAGGGTGAAGGGTTAAAGCAGGGAGTTCTATCAGGAGCACATCATAGTAATCCTGGAAGGAGAAATCTATAGTACGGATCATGGTGAGAGGTGACAGCGTGCTGGCAGTCCTCAGAGCCCTCGCTCGCTCTAGGTGCCTCCTCTGCCTGGGCTCCCACTTTGGCGGAAATTGAGGAGACCTTCAGCCCACCGCTGCACTGTGGGAGCCCCTTTCTGGGCTGGCCAAGGCCGGAGCCCGCTCCCTTAGCTTGCAGGGAGGTGTGGGGGGAGAGGCACGAGCGAGAACCAGGGCTGCGCGTGGCGCTTGCGGGCCAGCTGCAGCTCCGGGTGGGCATGGGCTTGGCGGCCACGCACTCGGAGCAGCCGGCCGGCCCTGCTGGCCCTGGGCAGTGAGGGGCTTAGCCCCCGGCCAGCGGCTGCGGAGGGTGTACTGGGTCCCCCAGCAGTGCCAGCCCACCGGCGCTGCGTTCGATTTCTCGCCGGGCCTTAGGTGCCTTCCGGCGGGGCAGGGTTAGGGACCTGCAGCCTGCCATGCCTGAGCCTCCCACCCTCTCCGTGGGCTCCTGTGCCGCCCGAGCCTCCCCGATGAGTGCCGCCCCATGCTCCAGGGCGCCCAGTCCCATCGGCCACCCAAAGGCTGAGGAGTGCGGGCGCACAGCGCAGGACTGGCAGGCAGCTCCACCTGTAGCCCCAGTGCGGGATCCACTGGGTGAAGCCAGCTGGGCTCCTGAGTCTGGTGGGGTCATGGAGAACCTTTATGTCTAGCTCAGGGATTGTAAATACACCAGTCAGCACCCTGTGTCTAGCTCAGGGTTTGTGAATGCACCAATCGGCACTCTTTATCTAGCTACTCTGGTAGGGCCTTGGAGAACCTTTATGTCTAGCTCAGGGATTGTAAATACACCAATCGGCACTCTGTATCTAGCTCAAGGTTTGTAAACACACCAATCAGCACCCTGTGTCTAGCTCAGGGTTTGTGAATGCACCAGTCGACACTCTGTATCTAGCTACTCCGGTGGGGCCTTGGAGAACCTTTGTGTGGACACTCTGTATCTACCTAATCCGGTGGGGACTGGAGAACCTTTGTGTCTAGCTCAGGGATTGTAAACGCACCAATCAGCACCCTGTCAAAACAGACCACTCAGCTGTACCAATCAGCAGGATGTGGGTGGGGCCAGATAAGAGAATGAAAGCAGGCTGCCCTAGCCAGCAGTGGCAACCCGCTCGGGTCCCCTTCCACACTGTGGAAGCTTTGTTCTTTCGCTCTTTGCAATAAATCTTGCTACTGCTCACTCTTTGGGTCCACACTGCTTTTATGAACTGTAACACTCACCGCGAAAGTCTGCAGCTTCACTCCTGAAGCCAGCGAGACCACGAGCCCACCGAGAGGAACGAACAACTCCAGACGCACCGCCTTAAGAGCTGTAACACTCACTGCGAAGGTCTGCAGCTTCACTCCTGAGCCAGCGAGACCACGAACCCACCAGAAGGAAGAAACTCCGAACACATCCGAACATCAGAAGGAACAAACTCCAGACGTGCTACCTTAAGAGCTGTAACACTCACCGCGAAGGTCTGCAGCTTCACTCCTGAGCCAGCGAGACCACGAACCCACCAGAAGGAAGAAACTCTGAACACAACCAAACATCAGAAGGAACAAACTCCAGACGCGCCACCTTAAGAGCTGTAACACTCACTGCGAGGGTCTGCGGCTTCATTCTTGAAGTCAGTGAGACCAAGAACCCATCAATTCCGGAGACAATGGTGGTTGTGGCTCAGTTAGTGAGAGGCAGCATGATTTCAGATATATTCTGGAAGTAGAACCAGAAGAAATTTTACATGTATAGGATGTAGAAGGGGAAAGAAAAAGAGAAGTGAAGGACACCAAGTTCTTGGCCTTGGCCTTTGGTGTGGAGAATAGGCTGAAAAGTCAAGGTGAGGCTTAGAAGAACCGGTAGGCACACTAGTGCACCAGTCCCTCTAAATGGTGGCAAGAACCATAACCAAGGCCATGGTAGTAGAAGTAGGGAACAGGACAGTTTTAAGCTTTATTTTGGGGAGTAGAAAAATGTTAAAAAAAACTGGCAAATGTTAACAGCAGTAATAAACATTATTGAGCAATTGTTATGTGCCAAGCCTTATGGAAAAACATTCATATATTAATTCATTAAATGCTAACATAATTAACATAAGCAAGGTACTGCCTGATGTAGTTTGTTTATAAGAAGAAATGCCAAGAATTGGTAACTAATTTGCTGTGTGTGTGTGTGTGTGTGTGTGTGTGTGTGTGTATGTAGATGAGGGTGGTGATACTATCTGATTCACAGGATTCCTCATGAAGAAAAATTTTGGAGTAGGACCACGTTGTATATGAAAAAAGATAGCCCCTCTCTCTCTCTCTTTTTTTTTTTTTTTTGAGGCGAGTCTCTCTTTGTTGCCCAGGCTGGAGTGCAGTGGCGCAATCTCAGGTCCCTGCAAGCTCTGCCAACTGGGTTCATGCCATTCTCCTGCCTCAGCCTCCCAAGTAGCTGGGACTACAGGCGCCTGCCACCATGCCTGGCTAATTTTTTGTATTTTTTAGTAGAGACAGAATTTATCTTACTCATCACTACCAGATAAATTTTCCTCAAGTACAACTCTGGTGCTATCTACCCTCTATTTAAGAAACACATAAGAACTGTTACTACCTATAGGATTAAGGCCAACCTTGTTAAACTAGAACCCACAGATTTGGATTTAAAGGATCCTTCTAAATTTATTTCTCTATCCTTTTTCTCATACTTATGATTTAGTGAAAATAATCTCTTTCATTTGATAAGCCTCATAGCTTTCTATTTCACTGTATTTTTTCCTAACTGAAAAGCACTTTTCCTGTGACCAGTGAGGAGAAAAGAAAGACCCTCCTTTCAGGCCCAGCCTGCCTGGTAACTCTTTCCTTAAGCCTTCTCTGATCACCCTCATACCTTTGAACAACAACTGTATCTTAGCAAAAATTGTTGCATGACTCATTATTTTTCATGTTGTATTATTAGTGTTCATTCAATATGCCTACTTAATGCATACGTAGGAATTTTTAAAAATCAAAAGGAGGCAATGTGTATTCTAACGGAGGACATCTGATCAGATTAAACAAGCATAACATAATAATAATGAGAAAACATAAAATTAAGGGATGTTCAAGGTCACACAGCTAGTATGTGATAGAGTTGGGACTTAATCATTATGCCACCATCTCACTATACTATTTTATAGCCTTCTTTGGTGATCTGAAAATAGTTCCTCATGAGTAGATCTTCCTTTGTACATAGGAGTAGTGGCAGATAAGGCTATGGCTGTATGTAGGGACCAAACTTCCAAGTGAGTTAAATGCCACAAGTTGTTTGGATTATATTCTGATGTTAGATGGGGAGAAATGAAAGGATAACACAAAAGCCTTGTCTTTGCATGTTTAGATTGTGCCTTGCACAAGGGTATCATCACTCTGTGGATGACATCTTAACAGAATGAATTCATACTTTAGGCACATACTACCTGTGTGAGAACTTAAGACTAAGTGTGGATAGTTTTAGCCTTCACAATTGAGTCACTGACCGAGAATCCTGCCCTATATAGCTCCATAGCATATACATAGCCATGCACAGGCTCAGGAGGACATGGTCCCACAGATTCATTGGCTCACTCTAGTGAACTCAGCTGTTCCCTGTTGACCATGCTCTGAGCATCCCCACGGTCACTTTTATCTCTGCCTGTTGCAAGTCTGATAGGGTCCCATAGGTGGGAATAGGATGCAGGGTACTTGTGGCTGTCAGCACGTGTGCTTCCTACAGGGTGGGGCATTGTGATTGGGCAAGTCTGGGCACATTAGCAGCTCTGGAAAACTCCCCAACAGCAAGACAATATGTTGTGCAATAATATTCTAATTTATATATTTCATTTAAAAAAATATGTTCATTTGTATTTATTTACTTCTACTTGAAGGAGGGTAGCTTTTTCTAATTGTCATCAAAGCACCATATGGACTTGAGATATTTCTGGTGCCATAATTAATTAGCTTTATTCAGGTCTTTAATTCTTTCTACAAGTATGTATTAAGTGTCTTTTATGTGTCTAAACAATAAATTTGGAAGTGGTGTGAAAGATAGAGTAAGTGGAGCTTACAACATAGGCAAGAAGAGAAGTTAAAGGAGTATAAGTAGATGGGAGGAGAGAAACTATGAGAATAAAGAGAGGATCATATTCCCTAGATATCTCAGAGCTAGATTTGACAGCCCTTGATGATTATTTAAATGGACATGTGGTTAGGAAGAGGTACGGGGAAGGCAAGGGATGAGAGACAGAAAAGTCAAGGATTACTAAGATTCCAATTTCCTGTTTGAGGTCTCTGGGGAGATGATTGCAAATCAAGGAAAAGCAGATTTAGTGGGTAAAGGAATAACATAATTTCACTTTTAGACATATTGTGCTTATATATGTATCTCCTATATATTTATATTGGCATATGTGTGTGTGTTTTGAGTATAATTAAGGTATGAGCTTTCTCTGCATTAAACGCTATAATTTGGATATAAAAACTATTTAATGAATACTGATGAATTCATTAAATGTCATGAATTTTTATGTTACATGTTGTTATAAGTAATTTCTGAACAACTGTTTTTTTATTTTCACAGATATTTTGTGCAGAGAAGCTATGTGTATCATCTCTGGGGTCTCTATGTAAATAATATACAAAACCCGTAATTCAAGGCCTTACATTAACAAAAATACTAAAAATTCATTAAAAATGCCTGAGGGAAGTGCCCCAACCACTCCTGGTACCGACCTAAAAAGGGGATTGGGAATAAAGAGGAAGGAAAAGGTGGGGCCACATCCGGGACACAATTCCCTAGCTCTGGAACCGGGGATGGGGTGGGGGAGAAGCTACTTGTTGCTGCCATTGCTGTCACTGTTGCTGTTGCTGCTGCGGTCATCAGATGTGGTCCTGCTACTGCTGTTTCTGCTGCTGCTTTTGCTCAGGTGGGATGACAGTTGATTGAATGCCTGAAGGAGAATCCTGCCCTATATAGCTCCATAGTATACACATAGCCATGCACAGTCTGAGGAGAGCATGGACCCATAGATTCATTGGCTCACTCTAGTGAACTCAGCTGTTCCCTGTGAACCATGCTCTGAGCATCCCCATGGTCACTTTTATCTCTGCCTGTTGCAAACCTGATATGGTCCCAGAGGTGGGGATAGGATACCCTGAGTATTCAGTGGAGTCTTAGTACCTATGGGTGTTTGCCACAGTTTCAGGTGTGAAAATCTTTGAGTGGAGCTCAGGCCATACTTATAGGTTAAGGCCTGCTGGTACACATAGCCACTGAGCCACTGTTGCAGGTGGTACATAGGATCTACAAGAATAGGTGTATTAGTCTGTTTTCATATTGCTATAAAGAACTGCCCAAGACTGGGTAATTTATAAAGGAAAGAGGCTTAATTGACTCACAGTTCAGCATGGCTGGGGAGGCCTCAGGAAACTTACAATCGTGGCGGAAGGTAACAAGGAAGCAAGACACCTTCTGCACAAGGTGGCAGGAAGGAGAAGTGCCAAGCGAAGGGGGGAAGAGCCCCTTATAAAACCATCAGATCTTATGAGAACTCGCTCACTATCATGAGAACAGCAAGGGGGAACCCCCTCCAGTGATACAATGACCTCCATCTGGTCTCTCCCTTGACATGTGGGGATTATGGGGATTACAATTCAAGATGAGATTTGGGTGTGGACACAAAGACTAATCAAATCAGTAGGGTTGGTAGAAGGGTGAGGGCTCTGATAAGGCTGGTTGGAGTAGCCAGGAGGCACCACGGTACCTGTGGGGCCTGTGTGTTCCTGCAATTCCCACATAAGAAAATAAGTATAGCCCTGGGAAGTATGCAAACTGTAGGAAGAGCTGGGAATCCTCCATGGACAGAGCTGTTCCAACATACCTTGACTCTGTATCTTTGCCTGGATATTGGGCTCTGTGAAGCTACAGAAAATCATCACATTTTATTTGGCAAGAAAATGGATTTTACTTTTATTTATTTATTTTTTAGAGATACGGTCTGTCAGCCAGGCTAGAGTGGAGTGGTATGATGGAAGCTCACTGCAGCCTCAAACTCCTGGGCTTAAGCAATCCTCCTGTCTCAGCCTCCCCAATAACTGGAACTATTGGTGTGTGTTATCACATCTGGCTACTTTTTAAGTTTCTATTTTTTTTAGAGACAGGGTCTCACTATGTTGCCCAGGCTGGTCTCCAACTCCTGGCCTCAAGCAATCCTCTTGCCCTGGCCTCCCGAAGTGTGGGGATTACAGGTGTCAGCCACCATGCCAGGCTTGAGTCATTTTAAATTTAGGAAATTCACTTCTGAGCTCTGGCTCTTAAACTTTAACATATAATATTAAACATATAACAAAAAGTTATAATATTGCCAAATCAACGATAAATAGCATAAGTAATATGGTTTAAGTGCTGGAGGAAGGAAATGGATAGAAGACAGCCTAGGTGGAGTTCTCAGCATATAAGGTATTGAAAGGCCAGATGTTTATGTAATTGGTCAGTACTGAGGCTGCATTGCAAACTGAGAAAAAGAATGACAAAAACAGTGAAATACAAACACACAAGTAAGATTTGGATAGAAAGAATAAATTTTTTGTTGTTGAAATCACCAATCTCTTGGCATTAGTTGGACATAAATTGTTACAAGTAGTCTGAGGCCAATAATAAAGAGCTTTGTGTTTCATGATAAGAGTTTGGATTTTATCCTGTCAGCATAGGGGAAACAATGAAAGTTTTAGCAAAGGAAATGACAAGTTGACGCAGTGTTTTAGCAGTCTGCCCACAATGCAGGGGATGATGGGAAAAGAAGGGGAGCTAGTAAGACCAAGAAGAAAGCTTTTCCAATGACACAGGAATTTTATAGATTATGGATGCAATGTTAAAACAAGGGAAATGAACAATGACATGCTTATACATATATAAGCACAATCCCTGAGACTGGGAACTTTCTGGATGAGGTGGGCAGTGAGGAAGGAGAGTGAGAGAAGGGAGTATAAAAAAGCTGGAAAATCAGAAGAATTAAAATACCATTGGCAGAAAGAGTAAAGGAAAAAAGAGAGGCTGTTCAAAATAAACTATGTTTTTGGGAAAAAATGAATATTTGGATGACGGACAAACATTTGAGGATATACATAAAGCTCAAACCTCTCAACTCACTAATTCCTCACCTCATTCTTAGCAAAGAGCCATACCTCGTCATTCATAGAGTTAAAAATCATCAGAGGAGGCCTGCTAACATCCGACACCAGTCTTGCAAACTGATCTGCCTCTGTACCCCTCCCTGACTCCTCGGCAGGAGGAGCCTTCGCTCCTTTATCTAAGACCTGTGCCCAGGATCTGTTTTCCCCAGAGACTATTACACAAATATTCTTTTCTTTCTAAGATTCTCAGTTTCCACCTAATCTCTGGCTATCGCCCATCAGTATTTCAACAACAAAAACTTCTTCCATATTAGAATGAAAAGCATAAAACAATTACCAAAACCTAAATTTTAACTACCCCCCATGAAACCCCTCCCTTTCCCACCACTGGTGTCTCATATTCTCTAATTAGAACTCTAAACACTTTCTGTCCAATGTGAACACTTTTCATGCACTCTACCCTCTGCCATCTGTATTGCCCTCCTTCCACTCCACCCAGCCTACTCTCAAAAGGCATCACAGGATTGCTTTTCTCTCAGTTTTGTGGGAGACTTTCAGTCCACATCTGACTTAATATCTCTTCAGCATTTGATACCATTGACCTGATTCTTTCTTAAAGGGCTTTCTCTTCATTGTAAAACTACCATTTTCTACATTCCATTCTTTTTTTTTTTTTTTTTTTTTTTTGGCCCATTGGTCTCCTAATCTTATACTTTAAGCATTTGTGATGCTCAGGACACAGTCTTTTGCATGTTTTTTATTCTAACTCTGCCTATGCTCTCTTCATTATCTTGTCTACTCATTTATAGTTTCAGTTACCATTTCTGTGTTGATGAATTCACTATTATCATCATTATCACATATCCTTCATCTAAGTTCCATAACCATATATGTCAAGTGATTTTATGGAAGTAAGTCCTGGATTGTCTTATAGGCACCACATTCCATCCAGTGGCTGTCAGAAACTTTTAAACCACAGTATATCCCACACTCAACTAAACACCAACTCTTGCTGTAATACATTTCCAGGTAACCAGAACCTGTATACAAATTTTTTTTGAAGCTCCAAATTGTAATTTTAAAATTACCAGCAATATTTGTGTCTAGAGATGAATACAGCAATTAAACTTTAGAAGAAATCAATTTGTTTTGGAAAAAACCCTAGGATTATTCTCTATGTTACATAAATGTAAAGCAATTTCTCATCTATTATCCTTGAAGAAAACTGTGATGTCTCTATTAATCTCAAACTTTAATTGAAATATTGATTATTTCTTAACTTTTTTTAGCAGAACTACATCCTTGCAAAGTGAGGTAAATAATTATTGTTTTTGTTTGTGGGGATTTATTTTCTTTCTTAATTCTAAATATATATTTTGATGGTGCTGTCTCTAAAAAATATGATTCGTGGAGGACATGAATGGTGTGTATGTATGTGTATGCGTGTATGTATGGGTGTTTGCACACATGCACAGGTGCTGATGCACGCACATGTGAGTGCATAGGGGCATGTGTATCATAGTGAAGAATTACCTAGAGGAGATAGGAAGCAGGGACGTAATGGCAGCAGTGAGAGGAATATCTTTACCCTCCATGTAGGTGGTGTAACCTTGTATGAGTGAGCCAGAGTCATATTCGCTCCTAGATTTAAGTATTCCTCATTCTCCTTATTTCACATGGAGTAGAGCTAAAGTTCTTTGTGTATTTCACATGGAGTAGAGCTAAAGTTCTTTGTGTAAGAGGCCCTGCACACTTGTGATTTTTCTAATAAACATTTTCCTCCACTGTTTTAGTTAGTTTGGGTTGCTAAAACAGAATAGCATAGACTGAATGGCTTAGACAACAAACATCTATTTCTCACAGTTCTGGAGGCCAGAAGTCTGAGATCAGAGTGCCAACATGGTTGGGAACTTGATGACAGCCCTCCTCTTTGTTCACAGATGATGACCTCCTCACTGCATTCTCATATAGTGAAGAGAAAAAGCTTTGGTCCCTTCATCTTCATATAAAGACAGTAATCCCATCATGGGGGATCTACTTTTATGCCCTATCTGACTCTAATTACTTGCCAAAGGTCTCGCTTCAAAATAACATTATATTGGAGATTAGGGTTTCAACATTTGAATTTTGGGGGTACGAAAACAGTCCATAGCACTTACCATTTTTAATGGCTGTCCTATAGGCGAGAGAAGAAGCCTTTCTTAACTAGAACACCCTCTTTATAAGCATTCTATCTTTGGTGAAGTTGTAATGAAATTTCCACTCAATGGTTTTGGAAATTCAATCAACACACTTTGCATTTATAGATAGGAGAGCTAAGTTCCAATCTTAGTTCCAGGTTTTGTCAATATGCAAACAGGTGCCACTGAGGAAGTCTTCAGCTTTTTAATGCTTTAGTTTCCTCTTCTACAAAATGAGGATACTTAGCTGGATGATTTCTAAGAAATTCCTCACTTTTGAAGCTCTGATTATATGAATGAAAAATGTAGAGATATTATAAACAGGCAAGTGAAATATTTTGCTTTATCAGTGCAGTTACTTCGCTTTTAAGTCTTATAGAAATAATTTTAGCAACACATATTTTTTAAAACTACATTTCTGAGACAATATTTTCAAAGGAATTTTGAAAAAAGATCTTAAAGTGTAGAGATAGAGATGAAGGTTTTTTCACTTGTAGTAATTACTCTCGAAAATACTAGAAACTCTCCTCTTGCCAAAGAGCCAGGCATTCTGCAGACTACAACATAGCCCAGTCTGCACTGTGAAAGAATCCCAGTAAGCACAGTTCTGGTAGGAGGTTTGTATTTCTCTTTGTAATGTGGCTCTGGAGATCTTATAGGATTCTAAGACTGAGAAATAATTGCCTTTTAATGCCAGTGCAATCTCTGGCAGGAATGCCAAGCAGAGAAAACAGCACAGGGCAATTTGATAAGGATGAATATCCTCTCAGACAGGGACATATAATCACTTGAGCTTTCCTTCCCCCCAAATAACTTCTAGTCAAAGTATAAAACTCGTCTAAATATTACTGAATCTTGGTAAGTCAACAATTCAGACTCATACAAGAAACAAATGAAATCTAAGTTTTCTACAATGTTTTTCTACTGCATGTATTCTCAAACTGTGCATCAGAGAAATAAAAATTTTCCTTATTGGAAGTCCCTCAGCATACAAGCAGCAAGTCCAGACACTTTGTGCATATAAGCCACCATGCCCCCTAAGATGCCTGTGTCATGCTTTCCAGTGCATACCCCATAAGCATTTATTTAATAATCAAAACTGACAAAGATATTAAGATTCCTTAGTGGCTTTGCTAAAGGTTTTCACATGAATAGGGAGAGTACAAAAATATCAAGTGAAATATGAGATGCCAGCATTAATCTAAACTGTCCACTTTGTCAGTAAATGTCTAATTTGCTTTTGGCCTTGGTGGGATCTAGCAGTTCATAGGAAGGAAAATTTTTAAAATTACAAACTTTTTGGTTAAACATGCAAAATTAAAACATAAACATTTTAGTTTAAACTTTAAATTAGCAAACCTTCAATGTTACACAAGATTTATAAGGAAAAGCGCATTTAAGCTGCAACTGGGCACAGTGGCATGCACCTGTGGTCTCAGCCACTCAGGAGGCTGAAGTGGGAGGATCACTTCAGCCCAGGAGTTTGAGAATACAGTGAGCTATGATTGCACCATTGCACTCCAGCCTGGAGAACAGAGTGAGGCTCTGTCAAAAAAAAAAAAAAAAAAAAAAAAAAACCCCCCAAACTAACAGTATTTAAGATGAGTACCTAATCTAGGACTAGGGTGAGCATTCATTCACCCAAGTCCCAGTGAGGCATTCAACTCGGGAACAAAATTTAAGGGGGTCCAAAAAAAATGATAATATTTTTAAAAGTCAAAATTAATGCCATGATAAAGTCTTAAAAGTTTAAATAAAGGGAGCATCAGTATTACTAATTTTCCTTTAGCTTCGGGCTCCAGTACAGCTTAGATTGAAAATACTGGATACTATACTATAAATATCCAGGTTTTGGGGGCACATAATCATGTTGCAGCATGAAAGTAGTCTTTTGGCATCTCTTTGTACAGATACAGATCTGTGTATTCTGATTTTAATAGGCAGGTAGGGAGAGTGAGTTCAGGAGCAAGAAATTATCACACTTTTGGTATGACAGTGTAAGTTCATTTGCATTCAAATACATTTTCCTTAATCTTGCAACAGACATTAGACAATCATCACATCACAAAGCTCAGAAGGATAGTTTTACAAAGAAAATCTCCCCTCAAGAGAAACATTTTATATTAAAGTTTTATTATATGTACAATTAATTTCAATAAAAATTGGTGACTAGATAACTACATGTGAAGTATTGTGATGGGGAATTCATCCAAACATAAAATATACTTACCCTGATTTCAACAAACTCACTTTCTAGTGAGAGAAGTGGCTGAATTAAAAATATATATATAATTACAGAATAGTTAGCACATTAAAATTATGCTCAAGCAGAAGATTAGGCATATAGGAAAGAGTGATTGTATTTATTGTGAGATCCTGAGATTAAAGGCTTAAATGACGGTGAAAACTTAGTATTCTTTGGGTGGACAATAGTGAAATTTGCACTTTGGACAGAATGACATGTACAAAAAGAGTCAAGAAACTTTTTAATCTATTTAAAGGACTCAAAGTAATTTGTGAAGGCCATAGCGTAAAATAACTTCAGTGGATGGAATGGGATGATGAATAGGTGATGGTGATGACTATCTCATATAAAAATTCACTAAGAGATACATACTAGGGGAGATAAGAATCCAGATTTTCACTTAAAAGAATAAACTCTAGTGGAGGATTAAAGGATTGTTGGGGGATGGATAAAACCAGAGTAAAGGCACCAGTAATGACTGTTATGATTATGGTCATTGTGTATGTTTGCCTGGGTTGTGCCTGTACAGCTTATAAGGGCATCACACTCATGGATTGCAATATACACTGCTGAAGCCCTGGAGGAAGTATTTATGGAAAGAGACATTGAGGCCAGAAACCAGTAGTAAGGATGCACTGAGAGACAATAGGAAGTAAAATCAAAATAAAATAGGGAATTGTTGAATATTGGGGGTGAGGTAGAGAAGGAGAGTAAATTATATTTGGTATTTTATCTTTGATGAATAGGAAGATCCTCACTAAGGCAGGAAATATAATTAATTTAAAAAGTGGTTTGGTGGGAGGATTCAGGAAACAAATATATTCGCTTTTAGTTTCTGTTTTTTCCCCTAATACTCAAAGGCGGTTAATATTTAAATGGCTGTGTAAAATACACACACACACACACACACACACACAGTGTTTACACTGATTTTGAATCTGAATACTGTTCATTTGTAACAGAATCATGGCATATGGCACACAACTGTCAGCTCTAAAATGTTTGCACCATTGGTCCTTTTCCCTAAATTTTAGAATGTTTAATTGTTTAGAACAAAAGAAAACGGAATTTAGTAGACCCCTCGACCAATTTCTGGTTTTGGATATTGCTTAAACCAAAGTTACTGCATTTCACAATGAAGGTCCAATCTAACCAACTTATGATTATCTGCAGTAAAAATTTAGTTGGTGACATAATTTTTTATTTTTAATATTTTCTTAAACTAGAACTCAGGATTAAGAAACTCATTCAAAACTGCTCAACTACATGGAAACTGAACAACCTGCTCCTGAATGACTACTGGATACATAACGAAATGAAGGCAGAAATAAAGATGTTCTTTGAAATCAACGAGAACAAAGAAACAACATACCAGAATCTCTGGGACACATTCAAAGCAGTGTGTAGAGGGAAATTTATAGCACTAAATGCCCACAAGAGAAAGGAGGAAAGATCCAAAATTGACACCCTAACATCACAATTAAAAGAACTAGAAATGCAAGAGCAAACACATTCAAAAGCTAGCAGAAGGCAAGAAATAACTAAAATCAGAGCAGAACTGAAGGAAATAGAGACACAAAAAACCCTTCAAAAAATTAATGAATCCAGGAGCTGGTTTTTTGAAAGGATCAACAAAATCGATAGACTGCTAGCAAGACTAATAAAGAAAAAAAGAGAGAAGAATCAAATAGACGAAATAAAAATTGATAAAGGGGATATCACTACCAATCCCACAGAAATACAAACTACCATCAGAGAATACTACAAACACCTCTATGCAAATAAACTAGAAAATCTAGAAGAAATGGATAAATTCCTCGACACATACACCCTCCCAAGACTAAATCAGGAAGAAGTTGAATCTCTGAATAGACCAATAACAGGATCTGAAATTGTGGCAATAATCAATAGCTTACCAACTAAAAAGAGTCCAGGACCAGATGGATTCACAGCCAAATTCTACCAGAGGTACAAGGAGGAACTGGTACCATTCCTTCTGAAACTATTCCAATCAATAGAAAAAGAGGGAATCCTCCCTAACTCATTTTATGAGGCCAGCATCATCCTGATACCAAAGCCGGGCAGAGACACAACCAAAAAAGAGAATTTTAGACCAATATCCTTGATGAACATGGATGCAAAAATCCTCAATAAAATACTGGCAAACAGAATCCAGCAGCACATCAAAAAGCTTATCCACCATGATCAAGTGGGCTTCATCCCTGGGATGCAAGGCTGGTTCAATATACACAAATCAATAAATGTAATCCAGCATATAAACAGAACCAAAGACAAAAACCACATGATTATCTCAATAGATGCAGAAAAGGCCTCTGACAAAATTCAACAACCCTTCATGCTAAAAACTCTCAATAAATTAGGTATTGATGGGATGTATCTCAAAATAATAAGAGCTATCTTTGACAAACCCACAGCCAATATCATACTGAATGGGCAAAAACTGGAAGCATTCCCTTTGAAAACTGGCAAAAGACAGGGATGTCCTCTCTCACCACTCCTATTCAACATAGTGTTGGAAGTTCTGGCCAGGGCAATTAGGCAGGAGAAGGAAATAAAGGGTATTCAATTAGGAAAAGAGGAAGTCAAATTGTCCCTGTTTGCAGATGACATGATTGTATATCTAGAAAACCCCATTGTTTCAGCCCAAAATCTCCTTAAGCTGATAAGCAACTTCAGCAAAGTATCAGGATACAAAATCAATGTACACAAATCACAAGCATTCTTATACACCAATAACAGACAAACAGAGAGCCAAATCATGAGTCAACTCCCATTCACAATTGCTTCAAAGAGAATAAAATACCTAGGAATCCAACTTACCAGGGACGTGAAGGACCTCTTCAAGGAGAACTACAAACCACTGCTCAAGGAAATAAAAGAGGATACAAACAAATGGAAGAACATTCCATGCTCATGGGTAGGAAGATTCAATATCATGAAAATGACCATATTGCCCAAGGTAATTTATAGATTCAATGCCATCCCCATCAAGCTACCAATGACTTTCTTCACAGAATTGGAAAAAACTACTTTAAAGTTCATACGGAACCAAAAAAGAGCCCGCATTGCCACGTCAATCCTAAGCCAAAAGAACAAAGCTGGAGGCATCACACTACCTGACTCCAAACTATACTACAAGGCTACAGTAACCAAAACAGCATGGTACTGGTACCAAAACAGAGATATAGATCAATGAAACAGAACAGAGCCCTCAGAAATAATGCCACATATCTACAACTATCTGATCTTTGACAAACCTGAGAAAAACAAGCAATAGGGAAAGGATTTCCTATTTAATAAATGGTGCTGGGAAAACTGGCTAGCCATATGTAGAAAGCTGAAACTGGATCCCTTCCTTACACCTTATACAAAAATTAATTCAAGATGGATTAAAGACTTAAATGTTAGACCTAAAACCATAAAAACCCTAGAAGAAAACCTAGGCAATACCATTCAGGACATAGGCATGGGCAAGGACTTCATGTCTAAAACACCAAAAGCAATGGCAACAAAAGATAAAATTGACAAACGGGATCTAATTAAACTAAAGAGCTTCTGCACAGCAAAAGAAACTACCATCAGAGTGAACAGGCAACCTACAAAATGGGAGAAAATTTTCACAACCTACTCATCTGACAAAGGGCTAATATCCAGAATCTACAATGAACTCAAACAAATTTACAAGAAGAAAACAAACAACCCCATCAAAAAGTTGGCGAAGGGCATGAACAGACACTTCTCAAAAGAAGACATTTATGAAGCCAAAAAACACATGAAAAAATGCTCACCATCACTGGCCATCAGAGAAATGCAAATCAAAACCACAGTGACATACCATCTCACACCAGTTAGAATGGCAATCATTAAAAAGTCAGGAAACAACAGGTGCTGGAGAGCATGTGGAGAAATAGGAACACTTTTACACTGTTGGTGGGACTGTAAACTAGTTCAACCATTGTGGAAGTCAGTGTGGCGATTCCTCAGGGATCTAGAACTAGAAGTACCATTTGACCCAGCCATCCCATTACTGGGTATATACCCAAAGGACTATAAATCATGCTGCTATAAAGACACATGCACACGTATGTTTATTGCGGCACTATTCACAATAGCAAAGACTTGGAACCAACCCAAATGTCCAACAATGATAGACTGGATTAAGAAAATGTGGTACATATACACCATGGAATACTATGCAGCCATAAAAAATGATGAGTTCATGTCCTTTGTAGGGACATGGATGAAATTGGATATCATCATTCTCAGTAAACTATCGCAAGGACAAAAAACCAGACACCGCATGTTCTCACTCATAGGTGGGAATTGAACAATGAGAACACATGGACACAGGAAGGGGAACATCACACTCTGGGGACTGTTTTTGGGGTGGGGGGAGGGGGGAGGGATAGCATTAGGAGATATACCTAATGCTAAATGACGAGTTAGTGGGTGCAGCACACCAGCATGGCACATGTATACATATGTGACTAACCTGCACATTGTGCACATGTATCCTAAAACTTAAAGTATAATAATAATAAAATAAAAAAAAACATTGTCTATGCCATTTATCCTTTTATTAAAAAGATAAAAGAATAAATAAAAGGGATACTTGGATATATGGCAACACTATAGTTATAAATAAATGCAAGTGGAATCAACAAGAGCTTTCTAAAAAGAAGTTTTTATATGTTAAGTCAGTAAAACTGGAATGTCTGACCATATTTTCACGAAGACATTATTTTAAAGTATTGAGATTAAAACAGTTTCTGGTGTACAAAGCGTTTGAATAATTTTGTGGAGCTGAAAAAAAGACAGAAAGAAGCAAACAGGCAGGTAGACAGACGTAGGTTTAACACAAAATAAGAACATGAAGTTGTCTGGATGGCAAAAAGATTGACAAAAAAATCTGATTCTTCTCTCATTCACGAGAACCTACTTAGAAAGTATGGTTTTCTGAAAAGTTTGCAGGCCAGTGGGACTGAGCGCTACGCTTGGAACAGTTTTCTGACGACTGTGCCAGATGAGAAAATGGCCCCAGGTTTTAGGAACCTATCCAGTTTGGTGGTAATATTTTCCAAACTTAACATGAAATACTTTACTCAGTCTTGTTTTGACTGGATCAGACCTGAATGAGTTTACTTTGTTGTTTCATTCAGTTGGTTTGAGTCTTGCTGATATGGCACATAAACAAAATATCTTTTCCTTGTATTGGAAAACAGGTTAAAAGACTAGTCTTTAACTTGAAAAACAGCCCAGCTGCTGTTACTACTTCTTTCCTTGACTTCTGTGGCAGATTTCATTGTAAATGTACACATACCTTTTTCCAGGGTTGGACTTTAGCCCAAGACTATCATTATTTAGGTGAAGAAACATGCATGAATGTCACCTGGACTCTGTGTTACAATATACTTTTAGTTTATGCTGTTAGAGAAAACTCATTTAGATCCAATTAGATTTTTGCATTTAAATTGTATTTGACACAAACAACCTAAATGTTTTACTATAAAGATCTAGTTTGAATATAATTTAACATTGTTAACCTCTTTAAAGTTGATCTCCTTTAATATTCTTGTCATATGGAATATTTTTACAGCTGCTTGACCAATACACAAAGGAGAATTTAAAGGCTTAGGTAAGTGAAAGGCAGGATTTCACATACCTGTAGCTTTCTACTTTCAGCCTTGCTTCTTAACAACTCTGGCTTAGGAAAAAGCTTGTATGAGGTTGAACCAGTTGAAATATCTAAACACTATCTGTATCATCCTCCTCACTACCATGTGTAAGTGGGATCTGACTGCACATTATTTTCCCCCGTGTAACAACTCATGACAAACCATATGAAAGAAGCCTCACCTCACATCTCCCTTTAATATCATACCATGATTTGCTAATTCCTGTAAGTTATTTCAATAATTTAAAACTTATGATATAATGAAAAATATTTGATCAATAATTACTTTTGTCATTGATAAATCTGGGAAGTTTACTTTTCTTCTGCAAGTCCCAGAAATCAGATATATATATAATTACTAAATTTGGAGTTTTACAGATATCATATCAGCTCTAGTACTCTTTGGCCTAAAGACATATTGCAACTTGAAGAGCATGTGGTTGACAATGTTGTATAGCAGCTGGTGCAAAAGAAAGCTGGCAGAGCATAGCTTGGAATGAGAATAAAATAAGACTTTGCTGCTTGCCACTGTAAGCTTTCCTGTCTTGAATACAAATTACTACTAGAGTTATCTTATTAGCAACTGTCTCTATTATAATATCATGAACATCTATATTTTAGAAATAAAAAGCCAAGTTTCTATAAATATTTACATATCCCTATATATTAATTTATTTTATTGACAGGCACAAATTGTATATATTTATGATATACAACCTGATATTTTGATATACACATACAATGTGGAATAGCTAAATTGAACTAATAAATATATTTATTACATCACATACTTATTTTTTGTGGTGAGATTTCAAATCTACTGTCTTAGCGATTTTTAAATGTATAGTACACTGTTATTAACTACAGTCACTCTATTACACAATACAGTTCTTGTTTCTTTCTTCTGTTTAACTGAAATTTTGCATCCCTAGACCAATATCTCCCCAATCCCACCCCACCCAACCTGCCAGCCCCTAGTAACCACCATTCTACTCTGCTTCTATGAGCTCAACTGTTTTAGATTCCACATGTAAGTGAAATCATGCTTTATTTTTGTGCCTATTTCACTTAGCCTAATGTCCGCCAAGTTCATCCATGTTGTCACAAATAATGGCATTTCCTTCAGTTTTAAAGCTGAATAGTATTCTATTGCACATTGTGTTAGTCCGTTTTCATGTTGCTATAAAGATACTACCTAAGATTGGGTAATTTACAAACAGCAGTTTAATTGGCTCACAGTTTCAGGAAGCTTACTGCCTCCCAAGTAGCTGGGATTACAGGCACATGTGACCACACCCAGCTGATTTTTTTTTTTTGTATTTTTAGTAGAGACAGGGTTTCACCATGTTGGCCAGGCTGGTCTTGAACTCCTGACCTCAGGTTATCCACCCGCCTCGGCCTCCCAAATTGCTGGGATTACAGGCATGAGCCGCCGCACCCACCAGCCAGGTATGCTGTTTTATCCATGCAAAATAGATTAAGACATATTGTAAATGGCATTGTTTGCCTTAGTTTTTTTTCTGGATAGTTGGTTATTAGTGTTTAGAAATACTACTGATTGCTGTATGTTGATTTTGTATCCTGCAGCTGTACTGAATTCCTATTATGTTTCAATAAATGATCCCTCCATTTGGCACAATCTTACATGTAACAATATACACCTCTAAGAAGCACTACCAAACCATTTTAGACAATGTGTTGAAATTTCTGGAAAAAAAAGATAAATTAAAATCACAGAATTGGTTTTATGTCAGTTGTACAATGCTCAGTTTAATGTTGAAATATTCAAATTTTCAAATGTATTCATATTGAAAATGACATTTTAGTTATTCAGAGATGTATTCAAAATCTATTCACGGAGTTGTTGAAAATTCAGGCACCTCGGAGTAATGCTTTTAAGATGAGGATTTTAATTAATACCAACACGGCCTTCCTATTTATTTCACAGAATTTATGTGTTGTATTATGAATAGCAAATAAATAAGATACCTAATATTGTTTCATACCTAACTTCAATCAGGTGTTGAATAGTCTCTAATTTTAAAATTGTAAGTTCATCTATTTTAAATTCCATCAAAATTATTTGCCATGGGTTAATCTGCTTTGGCAAGATTTGTTATATTGGAAGTTTTTGAGACTATCCATCCTTTGCCCTGCTTTTGCTGAACTGGTTATATTCAGAGCAATTTCTATTTTTCTTCTCTTACAAGTTGTTTCACTGCATCTTTATGCACTTTCTCTCTATCATTCACTAAATATAAAGTTCTTCTGTAGAAAAAATTTGTATATGTAAAATTTCCAGTGCCTAGTATGGTATGCATTAAATAAATGTCATTGAGTGACTATCAAAATATTTCTCTCCTCCAGAAAGCTTCTTCCAGTCACAGCCTTCTCCAATGGCCGTGTAGCATCAACAGCAATCACTCCACGAGTGAAACCACAAATTCATACGCATTTAGGACTTTACCTCTTATTCTTCTCCCATTATTCATTTCAAACACTGGTTGTCTGATGACAATAAGACCCCTATTAATTCTAAAACTCCTTATTTCATATATGGCTTTTCCTGTTTTTATGTATCTCCCTATCCAGCTTGAAGCCTGTAATTAGCATTTCAATTACTATTTTTCCAGTATCCTTTACTGATACCTATTTCTTTGTAATTTTTTCACATATTGATGACAACTACTATTTGCCCATTTTTCCTAAACCTTTCACTAATCAATCACTAGGCCTCTGCTCTGACTTCACAGAGAAAACTTAAGCTACCAGAAGGGGATTCTATGACTTCCTACCTCAAAACCTCAACTCTTATCGAAGTCCTCCACTTCTTAATATAAAGGAAGACTGTTCATTTAGCTAATGATTAATGTAGGCACATGTAACTTTGGGAATTGCCTTTCAAATACTTCATCATCTCCTTATGTCCTGCATCAACCTCTTAATTGATAGAAATTAATTATTTTCTTGACCCTGAAATGTTCATATTATATGGAAGACAACAGATATTGAATGTACAATTTCAATACAACTGAGTATTATTCATTCAGCCAATAATGTTTACTGGGTACATATTAGTAGTCAAACATTGTTTACTTAGAATACAGTAGTCTACACAGACACTACCCTTTTTCTTTCTAAAGGTACATTTTATGGGAGGAGAGAAACTGAAAAAAAGAGTAGATATATCATGTTAAAAGGCTCTACATACTATGGAGGAATGCAGCAAAGTGGAAAGGTAAATAGGCAATCCAGGAATGAGGTAGTACAATATCACAGAGTCATGTCTGAAGTTCACACTAAAAATGGTGACATTTGAGCCAAAACCTGAAGGTGGCAAGGAGGAAAGCCAATGCAGATATTCAGAGGGAGTGCTTCCTAGACAGATGAGATATCAAGTGAAAACCCTGAGGCTGAGGCAGGAGAGGGCTTAGCATATGCAGGAAAAAGCAAGGCAGGCTGTGTAAATTAAAAGTGAGAGGTGATTTAGTAAGAACTCATGCCAGAGAGGAAATGAAAGTCCATCATGGAGGAAGAGTGACATGATCTGACTTGGGTTACAAAAAGACAACTCTGTCTACTGTGTTGAAAAAATACTAAATGGAACAAGGACAGATGCAAGGAACAAGGCTCAGCAGCTATTGCAGTCATGCATGTAAAAACAGTGGTTTGGGCTGGGAGAGGAGTGGTGGCTGCAGAGAGACATTGCTGAGATCCGAATATATAAAGACACAACTGCTGTTAATGTGTGGTATAATGGGACAAGCATTCAAGGATGACCCCAAGATTTCTAACATACAGATTTTCCACTTACTTTGTTGGGACAACAGTGTCAGGAGTAGTTTTGGAAGGAGTTTTTGTCTTGGTTTGTTAATTATTAAATGCCTATGCAATGTCCAAGTGACATAAGAAGCACAAGATATGATCCTGGAGTTCACAGGCGTGTCGTGAAGTCCAAGTGTGGTGTGTAAAAGGAGCCTAAAATTTGCATATTAAAATTGTGTGAGTAATTAGATAGTCTTCCCAGAGGAATTGATTTTTAAAATTTTTTTTAATTTTTATTTTTTGTGGGTACATAATAGATATATGTATTCATGGGGTACATGAGATGTTTTGATACAGGCATACAATGTGAAATAATCATATATGAAGAATATGGTTTCCATCCCCTCAAGCATTTACCCTTTGTTGAAACACAGCAAATAAAGATCCATTAAAAACAAAATATTTATTGCAGTATAAAAACTTGACCTTGGAAAACAAATTTTAAAATCTATTTGAGATATGTTTTCTCACAATTTACCCAAATAAATGTTTCCTTTTCAAAAGTTATTTTTTGGAACATGAAAAGTATTACATTTCAATACTTTGTTAAAGCATTGAATTTAATTTTAAAATATTGGCATGGCACGGTGGCTCACGCCTGTAATCCCAGCACTTTGGGAGGCCAAGATGGGTGGATCACAAGATCAGGAGATCGAGACCACCCTGGCTATCACGGTGAAACCCCGTCTCTACAAAAAATACACAAAATTAGCCGGGCATGGTGGTGGGCACCTGTAGTCCCAGCTATTCAGGAGGCTGAGGCAGGAGAATGGCGTGAACCCAGTTGGCAGAGCTTGCAGTGAGCTGAGATTGTGCCACTGCACTCCAGCCTGGGCGACAGAATGAAAATCCGTCTCAAAAATAATAATAACAATTAAAAGATTAAAAAAATTAAAATATGTACCAAAGTTAGTCATTAAAATGATTTCAGTATCATATTGGTAAATTTACAGGAGCACATATTTTCCTGTTTTTGTTTTTTCACAAACTATAATTTCATATATTGAAGTGAATCCTTGTTGGTGACATTCCAGAATGAAAGTAATAGTTTAAGTTACAGTTATGTGCTTCATTTATGAGTTTTTTTATACATTACTGCATGCAGTCAATGATTCAACAAATATTTATTGAATGACTATATTGTACCACCAAATGTGCAAAGAACTCGAGATACAATGGAGGAGAAAGATATTTCCTGATTTCCCCACCAAATTCTGAGATCAGTGGAAAAGATGGACAGTCATTTAATACACAATGTAAAAAATGCCATGAGAGTAAAAAGGTATGATACTTGGGGAATAAACTGAAATATAATAAAGAAAAATGGCAAAGATAGAAAGGGCATACTGAAAGGAATAATGACTACACTCAGACCTGAAATATCTGTGGTATTTGCAGTGAAAAGTGAATTGTAGAAATAGAGAACAGTTTGTTAGATCTGTGCGAAGAGAGGATAGAACAATCATGAAAATAACAGTAATTTTAAATAGATATTTAGATGAACTGAATGGGGTTTTGTAAATCCTAACACTTACTTTTTCTTTCCTCTAGGGATTCTTTTGAGAAGGAAATTAGACAAGGTCTGATATTAATGATATTCCATTTTACTAATAACCAGGATAGTACTGTGATAGAGCTAGAACAAACTAATATGAACATAAAATAACCTAGACAAAGTACGTATTATACCCTTCCCAATTAACCAAAAATGACTACATTCACAGATTGAATTCCATCTGATTTGCCCCATAGAGTCCAGCAGAAAACTTGAACCACAGTAAGAGCAGATCAATCAGAGTAACAGGCAGATGTTGCCCAAATATGCTCATACTATGGGAGACATGAAGCACAAAACAGATCAACCTATCTGTTGATCTAGCAGGAGCCTAGCAGGGTTCTGTGTATATTCTGTGCAAAGAACAACGAGATTAGTAAGTACTCTTTCAGTGGAAGTAGGCCTAGGAAGGGAGTGGCACAAATACACACGAATGACTTGGAAGTGCCCAGGAATGACAATGTCTTCGGGTGTGGCAAGGGGAGGAAGTGACTGAAGTAGACTGGATAAAAGTAGTTTGTCCAGAGGTTATCAAAAGTCATCCACAAGAATGTCAAAGTCCTCCAAAATAAGAGAATTTAGGAGATTTGAAAGAAATAAAGTGATTCAGGTTCTAGAGCTTTGTTGAACAAGAAAAGATGACCATGAATTTGACAAGACAAAGATAACTAGAGGGTGATACAGACAGAGAATCCAAGCCTCCAAACATGAAGGACAGTTTATGATAGTGTGGAAAAGAAATATTCTAAAACTGTGGATTTTATTCTAAATATTCTTAAAATGTGGATTCCTGGATTTCTGGTAGAAATTTTTAGAAGAGATAGAAGTAGGAATTTAGAACAGTAACACAGAGAGGAAGCAAAAATTAACACAAACAGGAGACTATAAAGAGAGTTTAAATGATCAGAGGGGAGTTGATAAGGCAAATAGAGAAATGCAGGTGGTAGAGGTGGTAGCAATGCTGGTTGTGAAATGCAAAGTTCCTTTATTTGGATTCAACTGTTTTCTACATTGTTTAAGAGGTTCAGATTTGTTGTGTGGCTTCAGAAGAACAATTCAGTCTTCCTTCAGAGCCCCTGACATATAGGTCTTAGGGAGTGATATAATATGTGTCTCCTAAGGCTGGCAAAGGAATAAGTCCCATTAATCATGGCTATTCTCTCAGATCTGAGACTGTGTGCGGTAAGTGGGATGTTTATCTATACTGGTTTTATATAGATCTGATATATCCTCCTTAAGTTAAGCATTCAAACAAGCATAGTTTCTCAAGATGATAAGTTACAAATAATAGAAAATGAAGAACAAGAATATCTTTCCATTTTACAGCCATTAGATTTAAATTAGATGAATTCACTATTTTTCTTCTAAATTTTCCACTTATTCTTTGCCTTTGAGTTTCAAATGAAGAAAACAACAAAAATTGATGACATAATATTGGAAATATTATAAGCAGATTTTTCAACAGAGGCATGTGTACATTCACTATCACACTTGGATCACTGGAGGTGAATGAATGCCCTGGTCTTCTTTTCAAAGCACTGGCACTAGTAGTTTCACCCTGAATGAATCTTGCCCACACATGAGGTGAGCACATGCAAACTGAAAAACTGAACATGGGCAAGGTCAGGGTGTGTGTGTGTGTGTGTGTGTGTGTGTGTGTGTGTGTGTGTGTTAGAGAGAGAGAAAAAGAGAGAGACAGAGACAGGGAGAGAGAGAGTGATTTGGGCTGTTATAGCTTAAGAGTCTGCTTGAAATCACCCCCCATCTTCTTTCCACCATGAAACAGCACTACTAAACTAGATATCATATTGTGATGTATTGGTTTATTCTGTTGGGGTCAATGAGGAAAAATACATTGATTTTGAACAGGTAGCAGAAGCTAACATGAAAAGAATGTCTGGGTAATATTCCCAAACTGATGGCTTTGAGGAGAAAAAGAGCAAAATTAAATAGCTGTGAATAATTTTTTAAAATCCATATTAGAAAGTTAGTGACAACTAACATCAACGTCATCAAACATGGCTCTGCTGACCAAAAAGTACAATAGTTTATAAAGTAATTATATCAACATTAGTTGATGATAATAAACTTGCAAGACTAGAAAGTATATCTTATAACTGTAAAAATATTATTGTGACCTAATATATAACTTCACAGAGGAATGTAGAAAGTGACAGTAGCAATCACTAAGTATAGCTTATACACTATACAAAAATAGACGAATATTATCATACATCATGGAAAGCCATGTTATTGGAATTTAATAACTTGACATAAGGACACAAGAAACAAATATCTCTATTTCTAGTAAATTACAAAGTTTCATTTCCTGTAATAAATCCCACATAAAATGATGTGTATTTTAAAAAGGTTCAAGTATTATAACTCAATGTAAACTCCATTATTCCCCATTATTCTTTATGCTTAATATTCCTTTACTGCTTTTTTGGGATATAATTGATATACAAAAATTCACGTACCTAATGTGTACAATTTGATGAGTTTGGATCTATGCAAACACCAAACACCCATGGTACTATCACCACAATCAAGGTAACAGACATATCCATCACCTCACAAAGTTTCCTTATATCTATTGGGGTAGGGTGCTGGTAAGAATACTTAACAGAAGATCAACACTCAACATACTTGATCTTATGTTAAGAATACTTAACACTCGAGGTGTACAATACTGCAATACTGAATTATTACATTTAGGCACTATGTTGTACAGCAGGTCTCTAGAATTTATTTACCTACTGATACGGTTTGGCTCTGTGTTCCTATCAAACTGAGGCAGGAAATAGGGTATGGAGGCTGGGAACATAAGGCCAATTCACACTTCAGCTATAACAGGAAATATCCTCTCCATAGAGCATACACCAAGTAAATAACTTTGTAACTTTATTTCATCCTCTTCATTTACATAGAGCATACACCAAGTAGAGGGTACTTAAACTCCCTAAAATTCCATAAGGGGGACTTTAAGCCCCTATGCTCAGGCCTACTCCCACACTGTGGAGTGTACTTTCATTTTTCAGTAAATCTCTTCATTCCTTCCTTGCTTTGTTTGTGCATTTTGTCCAATTCTTTGTTCAAGACACCAAGAACCTGGGCACCCTCCACTGTTAACAACATTGTAATTCCCCAGTGTTGGAAGAGTGGCCTGGTGGAAGGTGACTGGATCCTGGGGACAGACTTACCCCTTCCTGTTCTCATGATAGTTCTCAAGCCATCTGGTTGTTTAAAAGCCTGTAGCACCGCCCGCTTAGCTCTTGCTCTCTTCTGCTCTGGCCACATCAGATGAGCCAGTTTCCCCTTTGCCTTCCACCATGATTGAACGTTGCCTGAGGCCTCCCCAGGCATGCTTCCAATAAAGCCTGCAGAACTGTGAGCCAATTAAACCTCTTTTCTTTATAAATTACCCAGTCTAAGGTATTTCCTTCAGCAGTGTGACAATGGACTAATACACCTACCATGACTGAAACTTCATACACATTGAACAGCAATTCTGTTTTTCTCTTCTCCAGCCCCTGGCAACCACCATTGAACTATCTTCTTCCATAAGTTTGATTAAACTGATTCAAAATGTCTTGAAAGTATAATTTGGCTCTCTCTTTAGACCAAAAAGCCTGGACCTCTCACACAATCTAGGAAAGTGCAGACTTCCTTTAGAGCAGCTCTTGCTCCCACCCCTCCCCCGACCCGTCATCTGTAGCCTTGCACCACCCCTCCATGTTTCTCTTGAAAAACAGGGAAACAGTGTCATGCCAGGATTGTATTATAGAACAATGTTCCATCCTTCTTGTTGCTATAATGAAACTGACATAGAAAGAACTTATTTCAAAGGATAATGAAAAGTTACAACAAGCATCATTCACTAGAATCTGCAAGTCCACGTTGTGTGAATGAGTATCACTGTCAATTAGTAAGCCTTTCTGAAGCTCACATTGAAATAATTACGTATGTGTTAGTGTTTCATGATAGTGGTTACAGATCTACTTCGGTTTGCTTTCATTTTGTTGCTTTCATATTAAGTGCAATTCTAAAAATCAAATAAAAACAGGTTTAAACTTGAGGCGGCCCATTTGATGTTAGGTGGATGGGTAAAATTTGTGTTTTCAAAGACTCATTGAATATCAAACACAATATTGAAATGCCTAAGGTAAATTAAAAAGATAATATCTTTCTCAGCCTCAGAAACGGGGAGGAATTTCCTGAGGACAATAGTTTGAATTGTTATTTTCATATACAAATGTATTACAATAATTGCAAGTAATGTGAAACTCCCTCATCAGCAGACCAGTGTTTCGTGTTTCCTGAAACAATGGAACCACAGCCATAAACATATTTCACCTCTTGTTTGGCTTGCCTCCATTTGGAGACACAGGCAGGTATTCATAAGGCTCTGAGATTTGGAAAAGACAAACAGCAAACCTGCTTGGCAGAAGCTCAAGTTCTCTTTTTATTGGTTTTTGAAGAACTTAACCTTGATTTTAAAGCCATATTTGTGGCAAAGAGAGTTTAATCTGTACTATACAGAATTGTTTATTGTAATCTTAACCAAATATCATTTTATAATAGATGTTTTGTCCAAAATGTCAAACATTTCATTTTCATAAGGCTATTTTGCTTTTTGTTTTGAATAGCAAAATTAATTCTTTAAATTTTTGCAAGAATTCCTGACATCTGACTATTTTAAAAACCAAACAAATATTTTCTGAAATAAAAAGTTTGGATACTCATCCTAGTCGTACTTTTTAACATATTTGGTGAAAACCATGACACACGTAAACAGGAACATGTAAACACCACCCAGTGACTATTAATGTGGTAAAATAAATGTTATTATTTAACAATGTAAAAAAAAAACCACCAAAGTTATTTGTTTATCTACAGGAAAAAAGAAAACTTTGCAATTAAATTTTAAATAAATGGGAATAGAAGCTTTTTAAGAATTTTTTCTTCCATTTTTGTCAACAGTTCTAAAGGGAAATTATATTGAGTATTTTGGGGGAAAATGTAAGAAACCTCATTGAGAAATTAAGTCGAGGCATCTTTAAATTTTCCTGTAGTTTCCTTTGTTTCATTTTTTGGGGGGGACACATAATATATATTCTGCCCTTCAATATTAAAGATACAAATTACCTCAATTTAATTTTGATTTAAAATTTAAGTTCTATATTACTTTTCTCAGTTCAGGATTTTGAATATACTGAAGCTATTAGCTTTTGTTTTAGTATTGCCACTATCTTTGTTCAACTTTCTTAGCACTCACTTTTGAGGCTCCCTCAAACTTTGTTGGCATTTGACTTTTCCATTCTCCTCTAATTCTTGTTTTATAAGCATCATCTGGCTTTTCTACCCGGTAAGGAACCAGTAAAATTCAGCAGGCTTTTTTAGCCAAGTTCATCTCAGTCATTCATCAGCACTTGGAAATGTTTAGGCACAGAAAAATGAAATTAATTGGAAAATGTTTCTAATGTTAAAGGTTTTAAATACTTCATCATAAATGAATAGTGGCTAAATTTGCAATCAGATGATAAAACCAGAAAATATAAAATTATTCTAATGAACATATGGAATAATGAATTTTTGCCTTGCATGGCTTTTCAATTAAGGTTTAAGTGATAATTTGGGGGCTCCTTGTCAATAACTTGCTGATTTCTTTTAGTGAAATATGTAGATTGGCTGCAGATTTTGATCAGAACAAGGTATTTGCAGGTCATTTTCCCTTTAACAATATCTTTAGAATACTCTTTCCACAGCCAATCTTCAAATAATGGGGGTTTAATGAATTTCACTATTTTCTTATTGTGATGTGTATGTCTTCTCTCCATTTTTTTCTGCCAATTTATTTCTCAATTCTTTGACTGACCTTCCTTAGTCCCTTTGCTTGCTCTCTTTCCTATGCTTGTAACAAAAGACTGGCTTTAAACTGTGTTGCAAGATACATCTAGGTACATTAAAATTTTAGAGAGTTTATTTGAACAGACAGTGATTCATAAATGGAACAGTACCAGAATGCAGTGGTTTGGGCTCCACCAAAGGGCCATAAGGGAAAAACTTTTATAAGGTGTTCGAGGAAGCAAGACATAGAAAATATTTGATTGGTTAAAGTGGAACAGTAGCCTTAAAGTCTCTAGTTAGAGGTTACTTGGCAGTTTCTGATTGGTTGAGCTTAAGTTTCATTTCCTAGCATATGACCATTTACTGTGAATGGGGTTTGTTTGCTTAGGTAGGAACCCAGGGCACCGGAGCTGCCTCAGTCTATAATGGCTGCCTTATTAATTATTTTAATACCTGCTTTAGGCTGCTTTTTAAACATTTTTGCTGAGAACACATTTTCTATACATTTGGCTTTCTCTAGTACCACTAGGTTCTAACTTCCAAACCCCAACTTCCAGCATAAACTGGAACTATTCTAAAATATCTTATTATCATCTTCAAGCATCACAATTGTTTCTAACTAAACTCATTTCTCATTTTCCCTTCTAAGTTCACCACCTCCACTACATCCTTTTGGTCCAGAAAATTGTTCTGGTGCTTGCTCACCTCTTGGCAGAAATGTTCCCCCAAAAAGCACACTTGTAACACCACATTTCCACCATAACTTTATAGATACCAGAGCAGAAATGTAGGTTTATTGATTCCTCAATAGAATTCAACTTGAGGAGAGGAGCAGTGGCTCATTTCTGCATTTGTAACTCCTAACTCAGAACAGACATTAAAGACAAAATAAGTATCTGTCAAATAAATGGATTAATGTGTATGTTTACTTATCGTCATTTGGACTGTTCAGAGCCATACTGATTCCACACTCAGCTAATAAGATGTATCATTTATTCCCATGTATGTGGAACACTAACCAACATTTTTAAAAACTAGAGATGAATGTTTTAGTTTAATAATTTTTTTCATGATGGTAATTAATGGGGCATCAATTTATCTATTAAATTATCAGGAAAATATTTTAACAGCTTCTTGAAATATAATTGCAGTATCTTAATTTGTTTGGGCCGCTATAATAAAATGCCATAGACTGGGTAGTTTATAAACAAAACAAATTCATTTCTCATAGCTCTGGAGGATGAGAAGCTCAAGATCAAGGTGCTGGCAGATTCCATGTGTGGTAGTGATCTGCTTTCTCATAGAAGGTGCCTTCTAACTGTGTCTTCACATGGTGGAAGGAGTAAGGGATCTCTCTGAGCTTCTCCTGTAAGGATACTAATCTCCTTCCTGAGAGCTTTTCTCCTATGATTTAATCATTTGCCAAAGGCCCCACTTCTTAATACTATGCCATTGGGGATTAGGTTTCAATATATGAATTGATTATACAAACCACACACAATAAAATATTCATTTGATAATGTTCATTTGATAAGCTTTGACATATTTATATACGTGTAGAGTTGTCACATCAAAATTTTGAATATATCTGTTACCTTCAAAAATGGCCTCATGCTTCTTTGCAATCTCTCTCCTGCTGCTCTGATTTCTAGTCTCCTAGGCAACAATTAATACACTTTCCTTCACTATATATGAGTGTGCATTTTCTAGAATTTAGTATAAATAAAATTACATAGTACATATTCCTTTTAAAGTCTGGTTTCTTTCATCCAGTACAATTATGTCAAAATTCAATGTCACTGCATAAAGCAATAGTACATTCCTTTTTGTTACTTCAGAGCATACCATTGTAGCGGTATACCGCAATTTGTTAATGGACATTTGGATGGTCTCTAATTTGGGGATATTATAAATAAATCTGCTATGACTAATTTTTGTGTAAAACTTTTTATAGGTGTATGTCTTCATGGCTTTAGGAAATTCCTAGGATTGGAATGACTGAATCCTATGGTCACTGTGTGTTTAACCTTTTAAAAAAGTCTCAAAATGTTTTCCAAAATTGCTGTACCATTTTGAATCCCAGGAGCGTATGAGAGTTCCATTTGCTCCACATCCTTATCAACACTGGGATGGTTAACCTTGATAATCTTAACATTCTACTAGGTAGCTTACTGTGCTTTTAGTTTGTGTTCATCTAATGACTAAGGATTTTTGCATCTTTTTATGTGCTTTTTGCCATACATATATCTTCTTTGATGAAGTTTCTATATGCCATAAGTAAATTAAAATGAGTGAGTTATGGGTACACATGGCAACATAAATGAATCTTAGAAGGTTGAACAGTATAAACCAGATACAAGAGGAACCTCCTGCAGAATTCCATTCACCTCAATTCCAAAAAGCCAGAAAGTTTGCCTGAGGGAATAAAAAATCCGGATAGTAGTTACCTTTAAGGCTGTATTTACTAAAAGGAAGCTACTATTATATTCTATTTCTTGATCTGGGTGAGTTACAAGGTTTCTTTTTCTTTTTTTAACTTTTGAACATTTATCAAATTTTTACTTGTGATTTGCTAATTTTACATATGTTATATTCAATACAAAATTTAATTTTAAAAAATAAATAATAACTTAGTTTATGTTAACAAGAAGAGCAACCAGCAACTTTATTAAATGTTTCTTATGTGCCAAATACTACACCAAATGAAAAGCTAAGAAAAAAACAGAAAGAGTGGGAAGCAGTAGAGCCAAGAATACTCTTATACACAGAAAATGTTTAGATCTGGTGTTTATAATTCAGAATAAAACTGCCTTTATTTAATACTTGGTGTCATAAGGTTGCTTGCATTGGAAACATTGTTTTTAAATCCACTATGCAGTGTGATAAGGAGACTCAATAGTTAACTTTATTGTGGTGTAAAGGTAGGAATATATATAAAAATAGGAAAATAAACCACAAATATTAATATTTTTGTTTGTGGGAAATTATTTGGCTCTTGCTGAAAGAGTTTTCGTTGTTTCATTTTATTTTTTTTCTTTGAATGTGGGTAGAAGTTTTACATTATAGTGATAGCCAGAACACAAAGAATGTGTTCACAAGCATTCACTCTGCTTTGTCTAGTCTTCTTTTAAAAAGCTAGCAAACAAGTTTTCAGTAAGTGAATAATGAAAGGGCACATAAATTCCATACTTTTGTTTTGAAAAGTGATTTCAGATAGAAAATTTTCACTGAAATAATTGATCACATGTAAAATTACGTTAAAACTGATCATTCAAAATAAACCCCTTCCAAATTTATTTAGTTTTTAATATTAAAAGAACTGAAAGACTAAAATAAACTTACCTATGATTTATCATTAGAGACTGATATGGTTTGGCTCTGTGTCCCCACCTAAATCTCATGTGGAATTGTAATCTCCAATGTTGAGGGAGGGACCTCGTGGGAGGTGATTGGATCATGGGGCCAGATTTCTCCCTTGCTGCTCTCATGATAGTGAGGTCTCATAAGATATGGTTGTTTGAAAGTGTGTAGCACCTTCCCCCTCACCCTCTGCCATGACTGTTATTTCCCTGAGGCTTCCCCAGCCATGCCTCCTATACATCCTGTGGAACCATAAGCCAAATAAACCTCTTTTCTGCATAAATTACCCAGTCTCAGGTATATATTTATAGTAGTGTAAGAACTGACTAATACAAAAAATTGGTACCAGAGAAGTGGGGCCTTACAATAAAGATACCTGAAAATGTGTAAGTGGCTTTGGAACTGGTAACAGGCAGAGGTTGGAACAGCTTGGTGGGGTCAGAGGAAGACAGGAAGATAAGGGAAAGTTTGGAACTTCCTAGAGACTTGTTGAATGGTTTTGACCAAAATGCAGATAGTGATATAGACAGAGATGGCCAGGTTGATAAGGTCTCAGATGGAGATGAGGAACTTATTGGGAACTGGAGTAAAGGTCACTCTTGCTATGCATTGTGCCCCTGCTTTAGGGATCTGTTGAACTTTGATCTTGAGAGAGATGATTAAGGTATCTGGCAGAAGAAATTTCTAAGCACTAAAGCATTCAGGATGTGACCTGGCTGCTTTTAACAATGTACGCTCATATGCATTCACAAACAGGTGGTCTGAAATTGTAACTTATATTTAAAAGGGAAGCAGAGCATAAAAGTTTAGAAAATTTACAACCTGAACTTTGGTAGAAAAGAAAACCTCATTTTCTGGGAAGGAATTCAAGCCAGTTGCAAAAATTTGCATAACTAAAGAGGAGCCAAAACAAAGGGAAAATGCCTCTAAGACATTTCAAAGACCTTTGTGGCAGCCCATCCCATCACAGGCCTGGAGACCTATGAGGAAATAATGGTTTCATGGGCCAGGCCCAGGGCCCCACTTCTCTGTACAGCCTCAGGATACGGTGCCTGACATAACTTTGGTGACTTCCATGTAGTGTTGGGCCTGCGGGTGTGCAGAGGAAAAAAATTGAGGCTTGGGAACCTCCACTTAGATTTCAGAGGATGTATGAAAGTGCCTGGATGTTCAGGCAGAAATCAGCTGCAGGAGTGGAGCCCTCATGGAGAACCTCTACTAGGGTAATGCCAAGGGGAAATGTAGGATTGGAACCCTGAAACTGAATCTCCACTGGGGCACTGCCTAGTGGAGCTGTGAGAAGAGGGCCACCATCCTCCAGATCCCAGAATGGTAGATCCACGAATAGCTTGCACTGTGTGCCTGGAAATGCCACAGACACTCAGTGCCAGTCTGTGAAAGGCATTGGCTGTACCCTGCAAAGCCACAGGGATGGAGCTGCCCAAGACCATGGGAGCCTACCTCTTGAATGAGTGTGGCCTGGATGTGAGACATGGAGTTAAAGGAGATCATTTTTGGAGCTTTAAGATTTAATGACAGCCCCACTGGATTGTGGATGTTCATTAGGCCTGTAGCCCCTTTATTTTGGCTAATTTCTCCCATTTGGAATGGGAGCATTTACCCAATTCCTGCAACCCCCATTGTATCTTAGAAGTAACTAACTTGTTTTTCACTTTACAGGCTCATAAGTGGAAGGGACTTGTCTTGTCTCAGATGAGACGTTGGACTTGGACTTTTCAGTTAATGCTGGAATGAGTTAAGACTTTGGGGGGCTATTGGGAAGGTACAATTGTGTTTTGAAATGTTAGAAGGACATGAAATTTGGGAGGGTCCAGGGGCCAAATGATATGGTTAGGCTCTGTGTCCTCACCGAAATCTCATGTTGAATTGTAATCCCCAATGTTGGGGGAGGGACATGGTGGGAGGTGATTGGAACAAGGACTGATTTCTCTCTTGCTGTTCTCATGATAGTGAGTGAGTTCTCATGAGATCTGGTTGCTTGAAAGTATGTAGCACTTCCCCCTTTACTCTCCCTTTCCTATCACCTTGAGAAGAAGGTTCCTGCTTTCCCTTTGCTTTCTGCAATGATTGTAAGTTTCCTGAGGCCTCCCGGCCATGCCTCCTTATACAACCTGTGGAACTGTGAGTCAACTAAACCTCTTTTCTTTATAAATTAGCCAGTCTCAGGTAGTTCTTTATAGCAATGTGAGAATGGACTAATATACAGACAGATACATCATAAGATTTGGGGAGAATACTCATAATATCTATGTTTACATTTTTATTAGTACATTGTTATGAATAAAATATATCAATTGATTACATGACACTAAAAGTATTTCTTGCATCACTAGTCGAGAACATTCTTGTTGAAATCTACTGATGCATACACACATGCAATTATGTTGGATGTATACCTAGGGGTAAAACTTTTGAGTTAGAGTATATGTATATTGAACTTTAGTAGATGCTGCCAAACAGTTTTACCAAATTGGTTATACTGGTGATAAAATGTTGGGCAACTACAGTCCCTGCCTATACTTAAGGAGCCTAGAATCCAGGGAGAAGCAGAAAAGTAAACAACAATTTCAAAGTATGTTGAAAAGCACCACTATAAAGGTTTATAAAAGAGCACTAAGTACTATAATATGTATGTGTATACATAAATGTATGCAGAAACTTCTAAAAGAATGTTATTATTACTATCATTGTAGCATATTACTGCTTCTGTATTATAAAATAGCTAAAATCGGAACCTTATTTCAAACAATTGAGTCCCATGGGAAAAAGATTTTGGTTTTATTAACAATATTCCAAACAATGCTTAAATGCTTGAAGTCTAGAATGGTAAAATTCAGGTGAAGTTGATTTCAGATGTTCAGCTTTATCAAATTATTTTTAGTTTTCTTAAAGTGGTAAATTCTTTCTTGCACCTCTGAATTAGAGACTAATTCTCTGGGCATCTTCAGTCATAGAAATTATCACACTCTTTGGAAGAACAAACTGTATCAGGAATCAGCATGGGTTGATTGGAGAAACGTTCTCCTGATTCACCCATCTGTCTGTCACTGACACACTTCAGGAAAAATTGCCTTGGGTATGAGTATTGAAAGGTAGATTACTGAAACTATAATTCTTGAGGCAGTGGCAATTTTTGCTGTCTGATAACCCTTAACAAAAGTTATATTTGAAAAATCAACCCCAGTCGTATTGTAACAAGCCACCAAGACTTGAAAAATCAACAAGACCTGGAGGTGATGAGTAGGTCATTCTAGACAGCAGGCAACAGCAAAAGTGGTTACAAACCATATTTCTTTTAACTGCCTTGACTGTCTGGATTCCAGCCAGGAACATCAAACCTTTGTTTTAGCACAGACTACATGCATCCCAGTCTAAGAAGAAGGGTTGTAAAGAGGTCAGCAATTCCTGAGAATCACTGTGAGGGACACATCTGAGAATTGCCAGGAAGAAGTAATATGCAAACATGAGGATTACAAGGAACAATATAAGCAGCCTTGGTCATAAAGGCAGGGACAATATTTTGCTCTCTAATGTATTCCAACACCTTTCAATACAAGGTGCATGTTAGTTACTTGACAGATATCTGATAAATAACAGTGTAAATTAATTACCTACCAAAAGAAAAAAAATCTGATAGATTAAATAATCAAGTTGAATGAACTAAAGTGTGGGGGTGGGAAATATGTTGGAGTTATGTATGTATATGTAAGAGTGTGTTCTTGGATGTGTGTGTAAAAATCACTTTGTAAATAAACTCATAATGTTTAGAGCTAGAAGGTCCTTTTGAAATGATGCCATATCATATTTATCATTTATTCATGTAAAATACTAAAAATATAATTTGTATTCTTTTGTAATATAATAGTGATTCTTTTTTAAGTATAGAATTTACTACATTGCAAATATTTTTCTAAGTACTAGTCCTCATGTTAGCTCTGTTTAGATACGTCTTAGCCTAGGTTCTTTAGAAAACGAGTGAAATTTTATGTGCTAAGGCCTTACTGGAGATGCAACCCCAGCCTGACAAAAGTGAAGTCAAAAGGAAAAATCAGACTGCAAAGGAGGGACAGCAAAGGTAGCTGACAGTTACAGTTGTTATTACTGAGCTGGTCATGGATTCACAAGGAAACCAGCTGATTGTTCAGTCATGGGGGATATCCTCCACCATTCATGACAGAATACTTCAAAACTGTCGTTGGATAGATTAAGGGAAAGGAATTTATCTGTGGGCTCTTTCTGCCTCTTCTCTGTCACTAGACTAATTTCTCCCCACAGGGCATTAAAGCCTCTGCTCTTCGAGATGAACCACATACGCGAAAGCACTCTTCATCTGAGTCTGAACGTGCTGGAGGAGTCTGAACCTCCTCCATAGCTCTTGCATAGATAAATCTTAGTGTTTAGTAAACTGTGGCTTCTAACACAACTGGAATAATGGAGGCAGTTTTGTAGCCCGTATAGTTACTCCAGGGGCAGAAGGGACAGCCAGCAGTGTTAGGAGATAAGAGAATGCTTGGATAGTAGGAGGCAAAATAAATGTGGAAAAGAGAAATACTAGTATTGTCAGAGTAGGAACTATTTTATACAAATAAGGAAACAGTGGCACCTATAAGTTAAGTTACATGCCCTAGATCACATAGCTAGAAAATGGCAAAGCCAGGATCTGAACCCAGAGGCTTCTGACGCCAAAGCCAGTCCTTTTAAATGTACAGTAAACTGCCTCTAGTTCAGTTTAAATGGCATGCAGGAAAAACAATATTTACTGAGCACTTTTCGCATGTCCAACCTATTATGAGAAATCATAAAGTTATGAAATAAATACATATGAAACTAAATCTAAAATAGACGTTGTCTAGAAAATAAACTTATTTATAATGTTCTAACACACATTAAAATCATCTTACATCACTTAGTGTGAGGGATATGGTCGTGGTTAAGGTGGACTGAACTTTAAAGAATTTGAGTCATTAAATAAATGGGTAAAGGTACATGCACTAATCCCAGCACTTTGGGAGGCCGAGGTGGGCAGATCACGAGGTCAGGAGAGCGAGACAATCCTGGCTCACATGGTGAAACCCCATCTCTACTAAAAATACAAAAATTAGCCAGGCATGCTGGCAGGTGCCTGTAGTCCCAGCTACTGAGGAGGCTGAGGCAGGAGAATGGCATGAACCCGTGAGGCGCAGCTTGCAGTGAGCCAAGATCACGCCACTGCACTCCAGCCTGGATGACAGAGTGAGACTCCGTCTCAAAAAAAAAAAAAAAAAAACTGCATGCACACACATGAAACATAGGATCTCTATGCTTTCAAAATGAAAAATGCAAGTTGTAGAATAATATTTTTAGTAATATAATCTATTGAAGAAAGACATATTGTGAGGCACAGAAGCCAGTCAGACTGGATCATATGAAAGAGTCAGAAGTATTTACTTCTACATTAGGCAGGGTGAGAGTAGGCCTTTTTACTTCTTATATTTTACACTTTTATATTATTCATTTTTTAAATAACAAATATTTCTAATAGTATTAAATAACATTTTATATATTTGTTTTAATTTCCATAGTTAGTATGCATTACTTAAAATTAAAAAGCTATTTTCAGTTTGAAAAAAAGTCATTGATTTATTTGTGGGTTTACTAGGTGATTTATAAAAAATGTATGATATCTCATTTCTTTCTTACAGCTCTAAAATAGGTTTTATGAAAGGATGAGTAATGACCTAGATGTTTTCTTATCTTCCTTCAATTTAACCCTTTTCAACTTCATTCTGTAAGTCTGTCATTAAATATTTATCATTTCTAAATCTGCGAAGTCTAAAAGATGTTGAAAGTCAGGGAAACATTTAGGCTACACCAGAGAGGCATTAAAACAATTATTTACAAGTTTTCCTTCACAAGACCTCAGATGCAGCAAAGCAAAACAAGCATGTTCTTCTCAGAGGAAAGTCTGCTTTTTGCAACGTCTACATTTGTATTTCTTAGGCTAAACCAAATTTAGCACAATGAGGGCATACTATCTCTAAGAAGACAAAAGCTCTCTAAGCCCATTGGCCAAGTTTGCAAAACCTCTGATTTGTCTAATCTCTCTAGACTCATTGAGGAAGCGCATAGTTTCCTAGGATTTCTCAAACAACCTTGCACACTCTGTTCCTGGAAACTGTGAGTATGCCCCTCTTTCACTATAAGAAAAGGCTGCCCAAGTCGTAGCTGGCTATGATGAGAGATGTGTCTCAAGCAACTGTGTCAGCAAGAGTTCAGAATTGCTGTTGACCAAGTAACTCCTGTGTGCCTTTCATATTTCCTCTTTTTGATCAGGACTGCCTTGTGCAGTTTTGCTATGCCTGCCTCACCATTGTATGTTGAGTATATAGGGACCAGATAACCAGTTTCCATCAGTTCACAGGTCAGAAGGAACTAGATGCAAAGCACAACTGACACTATTCTAGAAGATAAGACCCTTGAATTTGAGCTGATGCTTTACAGGGAAGAGACTTTAGGGCCTTCGGATGGATGAGTTTATTTTTTGTGTGTGAAGATATATGATAATTTGAAGACCAAGGGCAGACTCTGGTGGTCAGCCTCATGGTCGGTAGTTTCTGGCTCTAGCCAAGCCTTACCAGAACTGCATTCTCTACCAATATCTCACTGTGACCCCATGAGAGACCCAAGGCAGAATTACCCAATTGAGATGCTCTTGAATTTCTGACTGACAGAAACCATGAGATAATAAATAATTACCATTGTTTTAGGATAAGAATTGGCAAAACCTTCTCTAAACAGCCAGACAGGAGAAATTTTAGGCTTTTCCATGCATATCATCTCTATTGCAAATACTCAGCTTTGCTATTTTAGCATGACAGTAGCCTTAATAGCTAATAGTTAATTGAGCATGGATATGTTATAATAAAAACATCGATTTTACATAAATTTTACATATTAGGGAATATTATACTTATTTTGATTGTTTTCAACCACTGAAAAATGTAAGTAGCCTTTTTAGCTCACATGCTGTAAACAAACAAACAAAACAAAAAGCAGGTGTCAGCCTGGATTAGGTATGTAGGGCACAGTCTGCTGATCTTTTAAGCCATTAAGTATTGGGATGATTCACTGTATAGCAATACATAATGTATAGAGGAGCCACTGGCAGGGTGCACTGGCTTATGCCTGTAATTCCAGTACTTTGGAAGGCTGAGGTGGAAAGATTTCTTAAGGCCAGAGTTTGAGAAGAGCTTGGGCAATGTAGCGAGACCCTGTCTCTGCAAAAAAAAAAAAAAATTTAATTAGGTGGGCACAAGTAATTCTAGCTACTCAGGAAGCTCTGGTGGGAGTATGGCTTAAGCCCAGGAGCTGTAGGTTGCAGTGAGCCATGATTGCACCACTGCACTCCAGTGTGGATGACAGAGTAAGACCCTTTCTTTTCTTAATTTTTTTTTTAAAGAGGAAGAAGAAGGGCCATCAAATATCCTAAATAAGAAAAATCCGGGCAGCAAAAAGAGCAAAGACTAAGTCCCTGAAATGAGATAAGTATCTGTGAGGACTTGGATATAAGAGTGCAGAGCAAAACAAGAGATGCTGCTACTCCAGGTAGTTCTTCCCCTCTGTCATTAGATTAAGCTTTACCCAGGTTCTTACATACACCTGAAGCCAGTTCCTATTCATGTTACTTCCCTTAGTCATGCCCTGAACTGAAAAGACTATTCAGTTTCCCCCAATACTCCTTCCTTAACAATTCAGTTTTCAAAATGTAAATTTGAATGATTAACTTCATAATTTGTATTTTCAATTTATCAGTTGCGAATACAAAACTCTGGCGTTCTGGCGTCAGATTCTGTCTGCAGCAGGAAGCACTAGGGTAATGGGGGTACATTAAGATCAGTAAACAGAGGGTGCAATGGTTCAGTGTTGCCTCCCCACCTCTCCCCTCCCCTCCCGTTTCCTCTCCTCTCCTCCCCTTGCCTCACCTCTCGGCTCACACTTCTGTAGCTGAGTCCTGCTTCCAAAGGCCCTGAGGCAAAGTGGTCCACTTCACTTCCAGAGTATGACAACTACTGAAGGCTTCTCTAAGAGGGATGGTAGTACTGTAGGTTTTCTCCCCACAACCAGGCCAGTCCAGAGTGGTTCCTCTGGACTTGGAAGGGCATAAGGGGTTGCTGTGTTTGAATGTGTTCCCTCCAAATTTCAGGTGTTAGAACTTAACAGCTAATGTGATCATCTTGGGTAGAGGGCACCTGAATTAGATTAAGGCCTTTAGAAAAGAGACTTCAGTGTTCAGTCCTGTCGCCCTTCTGCCTCTGCCATGTAACGATGCAGAATTTCCCCTTTCCAGAGCATGCAGGAACAGGGCATCATCTTGGAGGCAAAGAAAAGGACTTACCAGAAAGCCAAACCTGCCAGTACCTTGCTCTTCGCCTTCCAAACCTCCAGAACTGTGTGATAATAAATTTCTGTTCTTTACAGTCTCAGATGTTTTGTTATAGCAGTACAAATGCTATAAGACTTTAAGACTGGAGAGCAGATACAGTTTTTTACCAGTGTTACAGTCAGCTACACTTGTGCAACAGCCTTACCTTTACAGCATAACCACAGGGCCAAGGAGCATGATCAGAAGATATTCCAGTATCAGTGCCTTGAGATGATCAGAGCTAGCTCTCCCTTACAGCCATATAGGCTCTAATCTTGAAAGCCCAGGCAAGGGTTTTAACTCCTTCCCTTAAACTGAGGTTCTCCTGGGATCTTACTTTCCTTCCAGTGTGATCAGCTGGGACCAATCCCTTACAATAGAAATTAAGTAATGAATTAGAAATTTAAAGGGGAAAGGAGGAGATCCTCAGCCTCTTTTTTGCTGCAGAACTCTTAGCCTCCATAAGAATTTCTCACTACTTTTCTAGTATTCTTAAAAAATGTTCCAAACCGGTGGATGTGGGAAATAGGTATCAAGACTATATGCGCATACATACTTTAAGGCCCAGGTGTTTGCCTTGCTAAAAACAAAATCCAATAACATTAAAATTTATCTTATTACCTGATTCTTCCAGAATAATAGAACATTTCATACCTTAAAATTGCATAATTGAAAGAGCCACAAAAGCTTTGCTTCTTAGAAAATAAATTAAGTTCTGTACTAATGTAACTTCTAGAAAGTCCTCTGGAAATAGATTCAGCTAGGGGCTACTAATTACTCATCTGCCTATCCACAGTCCATTTAAGAAACCAAGTAATCATCACTAATTCATTAATTTAACAAATATTTGTGGAGAACTTAATATTTGACTGACACTGCATAAAGTGGTTACAAAATGCAACACAACTTAAAAGTGAGATAAAGATAAAGGTAAAGTGAGATAAAGGTTTTTTTTCTGATTCCAAGATAATACGATCAGGTAATTCATGTAAACATATGTAGTTCAAACAAGAAGGAAAGTTCATCTTAGAACTCTGCCTTTAGAGAGAATAAAAGACAAATTAGGTTAGAGGAATTACAAAACACTAAAATAAGAAGCTGTCTGCACTGGTCAAAATTTCTTCCTACCTTAGTGGTTTTATAACTTATTTCTAGAAAGAAAGAATAAAAGGAGTGTTGTCAAGTTAATTCACATTCACCTACTTTCTCTCACTCACTCACTTATTGCTTATGTAACTGAGCTAGACACTTTCAAAAATAGCAACACATTGGCAAACAACTAAGGAATATACATTAAAATATCTTCACATAGAAATATTTTTAATATTGACTTAATCATTCTGTATTGGAAGATTTACATCCATATAAGCAAGCATTCAATTCAAGAATTAAAAATATTTTGAAATAAATGATTCTACAATGACTATATAAATAAGTGGCTGAGTTTACTGAGTTATTGTAAATTTATTCATGTGGATTTGGAAATTTTTAGTACGAATTTGGTCACTTCTGATACATAGGTCAATTTTAAAGTATTCTTGGTGGTCTTCTTGTTGTTGTTGTTTTGTCTTTTAGAGATGAAACCTCTCTTTGTCACCCAGGATGCAGTACAGAGACATGATCATAGCTCACGGCAGCCTCAACCTCCTGGGCTCAAGCAATCCTCCTGGCTAAGCCTCTCTAGTCTCTGGGATTAGTCCCCAGCCACTGTGCCGAACTTCGATGCTTTCAATTTACATCCCACTATATTCGGCATGACCTTATAAGTAATAGTGGGTCATAATTCAAAAAAAAATCAACAAAAATGCTTTAGGGAACAACCTATTATATAATTCAGATAAATCTTAGTCATTCTTCAGTGACGAAGTTAAAAAAAAACGAAAACATTAGAATGAGAATTAGTAAATCTGTTTGTAGATACTTTTCTGACACTAAATAAGTGGACTTGAGCGAATCACACACTCTTGGTGTATATTATCATTAGTGAGATGTATTATACGTATTCACCAGAACTCTCCACGATCACCTTTCTCACTCTTGGATTCTTTCTCTTTAACATGAAAGAAAAGCCTCCATCCTAATTTTTGTCAGGAAGTTGGTTGCTGTTATGTGGTTTCATAAGATGTTTATTAAACTTTGCAAAAGTGACAGCCTGTATTGTATGTTGTTGTTTTTCAAATTCTATTGAAGCATAATAAATTTAACAATTAGAAGTTTTCTGTCTCTCTTTCCCCATATCTCTGTCTCTCTCTCTCCATATAAACATAAATATTGTACTTTTATTTGTCTCTATATGTGTATATACATATATAGTATGCATATATGTAAAAATAATATATGTTTTTGTATATACACACATATACAAATATTGGATTTTAAACCACAAATATAAAAGACACTCATGCCTTTTCAATCCTCACTCTCACCTCACTAAGGTAATCATTGTTAATGTTGATTTGTACCCTTCCATATATTTTCTATTTTCAGAAGCTTAGAGAGCATATATTTGTATTCAGAGAGATGTTTCTCTTCCTTCTTCTTTCTCTCCTTATTTCCTCCCTCTCTCTTTTTTTCCATTATTCATTTCTTTCTTTATTTACTCATACATGTTATCAGAATATGCACAGCCATTTTACTAATTGTGGGTTATAAGCCACTAGCAATTTGTGGAATTAGCTTAATGATCTTTAAAACACTTTAGCTTAAAAAACTAAACTTTAAAAATAAGAAGAATGGAATAGAATAGAAAATATTCGTGTATCACTTATAAAAAATGTAAGGAAATTTCATTTCATTAAACTTTATATCATTTATGTATATATTTATATGTATGTGTGTACATCTAAGATTACAAACATAGATGCAGAAGTCTGTGCTTGAAATGTGCACACGTGAATGAGTACTGAGTTCAGATCATTCTAGAAGATGAATTTCTCATGGTAATAATAGAAAAAATGGTTGAGAACTTTGTTTTGTAAAATTTTTTCTTTTGGTTTACAAACTATTTGAAATCAAGTTGTTTGGAATATTAGCATTTATTATTTACAGTTTACAAAGCACAGGTAAGTAAGCTGTATAGAGCCCAGCAGTAGACTTGTTCCTTGAATAGTGTGTATCATATTACTTAAGCAATTTGCAAAGTGGTTTTCATCCCTAGAATGCAAATGTTTCTAGCCCATGCTAAATTATGCTGAGGTTATTATTAACCACAGTTCTGATGAGTGTTATTCTACGAGTAATTTAGGCAAGAGGATAGGGCAAAAGAAAAAAAAAAAACAGAATAATAAAGAAAAAGTAATATAATTAATAATAATTAATATAATATTGCTTTCATTTGGCTTTGCCATCGTCAGAGTTCAGTCACCATAGATAATTTTATGATTTCAGCTGTAGTAAGAGTTCAGATCCTCAAAAACATAACTTCTAACATTTTAAGTAACTTACTAATCAACTTCAATAAAGATGGAATAAAGGACTTTTCAGGAATGCACCTGATGAATATGAAAACACCTGAATCCATCTATCTATTGGACTCCATCTTCCACTTTACATGTATATATAAATCATGCTTACTTGCTCCCTCTATAACAACATAAACACAGACTTGGATTTGGCTGCAATCACCCTTTTACTTTCTTAAATCACCAAACGTGTAGCAGGGTCAAAAATACGGCAACAAAAGTTTTTCCTTATTCATCACTAAAACCATTTTAAAATTCCAAAGTTTTTAAAGATATTTTTGAAAATCTGAACAAACTCTATAGAAATAAGTTGGTGGCATGGCTGTGAGCTTAATGTAAGACAAAAGTTAAACTCTCACCTGTAGGGTAGTAACTGGGAGAGCAGAGAAATGACTGGTTTCTATGTTTCGGGAATTCAACATTCTTATAAGAAGTGAGTATTTACTCTAGGGATCATGATTCAGATTCTATGTGTCTAGAACAGCATGTAAAGTTTGGAAAAGGAAGTTATCAACAATATTGTAATAGAAAACGAAAGACTGCCTGCCAGCCGCACTGCTTTCAAAACTTGGTTTAGTGAGTGATGAAAAGTAGCTCCCCAGTTGGATTGTGAAAAAATAATAATAAATTAACATTATGATAGGCATGCAAATTAGAACCTGTCCCAAAGCCCAGGATATAAATACAATTAGGCCAAAGGCAATATAAATACTATTCATTCATTTCCACACTTTTCTCAAGTCTTGGCTCAGATGTCATGTCCTGAATGAGTCCTCCTCTTTCTCTTTTGAAAATAACCCTTTCCTATATCCCTTTCTTTCACTTTAAGTGCCATTGCCAAACTTTATTTGCTTATTTGATTATGATTTCTCTGCTTCACCAAAATAAAATTTCTATGAAAAGAAGGACAAGTCTGTCTAGTTTACCGCACTATTTTGAACATCTGGAACAGTCTTGGCACACAACAGATGCTTAACAAATACCTTAAAAATAAAAGGCACTAATCCTTCTAATTCCAAAATCAGAAACATGTGAGTTGTTTTAGACTTCTCAACTTCTCTTTAGCCGTTGTGCATATCAAATCTAAAACTGTTTATTCTCTCAACTCAACAATGCCTCCCGTATCTTTGTTGCCCTCTTAATTCCTACTTTTACAATCTTGGTTCAAAATTCTCATCTGAATAAAGCAATTTTGCTGCTAATATGCTGCAGCCATTTGGCAGTCAACATGGTAATATCAAAATATGAGGGCATTGATTTATTATTGTATCAAAATCACCAAATAAGCTCTGCAGGAGAACCCCTAGACCCTATTCCTTCTGGGGCCCCTAGCTTTCTCATCTCTCTTTCCTCACTCTTGGTGCACTTTTGTACCCCATATTAAAGCAAAAGCAAATTCCATGAAATGAAATCAGTACTAATCAAATGTATGTAAATTCACCATTCTCTTTAAAATCAGTATTTTTTTTCTCATCTCAAAACTTCTGAGGTGGCTACGCCTTGATACTTTTGGTATCATCCAGAATGAACTCACAGGGCCCAGCCATGAAATTTCCAAAGACTTCAATAGTCAGAATTCAGTACTCTATTTTTAACAACTAAGTCATGTGTTTTTTTCTTCTCTTTTCTTTTCTTTTTTTTTCTGGTCAGTGTAAATCATTGTTCTTTCCTAACCTGACAAGTGTAAGATGGAAACAAAAGGCTTTGACTTGATCTTGTGATCTCAATCATTTGTTTGAGCCAGGTATATTTTAATGTGTTTCAATTGTTCAGAATTATATTTTTAAAGACCTAAAACTTACAAGTGATTTGGTAACAAAAAACGGGTTTTAGTATGTTTTATTTTGATATGGAAACATAAGTATTAAAGAAATGGGGTGAGTTTGAGGGTTGTCAGATGTGTACAAACTGTGGTCATAAAAACCATTACTAACAAATGAGCAGATAGGAAGGGGGTTTGAGTTAAGGTTTTAATCTATGCATATGCATGTATATGTCTACATCTAGAAAGACAGATATAAAATCTAACGCATATCCACATATGTATACACACACACATATATACATATATACATATATATATATATAAAATCCAAATGCCCCAGCATCAAATATACTGTATCAAGAATGCCCTCATCAAAATGTCACTTATCAACCTCTTCTCGAGCAGGCAGTCTTAGAGTAACTTCTAATTTACCTGTATTTTTGTAAATATCACTTCTAAGAAACGAATCCCTTCCCTACCAGAGTGATATAGCTAAAATGGAAATCTGAAAATGTTGCTTTCTGTTGAAAAACTTTTAGTAGCTCTGCACAGTCTACTGTAAAAAGCAGAAATATTTAGCATATGTCAGAGTCTACCATTACTAAGCCTATATTTTACCCTCTAGCTTTGTCTCCTACTGCTTCCCTAGTCAGTTGGTCTAGCCATAAATAAATAAAAGTTCCTTCTGTTTCCTGAATTGACCATGCTGTTTTATGCTTTTAAACCAGCGATTGAGTCAGCTTACTGTTAGTAGATGTAGAAGGTTGAACAATAAAAAAAATCCAAGCTCCTGCAGAAAGAGGGGCTATTTAATAGGCAATACAATGGCATCCATATTTCTTTGTATTTGGGGATCTATTTTCAGCTTGGTACCTGGAAATTAATGTTTTTATCTCAGAAGCCAGAAATAACAGCTCTCTTCCAACTCTAGCAAAGTATAAAGCAGACAGAAAAAGGGAGTCAGCTAACAGACAATGTTCAAAGGAGACATAAAGCTACAGGTCCATATAAAAAGACAGAAACCATTTCTAGGATAATGAGTAGCGTGTGGCAGCATTTAACGGAATGCACTAGAGGAAAACATGTTTTAAACGCATTAGACAATGTCTGTGTACCTAAAATCCATACATTTATTAGCATTCCACAAAAAGAACAAGAGTTTTCTAAAATTAGGGATAAAGTTTCTAATATAACAAATGGACCATTCCAGGACAGAGCTGAGGAGACCAAGAAAGGACTGAGAATCTATTAAATGGGACAGCAGTATGGGAAGAATGCAGGATGAGAAATTAGTAGTAGAAGATAAAATGGAAGGTCTCATAGTTGGACTTGGCAATTGGTTTTCATTAATTTTAGTAGAGAAAACAATTGAAGGCCATTATGTACTATTTCTAGATGTTGAATATAATTGTTTTAGTAAGCTATCTTATAACCATATACAATTCATATTCTTCATTATAGGGATGTTGTTTTTCCATTAGTTTTACTGTTGCTGTTGTTGCTAGTCTTCAAAATTTCTTAGCTGAAGAATTAACTCCTTGTCTGCTCCAGATGTGGCTCCACTAATTATTCTAGTACTCTGAGTCATAAACATAGACATGAAAATCCCTCTTATAAAATGTGGCTTTAGCAAACATGAATAAATTCTACGTGTGGTATTTACTGGAAATGGCCTCTTGGTCTTTGTATGCTGGATCGGTATTCCTTCTTTTAAACAATATCAAGCAGCATTTCCTCTTTGAAGTTTTATCTGACCATCACCCCTCAAAGCTCTTTTCCAGAGTGTGCTACAACTATACATTCAGATCACAGTACTTAATTCAAAGTACTGCTGTCTTGTGCTTATATGTAATTTCTTTCATTAGATGAAGTACATTGAAGTCAGGGATGATGTAGTTATTTCTTCACCTCCATCTCTCAAAGCACAGTGATTTACTTGCAGTAAGCATACAAAATACAAATATATAAAAGATGGGTGGAAGGAAGAAAGAAAGGAAAAGAAGAAGAATAAAAATTGAAAAAGAGAAGAGAGGAGAGAGGTGAAAGGGTATTAAATGTTTGAAATCATAACCCACCTCAAAAGTTTTCTTTTTAACTGCCATAGACAAAAATTACTACAATAGTGAAAAATGAAAAATGGAATTTTCTAATTCAAGCCAAATTCTTTTTCTCCAAATCAGACAAAATACAGAATTGCTTTCTTGTTTAATTTTGTTTTATTAGTTTGCAAATTGTATGACCTGTGTATATAAAGTATCTGCAAACTTTAAATGATTCATTTATTATGGTTTAATATATGTTGTACCATGTCAACTGCTTTTTTAAACACCTGACAACTAAGAGCAAAAACAAGCCATAAATAGTCTTAATAATAGCTTTTTAAGTCCTATTGACTTTTTACCAAAAAAGTGGATAATATATCCATAAGCATTCTTCATGGTTCCTTTTCAAGTTTTACTGTATTCACACACAAAAACAAATTAATATATTTTTCATAAAGAAATTGTTAACCCTAATAAGAATCATGTGTTGATTGCTCTCTATGGTGCCTCTTTAAAATGTAGTTCTCTCCATTCTGTTACCCTAAAGATGTGTTGTCACTAGTATAAATCCTTTTTGCTTTTTATTATAAATTTAAAATATACAAAACCATATTTGACCATTTAAGCTATTAATAGAAGGCATGAAGGTCACCCCTTTAAGAAAAGAGTATATGCCACTTAAGTGACTTATTAAAACCATGATAAGACTCATCATTGTATTTTCAGTCCAAAGTTAAAATTACAGAAAGCATTTTGGAAGGAGAGAATACACTAAGAGCAACATTTATTTTACCAAGATTGTGTCTTCTCATGCATAGATTTTAGAATCAAAAGCCATATCTAGATGCATTTAACCAGAAACCTGGATAGACCTCTTTGATAGTTTGCCAATGACTGTATTATTTGTATGTTTCTGCTTAAAAAATCTATTGGATAGGCCATAGTATAAATGTTCCTCAATTTTTATACCCAAACTTTGATCATTTATAATGTAAGTTCTTTTGTCAAATCTATCCACTGGGCCATTAATGTGGCCCAGTGATTTACCAAAATAAATTGCAGCATCTTTTGTATCTAGCACATATAGCACTGCAAAACCTAAGGAGGAAAATCTTTTTAAAAATCCACTTAGAGCCGGGCGCGGTGGCTTATATCTGTAATCCCAGCACTTTGGGAGGCTGAGGCGGGTGGATCACGAGGTCAGGAGATCGAGACCATCCTGGCTAACACGGTGAAACCCCGTGTCTACTAAAAATACAAAAAATTAGCCGGGCTTGGTGGCGCGCGCCTGTAGTCCCGGCTACTCGGGAGGCTGAGGCAGGAGAATGGCGTGAACCCGGGAGGCGGAGCTTGGAGTCAGCTGAGATCGCACCACTGTACTCCAGCCTGTGCGACAGAGCGAGCCTCCGTCTCAAAAAAAAAAATCCATTTAAAAGAACATCAATTAAAAATTAATTTAGTATGGGAAAGGTTTATCAAAGCAATAATAAGAACTACATAGTAAAAATTTAAAGAATCCTATTATCATAAAGTAAGAAGCAGAGGATAAAAGTATATTAAAAGACCTAAAAGTTTGCAGTATTTTATACACATGTAATTTAAGTACTCTTTTCCTCATTTTTAAATTTTTTTAAAAAATTACTTATTTATTCATTTATTTATTTATTGAGAGGGAGTCTTGCTTTGTCGTCCAGGCTAGAGTGCAGTGGCATGATCTCGGCTCACTGCAAGCTCCGCCTCCCGGGTTCACGCCATTCTCTTGCCTCAGCCCTCCCGAGTAGCTGGGACTACAGGCGCCCACCACCATGCCCGGCTAATTTTTTGTATTTTTTTAAGTAGAGATGAAAGGAGGAAAGAAACTGTTTAAAGTGGTTAAGTACTTGACCAAAGTAAGAGATACAAATTATGGGAAAGATAGAATTCATTTTCAGACATAATTGACTTAAAAATTGCCATTCTTTTTATTTCAACCATTTCTGAAAGTCTAAAAGCCAAATACCTACAGTCAGGAAAGTGCAAGGCATGCTTGAAAAAAATAGTGAATAGTCACTTGTGGGTAGATCCTGACATATACTTGGAGATAAATTCAGAAAAGTCTTTAGGAACCAGATACTGGAGAGCCAGTATCTGGCTCCCTAAATTTTATGTAGCACCTTATGGAAGTTAGTGAATATTGAAGAGCAGCGAAGCAATGAAATTAATACTATGTTTTGGACACATCAACCAGTGTTGCTGTTCAGGGATGAGACTGGATGTTGGGAGAACAGTTAAAGAGAGTAATGAAATAATCGATCTCACAATAAACACCTGAAATGTGGAAATAACAAAGGAAGTAAAATGGAGGCCTTAGATGTGAAAAATGTATTAGAAATAATGTATTGGCAATGGTGACTCAGGAATTGATCTGGGTAGCAGAATACAGCTGTGCTCAGAAAATAGAGCTCAACGAGGAGTAAGTTCGGAATGTAAATGATGAGTATGGCTCTGGAAAGTTTGAGTTTGTCATGTAAAGCGGGTGCATAGGTAAATATTTCCCACAGCAAGAGTTGTGAATCTGAACCTTGAGGGAGATTGGAACCAGGAAAATAAATCATGGTGCCAATATTAATGAGATTATTTTAGAAACTGTGAGAAGTAATAATACTGACTAAAATGAAAAACAGATAGAAAAGAAGAGAAAGTACTTCATAGAGGAGAAAATAAAAGAAAAGAGAAGGTCTTGAAAACATTTGCTTTTAGAGAACAGGAATGAAAATGAAGAGTTGGGGAAGAGGGGTCAGCGATGTAATAGACAAATCTAGAGAACACAGCAGCATCGAAGCCAAGGGGTGCTATGGACTGAATGAGGTCTCCTCAAAATTTATATGTTGAAGCCCTAACCTCCAATGTGACTGTATTTCAAGATAGGCCCTTTAAAGAAGTAATCAAGGTTAGGTGAGGTCATAAAGCAGGATTCCTAACCTAATAGGGTTGACATTCTTATAAGAAAAGATACCAGGGACTGGGCGTGGTGGCTCATGCATGAAATTCCGGCACTTTGGGAAGCTGAGGCGGGCAGATCACTTCAGGTCAGGAGTTCGAGCCCAGCCTGGCTAACATGGTGAAACCCCATCTCTAGTAAAAATACAAAAATTAGCTGGCGTGGTGATGGACACCTGTAATCCTAGCTACTCGGGAGGCTGAGGCAGGAGAATTGCTCAAACCTGGGAGGTGGAGGTTGCAGTGAGCCAAGATCACGCCACTGCACTCCAGGCTGGGCAACAGAGCAAAACTCTGTAGAAAAAAAGAAAAAGATACCAGGGGTGTACACACACCGAGAAAAGGCCCTGTGAGGATACAGTGAGAAGGCGGCCATCTGTAAGTGGAGAGACCCCTCGGGAGAAACCAAATCTGCTGACACCTTGATCTTGGGCTTCCAGACTCCGGAACTGTGAGAAATAAATAACTCTGCCAGTCTGTAGTATTTTGTTGTGGCAGTCCTAGGAAACTGATACTAAAACTAAACTAAGTCCTCAGTCCTAGGGGAAAAGACATCATAGAATAAAAATGCTGCAAAGAAGTAAAGGAGAAAGAAAGTTAAAGTCAATTCATTTATCACATTAGAATGTCAAGGCTGATATTCTGTAGAACTTCTGAAGCTGTGGCCTGAGTGGATGGTAAGGAAACATAGACTGTGAATAGAAAATGATACTTTAAAACTTTAGAAGAGATAACTGGGAAATAGTAAAGAACTTTGTTCAAGAGATACTTCCAGAATATTTGTAAATAAGTAAGTTTGTGATTGCTAATCATAGAAATTTTTTTTAAAGGTTGGCATTTTTGAGGTATTAATTGGTTCTTAAAATAATATAAAGTAAAAATATTGCACAAATTTTTGTTCCTATTTTCACTCGAATGCAGTCTCACTAGATCTCAAAATCCTGGTGAAACAAAACATATCTGTGAAAGTTCTTCTCTTCTAATTTATTTTCTCTTCTACAATTTATTTTATTAGACAATAAGAATTTAGAATTTAGCAGTTATGTTAAACATTTTTCATTTTAGGAATTAATGTACTTGTGAAGGCATACATTTTGTTTCTTTTTAATGTGCTTTGAAAATGAACGTAAAAACATTGTAAATGTAAAAAAATTTGAAATAAAATCTAAAGTAAACTTTAGAGAATAAAAGTCAGTCTAATTTTATCACTTTTTCAAAATCACTAAATTGAGGATAACTATATTGCTGCAAGTAGAACACAGAATTTTGAATTCATTCATAACCATTAGTTCATTGTTTTGCCCTTAGAATTGTAGTATTTAAACATAAAGTTTAAATAAAGAGTTATTCCTGTTTTTAATTTTGACTTTTAGTGTAAACTTTAAGATACGCCTTTCTTTTCCATTTTGATACATTTACTAAATGTAAATTTAGTAAAAATGTTGTCAGAAAACATTGTGAAAGACTTTGAAATTCACTAAAAAATTATTGAGTGACTTTAATGGAAGAGTTTAAATGATTTAACAGCATACCTTTCCAGTTTATCTAGTTTTGGCAACATTATTTTCTTTGAGCTATTTTATAACTGAGTTGTGAATGACTGATAGGAAAGGAGAGCATTCTTGACTACAGACATGAAAATAATTCTGTCCAGTGGAGGGCAATTAATCTTCCTTCATATCCAATGGGGGAAAAAAGCCAGTTTTGCATCTTCTTGTAAGTTAATTTCAGCATTTTTGATTGACTCATGTAAATGTGGTCTTTTGATTTCTCCTTTGAAATAACTATTTAACTGGTTCTCTCATTAACTAATCAGTTACATTAGATCTTTGGCATGTGTTTATGTTATATTTGTATAAGAGTCATTATTTTACCTTTTGAGAGTTATCTTCTAATAATGTTAGTACCTCTCTCTGAAGGCTAATCAAACTAATATGCTGAAATTGAGGCTAAACATAGAATGAACATAAATATTCCTATGCTATTTAAACAATTATCTATTTTTTCAGGACAATAAATACAGAGAAATTATACGAGCATATGGTACCCAAAAAATGTTTGTGTGTTAATCTCTGGAACCTGTGAATATATTATCTCAAATGACAAAAGGTACTTAGCAGATATGATTATGGTTAAGAATGTTGAGATGGGATGATTATGCTCAATTATTCTTATGTCCCCAATGCAATAAAAAAGGTAACCCTTATAGGAGGAAGGCAGCAAGGTCAGAGTTCAGAAAAGGAGATGAGATGATGGAAGCAGAGTTCAGAGAAGAGAAAAATTTTAAGATGCTACACTTGCGGTTTTTAAAATGGAGGAAAGGGCCACAAGCCAAGAAAGGTAGGTGGACTCTAGAAGCTAGAAAAGGCAAGGAAGAGATTCTCCCCTGGAGGATCCAGAAGGAATGCCACTCTACCAACAACCTTATTTTAGCCGGAATTTCAGAATTCTGGCCTCTGGAACTATACGAAAACACATTTATGCTGCAAAAGTTTGATAAATCTTTTAAGCCACCAAGTTTGTGGTAATTTTTACATTTGAAATTCACACAAAGGCCTGATTCTATTGTTTGTATGAGCACTAAAGTATTAAAACAATAAATTAATATGCGAACAGCAGATTACTACAGCTTTAGAAAATGTTCATAAAGGACATGCAGTATATTTCAGGATTTACTAGGGTCATAGAATTCAGTGTCCAGTCTTTATATATTCTAATTGTTGTAATGTGTAAGCCCTTGCGATGGTTAGTATTATATGTTGACTTGTAAGGTTATGGGACTTAATCAAATACTAATTATGTATTTAATCAAATACTAATCAGGATGTTCCTAGGAAGGTATTTTGTAGATGCAGCTAGCATCTACAATCAGTTGACTTAAGTAAAAGAGGTTACTCTTAATAATGTGGGTGGAGCCTCATCTAAGCAGTTGAAGGTTTTAAGAGCAAAAACTGAGGTTTTCTAGAGAAGAAATTTTGCCTCAAGACTGCAGTGCGAATTCCTGCCTGAGTGTTCAGGCTGAGGCCTATTTTTTCTAAATTTCAGACTTGTCAGGCCTTGTAATGCTAAAATGAAGATAATCATCCTGACTCCTATGAGTATACGTTCCTTATCTCTCCCACATATCTCTCACTGAAATATGTCAAAAATTTTCAATGTAAAATCAGACTCTTTCAGACAATGCTGAAATAACAGTCTAGTCAGTACAATTCTCATTAAAATGCCTTGCTAGTATTTTATATCCTGCCTGATTTTTCTTCTTATACTCTCTAATTTTATAAAAGATAATCAGCTTCCACTTGGCAATTGATGAAACACCTGATACAAACCTGACATTGATTTATGAATTGAATTGTCTGAGATGACTAGCCACTTATTTAACTAATAAAATATATTGCTATGTGTATCAAAGACTTAATAAATTGTTGAGATTTTATCATTTCTAGAAATTTATCTAAAGAAAGAAATTCTAGATGAAAATGACCCAGGCATGGTGGTGTGCGCCTGTAGTCTCAGCTACTCAGGAGGCTTAGGTGGGAGAATAGCTTGAGCCTGGGAGGTGGAGGCTGCAGTGAGCTGAGATCTCACAATTGCACTGCAGTCTGGGTGACACAGCCAGACCCTGTGTCAAAAAAAAATTTAAAAAAACCCAAAAACAACAACAAAAGAAAACAATTATATTTATGCGTAAGTACTTATCTAGAGGATTGTTTATCAAATTATTACACACACTTCTTAATATCCAACAATAGGGGGTTCGTTAAATAAACAAAGGTAGAGCTATCTGATGGGGTATTGTGCAGCCAATAAAATAAGTTTAGAGTAAAATATCTTATGATGTGAATATTTGTTTATAATATAGTACTAAGGAGCAAAAGTATATAAGTAAATGTACATTTTTGTAAAAAAATTTCAAGAAAATTAATACATTTTATATACAATTTAAAATAATAGTGAAAGAATTACATCTAAAATGTTAACCTTATATATCTCTAAATGGTAGCGTAATAGGAGTATGTTGTTGTGCTTTTAACAATTAACAAGCTTTTTAAATAAGATATGTAACAATTTTAAACTAAAAATAATTATCCAACTATGATAATGAATTAATGTTATTTTGAGACATAAACTTTTATACTTCCTAATTATTTCCAGAGAAGATCTTAGAAATCTCGTTAATATCTTGTAATAGTTATAATTTTTTCTGGGAAAAAATGTCTTCATAAACTAACCAGTAGTACTTAAAATAATTTGAATAACTAAATGCTCCTTAAGCTATGTGTGGTATTTTTGTTATTCTTGGATACTCCCTCACACTCTCCCTATCTTGGCCCCTTATTGGCTTGGTCATAGAAGATGGTTCAGGGATGCACCTGACACAGTCTGGATCAATCCCTGGAAAACATTCTATGTGGAGCTAATATTTAATATAAGCACATCTATACATTGTTTTTCACTCACTATTAACCTTGAACAATGTTAAACATTGCTGACAGAATATTTTAGGATGATGAAGGTCTGTGTAAATTACAAGACAAGGAAGATAGCAAGATGGCAAAAGTGGAGATGAGAGACAGAGAAGAACAGAAAACACGGATGAAATTCAAGCCCACAGTTCCATTCTCTGTGGCTCCTGTTGACCTGTGTGAATTTGGACATTATCTGGCCAGTAAATCTCTTTCTTGAAGTTGTAAGGATTATAGCAAATTAAAATATACATAAAATTTTAAAATAAGATCTAGTCCATAATATTTATTAACCAAAATAATATATAATCATTGCAAATTATCTATTAGAGAAAAGAACATAACTTCTTGATTATATAGCAGAAATAGCAGATATAAACTTATCCCCCATTTTTATTCTACAAGATTGGAAACTGAGAATTGGCAAAGAAATACATATAAACAATTTGTAGTTAAAGTAGCAAATTCAACATTTGTCTGTTTCCTCTTTCTAGGGGTTCAGAAAATGCTACCCCAAAGTACTTTGAACTGAAGGTGATTGGGAGGGCCTAAGAAGCAAGAAGGTCACTCTGAGTTCCTCCTGCCTTTCAATGTGAGACCTGGCCAAAAGGGAATTCTCTGTCCTACCTCAACTGAAAGTAGCTTGTAAGAACTTCATCTCAAAGGGGTACTGCATTATACTCTGAGGCCAAGAAAAGTCAACGCAGAGGCCTTCCTGGGTCCCTCTCCCCCAATTTGTTACCATACCCTTTTGTCCCATCATACTTCTACATGATTTTACTGAATCTAAGCACAAAAATACTCAGTTGTCCCCTGGGTGTTTGGTCCTCATTTCTAATGGTTTTCGTTCCCCATAAAACTTTGGTTAATGCATTTGTTACACTTTTTTCTTGTTACTCTGTCTTTTGTTATATGGGTTCCAGCCACAGACCTTGGGATGCGTAAGGAAAAAAACATTATTTTTTCTCTCATATGTAATTCCAATGGCTAGCCAAATACCTGAGATTTCTTTTGTGGCCCAAAATATCAGTCATTGGTTCTAGCAAGATACTGAGATCCAGTAAAAAAAAAAAAAAAAAAAAAAAAAATGTAGACTTCAAATATCAAAGATTACAGTTGAAATACACCACATGAAGTTGAAATTCAAATGCACAACAAAGGTCATAAATAAATAAAATTATTTCCTATAATTTAAAAATTAACTTGGAAGTAACATACATTGGTTGACATAATTTGCTAATGAACAAGCAAAAATAAGAGTACTTTTTTGGTCTAATTAACAACAGCTGCTGTAAATCTGTTCTTCACTAAAACTCACAGTTTCCAACATGGCAAAAGAAAAAGGGCATAAACTAGTTCCAAATTATGTACAAGTAAGATTATATTCTATTGTGCTAAGTCCTCACATGAATATTATCAATAAATGATAAAATAAATATCCTGGGGTTTTACTATGAGCATTTCCAAAGAAGAATATGAATCTTTGTTAAAATTGCAAATTATCAGGATAGACGATCTGGAAAGGCCATGCTTCATTCTGAAAAACCAAAGTCTCAAACCTCAAAACTCAAGAAGAAATTAAGAAATAAGAAATGGAGAGCAAACCAAGTCAAATTAGTGTGGTGCGAAAAGGCAGTGTCCAAAGACATCATATTGCAAATTCATCTCATCTCATTATAATGGCTTTTTCTGGGTGGTCTAAGACCCATGGCCACTTTGTAATGTAGTTCATTCAAGGAACTATCAGCATACACAGACACCTTTCTTTTGTGGTTTAATTTAGACATTGTAGCTTATAAATATGTCAGTCATATTTCTGAAGCCTCACAAATATTTGTAAGCAAAATTTATCATTAAATGCATGAAAATAGAGCCACCCAAGTACATATGTCTACAAAACATTTCATCATAGAACTAGAACAGAGTCTGCGTAATAAATAACTGGTTGAAAAAGGGAAGAGCGAGCTCCGTTTAACTCAGCATCAGGTCTAGGGGCTGAAAGGCAAGAGGTCTTTATTTCAATAGAGAGTTTGGCAATGTTAAGAAGTGTATATGGGACAAGAAGATACACACGTGCACAATGATCTGCTTAGCACTAATTGTGAATATGAAGCAGAGACAAGCCTTTTATCATGGATCTCCATTTTCCAGAAAAATAATATCTCATGTAGCCTCCTTGAGGCAATTGCCTTTGACTGCCTTTTTACCTGTAGTCATCATTACCTACTGTACCTCATACTTTACCCTCAAATTCAAGTGCACTATTAAACTTCCTATTTTGGTCTTAAATTTCCTTTTTTGAGACTTTTGTAAATAGATGCAGTATGCAGGTTTTGGAAATGATTAGCCCTATGAATTTTTATTTTTTTTTTATGCTATCAAATATATATTTTATTTTCTAATGAGTTATTGTTATTATCAAAAATAAATTCGAGTTTTGTATATTGACTCTGTGTCCTGTGACCATTCTAAATTTTATTATTAACTTGATAGTTTTTAGAAAAATTTCTTAGGTTTAGCACTATCATAATTGTTGAATATTTGCACAGGCTATCACCTCCAGTAAAATGATGAATAAAAATAGTCAAGAACTTTTACTTGTTCCAATCTTTGGGGGAAAGTTTTTAGTTCTTCACTGTCATGTATGATATTAGCTGTAAGTTGTCTTCAGCTACTCTTAAACATGTTGAGAAAGTTTCCTTCTGTTCTCAGGTTTTAAGAGTTTTTAACATGAATGTGTGGTAACTTTTTAAATACACTGGCCAACATAGTGAAACCCCATCTCTACTAAAAATACAAAAATTAGCAGGTGTGGTGGCACGCGCCTGTAATCCCCGCTACTTGGGAGGCTGAGGCAGGAGAATCACTTGAACCCAGGAGGCAGAGCTTGCAGTGAGCTGAGATCTTGCCACTGCACTCCAGCCTGGGCGACAGAGTGAGACTCCGTCTAAAAAAAAAAAAAAAAAGTAAAATAAGTAAATAAATACCTTTCCTGTTATTATTCAGATGATCATATAAGTTTTCTGTTATTATTTTAATGTATTAAACTGCATTTATTACATCCTAAGATAAATAGTACTTGGTAATGTTGCATTTCCCCCTTTTCTTTCTATTTATAGAATCAATTTCCTAACAGTCTAGAGATTTCTATGTCTTAATTCATGGAAAAAATTTTTAGAGTTTTCTTATAATTGGTTTTTCCAATTTTGATATTAAAATTATCTGAACTCATACAAAAAGTTGGAATATGTTCACTATTTCTCTAGTTTATTAAAGCAACTTGATAAAATTGATATTACTTCTTCACTATAGAAGTGTGTGATAGACTTCAAAAGTGGAGTCACCTGAGTGTGGGCTTTCTCTTTTTTTTTTGGAACGGTTTTTAATTACAATTTCAAATTCCCTTTCAGATGTAAGACTTCAAATTGTCTATTTGTCCATTTATTCTTTGTGTGTGTGTGTATTTTAGTAGAGACTGGGTTTTGCCATGTTGGCCAGGCTGTTCTCAAACTCCTGACATCAAGTGATCTGCCTGCCTCAGCCTCCCAAAGTGCTGGGTTTACAGGTGTGAGCCACTGCACCCTGCCTATTTGTCTATGTATTCTTATGTTAATTTAGTATATTGTGTTTTCAAGCAATCACCCACTAGCTTTCAAACATGTTGACATAAAATTGTTCAATAATTTCCTTTTTATAATTTTAATTTCTATATTATCTATGGTGATGCTTCTCTTTATTTACTGATAATGATAACTTTTAATTTCACTCTTCTTTTTTCGAGTGGAGCTAAATGTTTATCAATTTTATTAATATTTTCAATTAATTGATATTCGATATATTTCTCTCTTGTTTTTCTGTTTTCTAATGTATTGACTTTTGCTCATGTCTTTACTATCACCTTCCTTTCATCCAATTTGAAATTATTTTTCCTGGCATTTAGTGCTATTTATACTCACTGTGCATAGTTTTAAATACAGCCTACACATTTGGTATATAGTATTCTCATTTACATTTAAAATATTTTAAAATATTTCCTACCTAATTTTGTTTGACCCTTATGTTATTTGAAATTCTGTTGCCTAATTTCCAAATATTTGTAGATATTCCAAATATCCTTTTTGTCAATGATTTCTAAATGAATCCCATTATGTTCAGAGGCTATACTCAAAATGTGATGATCTGGATGATCTCAAAATATTTAATTTGTTTTGATATTTTTGCTATGGCCCAGCACATGGTCTGTCTTAGGGAATCTTCAATGTACACATGAAAGAATGAATATTTTCCTGTTTAGGGATGCAGTGTCCTGTTGATTTCTACAAGTTCAAATAGTCCTATAATATTATATAAGTCTTTCATTTCCTTACTAATTTTGTGTTTAGTTTCTCCATTCATTACTAAGAAAATAGTATTCCACTCTCCAATGACAGTTGTAGATTTCTCTATTTTCCTTTGTAGTTCTGTCAGCTTTTTCTTTATATGTTTTGAAACTCCTATTACATGACATATATATTTAGGAGTGTTAGGTATTATTGATAAGTTTACTCTCTTATCATTAGTATAAAACATCTGTTTCTAGAAGTATTCCTTGTAAAGAGTCTACTTTGATATTGCTATGCTATTCCAGCTTTCTTATGGTCAGCATGTACATGACATTTGTTGTTTCACCTTTTCATTTTTAAAACGAATTTCTTGAAAACATCACATAATTGTGTTCTGTTTGTTTATTATCCAGTCTAAGAGTTGAAAGTTCTAATGAATTTATATGCAATGTAATCATTGAGATGCTTCAGTATATTGGTATCTTTAAAATTATTATTTAATATTCCATCATCTATTGTATCTGCCTCTATTTTTATTGATCGATTTTTTCTCCTGTTATATATTACATTTTCCTACTTTTATGCATGTCTATTTTTTATTGTGTATGGTTGAATATAGTTATATGTACTGCATCGTTCAATATTTGAGTTTTATTGTCTTAATAGAACACTGGGTTTTTTTCTGAAAGTCAGTGAATTTACTTGTAAATCAGCTTACTCTCTTTGAAGCTTGTTTTTCAAGCTTGATTATGGTGGTTCGTAGTAGCTTTTAATCTAGGACAGATTAGCCCTACTCTTAAGGTATGGACTTTCGGAGACAAGTACTTAATGATCTGGGTTTCCAGTGAGGTCTCTCCACTTTGGAAAGTCATTATTCAACATTACCGGCCTTTTCCAAGCTTAGGTAGTTGTTCAGCTTACAGTTCTATACATGTTGTTTGTTTCAGTTAATAACGAACTTCTTAAAATAAGTTCTTCCCAGTAGTTGCTCTTCACAAGGCTTTGTAAAGTCTCCTCCTGTAAATATATAATCTACTCTCAAGCAGAATACTTAAGGGGAACTTAATGTACAATTTTGGAGCTCTATATCTCCACTGACAGCACTAGACAGGTCAAGACAGAAAGTCTACAAAGAAACAATGGACTTACATTATACCCTACAGCAAATGGACTTAACAGATATTTACCGAACAGTCTACGCAACAACTGTAGAATATACATTCTATTCATCAGCACATGGAACATTCTCCAAGATAGAACATATGACAGACCACAAAACAAGTCTCAGTAAATTTAAGAAAATTGAAAATTCATCAAGTACTCTCTCAGATCACAGTGGAATAAAATTGGAAATCAACTCCAAAAGGAACCCTCAAAACCATGCAAATACGTGGAAATTAATAGCCTGCTCCTGAATGATCACTGGGTCAAGAATGATATCAAGATGGAAAATTGAAATTATTTAAACTGAATGACAATAGTGACGCAATCTATGAAAACCTCTTGGATACAGTAAAGGCAGTGCTAACAGGAAAATTTGTAGCATTAAATGTCTCCATCAGAAAGTCTGGAAAAAGCACAAATAGACCATCTAAGGTCACATCTCGAGGAGCTAGAGAAACAAGAACAAACCAAACCCAAACCCAGCAGAAGAAAAGAAATGACCAAGAGCACAGCAGAACTAAATGAAATTGAAACAAACAAAGAAACAAAAAATACAAAAGATAAATAAAACAAAAAACTGGTTCTTTGAAAAGATAAATAAAATTGATAGTCCATTAATAAGATTAACCAAGTAAAGAAGAGAGAAGATTCAAATAAGCTCAGTTAGAAATAAAACAGGAGATATTACAACTGATACCACAGAAATACAAAGGTCATTCAAGGCTACTATGAACACCTTTACATGCATAAACTAGAAAACCTTGAAGATATGGATAAGTTCCTGGAAATATACAACCTTCCTAGATTAAACCTGGGAGAAATAGAATTTCTGAACAGACCAATAACAAGCCATGAGATTGAAATGGCAATTAAAAGTTACCAACAACAACAAAAATGTCCAGGACCAGAGGGATTCACAGCTATATACTATCAGACATTCAAAGAATGACAATAATCCTACTGACACTATTCCAAAAGTTAGAAAAAGAGAGAATACTCCCTAAATCATTCTGTGAAGCCAATATTATCCTAATACCTAAACTAGGAAAGGACATAGCAAAAAAAGAAAACTACAGACCGATATTCCCGATGAACATAGATGCAAAAATCCTCAACAAAATACTAGCTAACTGAATGCAACAGCATATCAAAAAGATAATCCACCATGATCATGTGGGTTTCATATCAGGGATGCAGGGATGGTTTAACATATGCAAGTCAGTAAATGTGATACACCACATAAACAGAATTAAAAACAAAAATCACATGATTATCTCAACAGACACAGAAAAAGCATTTGACAAAATCCAGCATCCTTTTATGATTTAAACCCTCAGCAAAATCAGCATAGAAGGGACATACTTTAAGGCAATAAAAGCCATCTGTGACAGGCCCGCAGCCAGCATTATACTGAATGGGGAAAAATTGAAAGTATTCCCCCAATAACTGGAACAGGACAAGGATGCCCACTTTCACCACTTTTATTCAACATACTACTGGAAGTCCTAGCCAGAGCAAACAGACAAGAGAAAGGAATAAGGGGCATCCAGACTGGTAAAGAGGAAGTCAAATTGTCATTGTTTGCTGATGATGTGATTGTATACCTAGAAAACCCTAAAGACTCATCTAGAAAGCGCCTACAACTGGTAAATGAATTTACCACAGTATCAGGATACAAAATTAATGTACACAAATCAGTTTATCTGCTATACACCAACAACGACCAAACTGAGAATCAAATCAAGAACCCAACCTCTTTTACAATAGCTGCAAAACAAACAAATAAACAAAACATAGGAATATACCTAACCAAGGACCTCTAAAACGAAAACTACAAAACACTGCTGAAAGAAATCACAGACAACACAAACAAATAGAAGCACATCCCATGCTCATCGATGGGTAGAATCAATATTATGAAAATGACCATACTCTCAAAAGCAATCTATAAATCCAATGCAATTCCCATCAAAATACCACCATCAATCTTCACAGAACTGGAAAAAAACAATCTTAAAATTCATACGAAACAACAACAAAAAAAGCCCACATAGCCAAAGCAAGACTAAGCAAAAAAACAAATCTGGAGGCAGATAGGTGACTATAAGGCCATAGTCACCAAAACAGCATGATTGGTACTGGTATAAAAATAGGCATATAGCCCAATAGGACAGAATAGAGAACCTAGAAATAAAGCCAAATACTTTCAGCCAACTGACCTTTGACAAAGCATGCTAAAGCATACAGTGGGGAAAGGACACACCCATTCAACATATGGTGCTGGGATAATTGGCTAGCCACATGTAGAAGAATGAAACTGGATCCTTATCTCTCACCTTATACAAAAATCAATGCAAGATGAATCAAATATTGAAATCTAAGACCTGAAACCATAAAAATTCTAGAAGATAACATCAGAAAAACTCTTCTAGACATTGGCTGAGGTAAATACTTCATGATCAAGAATGCTAAAGCAAACTCAATGAAAACAAAGATAAATAGATGGGACTTAATGAAACTAAAAGGTTTCTGCATAGCAAAATAAATAATCAACAGAGTAAACAGACAACCCACAGAGTTGGAGAAAATCTTTGCAATCTATACATCTGACAAAAAACTAATATCCGGAATCTACAAAGAGCTCAAATGAATCAGCAAAAAAACCCAAACAATCCCATCAAAAAGTGGGCTAAGGACATGATAGAAAATTCTTCAAAGACATATAGAAATGATCTTCTTTTGTATATCCAAAAATATATGAAATAATGTTCAACATCACTATTATCAGGGCAATGCAAATCAAAACTACAATATGATACTACCTTACTCCTGCAAGAATTGCCACAATCAAAAAATAATAGATGTTGGCATGGATGTGGTGAAAAGGAAACACTTCTACAGTGCTGGTGGGAATGTAAACTAGTACAACAATTATGGAAAACAGGTTGGAGATTCTTTAAAGAACTAAAAGTAGATTTACCATTTGATCCAGCAATCCCACTCCTGGGTGTCTACCCAGAGGAAAAAAAAAGTCATTATATATAAAAGACACTTGCATATACATGTTTATAGCAGCACAATTCGCATTTGTTGAAATATAGAACCAGCCCAAATGCCCATCAACCAACAAGTGGATAAAGAAAATGCAGTGTATATGTGTGTGTGTGTGCATGTGTGTGTGTGTGTATCCATATATATATATATATATATATATATATATATATTCCACATATATATATTCCATATATATATATGGAATACTACTACCATGGAATACTACTCAGCTATGAAAAGGAATGAAATAATGGCATTCACAGCAACCTAGATGGAATTGGAGCCCATTATTCTTTTTTTTTTTTTTTTGAGACGGAGTCTCGCTCTGTCGCCCAGGCTGGAGTGCAGTGGCGGGATCTCGGCTCACTGCAAGCTCCGCCTCCCGGGTTCATGCCATTCTCCTGCCTCAGCCTCCCAAGTAGCTGGGACTACAGGCGCCCGCCACTACGCCCGGCTAATTTTTTGTATTTTTAGTAGAGACTGGGTTTCACCGTTTTAGCCGGGATGGCCTCGATCTCCTGACCTCGTGATCCGCCCGCCTCGGCCTCCCAAAGTGCTGGGATTACAGGCGTGAGCCACCGCGCCCGGCCTGGAGCCCATTATTCTAAGTGAAGTAACTCAGCAATAGAAAACCAAACACTATATGTTAGCTCCTATAAGTGGGAGCTAAGCTCTGAGGACATAACGGCATAAGAATAATACAATCAACTTTGGGGACTCGAGGGAAAAGGTGGTAGGTGGGTGAGGGTTAAAAGACTAACATTGGGTACAGTGTACACTGCTCGGGTGATAGGTACACCAAAATCTCAGAAATCACTACTAAAAAACTTATTCATGTAACCAAACACCACCTGTTTTCCAAAACCTATTGAAATTAAAAAAAAAAAAAGATTGGAAAAAAAAACAAACAAACCTGTGCATCCCAGTATCCAAGTACACTTATCTTATTGCCTTCTTAAAATACCTATGTAAAGAGAATATTTATTTTCTCTATCACTATCATTTATTGTGGATATTAGGAAGCTGGAATTGGTGGCAATCCTGAAGCAGAAGAGTGATGCCTACCCAGGGAGAACTGAGAGATGGTAGAGTATCAGTGGAAGAAGAATTAATACTTGAGTCATCTGCAGAAGTAGAGTACTATGACCTTTATGACCAGCTGGGGGAAATGCACATTCCTTAGCATTTAAGCAGCTCCTACACCCCAGGTTGACGCCACAAATTTGGGCAGGCACCCATGAAATGTGCCTTAATCCAAAGGGGAGGTAATCTTCTAGGCCCTGACATCCAATCTGAAAGATCCCTTCAATTACCAACCCTCTTGCTCATATATCTTTGAGTATATTTATGTACTTAAACCTAGGATAATACTTTGTCAAAAGAATTGCACTGCGAATTAAGACAGTTGAGAACCAGGGTATATGATCTCAATGCCTTTCTCTATTCTAGTTGAAGAGGATCCTTTGTGAGTTGGTAAGATTGATGTTACCTAAATATAATAAAATTGCAACAGGGTCAGGTATTTATAACTCAAGTCATAAGTGTTGGTCACAGTAACTATTAGTAGCTTTCTAATTGTAAAGATCCTATTTTCTCAGAGTCATGTTCTTTGATAAATTGTATCCTAGCATTTCACACCATTAATTACGTTTCCTTTAAGTATCCACCAAAAGAATCTGCTCACTGAGGTTTCTTTTATCCCAGGGCTCTCTTGATTCTTCCACAAAGTCATTTTATCCTTGGACTTATCATTCTAATACCTATTCTCTCAAGCCTTCATCATTTCATGTGTTTCCTATTACACATTACCTCATATAATGTCTTGGAAATGAAAACCATGTGGGTTTTATTTTCTATTTAACACATCAAGCCACAATATTGAGGTGGAAAGCATGTATATATATATATACACACACACATGCAAGGAGATTAAATATCACTAGATCACTAGATCAATGGGACATGGATTAATCCTTGATTTAATAATATCTTGAAATAATATGTAAGCACATGATGAAATATTAACAATGGAAAAACCTATTTGACTCCCTGCATGATAAAAGTAGAATATTAGTGTTATTTTAACGGAGCACTTTTTATATGATAAACATTTTATACACTGTCTTGATATTTTACCTTCATACCCAAATATTCAGAATAAGCATATATAGGCCTGCAGGTTCATACTCTTACCATATTTGAATGTCCCATTAACTGATGTTAATTTGAATGTCCCTTCAGTATGTGCTACAATCACTGAATGAGGCCTTTTCTTTAAATAAAGAATATCTTAGATTTTTGTTTTCAAAATCAGTTTACAGCCTGTTCTATATGCCAGAGGGCACTGGGTTTCAATGTCAGTATTTATGTTCTTTTGATAGCTTGTTAGAATTTAGTTGCTCGTGGATTTCTGTAGAACTCTGCTGATTTTTCTTTATTTCATGACTAGAACATCCTGAGTGAATTTACAGCAATAAAATATCGACTGATGGCTTATGACTTGCCAGTTTATTGCTGCTAGCCAATAGGAAGTACTTTCATATGGAGAGTGTGTTTCTGTTTAAGAATTTGAAAGAATTCTGTATAAATCATTGTAAATTACTTCTAGTGAGCTACTGAAATATTTTTTACCCAAAGCATAAACAAGTTCCTTGATCCTAATATAAATACTTAGGAGCATATTGAAGTGTTTTAGGTCTAATTATTTTTTTAACATTCATATGCTAAGAGGCTTTTTCTTATTGTTAAATAAACTAAATTGAGAGCCTTGATATAGGCTCACCAAAGTATAAACTCTCAGGTTTTTCCTACCTTCTAACATCAAATACCCCCTTGGTATAAAAACAAGTGAAATATTACATCAGAAAATGAAAACTTACATTTTAGACCTCCACCTTAATTCTATTGATATTTGCCTTGTCTGACAAGTAAAACTTAATTCTAATGCAATATTTCAGGACTCCTACATTTTTCTTTCACAATAAAAGTACTGAATTTCTGAGCTATCACTATTGCTTGGGTGACTGAGTGTTCTTTTGTTTGTGGACTTGGCCGTAGAAGGGCACTTTTGCAATGCAAAATGTTTAGTTTTCAACTTCTGAGTCTTCCTGATGACTGTAATGTCCATTATGTCTAGTTAACAGTATGCATGTTAGTTTCAGAGCTAGTCCTCCTGCCAACAGATGTCAAATATTATTTTGGCAAAAACTGTGAGTTGATTTGTTCAATCTCTGTAGTACCCTCCTTTTGAATGCCTGCCTGTTTTAGAGATGCTAAGAAACTGAAAACATTATCTTCCATTATCTCTTATAATTAGGATTCTGGAGAAATAGATTACTCCAATTAGATGTATTTTTACAAGATTTGGAAGTAAGTTAGAAGTATCTGCTGGCCTCTTGTGATACATTCTGTTTTCCAGCAGTTCCCTGATTAGATACTGGTATGTGGAAATTGCCTGGTACTCAGCCATGATTATAGCAACATAGGCTCGCAATTAAATTAAAAGTGCATTTTTCACAAGTAATCATATTCTTAATTTTTGTAACTTTACTTCATAAAGTAAAGTTAATGATTGCCCCATGAATGTGTAGGTAACACTATTCTGTGGATCGTATTCTCAGCAAGATATCAATTCATCAAAGCCATGGTTTTCAATTTTAACTGAAGTTATGGAGTCTGTGCCATACAGGACCGGGTATGAAGCTGGGCCAGAATGCAATAATCATCCTAGTCATATTTAGCCTTATTCCTCTGGGATGATTGTCGAACCCCAATGCTGTTAGAAGACATATCTCCTTAAGATTATAAGATGCATTAGTCAAGGTTCTCCAGAGGGACAGAACTAATCAGATATATGTATATATGAAAAGGCATTATTAGGGATAATTGGCTCACACGATCACAAAGTGAAGTCCCACAATAGGCCGTCTGCAAGCAGAGGAAGAAAGAAGCCAGTAGTGGCTCAGTCCAAGTCCAGAAGTCTCAACAGCAGGGAAGCCAACAGTGCAGCCTTCAGTCTGTGGCCAAAGGCCCGAGAGCCCCCTGCAAACCACCGGTGCAAGTACAAGAGTGCAAAGATCAAAGAACCTGGAGTCTGATGTCCAGGGTCAGGAAGAATGGAAGGAAGCATCCAGCACCAGAGAAAGGTGAAAGCCAGAAGACTCAGCAAGCCAACTTATCCTACCTTCTTCTGCCTGCTTTGTTCTAGCCACGCCGGCAGCCGATTGGATGGTGCTCACCCATATTGAGGGTGGGTCTTCTTTTCCCAGTCCACCGACTCAAATGTCAATCTCCTTTGGCAACACCCTCACAGACACACCCAGAAACAATACTTTACCAGCTATGTAGGTATCTTTCAATTCAATCAAGTTGGCACCTATTATTAACCATCACATAAGGTGTCAGATTTGGGACAGTACACGCCAAGGAGTCATCAGAATCAATGTGCAACATTCAAATATTTGGTTCGCTTCAATTTTTTTGAGAAAACTAGAATAATAAAGATAAAAATTTGAAAAAAAGAGCTGCCTTACTATTATATGTTAGCTATAGATGTGAGGAAGGTTATATGTATTGGGATGGTGCCTAGGGCAAAGGTGGGAGAAGGAAACTGTGGTATGCCACTAGTCTCTATATCCTTTAGACTCCCTGCAGATGTATGCTGATGTAATTTTCGGATACTTTTAGCATCCCTCTAACTTTGCAGTGATAAAAAAAATCTTGTTCAAAGACAAGCTCTTCTATTTCTTCTTTACTGCTACTAGCAAGTTGTATTAGGATTCTCTAGAGGGACAGAACTAATATGATACACGTGTATATGAAAGGGAGTTTATTAAGGAGAATTGACTCACACGATCAGAAGGTAAAGTCGCATGATAGGCCATCTGCAAATTGAGGAGCAAGGAAGCCAGTAGTGGCTCAGTCCGAATCCCAAAACCTCAAAAGTAGGGAAGCCAGCAGTGCAGGCTTCAGGCTGTGGCCAAAGGCCCGAGAGCCCCTGGCAAACCACTGGTGTAAGTCCAAGAGTATAAAAGCTAAAGAACTTGGAGTCTGATATTTGACAGCAGGAATTATCCGGCACGGGAGAAAGGTGGCCAGAAGACTCAGCAAGTCAGCTTCTTCCACCTTCTTCTGCCTGCTTTATCTAGCCATGATGGCAGCCAATTGGACGGTGGCCACCCACGTTGTGGGTGGGTCTTCCTGAGGATGGGTCTTCCTCTCCAAGTCCACTGACACAAATGTTAATCTTTTCTGCCAACACCCAGATATACGCAGAAACAATACTTTGCGTCCTTCAATCCAATCAAGTTGACACTTAATATTAACCAACACACAAAAATAACCTGGTTATAGCTCTAATAGATCAGGTTGGCTTGGCAGATTATTTGTCTACTAAGAAAACGGGAATTTTACTCTTTATGGAAATCTGATCCAGGAAGAGAAAGAGTACCATCAAGTATAGAAAGCTAACCTGGCATAATTATGCCTCTTATCAAGAGTGGATGGACATTCATGGAAAACATGATTATATTTTATATGCAAAAAAACTTGCCAGTCATTTTAGATCATATTTGTAGATAAGGGCTAATCACATCTTTTCCACTGAAGTAACAGTTATATATACTGTTCTTTATGTAAAGAACATTATGTACATGTTGTTTAAAAATGTTGTACCCTCCGGTTTATAACATAAAATATACAGACTTCCACTTTTGTGAAAAAGTGTCTTGGTGACCAAACAGAGAAAAGAATAATCACTGCAAGTAGGCACTAGCTTAGAGAAACCAGTTCTTAAAGGAATGGGATTCTTCGTCGAGGCACCTATGCCGTTTATTGAGTTAAATCAAATTAGAATCAGGAGTTTGGTCTGTGATTGGCACTGCATTTAATAATTGAATAACTCTGTGAGTGATCCCACCATTTGACTGACTAGATATGAAAGCAGTTACTTCAAATCCTGCTGGTTTTTCAGGTAAAATGCTTTTGATAAGCATTACCTGCCTATATTTAGTTAAGGCTGAATCTACAGTTAAAGCAGCATTTATTGGGTGAGGACACATAAAGACGGATATTCCTATAAGACATTGGAGTTGATAGGAAAAGTTTCTGCTGGCAACAGCTCTAGTCATAATGTAACTCAACCTAGACCATACTTCCGAGCAATTCTACTGGCATGTATTGCTGAAGCATCTTCCCAAGTTCCTAAAGTATTTAAGTAGGACTGGTTGCCCAACAATCTTTAGTGGACTCTTTGGTTAGGGTTTTGAGATGAACTCAACATAATTCATTCTATTTTAAGCAGGAAGAGATTTTCTAGAGGATATTTTGTGGCTTATAGAATCCTTGGAGGAGTTGGAGGTGGGTGGGGTGGCTAGATACTGCCCAGAAGGCAGCCAAAGGAAACACTCATCCACAAGATTCTTCTGGTGGAAACCCTGTGGGATCTGGCTCATGCCACTTGGCACCTACAACAACAGGAACCAGATGCTAGAATCCCTGCCAGGGCTGTCTCAGAAGAACATGCCTACTCTTATGTGTTTACGCAATGTACCTATCCTCTCCTGCAGCCTCAAATTGTTTCCTTTTCTCCTAATTCTCTACCAGAGTTTTTCTGCCTGGAGGGCTCTAGCACTCCGGCTGCAAAGGAGTCTCCTAAACTTTTTAGTTTTTCAGAGATTGCCATTTTGGAAGGCATGCTGGATGGCTGTTGGATGAATATTACGCAACCCAATCCCTGGTATCTTTCAGAGAAATTTAATCTGTGTCAGCTTTTCTGCTTATGTAAAGTAGTCTAAGGAGGGAAAAATGTCATCAGAATGGTCCAAATATCTAAATATTATAAATATTTTCCAATGGGTATTACAACACAGCAACATAAACTGATAAATTATCAAATCCCAGAGAGACTTATTTGTGAATATGAAAGCTTAATAATTGTTTTTTCAATTACAAGGTACGGTTGAATAGTCAAGCTGTGTTGCAATGTAGGTACTTTTTAAATCAGGCTGTTAAAAATTTCAGGCTAGTAGATATAAAAATGGCTGAAAACATTAATAAGCCAGATCTTAAAACATGAGAAGTGGGGATTACTTTCAATTGCTTTCTTTAAAATTATAAATCTCAGAAGGGATTATTTAAATCCTTTACATTAATATTTCTTCTTTTTGCCTGTTGGCAGTGTACCATTCTCTTAATTTTACAATTTTAATCTTTCCTCTTTTTGCCTTTTTACTTGTAAGTTTTGAAAGCTTTATTAAATAAAATAATTGTAAGATAAGTATCTATAAAATCCAAGTGGGACATTTCATAAACTATGAAGGAATGCTGAAAAAAAAAGGAATGCAACTCCACCCTAGAAAAGTACTTAATACTGTGCAGAAATACCCTTTGGTTTATGTAAAGAGAATTTCATGAGGATGAATAATGTGCTTTTTCTCACTTGGTAGTGATTATCTTTTCCCTTGCTGGATAATTCCAGTATGAATCTACTAAAAAAATAATTTATTAAGTGTTTATAGCATGCAATACACTTTTCTAGATCCTGAGATTTTTAGAAGAATTCATATACAGTTTTCCTAAAATGTTAATAATTTCCGTAGGTATTGGATCATAATGAATTCTGGAATATATATTTATATTTAATATACAATAACTAAAATATAACAGGGAATATATAGCTTTAGTATTTAGATACAGCCTATTTTTCTTTTTCTTTTTCAACTTTTTCAACTTTTATTTTAGATTCAGAATGTATGTGTGCAGGTTTGTTATATGGGTACATTGTGTGATGCTGAGGTCTGGAGTGCAATTGAACCCATTACCCAGATAGGTAGCACAGTATTCAACAGGTAGTTTTTCAACCCCTGCCCCTCCCATTTTTAACAGATTATATTCTATTAATAATATATAAATACTTTTCTTAAACTTCCAAGGTTATTATTTTAAGAAAAGTTTCTCACAAAGTGCAATAACTTTTGTCAAAAATGCATAAATTAATCCATGCAAAATAAGAATTTTAATCTCTGAAATTAATTCCAAGCCAAGCCTAGTTTGTGATTATAACCTCCCATTTATAATCTTATTTGTCCTTTTCTTACATTTAAAAAAATATTATTTGTTACTATTAGATAATCAGATGATTTTTTTTCTCCTTCCAAATGAATTTGGAAATGTCTAAGTCAAATTTTCCGTGTGATATAAATCACAGTTAAACCTTTCCTAGTGAAATGTGCCTAAAATTATCATAAAGATTCTATGTAGAATCCATTTTTAATAATTATAATAAATGGTATTCTAGGTCAGACCCATGGGTTCAACATTTCTCAAATTTGTATTGAACAAAGTTGTGTTTTCAGAGCAACTGATTTTCATGCGAAACTACTGATGCTCAAACTGAATGCAGATTAGATTCACCCTGGAATCTTTGGGCATCCAGAAATTCTGATTGGATTGGCCTAGGAAGTAGTTTGGACATCAGTATTGTTTCCAGAGTTCCTTAGGTGAGTATACTGGGCAGCAAAAGTAGAGATATGCTGTGCTGGACATTAATCTCAAAAGGTTATGATCACAAAACCTAAAACATCTTGTTTCTGTTAATAAACTGTGTCCTTTACCCGTGACTGTGTCTATGCAGTTCTTGCAGCTTCAGATTTCCAATAGGCATCTTTTGACATTTGTCACATCAAATTAACAAAATTACTCTTACAATTTACATTACTTAAGATCATTTTATTTAATATCAGCATTTTACAATCAGGTGGCTGTTGTATTTGATATAAACATAGGATTTTAGGTTTTTATAAAATATTATGGTATGTATTATACCATATACATAGTATATGGTATGTATTATACCATATACATAGTATATGGTATGTATTATACCATATACATAGTATATGGTATGTATTATACCATATACATAGTATATGGTATGTATTATACCATATACATAGTATATGGTATGTATTATACCATATACATAGTATATGGTATGTATTATACCATATACATAGTATATGGTATGTATTATACCATATACATAGTATATGGTATGTATTATACCATATACATAGTATATGGTATATTGGCACCCAATAAATATAGCCAATAAATATACCTAGTACTTCTTACATTTAGGTATTGGCAATCTTATGCTGTGCTTCTGAGACCACGTTGGAAATGAGGTTCCGGAAGGTGTTTAGTTTCAGGAAATAGATTTTACATGATATTTGGAAGGTAGGTATGAGCAGATACTAAACTTTTGATGCAACTGCATTTCTATGGGTAAGTACAGATATGGAGATTAGCAGTTTTCTGAAGTAAGTAAGCAGCAGCTTCAGTATCCAGTCTCAGGTGTTGGGGTGGTTAAGAGGCAGCGCCCGAGGCATCCATTTGGCCAGTGCAATTTATAAGTGAGGTATAGTTATATCAGTGGCAGCAGTAGCAAGTACAGCTTCCCTATTATGAAACATGCCTGAATGTGTGGGGTTCCTGATTCTGGTAATGAGGTTGTGATTCTGGATGTGGTAGCTTTCTGATAGTAGCGGTGGGACTGGCTCTGATGGTAGTCTGATGGAGTTGTGTGTCTTTGGAAGTCATTCCTGGAAGGTATGTGATATATTTAAACCTGTTCTCAGATGTCCTACTCAGGGAAAAAGTGTTTTGGTTTCTTTAATCTGAAACTTCCTTTAGTTCTATTATATTTTTACTGAGGTACTGTAACCAAATATCAACGCAATAATCCTGTTTTTGTTATGCCAAATAACTTTATTAGATTACAATACAATGCCTCTCACCCCAGTGACATTGAGCCAGGAGAAGTGAGGCATAAAGGCAGAATTAAACCAAATTCGTGTCTTCAGATAATAAGTTATAGTGATTCTATTGACCTTTCCTTGATCATAATCTGTCTTTAAGATGAATTGTTTAAACAACCTCATTTTTTATTTGGGAGGTTTATCACCAATTGCCCATGCTGGAAAGACCATCATAGCCACCTACCACTATAATCCAAAGCACTTTTGATATAATGTTTGATTTTTAACTAGATTTTTAGACCAGAAATGTGGTAAAATAGGTAAACAAAGATGATCCCAGGAGAAGCTGCTAGAGATATGGTACAATGATGCTGATGACAACATTCAGGGGAAGTTGGCTGACACTAACTGGCACAGTAATTGAGCTCCAGATAATAAGCTGAGGACTAAGCTGGCAGTTGGTGGCGGGAAGGCCTGATGATAGAGATGCTAGATGCAGCAAATAAAAATACAGAATTCTCACTTAAACTTGCCTTTCTGACAAAGAACAAATAATCTTTAGTATAAACAACACTTGGGTTGCAACATTTGGGACATACACTACAAAAATAAAATTGATTGCCTGGATTCAAGTTTTACTGGATGTATATGGTATGGCCATCCTACTTTGTAGTTGGTAACCATAAACAAGTCATACATAGATTAGGTTTGAATGCAATTTCCCACCTCTAAAGAAAACAATGCAGGCTGTGGTTCTATATAAAATTCAAGTACTCATGAGAGTTTCAAGACTGAGGCTAAATTTCTTGAAGCAAGTCTCAAAATGAGCTTGTATTCTCATGCAAGACAGTGAGAACCTAAGTGCTCAAACTGGGCTTTGCATTATGGAAGGAACAGCAGACCTCAGCATGATGTTATGTCACTGAGCTTCTGACTCCTTAATTATCCTTGGCTATAAGTAGTATTAATTTTAAAGTCTAGGACTCAAATAAAACTTAAGAAAGTTAAAGTGTGTTCAGTGGCAAAGCTTAGACATTAGTAAAAGCGGGGAACGAGGCTGCTCATTGCATTTGAAAATGGCTAAATCTTAACTATTTACCTTGATTTTATCTGTTGCCCCTTATTGGGCTCTGGTTTCTCAGTACATCCTAGATACCTACTGTTCCCTTGAATGTTTCTTATTTGTTATTTTCACACTTTGACTTGCTAAGTCTCATCGTGAATTTTAACCTTTCCTATTTGCATCAACCACCTGGTGTGACATAGACGACGTAGCTGAGAAGTCAAAGCCATTACTTTATAAGTATATAATGTGTCCTTCCCCCCAATTGCACTGTTTCTGTCGTCATCTACCCAAAAGCTCATTTACCAAGTTGCTGTCTCCCTTAATCTCACATACAAGAGCTTTGAAAGATCCTGTGTAACATATCTTTCTGAACTACATTTAAGAACATTTAACAGCATTGAGGTTTCATTTTTCACATTTTCTTATGCATCATTTATAAGACTTCTAAATAAAACTCTGACAAATAGTACTATTATGAACTGCAGGCCTCAGAGTGTTCACTTTGACACTGCTCTGTGGCTACTGTTGCTTTGATTTTGGCCATTGCCCTCCATTCCTTTCTGATTCTGTTTAAAATAGTTTTAATATGGAGATCTGTCAAATTCTTTGAAAGTCTAAGTAAGTTTTTCTCTTTTCACATAATTATTTCTTTTTAAATAAAAACAAAATATGTTATTTAAATTAATCTGGATAAAAAAGATAAATTGATTTCCATGTAATATCCATGAAGGCGGGAATGTTTTGCCTATGTCATAGTAAGCTGAGAATATGTGCCTTTTGAATGAATAATTATATGTGGCAAATGAATGTGGCATTAAAAAGTCTAAGTAGTTTTTAGATTATTAAATTAATCTCCAGAATATTTTCAATTGTATATCTTCAGCTTACCCCTCTCACCTCACTTCCAGATTTCTATATAAAACTACTTAGACATCTTCTTTTGGATTACAACGGAAATTGCAAATTAAGTATGTCTAATACTGAGTTCTTAGTATTCCTTTCACATTTTGTCTTCTTCAGTTGCTCAAGGCCAAAACATAAGAAACATATTTTCTTTTCCTCCAAATCTCATCTATAATCAAGTCCTTTTACTCGTTCCTTTCCCAAAGAATTTATCATTACTGCCTACATTGCCCTGTCTCTACTGTGACCACAGCTTGGATCATACTCCACGCCCAGGTCTCCCAGTTCATTCTGTATTCATCATCCACAGAAATCTTTTAAAAAATTCAATAAGTTTATGACAACCCACTCCCTACTTCCCACAGACTTCAGTGACTTTCCATTGCACTTGAACTTGTTACCAAAACTGCATGAACTGCCTCTGGTCTCTGCATTGTCAGCACATTCCATTTCACCTCTGTTTGCACACACTGTTTCAGCCACACTGACCTCCTTTGGGTCTTTAAACATGTGGATCCTTTTACCACTTTCCAGTCTTCAAGTTTATTGTCCTTTAAGCATGGGATGCTCTTCTCTCATATCTGTGCATGACTTGCTGATTCTTTATCTTTCAGATTGTAACACAAATGTACTTTTTAAAATATAGCCTCTGGTTAAAATGTATCTCATCGCCCTGTTTATTTCCTTCCTTGCCTATGTTACAGCTTGTAATTATCATTTATCTCTTTGGTTGGTGATTTTCTCTATTTCCAAAGAGAACATATGTTCTATATGGACAGGAACTCATATCTGTTTCATTTACCATAGTGTGCTCAGCCTCTAGAATCCTACCTGGAACAAAATTAGAAATTAAAAAATACTTATTCAGAAAATGAGTGAATCCATTTCTAAAAATTAAACTACTCCAGTGCTTCAGGCTTCAAACTGTTTATACATTTTCTTGAAAATACATACTGTCACACAAAATATTGCAACATTAATAGATTCATAATCAATAGATTACCAATCATTTAATTGGAAATGTATTACATAAAACTGTTTTTTATTGTGACTGTTGTGAAAAAAAATTTAAAATAAAAATAATTCTAGATAAATTCATTTTGATATTTGAGACATTAAATTTGGTATTGTATCTTTTAAAGCTTGTTATGATTTTCTAAAAGTGCAACACTAAGTGATGTGTCTATTCCATTCTTGAAATGGAACAATTTAAATTTGCTGTAATATTTTAAATAACCTAATACCTGCAGTGTATTAGACAAGGTCAACTCAAATTTTGTGTACGTTCATTTGCTATTGCCTATGGAATTTTGTAAACACCAGAGTCTAGTCTTACGTGTTCCTATGTCATTTTGGTGAGGCTCAATGCATCATGTATAACTTTTTTCTTTTTCCTTTTTTTTTTGAGACGGAGTCTTGCTCTGTCACCCGGGCTGGAGTGCAGTGGTGCAATCTCGGCTCACTGCAACCTCTGCTTCCCAGGTTCAAGCAATTCTCCTGTCTCAGCCTCCCCAGTAGCTGGGACTAGAGGCACACGCCACCATGCCTGGCTAATTTTTGTATTTTTAGTAGAGACAGGGTTTCACCATATCTGTCAGTCTGGTCTCGAACTCCTGACCTCTGGTTATTCACCCGCCTTGGCCTCCCAAAGGGTTGGGATTACAGGCGTGAGCCATCTCGCCCGGCCATGTAAACTATGTTTAATATTTTTTCTTCCGTTTTAAAATAAAACAATTGATCTTTAATAATACAAATATTTCAGTGTCTTAAACTCATTTCATAATTTTAACAAAATATGGAACAAGTGTCCCCAGAGCCACAATCTTATCATCCTTTAAAATACAGTATTCTTTGTGTAAACTGAAGGTAAAGAATAGTTATTATTAAACTATTCACTCTGAAGAATTATGTTGTATTAGCCATATTTAAACATCTATAAGTATCGATTTTTGCACAAAAAAATACTTCTATGGAATGAGTTACACCAGTTAGATAATTTTAAAGGTTTTTATATTAAACTTTGGAAGTAACAAGTGTGTATGTGATGACATATACACATAAATACATTTTTCATCATACATTGGGTATACCACTAGCTTAAAAGACAAGTAGGAATTTTTGACATCTGTTTCCTTTTAGTAGCAGGCAAAATCCTAACATATTTATGATAACACAAGAAAAAATAAATCACTTGTGACTAAAATTTGACCCTACCCAAACTCTCAAAATAATTTTTATAATTGCTGGTACTGACTCAACATCAAAATGAAGTTATAAATGCAAAGCACAATATATTTTGCTAGGATAATATAGATAATATTACTGGTGAAAACTGTGTTATTTAAGTTATAAGCTAAGAGTTCATAATTTTTGACAAAGAAAATAATGTATAGACATCATTCTACAGTTAATTAACTGCTTTTCAATCTTTTAAAAACCTCAACAGAACACACCTGCATTGATAGCAGTCACTCATCAAGAGAATAATTATTCATGGGGTGGAATACAGAGACAAGGTGCCTTACTTAGAATTGTAGCCAATTCTCCAGGGCAAAGAGTAAAATGAGAAAAACTCACCGAGTAATTCTAAACTCTCCACCTATGAACCCTCAAGTTCCTTCCTTCTATTGGATATGACTGAATAAATAGGGAAAGTCACTATTATGTCAAAATTGAGGCTATGATATGCTTGAGAAGTGGATTCAAATACAATAATTTATAGAAATGGTTGGATCTTCCTGAAAATAAACTCAAGTTTCAGGCAGGTATAAAAATGCTTAGTGTGTACGTAGGGATGGGAGGCACTGAAAAGCAAAATTTAAGATAGGGCCATTGAGGGATGAGGAAAATGGGATAACAATACAAATCTCTTTGGAAAATCTCCATGTGAAAAAAAAGGAATCCTGTCTGATTTGCCGCTGCACATGGCAACTGTCTGAGATACAGAATAGAAAATATTTTCAGTTTCAGTATGGATACATACTTTGTCACTCTTTGAAAAAAAAATATTTATGTTAAAAACAAAATATTGGCCGGGCGCGGTGGCTCACGCCTGTAATCCCAGCACTTTGGGAGGCCGAGGCGGGTGGATCATGAGGTCAGGAGATTGAGACCATCCTGGCTAACAAGGTGAAACCCCGTCTCTACTAAAAATACAAAAAAAATTAGCCGGGCGCGGTGGCGGGCGCCTGTAGTCCCAGCTACTGGGGAGGCTGAGGCAGGAGAATGGCGTGAACCCGGGAAGCGGAGCTTGCAGTGAGCCGAGATTGCGCCACTGCAGTCCGCAGTCCGGCCTGGGCGACAGAGCGAGACTCCGTCTCAAAAAAAAAAAATAATAAAAAAAAAAAATAAAAAATAAAATAAAATAAAATAAAATATTAAAATGCAAAAATAATGTATATTTTTAAAAAATAATGGGCCCAAGCAATTCTTTTGTAGAATATTCACAAAAAAAATGAAGTGAAAGGGTGGTATACTATTGATGTGAGGCAATGCTGGTAACCTCAAACAATGGAATAAATCACAGTGCTATGAACCATGACCCCAAGAAGTGGATTGGCAACGACAAGGTGGCTGCTGGCTTCCATGGAGCCCTGAAAGGGTGGCATGCTGCAGGGGACGGTAGAGGGACATAAGGTTAAAAGCCTGGAGAAAAGTGACAGGGAATGTCCAGCAGTCATCCAGATTGATGTAAAAGAATACATGAAATAATGACAAAGTGCATCCTGAGAGAAAATAAGGAGATCTGTCACAGACTATTAAATTAGAGGATTTGGGGTCGACCTGATCAGGTAACATTATCTTTATTCCCAAGCAGGGGCTTCATGGGGGAATGTTCAGTTCATATTTGACTTTTTGAATAGCACTGAATGAGGTGTTTGTTCAGTCTGTGGTTTATTCTAGATGATGAGAAAATTGGGTTCACTTGCTTGAGTAGTTATCTTTGTGAAACAGAATGTAAAGAGCTTTATACTAAACAAAAAACTGTTAGAAAATCTTATCTTTAATCCGTAACTTTCTTTTGATAAATTCCTGCCTTAATATTTGGTCTCCAATCCAAGTGAAATTTTCAACTCATTATTTCTTAACTACTCTAACATGGTAAGTTACCATTCTTTAATTACAACTTTAAAATCCAAAAAGCTCTGAAGATCTATTTCTAAAAACATTATATTGGTAGGAAAAAGTGAAGTGACCTAGCTTGTTTGTTAGATAAAAGAGGAAAATTAAGGAGAGAGGGAGAGAAATAGGCAGGAGAGGAAGAGGAGACGGAAGAGAAAAGAAAGGAAGGAAGAGAAAAATTGAAAAGGAGAAAGGACAGAAAGAAGCAAGGAAGGGAGAGTGGATCTGGTTTAGACTGACACAAAGGTATTTACAATTTTTTACCTGCATAGCTTGGTGTAGATATTTATTTCACTATTTTAATGTTTTGGCTAAAAGTGATGCTTACACTCTCGTGTGGAGGTGTTACATAACATATAGCAGATATAAATTTCCAAAATCTAAATAAATTGCATTTTGAAACATATCTGGTCTCAAGTGTGATAAGCAAGGGTCTTTAAACCTGTAGTGGAAGTAGATTACAGAAAATCAGAATTAAGTAAGTAAGGAACTGGGTCGTTGTACTTAACAAGTGAATTAACAACCAGAATACTCTTACCTGCTTTCCTCTCTTTTCTACCTAAATATTTACTTAGTAATATATCAGTGCTAGCTACTCCAGTTACAACTATAGTCAAGATAGTCATATTTTATATCTTAGTGGGTCTTCCAATCTATTAATAAGACAAACTCAGCAGAGTGTAAGTATTATATTGGAAGATACACAGAATATTATAGGGGCATATAAGAGACATACGAGGAGACATAAATATGAGACATACACGGGAGCCTGGGGAGTTCAAATGCTTTGTATAATAGAATGAGTAAAATTTTTAGTTCCTAGGAATGATCAGAGGGAAAAAAAGGAGAAATGGGTCAATAACAACAGTAGTTAGTATGTACATACCAGCTACTTAGGAAGCAGGCACTATTCACAGAAACCCTATGAGATCGTGCTGTTAATAGCTCTATTTTATAGAGACTTTATGGCATAAAAAATAAGCAAGATAGAATACATATGGTAGTACACATGCAAATCTCTGCTGGCATAGCTCTTTCATATTGTGTTATATGCAAAGTAAGAAGGGCTCTCTCCCACATTAAATTTGATCCACCTAAACTGGATTACAGGCTGAATGTCTGAAATGCTAAAGAAAGATTGTCACCATGATTTCTTTCATTTGATATTATCTTATCTGTTTACACAATCATATAATCAATTGCCAGCTACCCAGAACCATCTGTCTTCAATTGTAATCTTGTATAGAATGATTAAAGCTGATTTAATGATATGAAAGTTATAGCAAGTCTATCACAAATGTGAAAGGAAGATAAATTATTTGCTTGTTTCTAGGTGTGGTCATTAGTGAAACACACCGTTTATTATATTTCTTAGAAATTAATTTTGAGTGTATAAAAATACATTTATTTACTTATTAATTTTTGATAAATATAAGTAGAATAAATACTTGAAATTCATTTTTTTCTTTACAGGCTATTTATTTAAAATGCGAATTCTTTAGAGAATAAACATGCTTAAAATTCTTTTGGGATTTTTAGAAAATATAAGAAGGCTTTGTAAGAAACATTAACAAATATTTTTGTTAAACATTCTAAACACAAATTTAAAATCAAGTAGTTCAAATAACATTTAAACGGATAATAATATTTATAATTGCTTTCCTTTAAAGGAAGTACATTTAGACTTACATTTGAAATATAATACCTCTAATGAGTATCATAATAGTGTCGTGTTTAGAGTATCATAATAGTGTTGTGTTTTGGTTTTATTCTATGTAAAACTCATAAGAACGATGCTTCTTATGGTTATAATAGATGACTGTACTGAGAATCAAATTAAATACACAGTATATTCAAACTCAGTATTTGATAGTTCTATTATAGACCTAAGACACAGATTAGTTTATTGGATTTAATGAAACAAAAAAAAAAGTATTTAAAAAAGTTATTTGCATATGCTTCCATGAAAACTATTTTGTAATTAATTATTCAACTGCTAACAATTCTACCAACTTTCTAAGTTATTTTAGGTTTCCATAGGAGAGAATGTTTATATGTGAAAAATGAAATAGAATCCTTGTTTGGAATAAAAGGCTTTTCTTTTTAAGTATTTATTATGAAAAACTTGGCTGCTTTCTCCTTCAATCTCATTGTATTATATCATAGTTAGGTGTGGTTCTGAGAAATCATTTACTCTAGCCAAGTTTTTTAAAAGTTTTACAATAATATCCCAAGTGAACCATTATCCTTGAGATGAGAGAAATGCCATATGGTTATAATGTATGTTGTCAGTATTCTTTTAGCGAAGCGAGGGAATGCTGACAAAATTTAACCTGGCATTTAAAAAAAAATTAGAAATGTGTTTCAGAAAATGTATTTCTCATGATCTAGAATGCTGACAAAATTTAACTTGGCATTTAAAAAAATTAGAAATGTGTTTCAGTAAGTGTATTTCTCATGATCTAGAGCAAAATTATAAGGATGAACATTCTATCAAGGTAATGATTAAGCTTCAGTTTTCCTAGTGGTTTGTCAACGACCTGTAAGACAAATTTAGAGGACATTTCTAAGAACTATATTTTTTTTCTCTACTTAAATTTTTTTAATGTTTAAATAAAATTATTAGAAATGCATGAAAAAATTCGAGGCATAATGAGTCAATTCCACTTTGAACTGAATTCTATCTGCAGATAGAGTAGATTGGTGCTTCTCTGGTGCTACACCTGGATACCTTAGATATTGCTTTCTTTTTCTTTTTTTTTTTTTCCACATGCATAAGCCTAAATAGCAATTCAGTATTCTACTTGCAAATCTTCATTTTAAACTGCATACTCTTTGAGCAGTGATAATGTATATTTTTATTTCTACCGTTATGCCTAGCATAAAGAAAATATTTAAAAAATGTTTATGGAGTTGACTTAAATTTAAATATTGGTTTAATAATAAACACTTAGTTGTGATGATAGCAAAATAAATTTTTCCTTCTATTTCTTGCAGTTGTGTTCTTTTTCCATGCAGAGATTTGCATCTATAGTCTAGAATGGGTGAGTGTCTCTAGGCAGGATTTTTGGAGTCTTGAAAAGTCAAAAAAAGATCCAGAATAGAACCAAGTAAATAGTGTGGTCTGAAATGGGTGTAATGACCAGGAACAGAAAAACAATGGCAGTCCTAGAGCCTTGAGAATAGATTCAGTCACCTATGTGTGGTGCAGAGTATGTGAGAACAGAAGACAGATAAGAAGTCCTGGAAAATCGAGGCAGAACTAGCTTGTAGCTTCCGCTCCGATGAACAGAGCAGCGTGCAAAGACTCACATTGTGAATTTTTTCTCCAAGAACTACTGCAGGAACATACCAGGAAAGCCGCGAGAATCCACAACGTTTTGAAGGAGCTGCATCGCTACTGCAGGCTCCCTGAGATGCTGAAAAAGTGTGAGTCTGCTTGCTTTCTCAATGGGGAGGCTCATGGTCTGGGACAAGTTCTCAGCCCTGTTCACTGGATGACAAGGTACTGTTGTTGGGGCACCATGGGAGTGGGCATGGCCTTTAGGACTGTAGGTTGTGTGGGAGTGGGGTTAGGTTTGTGACTGCTGGCTTTCCCCCACTTCCCTGGTGACCTATATGACTCAGCAGAGGGAGACACAATATTCCTGGGAATATAACTCCCTTGAATTTGGGAACCACACCCACAGCAGCAGCAGCAAGCCCTGCCCAAGAAAAGGCTGAGCTCAGACACACCTATCCCTGCGTTCACCTGGGGTCTTTCTCAACTCACCCTGGTAGCTGAAGACAAAGGTCATAATCTCTTGGGTGCCCTATGGCCCTGCCCATTGCCTGACAAATCTGAATACTTAACTAGGTGTCCCTAGGGCAACTGTGCATCCTGCATATAGGACCACAGCTGATGAGCTATTGAAAGTTCCACTTCCTGGCTAGAGGCCAACCAACACAAAACCAGCACACTAAACAAGAATACAACCAAGGACTCTCAAAGAGTCCACTTCACTCCCTTGCTGACTCCACTGCAGCAGGTGCTGGTATCCACAGTTGCAAGACCTGAAGATGGATCATATCAAAAGACTCATTGCAGACATTCTCCAGTTTCAGCTTGGAGTCCGCTACTCTGCTGGGTGGTTAGACCTAGAAGAGCAGAAACAATAACTACAGTTTGTCTCTTGGGAAGCACCATTCCTAGGAGAAGGGGGAGAGCACCATATCAAGGGAGCACCCTGTGGGACAAAATAATGTGAACAGCAGCCCTTGTATTCCAGATCTTCTCTCTGACATCGTCTACTCAAATGAGAAGGAAACAGGAAAACAATTCTGGTAGTATGACAAAACAAGGTTCTTTAGCAGCCCCAAAAGATCATACCAGCTCACCAGCAATGGATCCAAACCAAGACAAAAATCTCTGAACAGTCAGAAAGAGAATTCAGAAGGTTGATTATTAAGCTAATCAAAGAGGCACAAGAGAAAGGTGAAGTCCAACTTGAAGTCAAAAACATGATACAGGATATTAAAGGAAAATTCTTCAGTCAAATAGATAGCATAAATAAAAACAATCACAATTTCTGGAAATCAAGGACACACTTAGAGAAATGCAAAATGCACTGAAAAGTCTCAGCAATAGAATCGAAAAAGCAGAAGGAAGAACCTCAGAACTCAAAGACAAGGCTTTCAAATTAACTCAATCCATCAAAGACAAAGAAAAAATAATTTAAAAAGAAAACCTCCAGGAAATTGGGACTATGTTAAACGTCCAAATTTAAGAATAATTGGTGTTCCCAAAAAGGAAGAGAAATCCAAAAGTTTGGAAATCATATTTGAGGGAATAATTAAGGAAAACTTCCCTGATCTTGCTAGTGATCTAGACATCCAAATACAAGAAGCCCGAAGAACATCTGGGAAATTCATCCCGAAAAGACCATTGTCTAGCCACATAGTCATCAGCTTACCTAAAGTCAAGATGAAGGAAAGGATCTTAACAGCTGTGAGGCAAATGCATCAGGTAACCTGTAAAGAAAAACCTATCAGATTAACAACAGATTTCTCAGCAGAAACTCTGCAAGCTAGAAGGGATTGGGGTCCTATCTTTAGACTCTTTAAACAAAAAAATTATCAGCCAAGAAATTTTTTATCCAGGAAAACTAAGCTTCATAAATGAAGGAAAGATACAGTCTTTTTCAGACAAGCAAATGCAGAAAGAATTTGTCACTACCAAGCCAGCACTATAAGCACTGCTAAAAGAAGCTCTATATCTTGAAACAAAGGTAGTCAGGCAACAAATACCACCATGTATAGAATAATACCCCACATCTCAATACTAACATTGAATGTATATGGCCTAAATCCTCCATTAAAAGATACAGAATGGCAGAATGGATAGGAATTCACAAGACAAGTTTCCGCTGTCTTCAGGAGACTCACCTAACACATAAAGACTTGAATAAACTTAAGGTAAAGGGGTGGAAAAAGACATTCCATGCAAATGAACGCCAAAAGCATGCAGGAGTAGCTATTCTTATATCAGACAAAACAAACTTTAAAGCTAAAGCAGTTAACAAAGACAAAAAGAGACGTTATATCATGATAAAAGGACCAGTCCAACAGGAAAATATCACAATCCTAAATATATATGAACCTAACACTGGAGCTCCCAAATTTATAAAACATCACTACGAGACCTAAGAAATGAAATAGATGACAATGCAATAATAGTGGGGCCATCAATACTCTACTGACAGTACTAGACATGTCATCAAGACAGAAAGTCAACAAAGAAACAATGGACTTAAACTATACCCTAGAACAAATGGACTTAACAGATATTTACAGAATATTCTACCCAACAACTGCAGAATGTACATACTATTCATCAGCACATGGAATATTCTTGAAGATAGACCATATGATAGGTCTATCATATAATAGGTTCTGTGTCTTTTCCTTATTTTATTTATTTTGTTTTTGGGACAGTCTCACCATGTCATCCAGGCTGGAGTACAGTTGCACAAACTCAGCTCACTGCAACCTTTGTCTCCCAGGTTCAAGAGATTCTCTTGCCTCAGTCTCTCAAGTAACTGGGATACAAGCATGTGCCACCATGCCCAGCTTATCATTTTTCTTTTTTGTATTTTTAGTAGGGGTGGGGTTTCACAATGTTGGCAGGTTGGTCTTGAACTCCTGACGTCAAATGATCTGTCTGCCTCAGGCTCCCGAAGTGCCGGGATTAAAGGCATGAGCCAGAGTGCCCAGCCTTTTCTCCCTATTTTGGATCCCACATTATTGAGGTGATCCTAAAAACCAGTCTGCCTACAAAAAAACATTTCCAGTTTACTCTTGCTGTCCAGAAGTATTTATTATCTGTCACTTCCATTCTCAAAATTGTTCAAGTTTACATAAAAATAATTTGGTAGCACAACAATAAATACCCATTTCACTGTTACGTATTTATGCTTCCTAATTTTAAATATGCACATCTGTAAAATAAGAGAAGAAATAACAATTTATTTCTTGGAATGAAACAAACTGCATATAGCAAATGAGAAAAAAAAAGTTCAGAAAAGAAATGAGTGTTAAATGGACTGAGCTAAGCGCACTAATTATGAATATTATTATTCTTTAATTTAGAGTACCTTACTTTTGTAAAATAATTCAGAAGTGTAGAAGTGCTGTGAGGAAAGCCTCTAATGGTGACAAATCTCAAATCTTGATAATTTATCTATCTTCAATGGCTAAATAGGTATCTATAATAATATGCAAACACTTAATTTTTCACTAAAATTACCTGCATTTAGGTTACAGATTATAATACACTAGTAGTACAGAATAATGGTCTTGCATAAATAAAATAAAATTCAGACTCAGAAAGTGATCTTTATATTACATTTAAACTGGTAAATATCCATTTAACACTTCTGAATCTTACCTTCTTTTCCCCATTATGTAAGTTTTGACATAAAAGTTTTGGAATAAAGAATACAATTTCTATAAACTTAACATCGAGCAAAAGCAAATGATCAAATTATGTAATAATACTTTTTATGAAAGGTATAGAGGATACAGTATACGATAGTTACTTTTACTCTTTAGTTTCCATGTTGCTAAGAAAATATTTTGCACTTGTAAAAATGAATAACTCTATAGATCAGAGCATCATACAAAGCCAGAACTAGCTGATTCATCAAGAAAATCTGTTAACCATAGGACGGATATTTGTTTTTAAATAAACTGTTTTCTATGGATCTAAGCCATAACGTGAAGCAGAACTGTGGCTCAGAAGGTAACTGTCTTTTAGTATAGCCCAGTATCCTGGATTCAGTAGAAATATTTTACCTTCTTAGTGGTTTTCTGAATGTTTTTCAGTCAAATTTTCTTCTAACTTAAGAAAGCCACAAATGTATAGAACTGTACTTTTTAAAAAATGTAATTTTGTCTTGACATAGACTTGAATATCTTCATCGTTTATTTATTGCCCTTTGCTCACTGAAGTTTCTCAGTATAAGATTTCTGTCATAAATGTAACTTGTCATTTTACATTAAATCTAATTAATGGTTATCATATTAAGCGTGAATTTCATTCACTCTATAAATGAAAAAGACCTTCACTATTTTTCAAACGGAGAAATCTCACAAAAGCTAACAAACTATGTAATAGTTTATTAAAATTAATTTAATTTTATTGCACAGCATGCCTATTGTTTTCTAGTGACTGTACAGTACTCATATGAATATAAACAAATAGGGCCCTGTCCTCAAGTTGCTTACAATAGAATATCTTGATATCATTCTGCTCTTACCTTTAATAGTAAGCATTCTAACGAAAATTTCACATGATAGTAAAATTATTTCTCAAGAGAGTAGCTGTTATTTATTCCTTAATATTTAATTATATACTATCACTGTACCAGCTGCATATGTCCATTGTCTTAGCAAACAATCATAGCAATGTTGTCAGTTCTATTAGCAAAGAAAAAACTGAGTCTACAAGAAGTTGAAAATCTGGCCTAAGATCCTACAACTACTTGTGGCAGATTCAAGATAAGGTTAAGATCTCTCTAGCTTGAAGAAGTAAAATCTTTTCACAGTGGTATACATCCCTCTTTCTGAGAAATAAAATTGAAGATTAGTTATTGAATATGAAAATTTTGACTTATTTGACAAACTTAAGAATCAACCCCAGATCAAGCCTTGTCCACTATAATCAGCTTGATTTCTAATGTAGTTTGTTTCTACATGACATACAAATCATGATCTTTTAGAAGTGTATGTGTGTTGAGCAAACTGTCGCAAGGACAGAAAACCAAACACCGCATGTTCTCACTCATAGGTGGGAATTGAACAATGAGAACACTTGGACACAGGAAGGAGAACATCACATACCTGTCATGGGGTGGGGAGATGGGGGAGGGATAGCACTAGGAGAAATACCTAATGTAAATGACAAGTTAATGGGTGCAGCAAACCAACATGGCACATGTACACATACGTAACAAACCTGCACGTTGTGCACATATACCCTAGAACTTAAAGTATAACAAAAAAAGCAAAAAAACATTTTTTTAAGAAAAAAAAGAAGGGTATTGTGTGTACAGTATTTGTGGTAAACATGAACACATGAAACAATGTGACTTTTTATTCCATGATACCTTATGGATTTATGAGCCAATCAGGCATCCTGTAGACAAAGCCATGCCTTTTCTTCTGCATAACTGCTAGAATGGCCATGACAACTACAATACAAATAGAGGTTAATATTTGTGCCAATTTTAATCCATTTTTACTCTCTTCGGGGTGTGACATTAATTACAGGAGATTAGGAAGGGGAACATGAAGTTCATAAAAAGTCAAAACTTAATATGCCAATAATACATGCAATGAAAATAGGCAATTCTTAAAACATGTACCCCTTTAGGTGGAGTCTTGATGAAAATGCATCCCTAAGGGACTATTAGGCAGAACGTGATCCCAAAGTCTCTTCTCTTAATTAATTCACTCTTTGTGGTTTCAATTGGTTATCATAAAATATTCATCCAAAGAAAAAGAAACATGACTTTGCTGTGCTAGGATAAGACTGAGATCAGTGTAGAGTGTATGAGTCAGGCTATAAATTGAGTAAGATTAATTTTGTTTTCCTGGCGCTTTATAGCCAAATGGAATACTCCCGCCACGCGAGCTTTTGGCCTACCTCCTCAAACTATAATTGTAACAATTAAGAGAAAAATTCAGAGTTCTCAGATATACTTCTCAACATTTTGCAAATATGCAACCCTTTAACCGAATACGCTGAATATCTTTACCACAAGTTTTCTGTCATTATTTGTTAGAACGTACACAAACGCATACACATTTCACGTGTACACAAAAAAGAAAAATAATAGCTCATTAATAGCTCTTTCCAGAGTTCTTTAACCACCAAATAAGGTTGAATAGTATTAAGAATTGGAATTTAATTATTTTAATTCAACGCAGTAATTTATTAAAGACTGGTAAAATTTTAAATAACTATAACTAAACATTAAATTTACACACGCTAGATAATTGTGGATTAATCCCCATTTAAAGAACTAAGATGAATTTTGAAAGTGGACATCAGTGAAAAACTGTCAATGGGGCTTGATGCTTTGCAAGGAAGATTGTCAACTATAGAATTTTTCGTGTAATGTAAGAATAACATATTCCAAATTACATACAAAAAGAGCACATACACAAATTTGGCAGCCATTTAAAGAATGTATTCATATTTCTATTCTAGGAATTAGGCTACATGACTATAAATATAAAATTGGCATCTATGTAAATTATTTCCAAATAATTATTTCCAAATTATTCCAACCAGTCTGGAAGAAAATATCACAGCTGTTCCTGCATGATATTTTTGTGTACGTGTTACTGTGAATGTGTGTGTGTGCCTGTGAGTGTGCATGAGTGTGAGAAGAGAATTTTTATACTCTTTACAAATTACCTAGAAATCATGCAAATGCTCAGGACCAGGAGTTGAAACCAGGTTCCAGATTCCAGCCTTACGGTTTTGTGTATTCTGGCAGCTACTTTAACTCTCTGAAACTCTATTCTCCAATTTGTAAAATACAGGAGAAGGAATAAATTGTTCCCAAGATTCTCTTTTGCCTTTGAAAATCCCAACTATGTACATTTTACACTCCAACTCTTTTTTTTTTTTCTAGTTATTTTCAAAGGCAGTACTGAATAGAAAAGAAAAATGCAACAAGGATTTCCAGTAGGGGTTAAAAGACAAAAAGAGAAAAAATAAATAAATAAATCAAACTAAGAATTATCTAAATCTTACAGGATGATTAAAAGTAGTTTCAAACACATGTTCCAATAATGTTACATTATCACTTAAAAATGCCGACAGGGTTCTAAAATAAAATTATTTAAAAGCTCCCTTCATGACTACTAGAGATCGATTTTGATTGAGTGAGAATCAATCATGAAGAGTTGGGAGCAGAAGTTTTGGTCATTATTAATAGTAAACATACTAAAAGATTAATTTAGAATTCAGAGTACAGATAATTTCATAGAACAATGTGAATTAAAATCAATGTGCTTATCAGAAAAAAATGTGTATGATTTTCACTCATTTGGTGGTATAATATTCTTCTATTTAACACATTCTACACAGTTTTCCACATGGCTGATTGATAACTGCTCTGCTAACTGGATCTATGAAATGGAATGGAAGGAGTATTGAACTGTGAATAAAGAAAGACTGAACTGTAGAATCAGCTCAGCTCATCTAAATATTAATATTTGATAAGAGTTACACACTGTTGCTACCAATTTTTGCATCTGCATAATAAATTAATTGGAGAAGTTAATCTCTTAACTCTTTAAGTTAAATTCTGTAATTAAACTGCTAGGAAGTACATGATATTTGGATTTGTAAATACTGTACACCTATGATATATGTATATTCACTCATATATGACATAAATATCACACAAGTTAAGTACTTTACTCAGTACTTAATTATTTAGTATTTTTAAAAAGGTACCTAACTTTTTTTGAAATTATAAACCTGTTTCACATTTGAGGAAGACTTTAAATTCTGTAATATTTAGAAGAAATAATTAAAACAACTTAGAAATACCCTTGTGTGTAGTTTTCATTTAAAAACTATCTTTTTAATAAACAAAGAATCCACTTTAGAATTATTTATTGCAAGAATTAATGATCATACTATTACAAAGATTCCCAATTGTACCTAGACTATTGTCAAAAATCCAAGGAGTTATTGGATACCACACATCTGTTCATTGCTAAAAAATCTTATTCATTTAATTTATAGTTTAATTATAAAATTTGTTCTAAAAACCTTGGTAAAAGCTATGCTATTATTTTATTTAATATTTTAAATAAAATATTAAAATATAAAGAAATTATTCTGAAGTTCTTGATTTTTTCTAAAAGAAAGTAAACATGATGTGCATGATGTTTTCAAACTTTAATAGTATGCATTATGGAAACATATTTCAATGTGTGGATCATTCACCCAAAAGTATTTTTAATAAGATTTCATTTTATAACCATTTTAGATTTGCTATATTAATATGAAGATGCTGCAGAGAGTCTCCACACACCCCACACTCAATTTCCCCTATTATTAATATCTTGTATTGGTTTGGTACATTTGGCACAATTAATGAACTAATATTGAGTCATTATTAACTAAAGCCTCTACTTTAGATTTCCTCAGTTTTTTTCCTACAGTTTCTTTTGGGGTTCCAGAATCCTATCCAGTATGCTTCATTAGGTTTACAAGTCATGTCTTTCCAGCTTGTGATATATTCTTGGACTCTCCTTGTTTTTAATGACCTTAACAGTTTGGAGGATTACTGGTCAGGTACTTTGTGGAGTGTCCTTTAACTTGGATCTATCTGATGGTTACTCCTGATTACACAGAAATAATTTGTTTTGGAGGGAAAGGTCACAGAGGCAAAGTACCATTCTCATAACATCATAACAAAGGTGCATACTATGAGGATGACTTACCACTTATCAGTATTGAACCTTGATGACATAGCTTGATGTAGTGTTTGTGCAGTTTCTCTACTTAAACTTGCTCTTTTGTTTTCTCATTTTCTATACTGTATGGTAGGTAGAAAGCCACCATATGTAGCCCATATTTAAGGAGAGGAGAATTATGTTCCCCCTCCTTAAGAGTAGAGCAGCTAGATAAGTTATTTGGAATTCTTTTGCATGAGAGATTTATCTGTTCTCCTCTATTTAATTAATTAATTTACTTGCATTAGTATGGATTTGTGGATACTTATTTTATACTTTGGATTATAATCCAATACTACCTTATTTATCTTCCTTTCATTTTCTATCTTTGGCTATTGGGAGCTCTTTTGGTTGGCTATCATAGCTCTTTAATACACCCTATCATTATGGGTTTTTTAATACTATTTTTGTGAGCACTTTCTTAGTTCCTGGGACTATAAGATGCCCCAGACTTGTCTCATATATTTCCTGTACCAGTCCTAGATTCAGTCACTTCCCAGAAAAGCCCTGGTTTCTTTTATTGAAGAATGATATTAGAAACCAAGACCTAGGACTTTGAGGAACTGCCACACTATTTTCCACAATGGTTCGACTAACGTACATTCCCAATTGTGTATAAGTGTTCCCTTTTCTCTGCAACCTTGCCAGTGTCTGTTATTTTTTGACTTTGAATAATTGCTATTCTGACTGGTGTGAGATGGTATCTCACTGTGGTTTTGATTTGCATTTCTCTACCAATCAGTGATACTGAGCGTTTTTTCATATGATTGTTGGCTGCAAGTATGTCTTCTTTTAAGAAGTGTCTGTTCATGTCCTTTTCCCATTTTTTAATGTGGTTGTTTTTTTTCTTGTAGATTTAAGTTCCTTATGGATGCTGGACAATAGACCTTTGTCAGATGCATACTTTGCAAAAATTTTCTCTCATTCTGTAGGTGGTTTGTTTACTCTGCTGATTGTTTCTTTTGCTGTGCATAAGCTCTTTAGTTTGATTAGATCCCATTTGTCCATGTTTGCTTCTATCACAATTGCTTTTGGCATCTTTGTCATGAAATATTTTCCTGTTCCTATGTCCAGAATCGTATTGCCTAGGTAGTCTTCTATGGTCTCTATAGTTTTACATTTTATATTTAAGTCTTTGATCCACCTTGAGTTGATTTTTCTCTATAGTGTAAGGAAGGGGTCCAGTTTCAATCTTCTGCATGGCTAGCCAGTTATCCCAAAAGAGAACTACCATTCAACCCAGAAATCCATTACTGGGTATATACCCAAAGAAATATAAATCATTCTGTCATGAAGACACATGCACACGTATGTTCACTGCAGCACTATTCACAATAGCAAAGACACAGAATCAACAGAAATGCCCAGCAATGCTAGACTGGAAAAAGAAAATGTGATACATACACATCATGGAATACTATGTGGCCATAAAAGAGAACCAGATCATGTCCTTTGCAGGAACATGGATGGAACTGGATGCCACTATCCTTAGCAAACTAACACAGGGCCAGAAAACAGAACACTGCATGTTCTCACTTATAAGTTGGGGCTAAATAATGAGAACACATGGGCACATGGAGGAGAACAACAGGCACAGAAGCCTTTCAGAGGGTGGAGGGTAGAAGAAGGGAGACAATGAGGAAAAATAACTAATGGGGACTATGCTTAATACCTGGGTGACAAAAATAATCTGTACTACAAACCCTCATGACACTAGTTTACCTATATAGCAAACTTGCATGTGTACCCCTGAATTTAAAATAAAAGTTAAAAAAAAGAAACCAAGATCTAGGTGCTAGGTGTCAATAAAAATTAAATATGCAGTATTAAACACTTTATTATTATTATTATTATTATTATTATTATTATTATACGTTAAGTTTTAGAGTACATGTGCACAATGTGCAGGTTAGTTACATATGTATACATGTGCCATGCTGGTGTGCTGCACCCACTAACTCGTCATCTAGCATTAGGTATATCTCCCAATGCTATCCCTCCCCCCTCCCCCCACCCCACAACAGTCCCCAGAGTGTGATGTTCCCTTTCCTGTGTCCATGTGTTCTCATTGTTCAATTCCCACCTGTGAGTGAGAATATGCGGTGTTTGGTTTTTTGTTCTTGCGATAGTTTACTAAGAATGATGATTTCCACTTTTTTCAAATATTTGAATCACGGTATTAAAAATAAAGTTTTAGTTTCTGTTAATGAGCTGCATTTATATAAGTAATATATCTATAATTGTTGAACATCTTTGGAAAGCTATAATTTTCACCTGCTTGCAACTTGCATAAAGCAAATTCCATAGCAGAGTGAAGAATATTAAAGACCTCTATTAGAGGGAGCCTCTTCAGTTACCCAAGGGCACACAGTTCACTTGGATAGTCAGTCTCCTGGGAGTAATTATTTTAGATTGTATTCCATATTCCAGAAGACAGGTGTTTTCACATCACAGATCTTGGGAAAGTGTCCATGACCTCTGTAGGCCTTCTATCCTATTGCCCTGAATTAGAGAAAGGAACGCACCAACAGTTCTCCAGAATCAATTCTAATTATTAAACCCTATTTAGAATTTATGCTTAATTCTCTTATATAGTTATTTTATAAATTTGCTCAGTAAACCAGTATATACAGCATAATCCCCTTATTTAATGTATGTCAGGGCCAAATTTAAATGAATATTCTCAGCCGGGCGCGGTGGCTCACGCCTGGAATCCCAGCACTTTGGGAAGCCAAGGCAGACGAATCACGAGGTCAGGAGATCGAGACCATCCTGGCTAACACAGTGAAACCCCGTGTCTACCAAAAAATACAAAAATATTAGCCGGGTGTGGTGGTGGGCGCCTGTAGTCCCAGCTACTGGGGAGGCTGAGGCAGGAGAATGGCGTGAACCTGGGAGGCAGAGCTTGCAGCGAGCAGAGATCACACCACTGCACTCCAGCCTGGGCGACAGAGCGAGACTCCATCTCAAAAAAAAAAAAAAAAAAAAAGAATATTCTCATAATATGATGGAATTCAGAAACATAAATGTTTGGTAAAGTGATTATCAGAAAAGACATAATTAAGAGTTTTTTCTATCCATGTTTGAATTCACTAAGTTAGTTAAGACATATATGTAATGTATATATAAACATATAAACATATATATAGAGAGAAGACATATACACATATGACTTTTTCCAATCTTGATAAAATAGTATGACTCCACTTGGTGGTAGTTTTCCTGTGTTTTGTTTTGTTTTGTTTGTTTGTTTGTTTTTTAGAGAAAGGGTCTCTATCATTCAGGCTGGAGTGCAGTGGTACAATCATGGTTCACTGAAGCCTTGAACTCCTAGGCTCAGGTGATCTTCCCACCTTAGCCTCCTCAGTAGCTGGGACTACAGGTGTGAGCCACTGCAATGGGCTAATTTGATTTTTGTTTGATTGTTGACCCACTGATGACAGCACTAAGCATTTAGGCTTCTACCTTCTCCTTCCCCACCACCATACATCTGGTATTGTTTTTATTAAAGGAAAACCCGCGTTGCTCCTGAGCTGTTGGCACTGGTGGTAAATTTGATCCTGTGTCCCTAACGCTGCATGAATCCCTTCTCCAGCCCCAGCCTCTAGCGACCATAAAGGCCCAACATACTCTCTACTCCCTGTTCTTGCCATTCCACATTGGTTTGCACTTAACCTGCTCTCCCCAGAAGGCCCTTGTGTGAGTAATAAACTTTTAAAATTCTCTTGTCATGTGGCCCAACATCAGTCTCCGCATTGGATCTGTTAACTGGGAGGTGGTCCATTCCATCTCTGAGGAGAGATCCCAAAGCACTTGTTCATAAAATCTTATTTACAATTATACTAATCCATGTTACATTTTAACATGGTGACCTTGTCTCAAGAACTTGAAACATAGAGGCTGGGACTACAGGCCTCTGCCATTAGCGATGGCACCTGGCTAATTTTTGATGATATGCTTAGAGGAAGACAGTATGTTTATAAAACAAAAGCTTACTGAGAAAAATAACAGTGAGAATTGGTAGGTGACATGAATAGGAAGGTTGAGAGCTTAAGAGGGTAACATATCAACCTCAATCTAATGGGAATGTTTTAAGATGGAGCATATGTAATGTTATGAAGGACTCTTCCTAGCTCAGAGGTCAAGTGTTGATCTTAAAGAAACAAAATCCAGGACACGGTGGTGGCAAACAATTGCAGTCTTGGCAGGTAGGAGCACCTCTGTAAACCAGTTAGAGATCTGGGATGGCAGGGGCATTGCTCATTAATGGAACGGAGTCTGTAGTACCTTCTGACATTAAGTTTCAACAGTTAATAAGCATGACAATGAGAATTAAGTTTGTGATAGACTGGTGAGACCACCTGTGGATGGGCAAAGCTGTGGAAATATTTGGGAAGCCATAACAGAAACAGAATTTTCTTTTCTTTTTATTTCTTTTATATTCCTTCTTTTGTATTTATTTTATTTTATTTTATTTTATTTTATTTTATTTTATTTTATTTTATTTTATTTTATTTTAACAAGGTCTGGCTCTCTCACCTAGGCTGAAGTGCGGTAGGCGTCTTGGCTCACTGTAACCTCCACCTCCCGGACTCAAGTCATCCTTCCACCTCAGCCTCACAAGAAGCTGGGACTACAGGCAGTCACCGCTATGCCAGCTAATGTAATTTTTGTATTTTTTTAGAGATGGGGTTTTGCCATGTTACCCAGGCTTGTCTCAAACTCCTGAGCTCAAGTGATCTGCCCACTTTGACCTCCCAAAGTGTTGGGATTGGAGGCGTGAGCCACTGCACCCGGCCTCTGATCCTAGATTGTTATTCTTTACTAGGCAAAAGAGTTACCGCTAACTAGTTAATTTGCAATTTCCTAAAACCAAAAAGAGGTAGCATGCTAAATTTTAAGCAATATGGTGAGTTTGTCAGGACTTTGATGAATAAGATAGTTAATGTGATTAAAGGCTTCACACAACAATTTATACCTTTATGGTTCATGTAAAACTCTAATATCCAACTCTCAAGTCAGAACCAGAAAATAGAAACTGCAGAAGCCTTACAGAAATTTTGATTAAATTCCACAAAGAAGAAAGCAGGATGAAATAAATTCAAGGCAGTGTAAAAGATATGCTATACACCCTGGACTGGAAAGCCAGGACAAATTGAAAATCAATGCTGTAAAATGATGAGTAGATAAAGTATGACATCTCATAAGAGTATTTCTTTCAGCTCCTCGTCTGTAAAAACACACGATAGAACTAATAATTCATGTGAGCCTTAGAATGCTAAAAGTGCAAATATGTCCATATTTATAATTTGTTTTGTTGTATAAGCATGGTTATTATAATAGTTATTTAATTTATACTAGTAATTATAAATAGAATATTTTAATATGACTAGAACATGTTAATACTTTTTTCCCCCAGTTCACTACTATGATTGTTCAATTACTTAGCCAAAGCACAAATGCTGTACAGTGACAGCTTCCCAAAATGCAGGTTTCAGGCCTAAGAAGGGCAATCTGTTTGAGTCTCTTAAGTAATGGGTTTAAAACAGATTTGTTTTTTTTTTAGTCGACTCTTCTTTTATATACCTATAATCAAAGTCCAGAGTTTATGATTTTTCTTTTTATCTCATATTCTGCTTTAATTTACTCCTTAGACTCTCCTAAGTCATATATGTGTAAAACCTTACAATTGGTTTGTTGTCACTTATAAAGTCCAGCTTTTACCTGTGGTTATATTACCTGATTTCTTTTCTTGAAGATCAAAAAACTCAGGGTTTACTGTACTTGCACACTTCATAATATTTACTCCAACATTTCATTTTTACTTATAATTTAATGTTTCCAAGGAGTGGAGGAAGAAAAACTTGAGTAAAAGGAGTTTTATACTGGAATCACTGCAAATATGCATTTGGCCTGTGTCTACTGTGACCAATAACAAGCAGAAGAAAAATTGGATTAATTAAATATGTTGTTCTTTCCCTCGTATTCAATTAAATCATTCTTTTCTGGCTCTTGATGTTTATGCCTTTGAACAACACTGATGGGCTTACAGACCAACTCTTAGTGTCCTAAGGCTTGGTACTTAACCAACCTGTGGGGTGTCTTACATCATATCCTAAATTCCCCATGACTGGTTTCCAAAATAATCTAAAATATTTAAAAGCACATTTGAGTACTGACTACAAATGTTGTTCTTTATAGATACGAATGAATTATCTCTTCCTCATGGGTTTACAAGTTAAAAGATATAAACAAATAACAAAGACTGGGAAATTAGACACAACCAGATGTACATATTTGGGGTGCATGTTTGGGGTGGGAGTAGGTATGGTACAAAGGGCAAATTATACTGCATTAGTATCCTCTGGTATCAGTATCTTCTGACATCAGCTTAAAAATAGTTAATTCAACAAATAACCTAGCATTAATTTAGTGAATTTTTAACTGACATGAAAAAAAAAGCTTAGAAAAGAAATAGAGCTCTTCTTTAAAACATACAGAACACAATTTAAAAAGATAAGGAAAAAGTCAAAGGAAATAAAATATCACATTAAAAACAGAAAGAAAAACTCTTTCCTTGTCAATAGAGAGTGGTAATTGTATTATCACTTCTCTTCTTGGGTATGCCATAGACAAACAGTCTTGCATCAATAAATGGTAATTACACATTTTACTAACGTGGTTTATCGTGTTTCAGTGCCCTTAGTGAGGATTAAACAACACTCAGAGCTTCGATGTGCCGGAGCCACCTGGTTGGAATTTGGGGAAAAGAAAAAGCAAACTGAACAAAAAAGCTTTAATCTTGAAATTTAGGGTTATTTCCTATCATATTAAATGTTCTCAAAATTATTTTAATTCTTTTGAACACATGCTTATCTTTAGCCTCCTAGAGAAAAATATATTCTACTAGACTTGCATGGAATTTATGTTTCACAAATACAAGAAGGTCAATGAATCCAATAGATAACAGTATCTCTGGATTTAGTAGAACTCTGAGTCTAGGGGTATGATAATAACTAGGAAACAATTTAATTTCTGCAAACTGTTTAGTATTATAAAGTGCTATAAAAACTTAAAAATACTATCATAAAGATTCATCATAGATTATCTTTCATATTATGAAGGATCCCATTTTATCATCACCCTTAAAAATGTGCCCTAGAAACTTTAGTTGAGATGTTCAGATAATTTAGTGTAGTAAATTTAAATTAGGAGTCACATTTCTCCACTCAAGGTCAATACCGTTCATTGTGTTAGTCCATTCTCACACCACTTTATTATAAAGATATTACCCGAGACTGGGTAATTAATAAAGAAAAAATGTTTACTTGACTCACAGTTCCTCATGGCTAGGGAGGCCTCAGGAAACTTACAATTGTGGTGGAAGGGGAAGCAGGCATGTCTTACATGACAGCAGGTGAGAAAGCATGTGTAGGAAGCAAAGGGAAAGAGCCCCTTATAAAATCGTCAGATCTAGCAAGAACTCACTCACGATCACAGTAACAGTGTGGGGGAAACCATTCCCATTATCCAGTCACCTCCCACCAGGTCTCTCCTTCAACACCCGGGGATTACAGTTCAAGATGCGATTTGGGTGGTGACACAATGTCTAACTATATCATTCATAAATACATAAAATTTATGTTTATGAAAGTAGTTTTAATACATGATTAACAAATAGCATGTCATCAGTAAATTGGACATTCATTATGAATTTTTTTCTCCAAAGTAGTAATCAACTCAGTTGATTTATTGATACTGTCTTATAATTCCTTCTTTACTGTGAGACCAATCATTCCTCCTAACCTATGCCCCATCTTGGAGAACTTATCCCTCAAACAGTCTGGAATCAGTAAGCCTGCATAATGTATTTTTTCATAAACTCCTCTTTCCATCAGCACCCCCTATTCCGTCTAGATCCAGATGATTAGTTTATGGTAAACAAGCCACCAAAACAGATTTTCCAACCTAAGTATTTGGATATGAGACAAAATAGTGTGTTGGTAGTGATGAGTTTACTTTGAGAAGGTTCAGGGGCCGAGGCTGCCACTTTTGAGCAGCAATAATGAGCTGGTCTGCCAAAATGAAGACAATAAACAGAGAATGGGCATTCAGGAACATTTTGAGATCAAAGAGAACATGAAGCCTGGGAGAGACAATCAGTGAGAAAAAACTGTTTCATGGTATTCCAGTTTCCATTAGGGTTAGCTACACTTTCAATAATTCTAATGCCTTACATTCTTTGTATCCTTAAAATGAAATCACCTTTATGGAGGTTCATTAAATGAGTTTTTATTCTCTGTGACCAAAGTAAGGCTAGTATTCCCATATAGCTTAATAGTAACAGTAAGCTGTTTGGCTTTTGTGAGTCTCATTTTTATATTAACTGCCTGTAGTCTAATGTGAGTTAAATAATCCATAAAAAAATGGAAGCTGACCCTTTATTTGACTGAAAAGTGCTGTCTACAACCTTTTTTTCTATTTGATTAGAGGTATGTAAGAATTAGGCTGGGTGTGGTGGTTCATGCCTGTAATTCCAGCACTTTGGGAGGCCAAGGTGGGAGGAATGAGCCCAGGGATTTAAGACCAGCCTGGGCAACACGGTGAGACCCTATCTCCAAAAGGAAAAAATACAACAATTAGCCGGGTGTGGTGGCATGCTCCTGCAGTCCAAGTTCCCAGCTACTTGAGAGGCTGAGCCGCAGGAAAATCACTTGAGCCCAGGAGTTCAAGGTTACAATGAGCAATGATTACCACCGCACTCCAGCCTGGGCAATGGAGGGAGACCCTATCCCCCCCATCCCCCCCAAAAAGAAAGAAATACATAAGAATTATAAATCTAATTTAATGAAGGGTTTCTACATAATTTTGTGGGAAATAAAATTAAAAAGCAAAAATTAGAATATGGATCAATCTATACACTGACACATATGCATTTATTAATAATTCATTCTAATTTTAATGGTTCTATGTAGATGCTCATATTCTCAGTGCTGCTCTCCCTCCACAACCTGACCTTTGTCATTGGAATGTAACTGAAGCAGGGACCCTCAGAGCCTGCAATTCTCCTGGAAAGCCCCCACTAATTGTTGATCTTTATATCAACAATTATTTCCTGTCTTAATCAGCCCCATACATGTCCTTGATGATTTCTCTATATATGGAAGTGATTCTTTCAAGCCTGTTCTATCAACACTTCCTGACTCCTCTCTGCCAATGACCTTCCTCCCGTATCTACTCCCATGGTCATAACATAGATTTTGCTAACAATTGCCTTGACTCTTCCAGAACCTAGAGATTTTTCACTGTTCCTCACCCCTGTTTTGTTTCAATTTTTCTTTTTTTGAGATGGAGTCTCGCTCTGTCGCCCAGGTTGGAGTGCAGCTGCGAGATCTCGGCTCACTGCAAGCTCCGCCTCCCGGGTTCACGCCATTCTCCTGCCTCAGCCTCCTGAGTAGCTGGGACTACAGGTGCCCGCCACCATGCCTGGCTAATTTTTTTGTCTTGAGTGCTTAAGAACAAAACAAGGGCCGGACACGATGGCTCACGCCTGTAATCCCAGCACTTTGGGAGGCCGAGGCGGGCAGATCATGAGTTCAGGAGATCGAGACCACCCTGGCTAACACGGTGAAACCCCGTCTCTACTAAAAATACAAAAAAACTAGCCAGGCGTGCCATTTACCTTTATTTTAGTCAAACTTATCTTGAGTAAAAATAAGGGGCTTTAATAAGCAAAATAAAGTGTATCTTCATTATATAAGTGGCAGGGTTTGGCTGTGTCCCCACCCAAATCTCATCTTGAATTGTAACTCCCACAATTCCCACATGTCATGGGAGGAACTTAGTGGGAGGTGATTGAATTATGGGGGTGGGTCTTTCCTGTGCTGTTCGTGTGATAATGAATGAGTCTCCTGAGATCTGATGGTTTTTAAACAGGGGGAGTTTCCCTGCACAAGCTTTTTTTGCCTGCTGCCACTTAAGATGTGACTTGCTCCTCCCTGCCTTCTGCCATGATTGTGAGGCCTCCCCAGCCATGTGGAAATGTAAGTCCTATAAACCTCTTTCTTTTGTTAATATCCCAGTCTCAGGTATGTCTTTATCAGCAGCATGAAAACAGATTAAAACAGAACATCTAATACAATAAACAATCGTGCTTATGTCAATCTAAAAGTTACATGACATTATTATAAAATGAAGTTTATAATATGAAATCTGAACATATTTAAAATATTGTTATGATTTTTTAAGGGAAGCACACCTTAAAATAAGAAAATAATAAAGATAAAGATAACAATCTATGTTAAAGACAAATATCTACTACTTTTTAAGAAATCCATTGTTACTTAGGCTGGTGATTTGCCACCTTCTAATAAATTAGATATTACATCATCTGTATAATTTTCCTTCAAGCATATATATTTTTTTGAGATGAGGTTTTGCTATGTTGCCCAAGCTGGCCTCAAACTCCTGGCCTCAGCAATCTTCCTCTAAAGTATCTGGGACTTGTAGCACGTGCCACTGTGCACAGTTACTTTTGAACACTTTTATTTTGAATTAGTTGGTGACTTGAAAAGATAAAATAAAAGATACATTTTGACATAATTTTAGTATCTGTTTTCTCCTATTTACTTGAAAGACATTACTTTTTACTTAAGAACAATATATTTATAAAATTATTTATAACTACTTTAAGTTAATCTTATATATTCATAAGTATTTGCATATACTATTTTGGTGTTAAATAGTTGAAAAACAGTTTTGAATATTAAAAATTGTAGTACTGCTCTGGTACACAGGCTTTATTCACTTCATTTATCAATTTATAAATATTATTAATCATGATAATAGAATTGTTTAGCTTTTCAAACTATAATTCAAATCTGCCCTGTAGCTCTATTAAGGGTACTATTAAACCAATGCCTACACTTAATTGTTATCCCCACTTTTAAATTCATCCTACTTAATTATTCATATAGTCTAAATTCATGAAAAAAATACAATCAATCAAATAATACTTTGTTGTATTTCCCTGATCAATTGCTGGCTCTCTATTGTCTATAAAATTAAGTTTAATCTTGCTTTGTCATTTCAGGTTCCAAAGCCTCTCTGTTTCTAATTGAATCAAACTTCAGAAGGAAACCAGTTTTGCTGTCACTTGAATGCCATATTGCTTTCACATCTTTACCTTTTGCTCTTACCATTTCCCCATTTTAAGTATTCCTCTGCTGTCTTAACTGGACCCATTCTTCAAACAAACTCCGTTTCTTGCTTCTTCATGAAGTGCCTTCTCTCTACCACAGTATGCAGAGCTTTCTCTTCTTCTATGTCCTCAGGAACTTTATACAGATCTTGGAATATGCAATATCATTTTATTAATTATTTAAAAAATGTTCCCTGCTTACCTTAACCTAATTGAAAAAGCATTGAGATCAGAAAATATGTTTTATATCTCTTCCCATCTGCATTGTTAAGCACATATTAGAACCTCACAACTGTTAAGTAATTTTGGGGAACTAATTAATGAGCTAATTAAACTGTATTTTGATGAATTTACTTGATAATACACAGTATTCCATGTGATTTGAATTCCAATATCATTAATTATATCTCCATCTAAAGATTGTAATTTGCTGAAGAGAAAAGTATTTTACGTAGTAAAATATAATTCTAAAATTGAGACTCTAGCATGTGATGATATAAAACTTAGTTATTACCAGATAGAGACAAGTATTTGTATCAATCATTCATTACAACTGGGAACAATAAACAAATCTTAATTATAAGAATGATGTATGGCTTCAACGATTGTTAAAGTCGGACAAGTTTCGTTGTTAGAGCAAACTGGATCTAAATGTATCCCATATGCCTTGATTCTAACACCAAATGAAAGGAAATCTCAAAAAAAAAAAACATGTTTTATAGATGGCTTCATGGTACAGTATTGTTACCCGTTGAAAGTCTACTGTGATACTGAATAATGGTTTGGCATGGAGTGTAGAGTGAGGTCATTATATTATACAAAAACATTATATGAGAAGATATTAAATTTCTTGGTGGTTAGAAGTAGCTATAGTGAATAAATCTGTCTATAAAAATCTCTTTCGAAGAAAGAATTACGATCAATATAATCATTAATTCAAAACTACATTATGGATTTTTAAAATGTAAGTGTTCAACTATAAATCAGGTTAAAGAAGCAAGAGAACAAAATCCACTTTCATGTTCTCAAGCGGTCATTTCCAGAACATGAGAGCTTGATAGACTGCCTTTCCTCTGTCAGTTTTGTATTTATGTCTTTGATACAGGTTTTATTTTATAATCTTGTTGTTTTATTTTGCAAAAACCATTGAAAAGTCAAATAGTCCTAAACATAAAATCTGTTAATTTGAGATTTGTTAAATAGTTTTTCAGTAGTACATCCAGGGCTAGAGCATCGAGGGGGCGCCGAGAGTTAACGGGTGGGGACGGGCGGTGGCTCGCCTCGCAGCGGACCTCACGCCTGCTCCCGAGATCCAACTACGGGCTTTTTAACTGCAGCAACTTTAATATACACTATTGGAGCTGGAATTACCGCAGCTGTTGGCACCAGACTTGCCCTACAGTGGATCCTCTTTAAAGGATTTAAAGTGGACTCATTCCAATTACAGGGCCTCAAAAGCTACATTGTCTTACAGCTAGGTTTTTCTTTACATTTTTATTTTATAAAGAAGTCTTGAAAATAAAGCTTTTACCAGAACACAGGGAACCACTCTATAAAATAAATGAGTTAAGACTATGCATATTTCATAGACAAACTGCATAATACAATGATGCCAATCAACAATTGAACCAATTACTCTAAATATTTCTTAGAATGCTGCTTCTATAGACATATACATAAGACAAGTACAAACAAAACTTTTGCTGAATGAGGTTCACATTTCTACTCTAAAGAGAAGAAATAGAAATAGTCCATTTCACCATATATGTTATGATATCTAGTCATTAAAACGTAGCTGTCAGTTTCAGGTTATGAAAATTATTTTAAAGTCAAAGAAGCTGAACCTAAGGAATGTTGAATGAGTCAGCTGTGGCCACACAGCTGGTAGTATATCTGCTTCCAGAAATAAGGTAGCCTTTTGTTGAAGAATGTGTTCAGCTTAAATGCCTCATTCTTTAATAAATAAAACTTGACCATAAGTAGAAAGCACTCAAATCATGAAAGAATCTTGTAAAAACATATCTTTTTGGTATCCTCTAATAGAATTGATTTTATTAAACTGAGCTTAATACTGTTATCAGCCTACATCCTAAGATGTTGTGATACCCAACCAAGAAAATCCCTGTCATATTTAATATGAGCAAAATTGTTGAAGATATACATTATCCAACTAGATTATATTTCCTGTTGTCTTCATTTGCCCTCTGAGTTTTTACATGTAGAAATTTGCCCCAATCCTTTAGTTCTCATGCTAGATTTAACTTTCTTTAATGATGAATTTAATAATTTTCTAAGACAGGAGACCCATGTATACCTATAGCATACTTGGTGGCCTGTCCTGCTGAAAGAGAAGTAGATGTTAGAATTAAGTTAGAGCTTTCCCCCAGCTGTGCCTCCATAAATTTTCTGATAAACATTTCACTAAGGAATCTTTCACTCCCAAAACCCTCATCCCCTGCCCACCTTAACCAATACCATTATTCTAGCAGGAATGTTATTGATGAAAAAATGTTTTGTCCCCAACATATGCTAAAGTAAGTCTTATGCAACATATGCATAAGACCGATAATCTCTGTTCAAGCTTATTTAGTTCCACAGGCACCTCTTTATCTCATGGGAATTCAGGATGGCCTTAACTTCATGGGCACAGTCTAAAAAGAGATATGTTTTGTTTGAATGTAGGGAGATCAACCATTTCGTTTCACCCAGGACAATTTCAGTCCTGGGCAAACCAAGACAGTTAGTCATCATATTTGAATGGAAAATAATTTGTTTTCTTTTGTTTGAAACTGAAACATAAAATTGACCATCACAGTTGCCAAATCTGTTTTTCCAAGAAAAACTGAAAATCCTGACTTTAAAATGTCAAATCATCTGATTTTTAAATATTGTTTTGAAATGTTTAGCCTATTAATCAAACACTAATCTAGGTGTTGCTATGAAAATATTTGGTAAATTTTATTAGGATCAACAATCATTTAACTTTAAGTAAGGGAGAATATTCCCAATAATCTGGGAGAAACTGGCTCAATCAGTTGAAATAATTTAAGAGCAGAACTGAGGTATTCCTGAGCAAGAGGAAATTCTGTCTCAAGACTGAAGCATTAGCTTCTCCAGGAGAGTTCCAGCCTGCCCCTTTGACAGACTACCCTCTGGATCTCAAATTTACAGAAGCAGATCCCCATAATTATGTAAGTCAATTCCTTGCAATAAATATCTCTCTTTCCCTTTGATGATTGACAGATGATAGATAGATAGATAGATAGATAGATAGATAGATAGATAGATAGACAGACAGATAGATAGACAGGAAGCTGGCCAGATGATAGATAGAGAGGTAGATCCTATTGGTTCTGTTTCTATCCCTGCAGATGCAACAGTACTGGTTGAGCATTTCTGTGTGATTGTAAATTATCTGGAGCTTTGCTTCTTTAGATAAGGTGCTCTGAAATCACCACAATCAGCATCTGGCCTCCTTCACCCACTTACTATAATTGCTGAATTCCTAGAGGCATTGTGACTCACCATGGAAATGATAATATTTTGCTGATATTATAATATCTCTACTTAAAAAAAGAGAATGCCTCCAAACTTTGTAACTAGAGATTGAAATAGCAAAAAAGATAGAGATAAGAAATGTTGAACCATAAACACAATTTATGAAATGCTAGGGTAGTAAAATAATAATACAAATATTACAACTCTTCTAGCAATTTTTTGAAAAAACATAGAAAGGAGAGGTTTGGGTTAATATTCAGGAAGTTTTTAAGAGTAGAATAGCAGACATTCTTGAGGAAAGGATTACGAAGCAAACATGTAATCAGAAAGGGAGGTACTCCAAATCTGGAGAAAGTGATATACATGTCTTTCTATCCTTGAAAAACCAACCAAAACAGCCAGATTTTTCAAATAAATAAATAAATCACTTGAAAGATAGGCTATGGCTTATTCTTGGGTACTACATCACATTTTAAAAATTGGATTTATATTCAGGGGCAGTTGTCTAGGCTTATTGTATGGTCAGTGGATTATACCACCAACTTCAGGCCACTCTCTCCCCCACAAAACTAACCAGTCCACTTTCCCTTCTAATATAATCTCTCATGAGGTTCCTTAATCAGTTACCTAATACTGTCTCAAATGCCATGGTTTTTATTCTCAACTATGCTAAAAGCTAATAAAGTTTATTTGATAAACACTTTTATATGAGTGAGTTTCTGTTACAGCAGTTAGTTAATAAACAAGCATAAATGTCACATCAGATTCTTCCATTTTAATAGGAAAGCAGGGCTGCCATTATCTAATATGAAGCTGGAGAGACCCATAGGACTCACTATATGGAGTAAGATCGATTCAGTTTACTTCGGAGCTAGTAGAAACTCGGAGAGAATTTCTCTTTTTTAGAACTATAAATGCAACTAGCTATGCATTTCATAATTTCCTTATATTTTTTGAGTAGTTGACTTAATTTATTTAACTGTTGCTATGTAAAATACGTGAGTGTTATTTGTTTTACCCATTTTCATTTCATCATCTAATTTCCATCAGCTACCTCCTCAATTATAGTTTAAGCCATTGTCAGGAATTAGCTAGCAGCAAAATTGAACACAAGAAGGACATGCAGTACATATAAAAAAAGCACCCAAGATGCAAGGGATCCAGAAGGAAAAAGGTGGCTCTACCAAACAAAGCAATGGGTTAGTCATGATGCTGGCCATGCCTTCCTGCTTCTGGCTCTCATACGCATAAAACAAGATACTGCTTCCTCATTGTGGCAGGTGTGACCTTTACATTGCTAAAACCAGAAATGTTTCTATTACTTTACACATGAGACTCCCAAGATCAGAGACAGTTAAGAAAGAGGTTGTTTTGAAATGTGGACCTGTTTGGCATACCAGGGTGAACCATATTAGATCAATACAAAAGCTTAACACAGAGCTATGTTATTGACTTGTTAATAAAGGTGTACTTAGGCTTGCCCAAGACTGCCAGTAAGACAGAATATAAGTATAATGAAATACAGTGGATTCCAGGATGCATAGTAGCATTCTACTTATGCATGCCATGTATTCCCTTGATCATAAAATCTAGGCCACTATTTGTGATGGTGGAAATTACATTTCAGTGATTTAAGCCTTCTAACATAGCAAATCACAGGATTAATTATGATAATAAGAAGAGCTTACCCATTGTACAGTGAAAACCAATGAAAGGTCCTACATCAGTTTTTGTTGAAAAGATAGAATAATGATTTTATGCTTTGATTTAAGAGCATGCAGTCCTCTGTTGTTAGGAAAATAGGAATTTTCAAACAAATAGTAAATATGGTTAAATTCGCTTATAAAAAATTTACACAAAAGTTTACAACGTTTATAATTAAAATCAGACCTCATCCATGTTTTTGGTGCTATTTTTATTTCATGGTTATTTATTTTTACTTGCAGACTTTAATTATATATAAAACATTGGAAATAACCACATTCCAAATATTTGTATGTTATAGTATTTCCAAATATATTTATTAAAATTATTTTTATTCAGGCATGGTGTCCAGATGCTAATCACAATTGCATTTGAATATTTAACTACCCTTTTTTTTCCTTCTTGGCAAATACCATCTTTCCTTCTATGTCATTTATGGGTTTCACATTTTATCCATTTTTCAGGGAAAAATGCACAAAAATAAAATTGCTAAATATTATTTATTACATATTAAAAAATTAATCTAAATCAGAAAATTCACATACAAAAAATCTAAAAATGATAGATATTGTTCTAGTTTGAAAATGCATATCCAATTTATTGTGTGTCAACTCTATGTGAGGCAATGTCAGAGTATGGTTTCTCCATATTCAATTACATTCAATGTTTAGAACAATTAGATTAATCCTCTATCCTCATATTAAAGATAAAGTAGTTTAGGCTAAAAAATGAAATGTCTTGCCTAGTACCACAAAACTGTCAATTGGTATTATTGGGATTGATAAGGGTCTCTGTGATACTGAAGTTGTTCTTCTTTCCCAGTAAAAAATAAATAAATATTTAATCCAAATATTAGTTTAAAATTTACCAAGATTGGTAAATAACAAATAGATTTACTTTGGGATGTTTGTAGAACTCCCAAGACTTTCTTCACCAATGTTTTCAATTGCATAGGATGATGGTCATTTGAAATATAAAACACAATATTATTGGTATTACATTTACTACCTCTAAACTTTCTCTTCAAACTCTTTATTAGAGTATTTAAAAAAGTGTATGTTTCGTGATAATAGCTATTTTTTCTGCTAAAATATGCCGTTAAGCCTTTTTTCAGCATTCAATAATTGGCCATGTTTTCTTGTGTTTCCTATTAGGTTGACCTCATGCTACATATAAATAGACTTTAGAAATATTTATGAACACAAACTTAGCTATATAACTGGTTATGTTTTCTAATAGCCAGTGTGAGAGCAATACATAATGGCAGCCTGGATAATGTGTCACCCTCATGAGAATTATTATTTTAGGAATTAAAATACTGGGGGTAAATAATGTTATATCTTAACCATCCTAATCCATTGAAACATTATTTTGCGTATAATTACATATAATGAAGAGCTATTTTTTAATCTGGATTGCACAACCTGAAGTTCATTCATATGTTGAAGTGTTCTCTGTCAACCATCATTTACTGTCTCATATACTGAGAAAGCTGCCAGGACTTCAAGATTGAATAAGGAATGACATCAGCAAATATGGCAGAATTAAGAACATCAAACTCCAGCACTTTAAAAGTATAATTTAAAAATGGGCAAAATCTATCAGAATCAACAGAACTCTGGAAATTAACTGAAAGCTTGCAGCAACTAAGAGAATGTTCATTTGGGAAAAATGGGAGATTCTTGGTAGGAGCTGTAAACTTTATGGATTTACCCTAGTTCCATCTCCCATTTCCCACTTCAGCAGTAGTCATTAAAAGAACAACCCATATTTTCCGTACAAGAGGAATCCAAACTCCACTCCCCAACAGACCTCATGTACAAAGAATTTTAATTAATTATGTATTCTGATCTGGCTGGTGTCTCTTTGGAAGAATGTTTTAAAATGCTTCTCTTTATTTTACTGAACTCAGAACTATTCCAGTGCTGAAGCTGATTCTAGGGTACAAGGAAAAGGCATTCGTCAAGAATATTTACAGGCTAATTCATGTCTTAGATGCTGCTGCCTGAGGCAATAGATGATTGTTGGGGTAAATAAGATAGAATAATCAAAATGCTTATGAGGCAAAGCTGGTAATGATATGTCTCTAAAACCTGCCAAAAGCTCCATCATATTCCTGGGAATCTAGAAAGCCATATGCATGTACACAGCTGTTTGCTTGCTCAGGAAAGACCTGATAAAGTGATAAGTCATCATTTCCTGCCGACCTTCAAGGTCTGCAGAAGCTAAAAATTTAGATAACGCAGAGGAAATGGACAAATTCCTATAAACACACATAATACTAAAACTGACTCAAAACAAAATAGAAAATCTAAATAGATCCATAACAAATAAAGAAATTGGTTGGTAATCAAAAACTTTAAATAAAGAATGATTTAGGACTACATGGCTTCACTGGTGAATTTTACCAAATAGTTAAGTAATTAATACCACTTCTTCTCAATCTCATCCCAAAAAAGAGGAGGAAACACTTTCTAACTCATTATGAGACACCACTATTACCACTATTACCCTGATACCAAAACCAGTCAAATATATCCCAAGAAAATTGCAAGCCGTTATCACTTATAAATATGAATGCAAAATCCTCAATAACATACTGTCAAACTCACTCCAGTAGCATGCCAAGAGTATTGTACATTATAGCTAAGTAGGATTTATCCTAAGAATGCAGGGTTGATTCAACATATGAAAATTAATCAGTATAGTATGCAATATAAATAGAACAAAGGCAAAAAACTCACATGGTCAGTTCAATGGATATAAAAAGGCATTTGACAAAATCAAACATCATTTTACACTTAAAACACTCAAAAATTATGAATAGAATAAACTTTCTCAAAAGGTAAGTTGCACTTATTAAGAACTCACAGCTAAAGTCATACTTAATGGTGAAAAACCGAAAGTTCTTCCCTAAAGATTAGGAACAAGACAAGGATGTTCACTTTCACTACTTCTATGAAAACATAGTACTGGATTTTCTAGCTAAGGCTATTAGGGAAGAAATAGAAATAGAAGTCATCCTGATAGAAAAGAAAGAAGCGAAAGTATCTCTATTTACAGATCACATAGTGTTATATACACCAAACTTTAAAGAATACATACACACACAAACAGAGCTAATAAGTGAGTTCAGCAAAGTCTTAGAATGCAAGATTAGTATTTTAAAAGTTGCATTTTATACACTAGCAACAAACAATCCAAAGATAAAATTTAAAAAAAATTCCATTTAAAGCAGCAGTCATATGAATAAAATACTTAGGAGTAAATTCAACCAAGGAAGTACAAGACTTGTACACTACAAACTGTAAAATACTGTTGAAAAGAATGAAGCAAGATCTAAATAAATGGAAAAACATCCAATGTTCATGCACTTGGAAGACATAATAAACTTAAAATGGCAATATTCCTTATTGCCATTTTTGGAATCTCTATAGATTTTTGAATCTATAGAGATTCAAAAAATCCCTGTCAAAAATGCAACTTTTTTTTTTCAGAAATGTAGAAGCTAATCCTAAAATTCATATAAAATTTCAAGGTTCACAGAATAACAGAAAAAATTGAAAAAGAAGAACAAATTTAAACTCACATTTCCTAATTGCAAAACATAAGACATAGCTACAGTAATCAACACACTGGCATAAGGATCGATATATATATACCAATGGGATAGATTTGAAAGTCCAGAAACAAATATATAAATTTATGGTCAGTTGATTTTTGACAGGGTTGCCACAACCATTTAATTGGAAAATAATAGTCTTTTAACAAATGGATATCACCTGCAAAGATGAATTTAGACCCCAACCTCACACCATAACAAAATTAACTCAAAATGGATAAAATACATAAACATAAGAGCTAAAACTATAACACACTTAGAAGAAAATCTAGGTGGAAATTTCTGAGATATTGGATTAAGAAACAATTTTTTAGATATATACCAAAGCACAAGCAATCAAAGACTTCATAGAAATGGAAATATTTTGTATATCAAAGGATGCTATCAAGAGGGTGAAAAGAAACCCTAATAAGAGAAAATAGTTGCAAATATATCTGACAAAGGCCTAGTATCCAGAAAAAAATAGGTCTTACAACCAAAAAATAAAAAATAAATACAATTTTTTAATGGGCAAAAGATTTGAATACACATTTTTCAAAGAAGGTATTCAAAAGGCCAATAAGCACATGAAAAGATATTCGATATTGAACATTAGGGAAATCAAAATCACAGCGAGACACCACATTACACCTATTAGAATGGTTACACTAAAAATAATAAAAGGAAAATAAGTTTTGTTGAGAATGTAGTGAAATTGGAACCCTTGTATATTGCTGGCAGGAATGAAAAATGGTGCAGCCACTGTAAAAAAACTGTTTGATGGTTCCTCAGAATATTAAACATGGAATTCCTATTTGACCCAGCAATTCTAAGTTTTGGTATTTACTTAGAGAATTAAAAACATATGTTCATACAAAAACTTGTACATGTATGCTCATAGCAGCACAATTCAAAAAGCCAAAAAATGGAAAAAAATAAACAGATTTCTATCAGCTGATGAATGTAATGTATTTTAAAAAATGGTAGATCCACGCAATCGAATGTTATTCAGCCAAATCAAAGAATAAAGTAGTGTTACAAGCTATAACATGAGTAAATCTTGGAAATATTATGCTAAGTTACAGAAGCCAGACACAAAATGCTGTAATCTGTATGATTCCAATTGTATAAAATGTCCAGAATAGGTAAATCTATATATACAGAAAATAGACTAGTAATTGCCAGAGGATCAGGAGCCAGGGGGGAATTGGAACCAACTGCTAATAGCCATGGTGTGATGAAAATGTTCTGGAATCAGATAGTGCTTGAGCAATATAGCACATGTACTAAAAATCTAATTTATTTTACAAGAGTAAATTTTGTGTTTTGTGAAATATATCTTAATTTTAAAATGCTAAAAAAAGAATAAGAATAGAAGGCAAAAATACAGAAAAAATCTAGATTTATAATAAAGCATGATAAATGTTATAATTCCATGGGAACTTAGTAAAGGTGCATGTGAAGCTAGATTGGGAGGCCAAGGAAGACTGTCTCCTGGAGATGAGAAGAAGCAGCAAGAGATAAAGGTATTTCTAAATATTGTTGATTTTTATGTGGACCTTTAAAAAAGAGAGTAAGCCCAAATGATCAGTAAAGGTAACATATAATTACAACTTTCAATTACTCTTAAAGAAGAAAAGGAAGCTACTAATGAGAACTTCCTATTACATATCAAGTCTAATCACCAAATTTATAATTATGAGCAACCCTACCTTTAAGTATGTGTATATTAGTTTCTATCTCTGGATCTTTTGGTATTTTCCCTGCCTGCCTATTTTTCACCCCTTCATTAAATCCATTAATCTACCCTGGTACTTATTTAACAATATGGCTTTTATATCTCATTTCTGGAGGAAAAAAGATCTTTGGGAATTCCTTATAGCTCGATGACAAGAATTTTTTCACACACTAAGGCGTTCTTCCTCATGTTCAGTATTTTCCAAAATATTACATTCCAGGTTGATTGCTATCCTCATCTCACTTTACATTTATTCTGAAAATGTTAATGATGTACAGGCCACCTCTTTGGAAAATCATACCTTATGCCCCAAGGATTACCTACTCCTGTGTTAAATATTCATGTCATTGTTCTTTTACACGTGACCCTCGCAGGCAGCACTTATTTTTAACCAGATGATCCCCATTTCTTCCTATGGGCCCAGTGCTCTACTAAATACTGAACTATTCCATCCTTTCACATCTGATACTTTAGGATAAAATTTTTATTAAACAGTGAAGAGAAGAAAAATCAACAATAAATTTACATCATCATATCACCTATTGAGTAAAAATATTAATTTAGAAAATGAGATTGACAACTTTAAAATGGTAAAGTGTAGATTTTCCAATGTGATTTTTACAGGAAGATAAGTGTGTATTATATACATTTTGTTGAACAATTTGGAAGTATCTTACACAATTTAGTATGAATATATATTTTGACTTAGCAATCTCATTCCTGGAAATTTACTTTACGAAAGTATGCAGCTACATATTATATTCCAGGTTTTCAACTTTTAATATTTTTGTAATGGTAAAAAATTAAAATCAAAGCATCCATTGAAAAGTAAATTATTAAATAAGTTGTGGTATACCACATTTTAAAACACTTTGCGTCCAATAAAGGAGAAACAGAATGAAGTGAATGTAAGGTATGCATGTAATGTAATGAAATGAAAAGATAAAAAGATAGATTTTTAAATAAAATGGTTATAAAGTGATATGTTATAATAGAGTTTAAAAATATAAGAAGGCATTTTAGTAATAGAATTTATATTAAATTGTTGACAATAAATTTCTTTGGAAAAAAGTACAAAATTAAGATCAAGTAGAGTTCAATAGAACTTTAGTATATTTTTATACTTCTATATTACTTGAATAGTTGTACAATATTTATAATTAGACTGTGAAATTAGATCAATAAACTATGTTAAAAAAATATATGTGCTTATAGGTGACTTACTAAATTTTGCTAGATAAATATTTCATAGGCTAATATGTGTAAGGCATTCAGTGATTTCAACTAAAAATTCAATTGGCAGTCATCACCCTATCTATCTAAATTCAGAACAAATGGTTGATTCACTTTTCAAAACCAAGTCAATCTGTGTGACATCATGTAGCCATGCTGACAGATTGACTCTGACTTTTCAAATAGGTGTTTTGTTATAGTGCCAAGGAAACTTTTTTCCATATTCCCGATTAATGATCCATATGATTCTGATCTGGTACAGACTGGAATTCTGTGTGCACAATGAGCCCTATTGTCTCAGTCTTTACAGGTTACAAAAATGAGTTTTCTAAACTTATGGTAGAAAAAAGAGCCAGTAAAGCATCAAAGAAGGAATCAAATTCTCACACGTCTGCCTAACTACAAAGGTTTTTATCTTCATCAGCACTGGCTCTCAGGAGCATTGTGTGGTGCTCAGCTCTCATCTGAAATTTTGGTGAGATAGGGGTTGAAAGGGCTAGAAAGTGTTAAGAAGATAGAAAAGAAGGAGGGAAAAGTGGTAACTCAAGGAAGTTAATAATCACAAACCAGAATTAAAGAAGGGCCCAAGAATTCTATCCTAACTGTAGACATGTATGAGGCACAAGGGAGAGAACTGTAAAAGTTTAGGCAGAGAATATGGTAATTTCAAGCAGAGTAAGGGTACAACAAAACCATTCTTCCCAAAAGGTTAGGAAGGCAGGTCTGCAAGCCAGGTTCCCAAAAATAAACTTTTGGCAGAAATCAGCTGAGAAAGCAGACTGACTATTAGAAGGCAGCCTCCTCCTGAGATCCAAAGGCCTGTGTGGGGACTCAGGGTGGTGATAGAGATTAATATTCCACCAGGCCCATTTCTAGCTACTAACAGTTTAATCCCAGTTTTATAAATTTCCTGAAAACTGAACAATCAGTTCTTACAAACCAATGAGAGCTGGATCTAGCACACCATGCAGATAAGTATTTTAAAAATCCAAAATACCTAAGTGACTTGAGAAAAAGGTATCATTGAGGCTGGAATTCAATGAGGAATATGCAAGAGGCTGCTGCTGTTAACACAGCTGTGCAGACAAAAAGCAATTCCATATCCTACTAGAAAGGGAGTGTGATGTGCAAATATTTTCTTTGTTAATTTCCTTAACATTCCAGAGGATAGAGTAGAAAAACTTGTGAACACTGGGTGCTAAGTGCAAATAGATGTGATAGAGGGCTGATTGTAGCAAGAGGTGACATTCACAAACTCTGACATGGGTCAGACGAGCATGTAGGAAAGTCCCTAGATGCTACCAAAATATTATGGCTATTTGCATGCTTTGGATATACCATATAAAACTGGTAGCATATGTAAAAGTTAAACTAGTTTTTCCTAATCTCAGTATAGTATATACATTTTGCCTTCTATACTTAAATATACAATATAAATATAATATATATATATAAAATACTGTAATTCAGTGCTCATTCAACCCTGTGTTGAGTCAGTCTAGCTGCTCTAGCACCTGGTCAAGCCAATGAGTATGTTTCTGTTTTGTTTCTTTGAACAGGCATTTTACTGAAGATCTGTTAATCACCCTCTGGGTTTCCTCTAGTCTAACTTCTAACCTGAGTAACTCTACAGCTTTCCTTTTACTCTAACTAAGGACTAGAATTACCATCTTTCCTTGTTTCAAGCCCATTTCTCAGTCCTGTGGACCCTTCTGAAACACTACTTTAAGCTCCCTGTCTTCCTCCTGGTTTTCCTGATATATTATGTCATTAGATTTCCTAGTCCAATGTTCTTAATCTAATCCACTGAGACATCCTGTCCTGAGAGTTTCGTATTTCAGTTGCTCCTGTGGCCCCTGTCAATATTCTTGGTGGATTTTGTATAAAGCTACTATTATAAAAGAGGAATAGATATAGGGATGAAAGATATGTATAGTTAAAAAAACAGCAACATCATGACATACTTTCCTTAGCTAGAAAGGAAAGAGTAGACATACAGGGAGTTCAGTAAAATATGTAACTTTACCTCTGCAATAGGCTAAATACTATGAATAAGGAAAAAGTGTAGGAACACTTGTGTAAATTATCACATAAAAAATCCTCAGATAAAAATGTGTTAATTTAATTTAAGTTTTGCCTAATTCACGACATGTGGGAAACATCCAATGTGATGGTTGTGGATGGAAATAAATTATATGAATCTAAATAAAACTGAAAATATTTACTTTTTTGAAAATATAATTTAAGTATTGTAAGTTTATTAAGATTCATTTTGACTTTGAATATTTTCAATTACTTTGTGTCCATGAAGTAATATTCAATTATTCATTGCTCTCCAAATATATGAAATACTGTATACATGTTTTCAAGTTAATAAAAATGTGAAAGATGAAGTAACACCTGCAGAATTCTGAAAAGTGTGAACGTTTTTGGTTAGAGGTTTCAGTTTCCCTAAAAAATATATGGATATAAAATACTCTTCATATAGCTATTTTGATTGATGGGAAGATACAAAAATGTCAATGTGAAGGAAATTGCCTAAATCAAAGGGCATGTTTTATACCTAATGAAAAGCTATTTATCAATGCTGGATTATTTACATTAGTGATTAACCAACAATATTGCAATGTACAGGTGGAGCAGTGCTCTTTATGTTGTTTTATTATAGATTCATTTTTATCCATAGTTACTTATTTGAAGTTATAAATTATGACATATTGAAGAACAAATGGACAATTCAATGGTTCTGTTTTCTGAGGAAGGTGTTTCAAAAATGTATACAAAAATTCTTTGATATTTAATGATGATTAACCTTGAGTTGGAGATGGACCTAGTGACTTGATTCTAACAGCTTATGACAGAAGTGATGGGGTGTATCACTGCTGAGATCAGATTATAACAAGACTGCAGCTTCTATCTTGAATTTGCCCTCTCCTTCGAATCACTCTCCCTGGGGAAAAGCCAGCCACCACCCTGAGAAGACATTCAGGCAGGGATGTGGGGAGAAATGGAAGCCTCTAGCCAACAGCCAGGAGGATCTGAGGTTGGTCAACAACCAGGTGAACCAGCTTAGAAGCAGTGTCTTCAGACCCAGCTGAGCCTTGAGAGGACCACAGCTGCAGCTAACAGCTTGCCTGTCACCTCCTGAGATACCTTGAGCTGGAACCACCCAGCTAAACTGCTCCCAGATTTTAGACCCACAGAAACTTTGAGATAAATGCTTGTTCTAAGCTGCTACATTTAGAGGGGGTGGAGATAAATAACTATACTTTTAAGGTCATCAGGGTCCAAAGCAAAGCATTGCTATTTATCAAAGTTGTTGGGTCATGTTGTGTGGCTTAATATAAAGAACCACACTTCTAAAGAATTAATTAATTGTATTAATTACCAGATTACTTACGAGAAGCTTTATCAAACAAATAAAAAGCAGACAAAGGAAGTTGAATATGAGCGCAGCAGTGTGTTGTTTTATTCAGATAGGCTTAATGCAAAATATTTATGAGGCTATAAATCAGTGATTCAAAACATAGAGCAGGAACGCGTCTGGTAACGAAATTCTTTTGTTCTTTTGTTTGTTTGTTTGTTTGTTTGTTTGTTTGTTTTTTTGAGACGGAGTTTCACTCTGTCGCCCAGGCTGGAGTGCAGTGGTGCGATCTCGGCTCGCTGTAATCTCCGCCTCCTGGGTTCAAGAGATTCTCCTGCCTCAGCCTCCTGAGTAGCTGGGACTATAGGCGCATGCCACTACGCCTGGCTATTTTTTTATTTTTATTTTTTATTTTTAGTAAAGACGAGGTTTCACCATGTTGGCCAGGATGGTCTTGATCTCCTGACCTCATGATCCGCCTACCTTGGCCTCCCAAAGTGCTGGGATTACAGGCGTGAGCCACCGCGCCTGGCCCGGTAATGAAATTCTTGTTGTGAACTAGATCCATGATAACAGAGTGCAAGACAATTGAAGGCTCAGGGAAACAGCTTGGATTAGATGGGAAGGTGATTATGTGAAAGATACAGATAAAACAGTTGGATTGTATTATGTGTTCCAAAAAAAAGCAAGGTGGCCACTATTACACAGAAGGTAGTTTACTATCCACAGTGTCCTGCACATTGCTTTTTCCAAATTTAAAATGTATGTGAAAAACTTCAGTTTCAGCAGAGCAAATCTTCCCACTTCTTTTAAACAGCAGCAAAATTATTTAAACATAACTCCGGTGTGTTTTTTTAGAGAATATTCTATTGAATGTTTTGATTTTTTTTTTCTAACAGTTTGCTATTAGAAACAGTAACATAAAGGTACTTATTAAACAGTTGTCTTTTGGGAATATATTCAACAGGTAAATTCCCAGCTGCAATATTGCTGTGACCAAATGTGTATACATGTTTACATTGTCAAAATGTCATGCAGAAAGTTTGCACCAATTCACTTTCCCAACACTGTAGGAAAGTGACCATTTTTTCTAAAGTTTTGCTATCACTTATTATCGGAAACTCCTAGCATACTTACTAATCTTATAAATTAAGCCTATCATAATTTTTACTTAATTGTAAGGGGAATATAGTATGCATATATATTCACCACTGGAATTTATTTTTCTATAAAGTGCCTGCTCATTCTCTTGCCACTTATGTCATTTAATTATTGGTAATTTTAAACAAAGTTATATGAGATTTTTTGGCATAATAGCTATTAACTGAGTTGTGAGTGTATTTCCAAATTTCTTGTTAATCGTTAACTCTATGTAGGTAATTTTTTGCCGCATAGAGATTTTTTACTTTATTTGCTTTGCATTTTAGTAGAATTGTCCAATCTTTTCCAAATGTTTTCTGAGTTTTGCTATCTTGCTTAGAAGAAATTTCCAGACTCTGAGATTATAAATAAAGGAAGAGAGAGAAGGGCTAGATTTACATAGGACTAGGAAACCAAACCTGAATATATCTCATGAATAAAAGTAGTATCAATATTGAAAAACTCCCTAATCTCAATTTAAGTAAATTTTATTTTCACCAAGCATAAGAAGCCTTAAGGAAATTTTTCTAGAACCTGCAGGCTATGTATTCAGCAGCCAAGTGAGTGCCATTCACACCATTGAGTATGTTAGAAGTTCTATTTGACTTGGGGAGGACTTGTCATTGGCAATTGCCCACGGACTACCCAATAAGACAGATAATTGCCATTGGCACAAGATTTTGCTAAATTTTGCTAAATTATTCTTTGTAGACAACCATCTTTTTCAATAATCCAGGGAACTCACATTTTCCCAGAATTTATCGTAGGGCACTGGAAGGCACATGTAGAGACAATGAAGGTATTGGAAAGAAAGCAACATGCTGCATCTGCGTGGAACTGAATGAAAGCAGTGCATGATGCTCAGCTCATAAGCCAGGATGTGGTAGAACACAAGCTCTATTCATAAACTATTACAAAATATCGAGTGTGTTTAAATTATTCCTTTACATATTTTATTATTTCAGGCTTACCTTTGTCAACTTCCTTCTTTCATTTTATTTATAAGTTATCATAGTCATGTCTTTTCTCATAATTCTCTCAAACTCTGGCTGGTATGTCCATAAATCTCACTCTAGCCTGCTCTTCCTTCCTCCCTCTCTCCCTCCCTCCCTCCCTTTGTTCCTTCCTTCTTTCTTTTCCTTCCTTTCTTCCTTTTCTTTGCTCAGATTTTTTTCCATCCAAGCTACTATTTAAAACTCTGTATAGAGAAGCACATCACAAGACATGGTAAATATCAAGATTAACATATAAAATACAAGCTTATATTTTCATCTAGGGCTCAATATTTTACCCTCTTTCTACCCAATATTTAATACGAGGTAGGATGGTATAATAGAAGAATGAATTTTTTAGACAAAGTTAATCTCTGGGAGCCAAATTACCTTACCTGTAAAATGTGTAATAAAGCAATGTCTAGACTTTGGATGAAAATTAAATGAGATCAATTTATAATAAAGTGATAGCATCTTTGAAAACTTAGGACTTTTGATTCATAGTTCTGTACTTACACTATAAAACATAGTCAAGTATTCTAAAAGTAAACCTTGATAATTCCCATTGTTATTTTGACTGATTAAACATAATAGGCTCAAATTATAGAAAATAATTTTTAAAATTTTGCACAATTATTAAGTAATGAATTAATTTAAGTAGGAATATTTTCTAGATAAGATACTAAAATACGAAGAATATTTAAAATAAAGAATGATGCTGATTAAAAAATAAAGTTGTACATGTAGTAGAAATATTATAAAATTTAATTTATAATACTAAATACAAAAAATACTATACGGGAGAAAAGATAATTCCCTTTAAAACAGAGAAAATTCCTTCAGCAATTTTTAATTGTGGGAAGGAAAATTTTTCTTTATTTTCAGAAAATTTCATCTTTTATGAAAAAGATGATACATAAATATTGTAATACCAAGAGAATCCATCCACTGAAGCCTCTCTGGACATATGGGTAACTGAGTCATTTGTCCATGTTTCTGACCTGAAGCCAGCAGTTCTCAATTATGAAGCTTTGTCTTGACTACAAATACCCTAGCAATGAACTCTTCCTGGCCAAAGACAGGAAAGCTCACAGTTCGTGTTTAATCCACAGGTACACGCGTCTTCATATCTGATTTTGAAAATGGAATGGGAAGGCAAGGACATCCAGAGAAGAGTGGCTTTATCTAACATTATTTAACCTAGGAATATCGCTATGGAAATAATTAATAGCTCATTTTTCAGATAAGGAAAATGAAGACAAAGAACTTACTCAAGCCCGTTTCTTCAGCTGCCTTCCAAAACCTTTACAGCATGATCCAGTTTCTAATTGTTTTTTTATATTTATTTCCCTTGATGGCAATCATCATAACAGGCTGAAAATATGAGTCTATATCAATGTAAGATTTGCAGACATTTAATTTTTTTTCTTTGCTGATCAAGAGATGGTTGTACAGCTATAAAAAGGAAAAAAATGCTTTAACACTACAACATTTGAGTTGTGATATTTAAGTCATTTGGAGAATTGCAAGTGGCAACACCTAAAGACTACTTTTGTATTCCATTTGTTTTAAAAAATGTTCCATTTGACCCAGGATTCCCACTTCTGGAAATTTATTCTTATAAATGTAATTAAAATATTGAAGTAAAAGATCAAGTTATCTTTTGTCCATTAGAGGTATATTTGGAAATTCCTCAGTGTACAAAAATACAATAATTGTTAATAACAAATAGCACTTACAGAATATTATGTAACTAACAGAATTAAAACAAATTCATAATAACATAAAAATATTACTCTGTAATGTTAAGGAAAAAAGTGGAATATGAAATAGAAAATGAAGGAAATGTTAGGACATTTACATCTGTACAAACACAAACATACGGCATTTAGTCACAACTATATAAAATAGTTTTAAAAGACTGAAAGAAAATATGAAAACTTTTTTCTATTTTTTTAATTACGTTGTAATTCCTAAAATTTTTGTTGTGGAATTTGTTACTTTAAAAACTGAATTTTTTTTTTAACCAAGAGAAAAAAAGTATCTCCATTCCTATATTTTATAGATTTTATAAGATGTTTTGAAATTATGAAATCAAAGTTCCAACCATCTCTATTGTCATTCACAGGTATAAACTCTTTCTCTCTGAATTATTTCTTCCTGATCCTAAGCAATATTATATTCTCAATAATTTCCTAATAAATCAAAAGTAATTTATTACTATACAATTTATTGAAAGTGAATAAGAAATTGAGAAATTTGTCTCAAAAATTGAGAAGGGGAATATCACACTCTGGGGACTGTTGTGGGGTGGGGGGAGGGGGGAGGGACAGCATTGGGAGATACACCTAATGCTAGATGACAAGTTAGTGGGTGCAGCGCACCAGCATGGCACATGTATACATACGTAACTAACCTGCACAATGTGCACATGTACCCTAAAACTTAAAAGTATAATAATAATAAAAAAAAAGAAAAAAAGAAAAAAGAAAAAAAAAAACACAGACAATGCTCTCTAGTTTAAGACTTGGACAGACGGTCTAGTAAAAATCCCTTTCACCAAAAGGACACATTAAGTTATAATAAAACTGGACTAGAACGGCTTTATGAATTACCATTTCAGTATATCTTATTGTCCATTACATGTAACATTGCTATTATCTAACATATATGTGATAATTATGTTATATACACTCATGTACTTTGTATTCTGTAGTTTTCCTTGTTTGTTCATGGTACTTTGATTTTTTTTTTTTTGTTTTGTAAAAGAAAACTATGTCATTCTGATTTTTCCCTTAGGTATTTTACCTATTATTGCTTATATTTGAAGCAAGAGTGGCCAAAAATGTACAAACTTAGAATGACAGTTTGATCAGAAATCCATATATTTTCTAGTTTGGAGGCCTTAACTCAAAAGTATAGTTCTTGGAAATGGCTGCAGGTGTTTACGATCTCCACAAGACAACTATGGATTTAGGGAAATAAGTTGATCAAGAAATTAGGAAAAAAATCTCACTGAAACTATATTCAGTGTCATTTTAAATTCAAAGCCAACAAATATTTTAATCAAAAGAGTAAAACTAAGTTCCAACATGGGAAAGAGTGCAAATGGAATTCAATGCCCCTTTTGTTATTTTGATCGCATTCAGTACCAGAAAAATACTTTGCGTCATATTTTGTAGTAACATTTAACGTGGTTTTAACATATGACTTAATTTATATCAATTTATATCAATAAATAAGATATTTATAATCAATATCTTTTTCCATAAAGTGAAGAAAATCAAGTGTTAGGAAAGTTTGAGCCATTTACATGTCATTTTATTATTAAGAAATCGTAGGGGCTAATCTCCAACTTAAAAACATAATATTTTGACACAAGTAAAATATTTAGGTATCTAATTATTGAGCATATCCCTAACCTACAATAACTGTTATTTCAAGTAATAGAGTATATCTCACTATAGAATATTTGCCTTCAGGTACAGTCATGTTAGCACAAAACATCATAATATGAAAACATCATAATATTTTGACACAAGTAAAAGTTTTAAAACATCATCATATTTTGACACAAGTAAAAGATTAAAACATCATAATATTTTGACACAAGTAAACATCATAATATTTTAAAACATAATATTTTGACACAAGTAAGAGATTTAGGTATCTAATTATTGGGTGTATCTCTAACATACAATAACTGTTATTTCAAGTAATAGAGTATATCTCACTATAGAATATTTGGCTTCAGATACAGTCATGTTAGCACAATGTTGTAAAGTTACCTCAAATAATAATGTATTCTCTTGCATGGTTATGTTACTTATTAACTGCATTTTTTTCTTTTTATAACTTTTATATTTCAAATGTGTAAAATGTACATAGTTCTAATGTCAAAATTATGTTGAAAAATATAATATTCTATGAGTCTTGTTCTCATCCCCATTATCACGTATCATTGTTTAGTCTTTTCCTTCTTGAGTGCGTATGCATATGTGTGTGTGTTTATGCATGCATACAAAAAATAAACACATATATACATGTATAATCTTATTTTCTGTTTTTATAATAGAAAGATAGCATCCTATTTTTTGTTCTTCTATACTTTACATTTTTCAAATAAATTTTTCTCTCAATGAGTAAGTTATAGAACATTTATTTTGAAACAAAATAACATAGCGTTTGGGCAGATTCTGAAATTCACTAATCATAAATCTTGCTTGATAACATAGACAGCTATGATAACAGTGATATACAGATGCACTTTATCTTAAAATAAATTATGGACATGAGCAATGTATTTGTAAAGAAAAATAATAATAACAGCTAACATTTTTGAGTACTTAAGTGTAATCTACCTTTCCGGATAGTTTCAGTGTATATCTTTTCTTTTATCTCATTACTTTTCCAGCTTTATTCAGGTACAATTGGCAAATAAAATTGTAGGCAATAAAGTTACACAACATGTTTTGGTATATATATATGGTGAATTGATTACCACAATCAGGCTAATTAACATACTGTTCAATTCACATAGTTACCTTTTTTCTTTTTGTGGTGAGATTATTTAAAATCTACTCTTTTAGCAAATTTCAAGTATGTAGTAGAATATTATACACCATAGTCACCTCCAGATCTGAATCATTCTGCATAACTGAAATTTTGTATTCTTTGACCAGCATCACTTCATTTCCCCTCTGCCCTAGCCCATGTGTTAACCACCATTCTGTCTTTGATACTCTGTGTTTAACTTTCTAAGATTCCACATATAAGTGATATCTTGCAATATTTGTCTTTCTGTGACTGGCTTCTTTCATTTAGCATAAATTCTCCAGGTTCAGCCATGTTGTCACAATTACATTAAATGGATATTTAGGGCAGATAGGTGGAAGAGGAGCTTGTTCTGTCCACTCCCTGCATTGACCTAGCATTGCAGTGCGTTATGTCTTTAAATCCTTACAGTCACTCCATGAAGTGAGGCTATGCTTAAACCAATTTTTTCAGCTAAGTTACCTGGGTCTGTGAGAAGTTTAGTCACTTTCACAGAGTCCCAGATTACAGCAAAGTCTGGTATTAACCTCATTATACTGCTTTCCAGCCAGTGTTAAGTAACAGAATAAAAAAAAATATATTTTTGAACGTATTTCAATATAGTAGATTGATAAAACAGGAATTAAATAACCAAAAGTGAAATTCAGAATTAAAGTAACATAAGTTTAACCAGTTTACTTTACACCACTTTATATCATACTGATAGACATTTGTTAAGACAATAGAAATGGCAATTAAAGTGTGCATAAATAATATACATGTATATTTTATAGAAATCCTCTCTCTTTGGGGTATTAATGTTCATGACCTTTCATACACTCTCTATAGCAAGTGTCAAATAGAACCAGATGTAGAAAAACTACATGATCAAAGCTTTTTAAAAAAATAAATCTTAAATAATATACACAATAAAAGATAAAACCCAGCTGTACACTATTGCAAAAGAAATTAGCACACGAGAATAGTTTTTTTTACTCTTCTTTATTATTGTTATTAACTCTGTAAAATGAGATTCAGTTCTCCACCTTAGTATTTATTTTCTTGCCAGAATTGTACCAGATGGAAGAATTTTGTATAATTGAAAACATTGATTGGTATGTACTTCTGTTAAGATGTGTTATCACCGATATGATTCTATTTTATTTTGTATCTCAGCAAATATTATTTTTTCTTTCTATGTCATGCTATGTAACCCTTTTCCATTTTTTCTGTTGTTACTATGTCATATTATGTAACCCTTTTAAAATAGTTCTTGCTCATTTTCTGCATGTCTTTTCAAAACCAAGCCAACTATAGTCTATAAGCCAACTATGTCAACACTGAATTCAAAAAAGGTTAACCTAAAATGTAGCCAAATAACATAACCAATCTACCAAGCAAGAAACCAAGAAAATAGTAAAACGGAAAAGGACTGCTATTGGATTCTTAAGTAAATATTTATGAAAAACAATTTGGGACATGAAGATTCCAGAGGTTTAAAAGGAATGCTATAAGAAGACACCAACCTTAACTTTTTATAGAAACCAATGGGGTATGGGAAATTGAGCCGGCAATGCATCAACTCAGGGATGCAGAAGTAGAAGTGGGGATACATATGGAAGTACCGCTTAAAGCAAAAACTGCAGAATCACAAATCACAGCTTCTTTAAAAGGCAGATACAAAGGAAGAGCAATTTGCTTCTTCTTGTTGAACAAAGGAAGTTCAACTGTATTAAAACAACTGCTGGGCATGCATTATGTTTTATATAATCCTCTGTTCAAGGATAGCAGAAGACAAAAGATTTACATATATATATATATATATATGCATGGAGATATATTTGTATATCCATACAAATATATCATAGATGGTTTGTCACGGATGGCTCTTATTATATTGAAATGTGATAACTTTGTATCTCCTAAGTTATCTTCCTGGGTTTAATCCACCTTATGTTGATTTTTGTCTGTGGTGTAAGGAAGGATTCCAGTTTCAATCTTCTGCATATGATAAATCAGTTAATCCCAGCACCATTTATTGAATAGAGAGTCCTTTCCTCATTACTTGTTTTTGTCAACTCTGTTAAACACCAAATGATTGTGGGTTTGAGGAATTATTTCTGGGATCTCTATTCTGCTTCATTGATTTATGTGTCTGTTTTTGTACCAGTACCATGCTGTTTTGCTTACTGTAGCCCTGTAGTGTAGTTTGAAGTTGGGTAGTGGGATGCCTCTGGGTTTGTTCTTTTGCTTAATTAAGATTGGCCTTGGCTATTCAGGATCTTTTTTGGTTCCATATGAATTGTAAAATATTTTTTCTAATTCTGTGAAGAATGTCATTGGTAGTTTGATAAAAATAGCACTGAATCTATAAATTGCTCTGGGCAGTATAGCCATTTTAACAGTATCAGTTCTTCCTTTCCATGAACACATAAAGATTTTCCATTTGTTGTGTCATCTCTAATTTCCTCAAGCAGTGTTCTGTAATTCTCATTGTAGAAATCTTTCACCACTTTGGTTACTATATTCCTAGATATTTTATTCTTTTTGTGGCTGTTGTGAATGGATTGCATTATTGATTTTGCTCTCAGTTTGGATGTTATTGGTGTGTAGAAATGCTGCTGACTTTTGTACACTAATTTTGTATCCTGAAACTTTGCTGAAATTATTTATCAGCTGAAGGAGCTATGGGGCCAAGATACGGGGTTTCATAGGTATAAAATCATATTGTCTGCAAAGAGAGATAGACAAAGAGAGATACTTTGACTTCTTCTTTTCCTATTTGGATGCCTTTTGTTTCTTTCTCTTGTCTGATTGCTCTGGTTAGGACTTTGGGTACTATGTTGAGTCCAAGTGGTGAGAGAGGGAATCCTTGTCTTATTCTGGTTTCCAAGGGGAATGTTTCCAGCATTTGCCCATTCAGTATGATGTTGACTGTGGGTTTGTCATAGATGGCTCTTATTATTTTGAAATGTGTTCCTTCAATGCCTACTTTGTCGAGGGTTTTTAACGTGAAAGTATACTGAATTTTATCAAAAGCCTTTTCTATATCTATTGAGATGATCATGTGGTTTTTGTTTTTAGTTCTTTTTACGTGATGAATCTCATATATTGATTTGCATACATCGAAGCAAACTTGCAACCCCGGGGATGAAGCCTACTTGATCATGGTGGATTAACTTTTTGATGTGCTGTTGGATTCAGTTTGCAAGTATTTTGTTGAGGATTTTTGCATCTATGAACATTATATTATTATAGCACTTATTTACTAAACACTTATTTGAGCCAGTCTTAAAAGTGCTAATGCTCTAAATGCAATTAAAATTCCCCATAAAGTATGAAGTAAGTAGTAATATTCCATTTCACAGATGAGAAGCATAGAACCAGATTAAATAATTTAAATAGTTGAATGAGGTTTTGATTCCAGGTCTATATAATTTTGATTTGTTAACCATTATGTAATAATGCCTTTTAAGCGATTTTAGAAGATTTTGAAAAATATCTGTAAATACATGAATAAATAAGTAAAATAATTATTAAGATGTGTGTTATATTTAATTGGGCAAAGTCATCGTATATCATTAGTCTAACACTCTGATTCTTCTCACCAAACACAAGGAATTGCCTTCAATACTCTAAGCCTAAAGTTCCAGGCTAATTTTTCACACTAATCAAATAAATCTGCCAACAATAAGTTATTGAATTTGAAAGCATTTCTCCCATTGTGATAATGTATGATATGCATAATTATTAATGAAATATTATAAAACTTAGAGGGTGAATTTTGTATAGGGCCTATTATGCACAGTGCATAGGATTAACTGAGCAAACAAGATTTGTTAAATCAGTGAATATAGAAGCATTGATGACTTTATTGATTCACCCAGAAGATACAATTCTAAGGAAATCGAATTCAGTTTTGTCTCTCTACCTTCAATGTGCATAGAAAATTTAAAATGGATGAATTAAGATGACTCAGGGTTAAATGCCAGGAAATCACTTATTTACTGGAGATTGTTGATCCAAATGCTTTCTCCTTTGTAACTGCAAAGTATCATTTCTGCCCCTTTGAAAGTGGATGTGATGTAAACTCTCCACGTGGCAGGGATAAACAATAATGGGAAGCAGATGAAACTCAGCCCCAGGGGAATCTGCAGTGAATGAAAGAGGATTTCATTATCTCTGCAGGCAACCATGCAGTAGAAATGTCAGAATACCTGATTTTGGTTCGTCAGTGAGAAAAAACAAGCAAACAACTTTATTCACTGCCTTTGGATAGTGGTGAAGTAAACTTAAAATTATTTGATAAATGTGTTGCTTCATATGATATGGCTACAATGGGAAAAAGCAGGACAGTTGTTCAAAATAATGTTAACAATCAAGGAAGAGCAAAGAGAACTAAAGGCTTGGTTATGACCACATGCATTTCTTAAAAATATAGCTGAGTAAGAATAAGCCAAGGAAAGCCTGCAAAAAAGTCTGCATAACACAGGGAGGAATGCCAGTTTATAATCTACTTGTTTTAAGATAGTCACTTCCTGCTACTTTGCTTCTTACCTAAGAGAAAAGAGATATAGAAATAGGAAGTATAAATGTAAGGAAATTTAAAATACATTTCTATTATGCATTTATTAACAAAGGAGGCTTGTCCATTATGCTACAATCTGTGATTCTGCAATTCAAAAGGGTTGTAGTTATTTTTCCTGTCATTTTACTAATGAATTCAGTGAAGTCCTAAGTCAAAGACCAATTAAGTTGCGAAATTTCAGCTTATATTCATATTTGTTTAAGTTTAAAAATGTTCTTCCACAAGATTGTAAGAACATTTACAGAAGATTTGCTAGCTACATGCTCATTTTAATGGCATTACAACACATGAACATACAACAGATAAAATATTTTTAAAATATGTTAAAATAGATACTAACAACAAATTCAATTTTTAAAAAGCATCAGATCATTATGGCTAATTCCAGAATTTACAGTTCTTCCAATTTTGTGTGCAACTATTATTTACCAACTACCGAATAGAGTAATATAGTTGCAGTCTTCCTTAGAGTACTTAATTCTCTAGATACAAAAAGCAAACAAAAACCATAGTCTAATTTAAAATTTTAGGTAAATACAAATAAAACACAACAGGAGCTCAGATTGGTCTTCATCATTTAACTAGAATTGTGTAAGATTTTTAAAAGAAACAAGTATAAAAATCATAGGTAATGTCTGAAGTTAAGTTGTCATCTTTTAGGTTTTAGCTGCTGGCTTTATGTTATTCTAGATTATATTCTCAGATTCTTACAAATGCCACTGTCAGGAAGCATATATATATATATGTGTGTGTGTATATATACACACACACACAAATGTATAGCTATATATGTATATACATATTTATATATTCAGGAAGCATATACTTGGGCATAAATCTTGTAGAAGCATGATGCATAAGCTATAAATTGCAATCAAAATGCTAACTTTAGTTTTATCTCCCCTTTTCTTTTCAAAATTTATTTCATTGACAAGTATCTTCCTGTGCCAATGGGTAAAATTTGGGCAGATCTCATGACTTTTTTGTTTGCTTATTGGTAATTGAGAGTTCTATTATTGCTTTTAGTGAAAACAGAGACTGTCAAATCAGAAATTTAAAATATCCAGTCCAAGACTATATTTAATATTTAATTTCCATTATAAAGAAAGACTTTTACATCTTGCCAGCAGTTGATATTCTCTGACATTTGGTTTAAGAAATGCATGGCTTTTCTCTTTTCCTACTCTGCGTAAGCATGGGAGAGAGGAGAATCAAGGGAATAAGAAAGATTTTACTTCAACTAGTGACTGATGGGTTCTATTTTAAGCTGGTGCTGGACCTGGCAAAGATTTAAAATCATCTGTTTTTATAGTGGGACACTTCAAACATTTTTCAGAGATTCTCTTGGGGTTCCGCCACCCGTACTTCCATTGAGGCAGATAGATAAGTCTCTATTTCAAATGATGGCTTCTAAATCCTTAGGAAGCCCCTAGGAAGCTCTTGTATACCTCCAGCTTCTTGCTGCTTGGATTTCTTTGTCCTTATATGTGACCCCATTGGCCAAGGACCAAAGAAGATACTACATTGCCACCAGCACCCTCTAGCACGTGACCCACTTGTTTCATAGGAAGCAGTCACACATCCTTTGCTGTAACAAACTCAGAGTACTGTCTGATTCCAATCCTGTGGCAACTGTCCTGGCCCTGAAACCATAGCATTGGTCTGCTTTCTTAATCCTCAAGATTTCCTGGGTCAGATATTCCCCAAGTTATATTGGTCACATGCTAGATTTTTAAGTGGTGCAGTTAAAGCACCACCTCCTACAAGGCCTCACATTACAAAGCTGGCAAATATCCCTTTAGGTGAAGGGGGATACGTAGTTTACCCAAAAATGTTTTCAGGAACTTTACTTCTACATGCTCTGATCCAGGTATCACATGCTTGATTTCACTAAGTGGTCTAGGATTCAAGGATTCAATTCTAGAACATGTGTTTCTAAGCCCTGAATTTTGATCTGGCACTTTACTATAGCATGCAGAACATATTTATCCTGGGGCCAGATGGATATTTCATTTATTAGGTTACACAAAAGGCTCAGAACTTTAAGAAAGACTATAATTGAGGAAAATACACACAAAAAATTTTTTATATAATGAGCTTCAAGCATATCAAATATTTAGACTTTCATGATGATTTTCAAGCATATCAAATATTTAGACTTTTATGATTTTTTTTGTGGATATCCATAGCAAGGGCATGTCTGTGAAGCCCATACATTCTTGGTACACAAGACATTTGTAGTAAAAGTTATGGTGACTATGATGTAAAGAAATAGGCTGTGTAAAATATGCATCGGTGCATTCTAGTAGACTTATTTCAGCAGAAAATAGTTTTAAAGTGCACAAAACTAAAAGATCAATTCACAAATTCTATGTAGCTTTGAGAATGAAAAAAGACATACATATTCTTGAGATGCTATTTTAGGCTGTGCATAACAACTGGTATCGATGAACAGGTAGAAGTTGAGAGTATTTGGTTTTGCTGTATATAATTTTATGATGACAGTGAAAAGACAATTGGTGAAGTAGAATTGAAATAAGAGCCAGCACCACTTCCTTTCCAACATTTTAATTACCCTAGATTTTTTTTTTCTTTTCCAGGAGGGCACAATAATTGCTATTTAATAGGACTCCAAGGTTTTTACGCTAAGTATGTATTCCTATTCTTTCTTTCTCCTTAACAGACTCAGAAACATTGAGGATATCATTGATTCATTCTCTCTCTTGCCTTTTCTCCTCTTTATTTGGAGAATGTTAACTCTAATTTGTTAATGGCTTTAATAAATGCCTACAAATTACAATTCTTAGATAAGGTTGTGTCTGATATACCAGTGGGCTGATTTTGAGGCCAGAGATGGTGTAATGGCACTTGCTCTAGTCATGTCATTAATGATCAATTTAATAGCAGTCTTACGTATATTGGTCACTCAGTCACATAATCAACCAAAGATTTGAGCTCTAAGCATAAAATATGTATTTTTTAACTTTTATAGGTTCAGCACACTGTGTTTTTATTTATTCAACAAATATTCATTGAGCATCAATTTTTGCCAGACCTTTATCTAGGCCCTAAAGAATTTAGCGCCTGAGCTATCTGAGTCAGTGCCTACTCGCACAGGACTTTTATTAATTGAATAAATAAATGGTAAAGATGAGAACTAATATTTATTAGAAATTTGATAAATGCATGTGTATTTAACATGCACCACATACTTTTGGAGCATCCACTAACTATTAGGTTTGTATATTTAGAAAGCCATGGCTTATCAAAGGTTAAGGGTGTAGTGTAAAGCTAGTGTGCTTCTGCTAATGTCTTAGCTCCTTCACTTACTCTCTATGTGACTGAAGCAAGTTAACCTCTCTGTGCCTTGGTTTTCTTATTTGTAAAATTGGAATAGCTACAGTTTCAACGTCGTGAATTTATTATCATGACTGAATGAGGTAATACTTATAGAGTTTAGAACATATCAACTAATATCAAAATCTGAGTTAACTTTTGGAAGTTTAAAAATGATACATACAATATGTATCTAAAAAGTGGTGTCTGTAAAATGTAAATTAAGGAGTTGAAGAGTGTGCAGCAAAAGTCTGATTCTTTTGGCATTAGTTCACAAATTGTTTCTGAGGCAATTCCTGCTATTTCTCAGATGGATAGGCATTTCTTAAGTCTTTAAATCTTAATTTAGGTATATTTGTGTGTAGATAGGTAGACAGAGAGAGAGACAGAAAGATTCGCAGTTGAGATTTTCTATCTTCTTAATCTCTTCCCCCATCTACTCCTCTAGTTTTTTAAAGTGATTAAAATTGTTTTCTAATAGAATATGTGCAACATATATTAATTTTTTATTTCCTTAAATGTGTCCTTTTTACAGGGGAGAAATAACTTCCCTGGACTATGGGTGTTGGTTTGCAGTGGTGTGAAAATGCCATTCAGTGTCTTCTCTCTTTTCAGACGTGAAGTCTGATGCCAGAAAGAGAGCGAGAATGATACCAATGTTTTTGGTTTAAGCAATCAACAGAAGAATAGAGTTGTTATTGAGATGAAGAAGAAATTCAGGAGGTGCAAGTTTGAAGGAATGACTAGAGGTTTATTTTTCTTTGAGGGTATGGTAAGTTTGAGATATCTATCAGACATTTAAAGTCAGCAGTTTGATATATGAATCCAGGATGCATGAGAGCGACTAAGCAGCATATATTTCAGATTGATAAGCCTACGGATAATATTTAAAACCATGAGACTAGATGAGATGGAGCTAATGAGTGAACTAAAACAGAAAAGATTATGTCAACCTTTGGAGATTGGGAAAAACAGTAGAAAAGTGGAGGTCTGAGGAGAAGAGAGGAGTAGACAGAAATCAGGTTAGTGTTGTGTGCCAAAAGCCAAATGAAGAAAGATTTTCAAACACTTTATCAAATGCTGTTTACAGGTCAACTATGAAGACGACAGAGAATTGACCACTGGACTTATAAGCATAGAAATCATTAGTCTCTTCAATAAGAACAGCTCAAGTAAAATGCTGGGGAGGTGAAAGTCAAATTAGAATAGGTTTAACAGACAATGGTAGAGGAGTAAGTAACTGGAGACAACGAGTATAGAGAATACTTTCTAGGGATTTAGATATTAAGGGAAACAAACAAACAAAAAGTGAGTCCTGCAGATCCCAATTCTCTTCTCATTCTCTGCTTTCATGTCTAATCACCCAGCATGCACCCAGCCTGCATGGAAGGAGGTTGGTGCTATTTCTCCAGTTCTCCGATTCCTCATTTCATCACAGTCAATTTTCAGGCCTAACTTACACCTGGCTGTCATGAAGTGACCCCAGAATTAAACATTATAGAGAAAAGGTGATTTTTTAAAAACTTGAGTTTTATATCAGAATTTCTAGAAGTACCATTTAGAAATCATTTGTCCTAACCAATGTTTTTCAATATTTTCCATCACAAGGCACACTTATAGATAAAAATAATTTGTATATCACATTTGCAAACCACCTTTTCCTCCACCCACGAAAACAAATAGAAAATTTCCTCCACCCACGAAAACAAATAGAAAAATTAAATTATTTCCAAACATAGTAGATTCTGATTAGTAATAAATGACTTCCTTTTTACTTCACAGCAAATCACAGTATATTACATTTATGTCGATACAATTTTAGAATTGCTAGTATTAATGACTACATTTAAAAATTAGAAAAATGCAATCTGGAGGGATAAAGCAATCCACGAAAGCTACTTCACTCTGAAATGAAATGATCTGGGCTAGACCTGGTTCCTCTAGAGAACAGAGATAGCAGAAGCCACAGGTAGGAAAATCCTGAAGGAAATGAACTGAGCTCAGCAGTCATTTCCTGGCTGGAAATTCTTTTTCTCAGAGAATACTGGGGGCAAAATCTCACTAAGGGAAAGAAGGTTCGTCTGGGACTTTAACCCTTGAAAAGTAAAGTAGCTAGCAAAAAGCTGCTGCACCTGGAGATCAGGCCAAAGTTGCCTGCCACAATTGTGCTAGAAGCTGGAAACATCAGAGGCTAATATAACTTAATATAATTCATTTTTTAAGGCTCAAGGGAGAATTTGATATAAAATTATAACCGTTTACAGTTTAATAATTAACTTTCCAAAGGCATTTACAGAAATGACATTTGATTCCCATTTCAAAAATGTGAAACAAAAAAATTTTTTATTTTCTCCCTTATAATAATGATAAAATAAGACACAGAGAATAAACAACGTTTGTCCAAGATCGCAAAACCATAAAACTGTAAACTGGGAATAAGCCAGTTAGAAATGATTATAAGTCTAGCACTATTTTCACTAAATGAAGTTGTAAGTCATAACAAAAATGAAAAACTGCCAAGAGAATGCATGATTTATATCCCTATTGCTAAAAGTGACCTAAGACACTCTTAGGTCACTCTACTTGTCTGCCTAAGTAGTTAACAGGGTACTTATGGGTTTCCTGTATTAAAGATCTCTCTGCCAATCATTTTTACACAATTTCACAGCTTAATAGCTGCAGAGCCTTAGATGCATTAACCTGACTTAATTTCTAATCCTTAGAGAAAGTATTATCTGCCCCAAATGTGGATGTGAATAATAAGCATTAAATATTCAAAATGAGTACAACGCCAACCACACCATAATGATCATACTGGTTTAGCCTTAACTTGCATATTTGGAAAACTCTGCCCTAAGTATGTCACACAAATATGAATCAATTAGGAAAAGTATGAAGGGATAATATAGAACAATGGAAATTTAAAATTGAGAATTTGAAAAATTACTGTATTAGAAACAGAATTTCAAAGCAGGAAAGAAAAGGCAAATAAAAAAACTCTAATGTTAAAATACCTTGAGAAATAAAGGAAAAATTACATAATGCCAGATAAGTCATTTCATCTTATTAATATTTTTTGATACTTCCAATCAGAATTTTCAAAACTTTAATGAGATAATAAAAGTATGTAGAAACCTAGACCTTGATTGCATTTTATTCATTATTTACACAGATAAATAATCCAGGTTCTTTACCCAAACCTTTGTCTTCCTGGATTCTTCTCTTTTTCTCAAAACTTCCATCCAATTGTCAGCAAACACTGTCAGGTATAACTTCAAAGTACACCCATAATAGTGCCACGCCCATGTCACCACCTGCATGGCTAACAACCTTGTCAAAGTCACCATTACCTCTCAGCCTTAAGTGCTCTTCCTGTTAGCTACCCACTCCAGCTTCTCTGGCCTCATTGCCTATCCTAAACCCCCAGGCTCAGAGCTTCGAGGCTTTTGATTTGCTTTTGCCTAATTTTAGAATGCTCTTCCCTAGATGGTTACATAGTGTCCCTCTCCTTTTCAGATCCTTGCTGCTCTGTGCGGCCTCCATGAGCCCCCTATTTGAAATTGCTGTGCCACATTCCCCTAATAATCTATAACCCCATCTCTGTTATTATTAGTATTTTCCAGAGCCATTAATGCCATATTTATATATTTATCTTCTTCCCCTACAAAGATGTAAAATTCTGTAAGGACAGGGACTTTTGTCTGATTTTTAACTGCTGTATCTCTAGGACGTTGAATAATAACACTTGCCCTGTAGTAGATAATCAATAAATATTTTTTGGAATAAATTCCTCTCTTGAAATAATCTGAAAAATAAACTTATGGAATAACATAGAGCTTTACACATTTACTGGTTGAGTTTTCTTTCTGCATTTTCATATAAAACAACTGTCATATCATTAAGCATTTTGTGAAAAGATTCTTAAAGGGGACCTCTACAGAAAAAAAAAAGATTTTTAAGTAAATTATTTGTTTTCAATATATACTGTATGTTTATACTTTTGTCTTCTATAAACCAACAGTAGCCTCAGATGATAGATGATACCTTTTTACTTCTGCTTTACTTGAACTGTAAAAAACATTTTATCTTATCTCAACATTGCATACTAGTCCTAAACTAGTAAACAGAATTTAAACTATAAAACTATAAGGTTGGTGTACAGTTATCTAAGGGACGTAACAAAAAGTAAATATCAGTGAAACAATGCTCCAACTTCAGGGCGTACATAATAATATTTCATAAGGGGTGTTTGATGTTTTCATCAATGATAAATTAGACACCACACAAATTTTGGTCTCAGAGCTATGAGCAATAGCTGGCAGGAAACATGTTCAAAATTCAAATTGGTCTTGGTTATCAGGATCATAAATAAATGTAATGGGATTAAGTTACGAGGTCACTGTAATACATCTCAGGAGGAATAAAACAACTCAGCAAAAGAGGCCATAAATGCAACCTGACTAAAGCAGCAAAATTGTTTAATCTATACTATACTATTTATTAGACACCGTCCTAGACACAGATCAGAATTCAAAGTGAATAAGCCATGGCACCTACCCTCAAGAGTTTTTTTACTGCAGGGAGTGATAAATAAATAAAATAAAATGCAAGTTGAAAATGTTTTTACATGCTGAAAAAGAGGCATGCAAACAACAGCAGCACAGTGGGGGAAAAGAACTACGAATGAGATCAGTAATATGTGATCTTCCTTTTAGCTTCAGCACAAGCAGCCATATAGTTATTACCCCTTTATCCTTATTCCAAACTGCCAAGAGAAGCAAACAAATCACATTCATTAATCCAAAGGGTTGGATACCTTTATCCAACTATGCTCCAGTTAGCAATGGATGGAGAAGGGAAAAATAACACAAAATAGTGTACTTACAGAGGCAAATTCCGAAGATGGATGACTGTGCAATACCTCCAAGAAAACTGAAGCTGGAAAAAGGTGCTTCTATATATTACCTATGAATGCTGAAGAGAAAGGGTGAATACGTGAAGTAAGACACTTGCACAGTCATTAGATTCCTAAGGATATTATCAGCCATTGAGAAGGCAAAGAAGATGTTGTGCTTGAATAACAGAGACTCTTGAAAGAGAAAAATCAAATTACAACTTTCAAGAGATTAACATGAAACTTGAGAACAATGTTAGTTCTGTTGTTGAGCTAATTACTCAGTGAGAGAAGTTCAATGATAATTCCTGGTTTTGATGAGAACTTCACTATTATTTATGTAAGTAAATTACACCTGAAACAGAGAGATTTTTCTTACAAGGTCAAAAGCAGTTAAAAGACATCCATAATAAATAGCAGAGCTAACTAACAGAAAACGGAGCAAGTAGAAAATGTTAAACAAGTGTCTCTGACAAAAAGACCTGGAGTCAATGGTTGCTAAGGAGTCATAAAATAGGTATGTGGTAGAAGGAGTAGGAGATTCTAGCACCTACATCAAATTCCCCCCTTATCCTCCAGAAAGTCACCTAGAAATCTCAGCTGAGATGATTTGCCATTCTGCCCAGTTATGAAGAGACGACTAGATAATATGCTTCAATGTCCCTACCAGAATTGTTTCTGTGAAGAAAAATAAAATGTGTCAGATCAGTCTTTCGAGTAGCAACTTATTCTTTATTATTATTTTAGTTTTTGACTTTATAATAGGAAGGTTCCCTTCATGGCACCAAAAAAGTCCTACAAGTGCATTTTCCATAAGTTGTTTGAAGACATCTATGTTTGGACAGTTAACAAGTCACTAGGGAGTTCATGAGTAAGAAAAGGCACAGCCCTGACAGTGAGCCCATGTTTTTGTAAAGAATGCCTGCCGTTTAAAGGTCATAGGCTGAGAAGCTGTGGTTAGCAAAAGAAATTAGTCATGAAAACACAGTACAGCCCAGCAGGGATTTATTATGCATGAACCACTTCCATTTTTTGTTTATTTAAAATAAGCTAGATTGTGAAAGTGTTGAAATTTCCTCGTGGCACATAACTTTAGGGGAGTGCCCTCCTCTCCTCCTCAGCACATCGTGTTGATTGAGATTATTTGGAAGATATGACTGCTGTCCAAAACTAAAAGTAAAGCAAGGATTTCAACACATGGGAAATTCCAAATGCATAAAAAGGAAAATTACCACACCTATAACTGAATATTCAGTTTGTTTTTTAGAAAATCCGTGCACATATACATAGATGTTTTAAGATAAAAGTGGATATGGCTCCCCAAGCATGAATGAGAAATGCTAAATTTGGTTACAACAGGCTTATTCAGAATTATGGATTCTAAGTGGGAGAACTTAGAACACACGTTCAGCATTTTTTGGAGAAATAATTTTGAAGTACCTGTGATACTTTTAACATACTAACAAGCTTTGAAGGAATTTAATAAAGGGCTTAAAATTTTCAAAAAAAGTTTCAAATTACTCTCTTGAATCTGTAGTTCATTTGTGTTTCCTCTTTAGCTGTCTCTATGGTTCACATTCAGCATCTTGTTTCCAAGAGTGCATGTGTGCATCTCTGCTGTTTTATTTCAATATCATTTCAATGGTGTACTGAGAGAATGAGCACCTTACCTTGGAGTGTTTGGTTAAAGATCTGATATCACATTATCATCTCAATTCAAAGTTCCATTTTGTATTCTATAATACATATTATTTTGCAACTCTAAATGATAAAAGTTTTGAAAGTCTAACCTATATTTCTATTAAATGAAGTGAGTATGTTGTTTTCAATGTGTTTTATCAGCTAGCACCCCCACCTCATCACCAAATTGCTCTCTCACCTAGGAGGTGCCTTTTCTTAAAATACAGAGATCTGTATTTTAGAGATATTCCTTTGTAATTTTAGATGGCAAAATCCCTAAAGGTGGTATTAGAGGATATTAAATATCTTCTAATATTAAATCAGGAACACCTTGTGGAAATGAGTTTGTATAAATCTCTCCCTTTGAGTCAAGACTAGAATGGCAGAAGCATATGGAAGAACTGAAAGTGAAAAAGGACTGAAGTAGGGAGAAGGTTTAACAAAGGAAATTGAGATATAAAACCTTGTAATGCAAGATGATTCATTATGACATTTATTCTTTGATTAAGACATAGTAGGATATACTAATAAGTCATGATATATTAATACAGTACATACTCTATAGTAATCAAAATCATAAGCAGTATATATGAATCTCAAAGACAAAATGTTGAATAAAAGAAGCTAGAAACAAAAGAGTACTTACTCTATGATTCCATTCATATGAAGACCAAAAAGAGGTGAAGGTAACAGAATTGAAACAGAGGTGTAAAGTAAGAGAATTCAGAAATGTCTGATTAACCTTTGGAAGCAAAATTATGACTGAAAGGGAGCATGCTGGTAATATTCTATATTTATCTATACCTATATTTATATCTATATCTAAACAACTAATTTGTCTTAAAGTCTCTGAGTGCCAGACATGGCAGGCAGACTTGAAGATGGCCTCCTTTGGTTATCACCTCCTGCTATTTATACTTTTGTGTATTTCCTTCCTTGAGTGAGAATTGAACCCAGAGAGTTATTTTTAATGAATAAAATATAGCAAATTCCTTTTATGATTATGTTACATAAGATTGTGACTTCTGTCTTATTAATAAACTCACTCTCTTGCCAATTTTGATAAAGCAAACTGCCATGTTGGAGAGACCCGTTTGACAAGGAACTGAGCGCAACCTTCAACCATTTGCAAGGAAGGAACTGAGACCTTCAGTCAAACAACCTTAAGTCATGCCCAGATTCCTGTCCCTTAGAAACTGTGTTGTTTTGAGATGGCAAGTGTTGGGGCAATTTGTGATGTAGCAATAGATGTTACATTAAGCAGAACATTTCAGAAGCCACATTAGCCAGCAAGTTGCTAGTTCTGGATAATTGAAAACTACTTAATGCTGTAAAGCAGATTATTTGAAGTTAATTTTTTACTGCAATAATATTTTATTATAAGTAGGTGTGCAAATAGTTATATGGAATGTTTGCTTTGGACTATGGGGACTTCCAAGATGTGAGACTTACAGTTTCAAAACCATAACAGTCTTGGGAAAGCCAGGACAGTTAGTCACTTTACATATTGACTATGAAATGATTTTTACTGTTTATTTTGTTTTTCGAACCTAACAGGGGCTTACTATTGGTTATGTAAGTGAATATTCAAAGTAAATTTTCCAAAGTAAATATTTTTCATATAAAACTGAGACTCAAGAAAAGGAAGCTATAATTTTTTCTTGTTTTCTTCTCTTTCTCTGCATGAAATTATTATGTGAAAAATCAGTTATTGGATTTCAATAAAATAACACGTATGGGCCCTATTTTAGAGGATCTATCTGAATATTTTGCTGTTAACGATGACAAAGCCTTGCTGAGATGTCATAAATCAACTGAGTAAAGGTCAATTTTCACCAGAATTGTCAACACTGGTCAGTCTTACTGTAACAATTTCCACATGTAAGGGAGTGTATTAGTCCATCTTCATGCTGCTGATAAAGACATACCCAAGACTGGGAAGAAAAGGAGGTTTAATGGACTTACAGTTCCACATGGCTGGGAAGACCTCACAATCATGGTGGAAGGTGAAAGGCAAGTCTCATATGGCAGCAGACAAGAGAAGAGAGCTTGTACAGGGAAACTCCCATTTTTAAACCCATCAGATCTCGTGAGACTTATTCACTATCATGAGAACAGCACAGGAAAGACCTGCTCCCATGATTCAATTACCTTCCCCAGGTTCCTCCCACAACACTTGGGAATTGTGGGAGTTACAATTCAAGATGAGATTTGGGTGGGGGCACGGCTGAACCATATCAGGAAGGAATAAAGAAAACAAATAGATCTCAGAACAATCAGTCTTTTACAGGGAATGGCATCTTCTACAGTAAAACTTGTAAAGACTAAGTCACTTCCTGGGGATCATTATCCTTTAAGAGAGCTATTAATTAACCTAATAATGACCATAAATGTGGAGTTGATGTCTCCCTGCATCAGATAATTTGGATAGTACTCAGACTAATTTTCTGAAGTTATTTATCCAATTAACCTGAAGATTATTTGTAATTACTACTACTTTTATCACAATACCTTGGGTTGTGGTGATAGAAACCCTAGAAAAAATTTTTAAATCATGTTAAAATGGAATTTAACCATTTTAGCCATTTGTATTCATCCACCCATTAGTATGGATAAATTAATCATATATTTATTATTTGTACCTTAGAAGAGAACAAAGCTAGAAAATAAGACAAGTGCATTTTTCCAAGGAAAACAAATATTGAAATATATGTGGCTTTTTTGCTTGAGGACTAGATGAAAAGCATCAGGAATAGCCTGGGAACTGGTGCGGATGGTAGATCCCAAGGGAAGAAGAGTAAAGAATATCAATATCAAGATATAAGCTGCTTTTACATTATATTATACCTGTATTTAAGCTTTGTTAATAACTTTCCCTAATTAGTTCTTCTGTAATATTAGATTAATTTATGTATAGGTGGGAAAACAGAAATACAGTTTTGAGTGCTTATACAGGAAAGTTCACATGTGAGGGTTGAGGTCTCCTCAAATATGGTTTAATATCCCAATGCATCTTCACACCACCTTGTAAATATGCATACAACCTCTGCTTTTTCTTAACTATTCAGCACTTTTTTTTATCTTTATGGAAATCTGGGGAAGGGAAATCATTTCCCTGTCAGGATTAAATTTTTTAGAACTCTAGAGTGCTCAGGGTTAACATTTTAAAAATAGGTTTATATTCCTTGGAGCTGAAGAAATTGAAAAGAAAAATTACAGTTACATTCCAGCAGAAGCATATTTAAGGTAACTCACATATTGACGGCAGAGGCAGCCCATCTGGAGTGGCCTCTGCCAAGATGCTGGCTGCAGCGGGGGAGGCATGGCCAGGGCTGTGTGCTCCACAAAGCTGGTGGAGACCAGGAACAGGTGGGACTGCTCCCTACTGAGTCAGTGGGGTAGGAACCACACACTCCTCTGCACAGCTGCAGCAACCCAGCAGTAGCTCCAGACCCAGGCATCACTGTGGTCTCCGCGTCCAAGAAGTCTCCCCTGCCCCCGCAGACTCAGAACTGCCTGCTCCCACACCCTGGCCTCTCACCAATCCCAGTGCCCACTCAGCAAAGTTATGGCTGAGCCTGGGTGTTGTCACACCTCTGCTAGATGTGTGCATACTCATGGCAGCGCTGACACACCAGCCCCCTGTCGCCTCAGCCCCCTCCCGACTTTGGGCACCGACGAGCACAGGGGAGAGTCAAGGGGTTACCGAGGGCAGTTCAGCGCAGGCCTCTAGACACCCCATGGCATGGACAGCCAGGGCACCAAGGATGACATGTTAATGACAGCAGGAGGTAGAAAGGTACCTGGACAGAAAGGGGCAGGTCTCTGCTGAAAACCCTCCTTCAATCCAGGAACAGCTTGAAGCCTGGGGGCCGGGCTGCCAGTTCCTGGTGGAGTCTGCAGCCCGGAGTGAGAACTTAGGTGCTTTTTCTGGGCCCACCCATGGCTGCGCCTGGATGGTTCAGCATGCACTCCATCGTTTCTGAGCCCATAAACACCCCGGACTTAGCCAGGCTCACAGAGATCTTGGGACTACCAGCTGTGGGTCTCCTCGACTCATTGGGACGACCTGCCTGTGGAAAGGCATTAACTTCTTTGGGTCTTCTCTCTGCTTAGGGCTGCACTCATCAGGACTGCCTGCCTGCAGAGAGGAGCTACCCACTCCAGGTCTCCTCTCTGTTGAGAGCTGGACACTCATCAGGATGACATGCCTGTGGAAGAAGCTACCCACTTTGGGTTTCCTGAGAGCTGTTCTGTTGCTCGGTAAAGCTCCTCTCCACTTTGCTCACCCTCCAGTTGTCCACATACCTCATGCATTCTGGGCACAGGACAAGAACTCAGGACCTTCTGAAAGGCAAGACTGAAATTGCTGTAAGACAAACAGGGCTGAAACACACCTCTCAACCTGCCACGTTACAGGCAACAAGGAGTACAGAAGAGCTGAAGCCCTTTAGGAAGCCCAAACTTAGGGGCTCCCAGAGCCGTGGCTATGACACCCACTTTAGGGCTCTGTAGTTTCTCTCATCTCCAAGCTTCCAGGTGCCACCATGTTCCCCTTGTCCAGATGCAGGTGCCCACAGTGGAAGCTGTTTGTGGTGCATCTGATCCAGCCACAGGCTTGCACAGAGCCTGTGCCTGTGCCAGTGCCTGGAGCTGCCCATCTTACTGCAGCAGTCAGCGTGCCTGACTGTACCCAGTGGCTGGACCCTGTGCTTGCTCATTCACATACCCCTCACCACTCCATGCCTGGCTTGCCCCTAGTATGTATGGGATCTGGGCCAGTAGCATGAGCCAAGAGCCACCTGCCATGCCTTGTGGGCAGAATGAGCCCAGAGGGCACCAGCTAAACTTAGGCAAAAGTGCCACCAGCCACAGAGGTTTCCAGCTGGAAAAGCAACACCCAAAAGATTCTGTGACAATATAATGATCTTGAGTAAAAGCTTCTGAGTAACTTCCTTGATAGATTGTGCTCAGCTGTAGCCAGTGTGAAGGTGTCCACATAGCTCACATCTGGCCTGCTTTATGGAAAGTAAATGATAGCCATCATCATTAAAAAGCAGTGAAGCACAATGTTTAACTGTGTAGCATCTATAGGCATTGTCCAGGTTCAATGTCCAGATCTGTCACTTATTAGCTTTGTGATTTGGGTAAATTACTTAACATCTCAACTTCCTCAGTGGTCAAAAAGACCATACTCATTGTTAAAACTTTGAATCAATTAAGGTGGCCCCTAATATGTGATTTCAATTAGCCAAAATGTTTGGGATGGGGTTTGGGGTGAAGTGGTTCCTAAAACTTAACTGTATTGTTTCTGAAGCCTGATAGATACAATCCTGATAGATACAAAGCCTGATGGATACAATCTCCATCTTTCGATGGAGAATCTGAGGAAGGAGACAAAATACAGAAGATTAAAGAATTATATTATAAAAAGAATAATGGCTACAGTTATGGCACATGGAGCTAAGAAGAATTAGATACATCTACTAAAAATTGTAGACAGCTGTAATGCCAATAAAACCACCAGCTGAGCTATCAGAATCTGTGACTAAAAATATATAAGAATCAAAATAACCAATCTTTGGGCTGTCAACCTTCTAAGAGTAGGAAGCAAGTTGAAAAAGCTCGTCAGTCTCCAAAGAGCATGTGAAACTGCATAATCACTTCACAGGTAGCTAAAGATGATAATGGAAAAGAAAGAATCACCAAAAGAGAATGAGGATAAAAATGGCTACTCCCAAGGAGCAGAATCAGAGCTGAACATGAGACATATCCCATTCCCAGGATGGCAAGCTATTTAAGTATCTGCCCAAGAAGATCTCAGAAGTTTGAAGGACCACTATCTGCTGTTTTGCTCTGATTCTTTCAATTGCCAGTAGGAGTATTTGTTGCATTTCCCTGCGCTGTTTCACCATTGTATGTCAGGTATGCTGAAGGTAGGACTGTTAAAGTCAGGCATTAATTTGCCTCCCTACTGAAAACACAATGATTTGCATATTAAGGATGGTCATAACAGACATTAAAGACCAAAAGTCTTCAAGGCAATACTGTCCATAGATATGTAGTACTCAAGTGACTGAAGCTACCTCTGGTGACCAGTGGGAACTTGCCATTGGTATAGTTGACTTGGTATTGCTACATGCTCTGTGGGGATGATCCCTATCATGGACATTGTCCAGTTAGAAGATGTGGTATAAAATTTGTCCCTGATTTTAGCTGATGTGATTAATGGTATCAACTCCAACATGAAAGACATTCAAATCAGTCTCAACTCATTGGACAAGGCTGTTTTTGGTGACAGAACTAGCTAGACTTCTTTGTGGACCAAGGTAGTATTTGTTCAATCATTAACACATCCTGCTATATCTGGATTAACGTCTTAGGCCAAGTAGAAAGGTCAGTACAGAAAATTAAGCAGAAAGCCATCTAGCTTTCTAAGATAGACATTGAGCATTTATGGCCTTTGTTCAGCTGATTGGGTCAGACATTGTCTCTGGGGAACATGATTGAGGTCAACACTGAAGTTTGGTCTCATACTGCTGCTTAGAGTCATGTTAGTGGATGCTTTAGTTAAATGCTGCATAAAACAGATTACAGAGATTTTATCCCAACTCACTGTTAATCAGATTAATTATTATGGTCAAACTTAGTTTACCTTTTAGATATGTTTCTTATAAGCAACATATAGTATTATTTTTTGGTTCTATTTAACTATAGCCTATAATATTTGCTATAGGAGTCAGTTAATTGATGTCATTGTATATTTATTTGGATTTATTCATAAAGTACTATATTTATAAATATTTATTTATAAAATATTCATCCCCCTTTTTATTCCTTTTTAAATTGTTCTTTACTTTTTTATGACTAAACGTTGCTTTCTCGTGGTACAGTTTCCTTTTCTAGTATTTGTAGTACCTGTTATATTTCTATCCTCTTCTTGGTTATTCTAAAAAATTTAACATACATACTCTGTTCATCAATATTCAAAAATAACCAACAATTTCATCCTTAATCACATCACTATGAGAACATTAAAACACTTTAAGCTGTGTTCATTCTATTCTAAATCACATCCTATTTTTAGTTATTTATTGCATTATATTATAGAATTTTAACTGTTTTATACATAAAATGTGTATTAGTATGTATCCCTATGTATACCAATTTCCATGCTCATTGTTTAGCATTGTTCCTTGTACCTCATATCTCCTAATGGGATCCATTTCCCCCCCCCCCTTAATTATAGCTTTGGTATTTCCGTTATTCAGGGTCTGTTGGTGGCAATCCTCTCTGTTGTTTAGAGTTTAATTGAAATTTTTCTTCTGAAATTAAAATTGTTTTTTCTTGTTCTGAGAAGTAAATTTTACAGTGTATTTAATGCTAGAGAATGGATATTTTATCTCATTACTTGGGGGTATTTTCATACTCCTTCTACCTTCCGTCGTTTTTAAGTAGTCAACAATTGTCATTCATTTCCTTTTAGGTAGTAAATTTTTTCTTTGGTGGCTTAAGATTTTAAGATACCTTTTCCTTGATATTTGGTACAAACATTATGGTTTTTTTTCTGTGGTTGGTTGTGTATGTCTGTATAATTATGCTGCTTGGGTGTTATTTGATTTCCTATAACGCAATATTAGAATTTTCTCATTAATTCCTTGAAAATTATCAACCAGTAGCTATTTAAATATTGCCTCCTCAATATTTCACCTTTCCAGTGATTAGATATTAAAATTGTTTATTCTCCATGTAGCTTAATTCCTCTTTCATATTATCTATGGCAGGCAGAATTCTATGACAGCTCCCAGATCCTCGTCCCCAGAGATTATACACCTCCTGTGTAATCCCATGGGATAATCACCCTTATGATTAGGTTATATGACACCATTGACTTTAGAAAGAGAAATTAACTTTGGAGAAATTGACTTAATTCTGAAAAAGAAATGGTTTCTTCCTGAAAAATAAGTAAGAAGCATAAAAGAGATCAAACATGAGGGAGACTCTGTTGCTGGCTTTGAAAACGGAGGCTGTCACAAGATGCAGATGGCTCTTAGGACCTGAGAGAAAACCAAACTTTGTCTAATCTGCTTCTAATAATAAATGTTGAATTCTTAATATTAATAATTATAGTTTTTACTCTAAAAGTTGTATATATACACAAGTGTGTATGTATATATACACAAGTGTGTATACACAAGTATATTTACATATATACATAAATGTATATACATATATACACAAATGTATATACATATATACACACATATAGTTCCATTTATATGGTCTATTACATTTTAATGATATTTTCAATTCATTTAAAACATTATTTTTAAACATAGACCTTCATTTATGAAAATGTCGAGGCCTGAATTGAAGGTTGGATCTTCCAAAGATGTGTTTTTTCTGCCTAATATTAATATGGTTTGGCTCTGTTTCCTCCACCCGAATCTCATGTTGAATTGCAATCTTCATTGTTGGAAGAAGGCCTGGTGGGAGGACACTGGATCATGGAGGTGGATTTCTCCCTTGCTGTTCTCATGATAGTCAATGAATTCTCATGAGATTTGGTTGTTTGAAAGTGTGTAGCACTTCTCCTTTTGCTCCCTTTCTTCCTCCTGCCCTCACCATGAAGAGGTGCTTGATTCCTCTTCGCCTTCTGCCGTGATTGTAAGTTTTCCGAGGCTTCCACAGAAGCAGAACCCTCTACAGCCTGCAGAACTAAGAGTCAGTTATAACTGTTTCCTTCATAAATTACGCAGTCTCAGGTAGTTCTTTACAGCAGTGGGAGAACAGACTGAGAACACCAGTATCTAGGGGAATTATCAGAATGAATATGGTTTAAACAATCATTGGTTGGAATATTTTAGGGCCACCTAGGTGCTGTCAATCCTGACTGAAATCCTAAGTGAAAATTGGCTTAAATTTACAAATTCTCAGGGGACTCTATTGTTCCTCGAAAAATACAAATATTTGAGGAAAGACAATCCTTATTACTGCCCTGATGAGGCTGCGAATAGGGTGAGGAAGACGTGTTCTAGTTTGTCCTTTAATTTTTTAAATTTTTTAGAGACAGATCCTTGCTCTGTCACCCAGGCTAGAATGTGGGGGCACAATCACAACTAGCTGTGCCCTGCAACTCCTAGACTGAAACAATTCCCCTACTTCAGCCTCCCAAGTAGCTGGGGCTACAGGTGCCAGCCACCATGACTGGCTAATTTTTTTTTTTTTGCAGAGACGTGGTCTCACTATATTGCCCAGGCTGGTCTAGAACTCCTGGCCTCAAGTAATGTTCCCAGCTCAGCCTCCCAAAGTGCTGAGATTTACAGGAGTGAGCCACCATGCTCGGCCCCCTAGTTTATCCTTACAAAGAGGAAATAGCCTTTTAGACGCCAAGGTTTAGGGAAGTAGGTCTATTTGATTTCTCACCTAGGATATTTTCTGTGCCCTGTGTTCTAACATGGTAGGTTATGACAATACAAGCTTAGTGTTAACAAACTTGGGAGGCTGAGAAAACCCAAAATCAGGAACATAGACAATCACCCTGAGTGAATTGAGATTCATTGCTTTGTTTATTACTATGGGTTCTCTTTCCTCTTAGTTGCAGGCTTTTTAGGATTCCTCACTTTTCTCTCACCTTATGTTCTTTAAAAGCATTTTGTCTACTGTCTTAGTTTTTTTCAGAGACAGTGGTTTATTGTGTCTAATGCATCATGTTGATAAAATGGAAGTTTCATTCTCTTCTCTGATATACTTTTTTTAAAAATTAAAGTAAGTTTCTTTGAATATTGTTACTACATTCCTAGGTTTTAGGAAATGCAAAAGAAAATCATTTGCAAGATTTTTATGTCATTATAGCACTTCATAAGACATGCACACCAGTCCGGGCGCGGTGGCTCACGCCTGTAATCCCAGCACTTTGGGAGGCCGAGGCGGGCGGATCACGAGGTCAGGAGATCGAGACCATCCTGGCAAACACGGTGAAACCCCGTCTCTACTAGAAATACAAAAAATTAGCCGGGAGCTGTGGCGGCCGCCTGTAGTCCCAGCTACTCGGGAGACTGAGGCAGGAGAATGGCGTGAACCCGGGAGGCGGAGCTTGCAGTGAGCCGAGATCGCGCCACTGCACTCCAGCCTGGGCGAGAGTGAGACTCCGTCTCAAAAAAAAAAAAAAAAAAGACATGCACACCAAATATTACCTATGTAATATAATAATACATTGTAAAATAATATTGCCTCTCTAAAACAATATATTTTAGAGACCACTTGATAGCAATAAATATATTTATGCAACTAAAAATTGTAACATTAAAACCATTACCAAAACCAGTTATTGGCTAAGATATTTTTCTATCTTAAGATGGTAGGGTAGTACATATTAAATTGGGATTGCTATATCTTAAGGAGAAACTACAGAATAGCTTTTATAAGAATAAATTGAATTTAAATATGATCTTTGTAAGCTAAATAAAATTGTGATTATCTTTAATTTTGAAGTCCTTTGAAAAAGTTTGTCCAATCACACTGTAAGTATACATTTGAAATCCCAAATGTGGCAGAAATGTTAATAGGCAATATGTTAATACATGATTTTAGGACTTTTGTTCATCTGAGTATAGCTTAGCATTTATTACTTATTTTAGAATATTGCTAATATAATTAAGTTATTAGCTATGGGGGCAGGGTCTCTTTTTTCCGTTTTTAGGAAGGTGGTCTCTAGTTGGTAGACAATGAGAAGAACTAGGCAACGTTTTCAAAAATTGGTAATTAAAATACAAAACAATAGTCAAAATATGATGGATCATCCATATTATTAAATACTTTTTAAAAAGTTCTATTTGTATGTTGTTCATGTATTAGTAAGCTGATGATTTTATTACTTCTAGATGCTGACTCTATTGATGGAGTATGGTAACAATTGCAGACAACTGGAAAAAAATTAGCATTTTTAATAAGAAGTAATAAAAGGCCGTGCCTGGTAGCTCACGCTTGTAATACCAGCATTTTGGGAGACCGAGGTAGACTGATCACTTGAGCCCCGGAGCTCGAGACCAGCCTGGGCAACAGGATCAGACTCTGTCTCTACAAAAAATACAAAAAGTTAGCTGGTGTGGTGGTATGCACTTGTAGTTCCAGCTACCCAGAAGTCTGAAGTGGGAGGAACGCTTGAACCAGGGAATCTGAGGCTGCTGTGAGCTGAGATCACACCACTGCACCCCAGTCTGGGCAACAGAGTGAGACCTTGTTTCAATAATAAAAAAAAAAAAAAAAGAAAAAGTAAATACATATGAAACTGTAGTTAAAATGTAAGAGTTCTACTCTTATCTAATTTCTAGGAAAATTATTTTTGCATATTCTCTACAGAAATGTCATCTATGCTATTTGAGTGACTGTAAGTATTTTTTACTAATAAATCTCACCAAGCCAATTTTTATTACCCTAGAGTTGAGAAAAGAGGAAAATTGTTGGAAGCCACATCAAAACATTGAAGAAAAGAATAAATTTGTCCGCTGGGTGCGGTGGCTCACTCCTGTAATCCCAGCACTTTGGGAGGCCAGGGTGGGTGGATCACGAGGTCAGGAGTTCGAGACCAGCCTGACCAACATGGTGAAACCCCATCTCTACTAAAAATACAAAAAATTAGCCAGGCATGGTGGCGCGCACCTGTAATCCCAGCTACTCAGGAGGCTCAGGCAGGAGAATCACTTGAACCTGGGAAGCAGAGGTTGCAGTGAGCCAAAATCGTGCCATTGTACTCCAGCTTGGGTGACAGAGTGAGACTCCATGTCAAAACAAAGAATGAATTCGTCTCATCCTTGATCAGATCAGTCAAAATGTCAGCCTCTAACTTTACAAGAGCATGACAGTTAAGTGAGAGAAAATCTGCAACAAGAATATAGTCATGGTCTTGAAATAGTTCCTTTCTTGTTCAATGAGAAATAAGAGCCAGAGGATTGATAACAGTCCAAGAACTAAGTATTGAGTTATATTCTGGGTTTTCTGTAGGGTAGCCCAAAGAGAAGAGCTATAATAATCCACCATGGGGTTAAAAGTAGTATTCGGAATTTTAGAAATTAAGAATAATGAAAAGAGTCCAGCTGCTGCTCTTTGTCTTCATGATATCTTCTTTTATTTTATTTTTTTTATTTTTTAATTATAGTTTAAGTTCTAGTGTACATGTGCATAACGTGCAGGTTTGTTACATATGTATACATGTGCCATGTTGGTGTGCTGCACCCATTGACTAGTCATTTACATTAGGTATATTTCCTAATGCTATCCCTCCCCCATCCCCCCACCCCATGACAGGCCCTGGTGTGTGATGTTCCCCACCCCGCGTTCAAGTGTTCTCATTGTTCAATTCCCACCTATGAGTGAGAACATGTGGTGTTTGGTTTTCTGTCCTTGCAATAGTTTGCTCAGAATGATGGTTTCCAGCTTCATCCATGTTCCTACAAAGGACATGAACTTATCCTTTTTCATGGCTGCATAGTATTGCATGGTGTATATGTGCCACATTTTCTTAATCCAGTCTATCATTGAGGGACATTTGGGTTGGTTCCAAGTCTTTGCTATTGTGAATAATGCTGCAATAAACATATGTGTGCATGTGTCTTTATAGCAGCATGATTTATAATCCTTTGGGTATATACGCAGTAATGGGATGACTGGGTCAAATAGTATTTCTAGTTCTAGATCCTTGAGGAATCGCCATGATATCTTCTTTTAATGTCAACTTTTATTTTAGAAACATAGAATACATGTCCAGGTTTGTTACATAGGAATATTGCCTGATGCTGAGGTTTGGAGTATGGATCCCATCATTCAGGCAGTGAGCATAGTACCCACTAGGTAGTTTTTCATTCCAGGCTCTCCCCCGAACCTTTTCCCCTCTGGTAGTCCACAGTGTCTATTGTTCCCATATTTATGTCCGCATGTGCTCATTGTTTAGTTTTCACTTTTAAGTGAGAATATACATTATTTGGTTTTCTGTTCCTCCCTGCATTAATTCACTTAGGATCATGGCTTCCAGCTGCATCCATGTTGCTGCAAAGGATATGATTTCATTATTTTTTAGGGCTGCATAGTATTCCGTGGTATATACGTACCACCAATCTACCATTGATGGGAACCTGGGTTGATTCCATGTCTTTGCTATTGTGGATAGTGTAGCTATAAACATACTCATGCCTGTGTCCTTTTAGTAAAATAATTTATTTTCCTTTGGGTATATACTCAGAAATAAAATTGCTGGGTCAAATGGTAGCTTTGTTTTAATTTATTTGGGAAATCTCCAGACTACTTTCCACAGTGATTGGACTAATTTACATTCCTACCAGCAGTGAATAAACATTCCCTTCTCTCCACAGCCTCACCAACCTCTGTTGTTTTTTGACTTTTTGATAATAGTCATTCTATCTGCTGTGAGATGGTATCTCATTGTGGTTTCGATTTGCATTTCTCTGATGATTCATAATGCTGAACATTTTTTCCTGTGTGTTGGCTGCTTTTATATCTTGTTTTGAGAAGTGTCTGTTCATGTTCTTTGTCCATTTTTTAATGGGGCTTTTTTTTTGCTTGTTTATTTATTTAATTTCCCTATGGACTCTAGATACTAGGCCTTTGTTGGATGCATAGTTTGTAAATATCTTCTCCCATTCTGTAGTTTGTCTGTCTGCTCTGTTGATAGTTTATTTTGCTGTGTAGAAGCTCTTTAGTTTAATTAGGTCCCACTTGTCTATTTTTGTTTTTGTTGCAATTGCTTTTGGGGACTTAGCCAAAAATTCTTTGCCAAGGCTGATGTCTAGAAGACTATTTCCTAGGTTGCCTTATGTATTTTTGTAGTTTGAGGTCTTACATTTAAAATCTTGGATCCAGGTTGAGTAAATTTTCATAAATGGTAAAAGATAGGGGTCCGTCTTCAATATTCTGCATGATATTCTTAAGATGCAGGGCTGTCTAGTAGGCCCTTTCTGGAATAGCTCAGCTTCTGTTGATAGAATCCTAAGACAGGAAGAGAGTTCTAAGACTGCCTTTGTGACTCATCTGCTGAGGTGAAGTCAGAGAAGGAAAAGAAAAAAAGAGAAGAGAAAAATCCTTCTTGAGATAGGAAATGTAAAATAAAGAATTACAGTCACTTCAAATTGTTTTTAGTTAGAAAGTCACAGTTTAAAATGAGAGTTTTATTTTCTCCTCCTAACTACAGAACTACCCTTGTAATTATTTAGATTTGGATAATTTCTATATTCCACTTAATTTCTTTTGTGTGTATATCCTAAGTAGATAACAGATAAAGGGACTGGTAAATTAGATGGGCAGAGAGATAGATATAAAGAAACATAGATAAGTACATAGATAAATTACACATATGCCCACACATTTGTACAGAGAGAGATTAGAAAAATGGAAAGCTTAAAAAGATACATAAGAAGACTCTATAAAAAGACTTTAAAATCTCAAAAGGGAATGAAGTAAAAAACTTAGGACTGAGGCTTTCAAAGGGATAGAGCAAATTTCATCCTTAATATTAAATGCCATCTGTCTCTTCCCTCTCACTCCCTCTCTGGGGCAGTCTTCCACGTATTAAAAAGGCAGACTCAGACAGCATATTTGCATTTTATTTCGTTATGGTCTAGTGGTTTAAATTTACTCTGATACCCTGCATTTGACTTTCATAACATAGAATAAACCTATTTCCTGAATTATTTACCCAAAGTTTTTTAACAAATACCATATAATTTGTGGACATTCAAGGGGTTTAATTCACAAATATAATAAAATTTAAGTAAATGAAAGAACTACTCTCATCACATACAATACCATCTAGTTGAAGTCTTGGAAAGTAATGACATCCGATGATAGATGTCAAGATGTAAATATTTTGGATATATCAGTGCAGTAATAGCATTAGCTTTCTAAGGTTGCATATCAAAAGAAAGGCATCAACTGCCAAAGGGCATTTAAATACCTAACCACATAGCTAAAGTTATAATATTTTATCCACATGTTGCATTCCATTGACTTTTGGCTTTGTCTGTTGCTAAAAATGTCTTCCAGATGCCACCATTATTGTTATAGATCCATTTCAAGTTTTAGACTACTTAAGTTAAGGAGAAAAATGTTTTAAAATCAAATGTTTAAGGTATGAACAAATACTTTGAGGGGAAAATTTAAGAGATCGTTGTGCATTTCTTCCCAATTTTATACTGATATGTAAAATACAAATACATTTGTTCCTTTATTGAACTTTTATGAGTCTTTGATGTATGTTTTCACTTTTTTACCATTGAAAAAAATTTTACAGAATAAAAGCAAAATTCTTTTAATTTACTTAAACCAGTTAGGTAAAAAATAATAAAAAGTCCTGTTTGTATAAAATTGAAAATAAAGGGGACATTATATTGGTATTACAAAAAATAGAATATCCAAGATTTGCTATTACTTCATGTTATGCACTATAACCACAGTTGAATTTATTAGCATTTGCTCATAATAAGGCTTTGTAGGTTGATATTGAATCCCGGTATTAGAAGACATAAAAATAATTCTTCTTTTAGATTTAGAGAAAGCACCAGGCATTGCAGTTATAATAAATATGCTAATACTTATTTTTATTTAAACTCTATAAGTTGAATTATTTATTTTATTTTTGGCTCATACATGATTTTAATATAAAAAATTGAGTCAGAATTACTTTTTATTTGTTGGAAAATACTCTTTCTAAACAGCGATTTTAAATATTCTGTAGAAATCACTAACTAAAGTTAAGTTTACTTTTAAAATCGGTAACTCAAAGTTTTTGCTCTGTATCTACAAAGTGCCCAGTACTGTACAAGTCTTTTACCCAAATTAGAATAAGCATAGGTAAACTAATTCACCTTTATTGAACACATGATATTTTCCAGGCACTGTTCTAAACCCTTTATATGTACTAACCCAAACCCATGTAATTATCATAATAACTGTACAAAGTGAAAATTATTTTTTCTCCCATTTTACAGATAAAAAAACTAATATTTAACTTTTGTAATTATTTATTAAGTAAATAAAGTGAATATACTCTTATATAGTACTTATTTTGTGTTTTACTGGCAAAATTATATTTCAATCTTACATGAGGTAGAAGAGGTCATTGAGTTTGACCCATGGAGGAGTTCAGTGGGAGATTAGGATTGTAATTGTCATTTTTCTACAATCAGACAAAATTATATAAATCAAAGTAAAACATATTTTTACAAAAATGTACATAGCATTATATAGGCAATATGGGAAAGTAAAGAAACACAGAAAACATATATTCCCTGACCTCAATGGTGGAACAAAATTCAAAGCAAACAAACAGAAGAGTGGAATCTGTGATTTGCAGTGGTCTGGTGAGGTAGCCAACTTATTCAGAATATAGTGAGATTTGGATACCTTTGCAGGTGAGCTGTGACTAGTAACAGAAAGTCCAAGAGTGGGCAACATGTGGCGACACAGAAAAGTAGTCAATATGTATTATGAAGAACAGATGGCATAGGCATATTGCGATTTCAGTCCTTTGGAGCCCTGGGAAAAGTGAAGACAAGGCCTTAATATTGGAGGGACCAAGGTAAAGGATCATTTATAAGACAGAAACTAAAGCACTGAGACCCAGATACTTGTAGAAAAGGACTGGAGCACCAGAAAACCAATCCCCAAACCCAGTTATTAGACATGAATCCTAAGCTTCATGAGTACAAGAGTTGGACTCAATGCTTGGTGGGTTTCATTACAGGTCTCCTGAGGTATTTCATCAGACCCCCTTCATTACCCAGAAAGTAAGGACAACGATGGTGCTGAGCCTGTCAGGGTTTTCAGGTAATCCCAGATTTGAGAATTCAAGGGAATCAAATTTATGTTTATTATTAGGATATGTAAGAACTATAAAATTTCAGACTAGCATAGAAATAATGGTTTTCAATGAAATGTAGTTTTCTTTCTCATAATCTGATATGAAACAAAATTGTGTACTTGTATAATCGACAGCTCTCTTGCATGGAAATTTAAAAGAACAGAGTATGGTAAAAGACAGCATTCACATACACGTAATGAGATTACCTTCCTGACTTTTTGTCTGGTCTTCCCACACATCTGTAGTTGTAACTAAAGGGAGGGTATGGATGGGTTCTGGTGATTATTTAAGGTGCTATTCATTCCTTCCATGTTCATTCACATGATAAATGGTCTACTCAGTTAAGCATTCATTTAACAAATTGCCAAACATACATTTAGAATACAAAGTGTGTCGGGCGCTGTGGCTCATGACCGTAATCCCAGTGCTTTGGGAGGCCGAGGCGGGCGGATCACCTGAGGTCAGGAATTTTAGACCAGCCTAGCCAACATGGTGAAACCCCATCTCTACTAAACATATGAAAATTAGCTGGGCCTGGTGGTGGGCACCTGTATTCCCAGCTACTCAGGAGGCTGAGACAAGAGAATCACTCGAATCTGGGAGGCGGAGGTCGTAGTGAGCCTAGATCGCACCACTGCACTCCAGCTTGGGCAACAAAGAGCAAAACACTGTCTCAAAAACAAACAGAACAAAACAAAACAAAAAACAACAACAACAACAAAGTGAACATCAGCAGAAAAAGCATGAGAAATGAAAAAAGGGATTGAATCCTGATTCTGCCACTTACTAACTAGGGGACTTTGGACAAATTACACAATTTCTGTAAGCCACAGATTTCTTATCTGTTTAATGTTAATACTAACATTTCCCTATAATTATTTTGTGAGGACTGAGTGGCATTGCATCCTGGAAGCAAAAAGCATGTGTTTTATGAATAAATGGTAGTTATTATTACAGAAAACACAGATTTCAAGTTTTCAATTAAATCTTACCTTGTGTATTAGTCAGGGACTAATTAGAGGGACAGAATTAATAGTGTATAAGTATATATGAAAGGTAGCTTATTAAGGAGTATTGACTCACATGATGACAAGGTGAAGCCCCAAGATAGGCCATGTGCAAGTTGAGGTAAAAGGAAGCCAGTGGTGACTCAATCCAAGTCCCAAAACCTCAAAAGCAAGGAAGCCAACAGTGCAGCCTCCAGTCTGTGGCTGAACACCCAAGAGCCCCTGGCAAACCACTGGTGTAAGTCCAAGAGTCTAAAAGCTGAAGAACTTGGAGTCTGATGTTCAATGGCAGGAAGTATCCAGCATGGAGGCAAGATGAAGTCTTGAAGACTCAGCAAGTCAGCTTCTTCCACCTTCTTCTGCCTCCTTTTTCCAGCCATGCTGGCAGTCGATTGAAATAGTGCCCAACCACATTGTGAGTGGGTCTTTCTGAGGTGGGTCTTCCTCTCCCAGTCCACTGACTCAAATGTTAATCTCTTCTGGCAACACCCAGAAACACCCAGATTCACCCAGAAACAATACTTTTATCCTCCTATCCAATCAAGTTGACACTTAATATTAACCATCACAAGTTCAACCCCATGTCAGCTTGAACCCATACACATTTCCTGAAATCATAATTTATCTCCAAATAAAAACAATAAAAGGGCCTTATACCTAGCATAATACAGCTACCCTTCATACAAACTGAAGGGGACTAATCCTTAACCTTAATGCTATTACATTCAGTTAACAACACTTAAATGGTGATATGAAGCCAATAAATCTCATGTCACATGATAAAGGAAAAAGAAAGGAAATAAAATGAAGTTATTTTCTTAGTACAAGAGTATACATGCAAAAACATGTTCTTAACAAAATAAGGAGGAAGTACTCATGAAAATTACAGTCTTTGTTTTTGCAACTGGTCTTGTACTCATAGCTGGTACAGATGATGACCCTTTTCTACTAGCCGTCCTGTATTCCCTTTGCCTCCAGGAAGCACCTCAGAGGGTCATGGTTTTTGACTTGGTGGAGTGAACCGAACCTTCATTCCTGAAGGGTCTGGGCCATTTGTAGTTCTGACTGGACTGGGTTGTTGTAGTTTCCCATTGACCTTAATCACAGGGCATGGCAATACTAAAAGACGCCCAAAGGGATCTCCTGTATTCCACACATACTCTTCCTTACCCCCTCTGTGGGGTAGCAGACTGATTCCATCTTGTTAGTCCAGGTCAATCACCCCAGCCAACACTGCAACTCTCTTCTTAGCCTGTTGACTTAGAGGAAGGAGGAGCCCAAAGTGGCCAGGTGACAACCTCAACTTCCAGTTTAATGGAATCATTGTTATTTCTCCTGGTGGCACCATTCCTCCCTCTGGAACTAAGACCTCTAGGCCAGCAGAACATAATGTCATGGGGAAAGGAAGCAAAAATTTTGCTAATGGGTCACTAAGGGTGATGGTGAGTTATGCCACTTCCAGTTCCACCCCTTGATTCCTGGACCTGTGAATCCTGGCTGTGGGAGAAACAGTACCATATATTGGACACCAATTCAGAGCATAAACAACATTCTGGAGAACTTTGCCCCACCCCTACAAAGTATTGTCACCTAATTGGCATTGTAATTGTGACTTCAAAGGCCATTCCACTGTTCTATCTATCCAGCTGCTTCAGGATGACATGGTAAGACTAGAGAATTCAATAAGCATGAGCCCACTGCTACATTTCTTCAGCTGTAAAGTGAATGCCTTGGTCTGAGGCAATGCTATGTAGAATACCATGATGGTGAAAAAGGCATTTTGTGAGTTCACAAATGGTAGTCTTGGCAGAAGCATTGCATGCAAGATAAGTAAACCCATATTTGGAGTAAATGTCTATTCTGGTGAGGACAAACCACTGCCTTTTCCGTGATGGAAGAGGTTCAATATAATCAATATGCCACCAAGTAGCTGGCTGATCACCCTGAGGAATGGTGCCACATTAAGGGCTCAGTGTTGGTCTCTGCTGCCAGCAGATTGGGCACTTAGTGGTGGCCATAGCCAGGTTAGCCTTGGTGAGTGGAAGTACATGCTGCTGAGCCCATGCATAACCTCCATCCCTGCCACCATGGCCACTTTGCTCATGGGCCCATTGGGCGATGACAGGATGACTGGAAAAAGAGGCTGAGTGGTGTCCACAGAACGAATCATCCTCTCCACTTGATTATTAAAATCCTCCTCTGCTGAGGTCAATCTTTGGTGAGTATTCACGTGGCATAAAAATGTCTTCAGTTTTTGACCACTCAGAGAGGTCCATCCACATACCTCTTCCCCAAATTTCTTTGTCACCAATTTTCCAATCATGCTTCTTCCAAGTCCCTGACCATCCAGCCAAATGATTGGCTACAGCCCACGAATCAGTACATAATCATACATCTGGCCATTACTCTTTCCAAACAAAGTGCACAACCAAGTGCACTGCTCAAAGCTCTGCCCAGTGGGAAAATTTCCCTTCACTGCTGTCCTTCAGGGATGTCCTAGAAAGGGGCTGTAGTGCTGCAGCTGTCCACTTCCAGGTGGTGCCTGCATATCGTACAGAGCCATCTGTGAACCAGGCCCTAGTCTTCTCTTCCTCTATCAACTGATCATAGGGAACTCCCAGTGAGACCATCGGTGCAGGGTGGGGGAAAGAAGGCAGGGTGGCAGGAGTGAGGGCCATGGGGATTTGAGCCACTTCCTCATGTAACTTACTTGTGCCTTTAGGAACTACTCGAGCCTGATCATGTATATACCACTTTCATTTGATGATGAAATGCTGCTGTGCATGCCCAGCTTTATGACTAGATGGGTCAGAAGGTACCCAGTACATGATAGGCAGTTCAGGTCACATGGTAACTTGGTGACCCATAGTCAAACGTTCAGTTTCTGCCAAAGCCCAGTAACAGGCCAAGAGCTGTCTCTCAAAAGGAGGATAGTTATCTGCAGAAAATGGCAGGGTCTTGCTCCAAAATCCTAGAGGCCTTTGCTATGATTCACCTATGGGGGCCTGCCAAAGGCTCCAAACAGCATCCCTATCTGCCACTGACATCTAAAGCACCATTGGATCTGCTGGATCATATGGCCCAAGTGGCCTGGACCTGTTGCAGAACCTTCTCTTGTTCTGGAGCCCACTCAAAACTGGCAGCCCTTTGGGTCACTTGATAAATGGGCTGGAGTAACGCACTCAAATGAAGAATGTGTTGCCTCCAAAATCCAAAGAGGCCCACTAGGGGTTATGCCTCTTTCTTGGTTGTAGGAGGGGCCAAAAACAACAACTTATTCTTCACCTTAGAAGAAATATCTCAACAGGCCTCACACCACTGGACTCCTAAAAATTTCACTGAGCTAGAAGCCTCCTGAATTTTAGTTGGATTTATTTCCCATCCCCTGACATGCAAATGTCTCACCAATTAGTCTAGTGTATTTGCTACTTCTTGCACACTGAGTCCAATCAGCATAACGTCATCAATGTAATGGACCAGTGTGATATCTTGTGGAAGGGAAAAGTGATCAAGATGTCTGCAAAAAAGATTATGACACAAAGCTGGAGAGTTGATATACCCCTGATGTAGGACAGTGAAGGTATGTTGCTGGTCTTGCCAGCTGAATGCACATTGCTTCTGGCGGGCCTTATGGACAGAAATGGAGAAGAAGGCATACGTCAAATCAATGGCTTCACACCAGGTACCAGGAGATGTGTAAATTAACAGCTGCAATTGGAGTCACCACTTGGTTAAGTTTGTGATAATCCACTGTCATTCTTCAAGATCCATCTGTCTTCTTCACAGGCCAAATAGGAGAGTTGAACAGGGATGTGGTGGGAATCACCACCCCTGCATCTTTCAAGTCCTAGATAGTGGCACTAATCTCTGCAATCCCACCAGGAATGAGACATTGTTTTTGATTTACTATTTCTCTAGGTAGAGGCATCTCTAATGGCTTCCATGTGGCCTTTCCACCTGATAGCTCTTACCCTACCAGTCAGGGAGCCAATGTGGGGATCCTGCCAGCTGCTAAGCATGTCTATGCCAATTATGCACTCTGGCACTGGGGAAATGACCATAGGATGGTTCTGGGGACTGACTGGACCCACTGTAAGCCAAACCTGAGCTAAAAATCAATTAATTACCTGATCTCCATAAACCCCTACTTTAACTGGAGGACCACAGTGAAGTTTTGAGTTACCTGGAATAAATGTCAGCTCGGAACCAGCGTACAGTAGTCCCTGAAAGGTCTGATAATTCTCCTTTCTCAAAACACAGTTACCCTGGTAAAAGGCCAGAAGTGTCCTTGGGGAAGGATGAGAGAAAGGTTAACAGTATAAATTATCGGTAGTGTAGTGGGGTCCTTCCTCAAGTGAATTGGGGCCTCCCCTTCATTCATGGAGTTTTGGGTCTGTAAACTGGTTCAAGTCTGGAAATTGATTGAGGGGCCATGAGTCTCTATTTCTATCATTCAAGTTATTCTTTAGTCCACTTGACCTGGAAGTTTTCTGCTTATGCAAATTAAGTAGGAATACAGTAGGCTTACTACCAATTTCACTTCTAGGAACACTGTGATTAATTAGCCCTTGTCAGAGCTCTACAGGAGTCAGACTATTCTGATTGCTGCTTTGCATCCGCTGTCCATTATGGTAACTACAACCATCTTGCTTTGACAATTGAGTGCTGCCACTTGGCCTCTGCCACCTCAGAATCCAATTATTCCCATTCCATTTAAGTTTTTCATTTCAGTGACTGTAAGATCTGGTATACAGAGAAGGGCAGTCGCAAAGCTCTTCAAGGATGCAGGTGCTCGCCCATCTCCAGGACCAACTGAACATGTTCAACTTCTGTTCACAAGGAACCATTCTCCACTTCCAATCAAGCTTACACTTAATATTAGCCATCACATCTTTTTTTTTTTTCTTTCGTTCGTCGGAGCAAACCATCCTAACTTCTTTTATTTAAGCCACACCCTTCATCTCTAATTAACACTGTCTCTAAACATCTCTTTTGCCATAGCTCATGTATCCAGTTAGTCTCCAGTCAGTTAAATGTAATTTTTACTTAACCAATATTTATTTGTTAAATTAGTACGACTTCTCTCGCTGCTTTCCATTCCCACTGGTTCTATCATAGTCCAGGTCACTCAATTAGACTGTTTGAAAGATGGCCTCAATTTTTACATCTTATTCTCTCCTGTGTTAATTTTTTAAAACGTGACTGAAATAATTTAATTCCCAAACATGAATAACTTCCATTCCACTTATTGCCAAAAGAATAAACACCAGATTCTTTGACATGTTCTCTGTGGTTGTTCAAATTGTCTTTTGATCTTAATCTCTCAATATCCCCCTATTAACTTACATTTCCTAAAGTGCCCAAATTACTTCCTGGCTTTTAATGTACTTAAGTATTATTATGCTCTTCTTGTCATTATTTATCATCTTTCTATTTCCAACTCAAATATCAGCACACCTTTGAAGTTGTCATTGATCTCAGAGTCAACATTTATTTATCCTTTTTCTATATTTGCACAGGAAATTATTTGAATTAAGAAGTTACTTTATTTTGCCTTAAATTATACCAGAGTCTGAGTAAATTTTTAATTTTTAAAATTAAAATCCTACATCTTGCACAACAGGTCTTCTAATTAAAATTTGTCCAATGGAATTGTATAGATGAGGTCAGATGACTTTACATACACCTGCACAAGATGTTACAATAGCATTCTAGGTCAATGCTATGGTTAAAACAATAAAAATTAATTAAAAAACTTAAGAAGTTATTTTTATAATCATAAAAACAATTCTTAAGCAGAAAAAAGTGAAGAATTAGTCATCAAATGATTAATAAATATTACTTTATTAATATTTGGAATTTATGTTCATCAAAAGACATTATTAAGAGAGCAAAAAAGCATCCTTGGGGCTGGGAGAGAGTATTTATTATATATGTATATATATGGTAATTTACGTGTGTGTGTGTGTGTGTGTGTGTGTTTATATATACATATGCACACACACACACACACATATATTCCAATAAATAACATATCCAGAATACATATAGAATTCCCACAAGTCAGTGATAAAAAACAATCTGGAGCGATGGAGGAGGGGTGGAGCAAGATGGCCAAATACAAGTTCCACTGATTGTTCCCTCTGCAAGTACACCAATTTAACAACTATCTACACGCACACACAAACACACACACACACATACACACACACACCCCTTTATAAACAAAAACAAAAATCAGGTGAGCACTCACAGTGCCTAGTTTTAACTTCATATAGCTGAAAGAGGCACGAAGGAGGGCAGCAGACAGTCTTGGATCACCAATGCTACTACTCCCCCATCCCCCAGCAGTGGCCTGTAGAATGAAGAGAGATTCTCTATGCTTGGGAAGGGGAGAATGCAGCAAAGGATAGACATTACATTGAACTCAGCAGTGCCCTTTCATGGTAGAAAGCCAAACTGGGCTGAACTCAGCTGATGCTCATTCACGGAGGGAATATTTAAACCAGCCCTAGCCAGGGGGCAAGTGCCCATCACAGCGGTTGGAACTTGAGTTCTGGTAAGCCTCAGCACCATGAGCTAAAGGGCTCTGGGGTTTTAAACACACTTAAAGGCAGTCTAGACCACAAAGACTGCAACTCCTAGGTGGTTCTCAGTGCTGAATTTGGTTCAGAGCCAGTGGATAGTGATGGGGCCACACAACCTACTGAGACACCAGCTGGGGCAGCTAAAGGAATGCTTTGCCACCCCTCCCCCGACTCCAGGCTGCATATCCTGTGGCTCCAAAAGAGACTCCTTAGTTCTATTTGAGGAGAAGCGAGAAAAGAGTAAAGAGGTCTTTGTCCTGCATTGTGGATACCACCTCAGCAACAGTAGCATAGGGCAACAGTCAGTCTTAAGACACCCTTTCCAGACCCGAGCTCCCAGATGACATTTCTAGACACACCCTGGGACAGAAAGAAACCTACTATCTTAAGGGAAGGCCCCAATCCTGGAAGCACCCATCAACTGCTGACTAAAGAGCCTTTGGTCTCTGAATAACCACGGTTATAACCAGCAGTGTTAACCTGGTAGTATGCTATGGGACTTGGGTGAAACTTGCTGACTGCAAATGAAGCTCAGCACATTCTCAGCTGTGGTGGTTATGTTGAGAGACCACTTCTGCTTTGGAAAAGCTGGTACCTTAGGTACCAGCTCAGCCACAGTGGGGTAGAGCACCAAGCAAGCTCTTTGGGTCCCTAACTTCAGGACTTCAGTCTTGGATGGCATTTCTGGACCTGCCTTGAGCCAGATGTGAGCCCACTGCCCCAAAGGGTGAGTCCTAGGTCAGTCATCATTCACCACAAGCTGACTGAAGAGCCCTTGGGCTTTAAGAGGACACCAGCAGTAACCTGGCAGTACTCCCCATAGGCTCATGGTGGTGGCCACAGTGTATTACAATTTGGCATAATATAAAGGAAAACACATTTGGTTATATCTAAAAAATATCAATATTTTCCTCATTTCACTTTTCTAAATGACCTATTTCTTATAGATGCCACTTGACCATATTGACAAGTGTTTCTTGTAGAATTATCTATTTGAATAAGGCTAGTAATCTTAAATTGTATTAACCGATGTGAGAATGTACATAAAATCACTCACCAAGTAGACCAATTCCAAACTGAATAAAATGCCATAGATTTAACTTGCTTCTTATCAATATATTGGTAGGGATGGTGCTAAAACCAAAACTATTATCAATAATAATCAGTACAAAAATTGACATTGCAGATAAAACAAATCAAGTGCATAATATTCTCAATGGTCAGGAATGGAAAAATACTAACTACTTTGGGCAGTATATAATCAATGTAATTTTTCAGCCTAAGTTCAGAGTCGTACTATTTGATAAGGTACAGCTAATAAGTAAATATATCAAACAAGTAAATTTCTCCATCTGTGAGTGTGTGTGTGTATATATTCATGTGTGTGTACATACACATTTATTTAGTTTGACTAAGCTATTTTTCCTAAGCTATTAATAATTAATTATCTTATTATTAAGACCCTAAAATCATGTTCAATGTCATAGATGAGAATTGAATTATATCATATTCATAACATATAGGTGTCAAGAGGGGTGCTTTTTGAGGATAAAATTTTTTTTAATCCTCAAATTTTTTAATCAATTTAACCAAATTGATGCTATAAATTTAAAATCAATAAAATTCAAATGTACTATATTTATCAATAATTTGCTTTACACAATTGAATCTATCACCCCAAATTCTCTAATATTTCTTAGTTTAAATTTAAAGGATATATCCTGTTGGCTGAAAATGGAAGACACATATCCTGGAATATTTATGTAAAGAGACCAGCCTGACTGAGACAGATAGATTCTCTATTCTAGCACATTGATCATGGTTGGAAACACTGGCAAGAGCTGTAAAAAACTTACTAAAAATAAATGCAAATAAGTACACTGGTTGCCAAGCAGCACTATCCTATCAAGCTCAATCAATGCATGCAAATACTTACATATATGCTTTAATGACTTGGTGCCTCCCAAAAGAAAATCAAGAGGTGGACAGAGTATATTAGTTCCTACTGCTTTGTTGTGTCTTTTGGCTAATGTACAGAGGAATGATGACTCCCTTTAAGGTGTTTATACCTGGTAAACGCAGACTGGAAAATGAATCAGGCAAGCAGAACATCCCAGTTTCTGCCCTTGGAACCAAAGCAATGCCACCCAACCATTCTTTCAGGTTCTATAGGAAGCCTACAGTAGGGCTTCCTATCCCATCTGAGTGGGAAATAAACTTCACAAGAAGCTAATGGAAAATTCAAGGTAATCTGATTTAATGATAGCATTTATGTAATATGTGCTTATTTTAAAATTTAAAACAGCATGAAAGAAATGACTACATTATTTTTGCAATCTTCTCTCTCGAGGACTTCGCCCAGTAAATATTTATTTGAATAAATGAATATATAATACAAGGAACAAAGGAGCCAAGAAGAGCCAATTCTCTCATTGATTTCTGCTTCCTTCAATCTCTCAGCAAATGTCTCCAGAGTTCTATCATCAGATCTTTTCTCTTCTAGTTGTCTTCAAGAAGGATTTACTTCCATCACTTCAACTTCCTCTTATATGATCATTTCTCCTGAATTTATGTATCAATCTTGGCATTTCTCTTATGTGTCAAACTCACTCAGGTGTTTCTGCTATAACACAATATTTGGGTTACTGAACACACTTCATAATTCATAAAATCACGCATTGAAAGTAACAGGACTTAAGGTAAAACTGTGACTGAAGTGGACTACTAAAAAGCTATATTACTTTGTACCAGGGCACTAACAAAATAATAAAAATAGCTAGCAGTTTAAAAGAGATGTCAAATTCCCAATAAATAAAGTATTCCAGAAAATGTAACATTTGGCCTTAAAAATGGTAGAGGCAATTTTACAGTAGTATAAGAAAAGGTTGACTTTGCTGAATTATGGAGACATCAAAACTTACAAACATAGTAGAGAACGCTTACCATAAACACTCTAAGAAAGATCTTGTGGGCCAAAGGAGAATAGAGTGAATGGACATCATGTACAGTATTTAGTTGTGTTAGTGCACATTGTATTTAGTTGTGCCTTCTTTGTGATGGAAAACATTACTATGCTAGGGAAATTTGCTTATAAGTCAAAGCAATTCTGCATTGTAATGGTATATATCCTACTTAAGCAATTGAGTGCACACTAATATGCATTACAGACAGTCATTGTAATAGAGCAGATAGGATTTCTAACTTTGTATGAAAAAAAAATCCAGCTAGATATTTCATAGGCTTCTCAAACATAAAGGAGCACTGGGTGAAACTTATTATTATCCCTTCCAGACATACTATTTCTCATTTGCCACATGCTTGGCTTAATGGCAGTGCTGTTATCTAGGCTTGAAATGGTGCAATAGCAACAGTGGCAACCACTATTTGAGAGTCTCTGAGGTTTGACTGTGGTCAACTTCCAGCAATTCCACTGTTCAATAATGAACAAATAATTTCATGTTTACAATTAATATTCACATCTACTAAAATAAAAGGATAGTATTTATATCATTTTTATTGTTATCACTAAGTAAAATGATGCTTGAAAATATTTTGGTACAATGCCCTACACTTACATGTTCAATAAATGATAGCCATTATTAAGATCATCTCAACTCCACTTCATCCTTTACATGACTTGAAGTACAATGTGTCATTCGCTCTGCTTCCACTGTCACAACTATAATCCTGATCCTCATTATATCTCCTGAACTTATTACAATAAGTTTCCAAACTTTTTTGTCATAATGATTTCTACCACTCCAATGACATATTTTCATTATTTTTTACATTTTCCTTTAAAAAAAAAAACCAACAATCTGAACCTGATTGCAAATGGTCTACCTATATTATAATATTTATGCATATAATGTTCACATTATAAAGTCACCTAACACAAGAATAATTTACAAAATATATTCTTTCATGTTTTGAAAATCACAGTAAAACAATAATTTATTTTAAGAACAAGTTATTAAAATATAATTAAGATTTCCAGATGTCTATTGAGATTAAAACCAGATGGTTTTGAAATGTGTGCAACTATACTTAGCTACAAGTTATTCTTTTATCTTCTCATTAATAGTATCAAATGACAAGACCCAATGTTTGAAAACACAGAATCAACAAGGATGTTAAAATTGATTCATAGAAATGTCTTCTACTTTCTTCTCATCATCTTCCAATTTTGATTCCTTCAAACATATCCATATGCAAGCTCATATATACACATTACTTATATATACATTGTTGCCATCTGGAAAAAATAGTTCTGATTATAAGACCCAAGAGTATCAGCTCTCTCTAACATTAGAATTAACAAGGTAAAGTATAATAAATTGCAATGTGGGATACCATCCATGAGCAAAATTAGATAAAGGTGCCTATCTCCTATTCATCCCCTATGGACCAATGTGACCCCCAGAAATAACGTTAACCTGTGCTCACTGAGGTTATGTTTTAGTATGCATTTAAGTAAAATTGGAAATAATTGAGTGAAAAAAACAAATGTTTAAGAGTTGGAAAACGTATGTATGAGTGATATACATTTATAACACATAACAAGACAAGTGGACAATATGGTTTAAATAAAAGGTATTAATGTTTATAGTATGTGGTTCTTGTAAATATTTGCTCTATTGGTACATATTTCTAACTAACATTCAGTTTACCATTATGTATTAGATTAATTTGTTAATATGTACATCTTCAATAATAGATTTTGATATCAACAGTAAGAAATATGTTTTAATTATTGTCATAACTAAAACAGAACTCAGAGTAAAGTTGCTACTAAGGAGTGCTTGCTGAATAAATGAGTAACTAATTTAATGGGAAAATAGTATTTGCTGACATAAATGATTGTTGTCACAGATTTAACTATCTGTGAAACTTTGGCAGAGGTTTTATTTCTTATCTCTTAGTATAATTCACTTTTTAATACTAGTAGGTCTGTATCTCCTTTAGAAATGACTCAGTTAAAAGTAGGAGAGTAAATGGAAATAGGGATAAGCAGTGTGCTAACTAAAGTAAGTGTGAGCTTAAAATCCAAATACTCTTGGTAAAAAATGAAGGTATTCCACAATATCCCCACTGTGCCCTACCTTCCAACTCTAAGAAGACTCTGTTTAAAAATGACTGCTAAATTATATGCAATCAAAGGTTATTACTGTTATGATTTTTTTTAGAGCCCTATTCAGGTAAACAGAACCAAGGAGTAAAAGTTATAATGAAGCAATACCTGATTTTAATCCAGTTGTGCTCAAGAATACTACACAGCCAAAACCTAGAATAGCTTGAGGCATATTAGATAATTAATAACTGGGTTTCTTTGGTTGTTATTGGTGGTAATGGTTTTTATATTCTCCAGAATCTGCCATGTTAAACAGAAATAAAAATCTTATGGAGACTTCTGGTTTCAGCTCAGATTTGTAAAGAGCTTAAGAGACATCACTCCCATTCTTACAATAAAAATAAATAAACAAAATGAAAGTCAATGACTTTTCTTGGACCCATGAGAGAATTGATGTTGCAAGAAAAAACCACATCCCCACAATCTAAAGAGACAGGCAAATCCAGAAAGTCACAGCCAGCATTTGCTTATCTGGGGTGGAAGCCATGGGAATAGTACACTAGTAGGAACACCTGACGATAATTTTGATGAATTGCTAGAAGCTGACTATAATGAAAATGAGAAAGAGAAACTCCTGAAAGAATGTAGTTGTAAGGCTGTTCCCACACTTTTGAGTTCTTCCTTCAGGAACCTGATTAGGTTTTCTCTTCATGGGAAAATATTTTGCCAGATTATTATTATTATTGTTATTATTTGAGATGGAGTCTCGCTCTGTCACCAGGCTGGAGTGCAGTGGTGCAATCTCAGCTCACTACAACCTCCACCTCCCAGGTTCAATGATTCACCTGCCTCAGCCTCCAAGTAGCTGGGACTACAGGCGTGCACCACCACGGCCAGATAATTTTTATATTTTTAGTAGAGACAGGGTTTCTCCATGTTGGACAGGATCGTCTGGATCTCTTGACCTCGTGATCTGCCCACCTCGGCCTCCCAAAGTGCTAGGATTACAGGCATGAGCCACCATGCCTGGCCTTACCAGATTATTATTCCATCTGAGGGGAACTACATTTCTCCTACACTAGCCCCTTAGATTCTTCCTATCTCACCTTAAGAAGGAAAATGCTTAAAATCTGCTGTGTAAGTTACATCACATGGACACAGGTTTACTAAAAGAAGACTGAGATTTAATGGTGAAATTATAGAATGCTTTCTCTTCTCACACCTTGACACCACACCAATGGGGTACAGTATAATAATAGAAATTAAAGCTGAAATTTTGTAAGGCACAAGTTTTCTTTCAGGAAAAGTACCTATGAAATCCCCACATCAACAAGGGAGATAAAAATAAGGACAATAGAGGAAATGGAAGCCTCTGGAACATACAGCTACAGCAAATATTAAACCCAGCTTAACTCACAGCACATGTAAGGGAGATGGCTGTGCTTTAGTCAGGAGTAGGCTGAGGTGGCCTTCCAGCACAGCGTGACTCAGTGGGTTTGGAGTGCAGGTGCACAACCCAACACATTATGTAATCACTCCACATGAGGCACATTATGTAACCACTCATGTGAGCTCATGCTTGGCTCGGAGCCCCTATTGTCTGTAAAAGGTATAATTACCCTGCTAATGCTGTACATACAGCTTGTGACCAGAGAGAGAATAAAGCCATGTTGCAACTACCTATGATTCCTCAAGTGTTTTTCCAGCTACCCACCACCTGCCCACAAACTCCCCTCAGACCTCAGCTTGGGCTCGAACCTGACAACTGCATAGCTGGCAGCATCCCAAAGTGAGTGAGCCTTCAGTCCCCGCTGATTCCTGTTCAGCCATGTGGCCGAAACATGGGTTGCGGTACCCAGTGGCAGCTGCACTGGTCAGATGGGCTCTGGTGGAAACCTGGGCAGCGATAGATGGGTCCCCTATGAACATGGAGAAGGCACTGAAGCAGCTGGAAGCACAGAGCAGTGAGAAAGAGTGAGCCTTTGCCGGCAGAGTTGGATGGGCATTTTGGACTGTGCTACAAGAAGTACACACCCAGCTCCTGAGGGATCAGCACAGGTAAGGGACCTCCCGGCTCAGGCGGGCACCTAGAGGCTCAGCTTCAGAGCTTGGAAAAAGTATTAGAGGCCGCTCTGAATGCAGGCCTGGGGCCATCATCTTGGCTGGAGACCCCCACTCAGTCCGATACCGAGGAGAAAGAACCCCCATTGCGGGCTCGTGCAGTGGTCCGTCAGAAGGTAGATCATGAACAGACATTGGGGCCCAAAGGGCGGGCTCAGGGACCCCCTACCATAATGCAACACACTTCATATATTGCCTATACCCCAATTGAGTTGCAGGAATCAGGCAAGCGGTGCCGCCAGCATCAGGGGAACCCCTGTCCGCCTGGATGCTTAATCTGTGGAACAAGGGAGGAGATTGTATCTCCTGTTCCATCTCCGAAATGGAAGAGCATCTTGTGGCTACACTGGAAACTGGGACATGTGGGGGGTGAACTGATGTAACAGGTCAATAAGCGTTGGGGTCTGTCCTTGTCCATGTAAGACATTTGAGAGACTTGTCAGAAATGTCCAGCATGTGCTCATATATACCCTAAATGGAGGCAGCTGCCCAGTGTAACACAAAAAGTGACGATAGGGCAAGTGCCCTTGACCAGGTGTCAAGTAGACTACATCAAGCTGCTGCCGAAGTCGCAAGGTATATGCATGTGCTGACAGCTGTGGACATGGCCACAAGCCTGTTGTTTGCCTACGCTTGCAGGGTGTCCCACCAACAGCACACCATCCAGGCCCTGCAACATTTATGTATCCTGTATGGTAACCCTCTGGCTGTTGAGAGTGATAGGGGAACACATTTCACTGGACAACTGGTATAACAGTGGGCACAACAATTGGACATAACGTGGGTATTTCATGTGCCATACAACTTGCAAGCTGCAGGTATGACTGAGTGATATAATGGGCTCCTGAAGGATGAGTTACACTTGCATGCCATACCCCCATCTTTGTGGGGCTGGAGTTCCAGGCTGGACCTGGTGAGCCAAACCTTGAATGAATGGCCACAGAAAGGCAGCCCAGCCCCAGTGGAGGCTTCGTTACATAGGGCCGCTGTCCCCATTCAGTTGCAGATACACACCAAGGATGACCTCCTCTGACCAGGTATGGGGAAGAATGGTAACCTTTTCTTGCCTGCCCCAATGCCCCTGAAACCAGGGGAACAAAAACCTAGCTGTGGCTATGGACCCTCCAAGCCCCCCACTGCCAGTGGTTGGTCATCGTAGCTCACTGAGGGGAGGGCCTACAGTATGACTTGCATGCCATTACTTGGGTGTTTAATACATGGCCCTTGTGGTTGACTGTTCATAGGGGAATGAAGAGAGAAGGAACCCTCCTCCGGGGGACGTATGTACAGTCTGTGTGGCCTATTATGAGCTCCCCCATGACTTTGTCACAGATACAGGACCCAAAGGAACAATTGGGAGCTGAGAAGTTGTGGTACCATTACCCAGGGCAAAAGCCCTTGGTGGCTGCGTTGTTATTCAGGGATGAAAGTTTAGCCTGTATTTTGCCTGAGAGAGGTAACTTACCTCTGTTAGTACCTGTGCCTGATCTGTCATTTTGACTGCAGGTTAACACGCTCCACCTGTATCATGGACTGGGTCCACACCTACACTGCAGTGACCAATATTTCCAACAGTTGGATCTGCACCACCCCTCCAACAACAGCCATGAATGGCTTGCCTTGGCACATACATTCAGTGTCTGCAGAGAACTGGACATGGGTGGAGATATGGGGTCCCATGGCTGACTCCTGGAATGAATGTGGCAAGCTTTGGACAAAGCAAGTTCCACAGTGTGCCTGCTCCCTGGCTGACCGGTAGCATTTATGATGGGTGGGGCTGTCTAGTGGGGGAACATGTAGTACCCCCAGCCCAAGCACCATGGTGAATAGATCAACATTGGGGTAATACCACTGTGAGATGGATACCTGTCACAGCCTGTGTAAGCATAACACATCACCACACCAAAGGTATGATGGAACAAGTGGCCCCACCAAGGTCGGGCCCTGAAGGACTTTGTGCTCCTTGAGAGTTGATGGATCTGTGGGGACACAGGGTTGCCTTACCTACCAGTGAACTGGACTGGATGTTGTACCTGGGGGTGGCCTTATGTACCTGCCACTGTTCTCCCCACGTTGTGCAGACACCAGCATAACTGGGAGGTGCTATGCTCTCGGATTTTGTGAGTGCATTGAGCCCCCTGCCCCTTAGCAGTGACTACCCTATAGTGGGTGTCATAACTATAGAAGCACAAATTACTGCTCTTGCAGACCACACCACTCATGCTCTGAATTATACCCTAGTGGCCCTCTTCCTGTTAACAGATGAGGCTGATCAGATCAGAAAGGTGGTGTGGTAAAACCAAATGGTCTTAAACATAGTAACTGTTGCCAAAGGAGGCACCTGTGTCCTTTTAGGAGCACAATGTTGTACCTTTATCCCTGACAATCAGAACATAACAGCAGCCCTGCAAGGTGTACCTTTATCCCTGACAATCAGAACATAACAGCAGCCCTGCAAGGAGATAAAGGGAGATAAGGGCAGTTGAGAGCCTTACTGATGATCCCCTGCAGAGATGGTGGGCATCCCTGAGATCTGGCCTATGCTCGACCCTAGTAGTCATAAGTAGCATACCTGGGATCCAGGTAGTGAGCTGTTGCTCTCTGTATTGTTCTTGTTGGTTATGGATTCAGGACTCCACCCTATGGGCACATGTCCCTACCCAGAAGACACCCTTGGCCTAGGGGATGGAGTATAAGGGAGATGGCTACACTTTAGTCAGGAGTAAGCTGAGGCAGCCTTCTGGGGAAGCATGACTCAGCAAGTTTGGAGCACAGGTGCCAACCTTACACATTATGTAACCATGCCACATGAGGCACATTAGGTAACCACTCATGGGAGCTCATGGTTGGCTCAGAGCCACTATTGTCTGTAAAAGGTATAATTACCCTGCTAATGCTGTACATACAGCTTGTGACCAGAGAGAGAATAAAGCCATGTTGCAACTACCTATGATTCCTCCAGTGTTTATCCAGCTACCCACCACCAACCCACTGACTCCCCTCAGACCTCGGCTTGGGCTCAAACCTGAAAACACGGTTAACAGAGAACTTCACATTAAGACCTATTTACCTCACTTCCTTTTGCTCAATACAACATTGAAAAAAATATATAAAAGGAAATTGCCAGGCACACTAGAAGACAAGAACAAAAACCTATAATTTCAAGAGACAAAGCAAATATAAGAAACATATATGACACAAATTTTGGAATTATAGCACAGCAGATTTAAAATAACTGCAATAGCACAAATTATTATCAGAAATGAAAGAGCAGACATCACTACAGATCCCATGGACATTAAAATATAATACAAAAATACTATGAACAACACTGTGTCCACAAATTTGATACTCTAGATAGTATTGACCAATTATTTGAAGGACACAATCTGCCAAAACTCATACAATGGGAGATAGACAGTTTGAATAACATGTATTTATTAAAGAAATTGAAGAAATAATTAATTACCTTCCGAAAACAAAAACACTAGACCCAGATGGAAGCAGTGGTGACTTCTACAAGATGTTTAAGGAAGAAATTATACCAACTCTTATAATCTTTTTCAGAAGATACTGGAAGAGAGAATACTTTTTAACTCATTCAGTGAGGACTATATTACTTTAATACCAAAACCAAAGACATTACAAGAAAACAATACACCATTATTTTCATGAACAGAGATGCAAAAATCCTCAACAAAATATCAGATACCAAGACTGTATAAAAAGTCCAAGACTGTATAAAAAATTATACATCTTGACCCAGGTATGCAAGGCTGGTTCAACATTTAATAATTAGTTAATAAAATTTAGCACATCTACAGGGTAGAAAAAACTCACAAGATTATATGAATAGATGCAAAAAAGCAACTGACCAAATCCAACACCCACTCGTGATATTTCTCAGCAAAGTAGGAATACAGCAGGTTATTTTCTCAACATAATTTAAAAAATCTAGGAAAAAAAATCCTGACAACTAACATTGTACTTAATGATGAGAAACTAGGAGCTTTACTGATAACATTAGGAATAAGATGAAGATGTACCCTCTCACCCCTCCTTTCCAACATTGTACAGGAAGGCATAGCTAATTCAATAATACAAGAAAATAAAATGAAAGGTATACTGATTAAGATGGAAGAAAAAAACTGTTTTTGTTCACAGATCACATGTTCATCAACATGTACAATTCCAAAGAATCAATAAAAAATTGCAAATAACCTAATTTGCAGGATACTAAATTAAATATAAATATCAAACACTTTTCTATATACCAATAATTTGTTAAATTTTAAGTGTTATGATACCACCTCTTATATTAGAACCCCCCAAAATAAAACATATATGTATAAGTCTAACAAATATACAGAAGATCTACATGAAGAAAAGTACAAAAACTCTGATGACTGAAATCAAAGAGAACTAAATAAATGAAGAGAGATTTCATTTTTATAGATAGGAAGACTCAATATAGCCAAGATATCTGTTTTTCCTGACTTGATTTATAGATACAACATAATCCCAGTCAAAATCCAAGCAAGGTATTCTATGGATAACAACAAAATGATTTTCAATTCATATAGGAATGCAAAAGAAACCACAATAGACAACACAATATTGAAGAAGAAGAGTAAAATTGGGGGACTGCTTCCACCTGTCTTTAAGGCTTACTATAAAAACTACAATATCAAGACAGTGTGAAATTGGCAAAATAACAGACAAATCGATCAATGGAACAAAATAGAGAGCCCAGAAAAAGACAAACATAATGTAGTCAACTGACCTTTGACAAAGTAGCAAAAGCAATATAATGGAGAAAATGTAGTCTTTTCAGAAATATTGCTGGAACAATCAAACATCTACATGTGAAAAAATTAATCTAGACAAAGATTTTACAGGCTTAAAAAATTTACTCAAAATGAATCATAGCCCTAAATGAAAAAGGCAAACCTATCACACCTAGAAGATAACAGTGAAGAAAACCTTGATGACTTTGAGTATGGCAATGACCTTTCAGATTTGACACCAAAGGTACAATCCATTAAAGAAAAAATTAATTAGTGAGACTCTCTTAAAATTCAAGATTTCTGCTGTACAAAAATGTTGCCCAAAGAATGAGAAGATGAACCACAAAATGGAAGAAAATATTGCAAAAGACTTATCTGATAAAGGAGTGTTATCAAAAATATAAAGAACTTTCAAAACTCAAAAATAAGATAACAAATAAAAATGGATGAAAGACTTGAATAGGTGTGTCACCAAAGTAGATATACAGATGGCATATAAGCATATGAAAAGATGCTCAACATGAGATATCCTTAGGGAACTGCAAATTAAATCAGGATAACCCAACACACCTATTAGTATAGCCAAAATCAAAAACACTAACAACATCAAATGCTAGTGAGAATGTGGAATAAAAGGGATTCTCATTGACTGATGGTAGAAATGCAAAATAGTACAGCTACTTTGGAAGAAAGTTTCGTAGTTTCTTGCAAAACTGAATGCACTCTTACCATATGATCCAGCAATTGTACTTTTTGATATTTATAAAAATGAGGTGAAAACTTACGTCCACACAAAAACCTGCACATGAGTTTTATAGTAGCTTATTCATAATTGCCAAAACTTGGAAGCAATCAAGATTTCCTTCAGTAGATGAATGAATAAATGAATAAGGTACATCCAGATAATGAAATACTATTCAGCACTAAAAAGAAATAAGCTATTAAGCCAAGAGACATGAAGAAACCTAAACACATATTACTAAGTAAAAATAAAAAAGCCGATCTGAAAACTCTGCATACTGGATTCTGGAAAAGGCAAAACCATAAAGACAGTGAAAGGATCAATGCCTACCAGATATTAGGCAGTAGGATATAGGCAAGACACAGAAGATTTTTAGAGCACTGAAACTATCCTATATGATATTATAATGCTGGATACCTGTCATTATAAATTTGTCCAAACCTATAGAATGTACAGTACCAAGAAAGTAGTAATGTAAACTATGGAAGTTGAGTGGTGATATGTCAAAGTAGGTTCACTGATTGTAACATGTACCACTCATGTGTGGGAGTTTAATAGTGAAGGATGTTATGTGTATATGGGGACAAGGGTATAGGGAAATCTCTGTATCTTTTTCTCTATATTGATGTGAACCTAAAACTGCTCTAAAAATAAAACACACTTTTTAAAAATTTTGATCAATAGTTAAGGGCCTTAATAGAAAAAGGAGGCCAAATGCAACAAATGCAAGCATAGAAAAGTAATGTAAGTAGAAAGATGGAGACTTTTAGAATCAAAGGAAATGCTAGAAACAAAAAAGCTGTAACAGAAATTAAGAGTGTCTTCAATGAATTTATCAGTAGACTGAACATGATCAAGGAAAGAATCAGTAAGTTTGAAGACATATCAATAAAAACTCCCCAAATTAAAATGGAAAAAAGAATAAAAACACAGAAAAGAACCAGAACTGTGGTACAATTTCAAAAGATAAATATTTGTGTAATGGAAAATCCCGAAGGAGAAGAGAGAACAAAGAAATAAAATAAATATGTAAAGTAATAATGGCCAAAAACTTTCTAAGAATAGTTAAAAGCACACAACCAGAGATCCAAGAAGCTTGGAAAACATCTATAAGCATAAATACACTTAAAAAACAAAAACTACACCTGGGCATATTATGTTTTAATTGCAGAAAATGAAAGACAAAGAGATAATCCTAAAGGAAGCCAGATGGAAAAAAACACATTATCTGTATAAGAACAAGCATAAGAATTACAGCAGACTTTTCACCAAAAAGCATGCAAGCTAGAAGAAAGTGGAGGGAAATGTTTAAAGGATTAAAAAATGAAACCCGCCAACCTAGAATTATATATGAAATAAAATTATTTTTTGAAAGTGAAGAAAAATGAAGATATTCTTAGAAAAAATAAAAACCGGGAATTTGTCAATAGCATATCCCTTACAAGAAATGTTGAAAGAAGTATTTCAAAGAGAAGGAAAGTGATATAGGCATAAATTTTCATCTAAATAAAGAAAGGAAGATTTTCAGAGAAAGAATAAATGAAGATAAAATGCTTCATTTTTCTTATTCTCACTTTAAAATATAACTGTTTATTCCTACTAGGTATGCTAATTACATGGGTGATTAAATAATCTGTACACCAAACACTTGTAATAACCAATTTTCCTATGTAGCAAACCCGCACATGTAACTCTGAACCCAAAATAAAAGTTGGAAAGAAAAAAATTAGAACTGTTTACATTGATAATAGTAATTATATATAGTGTGATTACAGCACATAGATAAATAAAATGAATTCAGCAATGTCATAAGGAATAAGAAAAGGGAATTTGAAATGCTCTAATATAAGGTACATGCACTATACGTGAAGTGGTATAGTGTTATTTGAAGGTGAACTTAGATTAGTTAAAAATGTATAGTGCAAACTCTAGGGCAATCATAAAGATATTTTTAAAAGAAGTATAACTGATGCTATAGTTCAGATACTTGAACCTCCAAACCTCATGTTGAAATTTGATCCCCAGTGTTGGAGGTGGGATCTAGTGGGAGGTATTTGGGTCATAGGGGTGAGTTTCTCATGAATATATTAATGCTCTTTATTGCTGGGGGTATGAATGAATTCTTATTCTGTTAGTTCCCATAAGAGCTGGTTGTTTTAAAAGGCCTGGAAATCCCCTCTCCTGGTTTCTTCTCTCTCACTCTGTGATCTCTGTACATGGTGGCTTCCCTCCCCTTTTGTCATGAGTGCAAGCAGTCTGAGGGTTTCATCAGAAGCAGATGCTGGTGACTTGCTTCTTATACAGCCTGCAGGGCCATGAGCCAGATAAACCTATTTTCTTTATAAATTACCCAGCTTCAGGTATTCCTTTAGCAACACAAGCAGACTAAGACAACTAATATTCTAAGAGAGGAGATAAAATCGAATTTTATGAAATGCTCAATTAAAGGCAGAGGAGGCAGGAAAAATGAACAAAAAACAAATGCAATAAATAGAAAACAGTTACAAACATGATTGATATAAATCTAAATAATTAATAATCACTTTAAATATGAAAGGTATAAATCTACCAATTAAAGACAATGATTATCGGAGTGGATAAAAAACAAGACCCAGTTATATGTTGTCTACAAGAAACCCACTTTAAATATAAAGACTGCTATTTCAATAATAGATGTGTGGAGAAAGACATGATATGCTAACACTAATCTAAAGGAAGCTTGAGTAGCTATATTAATTTTAGACAGAGAACACTTCAGAACAAGAAATATTATCATGGATTAGGAGGGGCATCATGTAATGATGCATCAATTCTACAAGTTGGCATAGTTGTCTTTATCATGTATATAGCTAATGAAAGAGTGTCAAAATATGTCAGGCAAAATTTATATAACTAAAAGGAGACATAGGAAAAATTACTATTATAGAGTATTCAAGCTTCCTTTTAAATAATTGATAGTTCAAGCAGGCAGATAATCAGTAAAGACACAGTTAACCTAATCAGCACTATCAGTCAACTGGAGCTATTTGACATTTATAGCTATTTTATAAATATTGACTAACTGATTGTAGAGTTCATTTGGAAGATGAAAGAGCCTGAATAGCCAAGAAAATACTGAAGAAGAACAAAACTGCAGGACTCACACCATGCAACTTGAAGACTTACTATAAAGGTACTACAAGACAGCACAGTACTGATGGTGAGAAAATAGACCCATAGTTCAAAGAAAAAGAATAAAGAACCCAGAAATAGACCTGCAGAAGTATAGTCAATTCATTTTGGACAAACGAGAAAAAGCAATTTTTTTAAAAAAAGATACTTTTTGTCAACAAATAGTACTGGAATAAGTTGACATTCATATACAAAAAAAAAAAAAACAGGCAAAAATGAAAACAAAAAAATCCCACAGAAGTATAAGTTCTAAAAGAAATACAAGAGAAAATCTAGATGACCTTAAGTATGTTGATACATTTATAGGCACCATACCAAAAACATGGTCTATGAAAAGAAATTTACAAACTGGACTGGATTAAAATTAAAATTTACCTATAAAAGACATTGTTAAGGAAAGGAAAGAATAACCCACAGACTGGGAAAAAAATACATGTTTGATAAAGTTATTGTATTCAAAATATATAAATAACACTTAAAACTCAACAATAAGTAAACAACCCAATTAAAGAATATACAAAATCTATTAATTTAAATTAAAAAAATCTGAGCAGACATGTCACCAAAGGTAATATAGAGATGACAAATAAGTTTGATGAAAATGTTCTCAACATCGCTTTACATTAGGAGATTGTAAAGTAAAATGTTTAGATGTTGGTCAAACAATCTTTTGACCATTATCTCCCCATTCCTTCCTCCCCACTAACTACTCTAGCCTCTGGTAACCACCATTCTATTTTCTAATTTGAGGAGATCAACTTTTTTAGACTTCATTTATGAGCGAGATCATGTTGCATTTGTCTTTTTGTGCCAGGCTTATTTCACCTATCACAAGGTCCTCCAGGTACATCCATGTTGTTGCAAGTGACAGGATTTTGTTCTCTTTCATCAATAAATAGTATTCTGTTGTATATACTGCAGCACTATTCACAATATTCAATGGAAAGCATAGGTTTTTGTTGTTGTATACAACCTGTATCTAATAATGTAATTGCAATATCTGGAATTATTGGAGGTGTGTTTCTGTTTTCTACTGTATTTGCTGATCCTGGCTTGTGTCTTCTTTATGGTGGTTGTTATATTTGATTGCTTGCTAGCTAGTGTTTGAAAAATTACTTTGAGACACAGTTCGAGGATGAAAATAAATGTTTCTTTAGAGGATTTTTGTTTTCTTTTGTGAGGCACCAGAGGGGGCTAGCGGCCTAGGACCAAGGCTGAACGGGTTTTTACCATATTCCGACTTCCCAATTCACACTCTTCAGCGTATAAAGCGTGTTTCACCAGGAGCCCTCGTCTTGCTAGTAGCTGACTCTAATTCATGTCCTTCTAGCCTGTGAGTATGCAGACAGTAGTTACACCCACTATACATTGGTAGCTCCTTCTCCCCACAGCCCCCAACCTCCTCAAAAGCAGAGGAATGGAGATGGGGTTGCGGGGAAGGGTAGAGGAACAGCAGGGCAGTAAAACGGTTGGGTCTTAACCTCTGGTGACATTGAACTCTCTATCTGATCTTAAGAGATTCAGTAGTTCCTTGCTTTCTGATACACCTTTTGATCCCTTTAAAAAAACCTCTTAAAATTATTTTCAGAAGAGTTGGAACAAATATTTAGTCTGAACCCAGAAGCCAAAAGCCTAATAAGAGTTGTTCTTCCAATGAGTATTTAATCTCTTATTTCAGATTGACGCACTATGGACTGCCATTTGGAATCAGTCCTTGGTCCCCCTTCACCTGAAAGTTCCTGTGGGCAAACTCTTTCATGATCATGCCTTTGTGGGATGAGTGATACTGTTGCCAGATACAATACAGGATTTCTAGCTAAATTTGAATTTTAGATAAAATCAAATATTTTAAAAATATATGGGGAAAATACTGCATGGGATATACTTAGGATTTTAAGTTATTCATTGTTTATGTGAAAATCAAGTTTAGATGTGTGTCCTTTTTTTTGCTAACCCTGGCAACCTTAGTGGTGGCTGGCAGGATAAAAGTTTGCTCCAGTGAGAAGTGTGTTTCTAGCAACTCTAGATGTTAAACACTTTAAACTTGTTACAGCAATTAGAGTGAGATGCATTTATAGCATATATTTAGGCACCTCAGTAATGTTTGCTTCAAACAGATTCATAGAATCTCAGCATATGAACTTAGAAAATAAACTAATACACACCATTTATTGTCATAAACACACCATTTAAGAACTAGATATTTGGGAGGTCCTGGGTAGAGACAAAAGTAGAGATATTATGAAAGTATTGACATTTGTTAATGCTCAAATAATGAAAAGCATTCCATGTTATTTCTGGAAAAATGATATTGAAACATATTTAGAAGTAAACAACATTAAAAGGACTTTAGCACAATTATCAAAGCAATCAATTATAGGAACCCAAATCTTCTTCCCTCATACATCTTATTATTTAAAACAAACACTGAAAAAGAATGCTACCTGATAGCTACAACTCATTCAGATTTTCCCATTGTGTTGGTGTCTTGTGTCAAGTTTTTCACAAAACATTCCCTTTTCTAAATATGGTCAAAATGTTATATCCATTAGTGAAATTATCTTACATACCAGTGTAACATCTGCCAGTCAAATCAGCATATTCTCAAAGAGATATGCACATGCAAAAATAATAATTTATTAATTATACCACAGTAGCTTTATTTTGTAATATATGAGATAATATAATTTCAATATATTGATTATTTAAATTTAAGAAGATAGTTCAATAATTTTTAAAATTTGTTTCATTTGTATTTTAAATCCAGGTTTATTTTAAATCTTGTTCTTTTTTGTTTAGTCTTTTCCCACATGCATGAAGTAATTTTTCTACCACCAAGACTCTAACCCCTTATTCACTTTGCCTTTGCATTTACTACTACAGCCTTCATCTTTGCATATCATCTAATTAAACATCGTTGCAGCTGGTCTCCATGTCCAGATCACTTACGCAGATCATTAACAAAAAAGAGCCAAAACTCAGGAACATTTGGACTATCCTCAAAATTTTCTAAAATTCTGCCACACTTCCTTTGAAACATATTTTGCTTTGTGTTTTAGAAAGTTATTTTCCTATTGCCACGTTTTCCTTTAAACAATCCAATATCCATATTGCATTTCTTTGTATATAGTAATTGTTTATAACAAGGTTTGAAATATTGCCCAACATAAAGTATTCATTAGGATATAGGTTTCCGCTACCATAAAAACAATGCAGATATTATAATAGTGGCTAAGGTTTAAATGTGTCTTCCAAAGCTTATGTGTTGGTAACTTAATCCCAAGTGCAATTGTGTTGAGGTGAGACCTTTAAGTGGTGATTAGGTCATGAGATGAATTTATACCATCATTGTAGGAGTGGTTTTGTTATATCAGGGGTGGGTTTCTGATAAAATAATGAGTTTGCCTCTCGCTCTCTCTCTCTGTCTCTGTCTCTCTCCCTCTGTCTCTGTCTCTCTCCCTCTGTTTCTCCCTCTCACCTTCTCTCATCCTTTCTTGCCCTGCTGCCCTTCCACCATGAGATAATGCAGCAAGAAGGCCTTGCCCAATGTGAGCCTTCAATCTTGGACTTCCCAGTCTCCAGAACCATGAGCCAAATAAATTTCTGTTCACTATAAATTAGCCAGTCCTAGATATTCTGTTGCAGCAGCACAAAATAGACGAACACAATAGCTTAAGGAAAATACATTTGTCTTTCCTTTCAAAATCTGAGGGAAGTAGCCCATACCTGATACCAACTGCACAGTATCAACAAGCTCAGGTCCTTCCCCTTTTTGCTCTACCATCCTCAAAATGTTCTGTTCCAAAAAGGCTTTGACAGCTCTCACTACCACATAGAGATCTCAGCCACTGGGAAGATAAAATGGGCAAGGGGAGGACATGTTCTTTTATTTTAAGGGCTGAATCCAGAAGTTATAGCTTTACTGTTCATATGTCATTGGCCAGAACTTAGTCATGTGGACACACTTAGTTACTATGAGTCTGGGAACGTCTTCAGCTTGGTAATTACTTGCATAACAAAACTTCAAGTTATTCTGTACTAAAGGATAAAGTGAAGTGGATATTGGAAGATAATAAGCAATTCCTAGTATGGTAACCATATATCTTTACTTCATTTGTTTAAATTTATCAAATATTTATTATTTATTTATGTGCCTAGTATAGTGCCAAGTGGTTGAAAAAATAGGGATCGACAAAATACGTTTTTACTCCCAAGTAGATATTATGTCTGTCTTGTCAGTGAAACAAATACTCAAAAATGCAAATAAGTTATGTTATGGACTAAATTGTATATTAAAGGATTATAATGGTGGAGTACATAGAGTTTTGAAGGAAGAGTAAGATTAGCCAAGAGAAGAGAATAAAGTATTCAAGGCAGACAGCTCAGAAGTTAATTATTTGAGAAGAAAAATTAGTTTGACTTACTTAAGAACTTAAAGGTTAGTAAGAGCAATAGCAAGAGTGTCAAAGTAAAGAATTATTTATTTATTTATTTATTTACTTTTGAGATGGAGTCTCACTCTGTCATCAGTCTGGAGTGCAATGGCACAATCTCTGCTCACTGCAACCTCCACCTCCCAGGTTCAAGCGATTCTCCTGCCTCAGCCTCCCCAGTAGCTGGGACTACAGGTACCTGCCACCACGCCCAGCTAATTTTTTTATTTTTTAGAAGAGACAGGGTTTCACCATGTTGGCCAGGATGGTCTCAATCTCTTGACCTCTTGATCCGCCCACCTCGGCCTCTCAAAGTGCTGGGATTACAGGTGTGAGCCACCACTCCGGACCTAAGAATTTTTAATACACTTTTTTGAATGGGAAGGAACAGAAGGCTTTTAAAGCCTTACCTCTTTGTTACCGGTTAACCTAGTCTACCAGTGGACTTCTGCATGCACGAAATTAGGTCTCTAACTGAACTTCAAAGATATCCAAATCTTTTCAAAATTTTATCTAATTTGATTAGTGAATACTTACTTTTTGGAGGTTTTACTTATCCTTAAATGTTGCTCTCTCATCTTTCATAAATATTCTTTAAAAATATGGTTGCACTAATCTTGAACTCAAGATAATGGTGGATAGTCTCTTATTTTCTATTGGCATAATTGGGGATTATGTTATTAGAAAATTATTTTTGGGTGGTTCCAAATCTTGGGATTAAACATGACCATATTTAGAATTTCCTGGTTATAATAGTTTCAATTACTCCCAATGTTACTTTCATAAGATGTATATACCTTTCCAGAAGAAAATTTGGGAACTGAGTAGATTATGTTTGAAAATGAAGTGCAAACATACTGACCTCAATAAGTAAAGATGGGTAACATTTATTTTCTAAAAGGATACACCTTTGATTTTTCAGTGATAATAAAGGATCTGCATTGAGTTATAAAAATATTTTATACTTAAGCAATAGTAGTGATCACTGGTTTATTGTTCTAATATGAAGGTTGAGAAGACTGAAGTCTGTTGAGATGTGGCACTTCCAAAGTTACACAGTGATAAAGTATAACACTGAAGTCACAACACAACTCTCCTGACTCTACATTCCTGAAGCTTTGATTGAGATTTGTCCCTGCCTCTGCCTACTGGATAATAGTCTGGAATGGTTGGCAGATTACAGAATGAATTAAGACATGAGATATAAAACTTTTCTTATGTTTTCACTTGCCATATACACTAAACAAATGGATTAAGTGGGTTAAAATATGGATTAAAGCAAAGAGATTAAAGACCAAATTGAAATGTTCTCTCCTTTTCTGGCATACTCTGTCACCAAATAAGCTACATATTTTGCTCTCTTAATACATCAGTGATATACATTAATCATATGAGTATATATACCCATACACACAAACCAGTAAAAATACAGTAACATTAGTTATAATTTCTAAAATAAATTATGTACATGAAAGTTGGGATAGATTTATCATTTAAATACATTTTAAAAGGTATGTTACTTCAACAATTAGCCTAATTTGTAATTTCAAAAAAATCAAACTGATAATTTGATCATTGAATATAGGATAATCATATTATAATATTATGACAGCTTAGCTGAAAAATCACCTTTATAATGGATATACAGTACAGCAATATTTATTAGATCCAATGACTTATAATACAGACAGCTGTGAATGCAGAGTTTCTTATTAATCCCCTGGGATATAATGGAACATTTGGCCCTCACTGAAACATCTTGAAGAGGTAATTTACTGTTCTCACTGAAGCTGTAAAGAAAAGGTGCAAAATCCAATTCCGTTTAAGCAGAAGAATCAAGAGATAATACAACTAATGAAAAGTGCACTCTTCAATAATCTAAATGTGGGTTAATTCCCACCCAGCAGGAATCATTGTAATGGAAATATTCAAGACTATTTGCAGAGAAAAGCTTAAATGGTCTTAGCACAGTTTTTTAAAACTTTTCAAAATGAGGTATCAAAATGTATACAAACATTCGAAAACCGAACTTTTAAAGCCTCAAAATATTTTTGTAAAAGTACTTAATGATCATATTTCTAAGACTGATTTCCCTGTCTTTTATTATTTTTAGATTTACTGCTTTCACCAAAGCTATGAAGAAAATATACAGAATCCAACTCTATTTAAACAGAGATTTTGTTATCCATAGATTGATATATCAGGATGGTATGTATTTTTAAAACTACAAATGTATTAAATTTATAATCTTGGCAATTCATGTTTCTAAATCTGGTTGCGTATAAAAATGTAAACAGAAAATATTAATGCAAGAACGCAAAAGTAATGAGGTTCTTCCAGCTTTTATTATCAGCTCTTCAATCTTGACTATATGTTAGCTCTGTCACCATTTCATGTAGCTAAACCTTTTTCTTCCTAAGGATTCAACATTGAACATACAGTTTTAATAAACGGCATCTGTTTTCCCTTTTATTCCCCAGTTTCACAAAGACTTCTAAGCTTTGGAAATGTGTGTGTACCTAGGAACTGGAGATCAAAGGCATAAGAAGATATTCCTCTAATATTTATTAGATTTTATTGCTTAATAACCATTTTGGACCAATACAGAACAAATTACTTTCTTATTGACTAATTTATCTTAATTGCCCAACTTTAAAATTACATGGTATCTTTAAAAAACTTTAAACAAAATAGCTTAAAAAGTAACTTCTAACATTTATGCAACACATCATACTATTTTTAAAATTTAGTATATGAGAATATTATTCAATAAATTAATCTTCATTAAAGTTAATCTGAATGTGTTTATCTTAACAAAATATACATGTACTTATAAAAAATTACATAGTAATATTTTGTTATCCATGGGGAATATTTTTCCAGGATATTTTGTATCCTGTGGACACAAAAATTCATGGATGCTCAAGTCCCTTGTGTAAAATTTTGTAGTATTTGTATATAACATATGCACATTCTTCTATTTGCTTTGCATCATCTCTAGATTACTTATAATACCAAATGCAATGTAAATGTTATCTACGTAGTTGTTACACTGCATTGTTTGGAAAATAATGAGAAGAAAAAACTCTGTGCATGGTTGATACAGATGCAATGCATTTTTTAAATATTTTTGATCCATGGTTGGTTGAACCCACAGATACAGAGGGCCAACTGTTTATTACAAAAGTATTGAAGCAGTAGTAGTAATCAACAAGTGGTTAACTAATTGATTAATGTTTTCAATAATTACTTAATGTTGCCTAAATACCATGTTTCATCAGTTCTAATATGCAGATTCTTTCACATTTTAACATCTCTGCAATTGGGAGTATCCCAAATTAAGACAGGTGATAGCTTAGATTTGATTAATTATGATAAATGAAATGCACAAGTTTTTTTTCAAGACAAAGGTCGAGGTAACACTCCATAATAAATTAAATATCTCCAAAAATTATCCATTCAAATTACTCTTTGCTTATAAACTTTCTGTTAACATAAAAACATTAAAGCCAGCTGCAATAACTTATTATTCACACCATTTTAAATGCCAAAAGTGTAGTTAATCTCTGAAATATATTACAATCAGTATCTCCAATTAATGGAATACAGGAGTGATACCTAATTTAAAGCACTTGAACTTTTATACAGTAATGGGATACAGATTGTAAAGCACATTTATATATGTTATAATCACACACAGGTTTTGTCATGGTAAGAAAATGCCCAAAATTGTGAGTTATTTGTAAAAAGCATAACTTCCTTAAGAATTCCGTATTTTCTTATATACTTGTACCCTATTATATTGGCTGAAAATGGAAATCAAGGACTCCTTCAGATGTGCTTACCAGTGATTTTATGATACACATATTTACTCATTGCAACGTGATCAAAAACATATACCATGTCATTCTCATAATATTTGTTTAAACAAGTATCTATATTGACTAATTGTTACTGCACATATGTGGTGTTCAATGTAGTATTGCTACACAAACTTCCAAAAAATAAGTAAGATACAGTCATTATAAGCCCTTATATTGCCCAATGCAGATAAATGCAGATAAATGGCATAAAAGTAGTAGAATACAACTGTCAAAATATAAATAGAATGTTATAAAAATCTAAAATGGAGATCTGATAGAGGAAGAAATCGTATCTCTAGTAAATTAAGGAAATGTTTCTGGAGGCTGTAACATTTCAGTAGAGGCTTAACAAATAAGGAGACACTAGTCATGGGAGGAAAGGAGAAAATTTGTACTAGAATGGTGTGAACCATGAGCAAGGGCACAAAAGTGGTAAGATCATGGTTGTTCAACAAACCAAAATTTGCTCAGTGTTGCTAAGACATGAAGTGAAAGTAGGGAACCTGTAGAACATGTAATGGTACAGAGGAGCAGTCATGAATACCCTGCATGTGATGCTGAGGAACTGGCATGGCAGAGGTGGATAAAAATACAGGTGAAGAGAATTGCCAGGATAGTGCAAGACAAAAGATGTCAAGGAAGAGGATTATTTGAAGGGGAGGGTGATAAACAACATCAAATGACACAGAAAAAAACATCGAGACTATTGATGTCTGAAAAAAGGTCACTGGCTTATAATGTCAATGCTCTCTTACAGAATAATGATGGTGGAATTTTTAATGCAGGGGGTAATAGACTGAGAAACTGTCAATAGACAATATAAAGGACTCTTGCAAGAAATTTGGAAAAGAAAAAAAAGCTAAATCTTACTTTCCTCATTTCTTATTATTTTGTTCATGGACTGTTACTAAGAATACTAGCATCTTATAAAAAAAAATACTAAGTTATATCTCTTAGTCCTACCAGAGGTTAATCAATGACAAAAAACACAAGTTGTACTTTGGTTTGACAATTATTACATAATTTATTCAGTACTGAAGATGCTGTAAAACATGTAATTGTGCTTTCCTGTAGGATAAGATGCAAAAATAGTCAGCAAATGATAGTAGTTAAGTTTGACCAATTTGCAACTATACAACTGCTGAATATTTGCCATTTTAAAATAACACATTCAATAACAAATAACAAATAATAAAATAGTAAAGGTTCATTATAGGAAAAGAAAAATATATAGATGAAAAGAGTAGGAAAAAAACACTCACAATTTAAGCATCCAGAGAACACTTTTAATTTTTGTCAGGTAGAGACTGCCAGTTAAAAAGAAGATTAAGCATGTAGACATTTTAAGATCCCACATATGTCACTGAACTAGTTGTGTCATCTTGTGCAAATTATATGGTTTCCCAAAGCCTCAGTTTATTTGTAAAGCAAAATAACAATGCATGAGATTGCTGTGAGAATCAAGTGAATCATACACATAAATTTCTTAAACAAATACTTGACACGTACTACTCAATGGATGTTAGCTACGTGTTTATGAATGTGCGTGTTTTGTATGGATACATAGCTCACAGGGAAAAGTGAGGGGATCATATTGTGGGGATGAACTAAAAATATATTTTTGTTTTTACATTAAACTGAAAACATATTTTTACTTTTATATTCATGAAGACAAAGCATTAGCAACGTTTTCTGTAAAAAGCCAGATAGTAAATATTTCAGACTTTAAGTGCCACCTGGTCTGTATTACAGCTACTCAACTCTGTCATTGTAACACAAAAAGAGAAATTGATAACACTTAAATGTATTGGCATGGCTGTTTTTCAATAAAACTTTATTTGTAAACACCAGCAATGGTTCAGATTTGGTCCACATGTTGTAGTGTGCTGATTTCTGATCAAGAACATGGTATTTTCCTGTTTAAAATTACAGTATTTGTAACATATTTAGCTAACATCCAAGTTTTGGACATGAAGTATTTGCACATAAACTGTACACATACTCCCATATACATTAAATCATCTCTAGATTACTTATAATACTTAATACAATGTAAATGCTAAGTAGATAGATCTTATACTGCAATTGTTTACATTACTTGTGTTACAGTGTTGTTTTCATTTATTTTTAAAAATATTTTTTATTCACAGTTGATTGAATGCATGGATGAAGAATGCATAGATATGGAGGGCTGACAGTGTTGATAATTTTTCTTTTTTAATTTTAGGTTTGAGGATACATGTGAAAGTTTGTTACACAAATAAACGTGTCATCGGAGGGGGGTTGTTGTACACATGATTACATCATCCAGGTATTAAGCTCAGTACCCAATAGTTATCTTTTCTGCTCCTCTCGCTTCTCCCAGCCTCCTCCCTCAAGTAGACCACAGTGTCTAATGTTTCCTTCTTTGTGTTCATAAGTTCTTTTCATTAGCTCCCACTTAAAGTGAGAACATGCTGTATTTGGTTTTCTGTTCCTGTGTTAGTTTGCTAAGGATGATAACCTCCAGCTCCATCCATGTTCCCACAAAAGATATGATCTTGTTCTTTTTTATGGCTGCATAATATTCCATGGTGTATATGTACCACATTTTCTTTATCCATTCTGTCATTGATGAGCATTTAGGTTGATTCAACTTCTTTGTTATTGTAAATAGTGCTGCAATAAACATACATGTGTTTATGGTAGAATGCATTATATTCCTCTGTATATACCCAATAATGGGACTGCTGGGTCAAATGGCAGTTCTGCTTTTAGCTCTTTGAGGAATCATCATACTGCTTTTCGCAATGGTTGACCTAATTTACACTCCTACCAACAGCGCATAAGGATTATCGTTTTTCTGCACCCTCACCAGCAACTGTTATTTTTTGACCATTTAAAAATAGCCATTCTGACTAGCGTGAGATGATATCTCATTGTGATTTTCATTTGCATTTCTCTAATGATCAGTGATATTGAGCTTTTTTCTTCATAAACTTATTGGCCACATGTATGTCTTCTTTTGCGAAGTGTTTGTTCATGTCCTTTGCCCACTTTTTTATGGGGTTGTTTGCTTTTTTATTGTAAATTTGCTTAAGTTCTTATAGATGCTGGATATTAGACCTTTGTCAGATGCATAGTTTGCAAATATTTTCTCCCATTCTGTAGGTTGTCTGTTTACCCTGTTGATAGTTTATTTCTTTTGCTGTGAAGAAGCCCTTTAGTTTAATTATACCCCATTTGTCAGTATTTGGTTTTGTTGTGATTGCTTTTGGTGTCTTTGTCAGGAAACCTTTGCCCATTCCTACGTCCAAGATGGTATTGCCTAGGTTGTCTCATAGGGTTTTATAGTTTTGGTTTTACATTTAAGCCTTTAATCCATCTTGAGTTGATTTCTGTATATGGTGTAAGGAAGGAGTCCAACTTCAATTTTCTGCCTATGCCTGAACAGATCAATAATAAGCCCCCAAATTGAATCAGTAATAAATAGCCTACCAACCAAAAAAAGCACAGGACCTGATGGATTCACAGCTGAATTCTACCATATGTACAAAGAAGAGCTGGTACCATTCCTACGGAAACTATTACAAAAAATTGAGGAGGAGGGACTTCTTTGCAACTCAGTATATGAGGCCAGCATCACCTTGATACCAAAAGCTGGCAGAGACACAATAAAAAAGAAAATTTCAGGCCAATGTTCTTGATGAACATCAATGCAAAACTCCTCAACAAAATACTTGCAAACCAAATCCAACAGCACATCAAAAAGCTAATCCATCATAATCAAGTAGGCTTCATTCCCTGGATGCAAGGTTGGTTCAACATATGAAAATCAATAAATGTGATTTTTTATTTCAAATTTAAATGCCATTTTTAAAGCAAATAATTTGTTATCTTTTAATAAAAATGGCTTTATTTTAAATTATTATTGAAATTGTTCCCATTAAATTATAAATTAAAAATAGCAGAAAGAAATGAAAAAGTTATCTGTAAGTCCACTTTTCTACGATAACTCTCTGGAAAGTGTTGTCTTAGAAAGCATGTCTTTTTCTTAAGTCATTTCTAAATCAATTCCTAGAACAGTGCCTGGAACATGGTATCCAATGAAATCCATCAGAGGGATAAAAAACATTAATTCTAGTGATCATTCTTTTGTATATTCCTCAATACACAAATATATACACATAACAGATGCTTTAAATTTTAAATTTAATTTGAAACTTTGCCTATGCTATTTTCTCCCTCCTAGCACCTTCCTCCCACTTCCCTTCCCACCTAGAGAGCACTTATTGTCCAGTACTTTCACTCTCCTCCCAAATAGCACAAAGAAATTTGAATACTTTGACTTCATTTACATCCTTCTTTACTTATTCCCACTATTACTGTTCTTTTGCACAGCTATTGCTCATTTAAATGTACACATGTTCACTGCTTTCTTGAATCTTTATTCCTTTCTGCCTCTCCACAACTTTCCTTAAGAGGTGGTTGATGGAGACATTTTTACTTCTTTCTCCCAATACTGACACATTGCATAGCCCAGCAGGCACTATTGACATGGAAAACTGCATGAACAGTGCCCCAACAGCGGTGCCACAGCAGCCCTGGGGTTCACTCTTACCTTTTGCAGTATCGGCTTATTCTGTGGAGGATCTCCTGTTGGTCGTATTCTAAGTCTAAATTTCTGTCTTCCCTACTTTTATGCATGTTTAAATGCTCTAAAGGTAAAAGAACATTTTGTACACTGGGGCTTGTTTTAACTTTCTGGAATTCGGTTTACACTGGTATTTTGACTTTGTGAAGATTACTATCTTGCTAGATGTTTGATGATTTTAATAAGATTGAGACAAGAAGATACTCATAGAATGCTATAAATTTATTCTGACTTCTCCCTTCTTCCTTCTCCTCCTTCCTTTATACCCTCACTCCCAAACCCCTAACTATTAGTTATGGCTGAGAGTTTGGTAGCTTTTGTTTCTTGTTACTTACTAGCTTTTTCATTGCAATCTGTTTATTTTTGCAATTAGTTTTTCACTTGTAGTTCAAGAATGTTTACATACAACTTATAAACTCACATTCACTTTTTTACTATTTATTTACATGTTTTTACAAAATATCATATTACTAAAATATTATAACAATCTTTATGCAAGCGATATCAAAATACCCAAGTCTTACAGAATTGTAACATCAGTTTCCTCTATTTATTGAGGAGTAAATGACACAGGTAAATTTGGAATCCCTAATATGTGCATTATAGGTTCAGTCCCTATCCTCTACCATCAAAACAGTTATTGTCATTAAATTTGATATATATCCATACTAATTTTACTTTACCTTTTACTTTATGTAAGTGTATTCATAAATAATATTTGGCATTACGTTTTGCGGGCATTATATACCATGTAACATTTTTCATTCTGTTTTTCTTTGTCATGCAACATTATTTTAGTTCTAGCCATGTTGCTAAATATAAATCTTATTTATTTATTTTAACAGCTGTAAAGTGTTCCACCACCCAAATCTACTATAAAGTATACATTCATTTCTCTATTGGCAACTTTGGCAATGTTTCTCTTTTTTCAGTATTATGTGCCACAAGCTTTCAATAAGAAGTCTTCATATATGTTTATGCCAGAATTTCTCTTGGACATAAGCCAAGAAGTGAGACTGCTGGGTCATGGAGTATGTGCATGTTCAGCATCTTTAGGTATTGCCAAACTTCCGCCTACAATACCGCCATCTGCAGTCCAGGAACATCTTGTTTCCCCTTCCTTGCTCTGTCTGACTTAATATTTGAATATCTAATGAGTGCGAAACACTTCATTTGGCATCTTTCATGTTAATTATCTTTCAGCATTTCTCTTCTATAAATGGTCTTATCATAATCTTCAATGCATTTGGCATTTCTGAAGTATTTCCTAGTTATACACATTAAAATCCACTGCTCTATCTTAAATAAATCTGAATCCATGCATGATTCTAAACAGTTGGAGAATATTAATTCACTGAATTATAGTAATCTTTCCAATGTCAAAGTATTTCATCATACAATATCAAAAGCAATGAAAATAATAATTACACTCTTAAATTAGCACCAATAGAAAAGACTTTTATTGTTGGGAAACTCTTGAACACACAGGAACAGATACATGTTTTCCAAAAATCTATTTTTCATCCCAAATTGTAAATGTTATAACATTGGCCACAATGTCAGTTGTTTTCCCTGAAAAGACAGGTCTACTGTGTTCGTTTTTGAATTTTGTAGATTTGTTTGCCAAATACTCAAGTATGCCTATTAGCCATTTTTTTGAAGTAAAAATTGTGCTCACTTTTAAAGTGGCTAGTTTAGATGGCAAGCCAGTCACAAAATTGTCTTTCTTCAATATCAACATTGTACTTTATTATACAGCAGAAGGGTTCTGTGTGCTTACAGGGCAAGATTTAATACAATTGATAATTTTTACTGCTTCACCACAAATATTCTTAAGTGAAATTATTCTTATCTACCGTGAATGCGTGGCACTGATGAATACAATGACTACAGTTAGAACATCATCACAGTTAGAACATCATCCCTACAGATATCAGCAAACAAAAATTGGCAAATAACAGATTAGAATAATTATGAAAAAAAATTTTTTTTGAGATGGGGTCTCGCTCTGTCACCCAGGATGGAGCACAGTGGCGCGATCTTGGCTCACTACAACCTCTGCCTCCTGGGTTCAAATGATTCTCTTACCTCAGCCTCCCAAGTAGCTGGGATTACAGGTGCCCACCACCACGCCCAGCTAATTTTTTGTATTTTTAGTAGAGATGGGGTTTCACCATGTATCCAGGATGGTCTCGATCTCCTGACCTCATGATCTGCCCACCTCGGCCTCCAAAGTGCTGGGATTACAGATGTGAGCCACCGCGCCAGGCTGATGAAAACATTTTTAAACTAATGGATCTCCTGTGTACCCATGAAACCTCAGGGGTCTATGGAGCACACAGTGAATGAATATCACTGTATTAGATTGGCCAAATCTTTTATTAATTCACCTATAAGCATACCAAAGTTTTTCAGAAAACACATTTTGAGAAAATTGGTATAAGTGATATTCTAGAAAAAAAAAAAAAAACCAGTTCTAAATTGCCTGTACCTTTAATGATTTTTCCTTCTTAAAAAATAAAATGTCGATAACATGAATACCTTGTTTCTAAGGGACATTTGCTTAACATTTTTGTTTCTCTCTAAATGTTGAGAGAAATTTAGCAGCATAAACAAATCTCCTACTTGAAGATCATTAATTTAGGAACTCTACCAACTTGACCCTTTGGTATGTATGTTTTCCTTATATATTTTGGGAAAGTTGTGTTCTTTTGTTTTCTAAAACTTGCAGAAGAAAACTCAAAAGATTTAATAACAGTTTGCCACATTAGGATGCCAAGTGCAATTTTGTCATAAGACTGTTTATGAGTAAGCTTTATCTTGGATTTAGCAAGCTTTTGTTTATAAAAGATTACTTTTAAAAAGACAGAGGTCATTTCACTCATTTCCATTTGCTGGAGTGGGAGCTCGGAGTTCTCTAAAGAATTTTGGCCATAAATGGTAGGTGCTCCCCTTTGAAACTCTCTTTCCAACACACGAAACCAATGCCAGCTCAGACCATTGACATTTTAGACAAGAGATGTTTTCAGTCTTAAGATAGGTGGCTGAATGCAGTGTGGAAAAGATGCTCATATATTCTTGGGGTTGGAATATAGGGGGAATAAAGGTCAGGGGAAAAACTCTTTAACAGGTTTTGGATTTTTGTACCCCTGAAACTCCATGTCACTATATTTAAACAATCAGATAATAGCCTGCCCTAAGAATGGTAGATCCTAAAACAACAGAACTCTTCAAAATTGGGAAAGAGCACAAGGAAAGAAATCAAACAATATTTTTAAGTGGCAATGCTTTAAAAATGAACTCTTAAGTATGAAATTAAATCTGGCTAAACAATTCTCCTACCTCAGCCTCCCAAGTAGCTGGGATTACAGGAGCCCGCCACCATGCCCAGCTAATTTTTTGTATTTTTAAATACAAAATATATAAATATACTTCACATTTTAATGACGTTTTTCTAGTAAAATTTTTACAACGTGCCTTACCTTTTTCTTGAATAAACAAGTATAATTTTAAAAATGATCTTTTAAAACAGATTCTGTTTTGTTTCTTTAATTTTTATAGAGTTGATTCTTACTGTGGGGACCAAGGGAAAACTTCCCCTTTGCCCTCTGAAGGTTCCCTGAAAAGCAACTGACAAAAAAAAAGACTAATAGGTAAAAAAAGTATATAAATTTATTTAATCATAGTTTTACATGACACAGGAGCCTTCAGAAGGAAGATCTAAAGATACAGAGGAAACTGTCCACTTTTGTGCTCAGGTTCATGCTGTGCTTAACACATATGTACAGCCATGAAAAAATATGATTGGGCAAAAAGGTTATGATCTAATGCTAACAGACTGAGTTAGGAGACACAGCAAGACCTGCGTGTTTAGGTTCTTCTTTTCCTCTCTGGGCAGCATTTTGGGTATGGGGCAGGACCCTCTCTGGAACTGGGGAGTCTTATGAGCTACAGTCAAACAACATAGGTCAGATCATTTCTTTATGGCCAGTTTTACACAGAAAGCTGAGGGGAACATTACAGTAATATTTTTGGGTTTTGTGGCTGGCTTGGGGGAAAGGAGTTCTGGTACCCATGACTCGCCCTGGGGAAGAAGGAATCTAGTCACTCTCACTAGCCTCGGGGGAGAATGAGGGGTGGGAGACAGGAGGACAGGAAACAATCAGACAGAAACTTTTGCTTCTGAGATTGTTTTAGAGGCCTTCATTTTGGGGTATAGTTTCTAAGCCCCAACAACATTACATTTTAAGGAGAATGTAGTTTGAGTAGCTGGGAGAATTACAGAAGACAACCAAAACATTTGATTATTGTTTTGCCTACGGGACAGGTCATCAACTACAGTTGATTTATCTGAATTTTATAGGCCTACTTCATAGTAGTTTTGGGTAAATTAAGCTTATACAATTTAATAGTGAGTGTCTTCCACCAGAGCTTTCTTGGCAGAACTCATGGCTCATTCCCCAAATTCTATTTTTTTTTTTTTTTTTTTTTGAGACAGAGTCTCGCTCTGTCGCCCGGGCTGGAGTGCAATGGCGCAATCTCGGCTCACTGCAACCTCTGCCTCAAGGATGAAGCGATTCTCTGATTCTCCTGCCTCAGCCTCCCATGTAGCTGGGACTACAGGCACGTGCCACCACTTCTGGCTAATTTTTGTATTTTTAGTAGAGATGGGGTTTCACCATATTGGCCAGGGTGATCTCAAACTCCTGACCTCGTGATCCGCCCGCCTTGGCCTCCCAAAGTGCTGGGATTACAGGCATGAGCCACTGCACCCAGCCCATTCCCCAAATTCTTACTGCTACTGTGAAATTCTCCTTTGGCATAAAGGTGGTCTTGTTTAAATGATATGGAAAGCACCTTCACAAGCTTCTGTGCTGGAATCACCATCATCTTCCCTTTTTAAAGATTACCTCCAAGGACTATTATTAAGAGAAATATTTGTGTTTGTGTCTACGTAGCTAAATATGTGTGTATGTGTTAAAATCAGAGTCAGCCAGCTGCTTCCTATAGTGACAGAGACCTGAGTACTTTGCAGTCTAGGAATGGATCTCCTGTATCTTCAAAAGCAATGGTTTTCAAATGTAAGTGTAGAGAAGGTTGGGAGCCCATTGGTGGGTCATAAACCTAATTTAGTGAGTCCTAATTACATGTTTTAAGTAACCTAGAAAGGAAATGAGGAAAAAAGAGAGAAGTAAAAATATAAGAATACATGGACATGTAGTAAGAAAATATTTTCATAAAACTTCTTCAAATTGTGTTTGCATGTGCACATATAAACAATTGCATATTTGGGTACGAATTGGGCTGTGACATGACATGTATTAAAGAATGTGGGACATCCCTCAAAAATACTTTAAGAACACTGTTCTAAGGGACCACTTTAGTCATCTTTTTATGTGTGCATAAATAGGAAAAGGCATTTATTATTCTAGAATTAGTAATAGAATCTCTTTACTTCGTCTCTGTTCTTACATGCAGAGCCCTAGAAAAGGAGGTAGGCCCAAGGCCATGTTGCACAATGTCATTCTTCTGTACAGAATGTGACAAAACTCTGAATTTTGTTTCCTAAATTTGGGGTGAGTTCAAGCCCAGTGATAAGGAAGAATAAGAAAGTATAATAAAATACAAAAACTAAAATTAATTGAAGAAAGAAGAATAGAGACTGGAGCCTGGTAGACTGAGTTCAAAAAGACAAGAAAAAAGAAAAAGACCTTAGAGTTTAGAGGATAAGTTGTCTTGACATCACAGGTGATTGATGTTAGTAGTCTCTTTGGCCCCACCACTCTTTTGTATATTTGTTTTTTCAATAGACATTTATTTAGTGCATAATTTCTGCCCGGGTATATATTCACAATGCTATTCACATTGATGAGTGATGCAGATATAATCACTGTTTATATAGAGGTTTTCTCAGTTCATTTTGTGATGGTATAACTGAATACCAAAGACTGGGTAATTTATAAAGAACAGAAGGTTATTTGGCTCACCATTCTGCAGGCTGGGAGATTCATGAGCATGGTACCAGCATCTAGCAAGGGCTATCCCATGGCACAAGGTATCACATGGTGAGACAGAGAAAGAAAATGCGGGCCAAACTTATCCTTTTATCTGGAGCTCACTCTGGAGATAATGGCATTAATCCATTCATTAAGATGGAGCTCTCATGATTCTCATGAATCACCTCTTAAATGTCCCTCTTCTTGATACTATCACAATGTCGATTAAATTTCAACATGTGTTTTGGAGGCGACATTCAAATCATGACAGAGGATATTTTAGTATGGAGGATATAGACACTGAACAACTTAAAAAGCAAATAATAACAATAGTGTGAAACAAAACAACATAAAAGAATAGTGAGAGCAATGGATGTTATATTGGCAATCATGCCTGGCTGTAATGCAGAGTAATTTTTAAGCCAAATATTTGAAATATATTAAATCAACCATAAAAAGAAAAAAAAAGTTTGGAAAAAGGGACATTGCTTCAGGTAGAGGTGAATACATTAGCAAAGGGTTTGAAATGACAAGACTAATAACATAAGAGAATTAAAATGAGACATATGTGGCTAGAACTTAGTGCAAGAGGAAAGAAGGCATGGAAGTTGACAGTGGCTAGGCCATGCATTCAATTAAGTATTTATTAAGCTCTTACTTAATGCCAGGCATTGTTCTAAGTGTAAGTACAGCAGTGAGCCAAAAGAACAAGTCCTTTAGGTTATTGTGACAGAGATGAATATAAAATAAACAATATTAAAATTGAATTGTAACATCAGAGAATAAGAATTGCATTTAAGGAAGTAAAGCAGGTTCCGAAGATAGAGAACGACAGGATTTTACTTAAGAAACATTGTTTGGAGGCTGGGCAAAGTGGCTCATGCCTGTAATCCCAACACTTTGGGAGGTTGAGGCAGGTAGATTGCTTGAGCCCAGGAATTCAAGACCAGCCTGGGCAACAGACTTCATCTCTATAAAACATCTTAAAAAATTAACTGGGTGTGGTGGTATATACCTGTGGCAGGGCTGCAGTGAGCTGTGATTATGCCACTGAACTTCAGCCTGAGTGACATAGACCCTGTCTCAAAATAAAGAAAAACTAAACATTGTTTGGGACAGTCCACTTTGAGGAGGTAATGTTTAAAGAGAAGTAAACTGAGAGAATTATCCATCTAAATGACTATGAAAAGAGATTTCAGGATAGAAGATATAGTGTGTGCAAATGAAATAAGGTAAGAACAGTCTCTCTTGAGAGGCAACAAAAAGGCTAGTGTGGCTGGAATTTAAGAGATAGCCATTGCCAAGTCACTAATAGTCTTATAGGCCATAGCAATTATTTTTATTATAATTTCAACATGTTGAAATTCCATGGGATGGTTTTAAATGAGAGAGTGAAATAATCTATATTCTAAAACGATCACTTGAGGTCATACTTGACAATGGAATGAAAGTAAACGCATGGTCCAGCCAAGAAATGATGGCAGTTAAGACCATGGTGATAGCATGAAGAGTGAAATGAGTGGTCAGATTTTAGATGCATGGATTTTAGATGCAGAGGGAATATAATTTTGTAGTATATTGTTAATAATAATGAGTATGAGAGGTAAAGTAGTTGATATCAAGCTGATAAATTACATACTTGAGAAACAGACAGTGAGAGAGAGAGAGAGAAAGGAAGGAAGGAAGGAAGGTAGGAAGGATGGAGGGAGGGAGGGAAGGAAGGAGGGAAGGAGGGAGGGAAGGAAGGAAGGAAGGAAGGAAGGAAGGAAGGAAGGAAGGAAGGAAGGAAGGAAGGAAAGGGAAGGGAAGGGAGGGAAGGGAAGGGAAGGGAAGGTAAGGGAAGGGAAGGAAGGGAAGGGAAGGGAAGAAGGAAGGAAGGAAGGAAGGAAGGAAGGAAGGAAGGAAGGAAGGAAGGAAGGAGGGAAGGAAAGAAGGAAGGAAGGAAGGAAGGGGTTTAGGTTAGAAAAATGGGAGGTTTGGGCCGGGTGCAGTAGCTCACGCCTGTAATCTCAGCACTTTGGGAGGCCAAGGTGGGCAGATCACCTGAGGTCAGGAGTTGCAGACCAGACTGGCCAACATGGTGAAACACCATCTTTATTTAAAAATACAAAAAACTTAGTTAGGCATGGTGGCGCATGCCTGTAATCCCAGCTATTCAGGAGGCTGAGGCATGAGAATCACTTGAACCTAGGAGGCGGAGGTTGCAGTGATCTGAGATCACGCCACTGCAGTCCAGCCTGAGTGACAGAGCAAGACTCCGCCTAAGATGCCAAAGGGAAAAGCTGAGCAGTGATTGGAACATGGTTCAGGAGTTCAGAGAAGAGGTGAATCCTGGAGCTATTAAATTTGAATTGCATAGATAGGACTGAACTGACAAAAGTTAGTGAAAAGAAGACTAATTAGGTATGATCCCAGTGGGGAGGTTGGGGAGGATGAAGAGGCTTTGATGAAGAAGTGTGAGAAGGAGCAGCCAATATAGTCATTGGAAAATCAGAAGAACATGAAGAAAGGCTTTGGGAAAGTAGAAATGATTAGCTAAGAAGCCACATAAGTTAGGTGTGAATTATCCATTAGATTTGGGAAAGTAGAAGTCAGTGATAGGAAAACAAATCTCATTATGTATTGCTTTTTTCGAATCAAGAGTTTTATTACGAATGGACTCAGGGAGAAAGTGAAAAAAAAGGGTATCAAATGTTTGCTGACTCATAAGCAAAGTCAAGCCACTTAACTATGAATAAGATTAGAGAAAGTCAGTGGTGTAGATTGCTAATTAACTATTATAACTTCCTGTAACAAACATATTTACACTCTAAATGAGTTAAATTATTTTTATAGGACATATTTTAACAAAAGTCATTTCCTGTCACAAACCTCTACAAACCTTAGCAGTTTTAAAGTTTACATTCACAGTCTTTGGAAACAATAAAGTAACCCTTTTAGCATTACTTGAGAGTTCTTAGCAAATACACTTAGACACAACTCTATGAAATTAGGCAGAGAAAATATAAATTTAAATTAAATTTTATGAAAAATACATGTATGTGATGACTTGAAAACATTTTTTCTTATGTAATCATACCCGTTATATAGGCTAAGTAACAGCACTGTCTTCTCCAAGCGTCTCGGTTAAGATCCTTCAAATTCTATTCGAGGTTTCTGATAAATGTTAATTGAAGTCTCTTGTCTGTGGCTTCAAGTCCAATTTTTAGTCAAGGATGAATTAGTATTGCAGAAGTTATAAAACTCTTTTTCTACATTAGGAAATTTGCCAAGAGAAGTTTCCTTAGAGCAGTGCAAACAAGAGCTTAATTGGAAAAGGATCAAAAGGAATGGGGGGAGAAGAGGAGGTAGAGTCAATGATTACAGACATCTTTTGAAGAGTTTTGCTTTCAAGAGGAACAAAGGAAATGTGGGATCAAGGAAGTTTTTTGTTGTTTTTGATTTTGCTTTTTCAGATGGAAATACGACAACATGTTAATGGAAATGATTATGTAGATGGAGAACACTGATATAAGACAGAGTGGTTAAGTGGGAAAAAGTCCTTGATTAGATGAGACAGCATGGGTTCCAATGGGGAAAGTGGAAGGTGTGGATTTAACCTTAGCATAGAAAGAGCAGATATAACCTTTGATCAGATGAGACTTTGTAGAGCAGGATAAGGAGTTTGAATTTCATGGACCAGAAATCAGGATGAATGTTAAAAACTGATCAGAAAGTGTGATGTCAGTTTTGGAAAATTAAGTTACTGTGTAGCTTCTGATAATCACAAGTTCCAGAAGCTAACAACCAGGGGAGTGATTGTGAGACAGAGCACAAGAAAATGCCATCTGCAATGAGAAAGTAAAGAAAATCAAAGGTCAGGTGTTGAATGAGACAGTCACATAGAGGCTGATATTACCAAGAATAATGACATGCTTAGGGGAAGACATTATGTTTATAATACAAAAGCTTACTGAGTGAAATAAGAATGAGAATTGGTAGGTGACATAAATAGGAAGATTGAGAGCTTAAGAGGGTAACATATCAACCACAATCTGATGGGAATGTTTCAAGTTGGAGTATATTAATATTATTGTTATGAAGGACTCCTCCTAGCTCAGAGGTCAAGTGTTGATCTTAGAGAAACAAAATCCAGAACACGGCAGTGTCAAACAGTTGTAGTCCTGGCGGGCAGGTGGGAGCACCTCTGCAACCCTAGTCAGAGATCTGGAATGGCAGGGGCATTGCTCATAAATGGAACAGAGTCTCTAGTAACTTCTAACATCAAGTTTCAACAGTTAATAAGCATGACAATGAGAATTAAGTTTGTGATAGACCACCTGTGGATGGGCAAAGCTGTGGAAATATTTGGAGTGAAAGGAAACCACAACAGAAACACACTTTCTTTCTTTTTTTTCTTTATCACAAGGTCTGGCTGTATCATCCAGACTTGAGAGCAGTGTTGCAATCTTGGCTCACTGCAACCTCTGCCTCCCTGGTTCAAGTGATTCTCATGCTTCAGCCTCCTGAACAGCTGGAGTTACAGGCATGTGCCACCATGCCCAGATACTTTTTGTATTTTTAGTAGAGACGATGTTTTGACATGTTGACCAGGGTGGTCTCAAACTCCTGGCCTCAAGTGATCTGCTCACCTTGGCCTCCCAAAGTGCTGGGATTACAGCTGTGAGCCACCTCGCCCAGCCCACACTTTCTTAATAGCTCACACTTTCTTAATAGAGCAAATGAGATCTTTAGTTATTAATTGATCTAAATAAATGAGATGAGGCAGAATTTCTACTCTAATTTTTTATAGCTTGTCAAAATTCTTATGTATAGATATGCACATATATATTTACTACCTAAAACATTTTACAAGGATCAATAATCCTGATGGGTACATGCCTCTGTCAGAACAGAAGCATTTTAATATTGTGCTAAGTAAAATGATTGAGTACTCATTTCATTACCTGTCACAGCATTTATTATTATTTTTATCAATTTATCTTAAGCACAGATATATACCAATAGATGCTTCCAATTTCTTACTTAAGGGCCAGGGGATTACTTATTTCAATTTAGGCCATTTGTTACTAAGAATATTTGTCATTTGTACTTTCTCTTTATACAGCTTAGGAAAAATACTTATGCATCCTCTATGAGCTGCTGTTCTAAATTCCAGAAAGCAACTACTTTTTATGCTGGATTTTGACATGCATTTCCCTCATTCTTCACTTTAGAATATTTTACTATTTTTAATAAGTAACATAGCCTCATATTCACTGAGTGATATAATTAAATTTAAAATATGCCTTTCTCCCCTTATTGGAGGAACAATACTATTAATTGCACTGACCTCTAACATGAGATTTTAAAACTGATTTCATATCAGTTATGGACAACTGTAAGGTAGATGCAACCATTCATCTTCAGGAGAACTTTATGTGATGATCTTCACCACTTTGTTCAGCATCATCTCCTTGATGACAAGATGACAACAGTGTCTACTAAGAGTACAGAATTATGAGAATCTTTGGATTTGATTCATTCCTTTAGGAAGCAAATTTTGTCTCTAAAAGCATATAAAGGTTGGCTTTTACATTTTCTTCTACTTGTGTAATTGTTAAGTTATAAACTCATTGATGGTAGCAGCAGCCCTTCCGGAGCAGCCGCTGGGAGGAATCCAGCTGCTGCAGGGGAGGCATGGCCAGACTCCATGGAGCCTGTGGGCTGGGAACAGATGATCCAGCAGGAGCCCCACGCCCCAAAGAGTTGGCAGGGTGGAGCCTGTGCTCCTGGGTGCAAATGCAGCCCAGCCACCATGGCAGCTGCCAAGCCATGGCTCCAGATCCGGGCATCCCTGTGCTCTCAGGGGCCCGAGAAGCCCCCTACCCCCACAGGCTCAGAAGTGCCTGCTCCCACTCCTTGGCCTCTCCCCACTCCACAGCAAAGCAAAGCTGTGGTCACGTCCCAATAGCTGAGCCTGGGTGCTGGCATGACCCGGCTGGGTGTGTGCATGCTTGGGGTGGTGCTGACACACCAACCCCCAGCTGCCTCAGTCTGCTCTGGAAACTGCTTCTGAGACTGAAACTTTGGTTACTGACGAGCACGGGAGGGAGGCCAGGGGGCTGAGGGTGGCTCGGCTCAGGCCTGTGGGTGCCCCTTGGCATGGACAGCCTGAATGCCATGGACAGCGTGTTGATGGCAGCAGGAGGCAGACAGGTTCTAGGCAGGAAAGGGTGGGTCCCTGTTGAAACCCCACCTTCAAGCCAGGGACAGCCTGAAGCCTGGGGAACTTTACCAAGTTCCAGGTGAAGTCTGACACCCAGAGTGACCACTTCTTTGATGCCTTTTAGCCAATCAAGTGATGCTTTTTCCATGTCCTCCCATGAACCAATTGGCACATACCTCCTCCTGCCCGTGGACCAATCAGCATGCATTTCCTCCATTCTGAGCCCATAAAAACCCCAGACTCTGCCAGAGTCAGGCACTGGTTGGGACTAACCGCCTGTAGGTAGGAACTCTCCACTTCAGGTTTCCTCTTCACTGAGAGCTGTTCAGTCACCCAAGAAAGTTCTTCTCCACCTTGCTTACCCTCCAGTTGTCCAAGTAACCTTGTTCTTCCCGGATGTGGGACAAGAACTTGGGATCTGCTTAACAGCAGGAGTGAAAAGAGCTATAACTTCTCTGGCCAGCTCACCAAGATGCTGGCAGGAACAAAAGAGGCTGTAACATGGTAGCCCTCCTGCCCTCCGCTGGTGCTGGGCAGCCACCCCATGCAATGGGAAGTAGTTGCAGGGCCAGGCCAGCCCAGGAGCCACAGTTGGAGTGGGATGGACTGAAAGAGCTGTAATACAAATGGGCTGAAACATCTCCCTCCAGCCCTCCCACCCCTGCTTGCCCTGCTGCAGGTGACAAGGAGGAGGAAAGAGCTGTGGTCCTTCTAGGATCCCAGACCTCGAGGCTCTCCAAGCCAGGGCTGTGACATGCTGTGGGGCTCTGTAGTTCCTTGCATCTCCGAGCTTTGAGGAGCCACGGTGTTCCCCTCATCCAGATGCTGCAGCCCACAGCAGAAGCTGTTTGCAGTATGTCTGGTCCAGCTGCAGCCTCACACAGAGCCAGCGCCTGTGCTAGTGCCTGGAGCTGCCTGCTCTGCCATAGCAGCTGGCATGCCTGGCTGTGCGCAGTGGCCAGGACCCTGTGCTTGCTCTCTCACACACCCCTTGCCACTCTGCACCTGGCTCGCCCTTGGCAGGTGTGGGATCTGGGCCAGTAGCATGAGCTGAGCACAGCCTGCCAGGCCAAGCAGGCAGAATGAGCCTGGCAGCCAAGAGCAAAACTCAAGCAGAAGCACCACCAGTCACAGAGGTTTCTGGCTGGTGAGGCGGCACCAAAAAAATCCTGTGTCATTATTTCTCTTATTTTTCTACATGACAGGGACAATTTGTATTCTTCAGCAAATCACATGTCACTCACTTACAGAAAATGCAATAAATCCCCTACCTCCCTGAAATCTCCTACCTCCTTTTTTTAAACAAGAAATTCTCTGGCCTGGAGTATCTGAAGATTAAGAATCATAGGGTAGATTAGGGTACAGGAACTCAGGAAAGCTAGTGTTTGGACATTCATTTTTCAGAGCTCATTGTCTGATGTTTTGCCTTTAACATTTTAGAATGGCAGAGCTAATTCACTGTGCCATGAATTAGAACCCAGATGGGGCTTCTGCTCCTCTCCTGTCAGACATAATTTGTCTCCTGGTTTCCTGCTGGCCTATTCTTCAGCATCGTGTTTGATATTACCCAGTCTTGCTCCCTGGTTCACCCATTTGGATGTAATCTATTGCCCTGACATTTTAGATCCTTAAATTCTCCCAGTCCTCCTATAGCCTGCCTTCCTTGGCAGGGTCTCATTTGGCACAAAACTTGACTTTACTCTTGGCCCCTTTGCTTGGCAAACTTTAGTTTCCTGCTCTCCATAGATGGCTTTTCTGAAATACGACCCTGGCTAGAATTGCAGACTTTGTGTTTGTAATTATCTGAAGAGTTTGCCCTCAAGAGTAAGATATGCTACTGGCAAACCACACAGCAGTTGAGCTGCCTTCTAGAGTTGCGTGCACTCCTCTCCAACTGACATCGTCTTCATTTCTGGCCCCAACTCATCCGGATGTGATCAGATGCCTGCCATCTAGAAGATATAAAGAACAACTTTATGCCGTGTGTGTGTGTGTGTGTGAACTTAATTCAGTATTTATATGCTAACTGATGGACAAAACAGAACTTTTTTAAAAACTTTAAAATATGAGAACTGCACTAGTTTAGAAGAGCTTTTACATCTCTTTCAGCTTCTTTTCTCCATGGTCACCCTTCAATTCTGCAGTCCATACTGCTTCAGTGAAAGTGTTACCCACAAAGCTACTAATAATGACTTCTTAGAAAATATAATGGATAAGTTTGTAGTTTTTACATGACTTGAACTCTTGAGAATATTTACAAACACTGACCATTTTATCCTTTTTTTAAAGCTTTTTATTTGGAGACATCATAATTTCCTATCTTATTTCCTATACCTCTGATATACTTTAAAGACACTTTTTTTTCTATTTTTATCCCTTAAATATTTGGCTTCTTACAAGTTCCACTAAAAGGTCTCTTAGATTCAAATATTATACATAGTCTGAGTAATCTCATTCATTTCCTTGTCTCAAATTATTATCACTTTGCAAATGTGTATCTTCTCCCAGACAGTTCCGCATAACTGCAAATGCATATATCCAACTATATTTTGGTTATCACCACTTAAATGTTTAAATTAAGGATCTTAGACAGAACTTCACCTGTCTTCACAGAACTGCTTTTCCTCCGCATTTCTTACCTCATAATAGCATCATGTGCTAGTTGCTCAAACCAGACACCAGCTAATTTCCTTCTTTCCTGTCCTGCCCACTAATAAATCACCACATCTTACAAATTTTATTTCTGCGGTGTCTAAAATATATCTCCCTCCCTTTCCTTAACTTCTATTCACTGCCAAACCCAGGGCTGTATCCCACTTTGCCTGAAATACTCCAAACTTTTGATGATTGCTTTCCTGTCAAGCCCATTCTCTAGCCAAGTTGATCTTTCTATATGAAAATGGAAACAATCACTACTCAGTTTAAAACTGTGTGCATTTTCTGGTGACTTCAGGATATAGTACTTAATCAGGGAAATAAAGGCCCACCAAAATCCTCCACACCTGTCCAATTTCAGCTTAGCACTTTCAACCCTTCTCCAAATTTCATTAACATTCTCTCTTGCTTTCGTAGATATGTACACTCTCGGATATAAACCTTGCAACATGATGTACCCTCTGCTTGGCTCTCACTTCTGACTTCACAAGCACACACTAGCACCCCTCCTTCCCTCTCACTATGCCTGGTTAACTTCCACTCACCTTTCATGTCTCAACTTGGATGTGACTTCCCTCGCGAGAAATCTTTCACTCAATAGAGGCCTCTCCTGTGTGCTAACAAGCACCCAGTAATGTCTCCTTTCATAGAATTTACGTTAAGTAATTGTGGCTTCTTGTAAATGAGCGTCTTCCAACCAGTATGTCAACTCAGTGAGGGAAGGTACAATGTCTCATTTTTTCACTGTTGGGTTTCTGGTTTTTAGCACAATTATGGATACTACAGACATGTTAACAGACTTAACATTTTTTTTCAATAAATGGAAGAATTGATATACCTCCCTAATAAAGATGTATATGAAAACTCGCAAAAGAGAGTTCCAAAGTCTTCACTTCTTACTAAGAAAACAAACAAAAAGAAGCCAAAGGCTTCAAATTATATTATCCTACAAAGCTCTACATGATCTGATCCTCCCATTCTTTACCTATTTTTTATTATTTTCCTATGATTATTTCTTTTGCTTGCTCCAACATAGCAGTTTTTGCCTTTGTTAAATACACCAGGCATTGCGTTTACGATAGCCATTTCTGTTGCTGTTCCCCTGACTAAAAGGCTGTCCTACAGATGTCTGCATAATTTTCTCTTCCACTACTTAAAGACTCTACTTAAATCTTAGCATCTCAATGAGGTTTTCCTTGGCTGACTATTTAAAGTTGCAACTCATTCCCATCAAACCTCAAACAAATACCGTTAGTGTCCCTGATTTATTTTCTTCACAAAAAATTATAAATCTCTGATTTATTGTATTTCGCTTGTTTCTCTTGTTTATTTTATATCTCCTCCCATCCCTTTATAATGTATGCTCCATAAGAGCAGTGGCTTTGATCTATTGTTGTTCACCGCTCTATCCCCAGTGTAGAGCATGCTTGCCATTGTTAAATAAATCAGTTAGAAATAAATAAATATGATTGTGGTGGTTAATTGTATGTGTCAGCTTGAGTAGATCATGAGGTGCCAGGTATTTGCTCAAATATTATTCTGGTTGTGACTCTGAGAGTGTTTTTTTTGGATGAGATTAACATTTGAATCTGTAGACTGAATAAAGCAGATTGTCTTCTCTAACATAGGTGAGACTCCCCCAATCAAATGAAGGTGGGAATAGAACAAAAAGGGGGTCCCTCTGGTGAGAAACAGAAAACTTTTCTTGTCTGACTGCTGAGCTAAAATAGCAGTCTTTTCCTGCCATTACACTTGAACTGAAACATTGGCTCTTCTTGGGTATCAAGCCTGCCAGCTCTCAGACAAACTATACCACCAGCTCTCCTGGGTCTATGGCTTGCCAAATGCAGATCTTGGGACTTTTCAGCCTCCTTAATAACGTGAGCCAATTTCTTATGATAAATATATATACATACATATAGATAAGACAATTTTATTTATATTTTTGGACAATTTTATAATATATGTTCTACATATATACATATTATCTAAAAATATATATATTATATATTATAAGATCTGCAATTTACAAGAAATTGGCTCACGTGTGTGCGTGTGTGCACATTTCCTGTTGTTTCTGTTCCCTGTTCCTCTGGAGAACCCTAAAATAATGCTAATAAAAATAAGCAACAAGTTAGTAAAACTTTAAATAAATAATTACAGAATAGTTTTAACCTATATACCTATATATAGCTGTGTACTTTAATGCCTTTAATAATATCTACTATTTAATGCAATTCGTGCTATTTATTCTATTTCTGGAATTATCACCACAGTTTTTTAGTTTCTACTATTTATTGTCTTACTTTCATTAGACTGTATGTCTATTTTCTATTATTCATAGATCACACTGGGGTTCAAGAGATACTTTTATTTACTGTGTTTCCTAAAATCCATGTTGAAATAGATTGAGTATCAGTATCTGAGAATTATTCATGGTATTGCTGCCTTTACTTTGAGAATCTGGCTTACTGATACATAATTTCCTCTAATTAAAGATATTTTACTGAAATAATTTTAAATATATGCAACAGAAATAATTTATGCAAATATGTTCCACTTATCTGAATGTCATCAAATTACTTCCAATAAATGGGCTATTCATGAGTTTGACTATCGTTTATATGATTTGACATTATTATAACATGTCTGTTAGTGTTGTTAGCAGAGTACAGTCTGGTCTGCCTTCTTTTCTTCCTCATAATCAACATATGGAGTTCATCTTCTCACCTCAGACCTGCTGTGTATCTACCGATTCCACCGATCTTTATGATGGAGCCAAAAGAGTCCAATATGTTTCACTCATACAAATCCTGCTTTTTATTCTGTCCCACAAAAGGCAAGTAAACAGAACAATGAAGTTTCTAGTCTTGCTGAAACACGACTTAGGTGAATAATAGCTTGCCTGAATTAGTGTTTTCAGCAAATGAAACAAAGAACTCCCAGCAAAGAACATCCGTATCCCTACTATCACATATTGTCCTTGAGGAATAATAAATAATATGTGCATTTCAAAGACTGAATGCTCCAAAATACCTCACTTGGTCTAATATGTTATTTAATGTGCATTTGCAGTTTGTAGCTCTAGATTCCTCTGACTGCTACAGTTGGTGCCATGCTTCTGTCTCATCTTTTTAGCTGGTCTTGCTGTCAACATTCCATGGAAGCCAGAGCAACCTCTGGATGAACTGTCTCAGGTGCAGCAAAGCAGGTGTGCTCCACTTGACTGTTACTATAATATTCATCAAGAGATGAATGGCTAACAATTGGATTCCCAAAAGGCTTTAAATATGTGTTTTAAATAAATTTGTCTCTTACCTTTGGCCCAGGCACCTCACGGGCTTATAATTAATATTCATCAAAAGAGTCCTGAATCTCCATAGGCCTATATGAAGTGTAGCTTGAGTCTGGTGTATTCTACCTTCTTGCTTAGTATTCAAATCCCCTCACTAGCCAAAATCAAGTGGTTGCATGCATGCCCACACATGTTAATATTTGTGATGGAAAAAATAACTTTGTATGATCTCTGTATACTTGGCAGAGTCTATATCAAAATTTAGATTTCTGTGCTCTAATCCCTTGTACTGAAGAAAAATATGAAATTCCAATTGCAGTGCTGTATTATTTATCTAAAAGTGCGATCCATGGGCCAGCTGCATTAAAATAATGCAGAATATGTCATAAAAATTTAGATTTCTGGAATCTACTCATGACTTATTGAATCTCTAGTGGTAGATTACAAGAATCAACATTTCTACCTTTGCTGGATTATTTTTCAGTATACATAAGTCTGAGAAATCTTGGCTTAGAAATGCTTACTATAGACTATACATAAGATTTTTCCACTAGGTAAATAAATTCACAATTCTAATTTTTATTTTTTTGCAATAATTTCAAGGTACAACAAAAAATGATTGAATTGCTTTTTATTTCCATAAGAAACTACACAAATATCTTGAAGATTCAAGAGAACATTGTACCAATGAATAAAAACTACATTATGGATCATACCATGTGGAAAATATGCTTTATGTTTTTGTCTCATAGTGTCCCTTAAGTGTTCAATAACTACAATTGATCATGTTGTATACTTCTATAAAAGTCAGCTTCTCCTGCCGAATGTTATTTGTGCATTGCATTTGTAAAGACATGTGCATACATGCATGTTTATATACCTATACATGTGCATACATAAGAAAACACACGTGCACACGTATGGACCCACATGCACATGTGTATTGACATGAAAATGTAACATGCACACACACAAGCATATATACATTTGCACAAATATATGCATACACAGAAATGGCAACATGTACAAATCACACACATGTGTACATGTCCTTGTATACATACACATGTATGTACATATACACTTGTGATATCCTTACTTCATACTGGAAACTCTTAAAAATATTATAGAAACCAATGTTTAGTTATCATTTGTCTTGTTCTTTCTATAAGAATTTGTGACTCTTGGAAGTCTAGAAGATTTTGTAGTGCTAAAAGGTCTGTTTATACCTGCCTCAATCCACTTAGCTAAGACCTCTAATGATTTTATAGATTCTACTTTGAACACAATTATAACTGACACTTTAACAAATGAATGGATACTGGGAAAAAAAAATAAAAGGACAAAATAGCATGATGAAGAGGGTTAGTGAATTGGAGAAATGAAAAGAAAGGGAGATCAGAATAATGAAATCAGAATAATGAACATCAGAATGTACAGGCTTAAAACCAAAAGCAACAGATTTACAGTGGGTAAAACCTCACAGAGAATTCCTTCGAGTGGAAACTTGGAGAGTGTGGAATTTAACAACTTCATATAACCTTAATTTTTCTTGGAATTCGTTTTCTTTACTTTGGATGATGATTTTTGAAATCTTCATTTAAAAAAATAAATACTCCAAGAAAAGATCATATAAATATCTCTTTCTTTAAGTGTATGCTTATTTCTTCATAAAAATAATAACCTCTTTATGAGTACATTATATTGTACAAATTTATTTTTCTTCCCCCAACTTCTTCCTACCTAGGGTAGAGGTAAAGAAAGAAATGACTTCCTCTTTTATCTACTCTTTCTTTACTTTGATGAGGTTTTGAAAATATTTCAGTATATTTTTATAAAAATGTTTGAATTCCTGAGTATTGAATTTGGAAGATAAAAATCAAGACTTGTTATTCTTTTATAATATCACAACATGTGAATTTTGGTCAAAATGAGGGCAATCAAAGGCTTTAATAAAGTTTAGCAACTACGTTGAAAAATACTGCTAAGATTTTTGAAAATTAAAAAAATCTACTTATGTAAATGTAATTTTCTTACTGTACTATTCAACATATTAAAAGAAATCCTATGGGCATGAACTCTTACAGGAAATTTTAAAAGAATTTACAGAAATGAATGGGGGTGTTGATATCATGGATACTTTCAAATCTACCTCTTTGATATAATTTTGACATTTCAGTAGTCTAATTTAACAAATTTAAAGTAATCTTGAATTTATTCTTACCAGCTTCATGATACATTTAAAATGAGGACAGCACTAGTTACAAGTTAGTGTCAATAAAATTTTCATTTCTATGTATTTGTCTTGGTACGCTACATTTTAATCTTTGGATATTCTAAGGTCCTTCGTACAGGGTCTTAGAATTAAAACTTCAACATTTTATAGCTTTTATTGTAGAGATCTTTCACATCTTTGGTTAAGTTTTGTCCTATTGTAATTTTTGTAGCTATTGTAAATAAAATTTTTTTCTTGATTTCTTTTTTGGATAGTTCATTACTGGCATATAGAAATGCTACTGATTTTTGCTTATTGATTTTTTATCCTGCAACTTTACTAAATTCACTTATTAATTGTAATAGCATTTTGGTGGAGTCTTTTTAGTTTTCTATATACATAAAATCATGTAGTCTGCAAACTGGGATAATTTGACTTGTTTCTCTCCTATTTGGATGCCTTTTATTTCTTTCTCTTGCCTAATTGCTTTGGCTTGAACTTTCACTTCTATGTTGAATAAAAGTGACGAAAGTGAGCATTATTTTGTTGTTACATATCTTAGAGGAAAAGCTTTCACTTTTCCTTGTTCAGTGTGATGTTAGCTGTGGGTTTGTCATATACAGACTTTATTGTGTTCAGGTATGTTCCTTCCAATACAAATTTGTTGGGAGTTTTTGTCATGAAGAAATGTTGAATTTTATTGAATGCTTTTTTGGCATCTATTGAAATGTTCACATATTTTGTCCTTGATTCTGTTAATGTAATATGTATGTTTATTAATTTGCATATGTTGAACCATCCTTGCATCCCTGAGAGTATCCCACTTGATTATGGTGAATAATCTTTTTAATGTGTTGTTGAATTTGGTTTGTTAGTGTTTTTCTGAGGATTTTTGAAGCAGACACAAATAAAAGGAAAGCTATTCCATGTTCATGGATTGGAAGATGTATTAGTCCATTTTCATGCTGCTGATAGACATACCTGAGGCTGGGTAATTTATACAGGAGAAAGGGTTTAATGCGCTTACAGTTGCTTGCAGCTGGGGAGGCCTCACAATCATGGTGAAGGCAAAGAGGAGGAAGTCACATCATATATGGATGACAGCAGGCAAAGAGAGAACTTGGGCAAGGAAACTCCATTTTAAAATCATCAGATCTTGTGAGACTTAGTCACTATCCTGAGAACAGCATGGGAAAGACCTGCCCCTATGACTCAATTACCTCTCAGTGGGTCCCTCCCACAACATGTGGGAATTCAAGGTGAGATTTGGGTGGGGACACAGCCAAACCATATCATTCTGCCCCTGGCCCCTCCCAAATCACATGTCCTCACATTTCAAAATCAATCATGCATTCCCAAGAGTTCCCCAAAGTCTTAACTCATTTCAGCATTAATTCAAAAGTCCATAGTCCAAAGTCTCATCCGAGATAAGGCAAGTCCCTTCCAACTATGAGCCTGTAAAATCAAAAGCAAGTTAGTTACTTGCTACATACAATGGGGGTACAGGCAATGGGTAAATACAGCCATTTCAAATGGGAGAAATTGGGCAAAACAAAGGGGCCACAGGCCCCAAGCAAGTCCAAAATCCAGCAGGGCAGTCAAATCTTAAAGCTCCAAAAGGATCTCCTTTGACTCCATGTCTCACATCCAGGTCACTGTGATGCAAGAGGTGGGTTCCCATAATCTTGAGCAGCTCACCCTTGTGGCTTTGTGGGGTATAGCCTCCCTCCCAGCTGCTTTCATGGGCTGAAAAGTGAGTGTCTGCAGCTTTTCCAGGAACACAGTGCAAGCTGTAGGTGAATCTACCATTCTGAGGTCTGGAGGATGGTGGCCCTCTTCTCACAGCTCCACTAGGCAGTGCCCCAGTAAGGATGCTGTGTGAGGGCTCTGACCCCCACATTTCCCTTCTGCACTTCCCTAGGAGAAGTTCTCCATGAGAGACCTGCCCCTGCAGCAAACTTCTGCCTGGGCATTCAGACATTTCCATACATCCTCTGAAATCTAAGTGGAGGTTCCCAAACCTCAGTTCTTGACTTCTGTGCACCTACTGGCTCAACACCATGTGGAAGCTGCCAAGGCTTGGGGCTTGCACCCTCTGAAGCCATGGCCTGAGCTGTACATTGGCCCATTTTAGTCATGGCTAGAGTGGCCAGGATGCAGAGCACCAAGTCCGTAGACTGCACACAGCACAGGGACCCTGGACCAGGCCCACAAAACCATTTATTCCTCCTAGGCCTCTGGGCCTATGATAGGAGGGGCTGCTGTGAAGACCTCTGACATGCCCTGGAGACATTTTCCCCATTGTCTTGGGGATTAACATTTGGCTTCTCATTACTAATGCAAATTTCTGCAGCCAGCTTGAATTTCTCCTCCAAAAATCAGATTTTCTTTTCTATCGCATCATCAGGCTGCAAATTTTCCAAACTCTTATGCTCTGCTTCCCTTATAAAACGGAATGCTTTTAACAGCAACCAAGTCACCTCTTGAATGCTTTGCTGCTTAGAAATTTCTTCCACCAAATACCCTAAATAATCTCCCTCAAGTTCAAAGTTCCACATATCTCTAGGGCAGGGCAAAATGCCACCAGTCTCTTTGCTAAAACATAATAAGAGTCACTTTTGCTCCAGTTCCCAACAAGTTCGTCATCTCCATCTGAGACCGCCTCAGCCTGGGCCTTATTGTTCGTATCACTACCAGCATTTTTGTCAAAGCCATTCAACAAATCTCTAGTAAGTTCCAAACTTTCCCACATATTCCTTTCTTCTTCTGAGCCCTCCAAACTGTTCCAACATCTTCCTATTACCCAGTTCCAAAGTTGCTTCCACATTTTCAGGTATCTTTTCAGCAGTGCCCCACTCTACTTGTACCAATTTACTGTATTACTTGATTTTCACACTGCTGATAAAGACATAGCCAAGACTGGGTAATTTAGACAGGAAAAAGGGATTAATGGACTTGCAGTTTCACGTGGCTGGGGAGGCCTCACAATCTTGGCAGAAAGCAAGGAGGAGCAAGTTACATCTTATGTGGATGGCAGCAGGCAAAGAGAGAGCTTGTACAGGGAAACTCCCATTTTAAAACCATCAGATCTTGTGACACTTATTCACTACCACGAGACCAGCATGGGAAAGACCCACCTCCATGATTCAATTGCCTCTCAGCGGGTCCCTCCCACAACACATGGGAATTCAACATAAGATTTGGGTGGGAACACAGCCAAACCATATCAGAAGGATTAATATTGCTAAAATATGCATATTACCCAAAGTGATCTACAGATTTAGTGCAAACCCTATTAAAATACCAGTGACATCCTTCACAGAAACAGGAAAAGCAATCTTAAAATGAACATGGAAATGCAAAAGATCCCAGATAGCCAAAGCAACCTTGAGCAAAAAGAACAAAGCTGAAGGCATCATGCTACATGACTTCAAAATATACTACAAGGCTATAATAACAAAAATAACATGGTACTGGATAAAAAAGATGCATAGACAAATGAAACCTGAATGGAGAACCCAGAAATAAATCTATGCATTTACAGTCAACAGATATTTAACAAAGGCATGAAGTACAGATATTGGGGGGGCGGGGAATTTCTTTAATAAATAGTGCTAGGAAAACTGGATATCCACATGCAGAAGAATGAGACTAGATTCCTATCTCTCACTATATACAAAAATGAATTGTAAATGACTTAAAGACTTAGATGTAAGATCCCAAACTATTAACCTACTATGGGAAAACACAGGGGATATGGTTCATGAAATTGGACTCGTCAAAAGATTTTTTAAAATAAGACCTCAAAAGCATAGGAAACAGAAGCAAAAATTAGTAATATTGGATTACGTCAAACTAAAAAGCTCTTGCAAAGCAAAGGAAACAATCGATAGAGTGAAGAGACAACTTACATGTTAGGAGAAAGTATTTGCAAACTACTCATCCAGAAGGAGATTCATATCCAGAATATATAAGAAACTCAAACAACTCAGTAGCAAAAAATGATAATAATCGATTTTTAAAATGGGCAAAATATTTCTAAATAGATGTATCTCAAAAGAAGGCACACAAATGGCCAACAGATATATGAAAAAAATGTTTAACATCATTAATCATCATGGAAATGCAAATGAAAACCACAGTAAGACATCACTTTACTCTAGTTAAAGTGGTTATTACCAGGGAGATACAAAAATAATAAATGCTGGCAAGGATGTGGAGAAATGGGAACTCTTATGCACTGTTGATGGAAATGTAAATTAGTATAGTCATCATGAATACAAATTAGAACAGTATTGAGGTTCTCAAAAAATTAAAAACAGAATTACCATATGATTTAGCAATATCATTTCTGGGTATATATCCAAAGGAAATGAAATCAATATGATAAAGAAATATCTGCATTTTTATGTTTATTGCAGCACTATTTATAATGGTCAAGGTATGGAGTCTACTTAAATGACCATCTGCAGATGAATGGATAAATAAAATGTGATATGTATATATCACATTAATAATGTTCCATTGTGTATGAGTATATATATATATGTGTATATATATATGTGTATATATGTGTGTATATATATATGTATATATATGTATATATATACATATATATATACACATACATATATATATATATATATAGTCATAAAACAGAATGAAATCCTGTCATTTATGGCAAGCTAACATGGGTGAACCTGGAGGACATTATGTAAAAAATCAGCCAGGTACAGAAAGACAAACACTTCATGATCTCATTCACATGCAAAATTTTAAAAAGTTGATTTCATAGAAGGAGAGAGTAGAATAGTGGTTATCAGAGGCTTGGGAAGGTTGAGGGGAGAAAACAGGAAAGGTTGGTTAATGTGTTCAAAGTTACAGTTAGGAAGAATAAGTTTTGGTGTTCTATTACACATTAGAATGACTATAGCAAATAATGTAGTATTATTTCAAGATAACTAGAAGAAAAGATTTTAAATATTATCACTACAAAGAAATAATAAATGTTCAAAGTGATAGATATGGTAATTACCCTGATTTGATCATTATACAATGTATACACACATTGAGTTATCACAATGTACGCCATAAATATGACAATTACAAATTTAAAAATTGATAAAGAATTAAAATTTTACAACCTATTTATGAAACATAGTAGTTGTTTTGTTACCTGCATCTGATAACAAATATTCATGTAAATATACGTAATGCACATATCAAGTTCCCTAAACAACTTGAAAATACATATATTATTTTGAAGTAAATCACCACTCCACAAATTATCAAAAACCCATCACCTTTCAGTTAGCTCATTGTTTTGTATTTTTAAAACACCTTATAGGGACCATACGTAATCTAAAAATATTTAATTTTTTTTTGTTTCCCAACTTTATTTTATCTTTAGTGTTACAAAATTAGTTGATTTAAAAAACCCATATTAGGCCAGGCGTGGTGGCTCATGCCTGTAATCCCAGCATTTTGGGAGGTCGAGGCGGGCAGATCACCTGAGGTCAGGAGATCGAGACCAGCCTGACCAACATAGAGAAACCCTGTCTCTCTAAAAATACAAAAATTAGCTGGGTGTGGTGGCATATGCCTGTAATCCCAGGTACTCGGAAGGCTGAGGCAGAAGAATCGCTTGAATCCTGGAGGTGGAGGTTGCAGTGAGCTGAGATTGCACCACTGCACTCCAGCCTGGGCAGCAAGAGCGAAACTCCACCTCAAAATAAATAAATAAATAAATAAATAAATAAATAAAATAAAAGATAAAAATAAAAAACTCATATCCTCAGCATTTCATTCATTTATTGTGCTTAAAATTGCTATGCATTGTATTTGGGGTTGCAATTATGTCATTTTGACCCTAGAGTAATGTGGTATAGTATTTTTTTCATTTTTGTAGTACATATTTACATAAAAAATTATGTAAAGAGATAAGAATAATGAAATTGTGTGATTACTTCAGGCATCACAATTTCTCAGGAAATAACATATATTCCTTTTTAGTGTTATTGTCTATTTCATTGTCTTGTCTTCATGAAGATATGGCCTAAATAATACTTCCTTAAACAACTTTAAATTTTTAATAGTTGTGTGTGAATAGATTTTTCAGAATTGTGGGTACTAACAGTAAATGACAGCTGTTGCAAATTACTCATTCTTTCAGGTGTTGGGGAAAATGTTATGATGACATCATTATAAAGGTGAAAGATTTAATGAGACATAACTATAAGACAAGGGGAAGGCATAAGGATTTTTAAAAATTGCATACTGACCTGTATATCAAGTAAAGTAATAGTAAAGGACATTTGCTATGATTTTCCATAAAAGCTAATATGGAAATCTATACCGTCATTCCTACTTGAAAAGGTGGAAGGACATTCGTGCAATGAGGCATTGATAAATGCCTGCAAATTAGAATGAAATGGCAATTTTGTCTATGGAATGTTTATCTGCCCTGTCAAATAGGAATTGAAACATATTCCACTTCTGCTTGTCAGAATAATGTTCCTGAGTTTCAGGCCATTGTATTTTTTTGTCTCAAGAAATTTGGTTCCAGGTTTGCTGTGAATATAGTGTAAGGACAAACATTACTTGAATTTATAGTATAACTCTAATTATGATTTTATTTTATGTGTCTGATTATGATGCTAGGAAGATAAGCTTTTTGTGGTAAGGCTGTTTTGAGTCATTTATTTTGCTTATTAGAAAATGTATCTTCCATAAGCATTCCACCTAAAATAGGTATTCTGAATTAAAATTTACTAAACTTTTTGGTGTGTGAGTGTGAGTGTGTGTGTGTGTCTGTTTGCTTGCCTCCAACAAGCAATGCAATTTAGTTAATTTACTTTTGAAGGATCCAGTAGTAACAGGCTATGGCATTTCTTATTTGTACTTTTACATTGCTATTTTTTTCTCATATATTTACCCTAATAAAGTAATTTATCATTTGCCAGGGGGGTATATGCATATATATATATACATATATATATATATATATATACACGTGAAAAATGAAAAATTACAAATGATAAATATATATACATATCTATACATATATGTATAGATACATATCTATGTATACACACACACACACACACACACACACACAAAGTGCTGGGAAGTCACATATTAAGATAGTTATGTCTAGCAGTGAATTTAACTCTTCCAACGGAGAGAATTCCGTCAATGAGAAACTGAGACAGTTAAATAATTTGTCCTAGCTTGTATAGCAACTGATTGGGAGAACAAGCATATAAAATGAAGCAGTCTGGCTAGAGGGACACCATGTCACTATTTCTGTTCTTTGAGCTATCCAAAGTGGACTGCAAACCCTACAATACATTATTTAATTTTGCTTTAAACTCTCATTTAACATTTTCCCTATATATTTTAAAACAATTTATACTTACAGAAAAGTTGCAAAGACAGTACAGAGAGCTCCTTTATAGCTTTTACCCAGCTTCCTCTAATATTAACATGTTGCATAAATACTGTACAATTATTGAAACTAAGAAACTAACTTTTTTTGGTAGAGACAGAGTCTCATTATGTTGCCCAGGCTGATGTCCAACTCCTAGCCTAAGGAACCCTCCTGCTCATCAGCCTCCCAAAATGTTGGGATTACAGGTGTGAGCCACTGCACCTGGCCATGAAATTAACTTTGGTACAAAATTATTAACTAAACTACATTTCTCATTTCATCAGTTTTCTCATTTCATTCATTTTTCCACAAATGTTCCTTTTCTATTCTGGGATCCAATCCAGGATGCCACATTACATTTAGTTCTCCTCTTTTCTTAGTCTCCTCCAATCTTTTCCTTATCTTTTTCATGATCTTAACACTTTCAAAGAGCATGACCTGATATGTTATAAAATGTGTTTCAATTTTTGTATCTCTGCTGCTTTCTTTCTATTAGAAAGAGGCTATGGATGTTGAAGAAAGTATTACAGAGGTGTTGTCTGTTTTCAGGCATCATATCAAGGGTGCATGGTGTTTGTGTCTTATTCGTGGTTATATTAACATTTACCACTTGGTTAAGGTGGTGTCTCCCAAATTTTTTCACTGTTAACATTTTTCCTTTTGTAATTAATACGTATTCAGAGTGAGATACGTTAAAGCTATTAAATGCACTGTTTCTCAGACTTTTGTTTTCTGATTTCAGCATTTGTCTTCTGATCAGCATTTACTGCTGGATCTTGCCTCCAATGATTACTACATTGCTCTAATGGTGATATTATGTTTCCTTTACTTTTATATTTATTAATTGAAATTCATCTATAAGAAGGAGTTGACCCTTTTTCTTCCCAATTATCTTTAAATACATTTAACAACAGGAAAAAATTCCTATCTCCCCCACATTTATCCATTTTGGCACTCATTTCTTTGCATAGATCCGTGTTTTCATATGGAATAGCTTTTCCTCTGCTCGAAGAAAATCGTTTGCCATTTCTTACAGTGCAGATATGCAAAGAACACATTCTTTTAGCTTTGTTGTTCCGAAGACTTTTTTTATTTGGACTCCAGTGAAAGATATTCACCATGCAAAGCATTCTAGGCTGGAAGTTTTATTCTTTCAGCCCTTTAAATATGTTTTTTCCATCTTATTCTGGTTTGGATAGTTTATGAAGAAAAGTCTACCTTAAATGTTATCGTTATTCCTTCATACCAAAGGTTGATGATATTTTTCTGTAAAGGTCAAGATAGTAAAGATTTTCAGGTTTTGCAGGGGTCACATAATGACACTGTTACATATTCTTCTTTTTTAAAGAAATATAAAAATATTCTTAGCTTTTGAGTACTGTAAGAACAGGACACAGGCCAAATTTGGCACATGGACCACAGTTTGTTTACCCCTACTTGATGTTTTTTTTTTTTTTTTTTCTCTTGCTGCTTTTAAGGATTTCTCTCATTCTCTTTCTCTCTCTATATTTAATTTAACTATAATGTGCCTTGGTGTAGTTACCTGCATGTTTCATCTGTGTGATTGTCATTTAACTTCTTGGGTCCATGGGCTTAAATTCACCAAATTTGGAAAAATCTTGGCTATAATTTCTTTAATTTTTTTTTCTTACCATAACTCCTTCCAGCTGTTAATCTTGTCTCATAAGTCATTTTTCCTGTACTTTTTCTCTTTCATTCTCTCTACTTCCTTTTGGATAGTTTTTGATAGTATGTTTTCAAGTTTACTGATTTTTTTTTCTGCCAAATCTAATCTTATTTTAAACTTAGCCAGTGAGTTTGTTACTTCAGGTGTATTATTTTTCATTTTTAGTAATTATATTTGGTTATTTTATATATTTTCCACTTCTCATTATGTTCATGTTTTTCTTTAAATCTCTGAGCATGTTTATAATAGATTTTACAGTACTTGTTCACAAATACCCGCATTTTTGTCATTTTTGGAAATATTTATATTGATGACTATGTCTTGTTGTAAATCTCATTTTTCTGATTCTTCATATGTGTAATTTTTTCATTAGGTTTTTTGTGAATGTTATGTTGTTAAGTGTTGACATTTATTGTCTTTATTTAAAGAGTGATGGACATTGTTAGGCAGTTATTTGTCAACTAATTAACAACTAATTGACAAATAACTACCTAACAATGTCCATTGCTCTTCAAATAAAGGTTTTTCAAAGCTACTTTTTAAAAACCTTTTAAATATTTTTTTAGGGCAGGTCTAGAGCAGTATTTAATTTAGCCCTAATATAAAGGCATTACCTTCTGGGGTCTCTACACAGTGTTCCACGTATTGATTCATCCCTACTCTGCATGGTTAGAGCTAGAATAATTCCCAGTGTTGTGTGATTCTTGGGACTTGTTTGGCTTATAATTCCCTTGTCATTGCTCTTTCCTTAGATGTTCTTTGCCTGCCTTTTGGGGTTTGACTCTTCTGTGCAGAATGCAATCCACTAAAAATTCAGAGGTCCCTAAACAGATTATTGGAACTATTTCTCTGTATATGTCTCTCATCTTGCATTTTCTACCTTGTAAATTCTAGTCACCTCAGCATCCTGTAAGTCGAATCCTCATGTAGTCAACAGAGCAAAATCACTGATTTCTGTTTGGGTTTCCCCTCCCTGTGTTGCATTCTAGAAACTGTCTCCAGGCATAAAGATACTGCAATTTGTTTCCCTAATTCTAGGAATAATAGCCCTGCCCTGCCTATTGTCTAACATCTAAAAATGTTTATTTTATATAATTTGTTGGGTTTTCTAGTTGTTATAGTAGGAAGAGAAGTCCAAGGCCTATTACTTCCTGTGTGCTGACCACTGGAAAATCTTGAGCAGAAGAGTGCTGCAAATAATGGACCTGTCCCCTGCCCCTCGAAACTGCAGCCTGAAATCCAGCGCTTACTATCCTGTTTATGCCTAGTTGCTCACCTGTGACTTTTCTTTCCCTGTTCTTTTGATTACAGCTATCATCCAATATTTGACTTCTTTGTGTCAAAGAGGCTAACAGACATTTTGCTCCATATTTTTCACATTCTCCATGACAAAGTATTGAATATGAAACAAGAAATACATAGGAATGGCTGAGGTTTTATAGCATCCAATTAAACTGATACATAATCTCCACTTTTATGTATGTGTACTAAGACTGAGCCTGTAAGAACTTCACTGAAAAGATTTAACATCATCATGTCATAGAATTCCCTCTGACATGCATAACTGATCAATATTTATCTATAGAATGAATCAATACATTAATGTCTGTAGTCATTTGTAGGTGTTGAGCTACTACCTCTTAGTTACAAACCCTGATAATTTTCTCTGATTTAAAAGTAGGCCAGGCACAGTGGTTCACACCTGTAATCCCAGCACTTTGGGAGGCCAAGGCAGGAAGATCACCTGAGGTCAGGAGTTCAAGACCAGCCTGGCCAACATGATGAGACCCCCATCCCTACTAAAAGTACAAAAAATTAGCTGCGCATGGTGGTGGGCACCTGTAGTCCCAGCTACTCAAGAGGCTGAGGCAGGAGAATCCCTTGAACCTGGGAGGCTGAGGTTACAGTGAGCTGAAATCAAGCCACTGCACTCCAGCCTGGGTGACACAGCGACTCTGTCTAATAAATAAATAAATAAAAATAAAAGTGACTTGATTTTTTACATCATATTCCCTTTCTCATGTCTGGTTGTAGGATGAACTAGAGCTGTAAAATTCTTCATAGGTAACATAGAAGTGATTTGCCCTTTAAAGCCTTCCATCTTAATGTAGTATAGTGTAGCTGTTCGCACAGATAGAGTCTAAAGTCAGGCTGCTGGGAAAGGGAAGGAAAAGGAGGAAAGAGATAAAGAAGGGGAATGAAAAGAGAGGATTATTTGGTAGACAAATGACAAGTTTAAATTAAACATATGAAACATATGTTTTGTTTCTCCACCTTCCTTTCTTTAAAATGGCTTCATTTTCTGAGTTTTGGTGAACATAATTTCTTTTCCACTTTGAATGCCTCAGAAAGCAATAATCTTCATAGTCTCAAAGCCAAGCTTTCAAGCACTGACATCTGTCTTTGTAGTTAAGGTGTTCACAGAATTGCTGTTAGACACACAAATGAATAGATGCACTCACACTTTCCACTCATAAAGAATAAAGGCAACTTGACATTTTCTATACTGCTTTATTTAGTCTGAAAGTCTCAGGACTTTTCCAGTTAAAATATTAGATTCTTAAAATGGTAAGCATGCTTAGCAAAACATAACTAATTTCTGATATTTCTGTGTATAGTCTTTCTGGATTAACACATTTCAATTTCTTGTCCATTAGTATTCTTTTGCTTTTATTTAATCAGAATCAAAAGTAATGATAAAATTCATGGCAAGATAAATCAAATGTGACCTTACTCTCTGTTGAGTTACCAATGGACAGACAATGGTCATTTACTATTAACTGCTAGTCCATTAAAATGGTTATGAAACAGATTATTTTATAAACAATAATATTGAGAAAATCCTGGCTCCAAATCTATACTACTACTTTATTATTTAATTACTTAGCAAAATACTTAATTATCTTTGCTATAAAAACATCAAATTGTAAATTTTTTTTCTTTTTTTTTTTGAGACAAAGTCTCACTCTGTTGCCAGGCTGGAGTCCAGTGGTGCAATCTTGGCTCACTGCAACCTCCGCCCCTCAGGTTCAAGCGATTCTCCTACCTCAGCCTCCCGAGTAGCTAGGACTACAGTTGCGAGCCACCACGTCCAGCTAATTTTTGTATTTTTAGTAGAGATGGGGTTTCGCCATGTTGGCCAGGCTAGTCACGAACTCCAGACCTGAAGTGATCCACCTGCCTTGGTCTCCCAAAGTGCTGGGGTTACAGGCGTGAGCCACCGTGCCTGGCCAAATTGCAAATTTATAAGTGTGTGTGTGTGTGTGTGTGTGTGTGTGTGTGTGTGTCTGTGTGTCTGTGTGTGTGTAATCAGATGCCTAAAATTCCTTTTAAGTATGACAGGAAGACATTTGTTACCGATTGATATAAACGTCTTCCTGTCATACTTAAGAGGAATTTTCAGTTAAAAACTTTCAGTTTTGGATGGTATGAATTTCATAGACCATACACTTAGATTACTTAGATGTTTATGAAATGAAAGTGTATGTGTGTATGTGTGTGTGTGTGTGTGTGTTTGTATACACTGAATTTAATTTATAATTGTACCTCATAGCAGAAAACTGAACCTTAGCAGATAGGGTCCCTTCAAATTTTTCCTATTTTAGTAAGCTTAGGGCTCCTTCCTATTCCTATCCCCACTGCCCCACTGTGGCATAGATTCTAAATGTAAGGGAATAAAAGCAGTCTAATGGAACGTGGTAAAAGCAAGCTGCAAGAATCTAGTCCTTGCATTACATCTATCCATAGCTAGCATCTGCTGAGATGACCATTAAGAATAAAAATAGCTAACATATATGAAACACTCATATAACCCTATGCTAGGTCCTTTACATATCTGAATTCACCCAGCCTTCATAACAGCCCGTGAAGTAAGTACTATTATTACAATGTGCATTTTATAGATAGGAAAACTGATGCACAGAGTTTAAAAACTGGGCCAGGTTTATGCAGCACTTAAGAAACAGAGCTGGAGTTTGAACGCAATACTGGAACTCTGGAACTTCAGCTTGGAATCTCTGTGCTCGGCAGGCTCTCCTGCTGTCTACTCCTTCCATATAAGCCTCCACATCAGCACAAGCTGAAGCTATTGTATTATATTTGGAAGGTAATGTGACGCATTCCACAGCGGCTTCCTCATCCCTCCCTCTGCAGACTGCTGGTTCTCTAAGTCCCGACTGTGCCACTCATGTGCAATACATGTGGTATAAAATGACTTGTCTGCTCACTCCTAGAACCTATTGAGGTTTACAGGGCCTCTGGGCCTCGTGTCCATCAGCCAAATAACTCACGTAAACATCACTATGTATTCACAGGGTCATGGTTTTGGGAGTGTTCTAAATGTTTAAAGTATTCCAATCAGAAAGCTGGATGCTCTGTCACTCTACCCAGGAGTGCAGTCAGAATAATCTCTAATTCAAGAGGACACTGGTCCATGGCTATCTTTCTTTTCTTACTGTATCTTGTAACTTCTGTGGTGCTTTATCGAGATTTACCAGGTAAGGAAAATTAATTCTAAAGTTATGTATTTTTCTCTGTTAGTTATTTTAAGTCAGGAATTTAACTCTTAATGCTGAAAAAAACCCTTACCATGCAATTTAAGTCTTTTGTCTTAAGGTAGTTGGGGCTCCCTTGAATTCAAAAGTAGATTTTGAAATCCACAACATGAGTCCTTACTTATTTCTCATTGTTTTATTTATTTCTTTTCTTTTTTGCTGTATCTTTCCTTTCTTGAGGCAGTGAAACTAAAATACTATGTCTCCCTGAAATGAGGAGAAGGGTTATGTGGGGAAAAATTCAAAATTAAAACCACATTGGTTAAGGATTCAAAATATTCCTTCATGACTTCAAAGCTCTAATTTTAAAGAATTTGAGAATTATCTATACTGGTATCAGCAGGCATCTTATGTAAAAGTCACTTAGTGGTCTCTTTCCTTCCAAAGAGTTTGGGAGTCTTGTGACAAATTCTAAGAAACCTTAAGAATCATAACATTGCCTCTGATTTTTAGAAGAGAGGAGGAAAACTGAAAATATTTTAAAGGAGCCAGAAGTCTGTGGTTCTGGTCCCAGTTCTGCCAATGGCTAGTTGTGTTGCCAAAAAGTAGTCACTCAAATCTTAATCTGTGAATTACTCAACTAACATTTCTGGAGCATCATCTATGAGTAAGACATGTTATTTGTTTAATCGTCACAACCTTAGTGCAGTCAGATAGTTTAAATAATTTGTCCAATATCTGATAGCAAGTAACTGGCAAAAGTGCAACTGAAGGAGAGTAGGTATTATTCCAATATAATATTTCCTGATATCTAAAAATCCCATCTAGGTCAAAATACTCTGTAATTCTGAGTGGGAGTTGGCAGAAAAGTCTGAAAGATTTTGTTGGGAGGCTTTAAAGGTTTTATATGTTTTACTGTGATCTGTTGCAAAATATTATCCCTGGATGTTAAAACCAGATGCTTGCTTGCCAATACACTCTACCAAAGGTCTTCCCTGTTCTTTGCATCTCTTATTTTGTATCCAGTACCTGCGTTTTATCATGTCTTTTAAATATTCTTACACACACAAGGCTTACTAACCTTTCCAAAATTTGTTAATAATATCCATTTTCCTAGTGATGGTTGTCATGGACCCAAAAGTGCAATTTATGTCTATCTATCTCCTCCAGGATTACATTCCCATTAGGCAGTGTGTAATGCTTTCTCACCATGCATGCTGTCAGGCTGACATCACCAGTGAAATATCTGAATTAATACACAAGCTAACATCATTTTAGCATTAGAAAAATGCCATTTTTAAAGGGACAGTATACAATGATAAACAATGCTTGGGCCTGTGTTGAAAATCAGATAATAGAGTTTTCTAGTTCCCTTGGAGAAAACATTAATTAAGCAAACACTTTCCCATTTACGTTTGCAATGAAATACTCGGTTGATTTGCAAATGTGAGTGATTTTTTTTCGCAGAACTTCTTAATGATGACTTCTTGTCTAATTGATAGCTGGAACAGTATTACACATAATTCAATTTTCATAAACCCAGAGCTTAGAGCTTTGGTTGTTTGCAAATGGAAAGAGATTTTTTTTCTTTTAATTGATGGAGGTGAAAAGTTTAGTTGTGAGTTCTACAAAAACAAAACAAAACACCAACAACTCTTTTAAGATCCATGTAGCCTCTAGCTTGTAATTTAATTTTTCAGATCCATTTTTGTTATTTTTTAGCCAAAATTTTCTCATTTCTCTATCCTCACTGGAGTAGTCTGGAAAATAATATGAAAGAGATCCACAGGTCTGGAGAAATACTGGACAACCTAAGCAAAAGCCCCTTATACCTCTTACACATAAACTTTAGAGAAATAATAACCATAGTATAATATCTTATAGTTTGTAAAAAAATTGTGTCCACGTTAAAAAGAGATTATGATAGTATAATAGCCCTCAATTTCATAAAAGCAGAATTTCCAGTCTCTGTTTAGCTTTCTTCCTCTGGTGCAGTGGTTCTCAAACTTGGCTGTACATTGGAATCACCTAGGGAGTTTTAAAACTATGAGTCTTATAACCAGAGATTCTGATGTCATAGGGCACTGCCTGGGCACCTGGATCATTGAAAGTGCTCCAAGGTGGCACTAAGGTGTAGTCAAGGCTAAGAACCATTTTGTAAATGTTTTGAAAATTCTCAAGACATGCTTACTCATCATGCTGGGCTGCTGATCCTACCACCTCTTCCAGTTGGTTGCCTCACTCTCCTTTCTCTTCAGGAAACGAACTAGATAGGGTTTATTCTCAAGGCCATGACACTCTGTTATCAGTCTGTTGCACCTGATTTTCTGTTGAAGATATGGCTTATGCCATTGTTGGTCCTTGTGTCTTCAGTGTTGCTGTGCCCTGAACTTTCTGTTGACAGGCTGATGGGATGCCTGTTGCGGCTTATACTTCACCCATGCTCCTGGTTATTGCTGGCTTTGAATATTCACCTCAATCAATAGGGTAATACGTTCTTCTTTCTTGGAATGTCTCCTTCAAAACCTGTCGTGTATTAATTTCTTTATTAAACTGTATGTCATTGCAACATCTATCCAGTCAGGGAGAAGGCTGGTATTAATTTCTTTATTAAACTGTATGTCATTCCAACATCTATCCAGTCAGGGAGAAGGCTGGTACTAGATCTCTTGGCAAGGCAGTAGAAAAGATTAGCTAATTCCTTTTGCTTTTCTTGTTTCTCATATCCAGCTCAAGGCCAGAGGAGCCATTTCCTAGAGTTTATTCACAGGATGAAAAGGATATCTCAGCTCACTTAATTAAGGCTTAGATAGAATTAGAGGGGAGGATTTAGTAAACCTAGTCTTGCTCCTTTTCTAGCCCTGGAGGATAGTTACAATAGGGAACAGAGAGAATGAGGGGAAAATAAATCTGCTCACTTTCTTTGGGTCTTTGAAGCTCCTTAGTGGGAAGATGTGTTAAACAAGTGAGGATAACATTTATTGCAAAGCAAAAGGACTTCAATCTATTGCTGGGTTCTGAAAGAAAAAAAAAAAAAAAACTTCTTTACTAACCTGGCACATAACAATTTGGCAAACTTGGTCGGACCAAGAAAAAAATAAATAGATGAAAGAATAATGAATAAATAAATAAATAAACAGGATGTAAGTCATGTAGCTTTACCTAAGCTGCTCACTGTTGTTAGGAGATGTGGACTCTGATTTGAGACTAAAGAACTGCTTTATGGCTTCTAAGGGAAGGTCTCACAGCAGAGGGTGGAGATGGGCAGCCAGCAAGAACTAAGAAGAAACCCCATCAGCAAAAGAGAAATGCCGAGTACTTCCTAGATTGCTTGCACAAAAAGAATACTCTATGAATTCATTCACCACAGACTTGTGCATCAGAGGCCAACACTGATTGCAGGAATGGACCGACGAAGAACAAACTTCTTAGACTAAAGGATCAGCGGGAGACAGCCACAGGAGAGAAAGTCCTTATACTCCTTCAGGAATTCATTTAGATATCTATAATCAGAAGCATGTCAGCAATGACGAGGCCTGAGTAATTTTATACAAGAAAAACTGGAGGGATTGTTGGAATTGTGTGATTCTGGCTAAGCTTTCACAGGATTAGGTACTGAGTTTATTTTTCAGATAACAGCTGTGTATAGACTCTGGAGGCAGATCAGTATAATGGTAGTTAAAAAACATAACAAAAACATTATGCTTTCTCTATACAGTCATATTGGAGCAAGGCACAGCAACACTAAGAAGATGTATAGAAACAGCCTTATGAATCCACCTCTCAGAGAATCTGAGGTTTTACTCTTCTTTTGTTGTTTCTCTCTCATGATAATGAGATACAAATCCTGCATCTTGTCCCCTGGATACGTTAGTATCTGCCTTCACCTCCTAGATCTTACTGTTGATCTTCTCTCTCCTGTATCTTCATCCTATCCTTTTCTACTGGCTCCTTTACAATAGCTTTTAAACATATACAAGTAACTTTTACCATAAAAATATTATGCAAAGTACACAAGAAAATGAAACAACACTCCTCAACTCAATATATTCTCAGCTATTTCCTTATTTCTCTTTACAATTAATAATATTAGTCCAGACTCGTTTTTACACCATTTTTTCTAGCATTGCTCTGAAAATGTTTTTGCCAATATTTCTAATAACAGATTTATTCCTAAATAAAGATCCTCTGCAGTCTTGTTTTACTTATCCTTGAACATGCTGTTTTTGCACTTCATAATATCTTATTTCTGGTTTCTTCTTATCTCTCCAGCCACTCCATTTTGTTCTCTGTTAGTAGTTCCTCTTCTTGAGCCACCCCTTATAATTTCAATACTCCAGCATCTCTAACTGCGTGACTCCATCCATTTCCATTGCTTAAACTGTCTCATGTATTTTGGTGACTCAAATTAATATGAGCCTCATTCTCATTCCTAAGTGCCACAGATATTAATTCAATTACACATTAAATATTTTTACCAATCAAGCTGAATATGCCTAAAAAAGAAACCATCATCTGGGTTTTCACGTCTACTTTGGACAGTCCTGGTGCTACCATCTATCTTCTTGATAGTCTTTATCTGGAGTTATACTTTATTTCTCTTTCTCACTGCCTTCCCCATTTTCACTTCTTCCATTTGATAAGAAGCTATCTCATTCAGGCCACTAACCTTTTGTAACCTTAATCACCACAAATAACAAATTCATATTGCTATGTCTGCTCTTAATCTCTTTCAGAAAACATCTACTCTTATGAAATACTGATTGCTTTAAAATGCATATATAAATATACTACAGCACTAAATAGTATTCACATTATAAAACATTAAGTAAATGTTCTTTAACATAACATACCAATCGTGTCACCATTAATTCTCAGCCATGATGAAATATCTCCACTTTTTGATCCTATTACACATATTTTATCTCAGCCTAAAAGCTCTTCCTCCTCCCTGGCTAATTCCTCCTTAGTCCCTAGGACGCATTTCAGGTGGCTCTTCCTCCAAAAGCCTTTCAAGTGATTAATGTCAATCAGATATCCTGAATGACAAATGTCAGTTCTACGTGTTTTCATATCATCCTGTTTCTCTTTCTATACCATTTAATACGAGATGAATCTTGGTGTGTTTGGCAGTCTGCATTTCCCCCACTCAACCACAGCTTTGGAAGGCAAAACACTGTCTTATTCACATTTGTATCCCTATTTCCCAACAAATTTCTTAGAAGAAACTAAAACAAGAGGATATTTAACAAATGAAAGCATTAAAAAGTACATATATTTCAGGTCTCTGTCATCAATTTCATATACCTCTGATACAGTAGTATGAAACTTGGAGTGCATGAGAACATTCACCCGTCTTAAATCACGTACCAATTTTATTCTAACAAGAGTAATACTTCTTCACTTTCAACATATACCCTTACTGAACGTTGTTATCTCCACATTTTTTTAAGAATGTCGACCAGGTGCAGTGGCTCACGCTTGGAATCCCAGCACTTTGGGAGGCCGAGGATGGTGGATCAGGAGGTCAGGAGATCGAGACCATCCTGGCTAACATGGTGAAACCCCGACTCTACTAAAAATACAAAAAAATTAGCTGGGTGTGGTGGCGGGCACCTGTAGTCCCAGCTACTCGGGAGGCTGAGGCAGGAGAATGGCGTGAACCCGGGAGGCGGAGCTTGCAGTGAGCCAAGATCGTGCCACTGCACTCCAGCCTGGGCAACAGAGCCAGACTCTGTCTCAAATAATAGTAATAATAATAATGGCAAAGGCAAAGTGGAGGCTTGGCCTATGTAGGAGAAATTCTGGGTCAGGTATTTCTTATAAACAAGATGAGATGCCCTCATCTCCCTAAATGGCTGTTCAGCTCTAGTTCTAATTTTTGTGCCGATTTGAAAGTTTCCTTAAAAGAGATGGAGAAAAGAAACCTATATTCTGTTGGACTGGATCGGCCCTTCTTTGTTTGTAGTGGAGACACTGTCTCTAGTTCAACTGAAAATACTTTACAGTCTTTTTTTTTTTTTTTTTTTTTTTTGAGAGAAAGTTTTGCTCTTGTTGTCCAGGCTGGAGAGCAGTGGTGCAATCTTGGCTCACCACAACCTCCGCCTCCCGGGTTCAAGCGATTCTCCTGCCTCAGCCTCCCCAGTAGCTGGGATTACAGGCATGTGCCACCACTCCCGGCTAATTTTGTATTTTTAGTAGAGACAGGTTTTCTCCATGCTGGTCAGACTGCTCTCAAACTCCCGACCTCAGGTGATCAGCCCACCTCGGCTTCCCAAAGTGCTGGGATTATAGTCATAAGCCTCATGAGCCACCATGCCCGGCCCAGTCCTCTTTTTTTTCTTTCTTCTCTCTCTCTCTCCTCTCCTCCCTTTTCCTCCCCTCCTTTTCTGTTTCTTCCTCTTCCCTCCTCTCTTTTGCTCTTTCTCCTCTTTCTCACTCTCCTTTTTTTGTCTCTCCCCCTCGCCTACCATTGTTTTATTTTGCTTTCTTTGTTTCTAGCCTATGGTAACTCATCTGCCATCTGGGCACTATCTGTAAATATGTAGGACAAAAATATTCTACTGCAGAATTCTACTAGCTGTTACTTCACCTGTTGTATAAATGAACAGTTTATGAAAAAGTAAGATAGTTCAACAGGGCAGAAGAGCATTAAAAAAGTCAAGAATATCTGGAAGTCATCTCCAAACTCAATTGTTTTACCATAGAGAGAGCATGTTTCAAGGTACATAAGACAGTAATATGTCCAGCTAATTCTGTAAAAACCATACATTAGGCCAGGTGTGGTGGCTCATGGCTGTAAGACCAGCACTTTGAGAGGCTAAGGCAGGAAGATAGCTTGAGACCAAGTCTTCAGTTCAAGACCAGGCTAGGCACCATGGCAAAACCCCCTCTCTACAAAAAATACAAAAAATACCCAGGCGTGGTGGCATGCGCCTGTGGTCCTAGCTACTTGGGAGACTGAGGTGGGAGGATTGCTTGAGTCTGGGGAGATCGAGGCTGCGTTGAGCTATGATCGCACCCCTGCAATCTAGCCTAGGCAACAGAGTGAGACCCTGTCTTGAAAAAATAAAAACAAAACAAAATGAAAAAAACATAAAAACATCAATGGAGTTTTACATAATTTTACATTAGAGTTCTCTTTAGACCATAGCATGCAAAAGGATGTGATCTGTATAACAGTAAAGGTAACATAAAAGTTAAACTGTTCTACATACTATGCAAATATTCACTCACATAAAAGTAAACATCTTAATAAGTTAATTTTCAACTATCCATCAAGAGCCTACTTTATAGTTGGAATTCTATAATGAATGCTCAGTTTATTTTTTATTTTTATTTTTTGTGACAGAGTCTTGCTCTGTTGCCGAGGCTGGAGTGCAGTGGCGCAATCTTGGCTCACTGCAACTTCTGCCTCCCAGGTTCAAGCGATTCTCCTGCATCAGCCTCCCGAGTAGCTGGGACTACAGGTGCGCAGCACCATGCTGGCTGATTTTTGTATTTTTAGTAGGGACGGGGTTTCACCATGTTGGCCAGGCTACTTTCAAACTCCTGGCCTCGAGTGATTCACCAGCATCTGCCTCCCAAAGTGCTGGGATTCAGGCTTGAGCCACCGCGCCCAGCTGGTCAGTTTAATTAGTGAGTTAATCCTATAAATTCTTACTGAGTCGTTATTATATTGAACACTATGCTAGTTGATAATGGTATACAGGTGGAAAAAAAAGACCAAAAAACTAATTTCACTTAGTTGAGAAGTGATAGAAGCCAGTTGAAATATAGTTTTGACTAAAAAGTAATGTATAGAATATTAAGGCAGATCAATGTAAATCTGCTTGGAAAAGAGTCTGCAGTGTTTCTGAATACATAAGTATAATAGATGCATTCTCCAATAGACATCAGCTTCCAGAAGGAAATGGTCCAGTTTTACTAATAAGTATGTATTTTTGACGGCCATGTAGCCACATGGATAAAGATCGTGGTAAAATCAAGTATCTGAAATTGTGTCACCTTTTGCTTAACATATTTCAGCCTCCCCACCCCCCCAACAAAGTGGTGCCACTCACCAATCTTTGTCATTCTATTTAAGGACACTGCTTTTTTTTTTTTGCTTTTTTTTTTGAGACAGAGTCTCACTGTGTCGCCCAGGCTGGAGTCCAATGGCGTGATCTCGGCCCGCTGCAACCTCCACCTCCCAGGTTCAAGAGATTCTCTTGCCTCAGCCTCCCAAGTAACTGGGATTACAGGGTCATGCCACCATGTTCAGCTAAGTTTTGTATTTTTAGTAGAGACGGGGTTTCACCATGATGGCCAGACTGCTCTTAAACTCCTGAAGTCTGGTGATTCGCCCACCTCTGCCTCCCATAGTTCTGGGATTACAGGTGTGAGCCAGCATGCCTGGCCGGACACTGCTTTTTTAATCACTCATGCACGGAGCTATTTTAAAGAAAAGTTATATAACCTTTTGAGCATAATTAGAAGTGGGTCTTCTTTGTGCTTCTATTTATCAGTTTATGCATAATGCTATTAAACACTGCTATTTCTATTTGAATATGAGTAACTATACAGCAAATTATTACTTTTATCTTCTTTTTCAAAAGAAATGTTGCTAAAGGAAGTATTAAGGTTTTTTTTAATTTTAGGAATCTGCATAAAATGGACAGGGTACATTAGGTGAATATTCTATGTGTGTTTCTAATGTTTTGATCTTGGAAACTTAAGTGGACACATCTAAAAATGATGATAGTATCAATTCCTCATACCAATTTGGTAAAAAACAAAACATATGCTGTCTGTGCACATCAGAATTAGAAGTAAATCACTCACTCTCTCTCTCTGTGTGTATGTGCGTGTGTTTATAGAGAGAAAGAGTGCAAAATTAAATATAGTTCCTTGTTAATTAAAGTCATGAAAATATATTGCTCTAATTTTAAAGTTATTTAAGGTATTTTTTAATTCATACATTAGCCACGTTATTAATGAGCAATTACACATGCTATATTATAGACTATGTTTTTAACAACCACAAATAAGTTTATAGTAAGGTTACAATAGTCACATACTATGACACAAACATAGCCATTTAGCTGCACCTGAAGAGCAATTTTTCTAGAATTGTAGATTTCATGATTCTTTTTTCCATGAAAAGAATTTACTATCGCATTGATTTAATGATTCTTTTTCCATAAGGATTATTTACTGAAAGCTCAATCTATAAAGTAATCTCACAGTAACTAAACGAGGACATATGTGATGCTGGAGGACCAATTCTTGTTTCTCTTAAACCTGGCTGTACCACTAACTGATTGCATAGATTTAAGCAAGTTAAATAACCTCTCCTGTCTCATTTTCCTTCTCTGTATTACGGAAATGATACTAGTGCATAATTTATATTTTTGTTATGAAGAATACCAGCAATAATATATGTAAATGGTTCAGTGACTGACAAAGAGTTGACCCTCAACTAATGTTAACCTACGATAACCAAATGCATAGATGTTTATATTAATTTTTTAATGGAGATAAAGCCTAATGTAAAAACTTATGATAATTGGGTGAAGTACATAAATTGAGTACAATTTATGTACTCTGACTTTATAATTTAATCTGTGTGATTGTTCACTTCAGTCCTGTTTCTCCATTCACAATAAATTAAACTTAACAACAATAAAAAATTCCTTTTCAGTAGCAAAAGAAATGAAACAACATAATATAGCAGAAAAATATGGAATTTACAGATACATTGGACTTAAATTTTGAATTTAAAGTAACCAATCTTTTAATTGTTTAAAATAAACTTTTAGTTTTAGAACAGTTTTACACTTACAGAATAATTGTGAAGACAACATAGAGAGTTCCCATGAAGCCCACACCAAGTTTACTCTATTACTAAAATCTTACATTGATACGGTACATTTGTCACAATTAATGGACCAACGCTGATACATTATTATTAAAGTTTATATTTTATTCTGACTTCTTTAGTTTTTGCCTAATGTGCTTTTTCTGTTTTGGGATCACATTTAGGATAGCGTATTATGTTTGGTCGTCACATCTCCGTAGGCTCCTCTTGGCTATGACGGTTTCTCAGACTTCCTTTGTTTTTGATGACCTTGACAGTTTTGAAGTGTTCTGGGCAGATATTTTGTAGACTGTCCCTCAATTGGGGTTTGTCTCATGTTGTTTAATGATTAGACAGGGGTTATATGTTTTCAGGAGGAAGATAGCAGAGAGAAAATGCCATTTGCATCACTTGAGAAGTCATTTAAAATTTATGAGACCTCAACATACTTTTACAAAATAGAGTGAAAATAAATTTTATATTGTTTCCCAGAGATGTTTAAAGTTTAACAAAGAAATACATATCAAAAGTTATGAGACAAGGCAGGATCACTTGAGCCCAGGAGTTCGAGACCAGCTTGGGCAACATAGCGAGACCCTGTCTCTACAAAAATGTTCCAAAACTGTCTGGAACAAATGACAATTTGGGATCCCCTTTTATAAAGGAGAGTAGGATTGTGAGGAAGACAAGATAGAGGAGTCACGGAAGGTGATGGAGGGAACTTACTCCACTCCAAAAAGAAATAAACCCATCTCCTTTTGAAACAGTATTAATGGCTACCAAAGAACAGAGAGACTGGTTTTTATGGCTTTATTTACAAATATGGCAGGAGAGCCTTTAGAGTAGAATTGGTCCACTTTTGCATGAACCCATGAGAAAAAATCAGCTAATTATTTACCTAATAATTGTATTTGAAACATCTAACTCTGTGTCATACATGTTATTTATACTCTACTTCCAAGATATGAATCTAAGAACTCTGTTACTCTGTATGTAGACAAACGCCACAATCTGATTTTGTCTCAGAGCTGCTATTATATATCTGGGAAATCACATTCTGAAAGCATTGTGGTTTTTTGCTCCCCACCTTCTGCCTCAGATATAATCTGGGATGAGATTAATATGGAAAAATACGAAGAAAAATAATTTACCTTGAGAATTGTTTGGGAGGAAAAAACAACAAAAGTTGATAAGACATGCTTTTGATGAGATAGTCAAAATGAGTTACCATTGATCATCATGAAGTTTTATATTCAAAGATGAGTTTGTCAAATACTTTTTCCGTCTCAGAGAACCCATACATTACAACAAAGCATATAGAGGATATGAGCTGGGGTAACGGACATTACTGCTCCTTACATTTCAATGGCTGCTGATCAGCCATATGGCTCACCTAACCATCAATTTGGGAAAATAAGTTTGTGTGACAAAGAGGAGAGAAAAGGAGACTATTTCAATAATCCAAGGGTAAGGAGGAAATGATCTAAACCAAGATGGGGTAAGAAAATAGGTAGGAACAAATAAATGTAAATGATTAGGAAAAGGAAAGATTAATTGATAGAGCTTGAAAATGGACTCAATATGAGAGTCAAAATGGAAAGGAGTTCATTGAGACTTGAAGGTTGCAAATCTAGCAAGATATTAAATTTAAAATTTTGTTAATCAATAACATGAACTCCCAAGTAAAAGCTCTAAGACTACTTTGGGGAGTAGGACCACATCTATCTATATATCTGTAACTATCTACATCTACATCTATCTATATACACGTACACCTACATGTACATAATGAACATCTGTGTATTCTGCTTTAAAGAGAAAATTGTTATGGAAAATTATCTTAGTTCTGGTTTATTAAAGAAGAATAGATTCATTAGTAATGCATGTCTAAAAAAGTTGACAATATTCCTAGAGTTATTTCATTTACATCCCTTTAACCCAGTGCACAGGTTAAACTTATCCCTCATGGTAGAGGTAGGTATGCAGTAGATAAACCACAGTTGAACCTTGAAATCTTGAATTGTAATGTTTATAAACCTAAGTAACCACATCTTTGATGAGAACACACCTTTAATTCCAAAAATATTTTGGCAAAGCTACTTTGAGCAATATTATCTCTGGCAAAGAATACTTAATTTCATACTTACAGATGTTATTTTGCCAACATACACCTCAGCTAACCACCTAACTATGAGAAATTTGACCTCTGATAGTGTTCGCTCAATCTAAATTTTATAACCTTGTCCTCAGGGAATTGATTTTTTAAACACCATGCAAATCCATTATTGAACCAGTAAATAGTGATGGAGTAGAAAGAAACCTGTACATTTATTCAGCTTTAATTACACTTCCACTGATTTCTGTCTCATAATTTAAATAGAGCAACAATAACAACAACAACAAAATTAGAGGAAAATGAATTCCATGTCCACTAACAATTAGATGGATAAACTAGTTATGACTTTGGCATTTGGCTGTGTAGCTAAATATCTTTATATTAGTTCTGTAAGTATATGGAGTAGAGATGGAAGCACACATAAATTGTTTAAAATGTATTTATATTATTGAAAAAGAAAACTAGGAATACCTAAAAGTTTATTCATCAGCTCTGGTTGTACAACCATACTCCTGATGTTGATCATCTCCACATGGCTATTTATCCGTATTTCTTGGATAAGGGATTTCTTGAGAGAGTTCCAAAGTCATTTTCAAATCTTGGACCTTATTCCAAAGCACAGCAGACACAGTTACCAATAATGCAAAGAACCTAAAACAAATACAAATTTCTTGAGAATATCTTGGATTAAATTAGTCATTTCCTACTTCTAGTGCTCCATATTGATTTTGTTAAATGAGGATATGTAATTTAAAAAAAGAGAGTTCACTTGCAGATTATCAAAAACATGCAAATTTAATTGACAATGAGATACAGTTTTGAAAAATCATTTTAAATACCTAACACTGTTGAGGGTGTCATACAGATAAGTTGCTACTACACACTTTACAGCTAACAATTTCTACCAGAGCAAGCTATTTGAGAATCATTTCATCTCCCATCTCCAATCTCAAAAGAAAAATTTTTGTATTTTTTCACTGAGAAAATGTTAAGTGATCAAACAGGAAATATCCCATGTCACAGTCCATAGACTTGTCTATATCTATCACTACATTTTGCCTTTCATTCTGGTCAAAACAGATAAACTTTCTCTGTTTCTATCTAAAACCAACCCCTCCACAGAGTCTGAGCTATAGCACACATCTTTTTCTCTTCTAATTCTTTCATTTGCATCATACATTTTCCTTGACTGATCTACCATTACCATCAGCCTACCATCATCCTGAAATTATTACCATCTTACAGGGTCTCCCAGACACTATATCATTCTTTAGTTAAACTTTTCCTAATGAAGAACTTTATTACAACAAACCTTTTTATCTCCAGTTTCTCACCTCCAAATTTCTCCTAAATCTAATCCTAAAATTGTATTTAAAACATTTTATTAAAACTGGTTGTGACAAGGTTATCAATGACCTTTTTTTCATATCGAATTATCAATTCTCAGTTCTCTTCTTATGCAATCCACTGCTGCCATTTGATACTGTTATCACTTCCTTCTTATTTGCATTTTTCCTTCCACTGAATTTTGTGATTTCATACTTTACTAGGTTTCATTTTACGTCCATGTTTACTTTTTCTGTCTCCGTTGCTGGCTCCTGTCTTCCATATATTGAAGTGCTGGATTTTCTTCTGTCATCATTTATGTTTATGCCAGTCTAATGACTTTACAAACCTCCTAAACTTAGAACATCTCAAGCCATTCCCTGGGTCCAAATATGAAAATGCAACCTTTTACTTGGTTGTGTGAGAAGGGCTGAAGAATGTGGAGAAGAGAGATATGATAAAGGGCAGACAAAAACTTGTTAAAGGGCATTTCGCAGACAGAAAGAAACAAATACCCGCTTGCTGAGGGACAGGATGCTCAACTTTCATTACAAAGATGTTAGTGTTTGAAAGATGTGACCCCTGCCTCCTCCCCTCAGCTGAATCCTGCATGAGGCAATTCACACTTATTGGTTGGTGCAAAAGTAATTGCAAACATTAAATGGGAAAGGTTATTTTTGTGAACATTTAAAAAATGGTCCCAGTTCCACATCTGGGTCCATGTGAGGCCAAATAGAAACTGCAGATGGAGAAAAGCAAGATAATCTATTACCTAAGCAAGTTAAGCAGAAGCAGGAAAATAGAGCCAGAAGGGACCACGATGATGCAAAGTCCTCCTGAGATTTCTCAGAAATGTAGAGAAAGTAACGTAAATAATGTGATCTAAACCTTTACAGGTAGTGATGACAGCTAATTTCTGGATTACACATGCACATTTGCATCTGAAGACTATTGTCAACAAGGAGGAAGCGTGATATGAAAAGCTGACGTGAAATAAAATATTTAATTATTTTCTGAAATTCATTTCCATTCAATGCCTGTGCTAATAAATGGAATGTGAAGATAAAATTCAATAGGGAGAAATGGACATAATTGAAATTTTCTCATCATGTATCCTTTACCTGGCACATCAGAAAATATCTTACATAGGACTAAGTGCCAAAAATCATCCTCTGAATTAAAATATATGGCCTCAATCACACTTCAAACACATCTGGATTTACATAAATTAAAGTAATTTAGCTTAATATGGAAGAGAATATGACATGTATATGAGACATATTTCACGTGAAAAGATTTTAGAATTGAGTGAATCTAGGATTAATCAACTTAAATTAATCTAAGAGTTACTTAGAATTTACTTGCGTATTATAATTTCATGAATTTTTCATGAGGTAAATGAATGCCAGGTTAACAAAGTGGCCTGTAATTTTTTTCTTTCCTGAAATTCCTTATCAAAATCACATTAATATGCAATGTATCAAAGTCATGCAGAAAACTCAATTCCCAGTGTTCCTAGATTTTTTTTTCCCAGAGGACAATGACTGCATTTTATATTTCTTAGTTTATAAACTACTTGGAGTTGGTTGTAATATTTACCAACAACAGACTTGAATGTGTAAAGCCAGTGCTCCAGAGGCTATTACCTTGTAGATGTGTTGATCCGGATTTTGGTTTTCAGTCAACAGATTCATGGAGATGCCTTGGGTTTTGTTTCATGTTTCAAATCTTTCCATCCTATTTAGATGTTTCCCATACAAGTGGAATTTTGTGTTAGAATAGCAAAGCAAAACATTTAGACTATTAAGCCACTTATTAATTAATTTATTTTTTTGAAACGGAGTCTTGCTCTGTCGCCAGACTGGAATGCAGTGGCCCCATCTTGGCTCACTGCAACCTCTGCCTCCAGGGTTCAAACGATTCTCCTGCCTCACCCTTCCAAGTAGCTGGGACTAGAGGCACGCATCACCACACCCAGCTAAATTTTTGTATTTTTAGTAGAGGAGGGGTCTCACCGTGTTGGCCAGGATGGTCTTGATCTCCTGACCTCGTGATCCACCAGCCTCGGCCTCCCAAAGTGCTGGGATTACAGGCATGAGCCACCGCCCCCAGCCTAAACCACTTATTTAAATATTAGATAAGTAATTTAGAACAAAGTATAAGGTAATTTAAACTAGCTGAAACTAGATTCTGCTTTTTCTTTTATCCACCTATTCTTAATCTCTAAAGTTTATTTTTGAGATTCTCTCAGGCTTGAGTAAAGTGACTCTAAATCATTCTTGAAGCAAAGAAAAAAGCTTGTCATATCAAAGCCCAGGTAAGTATACAGTTTCTAGTCTCTTTCCCCAGATACTTCAAGTTTCATTTGCTCTTGAATCGTCTGCCTTTGTGCTCTTTATTGCAGGGTAAACTATTGTTTGATTGCTGGACTCTGATATTACTTAGAGAGCTACATGAATTCCCTAAGAATTGTGTTAATCTCCAGAACAGTTTGAGATTGCCTTGCTTGCACTATTAGTTAGTATTTCTGAATCTGCAACGTTCCACAATCCCCCGCAGGTAAAATGAAATCACCCTAGCATGCTATATTTACCATAATTGAATCCGCATAAATGTCACTTATGTACCCTGCTGAATCTAAAAAAAAAGTTGAAAAAGATAAAAACTTAAAAACACCAAAAAAAAAGAAGCATCACTTAAGGACTTGGTATCCAATGTAATAGGGCCAGATATAGCGTTTATATTAACATGATGCTAGCTGCTGTAAAAACACTTCAGATGTATGGTGGTCCAAATATTATAAAAATTTATTTCTCATTTAATAAAGGCCAAAATAGATTTTAAAAAGAAAGAAAAATGCAAACTAATCTGTATTAGTCAGGGTTCTCCAAAGGGAGAGAACTACTAGGATACATGTATATATGAAAGGGAGTTTATTAAGGAGAAGTGACTCACACAATCACAAGTTGAAGTCTCACAATAGGCCATCTGCAGCTGAAGAGCCAGGAAGCTAGGAGTAGCTCAGTCTGAGTCCCAAAGCCTCAAAAGTAGAGAAGTTGACAGTGCAGCCTTCAGTCTGTGGCCGAAGGCCTGAGAGCCCCAGGCAAACCAAGAGTCCAAAGCTCAAGGAACCTGGTGTCTGATGTTCAAGAGCAGGAAGTATCCAGCATGGGAGAAAGATGAAAGCCGGAAGACTCAGAAAGCCAGCTTATCCCACCTTCTTCCACCCGTTTTGTTCTAGCCACACTGGCAGCCAATTGGATGGTGCGCACCCACACTGAAGGTGGGTGTTCGTCTACCAGTCTATTGACGCCAGTGTTAATCTCCTCTGGCAACACCCTCACAGACACACCCAGAAACAATACTTTGCATCCTTCAGTCCAATCAAGTTGACACAATATTAACTATCACATAAACTAAATGTTTTTCAAGTTCATGTTACTTCAGTAAACTTCGATAAATAAGAATATTGTTAGTTAATTAAAATGGTCATGCCTTCAGAGTTGTCAGAATTATACAGAAGGCAAACACACGATTTCTCTCTCCATTAGACGTTTAAAATCCTAAGATAATGGGTTCAACCTAAGAACAAATGCACAAGTGCAGTGTCCATCGATGTATGTATATAAAGCACGACAATAAAACAAAACCCCAATTATTCAACTTTCTACATTCTTACTTTTGTGATCCTTGCCTAACATGCAGATACTGTAAAAATAATTGACAGGGAAATACCTTGAGATGATGACCTTTGTCTAATATCCTATTTAAGATTTTTAAGTAATCTAAGCATAATTGTGAAGAACAAGTTAATTAAATAAATGTAAGTGGAATAAAAGTTTGTAAATGAACTTTTTAACAATAGAAAACGAAAAATAAGCAAAATGATTTTAGAAACTTTCGACAAAATAGAGACGTATATGGAAAAAATTAACCACTACTTTGAAACACGCATTCCATGTTTCCTGAGGCTACCATTAAAAATTCCCACAAATTTAGTGACTTAAAACAACAGAAATTTATTCTTTCACAGTTCTGGAGGCTAGAGGTATGAAATTAAGCAAGGCCATGCTCCTTCCAAGACTCTAAGGGTGAATTCATGTCTTCCATCCTAACCTTTGTACTATTGTTGCCATACATTTTACATTTTCCTGTGTTATAAACCCTACACTCCATTATTTGTCCTTCATCTATTTTATTTCAAAAATATTTAAATATTAAGAAAACAGTCAATTTCATTTTTCTAGGTAATTACCAGCATTTTCCATTGCTTTGTGTGGATCCAGATTTTCATCTAGTATCATTTTCCTTCTGTCCCCCAAAAATGATTTTGACATTTCTTTTTTCTGGTAATGAATTATTTTACCTTTGATGTCCATTTTTCTTTTTAATTTTGTCTTAATTTTTGAAATGAGTCTAGAATTCTAAGTTGGCAAATATTTCTCTTTCAGCACATTAAAAATATTGTTCCACTGTTTGCTGGTTTGCAATGATTCCAACAGGATATCTGGTGCAATCCTAATTTTTGGTCCTTGGCATGTGGGGTATGTGAGTGTGTGTGTGTGTGTGTGTGTGTGTGTGTGTGTGTGTGTGTATTATTTTCCTCTGTTGCTTGCAAGTTTTTCTCTTCATCACTGGTATTAAGCAATTTCATTACTATGTGACTTGGTATAGATCTTCATGTTTATCGTGACTGGGATTCGTTGAGCATCCTAGATCTGTGGGTTTATAACATTTATTAAAATTGGAAATAAATGTTTTTATAAGTATTCTTACATTTTTTCTGCCTTCCCCCCTCTCTTCTCTGCTTTGGGAATGTTAATTACATGTATGTTGGGGTGCTTCAAATTGTTGCTATTCACCAATCCACTGTTTTTGTTCGTTTTTTTGTTTTTTTTTTTTAATTCACTTTTCTTTCCGGGTTTCATTTGGGATAGTTTCTACTGCTGTGCCTTCAAGTTCACTAAACTTTTTCTATGTATGTCTAATATGTCCCAATATTCCATTAAGCAGGTCCAGTGTATTGTTTATTTCAGACATTGTAATTTTACCTCTAGAAATTGAATTTAGGTCTTTCATGTATCATATGTATCTATTTAACAGGTTCAACATATCTTCTAGATTCTTGAATGCATAGAATACAATTATAACTGTCATTATATCCTTCTATGCTTACTCTTTCATCTGTTCCATTTAATGGATCAGTTTCAAATAATCGATTTTTCTACTCATTATAGATTGTATTTCCCTAGTTTCTTGAATCCTAATAATTTTTGTATTGGATACTAAACATTGGAAATTGTACATTGTTAGGTGTTAATTTGTTAGTGTTGCTCTGCACTATGGTTATATTACATTAAAACAGTTTTATCTTTTTGGGTTTTGTTTTTATTTTATATTTTTTCATTAGAAATGCAACAGTGTTTAGCATGCAGCTAATTCTCCCTACTCCTGAGGCAAAATTCTCTGGGTGCTTATCCTATGCCCCATGGGTTTGATGAAGTTTTGATCTCTAGCTGCTTGAAACAGAAATACTTCCAGCCCTGTGAAATTCCCAGAGATCATTCCCTTTAATCACATCAAGCAGTCCATTTGTTGGCTTTAGCTAAGTTTCTTCACACATATAGACTGATCAGTATCATTTTATTATTTATTTATTTATGTATTTATTTATGGTATTTAGTTATTTCAGGCTACAGGCAATTTTGGTACCTGTTGCTACATCTTGGCCAGAATAAGACATGTCTGAATTATATTTTTATGGGCAACTGTGACCCAAATGTGATGTATTTATTTTATTTTGGTACAAAATTAAATTCAAATATAGTAACTTAAATTCAACTATAGTACAAACAACAATATATTTAAAGATCATGAAAACTGAAGTACATGAAGTACAAAGTGGCAAATTGGGTCATTTCCTTTACAACATGATTCTATACTGTCATTTGAACACATATAAAATAACACTGAGGAACTGAAGTGAAACATGTCACAAATATTACAGTTGCCATGTGTGCTTTCAAGTGTGTCTTCTAGAATTGACTTGCCATCCCAAGACTTCATTACGGGGAGAACTATAGTTATTTTACAGACTAAAAACTTTTCCCATTTGAAATACTACAGAATTTTAAGGCCAATATACTGTGGGTTCATTTCTCTTAACCTGCAGGGTCGAATGCAATGCTTTACTCAAAATCCATTAAGCTTCCAGTTCAAATCTTAACCCGACCTTATAACCTTCTGCATGGAAGTTTTTCCCATCAGTTTAAGCTGACAGGATCACTTTGACTCCTGATGGAAAGGTTTCAGTATACCCGTGTGCATTCAGACTGGCATGAGTTACTCTACCAAATGCAGAAGATCTATAATCCAGCTTGTATACTGTAGTAAAGCAAAATCGGGTGTTGTCACTACCAGCTCTCCAAACAAGATTTTTTGGAGTTTCAATTTTCTCATTAACCTTCTTGCATACAAAACTTTCAAGTTCAGTGCCATCATTCACATGAGATTACAGCTAGAGGTGTGCAGCTTTGTGAACCAGGGTGAAATGATTCTCTGATAGTTTGGATTTGCTTGTGTCAGAAATCATCTGACAGCCATCAAGGCAAAGTTCGAAGGCCAGCAGAGCCCAACCATAAAGCGTTGGTCTAGAAAAATCTCCAGCAGTAGTACTGCCAAGTAATACTGCCAAGACTTACTTATTCACATGTAGAGGAAGCCTTCAATTTTCCGCATTTAGAACAAATATCATTTCAAAAGTCACTTGCAGTTGGCATTTCAGTCAATTGTTTTTCCAAAGCTATTTCTGTCCCATGAACATTATCTTTGTTTCATTTTTGGATAAAGGTAACTTTATTCTGTCAATGACAGGTTAGCTATTTGGCAGCTTTTAGCTGGATCATACTTGGTGAGAAGAAGCCCATATTATTGGACTGTACATAGAACCCATTCCTGCCTCTGACTTTGGAGTCATTGCACAGGGTTGGCTGAGACTGGCACACACCAGACAGATGAGTCATATTTCTTACTTGTTGATGAATACCTCTTTTGCTGACAGTCCTCTCTAGTGTGTGCTGATATGAGACACAAAGATCCACAGACTTTCTGCTGACCTACATAAGTCTATCTTTATGCCTCTTCCTGAAACCACTTTGGCTCTGATTTTCCATCTTGTTATTTGCAGGCTCCAGTTAGACCTGCCAGTTGATTAAATACTGCTTAGGAGTCTGTATACACATTTATGTCAGGTTAATTCCCTTTTCATACAAAGTTGATGAGCATATGTGCCGTTTCTTACCAACTGATGGCACTTCACTTAGCTTTGTCCTTTGGAGACGATCAGCACTGTCTTCGAGGGACCCCCATGTGTGGAGCTGTAGTGCTGCAGCAGTCCAACATATTAGGCTGATTCATGCAATAACCAGACCTGAGAATTTTCCCGTTTTGAAGCTGATTAAAGGGACCCATCCCCAAAAGGTCATTGCTATAAGTTGAGTGAGAGGCAAAAAATGCAGCAAAGGTAGGTGATTTGAGGCAGTGAGCTATCGATTCACATACTTATACCCTCTGGACCAGCAAGCTTGGACCTAATTTCAAGTCTACTATTTCCATCATAAAATGGATTTGTACTCCTCATAACTTGGTAGATAGGATAATACCCAGATAATGATGCAGTGCTCTGTTTTCATGGTTACTTGACCTCAGACAGAGCTCAATAGCATACAAGTAGCTAATTTTCAAATGGTGAGTAGTTCTTTGGGACAGAAAGCCTATTCTCCCTCTAGATTCTAGGGATCCATACTGATATTTCGTATAACATTATGCTGGTGATTTCTTGTAGAATTCCTACTTACCTATCTTTAGCTATCAAGGATATCTTTGATTTTGTTAGGATTTCCAAGTGGGAGGGAAGGTTACTCTGCAGGCTGGACCTGCCCCAGAGCCCTTTCTTCCTCAGAGTTTCATTCAAAATAGGTAGTCTTCACAGTCATATAATGAATAGGTCAGAGAGCCACTTTCAATTATAGAATATACTTCCCTAAAATCCAAAGAGGTCCAAAAAGCACTGTGCCTCTTTCTTAGTGGTAGAAGATTCAAGATCCAATAACTTTCATTTACTTGGCATGCTCCAGATCATTTTATCCCTAAAAAAAACTCAAGTTGATATGGCAGGCCCTAGATTGCTATAGGGTTTATCTCTACAACAGTCTGCCATTATCTTGTCAGCATACTCACAGTACTTGGAATTTCTTGTCTACCATGTCAAATTAGCCTAATGTCATCAATATAGTTGGTCAGCATGATTTTCTGCAAAACATAAATAGTAAAGTTTTCTAGACTATATAGTGACAAAGAGAAGGACAATTAACATAGCTTTTAGACATAGACAACAATGTGACTGTTGATCTTTCCATATAAGTGTAAACTATTTCTGATCATTTTTACTGATTTATTAGATCAAATGTCACACACCAAGGGTAAAATGCTATGTTAATATAATCCAGAGAAGATGTTACATAAGGCACAGCAACTGCAGTTGGGGCTAACACTTTATGAAGTTTAGGGTAATCCATTATCCTCTTTCACATCCGTTTGACTTCTCTTGCCATGAAATAGAAGGAATGTACATTGATACAATGAGGAAAACCATCCCTGTTAATTCTTTGAGGGTTGTGCCAAACTCTGTAATTCCTCCTGGCATGTAGTTTTGCTTCCGATTTACTATCTTGAGTGGGAACAAGGGGGAGGGATATTTTACGGGCTTCCAGTTGAATATTTTTACTATCATAGTAGCTCTTACTCCACAAACTAGAGATGCAATGTGGGAGTTTTGCCTGTTGCTCAGTATAATCCCCCCAATTATATACTTTGGGGTTGGAAAAACGATCACAGGATGGGTCCACCATCCCACTGAAACCACTATGAAATAAACTTGGGACCCAACTCCATTTATCATCTGGCCTTTATAGTTCTCTAACTGAGGAGGCATGGTGATATGTCAGGTCCACAGGTAGTGTCAGCTCAAACTGTGTAGGCCACAACCCTCAAAAGATCTGGGTGTCTACATCACAAGATATCTTTAGGTCCTTTAGAGGAAGGTTTGGATAATGTTGTACGTGATTGCAGTGAGACTGTCAGAGCCCTTCTTCAGAGAAAGCCACACTCCTTTTAGAACAATAGGTCCTGAGTTTGTCACTTGGCTCAAATCTAGAAATTCGGCAAGAGATTATGATTTTTTCATCTTGGTGGTAGAAAGCCTTTTATTTTTAAAGAATTTTTTTTGGTTACAAAAGTTTTTTAGTTTTAATATTTTTTAAATCTGGTTATACAAGTCAAACAATATCTTAGTTAGGAGCCTATCTTTCTCACCACTGGAAATAATATAATATATTAGCCATCATACAGAGCTTTGCAAATTAAAACACCAAGACTGCCACCTCTTTCTTGCTATAATGGTAATTGCACCTACTTTGTGTCTGATGGGTAAGTATCATCACTTGCTTTTGCCTATTATGGGAACATATCAGGTCTATTGATAATAAGTCTAATTCCAGGGTAGTTTCTCTTACCTTCAATCCTATACTATACACGACAACTACATTGAGCCTGTCAATTATGCCGATACCCCCTCACTAGTGCATCCATTTCTAATTGCCTAAGGGAAAGAAATAACTTCTGGGCCACGTAGGGAACATAGTTAATTCCCAGGACCTAGGAAACATAGACAATTTCTGGTCTCACATAATAAGTTCATTAGGTACTGGGCCCAGTTTTTTTAACTCAAATTTTTATCTCAAAAAAACAGGTTACTTTTTTGTTTGCTTTTAACAGATGGGCCCAACTTTTGCCCAATTTTCTCACGTGCCCAATTTTTGGAGCGTTTAGCCACTTACCTTCATACTTTGCCAAGGCAGTCCCAGTATCTGCACCTTATTTTCACCAGTCCTTCACTATTGTCAGAATTTCAAAGTGATTCCGGTATAATAGTGGATCTCAAACTTTAACATACATTTGAGTCACTTAGAAGCCTTCTTAAATAGCAGATTCTGGGCCCCATCCCTCAAATTTCTATTTCATATGTCTAGGGAAGTGAAAAGAATGTGTGTTTCTAGCAAGTTCCCAGGTGGTTCTAATGCTGCTGGTCCAGGGACTACACTTGGAGAAGCATTGTTGTAATCAGTGCTGATTCTTCCATCTCTGTCTCATTCCAGTGTAATACATCTGGGAGTCTCAGGAAATGTGATGTTGAAGCATATTAACAATTGTCACCACCCTACTTACCAAGTATGTTTTCCTTATTGAAATCTGACTCGGCAGTGACCCAATTCCAGAATCCCAACATGAAGGGCTGCTTTCCAGACTCTGTGTAACAAGCTGTCCTGGTTTGGCTTCACTGTGAAAGCCAAACCAGAGGTAAGGACCTAGGAATATATAGTGAATAGGAAAGGCAATCTCAGAAAATAAAAGTGAGATTATGGGAAAAGTAAGACAGGGAAGTGTTAACTGGCAGTAACTACCATGTTATCAAGTTGGTTACTACTGTAAATAACTCAGAGACTATCCCTCTGGTGATATCCCATTAAGGTATCATGCAGGGCATGTCTTAGAATTATCCACCAAAGGATGAGGAAGCTGTGCACCTATGTCCTTATGCTCATCTCATTATTTGAAGGGTTTTTAGGGGACATCAAATTCTGCACTCCATTATTGTACAAGCTTATGGCTGAATGACTTTTTGTGTATAGAGTAGCTAGATACTGGACACTGGCAAATATGTGTGAAACTGTTAAGTGGTCTAAGGAAGTGGTGCCTCACAAGTGCCCACTATAGCACATTACTTAGATATATGGATATGAAGACCAGATGAAACAGTTAAAAGAGTTGAAGTTACAGTAATTGGATTTGGAGAATAGTACTCTTGGAGGTGGGCAATGAAATGCAAGTGGAGGCATTAATGGACTGGAGTATTTTACCTTATGCTTTAGAGAGAAATTTGACTTTTACAATTATGCATATTCATTATTTTAAGTAAAAGGTAAAGTTCACGGGGTTGACAAATGCATTAACTATGGATTGAAAAATTAGTTTGGCATTCCTGAACTAAAAAGTTAAGCTATTTCAACATCTATTTCTTAATTCTTCTTCTGATATACTTTGTTTTGTCCAACTTTTCTCCTATTGCTTTAGCTGAGACATAATAATCTAGAAAAGAGACAGGTTATTTTTTCATTTCTTTTTAACAGATGGCCCTGGATTGATTTGCCAAAGATCCACCCAGGAATCCTGACTCATTAAAGAAGGGTGGAGATTTTCTGAGCTAAGCGAGAGACCTTTCCTCAGAGGTCATTTTCTCTTCGACTTCTTCTGAGGCAACTCCTGCAGCCAGCCCCCAAAGACAGAATCAGATAATAGGAATTCAAAAACCTAACTTAACTGTGAGCCATGTTACAAGGTTCAAGACCTTCAGCAACAGCCAGTTTTACTAAGTTACTAATAGTCAAGGAGGTAAAAAATGTTTTTCTGTTTTGTCTTTTATTGATGACTAAATGAGAATTATCGATACCTCATTATGAAGTTTCTTTCTTTTCAGAAGTAAAGTGCATATTTAGTCTTTTGGATTTTTAGTAGTTGGCAAAAATTTAAGTGCTGAACACTGAAGTAATTTACCATGTTATCATATTGCTCTGTAATACTATAATACATCCTTTTCTGTGTGTAGCTGAGACTATATATTTCCTGAAAATAGATACTCCAGCTCTTTCATCTCTGTGCTACATTTTCTAGCCACAGAATGCTGGGAATTATAACATTTAATATTTTTACACAAATAATAATGTTAATGGATGGCCATAAATGAATGTCAGAAACCCCAAATTCTTGTCCTCATTTTAATACAGAATTCCAAATCTGCATTTTCACAAAGTCCATTCTTGGTAAAAGGTGCCCTAAGTGTATTTACTATTATGACTTTTATTGTGAGAGTTTCAAACAGCAGTGCAGTTGGGGATAGGAAGGGAAGAAACTTATCTGAGGCCAGGTAGAACTGCTTCACTCCTCACAAATCACACTGCAACACTTGTACTCTAGCTTACCCCAACTGATGATCACCACTTTCTAGCAGAATCGCATATATGTAGTTATATTCTTACACATGCTCTGTCCCATCAATCCCAACTTAGTCCCTTCAATAAAAGGCACTACAGTAGTTGTTTTGCTAAACATCTGCTATATAAATATATATTTATTAAACTTTCAAATTGGCAAGAAATTTAAAAACCATTAAATCTAACCACTTACCTTTTTGAATTAAATAAACATAACCCACTCAGAAAAATAAAATAAATCTCTCAAGTAAACAGGGGCAGAATTGGCACTTCAAATGGATCCCCTGATTTTTAGTGCCAATCTCATTATAGCCCATGGATATATTTTTTTCCTGGACTTAAGTGAAATGCATTTTCTCTGTTGATAAACTTGAAATCAAAGCAGAATAAATGATTTGTGGATTATATTATCCCATTTATATTGTACACATAAAATGTCAATTCTGGCTGATGAAAAAAGAAGCCAACATACTAGTAAGTTAATAACAGATAACTTCCAAAGAGCAATAAGCAATAATTGTATTCAAGAAATGAAAATGAAATGATAAATAACTACTTTTCATTAGAATAAAGACAGCAATTTTCCTATTATATTTAAAACATCAAAAAATAAAAAAATTATAAATTTTTAAAAATGTGTTAAATCCATGATTAGGTGAAATCTGGTTTCAATAGCAATAGCAATAACAATATTTCTGCAACAATTAAGAGCTGGCAGTCCATACATTCAAGAATACTCCCTCAGCTAGTGTTTAAAGGCCTCAGAGTAATTTTGTTAGAATATATGTTTTTTTTTCAGGTAAGCAACCAGATTCAAAGGTGTGAGGTGGTTTAACCACAACAAGTAATTGGTAAAAGAGAAGTGGGAACTGAAAGAAAAGTTTGCTGACTACAAAAGTTTTTGTTTGTATGTTTGCCTTTTCATTATTATTTTCACTGAACTGCTTCCTAACAATTAAATTATATTGTGTTGCATAAGTATGTCATAGTTTGAAAAAAATCAAGAGAAAAAACAATCAAAATTTTCAAATTACTAAAAATGTCTCAATTTTTCAATAATGTTGCACATTTTAAAATATTCAAGTAGTCATAACATCTGCAAAATATGATAGTTTTTTAATAACTTTTATTTTAAGTTCAGGGCTACCTGTGAAACTTTGTTACATAGGTAAACTCGAGTCACAGGGGTTTGTTGTACAGATTATTTCATTACCCAGATATTAAACCCAGTGCCTAATAGTTATTTTTTTCCGCTCCTCTCCCTCCTCCCACCTTCCACCCTCAAGTAGTACCCAGTGTCTGTTGTTTCCTTCTTTGTGTTCATAAGTTCTTATTATTTAGCTCCCACTTGTGAGAACGTGGTATTTTTGTTTCCTGTTCCTGAGTTAGTTTGCTAAGGATAATAGCCTCCAGCTCCAACCATATTCCCACAAAAGACGTAATCTTGTTTTTTTTATGGCTGCATAATATTCTGTGGTGCATATGTACCACATTTTCTTTGTCCATTCTGTCACTGATGGGCATTTAGGTTGGTTCTGTGTCTTTGCTATTGTGAATAAGGCTGCAATGAACATTCATGTGTATGTGTCTTTATGACAGAATGATTTATATTCCTATGGGTATAAACTCAATAATGGGATTGCTAGGTTGGTTGGTAGTTCTGTTTTTAGCTCTTTGAGGAATCGCAATACTGCTTTCCACGATGGTTAAATTAATTTATGCTCCCACCAACAGTGTATCAGTGTTCCCTTTTATTTGTATCCTTGCTAGTATCTGTTATTTTTTGATTTTTTAATAATAGCCATTCTGACTGATGTGAGATGGTATCTCATTGTGGTTTTAATTTGCATTTCTGTAATGATCAGTGAGGTTGAGCTTTTTTTCATATGCTTGTTGGCTGCATGTATGTCTTCTTTTGAAACATGTCTGTTTTAAAAAGTAATGTAATATAAAAAGGTATTTAGAAATGCTAAATAATCCTACCACATTTGTTCATTTATTTTCAGCTCGGATGATATCCTTTTTCTTTCCCAAAGTTCATGGTGTTATGTATATATATGTTTGACTATTTTAAAATGAAATTTATAACAGTAAATAGCTAGCTTGTAATATATGATTTTGCCACAGTACTGTGATTATTCAGTGAATGATGTAGAATATATGCTTTTTTTAACCTTTGGAAGATAATTACAGCTCTCATTGATAACCTACTCAAAAGCCTCTTAGTGACTTAAAATAATCGTAGACAGTAAGTAAAGTACACGGGAGGTGATCACTAGCAAGGTAAGAATTTGTTTTATATGTGCCATTAACGTACCAGCAATTAGACATGTTCTGACAGGTATCTGTATATGAATAAGGAAAGAGTCTTGTTGCACAGAATAAAAATTAATACCCACCAACTAAAGAAAAAAGAATATAGTGGATGGATATCAAATAGCTCACAGAATTCACAAAAACACTTGGCAATCAATTTTAGCAAACAGATTAGCACCAAAGGAGGCTAGACGAAAGGGAGAACAGCCAAGCCCTGGTACAGGAATAGTCTAATTAACATACTATCAGTAGCAGCAGAGGTGACATTGATGCCACTGTGTACTCCCTAACATTGGTAAGCTCACAAGGCCACCATCACTGTTGAGCACTCAATGCAATGAAAGGTTTTGCAACTACTTCTACATCTCAGTATGAAATGCTTATGATCCAAAGTCTCTGGTGAGGATCTTATTGACCAAGTCTAGGGCACATGCTCGAACCTTAGTTTGTCATACATGGGAAGAAGTTGTGTCTGTCTCCTTTGGCTTACTTATTTGGATAAGGAACATTTCCTCTCCCCCAGACGCACACTGGGGGATAGTCTCTCCAAAACAGAATGAATCCTCAGATGCCTGATGTAAACAAAAAGACAAATGCTTTCAAAGAGTCTCCATATTAAGAATTATAGCTGAAACTTTATCAATCTCTATCAAAATAGAAACTGTTTTTCCTATTTCCTATTGGAAGATTCAGGAGCTCTTATCTTGGTATATGCCGTTGAGCTACCTTTATTTGCCCAAATGCTGAGTAAGAAAATATAAAGTCATGGGTTTTAACTAAAAATAAAACTAGTTTTACTAAGCCTGATATAGAACATAGAAGTATATTTTACACTTTTATTACATAGAAAAATGTTAAGAAGAATATTGTCAGTATTTTAGCCTATTAAACACTATATCTGTATATATTTAAGAAGCAGCAATGAAGTTAGTTATGTAACACATATATATTTAATCCTTCTATATATCATTTCTAACATATTCATAATGTATATGTAGTATTCTGAAATTTCAAAGTGAGTTTGTACTCATTATTTTTATTCTGGAAGCAAACTGAGAGTCAAGACTAACTGGATTTCCTAGGCCTACTAAGAATCCCTAAGCCTAGCTGGGAAGGTGACCACATCCACCTTAAAACACAGGGCTTGCAACTTAGCTCACACCCAACCAATCAGGTAGTAAAGAGAGCTCACTAAAATGCTAATTAGGCAAAAACAGGAGGTAAAGAAATAGCCAATCAACTATCGCCTGAGAGCACAAGGGGAGGGACAATGATCGGGATATAAACCCAGGCATTCGAGCTGACAACGGCAACCCCCTTTGGGCCCCCTCCCATTTTATGGGAGCTCTGTTTTCACTCTATTAAATCTTGCAACTGCACACTCTTCTGGTCCGTGTTTGTTATGGCTGGAACTGAGCTTTTGCTCACTGTCCACCACTGCTGTTTGCCGCTGTCGCAGACCTGCTGCTGACTTTACCCCTCCGGATCTGGCAGGGTGTCCGCTGCACTTCTGATCCAGCAAGGCGGCGCCCATTGCCACTCCCAATTGGGCTAGAGGCACGCCATTGTTCCTGCACTGGCTAAGTGCCCAGGGTTCATCGTAATTGAGCTGAATAGAGCTATAACACTTACCACATGGCCCAAGATTCCATTCCTTGGAATCTGTGAGACCAAGAACCCCAGGTCAGAGAACAAGAGGCTTGCCGCCATCTTGGAAGTGGCCTGCTACCATCTTGGGAGCTCTAAGAACAAGAACCCCCTGGTAACAAAACCAGTGAGGAAACTGAGATTCAAGGACAGGGCACAGATTGTTAACATCAGAGCTTAGGCAAGGAAGCTTTTATTCGATTATTCAGCATGCTTTGCTAGATGTTGTAGAAGCAGAGACACATCAGATGCAATCCTATTGTATCAGGCTGTTCTTCCGTAGCTATAAAGAAATACCTGAGACTAGGTAATTTAATTGGCCTCATCTCCAGGCCTCATCTCCAGCATTGGGGATTACAATTCAGCATGAGATTTGGGCAGGGACAAATATCCAAACTATATCATTCCACCCTGGCCTATCCCAAATCTCATGTTCTTCTCACATTGTAAAATACAATCATGCCTTTCCAACAGTCACTCAAAGTCTTAACTCATTCCAACATTAACAAAAATTCCAAAGTCCAAAGCCTCATCTGAGACAAGGCAAGTCCCTTCCACCTATCAGCCCATGAAATCAAAAACAAGTTATTTACTTCCAAGATACAATGGAGGCATAGGCAAATGGTAAACATTGCCATCCCAAAAAATATCTGCCAAAAGAAAGGGGCTACAGGACCCATGCAAGTTTAAAACCCAGTAGGGCAGTCATTAAATCTTAAAGCTCCAAAATAATCTCCTTTGACTCTATGTCCCACATCCATGGCACATGGCTGCAAGGAGTGGTATCCCAAGGCCCTGAGCAACTCCATCCCTGTGGCTTTGCAGGGTTCACCCCCCAGTGCTGCTCTCATGGGTTGGAATTGAATTCCTGTGGCTTTTCCAGGCACAGAGTTCAAGCTGACAGTGGATCTACCATTCTGGCCACAGAAGGAGGACAATGGCCCCCTTCTCTCAGTTCCACTAGGCAGTGCCCCATTGGGAACTGACTCTGTGTGGGAGGCTCCAAACCCACATTTCCCCTTGGCAGTGCCCTAGTAGAAGTTTTCTGAGAGGGCTCTGCCCCTGCAAAAGTCTTCTGCCTGGGCACCCAGGCTTTCTCATACGTCCTGTGAAATTTAGGTGGCAACTGTCAACTATACTTCACTCTTGCATTCTGTGCACCTACAGGATTAACATAAGGTAGAAGCCAAGGTTTACAGCTTGCATTCTCTAAAGTGGTAGTTCAAACTGTACCTGAGCCCCTTTTTAAACCTGACTGGAGCTGGAGTGGCCGGGATGTGAAAAGCAGTATCCCAAGGGTGCGTAGGGCATCAGGGCCTTGGGCCTGGTCCACAAAATCATTCAGTCCTCTTAGACCTCAGGGCCTGTGATGGGAGGAGCTGCCATAAAGGTCTCTGAAATGCCTTTGGGGCCCTTCTCCCATTGTCTTGGATATTAGCACTTGGCTTGCTTTTAGTTATGCAAATATCTCTAGCAAGTGGTTGCTCCACAGCCTGCTTGAATTCCTCTACTGAAAAAGCTTTTTCTTCCTTTACTACATGCTTGGCTGCCTTTTTTTCAAACTTTTATGCTTTGCTTCCATTTTAAATAGAAGTTCCAACATTAAGTAATGTTTTTGCTCCAACATCTGAGTATAGGTGTTTGGAAGCTGCCAGACCAACTCTTGAATGCTTTGCTGCTTAAAAATTTCTTCTTCAGATACACTTAATCATCACTCTGAAGTTCAAACTTCCACATATCCCTAGGGCAGGGGCACAATGCAACCAAGTTCTTAGCTAAGATATAACATGCATGACCTTTGCTCCAGTTCCCAATAAGTTCTACATTTCCATCTGAGACTTTGTCAGCCTGGACTTCATTGTCCATATCACTATCAGTATTTTGGTCCCAACCATCTAAACAGACTCTAAGAAGTTCCAGACTTTTCCTCATCTTCCTGTCTTCTGAGTCCTTCAAACTCTTCAAAATTCTGCCTGTTACCTAGTTCCAAAGCTGCTTCCACATCATCAGGTATGTTATAGCAATGCCCTTTTCTTGGTACCAATTTTCTGTATCAGTGTGTTCTTGCATTGCCATAAAGAAATACCTGAGATTGGATAATTTATAAGAAAGGAGGTTTAATTGGCTCATAATTCCGCAGGCTCTACTGGAAGCATGGTGCTGGCATGTGCCTTTGGGGAGGAATCAGGAAGCTTCCAATCATAGCGGGAGGTGTAGGGCTAGCAGACCATCTCACATGGCAGGAGCAAGAGAAAGAGAGAGTAGGAGGAGATATACCACACACTTTTAAATGAATAGATCTCAAGAAAACTCACTCACTATTGCAAAGACAGCACCAACCCATGAGGCATCTGTCCCCATGAACAAAACAACTCACTACCAGGCCTCATCTCCATCATTGGGAATTACAATTCAACATGAGATTTGGGCAGGGAAAAATATCCAAACTATGTGACCTATCTATTTTACCCAAGCTGTCTATACCTTCATATCCTAAGGCTCCTAAGTAGAGGATTCTTTGAGTTTCTCAGGGAATTCCAGGAGTTCAAAATGGGAAATCAGAAAAATCATCAATGTGGCCCTATTTCAGCTATTCCTGGAACTAAGAAGCCTCATTCTTCTATAAGCCACTGCCCCAGTTCCAGGGAGAATTAGGTTCTGTCCTTCCCATGAAGTGATTTCCTTTATCATTCCTCATTCTCTGCCCCTTCATCTGTTCTTATTGAGCTGCAAGTATGTGGATTTATTAAAGACTATGACTCTGTAGATGTTTTGGGTGCTATGGACATTTTTACAATCCCTATCAAAATGCCAATGACATTCATCATGGAAATAGTAAAAACTACGTGATTGCCTTTTAGACCAATATCCCTGATGAATATCGACGTGAAAATCCTCAATAAAATACTGGCAAACCGAATCCAGCAGCACATCAAAAAGCTTATCCACTATGATCAAGTCAGCTTCATCCCTGGGATGCAAGGCTGGTTCAACATACACAAATTGATAAACGTAATCCATCACATAAACAGGACCAATGACAAAAACCATATGATTATCTCAATAGATGCAGAAAAGGCCTCCGATATAATTCAACAGCCCTTCATGCTAAAAATGCTCAATAAACTAGGTATTGATGGGACGTATCTCAAAATAATAAGAGCTATTTATGACAAACCCACAGCCAATGTCATACTGAATGGGCAAAAACTGAAAGCATTCCCTTTGAAAACAAGCAAAAGACAAGGATGCCCTCTCTCACCACTCCTATTCAACATAGTGTTGGAAGTTCTGGCCAGGGCAATCAGGCAGGAAAAAGAAATAAAGGGTATTCAGTTAGGAAAAGAGGAGGTCAAATTGTCTCTGTTCACAGATGATATGATTGTGTATTTAGAAAACCCCATCATCTCAGCCCAAAATCTCCTTAAGCTGATAAACAACTTCAGCAAAGTCTCAGGATACAAAATCAATATGCAAAAATCACAAGCATTCCCATACACCAATAACAGACAAAAATAGAGCAAAATCATGAGTGAACTCCCATTCACAGTTGCTTCCAAGAGAATAAAATACCTAGGAATCCAACTTACAGGGGATGTGGAGGATCTCTTCAAGGAGAACTACAAACCACTACTCAACGAAATAAAAGAGGACATAAACAAATGGAAGAATATTCCATGCTCATGGGTAGGAAGAATCAATATCATGAAAATGGCCATACTGCCCAGGGTAATTTATAGATTCAATGCCATCCCCATCAAGCTAACAATGACGTTCTTCACAGAATTGGAAAAAAAAACTACTTTAAAGTTCATATGGAACCAAAAAAGAGCCCGCATTGCCAAGACAATCCTAAGCCAAAAGAACAAAGCTGGAGACATCACGCTACCTGACTTCAAACTATACTACAAGGCTACAGTAACCAAAACAGCATGGTGGTGGTACCAAAACAGAGATATAGACCAATGGAACAGAACAGAGGCCTCAGAAATAATGCCACACATCTACAACCATCTGATCTTTGACAAATCTGACAAAAATAAAAACTGGGGAAAGGATTCCCTATTTAATAAATGGTGCTGGGAAAACTGGCTAACCATATGTAGAAAGCTGAAACTGGATCCCTTCCTTACACATTATACAAAAATTATTTCAAGATAATCGAAGACCTAAAACCATAAAAACCCTAGAAGAAAACCTAGGCAATACCATTCAGCACATAGTGATGGGCAAGGACTTCCTGACTAAAACACCAAAAGCAATGGCAACAAAAGCCAAAATAGACAAATGGGATTTAATTAAACTAAAGAGCTTCTGCACGGCAAAATAAACTACCATCAGAGTGATCAGGCAACCTACAGAATGGGAGAAAATTTTTGCAATCTACCCATCAGACAAAAGTCTAATATCCAGAGTCTACAAACAACACAAACAAATTTACAAGAAAAAAACAAACAACCCCATCAAACAGTGCCAAAGGATATTAACAGACACTTCTCAAAAGAAGACATCTATGCAGCCAACAGACACATGAAAAAGTGCTCATCATCACTCGTCATCAGAGAAATGCAAATCAAAACCACAATAAGATATCATCTCACCCCAGTTAGAATGGCGATCATTAAAAAGTCAGGAAACAACAGATGCTGGAGAGGATGTGGAGAAATAGGAACACTTTTACACTGTTGGTGGGAGTGTAAATTGGGTCAACCATTGTGGAAGACAGTGTGGTGATTCCTCAAGGATCTAGAACTAGAATTACCATTTGACCCAGTCATCCCATTACTGGGTATATACCCAGAGGATTATAAATCATGCTACTACAAAGAGACATGCACACGTGTGTTTACTGTGGCACTATTCACAACAGCAAAGACTTGGAACCAACCCAAATGTCCATCAATGATAGACTGGATTAAGAAAATGTGGCACATATACACCATGGAATACTATGCAGCCATAAAAAAGGATGAGTTCATGTCCTTTGCAGGGACATGGATGAAGCTGGAAACCATCATTCTCAGCAAACTATCACAAGGACAGAAAACCAAACACCACATGTTCTCACTCATAGGTGGGAACTGAACAATGAGATCACTTGGACACAGGGTGGTGAACATCACACACCAGGGCCTGTTGGGGGTGAGGGACTGGGTGAGGGATAGCATTAGGAGAAATACCTAATGTAAATGATGAGTTGATGGGTGCAGCAAACCAACATGGCACATGTATACGTATGTATCAAACCTGCACGTTTTGCAAAGTATAATAAAAAAAATTAAAAATAATTAAAAAATATGTGATTGCCATGGAAGTTCTTTTTTTTTTAATTTTCCTAATCTCTCTAATTTGACTGATCAAAGAACAGCTTTAGAAGTTAAATTTTCAGCCATATCACGAAGTTAGGTGGCCTTGAAAACCTCTTGTTGGTCATCACTAGTCTAGATGGGAACATAATTACATTCCTGCTGTGAGATTGAGAAACTGGTTTGCGACAAACACTATGGGTTGACTGAATGCAATATTCTTAACCCAGTTTAATGCTTGTTTATCAAATTCTCCTGCAGCTAGTAATGACCATGTGATCTATTCACCAATCAGACATCAAGCAGAATATGGCTGGAGAGGTGTGGAAAAATAGTGATTTTTCTAAGGATAAAGAATGTATGGCATATACAAGGAAGAGAAACTTTAATCTTCCTTTGAAGTTTGAAACAAACTAATCTCTCAAACTAATTATTATTTAGCTAAAATTGATACCATAATCTTTTCTGTAAGAAAACAAATAAGCCTTAGGGATGAGGAATGACGAGTACAATTTAAGTAGAGGCAGAGTCAGTGAGCCAACATCATAGCAAATCACATAAACACCTTGTACTGATACTGTTATTGTTACTATTCAATTCAGTCAGGAATCTAGAGCTACTGTAAGGATCAAAACCATTAAGGAATTTGAAAGTTCTTTGAGAACCATAAACCTCCAAATAGAAGGCATCATGTTGCTGTTACATTTTGTTCTAATGACCCTTAACCTTTCACACTTCAGCACTTAAATCTGCTTTCACTTCCGAGATTTTTCTGAGTCCACATTGACAACTGTGGATTTTCCACTTGCTCTGACAGTAAAGGGCATATCAGTAGCTCTGTCTACCCACCTGTATCTGGACCATATCTTGGCAAAACTGTTAAGTGGGCAGGGTTTGCTATGGAGAACGCCCACTCATCTGAGGTCCTGTGTTTTATTTCCTGGTAAGTCATTCGCTGGAAATTTTAAAAAGATCATCTAGTAAGAGCTTAAGCTGTGAACTTTTCAGAAGCAGCATTTAGGACACAACAAATGATGGTTGACTGATCAGCAGTCAGGCAATAACTCTGAAGACTCAACACCTAAGCAACCACCCATGATGTATCTATTCCCACAGCCAGTTCTGCCTGTTGGACAACATTGTGAGGCTTGCTTTTGATCCCAGTCATTGAAAATTCCTATTCAACAGAAGATTTCCCACTGTTTACATTTCCCTTAAGGAGGAAGCAGTCTGTGGACTCCTGACATTTAAATTTACCATTAAAATGAGGTTTTTCTTTTTCCCATCCTTGCTGCCAATTATTTCATAGTGGCAGATTTGGAACATTTGCCAGCCCCACAAGGCGTGTAAATGGGTTCTCCATGGAGACGAAATTCTTCATTGTTGCCATTCCAAAAATGTATGCTTTGAAAAGAATGTGCTGTGTTCTGTAAATATCTCTCCTACTGATACAAGTTTATATCTTTGCTACTGGAGTTTGAACACCTTTCTTTTTTTGTCAATGCAAACCCACATAAAGTGACCTCCCACGGTATAAGTGTCTACATATGACACGCCTGGTTACAGACACAGCTGAATTGACTTTTTTTTTTTTTTGGCCTTTAATGATACATCAACAGCTGATCTCCTAAAGGGATGGGCAAACCCAGCCATATTTTAAGCCAGATAACTTTTCAAAAAATTTGTCAAGCATTTTAGCAAGTATTTACATTTCTATTTTTTAAACTCTTGTGTATTTGAAGAAAAAATTTAATCCACAAGTTTCTAAATAACTTGTCTGTAACGCAACAAAATATTTTATAAGAACAACCATCATCCAAAATAGCACATTTTGTTCTTTGCATTAGTGGGTTTATAAAAGAAATTTATATATTATCTTACAAAAATTGATTAGAGACTCAAATTATCTTTAGTTCAGTAGAGTTCTAAATTGAAAATAACACATTGAAATGAATGAAATAAGCCTTTTATTCTGAGGGGAGGGAAGTGATACCATGATACATCTATATTGAATCTAAACTTTCTTTTTTTCACTTATTGGTTTAATGAAAGTGACATTTCTGCTATGTTATTTACTTTCTGCAGTGCTATGGTAGTTACATAATTTCAGAGAAAACTATTCACATTATCATCTACAGAAATTGCACTGGAGTTGTATACTGCATAACCTAAGACATCCTGAAGTCTATACCCAGGACAACCAAACAACTCCAATTCTAATTCAGTGTAAAATAGTAATGAATTTTATTTCAGACTAAATTTGCTTTTCTAATAAATAGTACTATAATTAAATACACTAACAAATAAATGAATAACAAATTATGACAGATATTACAAAAGATTTGGGGCTATTTCAAATTAATGTTTTTTTAAAAATTCAGTACCAAAGACAGTGTAGATTTTTTTACTCTTAGGCTCTTGGGAAGGATGTAAAGAAAACGAGTAACAGAAGGATTATTGACCTCATGCAGGAACTCTTTTCATTTCAGGCAAATAAGGAGTTTTACCTTATTGTTCTAAAGTGTGCTGAAAGAGAAGTCAAGAAATTCCACAGAAAATCCTTTTAGTCATAGACTGAACTTTAACCACCGAACTGTTTTTCATTGTTCTCTAAGAGAGGGAGAAACAGAATGTTGAGTAAATTCTAATTGCATCAGGAGAGCCTTCTTTTTCTTGGTGTTTGTTTTCTTTGGCTGGTAATGCACAGCTTCTTGTGGAAAATAAATCCCTTGGTAGTGTTTGTCTTTCTTGTAGGTGTGTGGGACTAGTATTTGGCTCAAAAGCAAGTTCAAACCAAATCAAGAGTTCCACCGTGTGTGATGAACCCAGGCAGCCTTCACCTTGAACATAAAGAATGTGGTCCATCCGTTCAACTGGCCTTTTCAGGATTTCACTAGCGGTGCATGCAGAAATCCATCACAAAGGAATGCAGCACTTCATTTGACATGGATTCTTGCCCAGAAACTTAGTAAAACCTCAGTCCAGCCATTTACTCAGGAGCGTGTTTGATAAGATACGGGTATTAGTAAATATGAAAGGAAGCTAGGGAAGTTAAGCCTACCCGGAACTGCTTAACCGACTTTCCCTCAGTGTATACCTTCCCTGTAAATCACATTACATTGCTTCAAGTATTAAAAGTAAAATTAGCAACCACTAGAACTAATCTTGAACACAAATAATGGTATGTAGACTAACAATGAAAATAGGAGACATGTGAAAGTAAATGAAACTCCAGGGTTTCTCTGGTTTTAAAAATGTATATTTCCAGATTCACAAAACATATCCTCATATGGAGACAAAAGCTCCAACGTGGCAGTGAAACAATGAAAATATTTTAAGTGCATGATAAATTGGAAATATAAAGAAGGGAACATTTGGAATACCACGAATCCACATATGGGATTTCATGTGTGATTACACATAGGTATGAAAATGGGAAAAGAGACAGAGCCAAACTATTTTAAGATGACCTAGCCATGATGTGCAAAAAATAAGCTTAATAATATAATAATAAAAGTTGTATGTAATACTTTCCTTTCATTCAGTAAATATTATTTTATATAGGAAGTTCATTTTATAATACATGTCAAGCCATAGGGGTGAGATAGGAAGGAGGCACATTTATGGCCTTCATTATTAAGCCATATGAGGGATAAGTTTAGAAAACAAAACAACCTGGGCAAGATATAAATTGGCTATAGGTAGGTCATAGATATTTATGTTTCTTGTTAAAATATATATGATACAAGGAATTCATAGGTTTCATCCTCTGGCTTAAGATTGTGATTACCTATTCATGTGGGAAAAGTTCTTCTTAATGTATAGGAAAAAAGGTTCTGATACATAGAATATCCTTTGTTCCATTTTTGAATTGATAGTGCAATTGGTTAGGAAATAACACACAGGAAGACTAGAGAACCTAGGTATTTTACAAAGTTTTAAAGAGAGAGCTCTTGGTCTTCTTGGGAGGGTCTCAAGGATCTGCTTTTCATTGTTGTGTTGTTTGTTCATGTAATGTGTGCTGCTTGCCTTGGTTTGAGCATGTTTCTATAGCAAAGCAGAATTCCAATGGGATTGGGTGAAAGAAGAACCCCTAAGTTATGGCTGGTTTTCCCAGAACCAGTTTCTTTTTTTTTTTTTTTTTTTTTTTTTTTTTTTTTTTTTTTGAGACGGAGTCTCGCTCTGTCGCCCAGGCCGGACTGCGGACTGCAGTGGCGCAATCTCGGCTCACTGCAAGCTCCGCTTCCCGGGTTCACGCCATTCTCCTGCCTCAGCCTCCCCAGTAGCTGGGACTACAGGCGCCCGCCACCGCGCCCGGCTAATTTTTTGTATTTTTAGTAGAGACGGGGTTTCACCTTGTTAGCCAGGATGGTCTCGATCTCCTGACCTCATGATCCACCCGCCTCGGCCTCCCAAAGTGCTGGGATTACAGGCGTGAGCCACCGCGCCCGGCCGCCAGTTTCTTAAATAGCCTCTAAAATCTTCATCTTTTTCCAAATAAACATTATTAGTAATCTCTTTAAGAGTAACCCCCATCACCTCATATTACTCTCACATACTGAGCTTTTAATGTACATCAAGAAGATTAAGCACACACCTCAGGTATTAAAATGTGTTTCCTCTGCAATCTCATTTTAGATCAAATATCAATATGGTTATCTCACGTTGTAGAATATTACTGAACTAGATTCTATGTTGGTTGAGCTCTAACTTAAGTTTAGATACAGCTCAAGCCCTACAAAGAAGAACATTTAAATGTATCGCTGTAGCTTGTTTCTGTAGCATTTAAAGTTTCTGGCATCATGGAAATGATTTTGGAGACATTCTGAGTGCCTCTGTTGATTTTACCAGACTTGTGACCTTAAGCAAATGGCTTAATCTCTCTTCCTCACTTTTCATTTTGCAATGAGAATATGAATACTAACCATTTATATAATTATAACCAATGTTATGAGGCTAAAGCATGAGAAGAGTGACAGGCACAGACAAGCATTTAAGTAAGAAGTTGTTTGCTATGGTCTATTTAATGTATTACAGTTTGAGCAAGAACAGTGTTCAGATTTGTGCACATTAATTATAATATTAAAGCTGACATCGTTGAGAATATACAACATGGCACATGTATACATATGTAACTAACCTGCCCGTTGTGCACATGTACCCTAAAACTTAAAGTATAATAAAAAAAAAAAGTTGTTCTGATGAACAACTTTACAACAGGTGTAAATATACTGTAGAAGACCCTGAAATTGTATATGTTTTCAAGTTTTGAATAAACAACCTAACTAAAGGAAAAAATAGTAAATCAAACCTAGGTTCTCTAATTTGTAAATTTCTGTCTATGGCACTGGGAATTATCTCTGTTTAAGATATAGGGATTATCTCTGTTGTGGGTGACCCAGACCTCACTACCAGTGCCCTGCCCTACAGACTAAGCTTAAGTATAATAGGGCAGGTGCATAAGGACCAAGGAAACTCTGATGTAGAGAAAACTGGTAATTGGAGCAAGGTGCAAATAGGGCAGGCAGTACTTACTGTCCAGCCTTCTGTAGCCACAACTATCTGATAACTTGTGACTTATAAAAATGATGCATTTTATGGTACTTTAGGAAACCCCTGAAGTTCATCTATTTGTAGTAGCAAAACATCTTAAACTACAAGCTGTTTTGGTTGCTAGATAAGTATATTAAAAATACTCTGGTGGAAAACATAATGTGTTAAATAGATTTGAATTTGAATCTTATTTCTACTCTTTATTCTCTGTTACCTTGGAAAAGTGGCTTAAACTCCGTTTTCTCCTCTGGGAAAAGGGATCCTAATATTAACTCATTGAGTTTTGTGAAGGTTGAATGGGGTGATTTTTTATATAAGCATTTAAAAAGGGATTCGGTACATAGTATATATTCAATGTCTGTTTGTCATTGCTATTGTTAACCTATGAAAACTGCTAATTTGCTTATGCCCTTTACATTTGCTTTCTTGTAACTTGTAGTAGTGATTTCTGAATTCATTCCTTTGGTTAATTGAAAATAGTCTCTGGATTTGGCCTTTAAACATGAGAAGTAAGAGCTGAGAGATAGCCTTCAACTTTGGAGTCCAGTACAGCCTTAGGCCTGATTTCTCATTACTACTGCCTCAACAGTACAGAAATAGTTCCTCTGTCACCACTCAACCTTTGTAGCGGCAAAGACATAAGTTAGGCTTGGAGACTTAAATAGCTGAGAATTGGAGTTCTTTATTGACAGTTCCTCCTTTTCTATGAACGAGCAGTGTCTTTTTATCCCTGAAGGAACACAACAGATTATAGTGATCTGGTGATGATCATAAGCATATCAACAAGCTGTGTGAATCTGTAGCTCACTAAGAGTCACTTTTGAAGAATTTGCTTCTCTTTCCATCTGTTTATTTACATTTCTTTCTCTATAATTTGTCTCCATCCATTTCATTACATTCCCTGCCTCTTGACCTCTACTAACTATCCACAATATGGAATCGCAATAGATTTTAAAACTATTTATCAAACAGTTTTTTGATCTTTTTCTTAAATTCTAACAATTAGTTGAGTTTAATACATTTTAGGTGACTTATGTGAGAGTAGTCTTTTCCTTCCTTCCTTTCGGGTCAGAGCTTTGAGAGAAAAACATTCCCCAAATCTAGAACATAAGGTTTAAAATAAATTCCCATTGATGATGATAAGTATTTCTTTGTCTTTATTTTTCTGTGAAAATATGTATTTATTTTAAGTACAAGGCTTTCCATATTTTCACAGTGTGATTCAGAATGAAAAAATTTGTACTATTTTATCATTTTTCTACCACACCTTCATGTTTCAAGATCATTTTCAAAGCAAAATATTCTAGCTAAAATAAAGAATCAGAGGTCTTCCAAGCAAAGGGGACTGCAGAGAATCATCTGTGATAGAGCCTACCCTTCAAGTAGGTAAACGTTATTATCTCCATATTAAAAATGAGATGCTTGAAAAGCAAAGTTTAGTCTATTGACTTCTGAGCAATATTCAAAAATAAAGCTACTTATTCTGTTACTCCATTATCTTGTGGTATCTTGATATACCTGCCTTCAGTCTGAAATACTCACTTTTAATCTAATGGTTTGGTAAATAAAATATTAGCTCCAATAGAACCCTATTGAGTGATGGTCTTCCAAAGGATATGTCCGTCCACAACTTGTGAATGTGAACTTATTTGGCAAAAAGGTTCTTGGCGGACTCAATTAGGTTAAGAATCTTGAGATGAGATCATCTGGAATTATCCAGGAGGGCCCTAAATCCGATGGCAATTGTCCTTATAAGATATGGAGGAGAAGAAGATACAGATACAGAAGAGAAGTCCACATCAGATATGCAGAAAAAGCCTTGTGAAGACAGAGGAGAAGGCCAAGTGAAAATGGAGGCAGAGATTAAAGTTAAGTATCCACAAGACAAAGAACACCTGGACCTATAGGAAACTGGGCTCTTCACAAGGAAGAATTCTATGCTAGAGACTTCAGAAGGATTGTAGCTCTGGTGCCATCTTGATTTTGAACTTCTGGTTACTAGATCTGTGAAATAATAAATCTGTATTATTTAAAACCTCCAAGGTTTTGGTGATTTGTTACAGCAGGCTTCATTGTTTAAATACACATTATTTATCTTCTCCAAGTGTCTGCCTGAGCAGCTAGATGAATATTTTTGAAAAAAATTATACAATAGAGCTAACTTTTTCTAATGTAAATAAATAGATATTAAGTCACAAAGTTTAAATACATACTGAATTCTAACTTTTTCTAATGTAAATAAATAGATATTAAGTCACAAAGTTTAAATACATACTGAATTCTAGGCAGAAAAACAATTGTTTCTCTGATAGTCTCACTTTTATGCACCCCAAGAATGCTTCTTCAGTTATCGAATCCCCTCATTCCTTCTTCTAGCTTCATTTTATCTGATGACCTATATTTAGTCTTTATTGAAAAATAGAAGACATTAAATTAAACTCTTTCATTTTACCAGTGGTAAACCTGCAGATCCATCTGCATCAATGACATACAATATTTTTCTTAATTGCAGCAATTGATAAAATGCCACATAACTATCACCTCCTATCAAAGAACCATCAAGCCACATGTTCTTAAAACCCCTTTATTCTTGTCTTCCTGTTGGCTGTAGCTTAATGTATTTCTTCTTTCCAGTATTATCAGACTTACCTTCTCTTCTGAATCATTCCAATGAGCACAAAGAAATGCTCTAATATAGACTATTTTATAAAAGTCTTCTACTGATCTTACATCTGCCTTCAGCTTCAATTCTCTGATAGTTTTCATAGAAAAGCTCTTCAAAAAGTTGTCTGTAAAAGACGTTTACATTGTTTACTTCCCAATCACCTTTAATGACTTTTAATCTGGTTTTTACATCTACCAGTCCTTCAAAAGCACATGTCAAGGTCATAATAACCTCTGTTTTACCAAATCCAATGGATAGTTTGCTCTTCTTATAATTAGTATTCTCAGTAATCACTGAGATGGTTTTTTTGCCTTCTTTCTTGAAATTAAGTTTTCTCTTAATTTCCTTGACACCATGCCCTGTCAGTCTTCACTATAGCTTTGTGGTTCCTCATCTTCTACTTATACTCCTAATTTGGTGTTCTTCATGATTCAGTCCTGGGTCAACTTTTCACACAAAAACAAATAATACAAAATGTACTCTTTAAGTGACGTCACTCATACTCATGTCTTGCCATGATTTAGTGTCTAGCTCACAGATTGTTATCTCCAATTTAAATCTATTGGCTGAATTGTATTCTATCTATTTACCTGCCTGCTGGACAACTTCACTTGCAGGTCTTACAGCCCCAATCTCCCAAGTTTCCACCCACTTAAACATTTTTCACACCTCAATAAATAGCATCACTGTTCAAAATGAAGACCTATTAAAACTAAACACCTTACCACAAAAAATTATGTCAGGTAATGTATATGTTAAATAGCTTGATTTAGCCATCCCATTATATATGTGTGTGTGTGTAAACACCATGTTTGACACCACAAATATATACAATTTTTTACATGTCAATTTTAAAAACAACTATACACTTAAAAACCATCCTAAATTCCGTACTTGCCCTCAACCTCCACGTCCCATTTAGTCTAGAATCTTGCTTATGCTACTTATAAAATATATTTCAAATGGGTCTAATTAATTCTTCTTTATTATCAGCTCCCAAACACAGGCCAACATCCTCTCTCACCAGAATGAGAGCAAAAGCCTCTGATGGGGCTTTTCACTTCTAATCTTACCCCTTTTAAGTCACTGCCATGTCAATTTTCTGACAAAGTATTTTCAATTACTTCCTCTTCTGTTTCAAACAACATTGAAGAGCTTCCCCATAGCTATAGATTCTTCACCATGTGAATTGCTCATCTCTTTAGCTTTACTGCATATCCTTCTCTCTTAATTTATTGCATGCACTCTATCCTTATTGGTCTTTTTGCGGGTTTTGGACACACCAAGATTTTCCCTTCTCAGGGCATTCATAATATTCTTCTCTAGCTCTTCTCACAGGAACATCCTTTCATCTCAGGTTATCAGCTTAAATGTCATCTCAGCAGTGATGCTTTACACGATCACTCTCTGCTAGAAATTATATCCTATTATTGTCTATTCTAGTCTCTAGTTTGTTGTTTTTATTGACCTTAATAATTTTTAATTTCTTTATCTGCATATTTTGCTTTACTCTCTTCTGCATATTTTTGTTTTACTCTCTTCTCTTTCACTAGAATGAAAACTTCATGATAGTATGAAAACATATCTCTTTTGTAATTCATTTAATGCCTCTATACAAAATACCTGATACCTAATAAGTCTGCTTTCTAAAGTCAGCTCATTTTATACACTTTATTATCTTCAGAAAATTCAAATTTGAGAATTATCTAACAAATGATGATCAGATAATAAAAGATAAGTGAACTTCTAAAGTAACTCCCCAAAACTTTGTTATTTATTAGTGTATTCATTTAAAAATATGTATTGATTTCCAACCATGTGTCGGGATCTATGGATGAGTTCAAAGGCTAGTGGACTTACTTCAGTCTAATGTTTTCATCAAATATCATACACTCAATTAAGAAAGGAAATTAGACACAAAGCAGGCATTACAGGGGAGCTACCTCAAGCCTGGTAACAAGTCAACACACTACTATTGAGCAGTGAGCAAGTGAAAGCAAGAGACGAGATTCCAGTCTCCTCATCCATGTGAACACATTTCTTAGCACCACTTATGAGTGAGACCATGCAATATTTGTCTTTCTGTGCCTGACTTGTTTCACTCAAGATAATGACCTTCAGTTCCATCCCTTTTGCTACAAAATGCATGTTTTCATTCTTTTTTATGGCTGAACACTATTCTATTGTGTATATATACCACATTTTCTTTATCCATTCATGCGTTGATTGACATTAAGTTTGATGCTGTACATTTGCTTTTGTGAATAGTGCTATGATGAACATACATGTGCAAGTACCTTTTTGATATATTGATGTCTTTTCTTTTGGGTAGATACCTAGTAATGGGATTGCTGCATCGAGTGGTAGTTCTATTTTCAGTTCTTTGAGAAATCTCTATACTGTTTTCCATACAGGCTGTAATCATTTACATTCCCACCAAAAGCCTATCTACTTTCTCCACATCCTCACCAACATCTGTTATTCTTTGTCTCTTTATTAATAGCCATTCTAACTGGGGTGAGATTATATCTCACTGTGGTTTGGATTTGCATTTCTCTGATGACTAGTGATACTGTGTACTAAAATATATTTTAAATGCTTCTTTTGGTAACTTTAGTAATAAAAGTAAGAAAGTTGGGGAGGACTCAAGCTAGTGATAATATATCAAGTTTAATAAAAATTCAATCTTTGAAATAAATATTGTCAATTATGACTAATAATTGTTAGTTAGAATTATGTACAGTCAGCCTGACTTCTAACCATGGTAACCAACTTCTGTTTTCTTGGGATTCAGACATCCTGAATTTTTACTTTAATTTTTTGTTCATATTTGTATAACTTTTCTTTATAAGAGTAAAATTAACTATGAACGAGTAAAACCAAATCTTCTAGTATTGTCCATTTTGACCCTACAGAATGACATAGAAAGCAAGTATATCAAAACTATATTCAAATAACCCCTTTTCAGAGGGAATATCCAGGACCAGAAGAGATTTAGCAAAACTTCTATGTCACTGAATACTGTTCAGTGTGAGCCAATGACCCTAAACCATTGCTGGATTCTCAAGTGCCTTAGAGGTCATAAAAAGACAGGTTAAACCATATGAAATCTTAAGCTGAAGTTGAGAATATGTCAGTTCATTGAAAAATTGATGATTTTGCATCGTAAACGGCTACTCAACTGAACTAAAGACCTCATTTCCCTGTTATTCTTGATAAGAGAGAATTTACAGGTTATTGTGAGAGGGGGAAAGGCTATTTGCTGGCATTTGCTTGGATAAGGATTGCCTAGAATTCTATGCAGATTAAATGTCCCAGGGAAGAGGCAGGGTGCCATTTCTATACCAAGAAGTGAGTGTAATTTGCATGTTGAACACTGTAATCAAGAACAAAAGACTCTTGACTCTATAAATCATCCAGCCCAGATTAAGAAACACAGAAAAGCTATAAATCAAGCTCATTGCTCATGGACAGAATCACGGATTTTGAAAAAGCACTAGCGACATTCATGTAGTCTATGAAAATATGTAAAATACCTAAAAAGCTGCATTCAGTCTATCCAAAATAAAATAAAAATTATCAGATGGTAGTTAACTTTTTATTTAATTTAATGCGGTACTAATAGGAGAGAAGCAAACTTTATTAATTTGTGAATCTAGTAAGGTATTTAGAATAAAATTCTAAATAATTCTAGACTTTGTTATTTTGTATGAATATTACAGCTATTATAAATGATACTCTTTTAATACCACTTCAAGATATTACTAAGTTGGCAGGCTATTTTTCTATTTACTCATAGCTTTTATTAAAATCTTCAATCCAAAGACCAGTGATCCTTACCATGAAACAAAATTTTGGCCCCCCCAGGTTTAATTGCCTCTGGGAGAGACGATATTTGGAGTCCAGATCCTGTAGTACCTGTGTTCTGTTCTTTCTTCTGCCCATTACTTTAAATGGTACTTTAAATGTCTGCAATCCAGTGGCTAGTGTAATAGACCAAGGGGCTTGCTTAGGTAAAGCTATGTTCTTGTGAGTCCAAGCTCTTGAGACTTGAACATCGATTCAATGAGCCTTCAGGGAGAAGGAAACAACTCCATCCAGATGGTGCTTAAGAAAAAAACGAAATCTTAAGCTCTTTCATATAAATCAGCCAAGTAATATGCTAAGTCACAAAAGGTAAATTATGAAACTGCTTTTTCCCAATTCCAAAGCAATCATTTTCTGATGTTTCCTTTCTTTTGAAGCTACTGTTGTTTTTCTCCACTGGTTTTAATTTTTAAATGTAGAAACAAATGATTAAATATTTAAAGAAATATATTATTATTTATCCTAGATGTTGGTGCCATGATCTGGTGACAAGAACACAGATTAGGAGTCAGGTTTTTATGTGACTTATACTGTTTAAAATGGATCAATTTACGTAACCTCTCTAATATGGATTTCCCTATCTATATGACAGGGAGAATAATACCTTCCTCCAGAGTTGTTTTAAGGATTAAATGTAGTAACGGATTGATGGTAAAAGGATTCACAATTTGAACTTAGATGATGCCTAAATACAGACACGTGCAGAAAAGTCTTTAGAAGATTGGTGAAGAGGATCTATCAGCAGTTTATTTACCTAAAAGGGCAACTGGCTTTCTGAAAATAAAATCATTCTAAAGGTGGAGAAAGAGACACGAAAGATGCAAACAAACAAAAACGTCTTCGTTTATTTAGAATAAAAGGTAATTTTGAGTCCAATATAGAAATGGTCACTCAAATCAATTTTCTGCCCTAAGCTATGATAACCTTATGAGCAAGACCTAGGAAGAGAATTGACAAAGAAATCAATTACTGCCAAAATAATTATCTTGAATAGTTGTTTCTCTCAAAATAGTTATAAAAGTTTAGGTTGGGCATGGTGGCTCACGCCTGTAATCCCAGTACTTTGGAAGGCTGAGGTGGGTGGACATATGAGGTTGGGAGTTTGAGACCAGCCTGACCAATGTGGAGAAACCCCATCTCTACTAAAAATACAAAATTAGCCAAGCGCGGTGGCACATGCCTGTAATCCCAGCTACTCAGGAGGCTGAGGCAGCAGAATCACTTGAACCCGGGAGGCAGAGTTTGCGGTGAGCCAAGATCACGCCATCGTACTGCAGCCTGGGCAACAAGAGTGAAACTCTTTCTCAGAAAAATTAAAAAAAAAAACAAACCCAAACCTGAAGACACACTGTTCCATTATTGTTTTGAAGATGCTGAACTGCAAAAGCAGTGTATTAGTCAGGGTTTTCTAGAGGGACAGAACTAACAGTATACATGAAAGGGAGTTTATTAAGGAGAAATGACTCATACGATCACAAGGTAAAGTCCCACAACAGGCCGTCTGCAAGTTGAGGAGCAAGGAAGCCAGTGGTGGATCAGTCCGAGTCCCCAAACCTCAAAAGTAGGGAAGCTGACAGTTCAGCCTTCAGTCTGTGGCCCAAGGCCTGAGAATCCCTAGAAAAACACTGGTGTAAGTCCAAGAGTACAAAAACTGAAGAACTTGGAGTCTGATGTTAGAAGGCAGGAAACATCCAGCATGGGAGAAAGATGAAGGCAAGAAGACTCAGCAGGTCAAGTGCCTTCCAATTTCTGCCTGCTTTATTCTAGCCATACTGGCAGCTGATTACATGGTGCCCACCCAGATTGAGGGTGAGTCTGTCTGCCTCTCCCAGTCTACTGACTCAAATGTTAATCTCCTTTGGCAACACTCTCACAGACACATCCAGGAAAAATACTTTGCATCCTTCAATCCAATCAAGTTGACACTCAATATTAACCATCACAAGCAGTAATTTTTAAAAATTGCTTTGTGTAACAAAATGTAACACAAAGGTGGGAGATTTGGACACTTTCTGCTTATTCCTAGAACTTAGCATGACCATGTACATTTAGAGCACATGAGAACACATCTCAGTTCTGTCATCAAGGATTTCAGGGGACCACAAATACCTTTTCCTGTGACAACCAGAGATACCTGGCATCTGACAGGATTGGTTGTAAATACAGAACTCAAAAGGCTCATTTTAATGTCCTCAGGAGCTATGAACAATTTCTGAATCTGAATTAGGAAGCTTACGTTGAGCACCAGCAGCAGGCGTGGTATCTATATAGAGGTAATACATCAGTGAATAAGGGTAAGGTTAGACACAAGGAAACAGCCACTGGACAGTAGGTCAGGGGTCGGTGTCATGAGCGGTGCAACATAAGAGATAACCAGGTCCATGCATATTTGTGTATTTCAACAATGTCAGGCTTTTATTGTTGCTATTTCAGTCACAAAAGTCATGAGCTACATGGAGGTCCCAAGGAGACAATTCTTAGTGCTTCCCATTCACTCAGTAGTCAGAGCCACAGACACACAGGCTCTAGCCATGCTAGAAGTCAGTCAATATTGCAAAACATACATAATAGTATACTTAATTAATATATAAATGTTATAGATTAAACATTCCACAAGAAACAAAGTAACATTTAACATGAAGGGGAAAAAGCGATAGGAGAAAGAGTTAATTAACCAGTCTAAGGGGGAGCTAAGAAGACAAACGAAGTTCTGGTCTGGAGCCAGTCTTGGTCTTGCAAGGAAGTCTGGTCTGGGCCTTGGTCTTACAAGGAAGAGTGTTTAATGTGGCAGAGCTTTCAGGGGCAGATCCGAATTCTTATCACGAGTGACTGGTAGACAGTGTCAGTTAAGATGTCCATTTGGAGCTGCCGAAGGCCTGCTCATTTGCAATCACAGAATCCTCTGGTGAGAACTGATAGTGGAAGAGTGTGCTTGTTTGTGCCCTTATCTGGTTGGATGCAATCTTTATTTTTTTATTTGTTTATGAAGCAAAACATCTTATCCTTGTTGGCAAAGTGTCCTATGAAATATAAAATTGAATTCCTTTTCTAAGATGGAATTAGTTTTGTCAAAGGCACTCTATAGAGTCAGCAAACTTTTTCTGTAAAAAGCCAGACACTAAATATTTTACGGTTTGTGAGCCAGATGGTTTCTGTTGCAATGACTCACCTCTTTTGCAACTACTCAACTACTCATGTGGTGAAGAAGCATCCATAGGGAATTGGCACATGAACAGGTGACAGGCAGGACTGGGGCCACAGGCTGTTATTTTCCGTGCTCTAGGATGACTGAGAGGACTTACTCCTGAATGCAACAGACTAACCCTTAAAGATGCTTAGAAACAAATGAAGAAATACAAATGAAGGAAGAGTGAGAGTTAGATTTTTTTTTCCAAATTCTGGCCAATAAGTTGTAAAAGGAAATCTGCAGGAGACCACCTAGGAAGGCTTTCCTCTTTTTTTTTTTTTTTTTTGAGACAGAGTCTTGCTCTGTCACCCAGGCTGGAGTGCAGTGGCGGGATCTCAGCTCACTGCAACCTCCGCCTCCTGGGTTTATGCCATTCCGCTGTCTCAGCCTCCCCAGCAGCTGGGACTACAGATGCCCGTCGCCATTCCCGGCTAATTTTTTTATATTTTTAGTAGAGACGGGGTTTCACCGTGTTAGCCAGGATGGTCTGGATCTCCTGACCTCGTGATCCGCCCGGCTCGGCCTCCCAAAGTGCTGGGATTACAGGCGTGAGTCACCGCGCCCGGCTGGCTCTCCTCATTCTTAAGCGAAAAAAAATAGTTTCCTTCCAACTTTCTTTTTTTTTTTTTTTTTTTTTTACCATTGTTAGCATGTTAATTTTTTCTCTCTGGCAGATCTTCTCCTAGTCCTAAAAACGATTTCCACGCATCTCCAAAGTCAGCAAAGTTGAAATGTGTTTGTGACTTTTCTTAAGAGTGAGAAAAGCGGCTGGGCGCAGTGGCTCACCTGTAATCCCATCACTTTGGGAGGCCGAGGCGGGTGGATCACGAGGTCAGGAGATCGAGACCATCCTGGCTGACACGGTGAAACCCCGTCTCTATTAAAAATACAAAAAAAAAAAAATTAGCCGGGCCTGGTCGCGGCTCCTGTAGTCCCAGCTACTTCAGAGGCTGAGGCAGGAGAATTGCTTGAACCCGGAAAGCGGAGGTTGCAGTGAGCCGAATCACACCACTGCACTCCAGCCTGGGCGACAGAGTGAGACTCTGTCTCAAAAAAATAAAAATAAAAAATAAAAATAAATTAAAAAGCTGTATCTCTCACTTACTTTAACATGAAGTTTTTCTCACTGTCAATAAGTTTGTCTCAAAAATATACTTTGAAATGGCCTGCTGTTTTGTTTGTTTTTGAGGGTTTTTTTGGTTTGTTTGTTTGTTTGTTTTCTGAGATGGAGTCTTGCTTTGTTACCCAGGCTGGAGTTCTGTGACACGATCTCGGCTCACTGCAACCTCCACCTCCTGGGTTCAAGCGATTCTCCTGCCTCAGTCTCCCAAGTAGCTGGAACTACAGGGGTGCACTGCCACGCCCAGCTAATTTTTGTATTTTTAGTAGAGACAGGGTTTCACCATGTTGGTCAGGATGGTCTCGATGTCTTGACCTCATGATCAGCCCACCTATGCCTCCCAAAGTGCTGGGATTACAGGTGTGAGCCACTGCGCCCGGCTGAAACGACCTCTTTTTTATATAGATGTTATATAATTTATTTAACTGATACAACATTTAGGTAATTTTCAGTTCTGAAAAACCATTTCAGCTTTATAGATTCATTTTATCACTAGGATGGGACTTTTGGCTATTTCTTCTTCAAGACTTTATCAACATTTATTTTAAAAAACAAGCCCGATCATTTTGCAGTTGCTAGATAGTGAGTATCTTAGCAAGAATCCCCATGAACTCAAAGTAAATCTGCCTTTAAAAATATTATGAGAAAACATTCATTTTGAGAAAACAAATTTACGTTTTCAAGAAGTATGAATAAATATGTATGTATGTATTCCAATTAAACAAAGCAGTGTGTCCCAGTTCTATCCTCTGGGAGGAATGAATTAGTAACTTTATCTTAGTTAAGGATCTGGTGCTGCACCCTCTGTTCATTCATCTTTGGTTCCCAGGTCCCAGCCTCAGCAGCCATGGAAGATGAGTCACCTGCTCTGAAAATGGACTCCTCTTTCCTGGAGATAGCATCACTTGCACTATTTGCAGAGTCGCAGGTCAGGCTACTCTGTGAATCCTTAGAACATATAAACATATATCAACACAATTTGAGCTTCATCTCATTGGTTCAGAATATGAATTTTCAAGGTGTTTCCAAATTGTGTCATCTAAGAACAAAAGCAAAACACCCTCTCCTACAATATATATTTTCTCCAGTAGACTACAAGCTTTTCAAAACTGGGAACCTTATCTTACTAATTTCCTATCTCCCAATATATGTGTAATGCTCAAATGTTTATGAAATAAATGCCTACTAGGGGTGTTTTTAGAGAAAAATATATGTGCCTGTGCGAAATGCTTAAAGGAGGACAGAATAAAAGTCTTCTAAACATAAAACTTCCCATTGTTGTATCAAAATAGGGTGGTATAACTAAATAATGAAAGAGTTCAAATAAGCCACAGAGTCGTCCTTCCATTTTTCTCACTTGTAATTGAAATGTAATGTCACTGTTGCTCTATGTTACTTAAAATGAAATACACATCAACACTTCCACAAAAAGTACTAAACAGCGAGAAAAATATATTAACTTGAGGGAGTTAGGTTATTCATCACACACATTAAATAAAACACCTACTTTAACAGTCACAGAATTTCTCTCTTATTTGTTCTTATGCAGTTTTTAAATTTATAAGAATTTTATAAATTTTTGTAAATTTTAAGAATTATGTAGATCCTATTATCTGACAATTATCATTTCTCCTCAAAGTGATGGTCTCAGCTGCTAATTTTATTTAAATAGCTACAAAGAAAGTTAGGAGGAAGCTAGATGGTAATAATTCTTTTGTTAGATAAACACTAATTGTTTTTCATAGAATTTATTTAGCTTTTCAGAATTCTTGGTGGGGAATAATGATAACTTTTAGTTAATCTGGAAATCAAAAATAAATATCTTGTCTTTTTGTATTTGCTAAGTGATCATATATTAGGGAAGATCATGAAAACCGAGCAGGAACATGTTGGGAAGCAAAATACCATAAATTTACAACTGGGCTTAAGTTAGCTAAGAGATTGATGACCCACTTGCTAATGTGGGAGAAATATACACAGGGTATATTGAGTTACTTTACTGCGGGTAGTTTGATGTGCTATATTATGCTGGTACTACCCTACTTGACCTCTGTTCAGTGATGCATTAAAAATGTGAAGTATTGTACTTCCTTAGAAAGCAGACTCAATGCATTTCAACCCCATGCTGTTTGTTACCCAAAGCAAGCATGGTTAAATTATATGCATCTCTTGGTTTTAAAGGAAGGGAAAAAGGGGAGGAGGAGACACGTTTCTCATGGATTAGCATCCTCTGATCTATTTTGGCAACTAAACTAATGCAAATTCAGCAGGTCCCTTTTTCAGGGTTGAAAATAAAAATATATTATGACCTGTTTTTAATGTTGATCTGAAAAAGACCTGAAAAAAAATTTTTTTTAAGTCCTAGAAAACCAAGTGGTCTCTTTAAATATAAATGTCTTGCATTATATGAACACAGAAATAATATTTACTGGCAAATTGTCTTTTGTAATCTTCCTGAAGTTTCTCCTTCTTTTATATTTACACCCTCCAACATACACATACACATACACAGGGACTTAGCTATATGTGTTCTTTTCTATACTTGATCTTAGCCAAAGGGCAGAGAAGTGATTGTGTTTGTTTCTAGACTAAGTTCTTAATGGTTCAGAGTCTTCAAGTTCATTCTGGTACACATCTTGTCTTCATGCTCCATAGTATTACATAGTCTTGTATTTAAACAGTGGATTTTAAATAAACGGTGAAAACACAGTGATTGTAAAAGTGAAGAAGCATGAGTAACTATCTGCCATTCCATGTGACTGGTTAGAGCTTTTACTTATATTTACAATGTTATAAGTGTAATAGACTAAACATGAAAGGGTCTTTTTTTTGGGGGGGGGGAGGAATTACATACTTAATGACAGAGTAAATATTTGAATATATCTTTAAAGTTGGGATTCTTTTCTCTTTTAAATTGTTCAATTTTAAATTAAAGAGTGATTTAAATAATGATTATTAGTGACTGTTGCAAGATTATTACTGTACATAGTTTTGTTATGGAAATATGAAGAATGTTTAAAAAATCTGCTCAGGGCATTACATATACTAGGTATGCCAATGTTTAAATCAAAAGGAAAGAAGTTGGGGTGAGAAATGTAGAAGTGAAATGCTACCTAACAGATTCTATCATGTCAGAACATTGCCATTTCAGTAGCATTTCTTTTCAAATTGTTGCCTCCTTAAACTCTTCTTTTCAAGATCAAAACATCTCATTTGGACTAAAATTATTATTCATGAGTTCAGATTAAAATATGATTCATTTTTCTCAGATACACTTCTTTCTAACTTGGAATATGATGAATTCCTCCTGGTTTGAGTTATTAACATTGAATCTTGTCTTCAAACTGACACTTAGACTAGATTATAAAGGACATGCATTCAGATTTCATGTGAACTATGCCTCTCGGAAGCCAATAGAATGTAAAGGTTTGTTTATACAAAGCATCCAATTTGCTCTATATTTTAAATATAGATAGCACTGTGTAGTTCCATACATGAACCCCTAAAGCTGGAAGTTCTATTTGACTTTTTGACTTTTTTTTGAAATTTGAGAGGAGTCATTAGGAAACTGAAACTCAATTATTCATTATGGGAAAATCCAATAATTGAAAAACTGTTAAACATATTAACTCAATAAATGTGAATGTTAATTGGAATTTATCTAATGTATTGTTAATTAAAATGACAGGTCCTGTGGAATCCTGTGATTTTCCAAGTGATCTCTCATAAGTTAGATGTGCAGCTATGATTAGAAGATGTGGCAGGGAATAGAAAAAAATACAGAAATTGATAGAAGGATAAGAAAATAAATTGGAATTATGATAGATGCTCTACTGAGAAATAAAGAGTTAGGATTTGTTTATAAATAAAAAGCAAACTTGAAACAGAGCAATGAACACAGTATTAAATTGTTAATCTGGGATTTTTAAGTTGTTAAACTGGGATTTTAAATCTTAGATGCTCAAGATTCCCATCATATTACTGATGGTAAACAAAGAATATTAACATTTATATAAAACTCTAACCTTTTATGGTAACCAGGATTTAAAACAAATAAATATTGTTATGTGGGAATTGTAATAATGATCCCATTTCCCTGATGTTGACTAAAGTGTTAACTCTTATGTTCTATTCTGGGGTTTAGTTCAATGAACTACACATCTCTTTACATTAAATGTGGGCTTTGCTTCCTTCCTTTCCTTTTTTTTTTTTTTTTTTTCCTTGGAGTTCACTGTCTCGTCTGCGGTCAGCTTTCTTCATATTTTCTACCTCTTCTTTCAGTGGTTCGTGTTGGCTACCTAAGCATTCCTTTCTATCCTACACTTCAAGGGTGATAGGGAATATTTGGTTTTTCAGGAACAAATGAGTAACGTTTGCATGAAAATGTAACTAATAGTAAAATAGCTCTCTGTTTGCTTTCATGGCAGCTATTCAATAGAGGTTATTCATTAACAAGTTCTCCTCTAGTGTAAAGTACTTAGAAAGAACTGGTTCAGAATGTAGCCTTTGTTTCCAAGTCTTCCTTTTATCTTGGTTTGTACCCTATGTCCTCATGCCTGAAGCAGTCACTCTGTTCTTCTATGTCAAACTGTTACAATTACCTTCACATTCTACTGGAAAAGTCATCACTCACAAACTCCCACTCAGTGTCTCTGTGTCATTAGGAATGAAGCCTAGTGGATATAATTTCCCACCAATTCAGCATTGAAGTCAGAAATATAATGAATGGTTAACAAGTCCCAGACTGGAAGCCACTTCTGTTGAAGGATGCCAGCCCATGGGCTGAATGTATGTGCAGTAATTTTGTGAACATATAGAGAGCCCTGAAAATTTAAGCAAACAGGCAAAACAAAACAAAATGCATCACAAAAATGTGCTGGAAGAGAGGTGTAGTGTCACAACCTGTTGTGACAAATCTATTGATTTAACTACAAAACAACATTATTTACTAAAGACTAAAAAATATATGGTTGACATTAAATCACACTTTGAGGTTACTAATAGGATTATATAAGCATAATGAGTAAACAAGACACTTTGAACTTTTGTTTTTAAAAATTATATCTTTTCTTTTAATTAGCAAAATTACCTAAAAGCAATACAATGATACTTGGAAAGAATAAAAATTCAAATAAAAAAGTTACCCATACCTTCTCTTATGGCTTGAATTGTGTCCCTCAAAATCCATCTGTTAAAATCCTAACTCCTAGTACCTGAAAAGGTGACCTTATTTGAAAAATAGATTAATTACAGATATAATAAGTTAAGGTAAGATGAGGTTATTAGGATGGGCTGTCTAGGGTCCTTGTAGTAAAGTGAAATTGGGACACAGAGGCATGTACCCAAAGAGAATTCCATGTGAAAGGACTGTAAACCAAACAGCATATGAGACAAGTCTCAATCAATTTAGAAGTTTATTTTGCCAAGGTTCAGGATGCGTGGTAAGGAGACATGTCTGTGCCTTTCTCCAAAGCTGATTTTTAGGGCTTAAATATTTATAGGAGAAAGGGTGGATACTGAGGAAAGACAAAAACATTTTTTAAAGGTATGTGTAGATAAGGAGCAAATGGTTGCATTCTTTTGAGTCTTTGATCAGCCATTCGCATGTGAAAGTGGGGGGGTAGAGGAATAGTCACTTATGCATTCTTCTAACTCAGTGAATCTGTATTTTTACATAAGATAAAATAAACATAGGGCAGAAGAAGCAATCAGATATGCATTTGTCTCAGGGGAGCAGAGGGATGACTTTGAGTTCTGTCCTTTCTCCCATACCTTTGAAGATAAGTTATCAATTAACATTGTCAGGGTGAAATTCAACAGAACTGTTTTAGGGTAAGGATCTTGGGGCCCACAAGGAATTTCCTAGTGGGCAAATTGTGAGGGAGGTATGTGGCCTTTTCTTTTTCGTAGCTATCTTATTTAGGAACAAAATGGGAGGTAGGTTTGTGTGAGGCAGTTTCCAGCTTGACTTTTCCCTTCGGCTTGGTGATTTTGGGGTCCTGAGATTTATTTTCCTTTCACAAGACACAGGAAGAAGATGGCCATCTAAAAGTCAAAAGAAGAAGCCTGGAACAGATTTTTCCCTCACAGTTCTCAGAAGGAGCCAGTGGTGCCGACAACTTGATCTAGTCTCCAGAGCTATACCACAACCAATTCCACTTATTTAAGCCACCTAGGTTGTGGTACCTCGCTACAGCATCACCTAGAAAATTAATGCACCTTCATTACCCAGAGATAACCTCAGTAAACACTTACTATACATTTAAAAATCTGTGGCCTATTTCTGTTTACTTATTCAAATATTTTTTTTTCACATAACACTAAATTTTGAACAAATTTTTCAGTCTATGGCGGTGACGTCTTGTGCCCTACCCTGAAGTCCATTTTTCCTTCCTCCCAGTAACAATGCTCTAATTTTAGTGCTCAATCAAAAGATAACATTTGCAGCCTCCCTTGGGCCATGTGCTTATTTATCTAAATTCTGGACAAAATGATGTTAGCAGAAATGTTGTATTGGACTGTAAAGAACTGCAAAGTTTCTAAAATTTTGCACTACTTGAAAGCAAAAAAGAAACCCTTCCACAGAAAGGTGGTTTTCTTGTCCCAGTTTTCTGAGTGCCAATTCCCACAGGGCCAGAAGAGGATGAGACACTTACAGAGCCTAAAACTTTTATAATGGTCAGTGAACCTGCACACCCTTTGTGTAGGACAGAAATGCTGTTTCTACCTTGCAAGGCTGCTTCCTATAAAAAATTCTTAAAACGATAGACCACCAGCCAACGTTTTGAGGATGCATTCATATTTTCAGAATGACAGTAGGAAGAGAGGAAACTGAGCTCCATACTAGTCCTGGCCTATGCACCCCCCCAGACTTCTTTTATGGCTGAGGAAATTAAACTTCTTTAGTTAAATCACTTATTTTGGGAATTTTCTGTGGTGCTGTCCAATCCTAGGTCTAACTGGCATGCAGTCAATAAAACTTACATTTAAAACTTCATTTTTCAGCCGGGCACAGTGGCTCACATGTGTAATCCCAGCACCAAGTCAGGTGCATCACCTGAGGTCAGGAATTTGAGACCAGACTGGCCAACATCGTGAAACCCTGTCTCTATTAAAATACAAAATTATTTTACTCTATTAAAAATACAAAATTTAGCCGGGCGCGGTGGCGGGCACCTGTAATCCCAGCTACTCGTAAGGCTGAGGCCGGAGAATCATTTGAACTCAGGAGGCAGAGGTTGCAGTGAGCCGAGGTGGCGCCATTGCACTCCAGCCTGGGCAACAAGAGTGAAACTCCATCTCAAAAATAAATAAATAAATAAATAAATAAATAAATAAATAAATAAATAAATAAAATAAAATAAAATACTTCATTTTTCATAATGACAAAGAAGTAAATCATATAATCATACCATCATTTCCTTAGTTAAACCCATTATTGTACTCCCCTTGTTTTGTTCTCATTTTCTTCTATTCCAATCCAAAGTTTGATGCATGCAGTTTGTTATCCGTGAATATTTTTGTTCATTAAAATTATTTCCTCAAGATTGGCTTTTCTTTTTTATTGTGGGTTTTTGTCTAGCATATTTTCATTTAGCATATTTTCATTTCATATAAATATATACACATGTAGACAAAACAATAAAATCTCAAAGTTAAAAAATAAAAATTAATCACCATTTATATGTCTGCTTCCTCTTCTCTCTCTCTCTGCATGTATATAAAACATCAATCCAAAACTTCAGGGTTAAGGGGTAAGTATATTTGAACTTTTCCATTCACAATTCTTCAGATAAACAGTATAGTTCTAAATGATAGGCTTTTCTTATGATATTATGATTTATTAAATTTAACCTGTATTAGATAAGACTCTTCAATGAATTTAAAGTGACTTAATTTGCTTACACTACCCTCCTCTTCTCTCCTTTCCCTTTCCAATTTTTTTGCATGAACATTAATTTTTAATTCTCTTGACTGCTAATTACCAAAGCTTCATAAATCCAACTTCTTTTATATAGTCAATAGATATGCTTTTCTACTAATGGGTGTCTTAATCAACAAAGAGAGATAAATGAGTCTATTTGGATAGAAATAAGATTGATACAGCAAAGACCTGGTCCTATGATCTGAGTTGCTTTTATCTCAGTAATTCAAAATGCTTTTAGCTCTTAAGATAATGATTCAGGGTGTTTGTATAATAAATGTAATTACCTTGATTTATATGCCACATAGGAGACATAAAAACTTTATTTTAAGGGTTAACATTTATAGACATAACGCATACTATTTGAATAGACAAATCCATATAATTTTTCTCTGTTTTTCATGAAGAGGTGAGTTCAGCTCTATTGCTGTTTATAATTTCCCTGCATATAGTTCCGTTTGTAACCAACAGATGGGGAGCAGAAACAGTAGCTTAGTGTGTGTTTGCATGTGTGCCTGTGTGTGTGTGTGTGTGTGTGTGTGTGTGTGTGTGTGTGCTTAAGGGCATATGTCTTGCATGCCTGTACTAAAAGCTGAACAAATGCATTTAGGCACGAAGAGACAATTGTCTAAGAAAAAGATCAAGGAAGCTAACAAGGATGAGTTACATTCACTGATACGCTAGTGCTAATACTGTGGAGAGAGCAAACAAGGTCTTAGAACAAATGGCAATTTTCTGCTGTTTGTGTTCCAACAGTACATTCTTTGTCAAGATTCACTAGGAACAACTAAATATCATACCTAATAACTAATAAAAAGCAGGCTACCTAATAATTGGATCCTAGATCAGTTTTTCCATCTGCATAACCTCACACTTTTAGCTAAATCCAGCTGTTAAGATTATCTTATAACGAAGGCATTACCTTGGTGCAATTCAACTCTTCATTATTGATCATGAGCCAAACCTAAATAAGATACAGAAATGAAACATTGAAATGTTTAGTAAGAACAGTTATGGAAAACAAAATTATTAGTAGTACAGAGCATTGTCAATGCCTAAGAAACTCAGGAAGGAGTCTAGCTAGCTGTTCAGAAGAGTTTAACCATTTAAGTTAAAAATATGTAGAGAGGAAGAAATCAAAACCAACAAGAGAGAAACAGTGAGATGGCTATTCTTTACTTTTTGGCTGATGAGCATCAAAATGCTCTTCCTATGACTGAGCAGTCTGACCCTTTTTGAGGCCTGGTGAAGACTCTTTCTCTGAAACAGAAAGGATCAGAAGCCCTTGGTAGCTCAGATGCAGGCATGTGACTCAGCTTGGGCTTGGGACCTCTGCTCTGCCAGTCAGATTCCCCTGCCCAAGCCTGTGCTTCTGTGCTGTCTGATAGTTTACAAATCCTTTGGAACATTGTGGTGGCAACACAAATAGCTAGAGTCCACTGACCACATTGGCAGTTGTATTGAATTCAAACAGCTCAGCAGGGCACATCCAGTGTTCCTGGCACCAGGGACAATTTTCTAACCAGCCTGAGCACACGATGAGATGGTGGCTGGGCTCTTGGCTGCCTGGCCTCCTTTATACCCTATTATTTTTCTGCAGCCCAGCTCTATTGACTTCCTGCTGATTTGGGAAGGTACCAGATATTTCTTCAATAATGCCTTTTTCTGCTTAACTAACCACATGTGATTTCTCTTCATTGAAACAAATAACCTTTGCTTAATTGCATTAGTAATCCTCATGATAACATGATTCTAATCCTCATTTGTAATCACGATACATTTTAAAACATATCCAAAGTTTTATATAGTCTAAATTAGTCTAATATTTTAACAGAGAAATCTTTTTTTTTCTAACCCAATACACCTAAGGAACATAATTATTCTCATTAGTAGCAACTAAATAAAATAAGACTTTTTGTTGAAGCCTATTTGATCAGTTGTTATGGTCTGATTAATATGGATCAATACAAAATCATTGATTTTTTATTATGCAATAATGTCAAATATATGAATGGACATCCATGGTATTAGCTCATTTCATTGCATTGACCTTCATTCTGGCATCTCTTATCCCTGGCTTCTAACCCAGATCACCTGAGCCTCAACATATCTGTGATCCCAAGAAATAGTCATGATCACTTAGGATCAGAGACAGTGTATGATTAAGGAAATGACTGAAGAAATCTACCTCATATACTACTTAGTAATTTTAACAGTTTGACATTTAACTTTTTTTGTGTTGCATAAAAGTAGCTGTATCAAAACTGCAATGTGACATATACCTTGGCTCATGATTGTGGTAACTGGAGAATGGAAAGCAAAGAAATATACCAGTATTTTAAGAGTAGAATGTGTGTTGTTTATAAAGCCCTTTCTCCCCCCAAATAACTGTTATAAAGCATTCATTGTTTATGAATAACAACATGAACAATGAAATGGAACCAGCTCTGAGCATGTATACATGTATCTGTGTGTTTGCTGTATTTTAATGTATAAAATAGCTAGAGGTAAGATTGATATCTAGAGGAGATTGATTGGAAAGGGAGTACTTACATAAAGTACATAAGATACTTTGCCCCCCATACACTAGAATTCTTTTTTACATATTTCTAGGTACACAGTAGGTATATATACATTTATGGGCTACATGAGATATATTGATACAGGCATACAATGTATAATAATCACATCAGGGTAAATGGGGTATGCATCATCTCAAGCATTTATTTTTTCTTTGTGTTACAAACAATCCAATCATACTCTTATAGTTATTTTTAAATGTATGATAAATTATCGTTGACCATAGTCACCCTATTGTGTTATCAAATATCAGGTCTTATTCATTTTATCTAACTATATTTTTGTACCCATTAACCATTCCCCCTCCAACTACACTTCCCAGCCTCTGGTAACCATTGTTCTACTCTCTATCCCCTTGAGTTCATTGTTTGTTTGTTTGTTTGTTTTTTGCCTCCCACAAATAAGTGAGAACATGCAACATTTGTCTTTCTGTGCCTGACTTATTTCACTTAACATAATGGCCTGAAGTTCCAACCATGATATTGCAAATGACAGAATCTCATTCTTTTTTATGGCAGAATAGTATTTCATTCGTGTATATGCACTACATTTTCTTTATCCATTCATCTATTAATGGACACTTAGGCTTTTTCCAAATCTTGGCTATTGTGAAGAGTGCTGCAATAAACATAAGAGGGCAGATATCTCTTCAATATACTGATTTCCCTTTTTTTTGGATATAAACCTAGCAAGAGAATTCCTGGATCATATGGTAGTTCTATTTTTAGTTTTTTGGAGGAACCTACAAAATGTTCTCCATGGTGGTTGTACTAATTTACATTTCCATCAACAGTGCATGAAGGGTTCATTTTCTCCACATCTTTGCCAGCATTTGCTATTGCCTGTCTTTTGCATGAAAGCCGTTTTAACTGGGGTAAGATGATATCTCATTGTAGTTCAGATTTGCATTCCTCTGCTGATTAGTGATGCTGAGAACTCTTTTATATATTGGTTTGCCATTTGTATGTCTTCTTTTGAGATATTCAAGTCTTCTGCCCATTTTAAATCAGATTATTAGATTTTATTTTCCTATTAAGTTGTTTGAGCTCCTTATAGATTCTGGTTGTTAATTCCTTGTCAGATGCACAGTTTGCCAATATTTTCTCTCATTCTGTGGGTTGTGTCTTCACTTTGTTGATTGTGTTCTTTGATATGCAGAAGCTTTTTAACTTGATGTAATCCTATTTATCCATTTTTGCTTTGGTTGTCTGTACTTATGGGTAGTTCTCAAGAAAAGAAACTCTGCAATGTCCTGGAGAGTTTTTGCCAATGTTTTCTTTTAGTAATTTCATAGTTTGAGGTCTTAAATTTAAATCTTTAATCCATTTTGGTTTGATTTTATATATGGTGAAAGAGACGTGTCCCATTTCATTCTTCTACATAGACATATCTAGTTTTCCCAGCACCATTAACTGAAGAGACCATCTTTTTCTCAATGTATATTCTTGCTACCTTTGTCAAAAATGAGTTCATTGTAGACATATGGATTTATTTCTGGGTTCTCTATTCTGTTCCTTTGGTCTGTCTGTCTGTTTCTATGCCAGTACTATGCTGTTTGCATTACTATAGCTCTGCAGGATAATTTGTAGTCAGGTAATGTGATTCCTCCAGTTTTGTCTTTTTTGCTTAGAATAACTTTGGTTATTCTAGGTCTGTTGTGGTTCTGTATAAATTTTAGGATTTTTTTTCTTCTTCTATGAAGAATGTCATTGGTATTTTAATAGGGATTGCAATGAATCTGTAGATTGATTTGGTTACATATGTATATTTTAACAATATTGATTCTTCCAATGACTATGAAATATCTTTCCATTTTTTTGAGTCCCCTTCAATTTCTTGTGTCAGTATTTCATAGTTTTCATTGTAAAGATCTTTCCTTTCTTTGGTTAAGTTGATCCCTAAGTATTTAATTTTATTTGTAGCTATTTTAAATGGGATAACTTTCTTGATTTCTTTTTCAGATTGTTCACTGTTGGCATATAGAAATGCTACTGATTTTTGTATGTTGATTTTGTATGCAGCAACTTTACTGAATTTGCTTATCAGTTCGAATATTTTTTTGTTGAAGTCTTTAGGTTTTTCCAAATATAAGATCATATCATCTCCAAACAAGAATAATTTGACTTCTTCCTTTCCAATTTGATGCCCTCTATTTCTTCCTCTTTTCTTACTGCTCTAATTAGGTCTTCCAGTAATATGGTGAGCAACAATGATGAAGGTGGGCATCCTTGGCTTATTCCAGATCTTAGAGGAAAGACTTTCAGATTTTCCTCATGCATATGATTTTACCTGTGGATTTGTCATATATGACTTTTATTGTCTGGAGGTATGTTCCTTCTTTTCTTTTCACAAAAGAAACTTTATTAATTATCATGAGGTCAACGTCCTTACCATCATGCTAGCCAAGAAATAAAACTTTGATAATCACCTCATATCTCTCTATTTGGTCCATCCCAGCCATAACCCTTCTCTCTCTTCCACTCTTCCTCCACAAGTAATTGATATCCTGACTTTCTTCGTAATTTTTTTAAATTTATTTATTAATATTATACTTTAAGTTTTAGGGTACATGTGCACAATGTGCAGGTTATTTACATATGTATACATGTGCCATGCTGGTGTGCTGCACCCACTAACTCGTCATCTAGCATTAGGTATATCTCCCAATGCTATCCCTCCCCTTTCCCCCCACCCCACAACAGTCCCCAGAGTGTGATGTTCCCCTTCCTGTGTCCATGTGTTCTCATTGTTCAATTACCACCTATGAGTGAGAATATGCGGTGTTTGGTTTTTTGTTCTTGCGATAGTTTACTGAGAATGATGATTTCCAATTTCATCCATGTCCCTACAAAGGACATGAACTCATCATTTTTTATGGCTGCATAGTATTCCATGGTGTATATGTGCCACATTTTCTTAATCCAGTCTAACATTGTTGGACATTGGGGTTGGTTCCAAGTCTTTGCTATTGTGAATAATGCTGCAATAAACATACATGTGCATGTGTCTTTGTTTTTTTTTTTTTTTAGTTTTTTATTGGTGAGTTGTTGTTATTTTTCTTTTTTTTAATTTTTCTTTAAGTTCTGGGATACATGTGCTGAATGTGCAGAAGACTTCATGATTAAAACACCAAAAGCAATTGCAACAAAAGCCAAAATTGACAAATGGGATCTAATTAAACTAAAGAGCTTCTGCTCAGTGTAAGAAACTATCATAGAGTGAATATGCAATCTACAGAATGGGAGAAAACTTTTTCAATCTATCCATCTGACAAAGGTCTAATATTCAGAATCTACAAGTAACTTAAACAAATTTACAAGAAAAAAGCAAACAACCCCATCAAAAAGTGGGCAAAGTATATGAACAGACACTTCTCAAAAGAAGACATTTATGCAGCCAACAAACATGAAAAAAAGCTCGTCACTGGTCATGTAAGAAATGTAAACCAAAACCACAATGGGATACCATCTCACACCAATTAGAATGGAGATCATTAAAAAGTCAGGAAACAACAGATGCTGGCAAGGATGTGGAGAAATAGGAACATTTTTACACTGCTGGTGGGAGTGTAAATTGGTCAACCATTGTGAAAGACGAGGTGGTGAATCCTCAAGGATCTACAACCAGAAAAACCATTTTACCCAGCAATCCCATTACTGGGTATATATCCAAAGGATTATAAATCTTTCTGCTATAAAGACACATGCACAAGTATGTTTATTGCAGCACTATTTACAATAGCAAATACTTGGAACCAACCCAAATGCCCATCAATGATAGACTGGATAAGGAAAATGTTGCATATATACACCATGGAATACTATGTAGCCATAAAAAAGAATGAGTTCATGTCCTTTGCAGGAACCTGGATAAAGCTGGAAACCATCATCCTCAGCAAACTAACACAGGAACAGGAAACCCAACACCACATGTTCTCACTCATAAGTAGGAGTTGAACAAAGAGAACACATGGCAACAGGGAGGGGAATGTCATACACCAGGGCCTGTCAGTGGGTGGAGAAAAAGGGAGAGCATTAGGAAAAATACCTAATGCATGCAGGGCCTAAAACCTAGATGACGGGTTGATAGATGCCATATGTTCCTTCTATACCCAGTTTATTTTAGAGTTTTTATCATGAAGGTAGGTTAGATTTTATCAAATGCTTTTTTGGCATCAATTGAAATGATAATATGGTTTTTATCCTTCATTCTGTCAATATGATGTATTACATTGATTGATTTGCATATGTTAAACTATCCTTGTATCCCTAAAATAAATCCCACGGGTCATAATGAATGATTATTTGAATGTGTTGTTGAATTGATGTGCTAGTATTTTGTTAAGGATTTTTGCATCCATATTTATCAGGGATATTGGCCTACAGTTTTCTTTTTTTGATGTGTCTTTGGTTTTGATAGCAGGGTAATACTGGCCTCGTAGAATGGGTTTGATAGTATTCCTTTTTTCTCTATTTTTCAGGATAGTTTGAGTAGGATCGGTAGTTCTTCTTTAAATGTTTGATAAAATTTAGCAGAGAAGCCATCAGTTCCTTGGCTTTTCTTTGCTGGGAGAATTTTTACTATGGCTTAGATCTCATTACTTGTTATCGGTCTGTTCAGGTTTTGCATTTCTTCTTGGTTCAATCTTGATAGGTTGTATGTGCCTAGGAATTTATCTATTTCTCCCAGATTTTCCAATTTATTGGCATACAGTTGCTCATAGTAGCCTCTAGTGATACTTTTTTTTTGAAACGGAGTCTCACTCTGTCACCCAGGCTGGAGCACAGTGGTGCAATCTTGGCTCACTGCAACCTCCACCTCCCAGGTTCAAGTGATTCTCCTGCCTCAGTCTCCCGTAGCTTGGATTACCCAGTTAGTGTGGGTAACAAAGTTTTGTTGATTTTGTTGATCTTTTCAAAACACCAATTTTTGATTGTTGATTTTTTGTTATTTTCACTTCAATTTCGTGTATTTCGCTATGACTTTTATTATTTCTTTTCTTCTACTAATTGTGAGTTTGGTTTGCTCTTGCTTTTCTAATTCTTTATGATGCATTATTAGTTTCTTTGCTTAAGTTATTCTATTTTTTGATGTAGGCACTTACTGCTAAAATTTTTTTATTACTGCTTTCACCATATTCCACAGGTTTGGGTATATTGTGTTTCCATTTTCACTTGCTGCACGAAGTATTTTAATTTCCTTAATTTCTTCATAGACCCATTGGTCATTCAGAAGCACATTGTTTAATTTCACTGTGTTGATATAGTTTCCAAATCTCTTCTTGCTATTGATTTGTAGTTTTATTCCATTGTGGTCAGAGAAGATGCTTATTTCAATTTTTTTGAATGTTTTGAGACTTGTTTTGTAACTTAAAATATGGTATATCCTTGATGATGAACCATGTGCTGTGGAGAAAAATGTGTATTCTGCAGCTACTGGATGAAATGTTCTGTAAATATCTATTAGATCCATTTGGTCTACAGTGCAGATTAAGTCTGATGTTTCTTCCTCAAAACAGCTCTTTTGAATTCTTTTGAAGTCTGAAAGGTTACATATCTCTGTCCCTTCAAGATTGGTCACTGGTGACTTATTTAGTTTGTCTGGTGAGATCATGTTTTCCTGGATGGTCATGATGCTTGTGGATGTTCATCAGTGTCTGGACACTGAACAGTTAGATATTTATTTTAGTCTTCATGGTCTGGGCTCGTGTGTACCTGTCCTTTTTGGGAAGGCTTTGTAAGTATTTTAAAAGACTTGCATGTTGTGATCTAAGTCTTTGGTAACTGCAGCCATTATCTGCTTTAGGGGGTAACCCAAGCCCAGTAACACTGTGGTTCTTGCAGACGCACAGAAGTACTGCTTTGGTGGTCTTGGCTAAGATCCAGGAGAATTCCCTGAATTACCAGGCAGAGACTCTTGTTCTCTTCCCTTATTTTCCCCCAAACAGTCTCTCTCCATGTGCTGAGCAGCCTGGAACTGGGGGATGGGTGACACAATCATGCCCATGGCCATCACCACTGGAACTTCACTGGCTCAGACTTGAAGCCAACACAGCACTGGTTTCTCCCAAGGCCTGCAGTGACCACTGCCTGCCTACCACCTATGTTTCCTTGCATCCCAAGAGCTCTACAATCAGCAAGTGGCAAATCCAGCCAGACTTGCGTCCTTCCTTTCAGGGCAATGAGTTCCCGTTGGCCCCAGGTGCATCCAGAGATGCATCTGGGAACCAGGGCCTGGAGTCAGAAGCCTTAGGAATCTGCCTGGTGCTTTATTCTACTGTGGCTAAGCTGGCACCCAAGCTGCAACACAAAGTCTTCCTCACTCCTCCCTCCCATTTCCTCAAGCAGAGGAGTCTCCTTCCAGTAACCACCAGCATCCCAGGCCCACAGCAGGTACTGCCTGGACACTGCTGATCTACACTCAAGGCTCAAGGGCTCTTCAGTAAGCTCATGGTCAATGTTGCCAGTTCTGAGTTTTGCTCTTCAAGGCAGTGGACTCCCTCCTGGCCCAGAGGATGTCCAGAAATGCCATCCAGGATCCAAAGCCTAGAATCAGGGACCTCAGGAGTCTGCTTGGTGCTCTACCCCACTGTGGCCATGCTGGTACCCAAGCTGCAAGACAATGTTCCCTTTTCTCTTCCCTCTTCTTTCCTCAAGCAAAAGGGAGTCTCTCTCCATAGCCACCACAGCTGGGAATGTGGCAGGTCTCACCTGAAGCCAGTATACCTCTGAGTCTCACCCAAGGCCCACGGCAAGTAGAACCTGAGTACCCCTGCTGATTATTCAGGGCCCAAGGGCTTTTTAGTCAGCAGTTGATTAACTCTGCCAGGACTAGCTCCTTCCCTTCAAGGCAGCAGTTTCCTTTCTTACCCACAGTGTGTTTAGAAATGTTGTCCAGTAGCTAGGGCCTGGAATAGAGGCCTTAGGAATCTGTCTGGTGCCCTATTGTGTCCGGAATTGGTGGGTTCTTGGTCTCACTGACTTCAAGAATGAAGCTGCGGACCCTCGCGGTGAGTGTTACAGTTCTTAAAGGCGGCGTGTCCGGAGTTTGTTCCTTCTGATGTTCGGATGTGTTCGGAGTTTCTTCCTTCTGGTGGGTTCCTGGTCTTGCTGGCTCAGGAGCGAAGCTGCAGACCTTCGCCGTGAATGTTACAGCTCTTAAGGTGGTGCATCTGGAGTTGTTCGTTCCTCCCAGTGGGTTCGTGGTCTCGCTGGCTTCAGGAGTGAAGCTGCAGACCTTCATGGTGAGTGTTACAGCTCATAAAGGCAGTGTGGACCCAAAGAGTGAGCAGTAGCAAGATTTATTGCAAACAGTGAAAGAACAAAGCTTTCACAGTGTGGAAGGGGACCCCAGCGGGTTGCCACTGCTGGCTCGGGCAGCCTGCTTTTATTCTCTTATCTGGCCTCACCCACATCCTGCTGATTGGTCCATTTTACAGAGAGCGGAGTGGTCTGTTTTGAAAGGGTACTGATTGGTGTGTTTATAATCCTTGAACTAGATGCAAAGGTTCTCCACCTCCCCACTAGATTAGCTAGATACAGAGTGTGGACACAAAGGTTCTCCAAGTCCCCACCAGAGTAGCTAGATACAGAGTATCAATTGGTGCATTCACAAACCCTGAACTAGACACAGGTGCTGATTGGTGTGTTTACAAACCTTGAGCTAGATACAGAGTGTCGATTGGTGTATTTACAATCCCTTAGCTAGACAGAAAGGTTCTCCAAGTCCCCACTAGAATCAGGAGCCCAGCTAGCTTCACCCAGTGGATCCCGCACCGGGGCCGCAGGTGGAGCTGCCTGCCAGTCCCGCGCCATGTGCCCGCACTCCTCAGCCCTTGGGTGGTCGTTGGGACTGGGCCCCGTGGAGCAGGGGGCGGCGCTTGTCGGGGAGGCTCCAGCCACACAGGAGCCCACGGAGTGGGGGAGAGGCTCAGGCATGGCGGGCTGCAGGTCCGGAGCCCTGCCCCTCGGGGAGGCAGCTAAGGCCCAGCGAGAAATCGAGTGCAGCGCCGGTGGGCCGGCACTGCTTGGGGACCCAGCACACCCTCCGCAGCCGCTGGCCCGGGTGCTAAGCCCCTCATTGCCCAGGGCCGGCAGAGCCGGCCGGCCGCTCAGAGTGTGGGGCCCGCCGAGCCCACACCCACCCAGAACTCGCGCTGGCCGGCAAGCAGCCCCGGTTCCCGCCCGCTCCTCTCCCTTCACACCTCCCGGCAAGCTGAGGGAGCCGGCTCCGGCCTTGGCCAGCCCAGAAAGGGGCTCCCACAGTGCAGTGGCGGGCTGAAGGGCTCCTCAAGTGCGGCCAGAGTGAGTGCCAAGGCTGTGGAGGCGCTGAGAGCAAGCGAGGGCTGTGTGGCACCTCTCACTATTCTACTGTGGCTGAGCTGGTATCCAAGTTGTAAGACAAAGTCCTCTTTACTCTTCCCCTCTCTATCCTCAAGCAGAGGGAAGGAATCTCTCCCGGAACCGAAACTGTGAGTTGTACTGCCTGGGGTTGGAGGAGGGGTGATGCAAACACACCCTTGGCCCCCATGGCTAGTATCTCAATAGATCATATGCCCCAAGTCCACTAGTTCCGAGCCCAGGACAGCACCAGGACTTGTCTAGAAACTACAGTCCTTGTGGCCTAGACTGTCTTTCAGGTTTATTTAGGACCCCACAGTGCTTTTGCCACCAGTGTTGGGGCTAGTTAGACTCAGGTTTTCACAGCAGGCAAGGACAATTTGCCTCTGGTTAGGGCTGGTATAAATGCTCTCTCCATTGGTGTCAGCCAAGCTCTGCCCCATGTCGTTTGCTGCTGTGACAGAGCAGCACTGAGTTCTAATGAAGGTCCCATAGTCACCACACTGTCTCCTCATCAGGAGCGCAGATTCTCTCTGCACCATGTGGCTGCTGCCAGGGAGTAGGGGAGGGGTGTTGTAGGTGGTTCAAAACTGTCTTTCCTGCCCCCTCCAGTGCTTCTTACTGAGATCACTCACCTGACTTTTGAATGTTATGAAATGTTTTTGTTTTGTTTTGTTTTGTGGATAGTTCCTCAATTTGGTGTTCCTGCATGGGGAGGGGAAGATCACAGGAGGCTTCTGTTAGACCATCTTGCTCCACTTCCTCCTCACGCACTAGAATTTTCAGTCTATATGAAACACATAACAATTTCACTGGTTAAATAAATATTCATCAATTTGTTCATAACACGAATGCATCTGCTTAACAGGGACTAAAAAAAAAAAAAAAAACAACCAAGATTCTGCTTTTCAAGAATCATAGGACTTGGGGAAAATTTATATGCCTATGCTAGAGAGAACATCCCTGAAGTAATATAAACAAGTATCCAAAATGAGCATATATAAATACTAAATGCAATGTAATGGAAGAAACAGTATGGGCTGGGGTCAGTCCAGCTTCCTGGAAGAAATTTGGCCAAATAGCTGTGCAACTCTGGGGGGATAGTTTAACCTTTGTGAATCTCACTGACCTCATCTGTGAATGAGGAGCTTGTTCTCCATAATTTCAGCCTGCATGCAATTCTCATGGTCTATGAAGTCATGTTTCTCAGCTTAACTCCATAGGAGTGGAAGTCGTGTATTGGCAAAGGCAAAGAGTACGCCTTTCTTGAAAGGCAAGCACAAAGTTCACTGGTTAGACATTTGTTCAACAATTTTAACAAGGCTTGTCTCAGAGGATATTTGGGGAAATGAGCTTAAAATTGTATATATGTTGGCTGGCTTGACTAACTAAACAAGTCAGCTAATTTGTAGTCTTCCTATTTACACAATTATGTTAATATAAACTGCCACTTATTAGCATTTTATTATATGCCAGGCATGCTACATTATTTTCTCACTGCACCTTACTACAACTACTGAGACTAGGTATTACATTCATTTTACAGATGAAAAAGATGAGACTCAATGAATTTAACAAGACAAGAAGTGAAGAACTAGGATTTAAGGACAAAACTGACTGGTTCTGATGCATGTTATTTTTCCACCAGGAATAACACGGCTCTCTCTAATATTTAGGCAGCGCTTACTGGGGCACTGCTGAAAGGATTTCACAAGCATTTAATTCATTCCATTCTCAAACGATCCCATGACATATGCATACTTTTTAATCCCTGTTTTATAGATGAGAAATATGAAAAACAGAAAAATTAAGTAACTTGTGGGAAACTACACAGCTACTAAGAAGCAGAGCTAGGATACACTGTGCCATGAATTCTTTCCCATATAACGCTGTGTAAATGCCAGGTGGGTGTATATGACTATTACAGTGTATTAGATGGGGTAGATAACTCATGTTACCATGTCTCAGTTATTTCTTAAATACTGGGCAAAATGAATGAAATGATGCACAGTAAAGGACCTACCCAAATGTTAGGTAAATTGTTTTATCCATCCAGAGTCAAAGGAATATTTGCTTTGCCACGTGTGAAAAATGCCTAATAGATTTTCTTATCAGGGGGCTATCACTGCTAATAAACAGAAAAATTTCATTGGCAATTACTACATAGCTAAGGGTTTTACTTGAATTCAACTTTTAACTGCATTTATCCTCAAGCAGCAAGGGATTTTTTTTGCAGGTAAATTGTATGTTATGTAGACATTATTGTTCCATATGAGATCAAAGAAAATTCTTTCCTATTCATTTTATTATGCCAAAGAGCTGAGGAGGGTCTTGGAATGTTTTTAGATAAGAATTGAATGAGAAAACTTAACAGTTTTTAATCCTATCTTTAGAGAGTTTTTTAAAATAAATTAACCTAAAGTGAAAAGTAGTCATATCCACTAATACTAGAAATATGAACTTTCTCTTGAAAAAAAAAAAAGAGGAAGTATGTATAAGACTGCATTCCTGGAGGACTTTCCTCTTTATTCAAGTCCATAAAACAGAATGATTGCTTCCTTTCCATATCCCAGTATCACATGTCAGAATAATGATGTTCTCTGACATTTATTAGAAACATTACTGTATTTTTACTGTAATGTCTTGGTGGCTAAAAACGATAAAAGTATTTATGAATGTAAGTCCAAGTTCTTCTATTCATTATCAAGTTACCAAGAAATTCCTCAAGTAAAGAAATATATGATTGAAATAACAGAAAATAGAGAAGGAAGGAAGGAGAAGGAAGAGGAGAATTAGGAAGTCAAAATATTATAAATACTCATAAAAAATAATATTTTAGCCAGAAATTCATACCACTAATTGCTTATAAAAGAAGTTCTAGGTCAGAGTTTGGCAAATTGTGTTCTGTAAAGGACCAAATAATAAATATTTTAGTGTTCATGAGCCATAAGATCTCTCTTGCAACTATTCAAAATCTGCTATTTCTGGTGACAGGATGGCCATAAACTACTTGTAAACAAATGGATATAGCTGTGATCCCATAATATTTTGTTTAAAAAAACTGGTGGAGGGCCAATTTGACTCTCAGGTCCTCTCTAAATCATAATGCTGAGATGATATCCTAGTGCTTTTTGATAGAATTTTCCACTTTGAATGAAATGTTCTATATCTGTGCTGTTCAACATGGTAGCCACTAGTCACATGTGGCTACTGAGCATTTGAGATATGGCTAGTGAGAGTGAAGAATTGAGTTTGACATTTTATTTGATTTTAATCATTTTATATTTAAGTAGGCATATGTGAGTAGTGGCTACATATTGGACTGCATACTATATTTCTTTGCTTCTTATATTTTAACCTGAGAGTATAATTACAGAATTTCTTTTTATTGCTAATTAACAAAAAGAAGTTTTTTATACATTGAGTTTTCCAAAGTGCAAAACTTTAAAAGATACAAAAATTTACACTATGTATCAAAAAATTAAAAGACCATTTAACCTATTTTATAGTATATAATATCCATATACACAAACAAAAAAATACAGCACATATCTGTCTTTACACTTTAAAGCCTCCCTAGCTTTAAGATGAAATTGTGGCAAAAGCTACAGATGTGAGAAAAATATGGTTAAAACAAATAAAACATTTAATTTTGCTCATTCTATATATTTTACTATTAATGAACTAAACAAATACCTCGAATGTAATTCCAGATAGAAATTTCCAAAAGGTATGTGGCATCATTACATATAGCAAAGCATTGCTCTAAAAGGGTTACAGCATAATTTGATGAAAAGAAACTGAGCTTTGTAATCAAAAGCTTTGAGTTCAAGATTCTGCTTTATTCTTACTACTCAAATGGTATTTTCAAAATATTACTTTATTTCTTGAAGTCACAGTTTCACAGTTTTCCTTGGAGGTAAAATCAAGATATACATATCACCCATTAAAACAAGTTGTGGTGGGGATTGTGGGGTTTAAATAATATGTACACCCTACATATACCATAAACTGCTACACAGATATCTGTTTTCATTATTCTCAAAAAGAGAAAGAATAAATAATACAGTAGCCAGAGTCTTTATGGCCACCTTAAATCATGTGTTGAAATCATAATCCCCAAAGTGATGGTATTAACAGTTTTGGCCCTTGGAAGGTGATCAGGTCATGAGGGTGGAGTCCTCATAAATAGGATTAGTGCCCTTATAAAAGACCTGAGAGAGCTCCCTCACTCTTTCCACCATGATAGGATACAGCGAGAAGGCACTATTCTATGAACCAGGAAATGGGCGCTCGCCAGACACTGACTCTGCAGCACCTAAATCTTGGACTTCCCAGGTTCCAGAACTGTGAGAAATAATTTATCTAATTCATATGCCAATGAGTCACAGTATTTTGTTATAACAGCCTAAATGGACTAGACAGATGCATATCCCACGTGTACTCTGCCTGAAAATGCCTAAAACTAGCTCATCTCTCCTACCCCTCCTAACGAGTGCTCACCTTTTTGACTGGTAACCTAATGCTGCAGTTATCAACCTCAGCATTCACTTCTGAAGAGACAGTCATTATATTAAGTTCCTGGAAAAATGTTTCCACAGTGCTAGAATTTTTGAACTCTCTTATAGTTAACAGCAGAGCAGAGAAAGAAAGAAGGAGAAAGAGCTTATTTAGAGACATAAACAGGCTGGGCGTGGTGGCTCACGCCTGTAATCTCAGCACTTTGGGAGGCTGAGGCGGGCAGATCACAAGGTCAGGAGATCGAGACCATCCTCGCTAACACAGTGAAACCCTGTCTCTACTAAAAATACAAAAAATTAGCCGGGCATGGTGGTGGACACCTGTAGTCCCAGCTGCTGAGGAGGCTGAGGCAGGAAATGGCGTGAACCAGGGAGGTGGAGTTCGCAGTGAGCAGAGATCACACCACTGCACTCCAGCCTGTGTGACAGAGCAAGACTCCATCTCAAAAAAAAAGAAAAAAGAAAAAGAGAGACATAAACAAAAAAATCAATGACAGCCCAAGTGTGTTGCTTAGGAAATGGATTTAAAAAAATAATAAATCTGCTTTATATTTATCGAGCAGGCATCATTGTCATGCAGGGGAAAAGTCAACGTTGTCTTAAGTGGGAGGTTTCTGTTCCAGGACTAAGAAAGCCATTCACTCCATTTCCAACAATGGCTTTCCACTCAAATATTCAAGAGTGATGGGTGCTTCACAGACCTTCTACTCCTCTTCACTTCAGACTAGCCATATCCATATTTGATCTGTGAGAAAGAAGTGGTGAGAGGGAAGAAATGGGAAAAGAGCTTTTCACCAGTTGTTTCCTGCTCACCAAAATATATATTTAGTTCTTGCAAGCCTAAGGATTATAATAACAGTTTTTTCTTGTTATAACTATAAAAAATAGACTGTTAATGTTTTGTTACTGTTTACTGCCACTTCTATGTCCACTCCAAATTAGCAACTTAAAAAAGTCCCTTGAGTGAGACTTGGGGGAAGTGATATACTAGAAAATTAATGATCAGCTTGCTAAAAAAAATGCACTTACAAATGTTAGCAAAATTAATGCCACCACTAGATTGCTAACATAAAAAGCCCTGCTGAGAACTACATTACATAATTTTAGACATAAAGCTTACTTTAGACCAGGTGCGGTGGCTCACACCTGTAACCTAGCACTTTGGGAGGCCAAGGAGGGTGTATCATGAGGTCAGGAGATCGTGACCAGCCTGGCTGACATGGTGAAACCCTGTCTCTACTAAAAATACAAAAAATTAGGTGGGCATGGTGGCGCACACCTGTAATCCCAGCTACTTGGGAGGCTGAGGCAGGAGAATTGCTTGAACCCAGGTTGCAGTGAGCTGAGATCGTGCCACTGCACTCCAGCCTGGACGACAGAGCAAGACTCCGTCTCAAAAAACAAACAAACAAATAAAAAAAAACTTACTTTAAGTGACTATACCCACCTTATTTGCAGTTTACACCTATAACTTGAAGTACACTCAGGTTTTATTATTCTATTGTCAGCATAGTGTGACAAAAGAGACAGACTCTAAATAAATGGTTTTAATCTGACTCAGCAAATAAGTTGCTCCTGTCGTTGATGCAAGATCATAGTTCATCATGAATATGGACTGACATTTCCTTTTACCTTAATCAGTAAGACAAATGTGATAAAACAGAGATGTATGTCTAACCTTCACTCGTTTGTCAATGATGTGAGTAACTTCTTTGCTGAATAAAATAATCTTTCATGAATACTGAAAGATTTTTTCAGATTTTAGGCTATTTTTGGACTATTCACAATGTAAATGGATGCAGATACAACACACTTTTAAACATAATTTGCATTATTAATATATCCTTCATCATTTTATTACATCAAAGCCATCCAAAAACCTAAATCAAGCCTTCTAATTGCCATGGCACCAATTTTCTCATCATGTCCTATTTCACACTACCAACATGACATCAACGAACACAGTGTTGAAAAACTACACAGAAGTAAACCACTATATAGCATTTCCACCATATATATGAAGACCATAATATAGATAACAAAATTATTAGAAAAGTATACATTTAAGTATTAGTCCTTTGTCTTGTCTGCAATTTGTAAAAAAGAGTATACATGAAGTGCAATAAAATGCAGCACAATTAAACAAGCTATGCTTTCTAGTCAATGGAAATTATGTTAAATCTATTTCATATATATACATTTTAACAGTTTTAAAAGTAAAAATTCAATATCCCAACTAATACAAATACATTTAACAATCAAATATTTATTGTTTACCAGTATAATAAAAATAAGGATCAAAATCTATTGAATACTATTATAAACTGACTTGTTCCCTACAAATTCATATCTTGAAGTCCTGACCCCACTGTGACTGTATTTGGAGTTAGGGCCTTTAGGGAGGTAACTGGAATTAAATGAGGATGTAAGGGTGTGCCCTAATCCAGCAGGTCTGGAGTTCTTGTAAGAAGAGAAAGAGACACCAGAGCCCTCTCTCTCCAGCACTGTGAGAAAATAAACTTCTGTTGTTTAAGCCATCCCATCTGTGATATTTTGTTATGGTAGCCTGAGCAAACTAAAACAGATTTTTAAACTGTCGTGAGTATTTCCTCTTTATTTTGTTATGAATTGTGTGTGTGTGTGTGTGTGTGTGTGTGTGTGTTTATAAGAAGTATCTTGTTTTCTTCCCTCATTATTCTCTTATCATGTACATAAAATGCATTAACTTTATATTGTAGTATTTAAGTGTTGTTAGCGTTACATCATTGTACTTAAGTTATGAGATGTTACTTTCTGAATGTTTGTGTTTCCCCAAAATTCCTATGTTGAAACCCAATTCCCAGTGTGATTGTATTAAGAAATGAGGCCGGCTAGGCGCAGTGGCTCACGCTTGTAATCCTAGCACTTTGGAAGGCCAAGGCAGGCAGATCACCTGAGGTCAGGAGTTTGAGATCAGCCTGACCAACATGGGGAAACCCCATCTCTACTAAAAATACAAAATTAGCCAAGCATGGTGGTGCATGCCTGTAATCCCAGCTACTCGGAGGGTGAGGCAGGAGAACCGCTTGAATCCAGGAGGTGGAGGTTGTGGTGAGCCGAGATCGTGCCATTGGACTCCAGCCTGGGCAACAAGAGCAAAACTCTGTCTCTTTCATACACACACACACACACACACACACACACACACACACACACTTACACAGAAATGGGGCCTTTGGAGATGATTAAGTCATGAGGGTGGAGTTTTCATGAGTGAGACTAGTGTCATTATAAGGAGCTGCCAAGGCCAGAGTTCTCCCCTTCTACCATGTGAGGACACAGGGAGAAGGCACCGTCTATGAAGAAGAGAAAGCCCAACAGATCAAATTTGCTGGCACCTTGATCTTGGCATTCTTTAGAAACACTAGTTTAGCATACTGCATAAATAATACCTGTATTTGTCTGTTCTCATGCTGCTAATAGAGACATACCTAAGGCTGGGTAATTTATAAAGGAAAGAGTTTTAATTGACTCACAGTTCCACATGGCTGGGGAGGCCTCACAGTCATGGTGGAAGGAGAAGGGGAAGCAACATGTCTTGACATGTTTTACATGGCAGCAGGCAGGAGAGCTTATGTAGAGGAACTCCCTTTTATAAAACCATCAGATCTCTTCAGACTTATTCACTATCAAGAGAACATCACAGGAAAGACCCTTCCCCATGATTCTATTACCTCCCACTGGGTCCCTCCCATGACGTGGGAATATGGGAGCTACAATTCAAGATGAGATTTGGGTGGGGACACAGCCAAACTGTATCAATACCTGTTATATACTAGGCATTCAATAAAAAGTTTTTCAATTAATAAATGAATAAATAAGTAAAACTAAAGACCAAAGCACTGTTCTTTTCTTCTAGAACATTTGCCTGATCACTTCAGGACAGTAACATTCAATGTTGAACACTGGAAGTAGTTAAATAACTTACTCTTTTTGCTTTAATTGTCCTTGAGTCTAGGGAAGGAGGTGAGGTTCATTTCAGGTTCTACAGGATGGCTAGAGAATGGGGGAATTTGGTTGAGAACTTAGGGTATGTCACATGTGAATGTTGGCAATGAGATTGGAGAAATGGGTATTGGCCAGCTATGAAACTCAAATGAGTAGTAATCTTCTATTTACAAATAATAAAATATTTTCTACAGAGAGAAGAAGAATATTGCCTAAAGATTTTGAAAGCAATAGAAGAACTGGATCTGAGAAGAAAGAGGACACAGAGCTCAGGTGTACCATAATAAAATGAGAGTACCACAGCAGAGTTTGCAGCCAGAGTCAAAGGCAGGTGAAACTGAAGGAATTCTTCACTGATCTGGCTGGCATTGCTCTCCTTTGTAGTGCAAATTTTCTCGTCATATTCAAGTTTTGTTTGCATCAAACAGTATTTCTAAATCTGACTCATTTTCTGTTCACTGCTAGGATAATGCTATTGCCTGTCTGAAAGTATCTAATCAGAGGGTGGAGGCATGGAAGAGATAATCTCTCTCCACCTATTGTCTAGCCAGCATCCCTCGAGGTCCACATTGCTGTCTAGTGTCACTGTTCTTTACATATTATTCAAACCGACAATCATCTGCAATATGTGATTTAAGAATATATAGAATATAGGTCGGGCACAGTGGCTCACACCTGTAATCCCAACACTTGGGGAAGCCGAGGCAGGCAGATCACCTGAGGCCAGGAGTTCGAGGCCAGACTGGCTAACATGGTGAAACTCTGTTTCTACTAAAAATACAAAAATTATTCAGGTGTGGAGGCACGTACCTGTAATCCCAGCTACTCGGGAGGCTGAGGCAGAAGAATCGCTTGAACCCAGGAGGTGGAGGTTGCAGTGAGCCAAATCACACCACTGCACTCCAGCCTGGGTGGCAGAGTCAGACTCTGTCCCAGAAGAAAAAAATATATGTATGTGTGTGTGTGTGTGTGTGCATATATATATATATATATATGCACAGCTAGGTCAGGAGGTATTTCTTGCCACAGATGCACAGCATACCTAGAACTAGGTTTTCCCACTTATATTCTAGGTTAATAATATTTTTTGGCCACGGGTCTGGACTCCTTTGTTTTTCATAATGTGCTACCCCTTTGGAGGGGTGGTTTTGTTGCACATTTCTGCTCGTGGATTTCAATCAGGATATTTCAATCATCAGAGATGCCTAATTGTACTGATCATCAAATATGAAAGGGGTCTGAGCCTCAGTTGTTTACTTCCCCAAACCTACTTGCCACCCTAAGCAATTTTTCCAGTTCCTTCTCAAAAACCTTTATGTTTTATGTAACAAAGTCTGTGAGAGTTGGAAAACTCTTACCAAGCCAATTTATTTGTCTCATATAAAAATAAAGTAGACAAGAAGGACCTTAAAATTAAAAGAATAAAAACATTTGAATGAAAGAGGGCTGTACTATATTCGAATATATACTTTCTTCCTGGCTAAGTTATTCTAAAGAGTCTGAGCATAAAGTAATTTTGTATCTAGATCTGAATACTGGAAATATAATTTCTTGCTAATAGAAATTATTAAATCCCACTGGAAAGAAGAAATGCATCTCTCTATCCTAGAGATCTTTTCAATGATTTTATTTTTCTATAAGCCCAAATTGTTACAACAAGTAGTTACACTGTGTGCAGTATACATATAGATCCTGTAGAGTTGCTGCTCACTACAGATACTTAATGGCAAAGCTTTTTCTTTACAAAGAAGTGAAACCCACACAGAACAAAAATATAAAAGTTAGCTTTTTAAAAGATAAAAAATTGAAGTCAAACTGCAAGAGGTACAGCCAGTTGATTAAAAAAAAAATAAACAAGAAAACATTAGCTTCGATTGCTTGAAGTCTTACAAAGAAAGTATGGGAATCAATGACACACACTTCCATCTTCCCTTTTTGGGCTACATGGATTTTTTATTTCTGATATTTTTTGCCTGTCAACAGATTAGTTTTCTCAGATTATTCATCGTGTCTATCTCCATAACTCAGCTTAGCCCTGGTTTTCCTTCGTCAGAGGAGCTCCAATCCACCAATGTTCATAACCATTCAACTCCCAAGACCATTATCAACCAATTGAAGATGTTTGCAAAAGAAACCTTATCCCTTTGACCTATAGTTGGGTGGATTTCTTTGGGTCCAATACTCATCTACAGCTCAATTGGCAATGGACAGGAAAAACTGTTTGTGGTATAAATCTGACAACCTATACTCATTCTTTCAGTAGAGAATGTGATCTAAGCAGGCATGAAAAAATATGTGCTACAAATGAACAATGGAGTCCTTGTTCATCAACAACTTAACAATTTCTGGAAGATAAGTAATAATCATACATATCGGGCTTATAAGAATGAATCTAAAGTAAAGGACTTTATGCAGTGAAAATACAATTCTAGTATGATTTCTGTAATAGGTTCTGGTAAAAATTCAATGTAAAAGTTGGAATAAGAGCCTTATAAACATTTTCTTGTTCATCTACAAGAAACACATAAAATGATATGAGCAAAATGACACAAATGCTATACAATTCTAAGATGCATGTTAATTTTTATTTGAAGTGTCTTTTGTGATATAAAATATTTTAGGTGGATGACAAATACCCTGACATAGTAAATCCAGCTAGAATAAATATAATTTTAGCTAAAGTTGTGCATAATAGGTGTTTCTTAAAATAATAATTTTCCCAGTTGACAAATTAAATATGGAAACAGATATCAATGGAAATAATTTTTCATTAATCACTGCATACAAGGTCATACATTTCTTCAGTTCCATAGACATATAACAGACTTATAATTAGAACTTAGTTCATTTTGTTTCTATTTCTATTCACCACCGTTCCTGTGCAGAGATCTTGGTGCTGTGGCACACTCTCTGCTCCACACCTGGACCTCGTTCCAGGTTTTTGGTGCACCTGCCCTCATGGAATAACAGCTTGGGCCACCACTTCCTTTTCATGCAAATAATTTGATGCAGGGGCACTCCCCCATCTCTAGACCCAGATGTAGTTCCACGTATTTGGCACACCTTCGTCCATGAATTAGGAGTTTAAGCTACCCCTCTAATCCCGTGCAACAACCTTGTGGTGGTGGTTGTTTCTCCACTCCTTCTCCATGCATATCATCCAGCTTAAAGCATACCTGCTCCACTGGGTTAGAAGCTTGATCTACCTCATCTACCCCTTGCAGCAGCTACTTTTCTGTCCCATGCCAGGACATATTTCCAGACACTTGGCGCACCTGCTTACTTGGATTAGGAGCATCAGATACCTCCCCTCTTCAAGTGCAGAGATCTTAGCGCAGCAGCGTGCTCTCTACTTGGTTCCCAGGCATATATCAAGGCATTTGGAGCACTGACACTTCTAAATTAGGAGTTTAGTCTGCCCCATCTTCCTGTGCAGATAAGTTGGGGTAGCAGAGGTTTCCCAACTCCAAATCTAGACACACCTCTGGATACTTTGTGGCCACCCCCAAGAACCCTTCAGAACTGGTGCTTTGCCTTCCATTGGGGAACCTATAGGTGAGCTTCTTCATCTTGGGCCCCCCTCCGTGGCTGAGCAGGGAGCTCAGACCACTGTGCATTCCACAGATCAGCCCATTACCTGAGGCAACAGAGAGCTTCTCCCAGTAATTAAGGATCAATTATATACACATCCACATTGGCTGTAGCCAGTTCTTACCCATAAGAACCACCCACTGGCCTATGACATAAGCTTCCAGAAATCTCCACCATTTTAGCCCTTCAGGATACAGTGAGCCTGTTCAAACATCCAGTACATTGTTGCTACAATCAGCATTTGGGAAAGCCACCATACAAAGGCTATTTACAACGAAGGAACTTATACAGACTCTTTGCCACTGAAAGCATCCAGAACCAAAGCCAAAGGACTCTATACAGCATACATTATAGACACCTCCTTGAGAAGGAAAAGAGCCTCATCCAAACAAAAGCAAATTCAAAAAATAAAGAGAGATAGCTTATCTAGATGACAAAGAACCAGAGAAACAACTCTGAAAGTATGAAAAAACTGAGTGTTACAACAGCCGCAATGAACACTAACTCTCCAGCAACAGATCCTAACCAAAATGAAATCTTTGAAGTACCATATTAATAATTCAAAATACTGATCTTAAAGGAGCTCATTGAGATTGAAGAGAAAGCTGAAAACATACACAAAGATATCAGAAAAGCAATTCAGAATCTGAAAAATGATATTGACATCATTGAAAAAAATAGAACTGAAAATAAAAAAAAAATTGAAGGAATTACAAAATACAATTGAAACCTTTAAAAATAGTATAGACTTAGTGAAAGAAAGAATTTTAGAGCTAGAAGACAGGTCCTTCAAATTAGCCCAATTAGATAAAAAAAAAAGTTACAAAATGAACAAAGCCTTGGAGAAATATGGGATTATGTAAAGCATCCAAACCCACAGATTACAGGTACACCATAGGAAGAAGAAGAAAAAGTAAAAAGTATGGAAAAACTACTTGAGAAAATTATTCAGGAAAACTTCCCAGGTCTTGGGAGAGATTTAGATATACTGATACAAGAAGGCTAGAGAACTCCTGGAAGATAAATTTCAAGAAGGGCCTCACCAAGACACAGAGTCATCGGACTAGCAAAAGACAATGCATAGGAAGAAAATCTTAAGAGCAGAAAGAGAGAATTATCTAACTGCCTATAAAGGAAATCCCATCTGACTAACTTCTAAGCAAAAACTCTGCAAGCAAGAAGAGACTGGGAGCCTACTTTTAGCCTCCTTAAAGAAAAAAAAAATGCCAGCCAAGAATTTTATTTCCTGTCAAACTAAGCTTCATAAGACTAAGCTTTCCCAGACAAACAAATGCTAAGGAAATTCGTCACCACTAGACTGGGTCCTACAAGAAATGCTCAAAGGAATTCTAAACATGGAAACAAAAGGACCATACTCACCATCATGAAAGGACACTTAAGTACAAAGCTCACTGATTGAAACTCCAAAGAAACTAGCTAACAGCACTAAGACAGGAACAAAACCTCACATACTAAAATTAACTTTGAATGTAAATGACATAAATGATCCACTTAAAATATACAAATTGGAAAATTCGATTAAAAAAACCCGCTCAACCAGGAGAGACAAACCTGCAGATCAAAGACAGCTATAGATTCAAAGTAAGAGGGTAGAAAAAGCTTTATCACACAAATGGAAAACAAAAGAGAGGAGGAGCAGCCATTCTCATATAAGATAAAACAGACTTCCAACCAACAACAGTAAAAGGGACAAGGAAGGGCATTATAATATTAAGGATACAATAAAACAAGAAGATTTAACTGTCCGAAATATATATGCACCCAACACCTGAGCACCCACATTCATAAAACAAAAAACACTAGGCCTAAGAAATCAGGTTAATAGCAATACAATAATCATGGGGTTTTCAATACTCCAATGACATCACTAGAGAGATCATCAAGGCAGAAAATCAACAAAGAAACTCTGGACTGCTGGGTGCAGTGACTCACGCCTGTAATCCCAGCACTTTGGGAGGCCGAGGAGGGTGGATCACAAGGTCAGGAGATCAACATCATCCTGGCAAACACGGTGAAACCCTGTCTCTACTAAAATACAAAAAATTAGCCGGGTGTGGTGGCGGGGGCCTGTAGTCCCAGCTACTCGAGAGGCTGAGGCAGGAGAATGGCGTGAACCCGGAGGCGGAGCTTGCAGTGAGCCGAGATCGCGCCACGGCACTACAGCCTGGGTGACAGAGCGAGACTCCGTCTCAAAAAAAAAAAAAAAAAAAAAGAAAGAAAGAAAGAAAGAAACTCTAGACTTAAACTAGGCTATAGACCAAATCCAAATGGACCTACTGGACATTTACAGAATATTTCATCCAACAATGACAGAATATGTGGTTCTGCTCATGGAACATTCTACAAAATCAACCATATGTTTGGTCATAAAGCAAGTCTCAATAAATTTTTTTAAAGTTAAAATTATATCAAATACCTTCTCAGACCACAGTGGAATAAAATTAGAAATCAATACCAAGAGGAACTCTCGGCCAGGCGTGGTGGCTCACGCCTGTAATCCCAGCACTTTGGGAGGCCAAGGCGGGCGGATCGCGAGGTCAGGAGATCTAGACCATCCCGGCTAACATGGTGAAACCCCGTCTCTACTAAAAATACAAAAAATTAGCCGGGTGTGGTGGCGGGTGCCTGTAGTCCCAGCTACTCCGGAGGCTGAGGCAGGAGAATGGCGTGAACCCGGGAGGTGGAGCTTGCAGTGAGCCGAGATCGCGCCACTGCACTCCAGCCTGGGGGACAAAGGAGACTCCGTCTCAAAAAAAAAAAAGAACTCTCAAAACACACAAATACAAGGAAACTAAACAATTTACTCCTGAATGACCTTTGGGTAAACAATGAAATTCAGGAAGAAATAAAAAAAATTTTCAAAACAAGTGAAAATCATGACACAACATACCAAAACCTCTGAGATACAGCTAAAGCTGTGCTAAGAATAAAGTTTATAGCATTAAATGCCTATATCAAAAAGATAGAAAGATCTCGAATTAACAATCTAACATTACAACTCAATGACTAGAAAAATGAAACAAGAACAAACTAGACCCTAAGCTATCAGAAGAAAAGAAATAACAATCAGAGAAGACAAAAATGAGATTGAGATAAAGAATAATACAAAGAATCAATGAAAGAAAACATTGGTTCTTTGAAAGACTAAACAAAATTCAGAGACAGTAGGTAGATTAACTAAGAAACAAAAGAAAGAAGATTCAAATAAATACAATCAGAAATGATAAAAGTGACATTAAAACTGATACTACAGAACAAAAAAGATCATCAGAGTCTGCTATGAATACCTCTATGTACAGAAACTAGAAAACCTAGAGAAAATGGACAATTTCCTGGAAACGTACAACCTCCCAAGATTGAACCTGGAAGAAATAGAAATCCTGAACAGATGAATAACAAGGAATAAAATTGAATCAATTTAGCAAAATCTCCCAACAGCAACAACAACAAAAGCCCAGAACCCAGATGGATTCACTGCCAAATTTTACCACCTGTACAAAGAAGAGGTGGTACCAACTTTACTGAAACTATTCCAAAACATGGAGGAGGGGGGATTTCTCCCCAGCTCATTCTATGAAACTGGTATCACTCTAATACCAAAATTAGACACGGACACAACAGAAAAAGATAACTACAGGCCAATATCCCTGATGGATATAGATATATAAATCCCCAAAAAATACTAGTAACCCTAATCCAACAGCACATCAAAAGATAATTGATCACATTCAAGTGGGTTTTATTTCAAGAATGCAAGGATACTTCAACATTCACGAATCAATAAGAGTGATTCACTTCATAAACAGAATTAAAAACAAAACCCATATGATAATCTCAATAGATGCAGAAAAGACATTCAATAAAATCCAACATCCCTTCATGGTAAAAACCCTCAACAAACTAGGCATCAAACATACAAAAATAATAAGAGCCATATATAACAAACCCACAGAAAACATCATACTGAATGAGGAAAAGCTGAAAACATTACCTCTAAGATATAGAACAAGACAAGGATGTCCTTTCTCACCACTCCTGTCCAACATAGCACTGGAAGTTCTAGCCAGAGCAGTCAGGCAAGAGGAATAAATAAAAGTCATCCAAATTGGAAAAGGAGAAGTCAAATTATCTCTGTTCACTGATGAAATGATTGTTACCTAAAAAGAACCTTAACTCCAAAAGTCCTAGTGATAAATGCCTTCAGTAAAATTTCAGGATACAAAATCAATGTACAAAAGTCAGTAGCATTTCTATACACCAATAGCATTCAAGCTGAGAGCCAAATCCAGAATAAAATCTAATTTACAATAGTCACCAAAAAAAAAAAAAAAATACCTAGTAGGAATACATTTAACCAAGGAGGTTAAAGGTCTCTACAAGGAGAACTACAAAACACTGATGAAAGAAATCATAGATGGTACAAAGAAATGGGTAAACTCCCATGCTCATGGATTGGAAGAATCAATATTGTTAAAATGGTCATACTGCCCAAGGCAATCTAGAGATTTAATGCAATACCTATTAAATTACCAATGTCATTTTTCACAGAATTAGGAAAAACAATCATAAAATTCATATGGGACAAAAAAAGAGACAAAATAGCCAAAGCAATCCAAAGCATAAAGATAAAATCCAGAATCACCACATTGCCTGACTTCAAATAATATTATAAGGCTGTGGTAAAATAGCAAGGTATTGGTACAAAAATAGACACATAGATCAATGGAACAGAAGAGCAAACCCAAAATAAAACCACATACCTACAACCGACTGCTCTTGAACAAAGTCAACAAAAATAAGCCATAGAGAAAAGACATTCTATTCAATAAATGGTGATGGGAAACTTGGCTAGCCATGTGTAGAAGGATTAAACTGGACCCCTATCTCTCACAATATACAGAAATTAACTCAACATGGATGAAAGGCTTAAATGTAAGATCTCAAAGTATACAAAACCTAGAAAAAAACCTGGGAAATACTCGTCTGTATATTAGCCTAGGCAAAGAATTTATGGTGAAGACCCTAAAAGCAAATTAAACCACGAGAAAAATGGACAAATGGAACTTAAACTCAGAAGCTTCTCCACAACAAAAGAAATACTAGCAGAGCAAAGAGACAACCTGCACAATGAAATAAAACACTTGCAAATTATGCCTCCAACAAAGGACTAATATCTAGAATCAAAGACATACGAATAACTCCGTAAGAAAAATAAACCCCATTAAAAACTGGACAAAGGACATGAACAAATATTTCTCAAAAGAAAAACTATAAATGGCCAACAAACACATGAAAAAATGTTCAACCTCAGTAATCATCAAATAAATGCAAATTAGAACCACAATTATTTATCATCATCTACCAGTCAGAATGACTATTACTAAAAAGTAAAAAAAGAAAAAAAGAAAAGAAAAAAAACAGCAGATATTGGCATGGATGCAGAGAAAAGAGAGAAAACGGAATGCTTATTCACTAGAAAGTAAATTAGTTCAACCTCTATGGGAAACAGTATGGAGATTTCTCAACTTAAAATAGAACTACCATTTGATCAAGGAATCCCACTACTGGGTATGTACCTAAAGAAAAAGAAATCATTATAAAAAAAGACACCTTCACTCATATGTTCAGCACAGCACTATTCACAGTAGCAAAATCATGGAACCAAACAATTGTCTATCAGTGGTTGACTGGATAAATAAAATGTGCTATACACTGCGGAATACCATGCAGCCCCCCCAAAATGAAATCATGTCTTTTGCAAAAACATGGGTGGAGCTGAGGGCATTATCCTAAGCGAACTAACTCAGAAAGACAAATACTACATGTTCTCACTTATAAGTGGAAGATAAACAATCGGCACATGTGGACACAAAGATGGAAATAATAGACACTGGGGACTCTGGGGACTCCAAGAGGCACGAGGATGGAAGGAGGTCAAGGCTTGAAAAATAACCTATTGGGTACAATGTTCACTATTTGGGTAATAGATATACTGGAAACCTAACACCCATCAGTACATAACATACCCATGTAACAAACATGCACATGTACACCCTAAATCTAAAATAAAATAACGCCAACTCACAAAAAAACATACTTTTTAATTGTAATCCAGTACATTTGCACCTAAATGCGAAACTAGAATAAAAGATATCCATAACACTTTAAATATGTGCAATGCAGTATGGTATTATCTATCCTCTTATATTTCATTTTGAAAAGTCTTAGTCACAATGCTTTAAGTGGATTTCATGACCCACTAATGAATTTAACATATCCAAACTTAAAAATATTGACATAGGGCTGGGCGCGGTAGCTCATGCCTGTAATCCCAGCACTTTGGGAGGCCGAGGCAGGATCACGAGGTCAGCAGACTGAGACCATCCTGGCTAACACGGTGAAACCTCGTCTCTACTAAAAATACAAAAATTAGCTGGGCGTGGTGGCGCGCCTGTAGTCCCAGCTACTCCGGTGGCTGAGGCAGGAGAATCGCTTGAACCCAAGAAGCAGAGATTGCAGTGAGCGGAGATCGCACCACTGCACTCCAGCCGGGGTGACAGAGCGAGACTCCATCTCAAAAAAAAAAAAGAAAGTTAAAAAAATAATAATATTTAAATTTGTACACACACAATGTGAACATGTGACTTAAATGCAAAAAAAGGGCTTAAATTATTTAAATTATATGCTTGGTTGTAAACAAAAAACAGAATGAGGCGTGATTTATAAAGAAATTATTTTTTATAATTTTAAGTAAATAAATACAGGAAGCCTTTATTGTTGTTTTATAATCTCTCTGATGTTTGTAGACTGCTAAATTTGCTTCCATATTCGAGGCATACCACCTTATTTAGTTATTTAGTACATCTCTAGGAAAATAAGTAAAATGACAAGAAAATGAGAAATATTTAAAAACATGAGAAGAAAAGTATATCTTCCAGTATATCTCTTGAAATTAATATCTAAGCAGCCTACGTTTTCTTTGGGAAAATAAATGAAAAATAACTGTTAATTTATTCTTATAGTATGTAAGTTATTATCACCAGCATCATCATTATTCAAAAACTAGCTAATTTTGGGATCTGCTAGGCAGGCAGAATGAAGAAATATTTGTAAGTTTCTAACAATGACCAAAATTTTTGCATCAATGAACTCTGCCTCTAAGGTTTTTTTTCAGTATCAGTTTGTTTAATAAATTGCTTCCAACCACCACTGTAGTTCCAAACAGTTTAAAATGCTTTGCACTTTATTTGGAGATATATATATATATATTTATATATATAAAAGATATTTTTATATTTATATATAAATATATATATTTATATATAAAATATATTTTTTATATTTATATATAAAAATATATATTTATATATAAGATTTTTTATATTTATATATTATATATTTATATATAAGATATTTTTATATATAAATATATATAATTTTATATATAGAAAATATATTTTATATATAAATATATATATTTTAATATATTTTTATGTTTTATATATTAAATATATATTTATATAAAAAGATATATGTGTATATATGTAATCCAAATATATATATATATATATATATATTACACCAACAAAAATGTTTTTTGCTCAAAATGTAGCATTTCATTTTCTCTGTTCAAGGAAATTACCTCTAGTGCTGGGGAAGTGAGAATATCTCATATAAAATAATTCCCCAAAAGACATTAGTATTGCACCTCTGAAAGAATTTTTCTACTGTTATCATTGTTAATCATGCCAGTGTTCTATTGATTACAGATCATTTGGTATAGCTTCAAGCTATTTGCTCTGAACCATGTTGTAAAAACAGGACATTCTCTCTGCTCCATGTGGGGAATGTCAGAGCCAGAAACTGAGAAGGGTCTCACAAATCTCAGCTATCAGATCGGTTTTCAGGACCTTGAAGATAAAGGGCAGACCTTAAGTGGATATTAAGGTCTATTAAGAAAGCAAATAAATATGTGCCTCTTCTTTGTGCAGCTATTCCTTTCTACAGTCAAACAAACATAAAAAAACGTAAATAAACTCAGTAAATGTGATTCATATAGAGCCAAGTATATACATATACATGTAAACACACATTTTTCTTTTTTATTTAACATACACATAACTGAAGAGAATAAATGAAAAGTTCATGATTGCCTTAGATATAGCAGCAGTGTACGTATTTGTTTTAAAAATATGAAAATAAATTATAATATCTTTGAAATGGGTCTAAATGTGTATATATTCAGCAGATAAAATTAGTAAAAAAAAGTATCAACATTACATATTTTTCATTGATTTTTTAAACTTTCTAGATTAAAGTAAAGGTGTCTTACAGAATTTGGGAGTTGTCTTGAAATACAGGTGGGGGAGGTAGGTGGTGGCAGAAAGAATGACAAGGCGGTGGGGTAGAGTAAAGGTCAGAGTACTTTGGTTAGGCAAAATGATCCCACTTGGGATAAGAAAGCCGATCTGTTGCTCCTGGGAGACACACTGATATATTGATACGTCCCCAGAGCACCCTGCAGTAATTGGAGGAGCCATTTGAGGGAATCTCCAGGGACACTTTTGCTTTATCTTCCTATGGCATAGACACATTTATTGAATGCCGTCTTTTTTTAATCTTTATTAAGTAGAGAAATTCTGCTGCAACTCTTAGGTCAGCTTAGAAGAGAGTGATTCTATACTTCCGGTAGATCATTGCTAGGTATAATTAAAATTCTTGAGTTTTTTCGAGTAAGAATAGTGAACAAAGGACTGAGTAATCAAACGGCAGATGCTTACATACACTCTGCAGCCACATTATAGCTCTCCTTTTGCCAAATCAGGGACATGGTGGCTGAGGTGGACATCAATTCCAAGACTAGGGAATTTTTTTCTTGAGTATGTTTCTAGTTTTAATTTATGAATGTTAACTCCAAGTGCTGAAAAGAGGTATTACTTTCAAGTTTTGCAATGAGGTAGAATGTGACAGAATCACACATCCTTTAGGCTTTGGGTTTGTGGTTAATGGAATAGAATAGAAAGAATAGAATTTCTTTTTTCTCAAAGGTACATAATAAGAATATTGTCATTCAAGGCTATCTCATAATTTTAGAAGACAAGAACCACAATCACTTTCTAGTGCATGAAAGACTTTCAAGGAGTTCTTGCTTTGCATAAGAATTTGAGTAAAAAGGGGTAGGCTAATCCGACCTCAGAAGAATAGCACTGGAAAAGAATAGCTTAAAATATTCTCATCTCAAAGACCGCAAACCACTTTCTTCTATCTCCTCATTTTTATGGCCCTCGATTAACACCCCCTCCCTGCCCAGGCTCCAGGGATACGTCCACACCAACAAGTACAACTCTTTCTTTTCAACCTTTATCCTGATAAAGAGTATTCCTATGCACACTATCTTATGCAAAATTTTGAAGTTCATGTTGATTCCTTTATTATTTTTGGATATCTCCCATGTGTGGTGTTTCTAATGTTTGTGGAGTTCACCTCCAGAGTTATCTCTGGAAGTTATTTCTTTTTCTCAAACTTCTCTGTTGCTGCCTTAGTTCAGGCACTTAGACCCTATTTTTTTACCTTTCAACAACTCAAAAAGGTCTGCTACCTCAAAAAAAATCATCTTCAGTTCAATCTAATAGTTCCCCAAATGTACAGAGAACTAAACTTTTTGACAAGTTTGCTAACATGCATTTCCCAGATGCTGTTTTCTACCTCATCTCCTGAGACTGGGTAGGATAGGAACCTCTCCTTTTAAATAAGCATTCAGATGGTCTTGACACAGAACAGACTAGAAGCAAACCCAGTGAAAGAGTAATATCTGCCAAATAAGTGATGAGGCTGAATTAGAAAAACCTGTAACTCTCTGAGAATTAGAATAACCTGTGAGTCCTCAACCTTCTATGAGCAGGAAGCAAGATAAGAAAGTTATATAGCCTCATTTTAGAAATAGTCAAAGAGGATAATGGAAATAAAGAGGGTGAACCAAAATGCTCTCCCAGGAGAATTGATAGTGGCAGGAGGCAGACAAATACCTAAGCAGATAGGGGCAGGTCCCTGGTGAAACCGCAGCTACAAGCCAAAGAGAGCCTGAAAGTCAAGCTACACATCAAATTCACAGACCTGATTGAGAACCTGTCTTCCCTTTTGACGTGCTTTCCTCCAATTGATCCCCATCCTTCACCTATTTTACATATATCTATCCTTCCCTTACTGGTTTTTAATACTGTCGTGCCCACCTTTGAGTGGTGCCTTTGTTTTAACCTTTTTCGCATACACAAAAATGAATCAGCATGCATTTCACTATTCTAAGCCCATCAAAGCCCCGGACTCAGCCACACTGGGAGAGAAATCACCTGACTTCAGCTGGGGGAACCACCCCTGCTTCCCCTCTCCACAAGGAGCTGTTTCGTCGCTCAATAAAATTCTTCGCCCTCCTCACCCTTCAATTGTCAGCATATCCCCATTCTTCCCGGATGTGGGACAAGGACTTGGAAACCGTCAAATGTGGATACGAGCTATAATAAAGGTGAGCTGGAGCATGCCCAGCCCAGGTGTGGCCTGAACTGGTGCACAAGCCAGGTGTGGCCCAGGCAGGCTGAATGGGTGGACCACCTCCTGTAGCAGATAGCATACCCAAGCAAGGCCTGGGTGGGGGCGTTGCTGGCCAGAGGTTACCCGCTTGCAAAGTGAGAAAAATCCTGCATCAGAATCATGTCCTCAGGAACCTCCTGACCTCCAGTGTAAGAGACCTATATAGTGAACACTTAGTAGAATCTCAGAATAGTTATAAACTAGTGATGGTATTTTGACTGCCATTCTTCCCTCTCAAGTGGTAGTGGTGGTGTATGTGTGTTTGTGTGAGTGTGTGTGTTTTGTGCTTCTGTTCTACCAGGATATATTGGGTGTACATGAAACAGATAATCTTTCCTTTTAGTTCTTAGGTCTTGAGACCAAAAGGAGCCACACTAATGGAGTAACCACTACTTATCAACTACAGATTCTGGGCTTTGAGGTACACTTTTTACTGAATGTTTCCTTTGGTTGTTTCCAAGAAAATAATTTCCGTTAAATATATTTCTATCGACAGGTTCCTTGTGTAGCTTTGAACTTTAAGAATCACTGGCATAGATGAATTAATCATTTGAAAGATTGTCCAAACTTCCTTTCAAGCCTTGCCTTCCCTGCTGACACAGATATGCCCTGTGCCATAGCCAAGTTAGGCTGCTATTAAGCCTTTGGGTTTTTTCAAGTTCACTTATCAGAATTCATGATGGCAAATAAAAGAGTAAGATAACTATCTTAAGAAAAGAACAATATTTATTTAACTATATTAAATATTTGGGTTTTGCCCTGGTTTGAATATTTCTGTAGTCCCAAAATTCATGTATTAAAATATGATGATGGTATTAGGTGAGAGTATTAGGAGGTGGGGCTATTGGAAGATGATTACGGCACGAGGGTGTATTCCTCATGACAGGGATTGAGCCCGTATAAAAGAAACTCCAGAGAGCCACCTGAATTTCTTTCATCATGTGAGGACACAGCTAGCTATAAGGTGCCATCTGTGAACCAAAAAGAAAGCCCCTGCCAAACACCAAATCTACTGGTGGCTTGATTTTGCACTTTCTAGCCTCCAGAACCGTCAGAAATAAATTTCTGTTATTTATAAAGTACCTGATCTATGGTATTTTGTTATAGCTGCCTGAGCAGATTAAGACAAGCTCATGTACCTAATGTTAGGCTGGAGAATGAGACTTAGAATGCAGGAAGACAAGGGGACTCTGGATGGATCATACACAAGAACTATCATGAGCCCAACCAGCAGAAATAACTAGATAGGTAGCAAGGAATCCAAAAGATGATGAAAAAAGCTTCCTCGGCGAACATGCACAGGAAACCACAAACCTATTTAAAAGAAAAGAGAGAGTTAATTAAAGAAAGAGAGATGTTGAGGAATTGGCATTCTTAGTCAAGTTAGAGAACAGATTTAATGGGTGTGGAGAAATGGGAAAGAAAACAAGACAGGAAGTTTGGATTATACTTGCCAAGTACAAAGTTTGAGTTGTTAGATGTGGATGTGCTGAATGAGGTTAAGAGTGAGGTTATATTACTGGGTGGTCAATAGAGAATGAAGATAAGGTCAGAGCTAATGGGGAGAATGAGGGATGTGAATTTGAAGATTTGTACTGATAGCCAACATCAATTTGGAAATCATGAGAATGAGTTCATCTGAAATTGGTTGGAGAATAAATATGTGAACAACCTACTGAAGTTATCCACAAAGATAGAAGCCAATCGTGTGGGGTTGAATGATAACAGTGATGATTTGAAGAAGAATTTAGACTCAGAGTGTGCAGCATTTGAACAAACATAAAATGGCAACATTAGTCTCTGGTAAAGAAGTGGGCCTGGAAAGAAAAAATCACAACATCTTCATTTATGCTTTCTGATGATTAGAAGAAAGCCAGTTAATTCAGCCCAACCCTTTAATCATATAAATGAAAGAAGCTTCTCTAGAGACATGATATGATGGGCAGGGTAGCAGGTATCTGAAGTAAACCCTGTATTCATTGTTGTGCCAGTTATTGAATGTAGGTATTGAACTTTACATTTTATTGTATTTATTTTTATAATTTTTTTTTTTTTGAGATGGAGTCTCACTCACTCTGTTGCTGAGGCTGGAGTGCAATGGCACCATCTTGGCTCACTGCAACCTCTGCCTCCAGGGTTCTTGTGCCTCAGCCTCCTGAGTATCTGGGATTACAGGAATGTGCCACCTGGCCTGGCTAATTTTTGTGTTTTTAGTAGAGATGGCGTTTCACCATGTTGGCCAGGCTGGTCTCAAACTTCTGACCTCAAGTGATCTGCCTGCCTCGACCTCCCAAACGGCTGGGATTACAGGCATGAGCCACTGCACCCGGCCAACATTTTATATTTTTATCATAAAAGTAATTTTAAAAAGTTTTAAGATAGAAAAGAAGTGTATAAATTGCAATATGAATGTTGCTCAATCTCCTTACTATCACTACTTTCAAACACACGTACATATGCCCCCAGGAATCTTCACAGTTAATGACTTTGGGTGTTATTTGGATTTTATAAAGCATCAACTTTCTGCTTGTTTTGCTTTAGCAGCAGAATTACTGTATCTTTATATTTAATATATGCTAAATATTGTATAAGATGTGAACACATTTATAGCTCAGTCATAGAAAAAAATGATGCTTTGAGGACTGTAATCAATTTGAAAACATACATTCTCAGAAAGAATATTAGATGAAAATTTATTAAATATTGATACAGAGTATGTTGGGAAGGGGTGAAAAAAATCAAAGTTATCTTTAACATTTTAAAGTACAGCAATGCAATTATATAAAATTCAAACTCTTAATAAGATATATCTATTGATTTTGTTTTTACAAAAAGATTTGAACATTAAAAATTGGATGTTACATAATTAATTTTATGTTTTTTAAAAAAGTTGGTAACTAATGCATTTTCTTGATTTTTATACTGGGTCAGATACAGCCTTGTAACTATTAAAGAAAAAATTATTCTGACAAATGTTAAGACCATAAGGAAGAATTTATTTAAGACTATTGAGATAGGTGTCAAGCTTATCACAACAGAGGAGAAAAATCAAGGTCAATTCTGAATACAGCATGTACAAGTGGTGCTTTATGACCAATGAGTAGTTTAGGGGGTTGGCCTTTCATAGATGGAAAATTACTAGGAGGAGTCATCAAGGTGAGGGGAGATTTTTGCTGAAGGCAGACCAGGGCAGCGTGACCAGATATCAAAGGTAAGAAATGAGGAATTTGATTAGATATCAAAGTAGATCAGATATTAAGGATGGGGGATATTCTCTAAACTGACAAGATTTTTTTCTACAACTTGTCTAGACAAGCTTGAGGATAAGGCCCAAGGCCTATTCTAAAAATGTCTCAGTGGAGCCTGATGAAAGTTTGGTCAAGAAGAAAGTCTTCATCAGAACCACCCCACTTATTTTGTAGCTGTAATTTTAATTGGTACCTACTTTAAAAGCAAAGGGTTTAAACTACAAACTTCTCCACACTGTAGTCTTCATAATAATTTTAATGATGACTAATACACTTGTATACTTCTTTAAGCCTAATTTAAAGTTTAGTACCAGCTATTTTATTACTTGTTCCACTTTATTGCTTCCTTACCCCTCAATGTAGGACAAAGCACAAAAAGCCTCAGTATTGTATTTTGTTGTTAACAAGCTACTAAATTTGTATTTCCCATATGATGTTGTTATGCTTGGTGTTTGCTGGAAAAATTATAGTAATTGTTCTTAACAAGTAGTAAAGTTTATGTTCTTCATGGTCAATTTGAGGCAAGAATGTTAAATAGTGTAAGACTTATCCAGAAACTTACTTAAAATTAACACTTGAAATTGTTGTTTTGTTTTTGTTAAATACACTGAATAATTTTCTGGAAATTCTTTTCTATTGATTCCTAGGGATATATTCAGTACAAATCCTGTACTAAATTGAACTAAAACTTAGTATCTACACATAGTAAATCACATAGGAAATGACACAGAACAATTTTGAAGTGACTAATCTCATTTTTTAGGTACCACCAAAACACAAAACAAGAAAAATTAAGCAAGTCATTCTCAGACTAAACTTCCTACATTTACATTGTTTTAATAGGGAAATACATCATACTTGAGCTGAAAGTGTTATTAACATAGATGATGTAAACCAGAAACCGTATGGTAACCCATTCTCATGATGTGAGGTGGTACATGTTTAGAGTGGTTTTTATGTTAGGAGACAGTGTTGAGCCTCTAATCAGACAATGTTAAAATGTTTTGTCTTCTACTATTTTTTAGGTGTAACTAAAATCTAACTTCATTTAAAATGTTACCATATTTTAAACCGTGTGCCTCTTGCATCAAAATTGAAAATCAGTAGATATGGGCATAGCACCGCATATGTATTTATAATATACTTGTGAATTCATTAAACACTTTACCTATCATCTGGCTTTCAAAATAATGATTAATTCCATTTTTATAAAAGCCCTCTCAGAGGGGAAAAAAAAGTAATTGTATAGTTTCAACTTAGTGGCCATTCAAGTTGCTAAGATTATTTATATTTTTTACTTAGCATTTAACTCTCAGTACTCATTCATTAGGCAAATTAACATGACTCTTTTACTTCATTTAATTTGAGGACCTTGGAGTAAGAACTTCGTTTAAACAAGTTTACAAAAAAATCCCTGTAATGAATGTTTCTTACTCTTTTATACTTTTTCAGAATTGTGTTTTTCTTACTCCGGTCTCCATGTTAGTGGGAGAGGAACAACAGATCATGCACAGGGCATTTCAGGTCTCTTTTAGGAAGAAGAAGAGTGTGGATGTGGTAGGAATCAGAAGTGAAAGATTTGGCAGTGTGTGGTTCCAATATAGCAATTAAAAAGCATTTATTCAGATGGAAAATTAGATAACTAGAAAAGTCTGAGGATATGATGATACCAAGCAACCCTTCTAAACACTGAAAAAAACGAGTTGAATCACTAATATTTTGGCTTTGTTCTCATTTTCTACTCAGTTTATATGTTTATGGCATTTTAAAAAAGAAGTTGCTAAATTCTAATTTTAAAACCAGTATGAAACCAGTACATGCTGCCAGGAAAAAATCGTAAAAGACTTTGAAATGGGCAAAAAGTATTACTGTCCTGACTAGCTTACACCTCCAGGCTGTCTCCATCAGCTGAGAGCGCTGCATATTATTAAAATGAATTCTCTCCAGTGAAGAGACAATCAATTAATTCCCCATCTCTTTGTGGAAAAAAAAAAGCCAGTTTTACATCTATTTTTAAATTCTTTTTGTCATTCCTGATTTACCTATGTTGTAACATCTTACTGAATCCCTTATTAATTAATGAGTTAAATAAAATATTTGGCACATGTTTATTTCATATCTGTATGCCTGGTGATTTTATCTTTTAAAAATATTCTTTAATACACCTAAATATGGCATTTACAGATGTAGCCAACATAAAGTCAAGTTACCTAAAATTCTGTTTCATTATGATATAGTAGTCAAAGGCCTAAAAGCTTTGTGACGTTTCTTGAAAATGCAAAATAAGGATATTAGCACAGCAACATTTTTAAAAAGCCTATTTTCTCTTTCTTACACACACATACACACACACACACACAGGATGAGAAGCAGAGAGAGAGGATAGAGAGAGATACAACTTCCATCATCTCCCAATTAATTCTTCATCCACACTCCAAGCTCCCCTATCCCCAGCCACTCTTTCTTGTCTCACTCTTCTTTCCCTCTCATTTTAAGATATATTCTCTGAAACTTACTATGTATTTTAGATATGGGGTCTCTGTTTCTGGCACTACCACACCTCACTTTTTACTGCAGTTTTCCACAATAAAAGTTCTCCAGTTCATCTACCAGATAATTCTCCTGTTTTGAAGTAAAGGAGGTGACGCTATTCCTACTCAGGCATTAATTAACATAAAAGACTCTTCCAGTCTTGTATATGATAAAAGACTCTTCTGTCTTACAAATGACAAAAGAGTGTTGGAAAATGCACAGAATAAGAAAGTAGTTATTGTTATCTTTGTAAAGGGCAGGGATACTGTAAGGGTGGGACTTGTGATAGGAATTAAAATTCAATGAGGTGTACATACAAGTTCTACTATATTTCTGAAATCTTTCTGACCACTTGAAGATTTTTGGAACAACATTGATAGGAAATGGAATTAGTTTTAGTGAACCTCTGTGTTTCCTGCAAATTCTAGTCTATTCTACTTAGGGTGCAAATATAATAGCAGAGTTAAGCAGCATATTTTTTTCTTTTCTGTAAATTCACTTTATTGTGTGTCCACTGCTTACCATAATTATACCTAAATTACTCAAGTCTCTCCAAAATTAGGAATGCATCATTTTTATAAATAAACAAGTTTTAAATTGTCGTGTGCTTTATTTTGAATATAAACTAGTCAAATAATCCTCCACAGAAAGTACATGTTGAGTGTAATCAATACTTTTCTTTTTTCTGAAAACGTTTCATCATATAAGTATTTAACTGATTGTCCAGATATTTCTGCTGCTGCAAACCTTCTCCGTTTTCGCTCCCCTTTCCCCGTGGTCTATTAGGCAACGTCTAGACAAGTAGCTTATTTTGTTCAGTTAGCTCTAGATGTTTGGAGTGCAAAATAATAATCTTCACAGGGGGAAAGAGAGTTTAATATCTGAATGAAAAATATCCACTGAAACTAAGCTAATCCTATTCGGATGGCTAGCTTCTAGCATTAACTTTCTGAACTTGACGTTGCTTCTCTTTATATAAATGTTTTCTACTCTGTGTATGTTTTAGTGATCTTCATCTAGCCAAAGGCTGTATTTAATAGGTAGTCATCAAGCAGAAACATAAATCTTTCTTGAGCGTGGGTGCGTGCGTGTGCCCCTGTGCATCTGGATGTCAGTGGTGGGGGGAGAGGAAAGAGAACAGAGCAGGCCTGTGTGGCAGGAAACAGACAAGGATAAATATGCATTGCTGTGTGGTTCACAGAGTTTACAAGAAGGAGAACAATGTAACTGTGATATTTGCCTTTAAGATCTGTGAAATCACAGCAGGCTGGGGAATACAGAATAGTGGAGAGTATGCTACAACAAGACACAGAATTCAAACCCCTTGAAACCCTAAAGTTACATTTCCATTTACCTTATATAACTTAAAAGGACCTTGCTCTCATAATTAGAAAATACATCAATTGGACTCTCATAATTTCATTTGTAGTATCCTTTAAATGGGCCTTTCTGACTATGGGAGATCATACTTCAAATCTATTTTCACCATCTTCTCTGAGTTTTCAATTTATTATGTCTTACTGCTACACACACACACACACACACACACACACACACACAGCCTTGATGAAATGCAATCACTGCAAGACAAATGTCTCATCACCTAGGAATCCTTCTCCTCCACTCCACTGGACTTATCGGCTTGACCACAATAATTGAACACAACAAACTTGCATTATATTTAGTAATGTAGGTACTTTCTCTTTTACTGGACTATTAGACCCTTAAGAGCAGAATGTGTATTATTTATATATTATTTATGGTGATATATCAACTCTTTCACAACTCCCCATCCTATAACTGTAAGTAAAATTTGTTGAACTATCTCAAGCATATTTAAAGTAATTCAGCAATTTACAATACTGTAAATCCATTTTTTTAAACCTCTGCTGCTGGTTTATACATTTGATGGTCTCCAAATAGTGCTATGTCTTCAAAGACATCCCTATGAATTCACACTAACCCCCAGGCAGTTTTTCTCAGATATATATTTTGTCCATATTTTTAGAGAAAAAAAACCAAAGTGAGAATACCTAGCAATATTGAGGGACATAGTTTTAAACCCTGGGTTCTAAAAGAGCAGTCTTTTCTTTATGGCAGATAGAGATTGAGGATAAATAGTAGAGTGACCGTTGACCCTGTTCTTTCACAGTAATATTGGCAAGTCATTTGCTGCCATTATTGGAATTGCACCTGAAAAGCAAGCACTTAAGAAAAGTGTAATTTATGTTGTTGATGGTTTTCCCTTTTATTGATTCTCCTCATTCTCAAGTAGCTCTGGATCACTTTCAGGATCACTTTCTTTCTTTTCTTTTTTTGTTTCTCTCTCTTTTTTTTTTTTTTTTTGTCATCCAAGGCAAATAAACTTTCCCAATCTAAACTGTCACGCCCAGTGACCACAGTTACCAAATTAATTGGCATATCCTATCACACACAATTGCTATAGCCATGTACCTCTGCTAAACCTGTGAATAATACTGACTTATTTGAACATGACTATTTCTCACCACTATGGAGAGAGAATCAGATAGTACTACATTTACACAAATATTGATCAAAATAATTCAATAGTAAGTAAGAAAAGCTCTTTGATCTGCTCTTTTGTAAAAGGAATTTTTAAGCAAACAATTTTTGGTTGTCTCAAAATTAATACAAAATATATTTGGCAGAAATTAGTCAGCATTTATGACATAAAATAATATTGTAAATTTATGGTGGTCTTGTTTTTATTTAAGGAGTTGTATCTATAGACAAATTTTTAACATGTCAGTACATATCTCCTATTAAAACAGAAATAGGTCAAACTCAGATTGCTGCCTTTAGACTCCTCCTCCTCAATTAGAAATGTCATGTTTGATTTTTAAAACTATGTTTCTTGTTATTTAAAATAAATACTTTCCCCAAATCTGTTGAGACTAAAACAAAAGCAAATTTGGAATCGTATTTTTATATTTATTCTAATATTTGTGTTGAAAAATCACTGGAACTAAGAACTGCATGCCTAGTAAATTGGAAAAGAAAACTGGATAATTCCAAATGGGAAGTGTGAAAACCTGAACTATGATACCATTGTAAAGGATAGGAATTTAGAAATGGAGGGATTACAAAAGTCATTATGTTAATTGAATAAGCCAGAAACAGAAAGACAAATATTTCATGTTCTCACTCACATATGGAAACCAAGAAAGTGGATCTCATAAAGATAGAGAGTAGTTTGGTGATTACCAAAGGCTTGGAATTGTGGGGGGTTGGAGGGACTATAGAAAGATTGATTAATGGGTACAAAAACACAGGTAGATAGAATGAATAAGATTTAGTGTTTGATAAATCAGTAGAGTGCCTACAGTTTACAAAAATCTATTGTATATTTCAAAATATTTAGTAGAGAATTATTGGACTGTTGCCAGCAAAAAGAAAAGATAAACGTTAAAGGCGATGAATATCCTAATTACCCTGATTTGATTCCTGCAAATTATATGAATGTGTCAAAAAATCAGATGTACAGCAAAAATATCTATATCTTTTATTTGTTTTTTTTAAAAAACAGAATAAAATGAAAGGATTATTTTATTTCTCAAGGAAATTTGAGGAAATAAAAGGGGAAAATAGGAATTTAAGGAGAGGTTTAAATATTGTACAGACAGATAAGTAGAACTATCAGAAATTTGATGTCAGAAGTCTGTGGATCTAAAGTGTTTTATAACTCAATATCTAAATCCAGCTCTGGAAAAAAAAAAAAAGAAAGGGAATTTGTAGAGCTTTTCTTCTTCTCTTTTTCCTTTTCTTCCTCCTCTTCCTTCCCCTGCTCTTCTCCTTCTCCTCCTCCATCTGGTTCCTCGTGTCACTAGCAGAATTTCTAGTATGTTTTAAAAGACATTCATCTGAGTTTCAAAACTAATAATGTAGGCATTACTTGAGAATTTGACAGGGAACAGAGGTTCTGAATTTGAATCAGTTAATAGCAAGGTTGGCTTTGAGTTCAGCAGTAAATTTTCAGATTTCTTGAAAATTTGGAATAAAACCACACAAACTCTACCTTGTTCTAAGCATGCATTTATATTGCAAAATATATTATAAGATGGTTTGAAGTGAAAGTTACTTTTATATTATTCTAACTATAACAGCTACCAATAGTTGTATGTCTATCTTTAACAAAATATTGAAAGCTAGCAAAATACAGATAGATAGATAGATAGATAGATAGATAGATAGATAGATAGGGAAAGATATGATGTAAATAAGTAAATAAATATATACATATTTGTGTAATATTTTTACTATTGTGATAACATTATAGGGAAAGATATGATGTAAATAAGTAAATAATATATGAATATTTGTGTAACATTTTTACTGTTGTGATTAGATTAAGAAGCATATGCTCAGTAAAAATATGCAGAATGGCTTAGTATATACAGTGCATTGGCATAGTTACTAAAAATATAACTATTCTGAAGGTTGTTATTAAATGAACTAAAGTTTCATTATGAGTAGGAAAAATATTTATATCAGTATGAACTATATAGTATAAATCAATATATTTGAAAATACTGCATCCACTCACACATTTATTAGCATCATTTGAGAATGTATCCATAAATGTTTGAAAATCTTTCTTCCTAATGTCCTTATGTTAGTCTTTCTACCTAATAGATTGTTCATTGTTGCATCTGCTAGTACATTTTCCAATACATAATGAGCAAACCTTGCTATTTCACATGTGCTTCCATCTCAGAAGGAAAGCAGTAGTACCATACATTAAGTATTTGTGCCAAGCACTACACCAAGAACTTTGTGAATTTAATTCTCACAGAAATCCCAGTAGCTAGTGTTATTATATAAATTTAACTGATGAGGAAAATGAGAGTCAGAGAAAATATGTAATTGCCCTTATCACCCAGCATCTAAGTGGCACAGCTAGGATATAAGCTATATTCTTCCTTGCTCCAAAGTGTATGTGTTTTCTTATAGAGGCTGAAATTTCTTACAGAGGTGGAAATTAGAGGTAGCAACTGATTATTTAAAAATGAATTTTGTTTATTTTCTGTAATTGTTCATTGTCTATTTCTAGGAAAAAATGAAATTCTAAATAATCTTATGAGATGTCAAATTCAATATTACTTAGAATATCTGTGTTTAAAAAATAAACTGCAACTAAGCAGAATTAGCTATTGACAAAACTAAGAATATTTTAAAAGTAGGAATTCTATATAAAATATGTATCGCTTATATGCTATTTTATTTGATATTTGCAGTCAGAAAAGAATTTTTTTAACTCCAACTTATAGGTAGACATCACAAAGAGATAATAATATTCATTCGTAGACCTTTGGGAAATTAAGAAATCAATGCTTCACATTATTCTGTTTTCTATTAGAATATCTAATATTTACCATACGTAGTCACTGGGTACAGATTATTAATGTGCTTACATTAAAGCTATTAGCTGTTTTACTGAAGAGTTCATGAATGTGATATTCTGAGAATTGTGTTCTTTAAAAATGTCAATATTTGTAAATTTATCTATTTTCCCATTAATTTCTTATTGTAAAATGTTTTCTACCCTCAATGGTAAATTATATTTAAGATAGTCACCCATTCTTTTTCAGCAGGTAAATATGTCATAATGGACTTTCAATGTTTGTCTTTCGATTCGAACTCGTCTTTGCAAAAGAATACCAATTAAAAGGTAGCAGCAGATCAGCCACAGAGTCTTCCAAGAGAAAAACATGTTGTGTTCAACATTCTCCATTATGTGATAAATAAAAGCAACTGTTAATATTGTAATCCTCCACCGAGCGCCGTGGCTCACGCCTGTAATCCCAGCACTTTGGGAGGCCGGGGCGGGCAGATCACGAGGTCAGGAGATCAAGACCATCCTGGCTAACACGGTGAAACCCTGTCTCTACTAAAAATACAAAAAATTAGCCAGGCATGGTGGCGGGCGCCTGTAGTCCCAGCTACTCAGGAGGCTGAGGCAGGAGAATGGCGTGAACCCGTGAGGCGCACCTTGCAGTAAGCGGAGATGGCGCCGCTGCACTCCAGCCTGGGCGACAGAGCAAGACTCCGTCTCAAAACAAAACGAAAAAAAGAAAAAATTGTAATCCTCAAATGAGGTAATTACATATTTCAAAACTAAAAATTCTAGTATTTAGATAATGATTCAATACATATTTGAAAGTATAATTTGGGATAAAATATATATACCCTAGGGAAAAATGTACCTTTTTAAATCTCTGAATAAAACATAATGGCATAATTCATTCCTGTGGAATTTACAAATTTGTAGAGATATCTCTATCTCTAACAGTCTCAGTTTCTTATACAGCAGAAAAAGAATTGTCCTCTCCAAATGTATAATTCCACCTAGAAAAGAAGGTTCATTGTATCCCCAGGTTGTGGCGATGGTTGTCTGGTTATAGCGATTGTTTTTCCTTATATGACTTCATTTTTCTTTGAAAAAGATTTAAGCAAGTAGCACAATAGCTGTCCTCTATATCAAACCACCACTTCAAAGTATTCCCAGGTCATGCAAGTATAATTTTGTTAAATAATACTTAAGTAATAACTCAACTTAGCTGTTGGTTTATCTAGGCCCTTGGGTATTCACTCAATGTAAATCTTTGTTAGTGTTTCTGAAACTTGTATAATGTGAGTCAAATAACTCCCCAGAAAATGGTCAAGAGCCATGCATTATATGCTAAACAAAATGAGGTAACTGCTTGTTATTCATAAGCCTTGGGAATAAATGCAAGGGCAGTAGCTGCTATTAATGAGCATCTTACATAGATATAGGAAGGGGCTGAGGATCTGATGTTTAGGTGCATTAGTAAACATGTTACAGGCTTTTATTAATTCAAATCATTTACCCAGGTGTATCAAGTTGTTTTTACGACACTTTTATTTTGGTTAAAATAAAACAGGACACTAAAGGACCTTAAAAAATGCAAAAACAGCATAATTCAATGAAATGTAAGTTGTATTCGTATACTGTAAATATACATGTATATACAACGTTAGTTTTTATAATATTTACAGAGTGTATCCGGAATTTCTCTAAGAAACAAGCTTAGAGACAGCTATTTGGTTGGAAAGGAAGTGAGGCTTGAAGATTCATTAGAATAGCAATTTTACAGTGTTTTGGGAGTTGACAAAGATTCTTTGGCCAAACATTAGTCAGGCTTCTGAAACTTCTCCTAGGCCCATCTGTACACATTCTTGTAAAGTCCAATTTTAGAAAGACATCTATCTGCTAAGGTATCTGAACACCCTCTATATCCAATCAGGTTCCTCATTCTCTCCCATGCCCCAAGTGATGTCTGATCATGCCGACCTGTCTTCAACAAGAATTCTGTTACGTTGGTTTATCCAGAATCCTCCCTTACTCATAATGTTTCCTCTTAGTAATTTTCCATCCACTGGCCCCCACCCTGCTCCTTGGCTGTAAATTCCCACTTGTCCATGCTGTATTCTGAGTTAAGCTGAATCTTTCTCCCCTACTGCGAAATTCCATTGCAGTGGTCCCCAAACCTATAGCAATGGACCTTAATAAAGTCTTTCTTACTATGCTTTAACAAGCATCATTGAATAATGTTTTTTTCTTTGACAGGAGTATTGTTGGGGAGCAAGCTGATGAAAATTATAGGAAAGCAAAATAACTTCTTCAGAATTAATAAAATGATTTAAGTCCAAACTTTTGAACATGGCTTTAAAATCACTCTTTGCTATGATACTTTTTGCCCACTTGCATTTCTCATACCTCTCCACAAAACATTTTGAAGAGCCACGTTTCTCCAGAAATTCATGTTCTTATTGGACTAAATTGCTTCAGTGTCAAGTTTTCACTAAGATAGAAATCTTCCTGAGCAGAATTCCCTCTACCTGGAACACTAATTGCAATTCGTCACTCCATCTCTTTCATGTTTTACCTGGCTAATAGATTCATACTTAAGGTCCAATTTAGATATAAATTTCTTTTATAATCTCACTTTTTAGGTACCTCTCCTCTTAATAAAATCATATACTTCTTTTCACTTCTTGCATTATATTGAAATGACTTGGGCAACTATAGGAAGAGGGGTGTCATGATTTTCCAAACCTATTAACATGTGGACTGAATCCAATGGGATTACAAATAAGAAATGGCTGCCCACTTTTTTCCCTCCAAACCAGTGCTGTAAAACATCTCTGATATCATTTCCCAGCCTTGGAGAGAATCTTTGCTATAAATTTCAGTTGTAAGAACAAGTCCTCACCCTCTGCTTCTATGTCTCACTTCTTCTTCCAGTATATTTTGAGCAAAAAATGAGGAAATATCTTTTGCAATTGGCTTTTTATTTTCTTTATTATTATTTTATGTATTTATGTATTTATTTATTTATTTATTTTGGAGATGGTCTCACTCTGTCGCCCAGGCTGGAGTGCAGTGACACGATCTCAGCTCACTGCAAGCTCTGCCTCCTAGGTTCGTGCCATTCTTCTGCCTCAGCCTCCCAAGTAGCTGGGACTACAGGTGCCCGCCACCACGCCCGGCTAATTTTTCTGTATTTTTAGTAGAGACGGGGTTTCACCATGTTAGCCAGGATGGTCTCAATCTCCTGACCTTGTGATCTGCCTGCCTCCGCCTCCCGAAGTGCTGGGATTACAGGCGTGAGCCACCGCGCCCAGCCTATTATTGATTATTATTATTATTATTTTTGAGATGGAGTCTTGCTCTGTCGTCCAGGCTGGAGTTCAGTGGCGTGATCTTGACTCACTACAACCTCCACCTCCTGGGTTCAAGCGATTATTCTGCCTCAGCCTCCTGAGTAGCTGGGACTACAAGCACATGCCACCATGCCTGGCTAATTTTTGTATTTTTAGTAGAGACGGGGTTTCACCATATTGGCCAGGCTGGTCTCAAACTCCTGACCTCGTGATCCACCTGCCTCACCCTCCCAAAGTGCTGGGATTACAGGCGTGAGCCACCATGCCTGGCCATGATTGGCTTTTTTTAATCATCTGAGCACTCTGTGTGTCAGGCCCCAAAGGCTAACTCTTTCACAGGTTGTTTTTATGGATTCTAAGGCTTCTGTGAATATCTGCATATTTTATGCTTCCATATAGTTTCCCACCCCCTGGCAATACACCTGACAGAGTTCCCCCCCAACAGGTGGCCATATTGTGTAGGATGCTATCAATATGGTTTAAGCATGGCCATTTGTGCAGCAATTTCACCTGGCCAATGGGAAACTCCTACATATTTTTCACATGTCACGTGAGAGTGCAGGCTTCTTGCACTTCATGGGTTACCCCACCCAATGGACCTCAATGATAGTGACACCACATGCTTTGTTCACAAATATCCTCTGAATTCTGGGGATGCTTGTTAAGCCCTCTTGAGAGTTATCTCAATATGCTCTGGCCTAGGAGACACACAGGTGGCCTAATGAGTTTCTGCTGTTTAGAAAGCATCCAACGGTGGAGTGGGTAGTCTGACACACTTCTGGAGTTCTCCTTATTTGCATTGAGGTGGCAGCTGGGGCAAGAAAAGGAAATATCACAGTATCCCAACTAAGCTGACTACTCATGCCTCAGTGAGGCACCCATTTAGGTTTCTCATCCTCTCTTATGTATTATGAACATGGGTGAACTGTGTCTGCTACTTAAGTCCAACTGGTATGTAACTAGAATCTCCTTTTTTAATGTAGAGGATCTTATTTCCTATAATTTTCAGTTTTGAAGGACCAGTCAAATCTCCCAGGTATGAGAAAATATTCTATTTAAAGCCAGAGGGGCAACCAGGCACAGTGGTTAAGATTATAGACTGGAGCTCCACCAGTTAGGTTCAAAAATCTAGTTCGATGATCACCTTGGGCATCACTTATCTGTGCTTTAGTTTGCTCATTAGTAACATATGGCTGTCATTAGTAACCTCATAGGACATATAAAAACTTCATAGAATTGTCATAATTAGGGGAACTTATCATATGTAAGGGACATGGAGCCATTCTGCTATTAAGTGTTAACTATTTGTATTATCTGTCCCATTTACCATTATTCTTCCAAACTCACAATAGGCCCTTGGTTAGTATTTAATAAATGGATCGCTTCACCAGTGTAAGTAAGACACATGTCTTAGTCAAATGATACCACTAGTTGAAATCTAACGTGTTTCATAAGTTAAACAACAGAATCAACCAAATGCATCTAGAGTATACCAATAAAATGTGTTACTAGGAAAAAGGAAATAATACTCAAGTTTAAGGTTATTTTACATACCACTTTGCAACCAAATCACAACTCTCCAAAAATGTCAAGGTTGCACACAAGAAGTCTGAGCGAAACATAATAAAGTGTTTGTGGAAGATGGGTAAGTCCAAGAACAATAGGAATTTGAACAGGCAAACATATGGAGTTGGTTCATGGGTGGTAAAATGCATAGGAATTAGTGAAAACTTTGATTTTTTTACACCATAGGCTGCCTCCAGAAATGGGCCATGACATTCTAAAATTATATTTTCCATTGCAGACAGGGTTGTAATTCAGTTTTGACAAGCCATTAACTCCTGAACTTGGTCTGATATGGCACTTTATTCTTTATCTTAATTGATAAAAGCTCATGTCATTCTCCTTGTTGAATATTTTAATTTCATTTACTCATAAATATTTTTGATTCAGGGTCTTGCTCTGTCACCTAGGCTGGGATGCAGTGGTGTGATCATAGCTCACTGCAGCCTTGAACTCCTAGGCTCAAGTGATCCTCCCACCTCAGCCTCCCAAGTAACTGGGACTACAGGCATGCATCACCATGCCTGGATAATGTTTTACATTTCTTGTAGAGACAGGGTATCACTATGTTGCCCAGACTGGTCTTCAACTCCTGGCCTCAAGCAATCCTCCTGACAAAACATTGAGATTACAGTTGTAAGCCACAGCACATGGCTGAATATTTTAATTATTACTCCTTATTACAGGGCTGCTTATTAGTTACTAAATCATTTATTTTATTAAGATGGAAAATGTTAATATAGCTATCAAAAAATAAGAAATGTTTCTTTATTCTAACATTCTATCTCAGTTCTAAAATTGCCGAAAATTTGAATTTATCCCATGGAAGACGAACTATATAAAGTTTTTTTTTAAATTATGTACTACAAACCTGGGCTTAACACTTATCTGTATAATCAAATGCAAATGTATACTTCATTTTCCATTTAATCAGAGCTTAAGAGATAATTTTTTAGAGAGTAGAAAATTACATATATAAAATCTGTTTTAATTGCATTTCAAAATCAACTTAGTGATTACAAAGTATTAATTTTTTCTTTTTTATAGAAAAAAATTTGAAACCTAAATTATAAACAGATTAATTTTTGAAATAAAACACAAAGTGAAAATAATGATGTGTAGACTATATTTAATTGGTTTCCTCTTTAAAACATAATTAGCGTTCCATAGATAACGTGAGTAATACCAGTCAAAAAAGTTGATTTAGCAGACATTCTGACCTATAACTATGAGGCAATCAGTTCGTGGAGGAGTTGCCTTTCAAAAAAAAAATGCTAACAATTCTCTTCTAATTGAAGTTTAATCTCTTTTCTGTTTTGCTAAAATGGTAAAATGAAGTACTATTGTTTATTATTAGATAATATTTATGTTAGAGCAACCAAGATTTTATATAAAGTTTTATTAAAATCCTATATGCTTTTTCTTTTATGTTATTTTGTAATATAAGACTTTCAAACAGAATTGTTGTACACATGACAGAGTTCTCATAAAATAAATTAGATTCTCTAGTTATAAACCTGTAATTAGAGTTAAACTGAGATTAACTCTGAAGTAAGAATGCACAAAACCAAACTATATCGATGATGGGTGTGTTTCATTTAGTGACAAGTAGCCAAGGTAGAATTGAATAGAACAAAGCTGCAAATATCTGTAAGAGGAACATGCCAGGATACCACCTAAGGAAGCTGCTCATTTATTCTAAACCAGCCATGTAATTAAACAGCATTATCTTTTCCTGACATATCTAAATTCATACAGTTATAAAAACAAGTAATTTATAAGTGAATAACCAACTTTTATCTGTAATTATGCTCTGACATGCCCTAAATCTAGAAAATTATTCTTCACTGGCCCATGCTGTTGATATTAATAATGTTGTCCGACCGTTCCTGACTTTATGTTACAGAGAAGTATCTTTTTTAGATTACTATGATCAATATTTTTTAAAGTTTTAAAAAATATATTACTATCCTTTTAATATTTTTAAAAGGGAGCAAAGGGATATCTTTTATTAAAAATAATAAAATAGGCTGGGCACAGTGGCTCACGCCTGTAAACCCAGCACTTTGGGAGGCTGAGGCGGGTGGATCACGAGGTCAGGAGATCGAGACCATCCTGGCTAACACAGTGAAACCCTGTCTCTACTAAAAATACAAAAAAAATAGCCGGGCGTGGTGGCGGGCGCCTGTATTCCCAGCTACTCGGGAGGCTGAGGCAGGAGAATGGCGTGAACCTGGGAGGCAGAGCTTGCAGTGAGCCAAGATCATGCCACTGCACTCCAGCCTGGGCGACAGAGCGAGACTGTCTCAAAAAAAAACAAAATAAAAAAATATGTATGTATATTATTTAAATAGAATGCAAGGATATAATTTTTATATAGCGAAAATATATATATATATATATTTCGCTTTCAAATATCTATTGTTTAGTCCAACTACATATTTATACCAAAATGTGGTGTAAATTGTGGAAAGAGTCAGAAACATACAAAAATATAATCTGGTAGAGAAAAATAAGGGAACTGAGGATAAGGATCAGGGAGTGAAAAAGACTCCTACAGGAATATGTGTAATTATTTGAAAAAAAGTTTTAACTAGATGAAGTTCATAGAGCTAAAAAGCAACTGCATCATTTGTAAAGTCTGAAAAAAAAAGTGGAAGAACAGCAAACCTATGTAAAAAATATCATGCTGTAGTTGTCTAGACGGGAAATAGTAAACTCAAGAACTAAAATGCTGGCCCTTCATCAAGTGATAAATCCTAGAGGAATTCACAAATTATATCTTTAGAAGTCTGCAATTGTATAAATGAGCTTAGGCAAAGAACTGGTGTCAAAATGCTTCATCGATTGACCAAGATGTCTGCTTAAGAGTAACAGGATCAAAAATGAATGTATCATTACTACTGAGAAACTTTGATTTATGTGCTTGTAGCAGATTGTGAAATTTCACTAAATATTTTAATGAGGTTTCCTAGGAGTAATAGAATATAATAAACATCACCACAAATCACTATTTATACAAAGTAAGAAAACAGAAATGTAACCCCCAATCACTCCCTTCAACAACAACAAAAAATTGCTGCATTGAATTGAGGTAAAAACTATTTTGTAGCTGCTGAATGCAGTAATATTCACATCTATGCAACCTACATTACTTATTATTCGTTGCCTTGGACAAATCACTTCAACTCTCTGAGTCACTTTGTTGTTATCTTTAAAATGATATATAAGCATAAGAGACTGGACTTATTTGTACGTGTATTTAATTAGGTTGGAGTTTATGATGGACCCTCATAAAGACATCCTCTAGATCAAGCTTGTCCTACCCACTGCCCAGGACGGCTTTGAATGTGGCCCAACACAAAATTGTAAACTTTCTTAAAACATTATGAGATTTTTTTGCAATTTTTTTGTAATTTCATCTTAACTCCTATATCAATAAGTGTAGTCTTCCTTTTGTCCTCCCCCTCATCCTACCCGTCTTCTTTACCTCCCTTTTTGCCTTTTTTTGTCTTCTTTTATTTTTTAAGGCTAACTTTTAAAAAAAGAGAGTGACTTGCCTTGAACAAATCAGAACTAGTATCCAAATTATAAAAGATTTGTGCCAAGAGCCTTGGAGAAATCTATTGTACTCCTTTGATAAAACAGGCAGATTTTCCTTAATCAAGTAAATGTGTGACCACGCCCCCCCGGCAAAAGAAGTCATTAGAAAACAGATTATGTGGAACATATTTTTATGGTAAGGTTAAAAGAATACCACTAATTCCAAGAGGTAGTAGGTGTCAAAATATTTTTCATATAATTACTTGGGAAATGATCAAAAGAAAGAATGAGGAAGAAACTAAAGAATACTCTTGGCTCTACTTCTATAACATTGATTGCATCCTCAACTAAACTTGCTTCTACATTTGCTAATAAGAGTATTTTATTGCATCTAACCTGCTTTCTAACAGGTAAGGCCTGTTGCAACTTCCAGTATTCGTTCCTCACCATTTCATACCCAGAAGTTATTAGAAAATTAGACTTTAAAGTAAAAGCAAAATTATTTTTTAAATCTGATATGACACTACAAATCAAAATCACAAAGAATATGAGTGACATCTTAGATTGTTGAACTGCTCGAAATAATAAAGTTCACAAATATTAATAATAAAATATAATCTCTCAGTACATGGGTTTCACTTTTATTATCCACTCTTAGACTTCTATACAGAGGGCTGGAAACAAAAATCTATGTTTAGGAAAGAAAGTGTAAAACAAAATTATAATATATTTTTGTTATGATAAATACATCCAGGCTAATAATATTGAGATTATAGTACAGGATTTAAAATAATGTCTAAGAAGGGAAAGAGATCAAACAACTAAAGTTTAAATAGACTGGATTAGCACCATTCTCAGTTTTCAAAGTCACTAAAATAGCAAACAGAAGAAAATCAAATCATATCTCTAAATATAAATGTGATAATACCTTCTCGACAAGCTCCATGATCATCATGTTTAACATGAGTTAACTTGAGAGTTTACGCAGCCAAAAATTAGTGACCAAAGTAAAAAAAATCTATCTAAGAAAACAAAAAGCAAATTCTGATTGAAATTCTTTTAGAACTTGACTCCTACGTAGTTTATTCAATAAATATTTGCTATAGATTTGATGAATGAATTAAAGAATGAATAAGGCAAGTCAAACAAAAATGTTTATTTGAGAATTCTTTGCTTATCTTAAAGAAACTTAGATGAAACAAGTCTATATATTATGCATGTTGTTTTTGTACGTTCTATATAATATTTGAAAACCAAATCACAATGAAACAGTGAGGTAACTAGGAATTTAAAATATGCATAGTAAATTCTAAAAAGTCTTAATAATGACTTTAAATCACAGACAAGACCTGTGTGTAAAAATAAATGGAAACCACCACAAAGTTTTATTTGGTTTACCATTTGTACATTGTAATTTCTACTTTTGTTCCTATCAACCATTCCACGTCTCCTTTATTTCTACATATTGATTGATAGAGATCATTAATAATTATCTGCATATTGCTCTTCCCAAGTTTGTCCCCATAGCTACAAATGAAACCAAGTAAAAAAGAATAGACAGAAATATAATACTCTGTATTAACATTAAATCTCTGAATCTGTTACTAAGGCTAATTACCTGATTTTTATCAGAATTATTTTAATGAGTTAAAACATTTCTCTTAAAAAATTATGTTATAACACATATACATTTACTTGACAAATAGGGAGGAGGTTTAACATATTTTATAAGAAGAGTTTAGAATTTTTTAACATCAAGTTTTCCAAAAAGCCATTCTAATTTAAATTAAAATATACTTTTCTTAGAACTTTAAATATATATATATAGGAATGAAAAAGAGGCTATATTTATATAAAGAAGGTAGCTACAGACTGGGCACGATGGCTCACACCTGTAATCCTAGCACTTTGGGAGGCCGAGGCTGGTGGATCACGAGGTCAGGAGTTCAAGACCAGTCTGGCCAAGATGGTGGCACCCCGTCTCTACTAAAAATACAAACATTAGCTGAGCATGGTAGTGCGTGCTTATAATCCCAGCTACTCAGGAGGCTGAGGCAGGAGAATTGCTTTAACCCAGGCAGCAGGGGTTGTAGTTAGCCGAGATCATGCCGCTGCACTCCAGCGTGGGCGACAGAGTGACACTCCATCTCAAAAAAAAAAAAAAAAAAAGAAAGTTACTACAAAATGTAAAATTAAATCAATGGTAGATATTTTTATATATTAGAAATTTGACAAAAAATCTCTCACGATTATCAATATCATTTATATCACAAATTTTGCAAATTATATACATTGCTGCTGACTTCTTACCACTTCACAAAATACTTCTGAAAAGCTTATCATTTAGTAAGTGAGTAGAATTTTTGAAAAGTACAAAAAATGATATTAAATTACATTGTATTCATGTGAAAAGTATCCAAAAATTATTTTATGGAAACTAAACTTTTATATATAAACACATAAATGCATAGATATAAAACAAGTGATGTATCTAATCTACCTTCAAGTGACATCTTAAAAGGAAGTTTAAAAAAGCCCCAGAAGGATCCTAATAATACATGTTAAGTGTTCTCACTACAAAAATGATAATAACTATGTGAGATAATGCATACGTTAATTAGCTAGATTTAGACATTTCACAATGTGTAGTTACTTCAAAACATCATGTTGCATACAATAAATGCATACAATTTTATCTGTCAAATTAAAAAATTAAATAAATATGTAAATGTATGCAACACAGGGAAGTTAGCTTAAACCTTAGACAGTTTACTATGGAGAATTAGTCATTGCATTCTCTGATTTTATTTTTCTTTCACCAACTGGAAAAATTAGAAAAATCACCTAAAATTAAAAACAAATACATGGCATCAAATACTGTGAAGAATCTTTACATACAATTGATACTCATAACAGTTTAACAGTTTAGAAGCGACATTCTTTCATTTTCCATCACATTATACACACAATTTTGTTTGAAGTTTTAAATAGAAAACAAAATTTATTAACTCCATAGTACTTGGATCCATCATCTTGCTTATAATTTATAATGATATTACATTATATTAACATTAAGTCTCTGAATAAAAAAGAGGTGTTTTTGAGTGTTTGTGTTTTTCATTATTTAAAATTTGCATCAAAACTGATTGATAAGGTAAGACACTATAATAATTATTATCCTGCATAAAAAATGCTAATCTTTTACAGAAAGATGGCACCATATCTGTCCTCAACTTTTAAAATATTTCCTTCATATACTATATTTTTATTGTAATAAATACATATTATTGGAAAGTCTTTTGGTATATCCAGTGATATAATAAGGTCATTTTGTGAATATTTAGAAGTATAAAGTATAAATAAATATTTTAATTAAAAAATTACCACTCCAGTTTCCATAAAAAATTAAGATATTTCTCAATCTTTTTAAACATCTCGCACTTTCCACATTGCATAAAAACTCACCCCTGAACAGATTTATTTTTCTCCTACATAGTTTTTGGTATATTTTGTGATGATAGCACCAAAAATTTTGCAACCACTCATCTGATTACTATTTGTGGAAGCAAATTATAGTTTCATTTTTACTGTTAATCCAGAAGGTTACAAGAGTTAAAGATAGAAGTATCATTGAGGAAAAAAAAAAGCAATGCCCACATATTAAAAACACACCAGTAGTTTTACTTTAAAACAAGTATAGGTCTTTATTGGTTTATTCTCTAATTTATATTTTCCTCTAATAAAAATATAAATCTATGTTATGCTGTTTGGTTAATTACCACTCCACCTTTTGTGTATTTGAGTTTCCTATCTCAAACTGATAACATGTGGCTTTTCTTTAGGAATAATTACATAGAAAGGGAAATGGTACATTTTCAAGTTGTCAGTTTAATCATGTCTCCTTTTCTCATCTTTTCAGCAAATACATCAGCACCAGCTGAAGAAGAAAGGGAAGTAGATATGGAGCACTGCAAATTTGCTTCTGCGCAAAAGGAAAAGGCAGCTGAAAAACAGTTTTGGCAAATTAAATTGCAAATGATTCAGCCCCATCAAGCTAGTCAATGAGAAAAAAAAAGGACAAATTTTTATTCCGACATGGTGAGTAATGTCTTTTTTATGACAAAATAGAAAATAAACAGTACCCAAGCGATTGTTGACAGCTAAAGGTTACTAATGTCCAGAATTTCCCTCAGGACACAAGGCTCACTGTGGTACCAATTCCAGTCTAGGGTTTTTATGATGAGAGTGATATTCTGGTTGTCAAACTTAATCCCCACTCTCACCCACCCACTCTTGCCATGCACAGTCTGAAGTAAATAAGGAATAAAGAATATTAAATGGATTGGGGAAGAATCTAGGTTTCATTTGACTCTCTTTTGTTTGCTTGTTTGTTTGTTTTTTCAATAGCTATAGGGAGAAAATAGCCTATTCTGACTAGAAAAAAAAGTTATAGCCAGAAAAAATACATATATTATATATATAATTGAAACATAAAGATAGACTTAAACATTTTATGCTGCATTGCTTCTTAAGATCACAGTAAGGCTTAAACAGATTTCTACATGTTCATTTATCAGAGCTCTCTAATACCTTTAGATTGACACTGAGTAAAGGCCATGTATATCCCTGAAAATTTAAAAAGAAAAGAAAAAGAGAGAGGGAGAAGAAAAGTAAGTTTTTGACTAGCAAAGACTGATGAAGGTTAAAATTTGATCCAGAGTTGAACATGTTTGAGATCAAAGCCTTCAATAATTCTTTCAGGATGGAAATACCTAGAGGCTATTTTATTTGACTGAATTTAACTTTGATGTACTATGCTACTGAAAAACATTTATTCTCCTTTTCTTATACTAAAATAATCAATACCCTAAACCACTGGTTCCTACATTTCAGGAGGTCAAGAATTCCCTGTGGTTTTTAAATAAGTTTGAACAAATTTTTCTTAATAATGCCTAACTTAAAGGTGTATCCATCTTTCAAGTTAGGTACAATAAACAAGCATAATTTGAAGTGTGGTCTTAGATACATAGAATTTAATATACTTGGAGACTTTGTAACTAAGGGCTATGATAGAAGAAAATAACTCAAGTGTTATATTAATATTAAAAATAGACAGTTGAGATATATATTCTGAATACACTATTTCTATAGGTTTTCCTTAAAGTTATAAAACTTGATATACTCTTATATGTTAAATGGCGTTTCCCCCCATGAAGAAGAAAGTCTTATTTTAAATTACTTTTCATCTTTTATAATTAAGGTAATTTTATACTAATATTTTAAAAGCTATTTATACATAAACACTTCACATAGGCTAATTTTAATTCTCCCAATGAAAGTGTATATATATATATGTGTGCGTATATATATATGTATAATGTGTGTACACATATATAAACATATATATGTACCTATTTATACACATATATACATATATACACACACATACATATATGTATATATACACACACACGTATATAATTATTTAAACATAAGAAAACTGAAATTCAGTTTTCTAAGCAGAATAGCCAAAGCAAAAAGAAAGGAAGAGAATTGGGTTTACCATGCAAAGGATTTCTTTAATGCACACTATACTGCCCACCCTACAAATCCTCATACAGATATTACTTTTATAAAGACTCACTTAAGTTATGTATGATACAGAATACATCTTAATCATAATATGTGTTTGAGGCAGTGATTCTCAATGTGTGGACTTCACATACCCAAGACACTTGTAGGAAATCAACAATGTTAAGATTATTTCCATAATAACAGAAAGACATTATTATTATTATTATTACTACTGTTCTGACATTTGCATCAATGGGGCAAAAGCTATGGTGAATAAAACTGCTGGTGCCTTAGCATGAAGCAAGGCAGTAACACCAAACTGTACTAGCAGTCATTGTATTCTTCATGGTCATGCACTTGGAATTAAATAAATGCTTATTTCTCATACACATGTCTTAGATGGAGTTGTAAAATGGTTAATTTTATTAAATCTCAACATTATAGTACATCTTTTTTACACACTGTGTGAAAAAGTGGAAAGTTCACATAAAACACCTCTGCTTCACACCAAAATACGATTGTTGCAATGAAAAAGTACTACATGATTGTTTCAGTTAAAAACTAAATTTTATGAATACCATTTCTTATTAAAGGAAAAACTGACAAACTGTGATAATCATTCTTGAGTGTCTGGTAAACATTTTTTTTTATTTTTGGAAAATGATCAAGGTGAGCTTACCTCTTCAAAGAAAACAACTGACACTCTTTGTTGTTAATTGTAAAATTCAAGCTAGCAAAAGAAATTTATAATTTTGAAAACCTATGTCTTCCACCATGGTTATCCATTATGTATAGATTTTTTGATAAAGTTGCTGGCAGTATTAACAAATGTGATATTTAATACTGAATAATTGTTATGATCTGAATTGTGTCCTTCCAATATTTATAGTTTGATGTCCTAAACCCCAGTACAATGTGTGACTATTTGGACATAGAGTATTTACAAAGGTAATTACGGTTAATAAGGTCACTTGGGAAGCTCTTAGCCAACAGGCTTGATTGTTTTTGTAAGGAAAGACTAGGACACAGCCATACACAGAAGAAAGACTACGTAAAGCCACAGGGAGAAGACTGACATTTCATTTAAAAACCAAGGAGAAGTAGGGCAGGGCCTGGTGGCTTAACGCTTGTAATCCCAGCACTTTGGGAGGCCGAGGCTGGTGGATCACGAGGTCAGGAGATCAAGACCATCGGGCTAACACAGTGAAACCCTGTCTCTACTAAAAATACAAAAAAATTAGCCGGGCGTGGTGGCGGGCGCCTGTAGTCCCAGAAGCTTGGGAGGCTGAGGCAGGAGAATGACGTGAACCCAGGAGGCGGAGCTTGCAGTGAGCCGAGATCATGCCACTGCACTCCCGCCTGGGCGACAGAGACTCTGTCTAAAAAAAAATAAAAAATAAAAAATAAAACTAAGGAGAAGTATATATACATTGTGGAATTACTAAATCTACCTAATTAACATATGCATTACTACACAGAGTTATTTTGTGTTGAGTACATGGTAAATACAATTTTATCTGTCAATTTAAAAGTTAGAATAATTTTTAAAAACCCAAGGAGAGAGGGCCCAGAGGAAACTAATTGTGCTCAGATCGAAATCTCAAATGTCTGGCCCCTTGAGCTATGAGAAAATTAGACACTGTTAAGTCACCCCTGTGGTTCTTTGTTAGGGCAGGCTTAGCAAATTAATGCAATAATAAAATATATCAACATTTGGATGATTTGCAAATCTCAGTAAGTCAAGGTTTTCCAATACATTCCAGTAAAATTGTAAGATAGACAAGTGAATATTAATGTAACAATATGAAATGTTTACTGACACTGCTTCAGTTTAGTTTCTTCAGTGCCTTGCGACTAAACCTTAGCTAGACAGCAACTAACCTTTAAGAAACTAACTTTTGGCCCGTGCGGTGGATCACACCTGTAATCCCAGCACTTTGGCCGAGGTGGGCAGATCATGAGGTCAAGAGATGGAGACCATCCTGGCCAACATGGTGAAATCTCATCTCTACCAAAAATACAGGCCAGGTGTGGTGGCTGACGCCTGTAATTGCAGCACTTTGGGAGGCCTAGGCAGGCAGATCACCTGAGGTCAGGAGTTCGAGACCAACCTGGCCAACATGGCAAAACCCCCATCTCTACTAAAAATACAAATATTAGCTGGGTGTAGTGGCGTGTGCCTGTAATCACAGCTACTCTGGAGACTGAGGCAGGAGAATTGCTTGAACCGGGGAGGCGGAATTTGCAGTCAGCTAAGATTGCACCACTGCACTCCAGCCTGGGCAACAAGAGCGAGACTCCGTCTCAAAATAAATAAATAAATACATAAATAAATAAATAAAATAAAAATACAAAAATTAGCTGGGCATGGAGGCGCATGCCTGTAGTCCCAGCTACTCAGGAGGCTGAGGCAGGAGGATCACTTGAACCCAGGAGGCGGAGGTTGCAGTGAGCCGAGATTGCGCCACTGCACTCCAGCCTGGTGACAGAGTGAGACACCGTCTCAAACAAACACCAGAAAAATAAACTAACTTTTGTGGAGTTTTGTGCAGTATCAAACAAGAATTCCACCATCACCTAAAATGTTACTAAAATAGCTCATCCATTTCCATTTATGTATCTATGTGAGGTCAGATTTTCTTCATAGACTTCAACAAATAAAACATAGCACCACCGACTGCCTTTTAAAAACCGTCTGGGAAATACAAGTGTTTTTTTGTAACTGTTATTTATGTTAATAGTCATTTTATTATTGTTATTTTAAATGAATTAATAAATATAAAATTTTCTGAATTTTGATTTTGAGTATGTCAACAGTTATAATCTACATTAAAATTTAGTAATTTAGGCTGGGCACAGTGGCTCACGCCTGTAATCCCAGCACTTTGAGAGGCCAAGGCGGGCAGATCACGAAGTCAGGAGATCGAGACCATCCTGGCTAACACGGTGAAACCTCGTCTCTACTAAAAATACAAAAAATTAGCCGAGCGTGGTGGCGGACGCCAGTAGTCCTAGCTACTCGGGAGGCTGAAGCAAGAGAATGGCATGAACCCAGGAGGCGAAGCTTGCAGTGAGCCGAGATCGCGCCACTGCACTCCAGCCTGGGCGACAGGGCAAGACACTGTCTCAAAAAAATAAATAAATAAATAAATAATTTGTAATTTAACAATGCAAACATGTGTTGATACCTCAGCATTTAAGAGCTTCTGATTTGAGAAATAAATCAATAATAAGTAGCAGTAGCTATCCCTGTGCAGTATGTATTAATATACCAGCCAATCTGCTAAGCATTTCACATTTGCTTCCACGGTTTATCAATACAAATACCTTCAACATAAGCATAATTATTTTCACTGAGAGATGAGGATTTGAGTTCCTAAATCAGTTTATAACTTGCCTAAAACTTCACAACCAGTATATGCCCAAAATGGAAAACAAACATAGATTATAAGATTCCAAAGCCCAAAATGTTCCACATAGTAGATCAAACACTCACTTAACAAACAAATAATATATTAGAGGAATTCTTTCAGCAATAACATCTCAGGTAGGAATTCATTGGGATTTCTGCAAGAGATTTAGGAAAGAGTGGCCGTAGAGTCCCCAGTCTGATCTAGAAAATCTGTGGTCAAACAGTTTTGGATAAGTATACTGAAGGAAAGTATGTATTTCTTCTTTTATTCTCAAAGACATACTATCACAAACTTGCGTGTTAAGTACATTCAAATGGACATCAGGAACACATATTTTTCTTCTTTGGTGATGCAATCACTTTACACTGTCTTTTCTTAAGTAATTCTACTCTTAAGATAAAATAATACCAAATATACTTGACAGAGTTTTCCAAAAATGCTTTACCATTGGTTGAGTGAAATAAAGAATAAAAAAAAATTATCCAAGCCGGCATAAAGTTTATAGAAATTTTGTGTGGTGTTTCTGAATAAAATAAGAATATAGTCATTAGAGATAATAGGCGATTATCCACGTGTCTCAAAAATTAATTTTAACCATTATTACTCATGCTTTATTTCCTATCTCCTCTTTTCTATTTATCTTTCAACAGAAGATGGACTATATTGTGAAATGACCATTGTATCAGTTTGTCCAAGAAACGATAAAATAAAAATGCCTAAATAATAATTCATAAATTCTGCAAAGTGGATGATTATTAAAAAGTAAGGTCCAAACACAATTATTCATTACATAAATATCAGTAAATATTCTGACATTTAGTGTACTCAGTTTGTGTTTATCAAATTCTCATGAATTTATATAAATAATATTTTTCATTAGTTTATAACATTACTTATTGTGCTACTGGCTTAAGTGCTTCCAAAATTAAATACCATGTTAAGGAAAATTTTACTCTATTAAAATATATTCTTGATTTAAATTGTATGTAAAATAAATTTTTATATCTGGAAACATTTCTTTAAAAATTTTCTAAACGTATTAAAGTAGAAATTTCTTAAATTTCTAAATTTCTGATACTACTAAAAAAATCCTCTAAATACCTAAAGCTATTCTCTATGCCACAAAGCTCTGCAAAATAATCTATCAAGTTTCCCAATATGAATATAAAGTTATTATGTAATTTTATTAGGAAACAATATGACAAGTTTTAAGCATAAAGCAGTGATGATCATCCAATATTCAAAATTAAAATAATTGTTTTTCATAAAAGACAAAAGAAAAGAGAATGTGAGAATGGGAGATAGGATGGATTAAAGATTGTTCATACTACAATGATATTTTTAGAGGAGAGGTTTTGAATGGATATTGTATAACAGAGAATATTTCTGTATCCTTGACACTAAAATATCAATTAAAATTCATTGTTTAAATTAATCTAAGTTTTAAAATTGTATTTTAGAAGCTCAGATATGAGATTGTACTATCCCACTCATGTTAGTCTTTCTCTATTTGAAAAAATATATAAAAATATTTTAAGTATGAATTTGATTTAAAATTTTATCAAAAATATTATATATTTTAGGCCGGGCATGGTGGCTCACGCCTGTAATCCCAGCACTTTGGGAGGCCAAGGCGGGGGGATCAGGAGGTCAGGAGTTCAAGACCAGCCTGGCCAAGATGGTGAAACCCTGTCTCTACTAAAAATACAAAAAATTAGCCAGGCGTGGTTGCACATGCCTGTAATCCCAGCTACTCAGGAGGCTGACACAGAGAATTGCTTAAACCTGGGGGGCGGAGGTTGCAGTGAGCCAAGATTGCACCACTGCTCTCCAGACTGGGTGACAGAGCAAGACTCCATCTCAAAAAAAAAAAAAATTATATATTTTATTGGCACAGGATGAAAACTCTAACACATACTATTTGTGGATGAAGTCTAATTTTTATATTTAAATAACGACATGTATATTTTCTCTTGTTTCTTTTTAGATTCATCTTTCAGCTTAACTATTAAAATACTGATGAACATATCTTGTACTTTGATTTATTAAGTACATAACAAAATATTATATTTTATCTTTTTCATTAGATTCTAGATATACAGAAATTTTGCACACTTAAGAGAAAAGAAAATATTGTTTTCAATTTTAGAGCAACTTAGAAAGTTTTTTTTTTTTTTTTTTTTTTTGAGATGGAGTCTTGCTCTGTCGCCCAGGCTGGAGTTCAGTGGCGCAATCTTGGCTCACTGCAAGCTCCGCCTCTAGGGTTCACGCCATTCTCCTGCCTCAGCCTCCTGAATAGCTGGGACTACAGGCGCCCACCACCAGGCCTGGCTAATTTTTTTGTATTTTTAGTAGAGACAGGGTTTCACCATGTTAGCCAGGATGGTCTCGATCTCCTGACCTTGTGATCCGCCTGCCTCGGCCTCCCAAAGTGCTGGGATTACAGGCGTGAGCCACTGCACCTGGCTGGAAAGTTTTATTAATCATTCTAAAACTGAAATCGTGTTCTGTAATAGGAGAACATTCCTGTTTTGTTTAGAACTGTTTTCAAAATTTTAGGAAAAAATACTACTTGTTTTTCCACTTTTTTGTCTTTAATTAAACTAAATATAAATAGATGACTGTTGTAGACATTTCTTATATTTTATATTTGATACAGATAAATCAGAACTACTTCCTTTTTTTTTTTTTTTTTTTTTTTTTTTTGTATTTTTAGTAGAGATGGGGTTTCACCATGTTGGTCAGGCTGGTCTTGAGCTCCTGACCTGATGATCTGCCGGCCTCGGCCTCCCAAAGTGTTGGGATTACAGGCGTGAGCCACTGCACCCGGCCAAATCAGAACTACTTCTTAGACAGCACTAATAGACTATAATACACATAAGTGTTGCCATATTGTTAAAATTGAAAATGTTGTATTTTCTACTGTAATAATCACGGCAGCTCAACTGATCAGGGTAATGAAAAACTACAGCTTTCCTTATCCCAGAATATATGGCCTCAGAGTATATGGCCTCATGGAAAATAAAAGGTGGCTTTGCTTTTTCAGATATTTTCTATCATTTCTCAGATACATAATTTAGAAGAAAGTAGAGTTCATAATGTATTAACATTTAGGAATCTGTAATCATAATTAAGAGAAAAAATTGTGTTTTCATATTCTATGCCACCAAATAAGAATAATAGAGTATACTCTTACAGAATTTTACAATGGCCACTCATTGATACCAAAACCTTTATCTGAAAATTCATCTATGGCCAGGCGCGGTGGCTCACGCCTGTAATCCCAGCACTTTGGGAGGCTGAGGCGGGTGAGATTGAGACCATTCCGGCTAACATGGTGAAACCCCGTCTCTACTAAAAATACAAAAAATTAGCCAGGCGTGGTGGCAGGCGCCTGTAGTCCCAGATACTTGGGAGGCTGAGGCAGGAGAAAGGCGTGACCCCAGGAGGTGGAGCTTGCAGTGAGCCGAGATCGTACCACTGCACTCCAGCCTGGGCCACAGAGCGAGACTCTGTCTCAGAAAACAAACAAACAAACAAAAACAACAACAACAAAAAAGAAAGTTAATCTATACTTTGTTTCACATAACAAGTAAACTTCTAAAACTTTATTCTGTAAATTTAAATGTGTTACTGATATGGTTTGGCTCTGTGTCCCCACCCAAATCTCATCTTGAATTGTACTCCCATAATTCCCACATGTTGTGGGAGGGACCCAGTGGGAGATAATTTGAATCCATGGGGGCGGTTTCCCCATACTGTTCTGGTGGTTGTCAATAAGTCTCACGAGATATGATGGTTTTATCAGGGGTTTCTGCTTATGCATTTTCCTCATTTTCTCTTGCCACTGCCATGTAAGAAGGGCCTTTCGCCTGTCACCATGGTTGTGAGGCCTCCCAGCTATGTGGAACTGTAAGTCCAGTTAAACCTTTTTCTTCCCAGTCTTGAGTATGTCTTTATCAGCAGCATGAAAACGGATTAATACAGTTATAATATACCCTGAAAATTGTTATAGGTTACTTTAAGAGTGAATAAAATTTTCTCACATATTTATTAGTCATAAGTATTCAATAAAACATATTCACCATCTGTTTAGACGACTAAATACCAGTTACAAAGTACGTGGTTAGCTTGACATCTCACATTTTATGGTCCTAACAAAATTTAATTGAAATTTCAGCAGCACAATGGTTCTTTGATTGATTTGAATTCTAGCTTTACTATGGTAACACATACCATTAATTTAATAGAAATTTGCCTTTATGCCTGTATGTTTTTTAAGGACAAAATTCTTCCATATTCTCAACTCTTATTCTATACATCATTCTTTCAGAAACCAGAAATGCATTAGTTAGAATTTGTAGTACAGATAACAAATCAGATTATAAAAAAATCTCATTTGCCTGAAAAATAACTGTACATTTCCAAAGGAAGACCAACTAAAATTGAAGAGACTGGAGCCTTATTATTAGATACTCCTCTATAGTTTGTTAACTTTTATGATACTCCTGTGAGACCCATAAAATTGAAATAAGTTTTTAGGAAAGGAAGAAAAGATACAACCCTTGCTCTCAAGGTGCTTACAAATTAGCAAAAACCAGATGATAGAAGAAACTACGAAAATGAATGAAACCATGCAAGGAGACACTGTCCCGGTGGGGCTCACAGTTTATAAAAGTTCTGATACATAATAAAGAAGATTAGAAAATGAATGAGGAAAAAATTTCTTAGGGCTGTCTTAGTATCCTAGAGCTTTTATTGTCTGTGATATTTAGTGAATGTTATGCTTTTCCATCTACATACTGAAGATAAAAATAAAACTATTTTCTTTGAATGTCATGGCAAAGATAATTCTGTTCCTATTACCTTCTTTAGATAAAATCTCTATTGTTACACTTACCGACTTTATAAACTGGCCAACATAACTGCCCATGTAAAACTTAGTCATCTCAATAGATATTGATAGAGACACTCCTCCATTCTCAAGCTACCATTCTCAGTATGATTTAAACATAGGACTAGTAGTTGCATGAATTCATTCATAAATGAGGTAGCGTGAAGAGTGATTCCACAAGTAGAAGATAAAGCTTTCAGATGGTCGGCTATTTTAAACCTATGAGGAAGGGGGGATAACAGGGATAACATTTGTGATAATAGAGACTAAGTGGCTCAAGCAAGAGATAACATTGAACTATTTCAAGAACCAAAGAAAAACTTCATGACCATGAAACTTTTTAAAAATTTTGTTTAACTTTTGGTCATGAAAACTATTTCATATTTCAACTATAAAAATTGGTTGATATAAAACTATTTCATGACCAAAAATTAAACAAAATTTAAAAACCTACAAATGGAGGTTTAACTATCAATAAGGAGAAATGTGCACTGGAAGAGAGAAAAGTTATAGGAAATACAATATTACTCTTGTTGAAAAGGAATGCATGAATTTGAGATAACTACAAGCAAATAAATTTTTTTTGAGATGGAGTCTTGCTTTGTTGCCCAGGCTGGAGTGCAGTGGCACTATCTCGGCTCACTGCAACCTCTGCCTCTCAGGTTCAAGGGATTCTCTTACCTCAGTCTCCCAAGTAGCTGGGATTACAGGCATGCACCACCACGCCTGGCTAATTTTTGTATTTTTGGTAGGGACAGGGTTTCACCGTGTTGGCCAGGCTGGTCTCAAACTCCTGACCTCGGGTGTTCCACCCTCCTCGGCCCCCCAAAGTGCTGGGATTACAAGCGTGAGCCACTGTGCCTGGCCAAGAAAATAAAATATTTATATATCACATGCATATGAGGATATGATTTTATTTATATTTTTTGTCAATGAGAGGGATATAATTTTCAGTTGGGAATTTTGCCCCAAAATTGTCTCTTTCTCTGTTCTGATTTAGCTTTTCAATATCTGAAGTGTTTGTTTGTGTCTATTTTTTGGTTTCTTTCCCATTGGACTATAAAATTACTGAGAATGGGGATTAAGTCATATTCATCTTTCCATCTTTCTTCTAACTCAAATAAAAAAGTTTGTATCCATGTTCTCATTTCTCAAACTGAAGAAGAAAAGAGGCAACTGCCAACAACTTCTTCCTAAAAGCCTTTCTTAGAAATAAATTTAAAATGGAAACCTACTTTTAAAAGAAAAAATTATCTTTATCCCATTCATTTTATTTTAATGCCTTCAGTCTGGCAAGAGTATATTGGATATAAAACTCATGTTACTAAGCAAAAATCATTTGGGCAAACATGTCTCTATTTACTTAAATTTGATTTCTTATAAAAAATCTATTATATGTCTTCAGAAACCTAAAAGATAGAGCACAAGGATCTAGAATCTTATTATTGATGTGCTGTTGAAAAATCACTTAATCTTTAATCTCAAAGCAAAAGGAAAGAGTTGTACTAACTACCCGCAGTCCAATATTTTTTCTACTTACGCAACTATATCATAGCTCTTTCATTATCTGAATCAAAAAATCAATCAATAGGCCGGGCGCTGTGGCTCATGCCTGTAATCCTAGCATTTGGGGAGGCCGAGGTGGTTGGATCACCTTTGGTCAGGTGTTCGAGACCAGTCTGTCCAACATGGCAAAACCCTGTCTCTACTAAAAATACAAAAATTATTGGGCATGATGGCAGGCACCTGTAATCCCAGCTACTCAGGAGGCTGAGGCAGGAGAATCGCTTGAACTCGGAAGGCAGAGGTTGCAGTGAGCCGAGATCGTGCCACTGTAATCCAGCCTGGGCAACGGAGCGAGACTCTGTTTCAAAAAAAAAAAAACAAATCAGTCAGTAATGTTTCAGCCTGTATCTAACTCGTTTAGATGAAATAATAATTGTGTAATTTGCATCAGAATGAAGTTAGAATGACATTTTGATTCATATTAAAGTTATCAGTACACAAATTGATTTAATACATACCTTAATAATATTTTAGTTTACACTGTATTCAAAATACTGTGCTAGTCTTTTGAGGTGGAGAAAAATAACATGTAATTCTTGTCCTCAAAAAGTTTTAGATTTAGAAAGGTACACAAACTTAGGAAAATTAACTATAAATCTGGTTAATTATAAAATGGCCTATAAAAATGTGCCTTGGGAGATCAGAGGACTAGTAAAGCACTACTGATTTAAAATTGCCTTCATTAGCATCAAATTTTAAATAAACAAAGTGACAAGAAAAAATAAATAAGTATTATTTATATATATAAATAAAAATAAATAGACAAGGTGACAAATCAAGATAATTTTTCTCTTTTATTTGCATGATAAATCCCCTTTGGACTTTCTTACAACACAGGATGCCAGCATGTTGGGAAATTTCACCCAAAAATTGCTGCTTTCTCTGTTCTGATTTTACTTTTCAATATTTGAAGTGTTTATTTGTGTTTATCTTCTTCATCTGTTTTTCTCCCATTGGGCTATAAAATTGTTGAGTGCAGGGATTAAGTCATACTCATGTATTTATATGTTTTCAGTTAATCTTGGATTTTCAAAGAATTTCCTGGAGGGGTTATTATTCTGTTTGCAACTTTACAGAGATACAATATCATGGTTAGATCATTTAACTTGAAACTTTTTGAAAAGTTGAGTGCTTCATTATTTCTTATTTGCAGCCAATTGGATTTCTTAGCTGTCCATCTGGTACCAGAATTTTTAAATTCTGAAACTTGCTTTTAGAGTTTTGGTTATCAACCCTGCTCTAAAATGCCAGACAGCAAATGTTGGTCTCTAGTAAACAAAAGAATCTATAGAACGGTATTTCTAGTTTCTCTTATTTATGTCATATGTTAGTTCTACTCTCTAAATTCTGGTGAGTTAAGCTAGTGAGTCTAAGTGGTCTGTGTACAAAATCATCACAGCATTGAAGTTATGCTATTCTGTTTTGCATTTACTGATGGTCACTATAAACACAGATGTGATCTCATCATCTGTCAATTCTGACAAGATTTTAAAATACACTTTTGGTGTACAAAAATGAATTTTATGCAGGAAAGATCAGATGTGATCTTTGAGAAATTAATGTGCTTTGTTGGCAGCGGAAAGAAAGAGAGTGAGAGAGAGAAAGAGACAACTAGGCTAGTCCCAGAGAAATTTCTAATTTTGCCTTCAATATTCTTTAATATCACCTTACACCTTCATTCCACCTTTTTCATCCCCTCCCGTATGAAAAATACATAGTGAGTAGAGTACAGTTGGTCTTTTGTATTTCTGAGTTCCACATCTGTGAATTCAACCAGCCACAAATTAAAAATATTTGAGAAAAAAATCCACAAAGCTCCAAAAACTTGAATTTGCTGTGCATCAAGTACTATGCTGAATCTATGCAAATAAAGTGATGTGTAGGCATTCCATTGTAAGTAATCTAGAGGTGATTTAAAGTATGTGGGAGGATATGCATAGCTTATTTGCAAATATTACACCATTTTATATATAGGGCTCAAGCACTGGCAGAGTTTGGTATGTGTGGGGGGTTCCTAGAACCAATCCCCAGTGGACACCCAGGGATGACTGTATTTTTATCCAGTTGGAAAAGCCAAATTCCTGGGAATAATTCCAGACTCATTTCTCTCCCTCACTCCCCACATTATTCAATTGGTGTTATATGATCTTTTTTCTCAGACAATTTCTCTACTAAATGGAAGTTGACTTCAAGATCTCTTTTAAATATAAAATTCAATGATTTTAAATATGTATCTATTTGCTGAATATATATATACATATATATATAAAACTACACATATTGATGCACATGTGTATACATATTGATGGTTATGTGTGTATATATAAAAAATACATTGTAGGCTGGGCACAGTGGCTCACGCCTGTAATCCCAGCAATTTGGGAGGCCAAGGCGGGTGGATCACGAGGTCAGGGGATCAAGACCATCCTGGCTAACACGGTGAAACCCTGTCTCTACTAAAAATACAAAAAATTAGCCAGGCGTGGTGGTGGGCACCTGTAATGCCAGTTACTTGGGAGGCTGAGGCAGGAGAATGGCATGAACCCGGGAGATGGAGCTTGCAGTGAGCTGAGATCTCGCCATTGCACTCCAGCCTGGGCGACAGAGCAAGACTCCATCTCAAAAAAAAAAAAAAAAAAAAGATTGTAGATGTGTCTGTGTGTGTGTATTATAGCCATATATTCACGACATATATGGCCAAGATACAGTGACATTATAGATGTTCCAAATAAAAGACTATAGGAAATGGCTTTCATTTTCAAAAATAATCATTTTACAAAATTATAATGGTATTGCAGATCTGACATTCCTAAATTATTATTATGTGAAATATTTGACCTTCCTTTACATGAATTATTTAAATGAAACCATATTTTCTTGGTTTCGTTTCTAAAAACGCAGTGAAGAATAAGATGGATCTAACATTACAAAAACGTATTTAAAAAATAACCACATTATGATTTCTGAAAAACCTAAGCTTTTAGGATTTTACTGTCCAAGAACAGATGTGGAAAACAAAATTTAAGATAGCACCCCATAATAAATATCTGAGTAGTCCAGGCAAAAGTGATTGTGGATTTATTTGAGAGTTTTTGGCCTGAAACACCATCTCAATCCTCTTCCTCACAGAGACTGTCAGAATAGAGTTGGAGGTTTATCTTCATGATGCCAAGCCACTTTTCAGACAGTGCTATAAACTTCAGTATCACATATGCTAAACTGGTGGTTTGGCTGGATTTAATCTGTCCTGGAAACAAGTAATCTGCAATTCTATTTGGATTAAAAGAAAAAACTAACTTGTTTTAATAGAAAATTATTTGCTTAAAGTAATATCAAATCATTTAAATTTAAAGTCATTAATATTTTACTAATTTTGAAATTAATATTATAGATATTAAATCAAGACTACTTGGGCAATTATCAGCCTCATTGAAAATTGAACATACAATATGCAATTTCCATATTTAGAATAAAATTCATTTTTAGTCAATTTAAGCACTGATAAGTTTATATTTTATTTTATTCATTCATTTCACTACATTAAGCAATAGGAATAAATATAACAATGAGCCCTATTTCTGCTTTTGAGGAAATTATCATTTTACAGAGCTGTTAATTTGGGGAAAATATTTTTATATGAAAATGATTAATCGAACTTTATATCAAAGACCTTTCATTTTGAATTTTAAATCTCACTGTCAACCACATTTTAACTCCAAAAGCATCCAGAATTATTAGGTCATGATTTGTCTGTCCCTTGAGTTTGTAGTTCTCTGCTTTACTACATCCGTGAACTCATCACAAGTGTTATATATAACACCTGCTATTTTCTGTAGTACAGGGGTTGGGAGGTGAAATGGAACAAGTTGTATATACATATTTTTCTGTTGAGTTCACATGAAGACAAAGACAAGGACATGCAGATTTACAAGTTATGTGGGGAATGATTGCCAAGCAACAACATCCTCTTCCAGCCTTATGGGAATTAAACACTGAGGTAGAAACATGGACTCCAGATATGCTGTAATTCATCTCTACTGTAAGAGCCAATACAGAAAATGTTGGTATGTATTATGTTAACAACATTAATCTTTTGGCTGTTTTTTTTTTCTAGAAAATTGCAGAGCCGGAGGAAAATTGAAGACTATTAGTTAACAGTTTAAATGAATCAAGACAAATTTTTTTCAGATAGTTTTCTAACACCTTATAGTACTTCCAAGTTGACTAATTGAGTATTTATTGACCTATAAATTTTATTTAACTTAATCTGTAATTTAAAATTTTATTATTTTATTTATTTTATTATTTTATTTTGAGATGGAGTCTCTCTCTGTCGCCCAGGCTGGAGTACGGTGGCACGATCTCGGCTCACTGCAACCTCCACCTCCTGGGTTTGAGTGATTCTTGTGCCTCAGCCTCTGGAGTAGCTGGGACTACAGGTGTACACCACCATGCCTGTCTAATTTTTGTATTTTTCATAGAGATGGGGTTTTGTCATGTTGGCCAGGTTGGTCTTGAACTCCTGACCTCAGGTGATCTGCCTGCCTCAGCCTCCCAAAGTGCTGGGATTACAGGTATTTTCTATTTTAAATGCACTTCTTGCTTTTCATTTGCTAACCTCTATATTTCTTAAAAAAATCCCATTAGTGGAAGGATTCAGATATTCTCTGCCTTCCATGTTATTTTCTTTATATTGAGCAAACAGATTTCGTAATAAATACTTAACTGATAATCATAATAACTAGGACTGACTATACTATAAAATCTTCAATATGAGATTGGGAACTCATTTTATCTTGCTATATATCAGTTTCCTAATTTGTAAAACGAAGATAGTAATAACTCACCTTCATTATCCTAGAGGATGTTGGTAAGATACAAGAGAAACAAAATGCTTTCATACGTACAAATTAAAGCACTCCCCATGCAATAGCAAAGTGATGTGGGTTTTTTTAATTTGTTTTGTGTTTTTTTCAAATATATTTCCAAATTTTAAATCCCTTGGAGCTCTAAGTCACAAATGGCTCATTCTTGAAGCCTCCAATTACTTTTCCAGATCTCACTGAGCAGTCCTACCTTTGAGCTCTGGCACCATTCAACACTTATTAACACTTAATGTTAAAGAGACAAATGATTCACATTTTTCAAAAGAAAATATTTATATGAAACTGCAAGTCTTTCGAAAATATATGGCTTGAATGCTACAATTATAATGTTAAAATTATATTAAAATGGAAATGAATCAAAAAATCTTCTAATTAGGGAACTGAGAATTACATTAGGGGACCAATGCTGAATTACATTAGAGGACCAATGTTGAGTGTTTCTAAGGAGGCTGTTTCTAAACCAAGCAACCTGATGACCATCTATGTTATGTTAAAAGATTCCAAAGTTAAGGATAAGGCACATATATAATTGATACAGGAGACGGACAGGGAAGTGCTGGGTAGAGAAGAGTGGGGTCACTAGTGAGGGCTCCACCCTTGGGCCTGTGCCCTCGGACGTAAGAGAGAATAGGCACTCATGTTTTCATGTCCACATGTTGCATTTTCAAAGACCATTCTGGCTAACCACACCCCTCATCCTGTGCCCATATAAACCTGAGACCTTAGCGGTCACACATACAAGTGGCTGAACATCAAGAAGAGCAGAGGAACAGAGTGGCAGAACAGTGGGGAGGATCGCCTTCCCACTCCATCGTCCCTTTCCAGTTCCCCACCCATCCAGCTGAAAGCCACTTGCACCACTCAGTAAAACCTCACATTTAGCCTTTGAGTCCGTATGTGACCCGATTTTTTCTGGGAAGCTGGACAAGAGCTCGGGACACAGAAACCTGTCACACTTGCCCTCTGTCCTTGCAAAAAGGCAGAGGGTCCATTGAGCTGATTAACACAAAAACTGTCTACAGATGGCAAAGCTGAAAGAGCTTTGTAACAATGGGGTCGCAGGCACCCACTCCTAGACGCTAGCCGGAGAGCTTGCTCCAGTCTCTGCACCTGCCTGTCTGCAAGCTCCCACTTCCTCAAGGGGTTTGAACTGTGGGGTGACAGAACAGGTGGGCCACACCTCTGTTGCACGTCCTGTGAGGGGAACCAAGGAACTCTCCCATTTCATAATGGTTGTCTATACCAGTGTTGACTCATCTTAAAAGCTGAAAATGTTTGCTAACCCATAGAGTATATGGTAGATTGTTTTATTTGTTTAGTGTGCTTCCTTTCTTTCCTTCTTGCCATGCTTCCCTTTAGGTAAATTTTTTAATGGCCTCGAGATAAACATGCTCTTATTCTCGTGTTATTTGGGAGAAAATATGGTCTTTGAAGAGTCAATTAAGAATCTTGAGTTTGGGAGATTATTTTGGGTAATCTTGTGTAGAGCCTTAAATGCCATGTATAAGAGGAAGACAGCAGGAGATTTGATGTGTACATACAAAGAAGTCAATGTGAAGACAAAGACAAAGGCTGGAGTGATGTGGCCACAAGCCTAGGAATGCTGACAGCCCTCAGAAACTGAAAGAGGCAAAGAACAGTTTCTTCCCTAAAGCCCCTGGAGGGATTGCTGCCCAGCCAACATATTGATGTCAGCTCCAGGACACTGAATTCAGACTTCTGTCCTCTGGAACTGTGGGAGAACAAATTTCTGTGATTTTAAGCCATCCAGTTTGTGGTAATTTGTTATGGCAGCTATAGGAAACTAATACAGAAACTACACTTTCCTGCTTCATTGATTTTGTACTTGGCCCTGTGACTTGCTTTGGCTAATGGAGTATGAGCAGATGTTTATAGATGTCATGTCCCAGCAGAAACTTTAAATGCTTTTTTTAGCTGCCTGTCTTATTCCTGTCCTCCTTCATTAGAACATATCCCAGGTAGAGGGATATCTGGAAACTTCAGTCTGAGTTTCAGAAAAAGAAACACATGGATTGAGGCCCAGCCAAGTGCAATCAAGCACAACCAAGCCAACAAGTTAAGCCAAGATTAGATGAACCTAGCAGAACTACAGCATATCTGGGCTGGGCATGCGGTGGCTCACGCCTGTAATCTCAGCACTTTGGGAGCCCGAGGAGGGCAGATCACAAGGTCAGGAGATCGAGACCATCCTGGCTAACACAGTGAAACCCGTCTCTACTAAAAATACAAAAACAAAATTAGCCGGGCGTGGTGGCGGGCGCCTGTAGTTCCAGCTACTCGGGAGGCTGAGGCAGGAGAATGGCGTGAACCCAGGAGGTGGAGCTTGCAGTGAGCCGAGATCTCGCCACTGCACTCCAGCTTGGGCGACAGAGCCAGACTCCGTCTCAAAAAAAAAAAAAAGAACTACAGCCTATCTGTGGTCCTCATGTAATGTGAACAAGAAATAAATATTGTCATAAAATATAAAGATTTTGGTGTTACCTATTGCTCCAGCCAAAGGTGAATAATAGTACATATCATCAACCGTTGATGAATATTGTACTCCCTCTTTTTGTTTTAATTTATTATTATTATTTTTTAAAATTATCCTTTAAGTACAGAGATGTTTTTTCTAATTAAATGTTGTCTTTCTGCTGCCATTCTCTAGTGTAATGAATATTCAGCATTCTCAAGATAATAGGCCCTGAAGTGCTTGAAGGAGAGTAATAATCATTTCCTAGTCTTCCCTTCTTTATCATAATTGACCCCAACTTTAAAAATATTCCCCAATTTTAACAATGTTTTATTATTCTGATAGTCTGGGATGGTAATATCTCTCTGGAGATGTGGAAACTCTACTCTTTATTTACATTTGTGACCATAACTAGACAGCTTAGTTTATATTCAAAGATATCTAAAAGACAACAGATGAAGCATTTCTTCACTTATAGCATATACTTTTCTTTCTTCATTTTTTTTGTTCCAACTTTCATTTTTCTTTTTCAGATCTCCACATTCAACAATTCTGATTCTTCCTAAAATCTATTTTCTTTTCCTTCAAAATTTATTTTTCAATTTCTGAGGTTGATTCCAAGTACATAGTTCTACTTTAATTCTTAAATTTTTACAATAAAAATGCATTAATCTTTTGTTGTTAAATATGCCTTGTGAAATACATGTGAGTGAATTTTACTTTTATTAGACATTTTTCACTGCTGATACATGGATTTGGGCATCTTTAACAGAGAAATCATGGGTAAGTAATGACAATTATTTTTAAGTGATCACAAAAGTTTATTGACTGCTTGTAGAGAACCATCCAGGAAAGACTAATTTCAGAAAGCTGGACAAAGAATCAGTGTTGTTGCGCAGGGTAGTATAGTTAATCTATATAAGAATATCCAGCCAAGAAGGAAAGGTGGGAGGTAAGCCTGCTTTGCCACTCACCAACTTTACCATGGAGTTGTACCCACATGGAGGGAAAATTAGTATCATTTTCTATTTTACACAAAGATTCCAGGCAGTCATCAAGATGTTCCACTGTGGACTGCATCCACCTGGAAGAGGAGCCAGAGAGCAATTAAGCAAGTCACGGTAGATCAGAAAGACTCTGACTCCAGAATTTGGAATGTACAAAACCAGCACTATTGAGTAGGTGGTTGATTCAGAATAGCTGCTATCTGACTTATTCTTTACATTTCCTTCCAGATGCAGATGTTCCACAGTCACAGGTACTCCTTATGGAGTGACTTCAGTCAGACGACCATTGTTCAATCTTGCTCCAGACTGAGGCAGAAATAGTCATTCTGTGGTAATCTCTTAGTCTCCTAGATGTACAGGAGAGTGAGGGCATAAATGCCCAGGGATACAGATCCATGAAACCCATGAGATTATATGTCAGGTCACGCCAGTGAATATTTTCTTATGGGTGAGGAAAACTTGTGACTTTACCTTTTAAGGTCAATGTCAGGTTAATGGCTTTCTTATTCCTCCCTTGTAGTATATAAGGAACTTCTCATTTTATTCAGGCAAAACAATAAAGACAAGGTCTGGGTTTTAGTCCCTGCTGCACACCATTCCAACATTGATCTTCATGGTCTGAAAAGCATGAGAATCAAATATTGTTCCGCTCAGAAAGTCCCTCATAGTGTCCCTCTTCACTGGCCACAAGGTTGACCTCAAGGATCATTGCTAAAATTCCCAAGGTCAGAGCCTTCTGGGTCTACCCTGCTCAGATCCTTCCCAAGGACCCTCAGGTGCACACATTCTTTGCTTCAGGGTGGCTGAGTTAATGCACAACCATCTCAATAATCACCAGGAGTCAAGTTAATCTCTTCTCTTCCTGAGTCAAAGGGCCTCCGACTTCTGCAAGGATCATCCACCCATGCAGCCTCAAAAATTTAGGCTTTTCAAATTAGATGCCTGGGAAAGATGCCTTCAGGGAGCTACTCCACCGTTTAGCCATAAACACAAGCAATTCATCGCACCTAAGACAGGAAAGCCCAGAACTCAGGTACATGTAGGTGGGAGTAACAATCACATTTAAATCTTTTTTGCTGATGAGAAAAAAGTCAATTATATATCCTACATCAACCATAATAATAATCATAATTATAACAGCATTCTGCTCCACTAAGTAACAAAACTGCTAAAAAAAACAGTGCAGTGAAAATAGCATTTGAAATGGGCTTTATGAGTGATATGTGCATGTGTACATTTAGGTTTGGAAAATATAATATTGCATTTTGAATTGGAATTTTGAATTTTTTGACAGTCTGCCAAATAAATAAGTCAAGTTCTATGAACTCAGCATGAGCTCCAAATTGAACAAAAACTAAGAATACATGAATACAGTAGGCATGTTAATAAAAATGGTTAGTTTCTTTTGCATTCTTTTGCAATGCTAAGCCATGGAATTTTTAAAAACAATTTCCAAGTTTGTGATGTGAAAGCATAAAGTGTGTTCATAAGTTACCTAGTAATGACAGAGGGACTGGAGGGAGAAATATTTCACATAGAGAACGTGTGTTGAATTTCACTAGGATATGTGTTGGATTTTTCACTGGTTTTTGCTAAATGCAACAACGTGTTCGCTGAGTAAAACCAGTGACGGAACCTTGAGTCAGTGGGGTTGTCAGACTGGGAGGGGCCAGGTGCTAGCTATTAATAGATCCCCTGGGAGCTGAGGATGGAAACAGGTGGCCAGGACAGGTTTCAACAGCAGCGAGTACAACGTCATCAACAAGAAAAACATGTTTTGGCAGGGAGACCCACCTCTCTGTGGCAGGCAAGGTTCTGGGAATAGGCCAAGAGTAACAGAGAAATCTCAGATAGGTGGAGGTTTTGTCAACTGGTTTTAAAGCCCAGACAAAATTCTCTCATGATGGAAAGCAAATAACACCAGTAATAATTTCTTCTTATTGATCACTTACTAAGTGCAAGGCATTCTGGTATTGTTAAAAAACAATCAAGTTGGTATAATTATTGCCATTTATAAATAAGGAAATTGAGACTCAGACAGGTACAGCAACTTGCTTAATATAGAGTAGTCAATGAGTAGGCTTATACGCTTTTTTTTTTTTTTTTTTTTGAGACAGAGTCTCGCTCTGTCGCCCAGGCTGGAGTGCAGTGGCGGGATCTCGGCTCACTGCAAGCTCCGCCTCCCGGGTTCACGCCATTGTCCTGCCTCAGCCTCCCAAGTAGCTGGGACTACAGGCGCCCCCCACTACGCCCGGCTAATTTTTTGTATTTTTTTTAGTAGAGACGGGGTTTCACCGTTTTAGCCGGGATGGTCTCGATCTCCTGACCTCGTGATCCGCCCGCCTCGGCCTCCCAAAGTGCTGGGATTACAGGCGTGAGATATGCTTCTAATTTAATCTGATCTTTTGAAGACTAGTGTCAAAGGGGCTAGGACAGGAGACATGTAATCAACTGAGGGGTCACATTTAAAGGTGTAAAATAGGGATGTGGTTACTACATATGAGCTACAAAGTGGAGGGGAAGAATGTTGTAAATTCCAAGCGCCTTTCTACTAAGCATCTCAAGGTTAATTTTCCAGCCCAAGAAGATCATGGGTTCTTCTCTCCCTGGCAGTAGAAGCTCTTTTTTTTCTTCTTTTTTTTGAAAGAGTCTCGCCCTGTCGCCCAGGATGGAGTGCAGTGGCGGCATCTCGGCTCACTGCAAGCTCAGCCTCCTGGGTTCACGCCATTCTCCTGCTTCAGCCTCCCGAGTAGCTGGGACTATAGGCACCCGCCACCATGCCCTGCTAATTTTTTGTATTTTTAGTAGAGACGGGGTTTCACCATGTTAGCCAGGATGGTCTCCATCTCCCGACATTGTGATCCGCCTGCCTCCGCTTCCCAAAGTGCTGGGATTACAGGCATGAGCCACCGTGCCTGGCCGAAGCTCTTTTATATAAAGTTGATATCTTCCATCATTCATGCCTTCATTAAGATAAAAATATAAATAAGATTGATTCAATGCATGCTTTTAAGGTGATACCGTGTCCGGAATTTGTGGGTTCTTGGTCTCACTGACTTCAAGAATGAAGCCATGGACCCTTGCGGTGAGTGTTACAGTTCTTAAAGGTGGTGTGTCTGGAGTTTGTTTCTTCTGATGTCCAGAAATGTTCTAAGTTTCTTCCTTCTGGTGGGCACGTGGTCTCCCTGGCTTCAGGAGTGAAGCTGCAGACCTTCCTGGTGAGTGTTACAGTTCATAAACGCAGTGCGGCCCCAATGAGTGAGCAGCAGCAAGATTTATTGCAAGAAGTGAAAGAACAAAGCTTCCACAGTAGAAAAAGGGATCCAAGTGGGTTGCCACTGCTGGCTTGGGCAGCCTGCTTTTATTCCTTTATCTGGCTCCACCCACATCCTGCTGATTGGTGCATTTTACAGAGAGCTGATTGGTCTGTTTTACAGAGAGCTGATTGGTCTGTTTTGATGGGTGCTGACTGGTGCATTTACAATCTGAGCTAGACACAAAAATTCTCCAAGTCCCCACTAGATTAGCTAGACACAGAGCACTGATTGGTGCATTTACAAACCTTGAGCTAGACACAGGGTGTTGATTGGTGTGTTTACAAACCTTGAGCTAGATACAGAGTGCTGATTGGTGTATTTACAATCCTTTAGCTAGACATAAAGGTTCTCTGAGTCCCCACTAGATTAGCTAGACACAGAGCACTGATTGGTGCATTTACAAACGTTTAGCTAGACACAGAGTGCTGATTGGTGCATTTATAATCCTCTAGCTAGACATAAAAGTTCTCCAAGTCCCCACAAGATTAGCTACATACAGAGTGCTGATTGGTGCATTTACAAACCTTGAGCTAGACACAGGGTTCTGATGGGTGCATATACAATCCTCCAGCTAGACATAAAAGTTCTCCAAGTCCCCACTTGACTCAGAAGCCCAGCTTGCTTCGCATAGTGGATACCACACCAGGTCCATGGGCGGAGCTGCCCGCCAGTCCCGCACTGCGTTCCTGCACTCCTCAGTCCTTGGGTGGTTGATGGGACCCGGCCCCGTGGAGCAGGGAACAGCGCTCATGGGGGAGGCTCGGGCTGCACAGGAGCCCACGGTGGTGGGGAGGATCAGGCATGGTGGGCTGCAGGTCCTGAGCCCTGCCCTGTGGGGAGGCAGCTGAGGCCCACGAGAATTCGAGCACAGCGCCAGTGGGCCAGCACTGCTGGGGAACCGGGGCACCCTCCGCAGCTGCTGGCCCGGATGCTAAGCCCCTCACTGCCTGGGGCCAGTGGTGCCAGCTGGCCGCTCCGAGTGCAGGGACCCGCCGAGCCCATGCCCACCTGGAACTCGAGCTGGCCCACAAGTGCCGCGCACAGCCCCAGTTCCTGCCCGCACCTCTCCCTCCACACCTCCCTGCAAGCAGAGGGAGCTGGCTTTGACCTCGGCCAGCCCAGAGAGGGACTCCCACAGTGCAAGCGGCGGGCTGAAGGGCTCCTCAAGCACGGCCAGAGTGGGCACCGAGGCTGAGGAGGCGCCAAGAGCAAGCGAGGGCTGCCAGCATGTTGTCACCTCTCAATACCTTCTCTCTGTAGGCCTTAGTAACAGCATGAGTGTAATGAGAGCATAATTTTACACTCTTTTCCTCAATCTTTACAAAGGGGCAGTTTCCTTCGCTCCTATCCATTGGACTAACTTGTCTCTTCAGGTGTCTCCCATTTGAACATCTGCTTTTATTTATCGTGTCGTCATAGACAAGAAGCTTATTTTTCATTGTATTTACTTATTTATAAAACTTTCAGAATAAGCAATTTTAAGCTCACATTGGTGAGACCATTGAATGTTATGAGTAGATTAAGAAAATAAATTATTGAAGATCTTGCATATTAATATCATTGAGAATGTCAAATTTTTAAACATATTTTATGGTATTGTTTATGTTTTGCCTCCAGACAAGTAATAATGACTGAGGAAGCAGGCATGTCTTATGTGACTGGCACAGGAGGAATAAAGTGAAGGGAGAAATGATACACACTTTTAAACAACCAGATCTTGTGAGAACTCATTATCATGAGAACAGCAAGGGGAAGATCTGCTCCCATGATCCAGTCACCTTGCACCAGGTCCCTCGTCCAACATTGGGGATTACAGTTTGACATGAGATTTGGGTGGGGACACATATCACTTGCACTTCCTCATTTGTTGCACTTATAGATTAAATTTTTATATATGGTTATGTATGCTACCTCATTTGCTACATTTGTAGATTAAAATTTATCAGAATTTTTGAAATATTCTTGCATCAGAAACTAAACCAGTAGTAAAAAATGAAAAGACTTATTTTCTTTAAATACTTAATTTACTTATTTCGTGCACACCTATTTTACATCATGTAAGCTAGCAAACATCACAACTGAAATTTAAAGGCAGATTTTCTTTGTGCTCATTATTTGTTTCAGCATAACCCCCCCCTTTTTTTTTTTTTTTTTTTGAGGCAGAGTCTCACTCTGTCTTCCAGGCTAGAGTGCAGTGGCAAGATCTCCGCTCACTGCAAGCTCCGCCTCCCAGGTTCACGCCATTCTCCTGCCTCAGCCTCCGAAGTAGCTGGGACTTCAGGTGCCCACCACCTCGCCTGGCTAACTTTTTCGTACTTTTAGTAGAGACGGGGTTTCACCATGTTAGCCAGGATGGTCTTGATCTCGTGATCCGCCTGCCTCAGCCTCCCAAAGTGCTAGGATTACAGGCGTGAGCCACCGCGCCCAGCCAGCATAATCTTTTTTAAAGCTATCTACTGGCCGGGTGCAGTGGCTCATGCGTGTAATCCCATCATTTTGGGAGGCAAAGGTGGGCCGATCTCGGGGTCAGGAGATCAAGACCATCCTGGCCAACATGGATAAACACCGTCTCTACTAAAAATACAAAAATTAGCTGGATGTGGTGGTGCATGCCTGTAATCCCAGCTACTTGGGAGGCTGAGGCAGGAGAATCACTTGAACCAGGGAACTGGAGGTTGCAATGAGCCGAGATCGTGTCACTGCACTCCAGCCTGGTGACAGAGCAAGACTCTGTCTCAAAAAAAAAAAAAAAAATATATATATATATATATATATATATATGTAGCTATATATATAGGAAGTGCAAATGATACGTATATATGTATAGCTACCTACCTACAGGAACTGGGAATCTACTTGGGTAAAGCAGAAGGGAGTGAGGAAAGAGTTGGAAGTGAAGAACCCATATCCAATTGGATGGAAACTCCAATCATGAATTTTCCTTACATCTTAAATACTCACATGACTCATTATGCTTTGAAGTTATTAGAATAGTATACTTCCTGCTTCCCACACTGGGATACATAATCCTTGAGTATTCTGCTATGTGCCAGGGAAAAGAAATGCCATTGAATAAAAGTTAGTAAAGAATATAAAGAGGCAACTTATGAAAAAAAGAAATAGAATGCCTTTGAAACATATCAAACGGTACTCAACCATGCTCTTAAGGAAACACAAGTTATGGCAATAATGTAATATGTTTCCTCAACCGTCAGATTGGTAAAGCTAAACATTTTCTAATGCAGTATCATTAAGAATGTAAGGAAACTGGAACTGTAACTTGATATATATCTTTGAAAAAAAGTCAATATTTATCAGACTACTAAGAGCACTTACTATTTAAAGCAGCAATTCTTCTGGGAATTTCTCCCATGATATATGAACACGTATGCACAAAGGCACACAAATAGTGAAAATATTTGCAATAATAAAAGAGTAGATACTTGTATTTTGTCAATACAGGACTAGTCACATATTTTAAAATCCATGTGTGCAAATGAATAATATTCAGTGCAAACACATAGATGCATTTATGTGGTAGACTTGTATGTGCTGCTAATGATATATCTTAAAGATTAAATGGAAAAACAAATAGTATGCAAATCAGTTATAGCACACAGATACATAGAATAATCTGGAAGCCTATGTAAGAATTTTTTAAAATATTATTGCCAGCAAGCATGGAAGGGGACTAAAATTTAGTGGTTAGAGATAGACACATTTCCATTATATACATTTTTGTCTTCTTGGATTTTTTTATTTTTACATTTACATGTATTTAATTTAAAAATAAACAATGCAAAACAAGATTCCACAATTAACAAACATTTATTGAGGCAGTAGGCAGAATTTTAAGATGGTCTCCAAGTTTCCTGTCCCCTGGTGTACATGTCCTGAGGCTAGTTATAGGCCTTAAGTACAGGTGAAGCTTGTCAATTTGATGGATTTAACTTCCACGATTAGGTTACATCAGAAGGTAAAGGTAAGAAGATTTTGCAGATGTAATGCAAGCCACTAATGAGTGGATTTTAAGTTAATCAAAAGCGATATTTCCTGGGTGAGCCTGACCTAATCAAATGTGACCTTTAAAAGAGGACCTAGAGGTCATAGAGATCTTTCCTGCTGGCCTTGAGGATGGCTATATTATGTGGGGGGCCTGTGTGGCAAAACTAGAGGGCAGCCTTTATCTGCTGAGAACAATCCCTGGCTGACACTTGACTGCACCTTTATGAGGCTCTGAGCAGAAGACCCAGTTAAGCTATGCCTAGACTCTTGACCCATGAAAACTAGAAGAAAATGAAGTGGGCAGTTTTTAGGGGCTAAGCCTGTGGTAAGTTTTTATGCAATAATATAAAATTAATACAACTGACTACTTACTATGTGTATGGCAGATGCATCTGACAGCAATAACTTAAGCATATCCGAGAATGACCCTGTGTGGCAGACACACCTAAATGTATGATCTGAGTTTTGAGCTAAGGAATCTGGGAGTGGCCAACCCGAAGATCCATTTTTTACCTATGACGAACACCTGGACCCCCTCCTTGTTCTATGGAACTCAGACTGTATGGAGATCCAGGCCTTTGTTTTGGAGTGGGGGGGGTAAATGAAGGTTGCCAGGTGGAAGTTGTTAGGCTGAGGGTGCTAAATGAAAATGCTATATAAACTGAATGCTTTTTGTAAGCATTTACGGTTCTCCTCTCCATCCTGCTGTCACTAGACCGTCCCTGTAAGTTACCCGCTAATAGAACCCTATATCTTGTTTACTGGCTCTGAGTCTCTTCTTTGGCCTCTCAAATATGGTGCCATCCCTGCTGAGGTTAGTGGGGGTCTTATACGACACTATGCATCAAGCAAAATATTTAAACACGACATGGTGAATAATTTTTTCTCTTATTCTACTTGCCAAGCAAGTAGAATCGAATTCCATAAACTAAATTCTCATGATGCAGCACCCATGTATGGGGATATAGAAACCACCACAACATCTATCAAAATAGAAAGCAGACATGACAGTGAGATTAACCTTGCCTTGCAAGCTACAATACAGATAGTAAAGTTAACTCTTAGAACATTTGTATTTATCTTGCCTGCTTAGCTATTTCTAGAAAGAACACCTGAAAAGTTTTTGAAAGTGGCCTGTCTTGATGGACAGGCAGCAAAAATGACAGGTGTCAGTCTTACTGCAACAATGGTCATGACCTGGGGAAAATAAATCATGGTCAGAGTAGGCAATGGCAGCTGTGAAAAAGTAGAACAGTGTAAAAATGAAGTCATAGAATAGTGGTTCTAAAACTTGTATATCCATCACCTGATAAACTTTCAAAAGCACAGTTTCTTTGGTCCCAAATCAACCCAGTAAGTCTGGTTAAGAAAGTTTAGTTAGGTGCAGGAACCAGCATTCTTAACAAGAATATCACGTGATTCTGATGCAGGGGTGTCTATTAGAGCTGTGGGCCTTACTGACCTCATTCGATCTCTGTGCAATAATTCATGTACCAAGGCTCTGACCACCAGAGATCCCGATTATCTATGGCTGGAGTGGAGCCTGTATCTGTGTCTAAACAACGTCTCAGGTGATTCTGATATATACCAAACATTAAGTGCCACATCCATTTGCAGTGAACTAGAAAGAGAACTGACCTGAGAAAAGTCTCTGGTATTTTGAAAAGGAGGCTCATGTGAATTCAATCCTTTGGGCAAGTGACTTATTCTTTCTATGACTGAGTAAATCTTACCGGGAAAATGTATATAAACATGCTGCTCTCCCCTACATGTAAGGACATTGTGAAAAACAAAATGTAATTATGTCTAGGAAGAGCTTTGAAAAGGCAAAAGGGTTTTATTTTTTTTAACCAATGTAAGATGTTATAACAATATTTTAAAACTATGTAGCCTTAGGCTGGGTGCGGTGGCTGACGCCTGTAATCCCAGCACTTTGGGAGGCTGAGGCAGGTGGATCACGAGGTCCAGAGATCGAGACCATCCTGGCTAGCACGGTGAAACCCTGTCTCTACTAAAAATACAAAAAAAAAAAAAAAAAAATTAGCCAGGCATGGTGGTGGGCACCTGTAGTCCCAGCTTTTCAGGAGGCTGAGGCAGGAGAATCGCTTGAACGCAGGAGGCAGGGGTTGCAGTGAGCCGAGATCGCACCACGGCACTCCAGCCTGGGTGACAGAGAGAGACTCTGCCTCAAAAAATAGATAGATAGATAGATGATAGATAGATAGATAGATAGACAGACAGACAGATAAAAAAAGAAGAGTAAGGGAGAATTTATTAGAAGCCTTTAGAAGACTGTTCCTCAGACTCAAATGCTCACATGCTTATACTAGAAGTAATCACTGACAAGGAGAGGAGAGGGAAGCATCATGATGAGCTTAGACTAATCAAGATTCATCCCTGGGAGATGTGGAGGGGCCCGAATGCTATAGCGAGGAAGCAGAAGAATCAGTTGTTTTGCAAAGAAGAAGGGGTTGGGGATGACTGCTGGAGAGACAAATACAGATTTCAAACAGCATGTAAATGAATGGAACTATTAGCCAGCAAGCACATTAAGGGAACTGCAACTAGTTTAATGTAACTAGGTCATAGAGACCTAGCCGAGCTTGATGACACATGGGTCAAGAGGAGTCTCACACTTACTCTACAGAGAACAGGGAGCTAGGAAATGACACAGTGAAATTTGTGTCTGGAAAGATGATTGTGACTTTGGAGGCAAACATATAAACAGGAGAATATTAGGAAATTCAGGTGAGGGATTATAAGAGGCTAAAGTACGGACAGTGTATTAGATATGAGAATGTCAGTTTCCAGAGCTGCTTGAGAGATATAATTAATATGATCAGTTACCAGTTACATGACAGATGTGTGTGGTTAAGTCAAGACCAATCTCAAGTACTATTCACTTCTCTATATTTTATATTCTTATACATTAAAATTTTACAGTACATAAATGAGGTAAAAAACAAAATACCCCCAAGTAGAACTGACAAAATACTGATTTAATTAAGTGAAATAGTTTCAGAGATGGTAATGGATAAATACATTACAAGTTTATGGCATAAATAAGTCACACATTTCTAAAATTCACCACATATGGATACAATTTTAAAATACTCTTCTAAAACTATTGATTTTTTTGTTGTTGTTGAACATCTTCACTTTAATGTCTTAGACTGCAAATAAAACTATTACTTATACCCTCACAAAAAATCTAGTCCACTTAAAAAAAAACTTGAAAAAATATACATTCCAGTTAAAATTTTAGATGTCATTTTTTTAAAGTTGATTTGCATTAATAATAATTTTCTCAAAAAACCCTAAAGATTGAATTCCATTTTTTGTGTGTGATTGGTTTCTTTACATTTTGGAAAAAATAATTTGAGCAAAAGAATTTACACTGCTTGTTGGGGGACCCATCAGGTCTTTGAAGAGTCCAGTCCCTCTTATGGGAATAGCCTCACACTTGAAACCCAGCTGGCGCTGGCAGGGATAAGGCTGTAATCTATGTCTTTGTTACAGAGCTTTCTCTGTGTAAAGCAAAGTGATCTGTTCAAGTATTAGACTTATGACCTTTGACTCACTGGCAGCAAAATCTAACCAACTGGCCTAGCAGCTGAGAGTAGAATGGAAGAATTCCCCCATAAATGTCTGCTTGAGAGTCTGATCCAACAGAAAATACACTCTGGCCTCCTAAACTGAAACACACTCCTTCTGAGAGATCAATTAAGCCACAAGAACTGTCTTTTCTGGAAATGTGCCTTCCTAAATCTCAGAAATAAAAATCTTTTCCACAGTCAAACAAAGCAACTCAATAAGATCTCCAATGGAAATAAAGTTGTTCTTCAGGGCACTTATCTGAAGCTGATTTCTTTTAAGGTTCTTTGGCTCACTGCATTGCTATGTCCTTTTTTCTCCCCTTGAAGCGTTAAAAGAGAGAACTCCCCTTTTCATTAATTATTTGCTGAATTTTCTTAAAAAGTCAGTTACTATGTAAATATCATGGCAATTATTTGAATTAGTAAAACATATTTCCATATCAGATTCACTGATTTAGTATTCTCTGAGATTAATGAAGGGTATTTTTCAGGGAAGATAGGCTTGGTTAACAAGTCCCTGGTCACTTACTTCCCTACCCACATCCAACAGCACATTTTTTTTACTTACTTCACTGCCCATATCCAACAGCACATTTATAAAACAGTTCTACCTAGTTATTTCCAGAGACTTCATTTGTCTGGAAGAAGCCAGGTTAAAACTGTTCTAAACCTCAGACAATAATTAAAAGTTTAGAAATGGAGGAAAAGATACTATATGAAAGAAAGAAATATAATTTCTCCTATATTCTTATTCTCAAGGTTTCCTACAAAGTGAATCCTAAAATTCCTAAGACAATAGCTTAGTCTTTAACTCATAAATTTGTAGTTACTAAGCATAACATTATGTATCTAATAGCTGTTAAACTCCCTGAGAAACTGACATGACAAAAGATATTTTTTCATGCCTGTATCTTTAAAAACATTTTTAAAGAATTTTTCCTCCTGAAATAGAGGCCTGAATTGTGTCAACTTATTGGCAACATTTGATTTTGTATGTTCTGCATTAATTACCTTGACTTTTCCGACCTACTTTAACCCACTTCTCCCACCTTTGGATTAGGCTGTGTCTGACTATTATGGTAGGGGGTGATAACTACATGTGTTAATCTTAAATTTTACCATCCAATATGTAAAAAAATTAAGTGAATGAAATGAAAGTCCTAATTTCCATGGCTTTACTATTTCTTTGTTCCACAATAAGGGAAAACATTTTTTCTAGCACAATAAAAAAGAAACTTGGAAACTCTGCACTGGTACATAACTTTAAAGGATACTTTTTCACATTTTACAACAAGATAAACAAATAGTCTACAAATTAGAAAAATGTGCAAACATTACTTGGGATCTACAAAATTCTCAACTTTCTATACTTGATCTATTTTGGTAACACTATTTTAAAATCATTCCTATTTTGCCAGCATTAGACTTCAGCATTTACGATTAGATAAATTCTCTTTCTAAAAAATTTGATTCTGATATCAGAAGAATAGGCATTGTATATAAACCCAGATGTTAAAGTGCACAGAATCTATAATATTTCTTTAAAACCTATACACTTTCCATACCCTTGCAGGAAAACACATAGGAACAATAGACATCTGCCATCGTGGCTTTGTGTCAAATAGAGTTGGAAGCCAGGCTCTAATGTTGACCTCATTTGGGGAGATTACTTAAGCTCCCTGAACTTTGTTTCTCCATTTATAAATGGAAAACTAATTCTTATCTTAAAATCTCACTGGTGTGCAAGAGGGGGTAGGAAGGATTTTAAGATTATGTAGAGTATCAGAATACTTGGCACATATTAACAAATGGTAACTATTTGTGTGCCCTGTTCTACGCTGGAATAAAACCTCAGACCTGTTCTTATCTAATGTTTAGATAATTTTATATTCAAAAGGAAACTAAATGATCATTATGTAGTCTTTAAGGGAATTTAAAAAAATATAACTGCTTTTATACAAACGACAAGAAGATCTGAAAACCCTAGGTTTGCTGAAGACCTTTCATGTTCACTGCCTTCAAGTGCTATTTCTATAGAGAAAAATCCTCAGTTTTGGGGAGCTAGAAATCCATAGACGGCTTGAAGTTGCAGGTAATCATCATCATTCTAAAAAGATGATGGCCTCCTTGAAGAATAAGCTTTCAGTGCAGTTTTTAAGGCTAAGAACAATGATGTTTGGGAAACTTCTGCACTTTAAGGGGGACACAAACAGCAGAAAAATAAATCTATTTCCTCAAGCAAGTTTTTAACCATATGTACAGCCAATACACATTACAACTGTGTGTATCAACTGTTTTTTTCTAAGCATCAAAATCAGTTAGGCAACTATACTTTCTTCTCTGGGTGAGGACCTTACTTCCACCTAACAGGAGAGCTTAGTATCAAAATCTGTCTCACTTTCGGAAAATAATTAGTTATTATTGTTTATAAGAACATAGCCTCATCTCACGAACATCATACTGAGTAAAATAAGCCAAACAAAAAATAATATATACTATATAATGTCATCTATCTGAAGTCAAGAACAAGTCACAAATACTGAAGTCAGACTAGTGGTTATATATGTTGGGAGGAATTGTATTGAGTGGGAGGATTACAAGGCAGCCTTATGGGAAGTGGATGTTGTGGTGGGTGTGTATAGAAGCAAAACTTCATCCAGCTGTAGGCATAAGATCTGTACACTTTTGTATTGTGAATGTTATGACATTGATTTCTTTTCTTTTTTTTCTTTTTTTTTTTTTTTTTTTTTTTTTTTTTGAGACGGAGGCTCGCTCTGTCACCCAGGCTGGAGTGCAGTGGCGCCATCTCAGCTCACTGCAAGCTCCACCTCCCAGGTTCACACCATTCTCCTGCCTCAGCCTCCCTAGTACCTGGGACTACAGGTGCCCGCCACTGCGCCTGGCTAATTTTTTGTATTTTTAGTAGAGACGGAGTTTCACTGTGTTAGCCAAGATGGTCTCGATCTCCTGACCTCGTGATCCACCCGCCTTGGCCTCCCAAAGTGCTGGGATTACAGGCGTGTGCCACTGCACCCGGCCGATTTCTTTTTTAATATGCGTCAGTGTTTGAAGCATGTTCTAAAACTTGATATGATTTCTAGCTTTACCTTGTGACTACAGAATGGTTTGTAGTACCCATTGTAGTTTTCTGAGTCTGAAAATGTGATTATTTCTTCATGGAATCCCCCCCAAAACAATTGAAATACCTGAGAAAATTAATACATTGGAATGTATGGTTAGCAATTTATTGGCAGAATATTTTCTTATAAAGATAGATTTTGCAACACTTATCCGGCATCTAGATGTTTTCTGTTTTTTTATTTTTTAATATTTATTTCTTTATTCATTTATTTTTAGAGATGAGATCTAACTCTGTCACCCAGGCCCCAGTACAGTGGCACAATCATGGCTCAATGCAGTCTCAAACTTTTGGGCTCAAGTGATGCTCTGGCCTCAGCTTCCCAAGTAGTTGGCACTACAGGTGCATGCCATTATGCTCAGCTAACTTTTATTTTTTTATAGAGGCAGGGTCTCGCTATGTTGCCCAGGCTGGTCTCAAACTCCTAGGTTAAAGCAATCTTCCCACCTCAGCTTCCCAGAATGCTGGGATTACAGGCATGAGGATATTTTCTACCTAAAAATGTTCATTTATTGACCATAACATCTTATTCTGTGATCATGAAAATAGGTAGAAAGAGCAATGAATATTTGTACTGTAACCTAGAGCAGTGCTGTCCAATATAACTCTCTGTGATGACATAAATATTCTATGTTCATGCAGTCCAATATGGTAGCCACTAGCCACATATGGCTACTAATGACTTGACATATAGCTACTATGACTAAGGAACTTAGTTTTACATCTTATTTCATTTTAATTAATGTAAATAACCACACATGGCCAGTGACTACCATATTGAACAGGACAATTCTAGAGCTTAAAAAGTACCATCAAACCAGGCCTAGTGTCATGCACCTGTAGTTCCAGCTTACTCAGGAGGCTGAGGTGAAAGGATGGATTGAACATAAGAGTTAAAGGCCAGCCTGGGCAACATAGCAAGACCATATCTACTAAAAGAAAAAATACTTTCACACATTTTCTCATTTGTATCTTAAACTTTGTATGTATTATATAACTTCTATTTTACAAATGATAACATTAAAATTAATGGTGGCAAAGAGACAAGATCGTACAGGCATTGTGGCAGAATTACAACTGTAATTCTTTTACTGTACACCTCACTGCTTCTCTGGCTACTCACGGTCTCTATAATCTTTATTCCTGTAAGAGTTACCCTAAGAAGATGAGTGCATTAAAATCATCAAGACCCTGTTTTTCCTCTACGGATTTTCATCATATTATGAATTTCTTGGCATCAGGAAATATATTTCTGATATTTAACCTTCATGTATATAGGGCATCAGTGGCTACATGGACAATTATAGCTCCCTATGGTAAGGCCAAATATGACTTGTTCCCTAAGATTAGTAGGCGGTAAATTAGACATAAATGATCCTATAGTCATGACACTATGCCCCCAAAATCCAATATTTAAGTTAAAATTACTTAGAACACTTCTGCCTGACCTGTAAGTACCTGGCTTATGTTTGAAGACTTTTCAAATGCCTCTTCGTGATGCCTTTTCTTATTCACTATCAAAAGTGATCTCGGAAATCCTTTTTTATTCCTCTTTCAAAATGATGTCTCATTCTACTTTATATTATTTTTAAGTCTGTTGTGTGTGTGTGTGTGTGTGTGTGTGCACACTTCGAAGTCCCTAGCATATTGCATTGCACATAGAGGAACTTGGTAAATGTGTGTAGAAATTAATACGTTTCCATGGTGAATATTTTAGTGAATATATGCATAATGAAAGAAACATATTTATGACATATAGTTTCTTAAGAGTAGAAATGTGAGAATTTAGGAAAGCTATTTTAAATTTTTCCAGTAAGTTTATTTCTAATTCTTTCAGCCATGCCTTCTTACTTATCTCAATTACCCTATTCTTAGTACAACAGAGTCTTGGAAAATAAATGGATTTAGAGCAAAAACACCCTTTGACAGCAATAGCCTACAATTTTATTTTGATTACCGTATTACTTAAAAATAAGACAAATTGTCTAGATTTTATTTTCATTAAAATTGTACTCTTTTGAATTTTTACTTACTAACTCGTTTTGCTCATTTAATGTCATTGTGTTCTGTAAGAAATTCCCGTCATCAAATGCTTTTGAACAAATTTGCATGCCATAAGAAAGAATGATGTTAATTCCATTTTAATTTTCTTACCACTGTAAAATGAAATATGGTCTCTGTAAACTAAATAACACATTTTAACAGTAATTGTAAACATCAGATTTAGTATTACACAGAACAAAAAAGAAAATACGTTGTCATCCACAAACTTCAAATGTTTTAATGGCTCTTAAAATGAATCTTTTTTTTTTTAATTATACTTTAAGTTTTAGGGTACATGTGAACAATGTGCAGGTTAGTTACATATGTATACATGTGCCCTGCTGGTGTGCTGCACCCATTAACTCATCATTTAGCATTAGGTATATCTCCTAAAGCTATCCCTCTCCGCTTCCCCCACCCCACAACAGTCCCCAGAGTGTGATGTTCCCCTTCTTGTATCCATGTGTTCTCATTGTTCAATTCCCTCCTGTGAGTGAGAATATGCGGTGTTTGGTTTTTTGTTCTTGTGATAGTTTACTGAGAATGATGATTTCCAATTTCATCCATGTCCCTACAAAGGACATGAACTCATCATTTTTTATGGCTGCATAGTATTCCATGGTGTATATGTGCCACATTTTCTTAATCCAGTCTATCATTGTTGGACATTTGGGTTGGTTCCAAGTCTTTGCTATTGTGAATAGTGCTGCAATAAACATACGTGTGCATGTGTCTTTATAGCAGCATAATTTATAGTCCTTTGGGTATATACCCAGTAATGGGATGGCTGGGTCAAATGGTATTTCTAGTTCTAGATCCCTGAGGAATCGCCACACTGACTTCCACAATGGTTGAACTAGTTTACAGTCCCACCAACAGTGTAAAAGTGTTCCTGTTTCTCCACATCCTCTCCAGCACCTGTTGTTTCCTGACTTTTTAATGATCTCCATTCTAACTGGTGTGAGATGGTATCTCATTGTGGTTTTGATTTGCATTTCTCTGATAGCCAGTGATGGTGAGCATTTTTTCATGTGTTTTTTGGCTGCATAAATGTCTTCTTTTGAGAAGTGTCTGTTCATGTCCTTCACCCACTTTTCGATGGGGTTGTTTGTTTTTTCTTGTAAATTTGTTTGAGTTCATTGTAGATTCTGGATATTAGCCTTTTGTCAGATGAGTAGGTTGCGAAAATTTTCTCCCATTTTGTAGGTTGCCTGTTCACTCTGATGGTAGTTTCTTTTGCTGTACAGAAGCTCTTTAGTTTAATTAGATCCCATTTGTCAATTTTGGCTTTTGTTGCCATTGCTTTTGGTGTTTTAGACATGAAGTCCTTGCCCATGCCTATGTCCTGAATGGTAATGAGAGGTGACAGCATGCTGGCAGTCCTCACAGCCCTTGCTCGCTCTCGGCGCCTCCTCTGCCTGGGCTCCCACTTTGGCAGCACTTGAGGAGCCCTTCAGCCCACCACTGCACTGTGGGAGCCCCTTTCTGGGCTGGCCAAGGCCAGAGCCCACTCCCTCAGCTTGCAGGGAGGTGTGGAGGGAGAGGTGCAAGCGGGGCTGTGTGCGGCGCTTGTGGGCCAGCTGGAGTTCCGGGTGGGCATGGGCTTGGAGGGCCCTGCACTCGGAGCAGCCGGCTGGCCCTGCTGGCCCCAGGCAATGAGGGACTTAGCACCTGGGCCAGCGGCTGCGCAGGGTGTACTGGGTTCCCCAGAAGTGCCAGCCCACCGACCCTGCACTCGATTTCTCACCGGGCCTTAGCTGCCTTCCCGCGGGGCAGGGCTCGGGACCTGCAGCCCACCATGCCTGAGCCTTCCCCCGCCTCTGTGGGTTCCTGTGCAGCCCGAGCCTCCCCAGCGAGTGCTGCCCCCAGCTCCACAGCACCCAGTCCCATCGACTGCCCAAGGGCTGAGGAGTGCGAGCACATGGTGCAGGACTGGCAGGCAGCTCCACCTGCAGCCCTGGTGCGGGATCCACTGGGTGAAGCCAGCTGGGCTCCTGAGTCTGGTGGGGACGTGGAGAGTCTTTATGTCTAGCTCAGGGATTGTAAATACACCAATCGGCACTCTGTATCTAGCTCAAGGTTGGTACACACACCAATCAGCACCCTGTGTCTAGCTCAGGGTTTGTGAGTGCACCAATCGACACTCTGTATCTAGCTATTCTGGTGGGGCCTTGGAGAACCTTTGTGTCGACACTCTGTATCTAACTAATCTGATGGGCACAAGGAGAACCTTTGTATCTAGCTCAGGGATTGTAAATGCACCAATCAGCGCCCTGACAAAACAGGCCACTCCGCTCTACCAATCAGCAGGATGTGGGTGGGGCCAGATAAGAGAATAAAAGCAGGCTGCCCAAGCCAGCAGTGGCAACCCACTCGGGTCCCCTTCCACACTGTGGAAGCTTTGTTTTTTCTCTCTTTGTAATAAATCTTGTTGCTGCTCACTCTTTGGGTTCACGCTGCTTTTATGAGCTGTAACACTCACTGCAGAAGTCTGCAGCTTCACTCCTGAAGCCAGCGAGACCACGAGCCCATCAGGAGGAACGAACAACTCCAGACACGCCACCTTAAGAGCTGTAACACTCACCGCGAAGGTCTGCAGCTTCACTCCTGAGCCAGCTAGACCATGAACCCACCAGAAGGAAGAAACTCCAAACACATCTGAACATCAGAAGGAACAAACTCCAGATGTGCCACCTTGAGAGCTGTAACACTCACCGCGAGGGTCCGCAGCTTCATTCTTGAAGTCAGTGAGACCAAGAACCCACCGATTCCGGACACAGTAATACCTAGGTTTTCTTCTAGGGTTTTTATGGTTTTAGGTCTAATGTTTAAGTCTTTAATCCATCTTGAATTAATTTTTGTATAAGGTGTAAGGAAGGGACCCAGTTTCAGCTTTCTACATATGGCTAGCCAGTTTTCCCAGCACCATTTATTAAATAGGGAATCCTTTCCCCATCGCTTATTTTTCTCAGGTTTGTCAAAGATCAGATAGTTGTAGATACGTGGCGTTATTTCTGAGGGCTCTGTTCTGTTGCATTGATCTATATCTCTGTTTTGGTACCAGTACCATGCTGTTTTGGTTACTGTAGCCTTGTAGTATAGTTTGAAGTCAGGTTGCATGATGCCTCCAGCTTTGTTCTTTTGGCTAGGATTGACTTGGTGATGCGGGCTCTTTTTTGGTGCCATATGAACTTTAAAGTAGTTTTTTCCAATTCTGTGAAGAAAGTCATTGGTAGCTTGATGGGGATAGCACTGAACCTATAAATTACCTTGGGCAGTATGGCCATTTTCACGATATTGATTCTTCCTACCCATGAGCATGGAATGTTCTTCCATTTGTTTGTATCCTCTTTTATTTCACTGAGCAGTTGTTTGTAGTTCTCCTTGAAGAGGTCCTTCACGTCCCTTGTAAATTGGATTCCTAGGTATTTTATTCTCTTTGAAGCAATTGTGAATGGGAGTTCACTCATGATTTGGCTCTCTGTTTGTCTGTTATTAATGTATAAGAATGCTTGTGATGTTTGTACACTGATTTTGTATCCTGAGACTTTGCTGAAGTTGCTTATCAGCCTAAGGAGATTTTGGGCTGAGACAATGGGGTTTTCTAGATATACAATCATGTCATCTGCAAACAGGGACAATTTGACTTCCTCTTTTCCTAATTGAATACCCTTTATTTCCTTCTCCTGCCTAATTGCCCTGGCCAGAACTTCCAACACTATGTTGAATAGGAGGGGTGAGAGAGGGCATCTCTGTCTTGTGCCAGTTTTCAAAGGAAATGCTTCCAGTTTTTGCCCATTCAGTATGATATTGGCTGTGGGTTTGTCATAGATAACTCTTATTATTTTGAGATATGTCCCATCAATACCTAATTTATTGAGAGTTTTTAGCATGAAGGGTTGTTGAATTTTGTCAAAGGCCTTTTCTGCATCTATTGAGATAATCATGTGGTTTTTGTCTTTGGTTCTGTTTATATGCTGGATTACATTGATTGATTTGCATATATTGAACCAGCCTTGCATCCCAGGGATGAAGCCCACTTGATCATGGTGGATAAGCTTTTTGATGTACTGCTGGATTCGGTTTGCCAGTATTTTATTGAGGATTTTTGCATCAATGTTCATCAAGGATATTGGTCTAAAATTCTCTTTTTTGGTTGTGTCTCTGCGCGCTTTGGTATCAGGATGATGCTGGCCTCATAAAATGAGTTAGGGAGGATTCCCTCTTTTTCTATTGATTGGAATAGTTTCAGAAGGAATGGTACCAGTTCCTCTTTGTACCTCTGGTAGAATTTGGCTGTGAATCCATCTGGTCCTGGACTCTTTTTAGTTGGTAAGCTATTGATTATTGCCACAATTTCAGAGCCTGTTATTGGTCTATTCAGAGATTCAACTTCTTCCTGGTTTAGTCTTGGGAGGGTGTATGTGTCGAGGAATTTATCCATTTCTTCTAGATTTTCTAGTTTATTTGCGTAGAGGTGTTTATAGTATTCTCTGATGGTAGTTTGTATTTCTGTGGGATCAGTGGTAATATCCCCTTTATCATTTTTTATTGCGTCTATTTGATTCTTCTCTCTTTTCTTCTTTATTAGTCTTGCTAGCAGTCTATCAATTTTGTTGATCCTTTCAAAAAACCAGCTCCTGGATTCATTAATTTTTTGAAGCGTTTTTTGTGTCTCTATTTCCTTCAGTTCTGCTCTGATTTTAGTTATTTCTTGCCTTCTGCTAGCTTTTGAATGTGTTTGCTCTTGCTTTTCTAGTTCTTTTAATTGTGATGTTAGAGTGTCAATTTTGGATCTTTCCTGCTTTCTCTTGTGGGCATTTAGTGCTATAAATTTCCCTCTACACACTGCTTTGAATGTGTCCCAGAGATTCTGGTATGTTGTGTGTTTGTTCTCGTTGGTTTCAAAGAACATCTTTATTTCTGCCTTCATTTTGTTATGTACCCAATAGTCATTCAGGAGCAGGTTGTTCAGTTTCCATGCAGTTGAGCGGTTTTGAGTGAGTTAAACCTCTCCACAAGACTCACAAGCTTTTTATCATCAGGACATGGCTCAAATCTAGTTGTACACCTTCAGTTTTTTCAACTGAATCTTTTGAGTGTTGAATTGTTCTTTTTGCTTCCTGGAAGAGTCTGTTCCCAGGGCTTATCATGGATGGCTTATTGTCTCAGCTTAAATATCACCTCTTCAGAATGAAGGTTCTTGACCAGGTAGTCTAAAGTAGAACCTACCCTGTCTTGTGTTCTTTCACTGACTCTTTTTTCTAACACATTAAACATTTTCTCTGGTTTCATTCACAATGATTTCAATGAGTAACAGAAATCCAGAGTGGCATTGATTTATACAATTGTGATCACTGGCTTACACAGCAAATATCCAGAGGCAGGGGGGAATTGACATGGCTCAATCATAGCCTTATTTCTCTGAGATCTTCTCAGCCACTCAGGGATAGGGCAGCTCTAGGCATCACAAACACAAGAGCAAAGAAGCCATTTTCTTCCCAGTGGCTTTCTCTTAAGAGTGAGACAACTTTTCCCCTAGAGGTTTGAATAGTGTCCCCTCGTATTTCATTGGCTAGAATTGTGTTACATTACCATTCCTGACTTCATTGCTTTGAACTGAATCACTCAGCTGATTGTTTGCAAAGAGATGGAATTGCTTTTAGAACAAATACGTTCATACAGGGTAAGAGAGGAAACATCCATCAGCTTCCCCAGAAGTTTATAAGCTACATATGTAAAGAGTAAATCCCCCTGACCCCCAGCCAAAAAAAATCAGAGCAAATAGATGCTGGGGAGGCAAAAAAAAAAAAGTGTACTGCAACCCAGTTATAGTTCTTCATGGCATGGTTGCCATTTAAAATTACTTACAGGGTTTTTAGTTGATTTTTGTTTGACTCCCTAAGGAGAATCCAAATAATCCAGGAGAATAGAGATCTGGTATGTTTGGTCCACTACTGTGTCCTCAGAGGCTAAGTTTGACACGTGGTATATTAGAGAATATGTTACATTTAATAAATGGTCACTCCACTTGTGTTCCTTCCTAGCTAACTTCTACTCATCCTTTTGTTCTTAGCTTTGATGCATCACTTCCTCTACTAAAATTTCACTGACCTACCAAACTCAGTAATTACACAGCATCCCACAGATTGTGTTTTTAATAATCTGTGTCAACTACGAGGTCATGAACTGAGACATTGTTCTCTTTCTAACTTGGTCACTGTTGTATTGCCATTGTTGAGCCGTATTTCTATGACACAACAGGCATTCAACATATATTTGCTGAATAGAGGAATAGAGGAAGAAAACAACACATAAAGGTTCTATTTGAAAGTGTCCTTTCAACAAATATTACCCTTGGAAAAAAAATTGGAAACTTCAATTTAGTACTTCAATATGGCAATGTTGTTATGACAATTTAAAGTTGCACAACCTATAGTAACCATAAATAATACGTATAAGTTAAGAAATACGTAGCAAACAAGCAGATGAAGGCCAGTGCTGGTGTCCACAGAAAAGCCTGCTGAAGTTTGGCTGGGCCTAAAACTCTATGGTCTGGCTGTGTTCCTTCAAAGACCAGCTTTCAGTGCCCAAAAGTAGAGGTCATCAGAAAACTCATACAAATATGAGAGTAAATTTATTTATGAGAAACAACTACAAAACCAGAGTAACTGAAATCCAAATTATCAGAGCATTCTGTCCTTGGGTCACATTAAAGGGAAGTTGAACATCAGAATCTTGCTTTAGTATGTATACATATATATTTTAAATTCTATCTTTATCTGCTATAGTTAAGAAATATTCTTTCTTACTCTGTGAGTAATCTTGCCAACTGTATGGAAGTCAAATTACCAAGACTAAAATTGAGCCATAAAAGTTTGGGGAAGCTTCTACTCACTATAGAAAGAGCTTTGCCAATTCAACTAGAATATTTAAATGCTTAGTTAAGATATTACAAAGTTCTGCTTTAATATCTCTTGCTTTCTGTTTTATTCTTGTCCTGATGATCCCATGCTTATACTTCACTCTCCTCTGTTATGTATGAATACCATTTTTAAATGTCATAGCTTTACTTACAAATAAAACTTTCCTGTTAAAACAGCTTCTTTGATCAGAGAGAGAATTTTCAACACATGTTTAAACTTCTTGTTTTAGATTAGTCCCTCAGGGCAAGCTGACCTCTCATTAATTGTGAATTTCATGGTTAAAATTTAATGTAAGCTTAAAAAGATACTTTATTCAAGTCCCCAAAAAGGAACAGTGTAACATTCTATTTCATTTTATTTTCTACAGTTTCTTTGGTCAAGATATCTACGCAAGTTTGGAATTCCATAAAACTTTTGATGTTAACTCATATTACAAGCCATTTTTTTCTTTTGCTTTATTCAGCTGGGCTTCTTGTCAAGAAGATCCTGACAACTGTGAAAACACTTTTTTCGTGACTTTGAGTCAATTCAAGAAGAGGTAGGTTAATTTTGTTTTCTAGTCCTTGGTATTATAAATCATCTGCAATATGTCTGTGCTCTTGAACTATATGCAATATTTATTTCTACGTAGGGCTATGTTTTCCCTTTTACATTTTCTTTTATATGTTTATTTTAATAGGAGAGATGAATTCTGTTTCTAAGTAAAGCAAATATAACATAATCAATAACGGCGACTGCACAGAGCAGTTACATGCTCACCTGAGAGTCTTCCAAAAGTTATGGAATGCTTTGTCATTGGAACATTTTTCTTGGAAACTTTTGATGATTATATTTTACTTGGGGTTAGAAAGGCATTTCTTTTTTAAATAAAATAATGTCTTCTCCAATTTAAATAAGTTTGGTCAACCTTTTTAAATGGGTTTAATTTTTTGATAACATTTATGGGAGAATGGTCTGACTAGATAGTATGACAGTTGGTATCAGCATATAGAGAACAAGGGATTTCCTTCCTTCCTTCGGCTTTTTGAGGGTTGTCTATTGAACAATGGAAAGATAAATCAGAACAACTTTCTTCTTCACTCTAGCTGGTGGTAATCACCTGAGTTTGGAAGACCTGTAGATTGGCATTAGAACCTAGCATATAAACACACCCCACCAAAAACTGAGTAGGTCCTATCTCATTATTTCTATAAATATATAATTCCCTATGTGAAAGAAACAGAGTCATTCGCATCCCTCAGGGAAGTGATTGTTAAGAACACTTACTTTGATCTGCATATGCTGCAGTGACACAACATTGAGGAATGAATGAACCACTGCTGCTCCTGCTGTCGCAACATAGACAGCACTGCTGCTAAGACTGCCGCTTCTTTCCCAGGGGTTCTATCAGTCTTGGGCACTCTGACACCATTGCCATTTTCTCTACCAAGAGTTGCACAGAGCATGATCTTAAAATATCACAAATCTATAGCCACCGAATAAAAGGGAAGTGTATCAGAAGGATAAAAAGAAAGAAAATGAAATGTAACCTGATAACCCAGCCAAACAAGACTGTAGGTACAAATTGAGGTCATACTAATATTATTACCAAACTTCGCTAGTTTGCCTTACATAACTGGATGACCTCATCACATCATCCCCCTTCCAAGTATCATGTCATGCTCTTTTTTTTTTTTTTTTTTTTTTTTGAGATGGAGTCTCACTCTTTTGCCCAGGATGGAATGAAGTGGCACCATCTCAGCTCACTGCAAATTCTGCCTCCCAGGTTCAAGTGATTCTCCTGCCTCAGCCTCCCAAGTAGTTGGGATTACAGGCGCCTACCGCCATGCCTGGCTAATTTTTGTATTTTTAGTAGAGACGGGGTTTTGCCATGTTGGCCAGGCTGGTCTTGAACTCCTGACCTCAGGTGATCCGCCCGCCTCGGCCTCCCAAAGTGCATGTCATGCTCTACTATCTGTAGTTCTGAAGTCATGTGATGAAACCATGTCATCATTGCTGTGATGCTGTACCTCCTAAAAGAGTGACTAGAGTGACTTCCTGGCCAAGATTTTGTCTAGTGCTCTAAAAGCTCCAAACTATTTGGTGACTTGACTATGCATTATCTTTTTAGTTTTCTATACTGGTAATACAGTCCAGACTTCTAATATTGGTTGCTAGAGACAGCTATAAACATGGTACTGAGGGAGCTATACTGAAACGTCTCCTTTCCTTTTGCCTTAAAATTGGACACATGCTACCAACATTAGCTTCAGCCAGAGTGTGCACTACAATTGACTTCACATTTTCTCTACCTCTGTGGAAGTTATGTATGTGCTTTAGTTGGACACTTCTTAATGATGAAAAATGCAGCCTTGGTATTTTTAAAAATCATATTCTCTGGTGGCTCCCGCCTGTAATCCCAGCACTTCGGGAGGCTGAGGTGGGCGGATCACAAGGTCAGGAGATTGAGACCATCCTGGCTAACACGGTGAAACCCCCACTAAAAATACAAAAAATTAGCCAGGCATGGTGGCGTGCACCTGTAATCCCAGCTACTCAGGAGGCTGAGGCAGGAGAATAGCATGAACCCAGGAGGTGGAGCTTGCAGTGAGTCGAGATGGCATCACTGCACTCCAGCCTGGGCAACAGAGTGAGACTCCATCTCAAAAAAAAAAAAAAAACCTCATATTCTCTCCTGTTACTGAAAAACTAGGGGTCTGTCTAGGTCTTGCTACTTGCTACACAAAAAGCTGATGTCTGAGAAAGCAAGTATTGGCAAGGAAGAAGGCTTTACTCAGGTGCTGCAGCCCAGGAGACGGGGGCTCAGCCTCAAATTCATCTCCCTGACTGAGTAAAACTAGCAGTTTATATAGCAGGGAAGAAATGAAACAATGTGTATAAAAACAGGAACTAGGGAGGGGCAAGGAAGCAATCATGATGAATGAGGGGTCTGGTATCTCCTTGTCTGGATGTGATCTGGTGAATTTTAGTTCTTTGATACTTTTTGAGGGGCCAGAGGGATCCTTTCCTGAGGAAGGAACTCAGATAAAACAAATAAAAGTGCCAAGCTTTAAGACTCAAAGGATCAATTTCTATGTTTATCAAAACTATCTATGGGACTATTGGGTTGGTTTCACTCCCAGAGGCTTGATGATGTACACAGCCAAAGACTCCTGGTGGCTGGTTATTATGTCATGACTTCTGGCCTGAGATAACCATTTTTGCTTCAGGGTCTCCATTAGTAAGTAGAAGCCAGTTACCACGGTCATCCCCAAGACTACTTGAATATTTGGCAAAAGTCACGTTCCCTTCTCAGACAGTTGCCCATTGCACATACTTCTCTGTTGCTCTCAGTTTCCCTATTAATCACCATATACATAGCAGCCAGGTAGGTATCTGAGACTTTTTGATGACTCTCATTCTCTATTAACAACAATAAAAGCTTGGGAAAGCCAAGACTACTTCTGCATATATCCATCCCAACACTTTGTCCTCAGGTTTCTTTGTGCTCAGTCCACTACCGGAAGGAAGAAGCAGCAGGTCCCATTTAACTCCACATTCAAGTTACATTCTCCAATCCAGTTTTACCACTGTTTAAGTTAATATGTAGATTATTACCTCACTCCTGTATCTATTTCTCAATTGGCTTAGAATCTGGAACTGATGAGAAAGAATCTCTCCAACTGCAACACATTCCTTTTGTGATTAATGTTCTTTCTCCGATTCTCTCTCTTGTCCTTTATGATACCATCAGTCTATTCTTACTCCATTTCTAAGCGGAGTAAAGTTCTTTTTTGTCTTAGCCCAAACTCTGTTATTAGAATCTCTTTTTATTCTAGATGGTTCACCAATGTATTTTTGTTAAACACCATAAAATTCCTAAATTCCTTCTCTAAAAGAAAATTTTAAATCAGCTGTGATTATTTTCTCCTTTCTTTCTTTCTTTCTTCCTTTTTATTTTTTTTTTCCACAGAGTTTTCCTCTTGTTGCCCAGGCTAGAGTGCTAGAATGCAATGCAAAGGCTGGAGTGCAATGGTGTGATCTTGGCTCACTGGAACCTCTGCCTCCCAGGTTCAAACAATTCTCCTGCCTCAGCCTCCTGAGTAGCTGGGATTACAGGTGCCTGCCACCATGCCTGGATTTTTTTTTTTTTTTGTATTTTAATAGGGATGGGGTTTCACCATGTTGGCCAAGGTGGTCTCAAACTCCTGACCTCAGGTAATTCACCTGCATTGGCCTCTCAAAGTGCTGGAATTACAGGCATGAGTGACCGCACCTGGCCTCTTTTCATTGTTAATAGATCTTGGTCTTGTTTGCTCAATGCATAGTCTTTTAAGTATTGATCCTTAATTCCTTGATTCTTATGAAATAATTTATAATTATCCCATATAAATAGCAAAAAGCCTTCTGAGCTTTATATATATAATGTATATAATATAATATATATTTAATATAATATATAATATATAATCCCAATGTTCAACATGAGATTTGAGTGGGGACACAGAGCGAAACCATCTCATTCTGCCCCGGCCCCTCCCAAAAGTCATGTTCTTCTCACATTTCAAAACACAATCATGCCTCCCGAACAGTCCCCCAAAGTCTTAGCTCATTCCAGCATTAACTCAAATGTCCAAGTCAAAAGTCTCATCTGACACAAGGCAAGTCCCTCCTGCCTATAAGCCTGTAAAATAAAAAACAAGTTAGTTGCTTCCAAGATACAATGGCAGTACAGGCATTGGGTAAATGCTGTCATTCCAAGGGGAGAAATTGGCCAATGGGGCTATAGGTCCCATGCAAGTCTGAAACCCAGCAGGGTAGTCGTTAAATCCTAAAGCTCCAGAATAATCTCCTTCGGCTCCATGTCTCACATCCAGGGCACACTGATGCAACGGGTGGGCTCCCACAGCCTTGGGCAGTTCCACCCCTGTGGCTTGGCAGGGTACAGCCCTGCAGCTGCTTTCACAGGCTATTGTTGAGTGCCTGAAGCTTTTCCAGATGCTCAATAGATCTACCATTCTGGGATCTGGAGGACAACAGCCCTCTTCTCACAGCTCTACCAAGCTGCGCCCCGGTGGGCATTCTGTGTGGAGGATCCAACCCCACAATTCCCCTTCGTACTGCCCTAGTTGAGTTTATCCATGAGGGATCCACCACTGTACCAGACTTCTGCCTGGACATCCAGGCATTTCCATACATCCCCTAAAATCTAGGTGGAGGTTTTCAAGCCTCAACTTTTGCCTTCTGTGCACCTACAGGCCCAACACCATGTGGAAGCCACTAAGGCTTGGGGATTGCACCCTCTGAAGCAATGGCCCAAGTTGTACCTTGGCCCCTTTTAGCCATGGCTGGAGCTGGAGTGGCCACAATGCAGAGAGGCTGCACAGAGCAGCTGGCCCTGGGCCTGGCCCATGAAACTATTTTCCCTTCTAGCCCTCCAGGCCTGTGATAGGAGGGGCTGCCACAAAGTTCTCTGAAATGTCTTGGAAGCATTTTCCCATTGTCTTGGCTATTAATACTTGGTGGCTCTTTCCTTATGTAAATTCCTTCAGGCTTCTTGAATTCCTCCCCAGGAAATGGGTTTTTGTTTTTTTATCACATAGCTGAGCTGTAAATTTTCCAAACTTTTATATTCTGCTTCTCTTTTAAATGTAGGTTCCAGTTTCAGATCATTTCTTTGTTTATGCAAAGGATTGTAGCCTTTTAGAAGCAGCCAGGCTACATCTTGAATGCTTTGCTGCTTAAAAAGTTCTTCTGCCAGATGCCCTAAATCATCTCTCTCTGCTGGGTGCAGTGGCTCATGCCTGTGATCCCAGCACTTTGGGAGGCTGAGGTGGGTGGATCACCTGAGGTCAGGAGTTCAAGACCAGCCTGGCCAACATGATATAACCCTGTCTCTACTAAAAATGCAAAAATTAGCTGGACCTGGTGGTGGCTACCTGTTATCCCAGTTACTCAGGAGGCTGAGACAAGAGAATTGCTTGAACCTGGGTGGTGGAGGTTGCAGTGAGCCGAGATAGCACCATTGCATTCCAGCCTCAGCAACAGAGTGAGACTCTGTCTCAAAAAAAAAAAAAAGAAAGAAAAGAAAAGAACAAATGATCTCGCTCAAGTTCGAAGTTTCACAGATCCCTAGAGTAGGGTGACAATGCTGCCAGTCTCTTTGCTAAAGCATAGCAAGGGTGACCTTTATTCTAGTTTCCAATAAGTTCCTCATCTTTACCTGATACCTCCTCAGCCTGGACTTCATTGTCCATACCACTATCAGCATTTTGGTCAAAACCATTCAACAAGTTTCTAGGTAGTTCCCAGTGTTCTCTCATTTTTCTGTCATCTTCTGAGCCCTCCAAACTGTTCCAACCTCTGCCCATTACTCAGTTCCAAAGCTGCTTCCAGATTTTCAGGTATATTTATAACAATGCCCCACTTCTCTGGTAGCAATTTTCTGTATTAGACCATTATCACACTGCTGTAAAGAAATACCTGAGACTGAGTAATTTATGAAGAAAAGAGATTTAATTGACTCACAGTTCCACAGGTTGTACAGGAGGCATGGCTGGGGAAGCCTCAGGAAACTTAACAATCCTGGGCAAAGGTGAAACAAATATGTCTTCACATGGTGGAGAGAGAGAGAGACAGGCAGGAAGAGAGCCTCTGGAAGGTAGATGAGGTTGTAAATGTGGGGCCCTAATGATGGGATTTGTAAAAGGAGACATCAGAAAGCTTGTTCTTATTCTCTCAGCCATGTGAGGCCCTCACCACAACCAGACCATGCAATCATCCTGATCTTGGAATTCCAGCTACCAGTAGTTCTATGAAAAAATAAGTATCTGTTGCTTATGCTACCCAGTCAGTGATATTTTGTTATGGAAGCCTGAGCTGACTAAAACATAGTTATTTAAAGTATATCAGTAGAATTTCTAGCTTTTTTTTTTTTTTTTTTTTTTTTTTTTTTTTTAGACAGAGTCTCACTCTGTCACCATGCTGGAGTGCAGTGGTGCGATCTTGGGTCACTGCAACCTCTGACTCCCTGGTTCAAGTGATTATCCTGCCTCAGCCTCCCGAGTAGCTGGGATTATAGGCACGTGCTTCCATGCCAAGCTAATTTTTGTATTTTTAGTAGAGATGGGGTTTCACCATGTTGGCCAGGATGGTCCCCATCTCCTGACCTTGTGATCTGCCAGCCTTGGCCTCCCAAAGTGATGTGATTACAGGCATGAGTCACCATGCCCAGCCCGAATTACTAGCTTTTTTTTTTTTTTTTTTTTGAGATGGAGTCTTGCACTGTCACCCAGGCTGGAGTGCAGTGGCACGATCTCGGCTGACTGTAAGATCCACCTCCCGGATTCACGCCATTCTCCTGCCTCAGCCTCCCCAGCAGCTGGGCCTACAGGCGCCTGCCACCACGCCCGGCTAAGTTTTTGTATTTTCAGTGGAGATGGGGTTTCACCGTGTTAGCCAGGATGGTCTTGATCTCCTGACCTTGTGATCCGCCGGCCTTGGCCTCCCAAAGTGCTGGGATTACAGGCATGAGCCACTGCACCCGGCCCGAATTTCTAGCTTCTTAACAGGGGGCCAGGAGCTTGAAGCTTTTGAGATTTAATCAAGAAAATGGTGTATTTTATACTTACTGAGGAAATTTGGATTTTTACCTATGTACTACAAAAAGCCTACGGATGTTTTTCAGTGGTAGAGGGATGTGTTTTCGATATGGTTTAAAGGAAGATAACTAATGGTGCTTGAATGACAAAAAGGAATATGGAGGGAGTAGACAGATGTGAAAGACAGTTAAACAAGCAACTTTTTCAGTGGGCCACTAGCGAGCTGGGGGTGACATCCCGGAAGAAAAGTGGGGATAGAAAAAAAAAAGATCCTACAATCATCTCTGATATAGTATCCATAGAATTTACTTAACAATTGAATATATATTATCAATATGAATTAAAAATAGTTCTGCCATTAGATGCATACAACCAAATCAAACCATATTAGGGACAATACGGTCAAGGAAAACAGGCAAACAGTCCCATGGATGGCCCCATCTTTCCTTGCCTACCCTCTGGAAATTTTTCTACATTCCCCAGTGCCAGAGGACCATAGGAGTGTCTGGCATAATATTGTCTTTCTCTCCTCTAGAATTCCTAGTGTGTCCGGAATTGGTGGGTTCTTGGTCTCACTGACTTCAAGAATGAAGCCGCGGACCCTCGCGGTGAGTGTTACAGCTCTTAAGGTGGCGCGTCTGGAGTTTGTTGCTTCTGATGTTCAGATGTGTTCGGAGTTTCTTCCTTCTGGTGGGTTTGTGGTCTCGCTGGATCAGGAGTGAAGCTGCAGACCTTCGCGGTGAGTGTTACAGCTCTTAAGGCAGAGTGTCTGGAGTTGTTCGTTCCTCCTGGTGGGCTCGTGGTCTCGCGGGGCTCAGGAGTGAAGCTGCAGATCTTTGTAGTGAGTGTTACAGCTCATAAAAGCAGCGTGGACACAAAGAGTGAGCACTGGCAAGATTTATTGCAAAGAGCGAAAGAACAAAGCTTCCACAGTGTGGAAGGGGACCCGAGCGGGTTGCCACTGCTGGCTCAGGCAGCCTGCTTTTATTCTCTTATCTGGCCCCACCCACGTCCTGATTGGTAGAGCCAAGTGGTCTGTTTTGACAGGGCGCTGATTGGTGCGTTTACATTCCCTGAGCTAGACACAAAGGTTCTCCATGTCCCCATCAGATTAGTTAGATACAGAGTATCGACACAAAGGTTCTCCAAGGCCCCACCAGAGTAGCTAGATACAGAGTGTCGATTGGTGCACTCACAAACCCTGAGCTAGACACAGGGTGCTGATTGGTGTGTTTACAAACCTTGAGCTAGATACAGAGTGCTGATTGGTGTATTTACAATCCCTGAGCTAGACATAAAGGTTCTCCAAGGCCCCACCAGAGTAGCCAGAGTGTCTATTGGTGCACTCACAAACCCTGAGCTAGACACACAGTGCTGATTGGAGTGTTTACAAACCTTGAGCTAGATACAGAGTGCCGATTGGTGTGTTTACAATCCCTGAGCTAGACATAAAGGTTCTCCAAGGCCCCACCAGAGTAGCTAGATACAGAGTGTCGATTGGTGCACTCACAAACCTTGAGCTAAACACAGGGTGCTGATTGGTGTATTTACAATCCCTGAGCTAGACATAAAGGTTCTCCAAGGCCCCACCAGAGCAGCTACATACAGAGTGTCGACTGGTGCACTCACAAACCTTGAGCTAAACACAGGGTGCTGATTGGTGTATTTACAATCCCTGAGCTAGACATAAAGACTCTCCACGTCCCCACCAGACTCAGGAGCCCAGCTGGCTTCACCTAGTGGATCCTGCACTGGGGCTGCAGGTGGAGCTGCCTGCCAGTCCCGCACCGTGTGCTCGCACTCCTCAGCCCTTGGGTGGTCGATGGGACTGGGAGCCGTGGAGCAGGGGGTGGTGCTCGTTGGGGAGGCTCAGGCCGCACAGGAGCCCATGGAGGGGGTGGGAGGCTCAGGCATGGCGGGCTGCAGGTCCCGAGCCCTGCCCCACGGGAAGGCAGCTAAGGCCCGGCGAGCAATCGAGCACAGCACCGGTGGGCTGGCACTGCTGGGGGACCCAGTACACTCTCCGCAGCCACTGGCCCGGGTGCTAAGTCCCTCATTGCCCAGGGCCAGCAGGGCTGGCTGGCTGCTCCGAGTGCGGGCCCACCAAGCCCACACCCACCCGGAACTCCAGCTGGCCCACAAGCGCCGCACGCAGCCCCGGTTCCCGCTCGCGCCTCTCCCTCCACACCTCCCTGCAAGCTGAGGGAGTGGGCTCAGGCCTTGGCCAGCCCAGAAAGGGGCTCCCACAGTGCAGTGGGGGGCTGAAGGGCTCCTCAAATGCCGCCAAAGTGGGAGCCCAGGCAGAGGAGGTGCCGAGAGCAAGCGAGGGCTCTGAGGACTGCCAGCACACTGTCACCTCTCACTAGGAAGTATACATTTTCTTAATCTAGTATGTTTTCTTAAATATAGTAGGTATACTATAGAGCTAAGAAAAGCTCTTCTTCCTTTTCTTCCATTGTTCCATTGTTTTTGTTCTCTCTACTTCCTAGCATAGTAATAGTCATACCTATCAGTAAAAGTCTGCAAACCATAATATAACTCTAAGAGTTGTAATTGGAGATTTAAATAAAAAATAAACCTCTAAACAGGAGTCAAGCCACCTCAGTTAAATTTCTGTTTTCATTACTTGCTGTGTAATCAGAGAATAGTCAAAATATTAGTGTGTCATATTAGACTAAGAGTGAAATCCTTAAGGAATCCTCATCTTTCAATCAATTCTTAGGTTTTTTACTTTTTGTTTCCAATCTAGGAAAATTGGGAGCCACAATATTAAATGTTAAATGTCCACATATTGTTGTATGAATGAGTATGGCATGCCAGAGTTCACATTTAATCCTTACATGATTATTTCTAATTTGCCTCTTCATCCCCAGGACTTAGCCTGGGGATAAGCATATGACATTTGTTCAACAAATGTTTCTTGAACTGAAAACTCAGACCTTCCTGGCTTCGTATTCCTCAGTTGTAAATAGCGAGTGCCGGGATGTCTGATTTCTATTTTTTTTTTTTTTTTTTTTTTTGACAGAGTCTCGCTCTGTCTCCACAGGCTGGAGTGCAGTGGCACAATCTCTGTTCACAGCAACCTCTGCCTCCCGGTTCAAGCAATTCTCTGCCCCTGCCTCCCGAGCAGCTGGGACTACAGGCGCCCGCCACCACGCCCAGCTAATTTTTTGTATTTTTAGTAGAGACGAGGTTTCACAGTGTTAGCCAGGATGGTCTTGATCTCTTGACCTCATGATCTGCCCACCTTGGCCTCCCAAAGTGCTGGGATTACAGGTGTGAGCCACCGCGCCCAGCCGAGATGCCTGATTTCTAAGGTCCTTCCAAGCTCTGTGAGTTCTATAAGCACTATGGCAGGGCTAATTAGTCCTGATCTCACCTCGGAAAATAAAATTCAATCCCTAACCAATATAAAAGAGAGAATATGAAAAAGAAGACATGTACTATGATATTTAATGGGTATAAGTTGAACATATAAATGCCTCACATAATTCTTTTATACAATTTAATCAAGAGGCAACATAGTGCCGAAATCATCAAGAGAACAGGAGAGACTTGAACAACTTTCTTTTTTGACAAAATAGCATAGATAACATTTATTAGTACATAAATGCCAGAAGAAGACAACATGGTTTATGTTATCAGTCAAAAGCCCTCAGTACCAGTTCTATGCAACCATGTAGGCTCTTAAGACTCAGTTCGCCGGGTGCGGTGGCTCACGCCTGTAATCCCAGCACTTTGGGAAGCCAAGGTGGGCAGATCACAAGGTCAGGAGTTCAAGACCAGCCTGGCCAAGATGGTGCAACCCCATCTCTACTAAAAATACAGAAAAAATTAGCCAGGCCTGCTGGCGAGCACCTGTAATCCCAGCTACTTGGGAGGCTGGGGCAGAGAATTGCTTGAACCCAGGAGGTGGAGTTTGCAGTGAGTCGAGATCGCGTCACTGCACTCCAGCCTGGGAGACAGAGCGAGACTCCGTCTCAAAAAAAATAAAAATAAAAAGACTCAGTTCTTGCTCTTGAGGCATACAGCAAATTAGGGAGATGAGACATAACAACATACAAAGTTATAATACACCTTGAATTATATTTTATTGTATGCTAAGGTAAAGGGACAGGCCATTTGATGTTCAGGAACTGTGGCGTAACTAAAGTTTGAAGGGCCCACTTGTTTAAATACCTGCAACTCACTTGCAGCAGGTCAGGCAGGTTACCAGAGTAAATGTTGAGAAGCTCACTGAAATAAAAGACTTCTCTGAATGTACAAATATTGTAAAATGAATTCCATTAAAGTGTAAAGCTGGCTCAGTAGACTGGAATAGTTCCTAGAGCTAAACTCTGTTTGCTTCTTCAAATGGTATTAAATGTAACTTAATTATTCTATTTAAGCTCTTTCAAGGGTTTCATGCATGATATCCTCATTGCCATTCAACACCATCCTGTACTTAATGTGAAACTTAAAAGTATTATATTTGAAAAAAATAAACTATTACATTTTCTTATTGATATTAAACACCTTAATGTGAAAGAAATCCATAATTAGTATACATATAAAATTATAAGACAGTTTTTCTCTCGTCATTACAAAAACTTCTGTGACCTGGTTGGAATTTTAAAAATATAATCGCTAATATAATATATATGTTCCATAAAAATGCCTAAGCTGCCCGGGCATGGTGGCTCATGCCTGTAATACCAGCACTTTGGGAGGCCGAGGCAGGTAGATCATGAGGCCAGGAGTTCGAGACCAGCCTGGCCAACATGGTGAAACCCCGCCTCTACTAAAAATACAAAAATTGGCTGGGGATGGTGACTCACGCCTGTAATCCCAGCACTTTGGGCAGCCGAGTCGGGCGGATCATGAGGTCAGGAGATCTTGACCATTCTGCCTAACCCTGTGAAACCTCATCTCTACTAAAAATACAAAAAATTAGCCACGCTTGGTGGCGGGCGCCTGTAGTCCCAGCTACTCAGGAGACTGAGGCAGGAGAATGGCATGAACCCAGGAGGCAGAGCTTGCAGTGAACCTAGATGGTGCCACTACACTCCAGCTTGTGGAGACAGAGCAAGACTCCGTCTCAAAAAACAAAACAAAACAAAACAAAAAATTAGCTGGGCATGGTGACGTGCGCCTGTAATCCCAGCTACTCAGGAGGCTGAGGCAGAATTGCTTGAACCTGGGAGGCAGAGGTTTCAATGAACCAAGATTGTGCCATTGCACTCCAGCCTGGGTGACAGAGAAAGACTCCCATCTTGGGAGAAAAAAAATGCCTAAGCAAGTATTGTATAAGTCACTCCAGTTTTAGGTATGTTGTTCAAACCAGGATAATTGAAAAAGATTTTTATATACTTGATATGGTTTGGCTGTATCCCTACCCAAATCTCATCTTGACTTGTAATAATCCCCACGTGTCAAAGGTGGGGCTAGGTGGAGATAATTGAATCACAGGGGCAGTTTTCCCCATACTGTTCTCATGGTAGTGAATAAGTCTCACAGGATCTGATGGTTTTGTAAATGAGAGTTCCCTTGCACTTCTCCTTGCTGCTTCCATGTGAAGAAGGACATGTTTGCTTCCCCTTCCACCATGATTGTAAGTTTCCTAAGGCCTCCCCAGCCATGCTGAACTGCGAGTCAGTTAAACCTCTTTCCCTTATAAGTTACTCAGGCTTAGGTGTGTCTTTATTAGCAGCTTGAGAGCGGACTAATACAATACTCATTACAAAGTATTATGTTCTCTATCGTGTATGTTGTGCAGTGTGTCTATAAGATCACTTTGTCTTTATGACAGTATTTGTGGGATTGATGTTATCCCCATGTGAATATTATTATCCCCATGTAATTGCTTAAGTATCTATAAATATCTGTTCTCTTCTACTTCTCTACTTAAACAAACTCTGTTATTTTGTTTTGAGTGGCCATGAACCCAGCTTAAAATGCTAGGTTCCTCAGACTTCTTTGCAGCTTGTAGTATGTGTGGTCATTCTGGCCAAAGAGATGTACATGAAAGTCACTAGATATAAAGTGTATTAAAAGGAGAAGATAGCTAGTATGTAACCCTTAGACCTATTGCTTTTTTCCTTTCTTCTCTATTTTTAAGAACACTGAAGCTTAGAAGTAACATGTTTAGCTCACATAAAGTGGTTTTAAACCCCAGTCAGCGTGGCTTCAAAGCCCTTATTTCAAACTCTCATGATCCAATGAAAGAATGAAATAAAGGACCATCAATGTGATTTTGTCAAGTTATACAGACATGTACCTTGTGAGGGTCTGTTGGGTGTCCAAGACTTGTGCTGGGTTAGTTGTTACCATCAAAAGACCCTTTCTTCTACTTTTAAAATCTAGAAATACTGGTGCCTATTTGGTGGCTATAAATAAATCAACCGTGTGTGTGTGTGTGTGTGTATGTATATAAAGTAATAGCATGAAAAGAAATTGTTTATCAATTCTCTTTAGCAGAATGAAACCACCCCTAATTTTACCATTGTTTTAGAAAAAAGAAGAAATATAAATAGTTACTTTAAAATCATGTTTTATTAAATCTGTAAAAATGGCCTAACTTACATGAAAGTGAGTAAATTGTGGGTTAATCTGGGCAGCTGGTTACACTTAAAAAAATAATGTCCTACAAAATTAAACTTGATCAAGATCCAGTTATTCACCAGTATTTCTCTAGAATACACTGATGCTAGAGTATATTTATAATACAAGTTTTTAAAACTTGCTTTTCTATCTCAGTGTCTCAACCTGTATCATAATTGCTCATAATTTTTGATCTCTCAACTTCTTAAATCCCCAAGATTCATCGTATAGATCTTTTTATCAGCTCTTTATCCTGAATTTTTTTTTTTTTTTTTGAGATGGAGTCTTGCTCTGTTGCCCAGGCTGGAGTGCAGTGGTGCGATCTCGGCTCACTGCAAGCTCCGCCTCCCAGGTTCATGCCATTCTCCTGCCTCAGCCTCCCGAGTAGCTGGGGTTACAGGCGCCCGCCACCACACCTGGCTAATTTTTTGTATTTTTAGTAGAGACGGGGTTTCACCGTGTTAGCCAGGATGGTCTCTATCTCCTGACCTCGTGATCTGCCTGCCTAGACCTCCTAAAGTGCTGGGATTACAGGCGTGAGCCACCGCGCCCGGCGATACATATATATTTTTTTCGAGATAGAGTATCCCTCTGTCACCTAAGCTAGAGTGCAGTTATGCAATCCTGGCTCACTGCAGCCTCTGTCTCCTGGGTTCAAGCAATTCTCCTGCCTCAGACTCCCAAGTAGTGCATGCGCCACCATGCTCGGCTAATTTTTGTATTTTTAGTAAAGACAGGGTTTCACCATGTTGGCCAGGCTGGTGTTGAACTCCTGACCTCAAGTGATAGGCCCACCTAAGCCTCCCAAAGCGCTGGGATTACAAGTGTGAGGTACCATTCCTGATCCTGATTTTTTTTTTTTTAAGATCTATTCTCCTTTGCTTTGTTCTGTGACTTGCTCTCCACCCTTTCCAATGCAGGCATAATTCTAGACTTCCTCTCCAATGACTGCCATCTGTTCTTCCTGAGGTACCACACAAAGGCCAGGACTCCAGGGAAGGCAGAAGGCCTATCCTATAGGACAGACATTTCCTTTGGTCTGATGGGTATGGGGCCAGAGTATGTGGCTACTTGAGCATATTTATTTTAGTTAAAGTGAAACCATGCATTTTTTGTTATATTTTCTTAAATTTTTTAGAGATAGAGTCTTACTCTGTTTCCTAGGCTGGAGTATAGTGGTGCAATCACAGTTCACTGCAGCCTCAATCTCCCTGGGCTCAGGTGATCCCCACACCTCAGTCTCCTGAGTCACTGGGAATACATGTGCAAATCACCATGCCTGGCTAATTTTTTAAATATTTTTTGTTGAATGTTGAAAAACTACATCTATATATATGATCAAAAATATTCTGTAATTAGCTTTTTCATTTAATAAATACTTTATGAACCTCTTTCTATAACACATTTATATTATTAGTTTTAATAACTGTATACTATTTAATTATATGACTGTTTCAAAATATGTGTATCCTCTCCTATAAGGCTAAGTTTTTATCTATTATTTAACAAAATAATATGCATTAGTATTTTTATCTTTGTAGCCTCAGGCTCCCAGAAGTAGGACATTGAAAGAAAAGTTACAGTCATTTTTCTCATTTTTACCCACAGAATTTTCCCTGTAAAAATATAACCAGTTTTCAATCCCTATAACAATGTAGAGGAGGATTTTATCTAGTTATTTGCCAAAGTGGAAAGACTAAAGATTGCCTCTTATTTCAATTTTCACTTATTTTTCTATTAGCTGTTACCTACCTTCACTATTAAATTTTTAAAATAAGATTCTCACAAAAGCCCCAGTTAGTTGCTCTGCAATCCTGGTCCTTGTCTTAGTAAAATACTTCCTAGAAATTGTATTAATACTATATGATTCTACCCCCACCTCTCTGTATTTTAACAGGTTAGATTTCACATTGTTGGTTATTAAAAGGCTAATGAATGAATCTAGTGAAATGTGATGTTCTAAGAGATCACAAACTGAACTGACTTCAAGCTTAAAACCCCGTGAAAGATTTTTCTGCCAAAACGGAATTCGGAGGAGTGTTCTGCATTCCTCAGCTTGTTATGGTGACAGCACTGGCATGGCACTGGAAGTTAAAGAAACTTTGAACTGATAAAGCGGTTACCAAAATACTAAACAATTAGCAGATGAAAACAATTCCATGGTGCCCTGTTCCTACGAATAGCTCTCATGCTACAGCATGACATCCATGTGATAATCATTGCACTGAATTATACAGAAGGGCACTTACACAAAAAAGAAGTCCAGAACTCTTATGGTAGGAAATAGAACCCCTCAGCACAACATTCGCTTTAAGACAAAAAAGTTCTCGTTGAATTGTTTTTGTTTCTTGATTTATTTTGTGGATGATTCTCAAATCTCTATCTCATGTCATCATCTCCCCCATGAAATTCCAAATGTGCCCTGAACGTTCTCATCCTGTTGTTATCCTTTGGCCCTAATTCATCATGCCTGAAAACAAACCCATGGTCCCTGCCCTCCACCTCTGAATGGAGCCTTCCCCAGACTTGTCTGTTTCTATTCAGGATTATTGTCCCATTTATTCTGGCTCAAAACCTCTTCATTTCTGCCATATTCAATCTGTTTTCTCTGTTCTGATGATGTATTTTTGTTTGCTTGCCAATGTATTTTTCTCTAGCCTTTCTCATTCATGCCAATGATCACTACCCTAATAATACTGTTATTCTAGTACTTTAACAACAACAAAAAAGAAAAGTTCTTAAAACCAGTCTCCCTGCCCATAACATATTTGCTGCTGATTCTTCTTAAGTTAATCTTAACTTCTTGAGTTGATTCTGCTTGGTTAATCTTAAACATTTATTATTATATCCTCGTTTCTTAAAAAATTTGAAAGTTATTGGTACCCCTTCCTGCCAATGATAGTGCCTGCCAAATAATAGGAATCCATAGGCCTGACATTGAAAGTCTATATGATCTATTGCCACATTAGTTTTCCCGTGTGTATATCCACTGCATGCCTACATATATATTCAGCTTACCTGAAATACTATCCAAATATTGAATGTTCTATGTGCTATCCAGCCTTTTACCTTTTAAATCTGCCAGTAGCCTCCCCATAACCATAAATTCTTTTCATATTTTAAAGCTAAGCTTGGCCGGGTACGGTGGCTCACACCTGTAATCCCAGCACTTTGGGAGGCTGAGGCGGGCGGATCATGAGGTCAGGAGATTGAGATCGAGACCATCCTGGCTAACATGGTGAAACTCCATCTCTACTAAAAATACAAAAAATTAGCCAGGCGTGGTGGCAGGCGCCTGTAGTCCCAGCTACTCGGGAGGCTGAGGCAGGAGAATGGCGTGAACCCGGGAGGTGGAGCTTGCAGTGAGCTGAGATCGTGCCACTGAACTCCAGCCTGGGTGACAGAGCCAGACTCTGTCTCAAAAAAAAAAAAAAAAAAAAAAAAAAAAAAAAAAAAAAAGCTAAGCTCAAAAGCAATGCCATCTAAAATGATAGGTCTTATTGCTGGGGCACTTGGGGCTATCATAGCGACCTCCCTGGTAAGCATATTTAGCCACCTGCTGATTCTACCCTTCCCTAAAATGCGGGCATATTGTGTCCAGAATTGGTTCCTTCCGGAGGGTTCTTGGTCTCGCTGACTTTAAGAATGAAGCTACGGACCCTCGCAGTGAAGTGTTACAGTTCTTAAAGATGGTGTGTCTGGAGTTTGTTCCTTCAGATGTTCAGATGCGTCCAGAGTTTCTTCTTTCCATTGGGTTTGTGGTCTCTCTTGACTTCAGGAGTGAAGCCACAGACCTTCTCAGTGAGTGTTACAGCTCTTAAAGGTGGCGCGTCTGGAGTTGTTTGCTCCTCCCAGTGGGTTCGTGGTCTCACTGAGTTCAGGAATGAAGCCGCAGACCCTCGCAGTGAGTGTTACAGCTCATAAAGTTAGTGCAGACCCAAAGAGTGAGCAGCAGCAAGATTTATTGTGAAGAGCGAAAGAACAAAGCTTCCACAGCGTGGAAGGGGACCCAATTGGGTTGCCGCTGCTAGCGCAGGTGGCCAGTTTTTATTCCCTTATTTGGCCTCACCGACGTCCTGCTGATTGGTCCATTTTACAGAGTGTTGATTGGTGCGTTTACAAACCTTTAGCTAGACACAGAGCGCTGATTGGTGCATTTTTACAGAGTGCTGATTGGTGCATTTACAAACGTTTAGCTAGACACAGAGCACTGATTGGTGTGTTTACAATCCTTTAGCTAGACAGAAAAGTTCTCCAAGTCCCCACCCGACCCAGAAGCCCACCTGGCTTCACCTCTCAATATCATATCTGCCTTTAAGCAAGAGGCATTTCCATCCCCATATAAGCATTATTTATCAAATTTTAGGACCACATGCCTATGCCATGGTATATCAGTCTAAGACTGATATTCCTATCCTTGATGCTATTTTTCTGAGGGCAGTCAACAGAAAAGGGATTAGAACAGGTTATTTCTACATATATCTCCCATTTTAAGAAATAAAGATGAAGGCTGGGTGTGGTGGGTGGCTCACTCCTGTAATCCCCCCAGCACTTTGGGAGGCCAAGGTGGTTGGATTATGAGGTCAGGAGATTGAGACCATCCTGGCTAACACTGTGAAACCCCGTCTCTACTAAAAATACAAAAAAATTAGCCAGCGTGGTGGTGGGCGCCTGTAGTCCCAGCTACTTGGGAGACTGAGGCAGGAGAATCACTTCAACCCAGGAGGAGGAAGTTGCAGTGAGCTGAGATCATGCCACTGCACTCCAGCCTGGGCGACAGAGCGAGACTCCATCTCCAAAAAAAAAAAAAAAAAAAAAAAAAACACAGAAAAACAAAAAAAGGAAGAAAGAAAGAAAGAAAGATGAAACAATAGGGCCAGGTTCTTGCCTGTAATTCTAGCACTTTGGGAGGCCAAGACAGGAGGATCATTTGAGCCACAGAGTTTGAGACCACTGGCCTGCACAATAGAGAGAGAGCTTGTCTCTATAAAAAAAATTTAGGCCGGGCTCAGTGGCTCACACCTGTAATCCCAGCACTCTGGGAGGCCGAGGCAGGCAGATCACCTGAGGTCAGGAGTTTGAGACCAGCTTTGCCAACATGGTGAAACCCCATCTCTACTAAATATACAAAAATTAGCCAGGCGTGGTGGTGGGTGAGACTCCGTCTCAAAAAAAATAAATTAAAATTAAAATAGTTTGGTGTGTTGGCACACATCTGTGGTCACAGCTACTCAGGAGGCTGATGTGAGAGGATTGCTTGAGCCTGGGAGATTGAGGCTGCAGTGAGCTGTGATTGTGCCACTGCACTCTAGCCTGGGAAACAGAGGGAGATCACTGTCTCAACAACAACAAAAAAAGATGAGAAAAAATAGACACTAGGGACTACTAGAGGGGAGTGAATGTTGAAAAACTACATATTGGGTACTATGCTCACTACCTGGTTGATGGGATCATTTGTACACCAAACGTCAGCAACATGCCCTTCACCCATGAACAAACCTGCACATATACACCTTGAACCTGAAATAAAAGTTAAAAATAATTTCCTTCTTTATGTACAACCAGGGAAAGAACCAAATGATTTTTTAAAAGATGTTTTAAAAGACATAATTACTTACCAGATAATCTGAAGGGTTAGAGTTCTAGAAATTCTCAGAGCAGGATGTAGTCAGTAATGTAACATCTACATCTACAATCTAATGTTTCAAGATTATTCAAGCATCTACAATAAATAAATTATTATCAGGATATTTTATTTTTGGAAGAAAAAGACATTTTACAGCTAAGGTGTTTACTTTTTAATTCTAGAAAGTACTGTCATATTTAACTTTGGTACATATTCACTTAGCAGTTCCACAAGAGAAAAACTGTTAAGGGAAACTGTATATTCAACCAAGATTACCTAGCCACAGTTAACAAACTATACAATTTTCAATATTCCACACAAAAACTTAAGACTGAAAAATGCAACTGAGAGAGATATTTGCACTCAACATTAATAGATCAATTAAGTAATTTACTAAAACATTTATGGACATCAAACTAGTATAGAGTAGTAAATACTTATGTGAATGGAACTCATACTGCAATCAATGTAATAAAACACTTAACTACAGTGTTGATGCAATAAAACGATTTGCCTATATTCTTTTGTAGTGTGCCTTTAGGGCCTGTACTTATATTAGTAATCATCTTAGGAAGTTCAGTTGTCAGGATTCCATATGAGAAATTATATAGGCTTACAATTAATGTTAATAGTTGTCTTCGTTCATGACTGGCAATGGAACAAATGGATTCTAGGTTTATGACGGAGAGAATTTGGAGATGACAAGAGGCAGTCAGATACTATGTAAGCTTCCCTATTATCCAACAAGAGAATTAGGTAAATCCTGAATTGTTCTTACACCAAAAAAACTTAAAAAATATTAACAGCAACATATGTATAAGTAACACACCATTTGACATATAATTTCTCAGTTTTAGAATGAGGCCCCCAGATTCTGAGGGTTTAGCCACAAAATTATGGCTAAAAAGATGTTCTTGTCTTGAATAAGATGTCAAATAGATCTTACGCTTTTGATAGAAAAGAAAAAGTCCTATGGAAAGGCCTGAACTTTACTAAACCACACTGGAGTATAGAACAACTCTGTGGTATATATTCTCTAAACTCTTCCCCAGTTTTCTTCAAGAAACACCACTTTCTGAGGTTTATATAACAATGACCCAGGAAACTCGGTGCCCTGCAGCAGGCAGGGTTTATCTTTTAAGTAAATGTGATTTGAGGATTGCCCCTTCCTACAAAGTGTATCACTCCCTTTTTTTTTTTTCCTATATTGTCATTGAAGGTGCATGACTCATCACCCAATGGTTTCTTCTTTATAAATGCTGACATCACATATGCAAATATTTTACTAATTATGAAGTGAGTTTAGCAGATCTTTGGGACAATGTAAGAGACTATCACTATATTACATTGAAAGACTTTTAAAATAAATACATAAAAACAAAGCTGCTATAGTTTTGTTCAAAACGATTTCCTTCCACCCTGTGTCTTAGATAAATATATCTCAGCCCCTGATGGAGGCTAGCTGGTTCTATTCCCCCTAAGAACAACAACCACAAAAACCTGTAAAACAATTACACTAATGCAACAGTTGAAGACTTGATAACAGATAGTTTTGTCAAAAGAAAATTTTAAAAGATGGAAAACAACCTTGGGTAATATCCATATTTAGGCATTTACAGAAGCCAATTACTGGCAAATAAGACATAGAGAAAAGCAAAGCCACAGAAGTTGGAAAGACAGCAATAAAAATTTACCATCACAAACCCAGAAATGAAGGTGCTGAATTCAAAAGTTATCATAATTGTTGAAAATAAGCCATAAAAAAAAGAAGTACAAAGAAGGTCAGTGAGAGACCATAGATATGTTTCAATAAATTTCAGAAGAGTGGTGTGATGAAATCAGGTGTGTAAGGCTAAAAAACTTCTTGGTGCTGAGTAAATGAAAACAAATTTTGTAGGCACAAATGTTACTAAGAAATTGAGAGGCAATAGCAAGGTAAGATACAGGACAGTAGTTGAACAGAGATAAGTTTCTTTTGTTTTCCTGTACTGTAGTTGTTTATTTAGATGCAGAGGAAAATGAGTCCATGGAAAGTGTAAGCCTAATGCTACAAGTGTGATCGAATATAATGGATGGCAAGGATATGGCAGTGAATGCCTTCAGGAGGAATTACTAGTCTTTAATTCCTACTTCCTACAGTTCTTGGCTCTGAACAGACACGAATTAAACGGTTTTTGAATTAATGACAAAAATGGGAGAGGTTAGACCAAAAAGCAAGAAACCCCTTCTGAAACCACCAAAAATGATAAAAGCACAGGTAAACTTACAAAAACACCTAGAGGTAAGAAGGGATATAGAGTAAGCAGGAATTCGAGGTATGGAAGTTTGCAGCAAAGTAGGAGGCAGGCTATTTTGTGAGAATAATGGGAATAAGGATGGGAGACTGATGAGAGCTGAAAAATTTTATATGAATGCGTGAAGAACTAAAAAGTGTGATAAAAACTCATTCTAAGATGCACTGTTTCACATGAAATACAAAAATTTCAGTCAATAAAATTGAGTAAACTACTTACACTTTTGACAAATCTTTATATCATTCTCAAATTTGCTTTGGTTTAGTCATTAATGTTTTGTACTAGTTATATTCTTTGGGAGAAATAATTCTGTCATTTATGAATCCATTACAGCTGCTAAATTACTTCTGGGATTTGGAGGGATAATGCCCAATTGCTGCTGTTCTTGTAGTAAAATGTTTTTGTGCTCCTAAAAAGCCAAGACAACTAATAAATAATTTCCCATTTATAGACAATCTTATTCACTTAGTCCTTTAACTTACATCGCAATTTAAACCAAATGGAACAACATAATTCTATTTCTGTGTCTAATTTTGGATCAGCTTTTAGGTGAATGGTAATAAGGCTAAATTTCCTATCTGTCACCAGCACTAGATTGGACCTATCAATGACAGAGCAAAGCTATTAGCCTGTCCAGAAGATCAGTTAAAGTAGGAAGCCTCTCATCATAATCCTTGCAGCAGCTGTCATTAAATTCCTGCTGCCAAGTGAAAGCCTGAAGCAGCTGGAAATGGAGAAAGGCAACTAGAAAAACAACTAGGTTTTGATCAGAAATGTTTTCTTACTTTTGTCTACTGCCTTTTGACAAGGACTACTGCTGTGCGCACACAGTTTTTAGACCATGAGTTGTCGGCACTTTCTTCTCAATTTTATTCTTTGATATTGAATGAATATGCAATGAAGAAGGAGACAGCACATCTGACTTTGAGGACAATAACATTCAGCTGTGAAGATAAAAGCTCTGTTAGCTCTTCATCTGAATGCTGAACAACCAAATCACACCTGGCAGTAGTTTGAGACAGCAGGATGATAGAGAACGGACTCTGGACAAAAGGGAAAGTGTGTTTTATTCCAGGCTCAACTCCTGTTTAATATGTGACCTGAAGAAAGGTATTTAATCTGGTGTCTTAAATTAGTTCATCATCTTTCAAATTCAGGTAACACTAGTCACAACAGCGTTCTTGGGAGAAGGATATAACACAAATCACCTAACTCAGTATCTGGTATACCATAGGCACTTATTAAATGTAGGTCTCTGCAATTCTCTCCTTTAATTCATATTTAAAGGAAGGAATCAGATTATAAGAAGGAATCAAAATTGTTCTGGATTCACTGGTGCATTTATTTTGTGATACAGCATGTTTAAAGAGGAAAATGTTGGTTTTCCTTGAAGACTGATAGAAATGTCCACCAAAAATCACTTATTCTACAATAATTAGGTTATTTTAAACTCTGCCAATCAACTTATTCTTTAAAAATCTTTCAAATTTCTCATATTCTTTTGGGAAAAAATATTCTCTTTTGACCCCAAGTTTTATTCATCAGAAAACTAGCTTACATCTTGTGGTTGATATCCCAAATAATTCTAACAATCAAAAACTGGCTTATGCTAGAACTCATACAGATCCTCATAAGGAGTCATGAGGCAAAACTCATGAATTTTGCCTTCTAAAAGAAGTGTTCTCTGCCTAGTAAATGTTCTGATTTCATTCGATACGGAGAAAAAATAATCTTCAAATAATTGTTAATGACTTTAAATCTAGTGTGAGTATAAGATGAATTACTTTGGGAAATTGTAAAATTCCACGAGATGAATTACAAGAAAAATGTTTGTACTGAGTGTTGATAATATCAAAATGAATAAATATGCGTTTAATTTGGTTTTAATAAAGAATGGTGTCCTTATATAGGTAGTTTAAAAAGAATCACAAACATATTTTATAAATAGTGTTTAAGGCCAGATGAGTCTTAGGGAAATGGAATTTTTATTTTTAAGTCACTGTTACTGAATTCACTAACTTATTATTTAACCAAATTAAGCTTATTTCCATAAAATCAGTTGGGTGTTTAAAAATTACATAAATGGAATTTATTAAATCATAATCTGTCAGTAAAGATTCCAGCTTATTTTACCACTTATCTTCAAGAATAATGATAAATTATTTCACTTGTGTCAGCTTTTACTAATGACTAGCATATTATGACGTTTAGGATTTTTTTTCAGTTATTATCTTTTTCAGTTCTAAAATTTCCACTTTTTCCCCTTTGTATCTTCCATTTCTTTGTGGAGACATTCTGATTTTCACATTTGATTCAATCTTCAGGATTTTAGTACCCTCCTGAGTAAATAGACCTGATTATAAATGATTTACATAACTTTCTTAAACTTCTAAAGAGTACTGGAATTGAATGTGTTTTTGTTCAACTTGGAGAATATGCCTAGTAATAAAAAAATAGCAAAAATGCTTGTTGAAGCATTTTTGTGATCCTTGCTTTAAATTCCTCGTCAGATAATTCTAGCACCTTTTTTCATCTTGGTTTTGCACCTGTTGATCTATTGGACACTCAGGTGGAGGAATTCATCTAGGTGGACTGCCTTCTGTTACTGGCTTGGGCTTAGATCATCTTTTTCTGTTGGGTAAGGGTTTTAAGGTACTCAGCTACCTTAAAATATTGAATTTCCAGTCTTGAGTTCTCTAGTCATTCTGTCTTCCTTATTACATGTTTCAAAATTCTCCTTTGTCTGCCTCTGGTGTTATTTTCAGGGTTTATAGTTTCACTTTGCATGGAAGAACATAAAGAAATGAATTTACACCATCTTTTCTCAACTGGAAACCCATTATCTGCTTTTATAAGTTAAAAACACTTTGCACAATTAACACAATATACAAATCCTTCTTTTTTTTTTTTTTTTTTTAGTAAAGACAGGGTTTTACCATGTTGGCCAGGATGGTCTCGAACTCCAGACCTCAGGATGCACCCGCCTCGGCCTTCCAAAGTCCAAACTGCTGTGATTACAGGCGTGAACCACCATGCCCGGCCAATTTTTTTGTATTTTAGTAGAGACGGGGTTTCACTGTGTTGCCCAGGCTGGTCTTGAATTCCTGAAGTCAGGCAATCCACACGCCTCAGCCTCCCAAAGTGCTAGGATTACAAGCGTGAGCCACCGCACCCGGCTATACAAATCCGTCTTGTTTGTTAATTTATTTCATCATCTAGATTTTTATTCAGAGTATATAAAGTGAGATGGAACTGAAATCACCCTTGCTTAATATTTTTACAAGATAAATATAAAAATTCCGAGACTACTCAGCTAAAGAGGTTTAAAAATGCCTCAAATCTAAAGAAATCTACTTTTGTGTTTATGGAAAAAGTCTTCTAAAAACCAAAGCAAAAAAATTAAAATAGATTGGACTATTATTCCAAAACCTGAATCTCATTTTTATTGCATAATCATTATGTATATTCCAATATTCCTCCATTTCTGCCTTCTTGATTTATGCAGTTCAGTTTGTGGTATCAGAAGGCAAATGTTAAAGTAGGAAACTAAGGAGTGGTTTATGGTGTGACTGAATTAGAGAAGTTTTAGGAGAAATGAGTTAAAGTGATTTTGAAACTGAATGCATTTGTTCATTTTCTTGGAGGATTTGAGGTTTATAGCATAGACTTGATTTATTTACAAAGATTAAACATATAAATAATTATCTTTCTCTTCTACCTGCCTCCTTATCTTTATAATCACTGTATGTTTGGTAGAATTTGCCTTAAGAATATGTTTTAGAAAGTTGACTTTTGTTCTACTAGCATATTGGAATATATTCATTTATAACCTTGTAACTTAATGCATGTCAAATGTTTTAGGAATTCTTTCAGATCCTTTTAAAATGATAGACTATTTTACCCAAGAGAAAATCTTCAGGATTTTAGTACTCTCCTGGGTAAACAGACCTGATTATATATGATTTCAATAACTTGCTAAAACTTCTAACGAGTACTGGAATTGAATGTGTTTTTGTTAAACTTGGAGAATAGAATAATAGAAAATGGCAACAATACAAAACCCTATCTTTTTAGGTAAGTTGGGTAAACTTTTCCATCTGCTTATATTATAAACTAAATGTCCTATTTATTATGATAAACTTTAGGTACCCTAATTACAATTCATTATATCAGAAATACAATGAGTCTTTTCAGCTAACCTTTGACTTTTGGCAAACTTTGGTGGGAAAACAAAACAAAACAAACAAACAAACAAAAACACTTTTGCTTAATAAAATGCCTATTGGGCTGGGCACGGTGGCTCACGCCTGTAATCCCAGCACTTTGGGAGGCTGAGGCAGGCGAATCACGAGGTCAGGAGTTCAAGACCAGCCTGGCCAACATAGTGAAACCCCGTCTCTACTAAAAGTACAAAAATTAGCCAGGTGTGGTGGTACATGCCTGTAGTTCCAGCTACTCGGGAGGCTAAGGCAGCAGAATCACTTAAACCCAGGAGGTGGAGTTTGCAGTGAGCCGAGACCGCGCCATTGCACTCCAGCCTGGTTGAAAGAGCAAGACGCCATCTCAAAAAATAAATAAATAAATAATAAATAAATAAAATGTCTATTAATCCTGACATTCACCCATGAGAAAATATAGACAGAAGGTGAACACTTTTTTTGAAAAATATTTTAAGTCACAAATTGTATTTAGACTACTGAATAGTTGCAACGAACCCTTACCTTTCAACTAGGGGGGAAAGGAAGTCCATCATTAAACAATCTGTTGGGCAATGCCATGTTTAACAATTCTCATTGTTTGATTTTAATTACATGTTTGTATCAGGAAACTGATTCATATCCTTTGAATGCCATCTAAAATTACAGTCTTAAATCTAAGTGTGTTTGTCGTCATCAAACACTAAGTACCATATAGGAAAAAAAGAAAGGCACCTGCCCACCAGTGCCTTTGCCATTGCTTTAAATAGACTTTTCCTTTTGCATATGAAGCTTTTCAAATTAAAAAGTAAAGTCACCAGTCATAGTAGCAATCATAAAGTTTGTCCTGTCATGTTCATCACTGTATCAGGACTATTGCCAAACTTTGTATTGCAAATCTAACATTAGATTGTTGAGAAAGAAATCACAACAGTTTTGATTTTGAGAAAATCAGATACTTAAAACACTTTTTTTGCTTTGAGGGAAACACCTTATGTTTTCTATGTTATTAACTAGTCCCGATATAGATTAAAATGTAATAGATGTGTTTTTAACTTATTGAACAAATAATATATTCACATTGTTAAAAAAATTCAAGGTCTCTTTGATTATTGCCATTTTAGCCAGTGGAACGAGACAAAGAACAGATGGCTAGAGCTAAAGATTCCCTCTTAAATTAGCAAAGCAGAAGTTGCACACATTACTTCTGTTTTGTACTGCAGTGGCAAGAGCTTAGTCCCATATCAACGACTACTGCAGAGACTTAGGGACATGTTTTTCCTGGGTGGGCAGCCATAGCTAGACACAATTCTATTACTATGAAAGTAAAGAAGACCGACACTGATGGACATGTAGTAGTCTTCAACCATCAGAGAATGGTAATTCCTCAGAGTATCTGGAGCCTCCATGACTCTCGCTATGACTCTAAAGTCCACACTCCTTATATTACATTAAAGAGCCTGGCTTCATATCCAAAAGTGATGACAAAACAACTGTTTTGTTCTGTTATCTTTTATATGTGTGTGTGTGTGTGTGTGTGTGTGTGTGTGTATATATATTCTCCATTGCCCTTCACTAACAGAATTTAAAGAAAAAATTGTTTAAAGTGATAAGTATAAATAAGTATACTACTTATTACTTTTGGAATACTGTATTTTCTTCCATTATAGGATTACTAAACACATTTCAGTAGACATGGATTTCAGCTCTAAAAAGCATAATAGGGCACTGAATTTGGAAATTACATTAACTTAGTAGTGCATCAAACCTACCTGGGCATGGCGAGGCACGGTGGCTCACGTCTGTAATCCCAGCACTTTGGGAGGCCAAGGCGAGTGGATCACGAGATCAGGAGATCGAGACCATCCTGGCTAACATGGTGAAACCCCGTCTCTACTAAAAATACAAAAAAAAAATTAGCCGGGCATGGTGGCAGGTGCCTGTAGTCCCAGCCACTTGGGAAGCTGAGGCAGGAGAATGGTGTGAACCCAGGAGGCGGAGCTTGCAGTGAGCCAAGATCAGGCCACTGCACTCCAGCCTGGGCAACTGAGCAAGACTCCGTCTCATAAAACAAAACAAAAAAACAAAAACAAACAAAAAAACCTACCTGGGCATATATCTCTGCAGTAACAATTCTGTAACCCTCTAGCCACTGTTGAAACTACTTTGTTGAGGTAGAGCTCATTCTATTTGTGAGACAGCCCATTCCATTTTTGGATAACTCTGATTGGGATGTTCTTCCTTAATTCAACAAAACGATTTCACATTAACCTTTACTCAGTGGCTTTAGTTTATGCTTTCTAGAGCTACATTTTCCTATGAGGTTACCACTAGCCTATGTGGCTATATAAATGTAAATTTTAATTAAACTTAAATAAACAATTCAGTTCTTCAGCCATACCAGCTACATTTCAAGTGCTCAAGAACCGTATGTGACTAGTGGCTACTAACCTGGATACTGTGGCAAACATTTTCATCATTGTATTGTTATTGCTTTATTGGTCTATACTATACTATACAGTGAAAGTTTAAATCTACTACAGTTTTTATTAAGGGACTTCTAACATCATAAGGCTTTGTCTTTTTTTTGTTGAAAGAACGACACTTTAAAAGTATTTATTGACATCTTACTACATTTCCTATTTCATTTTGAGAATTCAGGACAGATCCATGAACAAAAAGAGGACCCTTGCGCCTATGGAGCTTTCATTTTAGCAAAGAGAGATAGCTGAAAACAAACAAATCAAACATAACAACAACCATAGTCAATAAGTGAAATATTTAAATAATTTTTAAATATCGGTAAGTCCTGTGGAAACGAATGCCAGGTGAAGGAATGGGGATTCAGGAAAAAGGATGGCTTGCAAGTTTCATAGAGTGCCCTGAGTAGGTTTCTTTGGAGTGATATTCGAACAAGGGCTTGAAAGAATGAGGGAGATTAGCCGTGTGACTGGGGAAGAGTGTTCCAGGTGGAAAGAACAACCTTACGCAAAGCGGCAAAGCAGCCACAGTGACCCGAGCAGAGTGAGCAAACAGGAAGATTGTAGAAGCCAACAAGCTAAGAGGGGTGATGGAGGAAGGGTTATATGCAGCTTTGCAGACACTTGTAAGGACTTTGTGGAGCTACTGTAGAGTTTTAAGAGGAGAAGAGACATTTTGTGACATATTTTTAAGAGATGAGCTCTGCTGCAGTGTTGACAATAGACTATCAGTAGGGGTTGGAGTACAAGGGTAAAATCTTGGAGTTATATTTAATATGTTGCATAATTTATAAAATTGTTTCCTGATCCCTTATCATCCTGAATTTCCATTGTATCTTCTACTTGGCATAATGCAGTTTATTAGTGTCCTCTTAAAATGTGTTTCCAAGAATAAAACACAATACACCCGATGATGCGACAAGAGAAGTACGAGAGACAGTTACGTCTCATGATCTGAATGTTATTTTTCTAATGTTACTGGATTTCTTATCAATAGAAATTTCCTAAATTATGTAATTTGTTATTTTGAAATGAAATACAGTTGTATTTATTTTTCTAAGTTTGGTTCTAGTTATTTGAGCTTAGTGTTTTATATTAGCCATTTCTTGCTTTATTTAAACTTGAGATATGATAAATATTATTTCCATGCTTTCACCCAAATTGCCAATATACTTTTCCTTTTTTTTTTTTTTTTTTTGAAATGTAGTCTCACTCCGTTGCCCAGGCTGGAGTGCAATGGCGTGGTCTCGGCTCACTGCAGCCTCTGCCTCCCGGGTTCAGGCGTTTCTCCTGCCTCAGCCTCCCAAGTAGCTGGGATTACAGGCGTGTGCCACCATGCCAAACTAATTTTGTTTTTTTTAGTAGAGATGGGGTTTCACCATGTTAGCCAGGCTGGTCTCGAATTCCTTACCTCAGGTGATCTGCCCGCCTGGCCTCCCAAAGTGCTGGGATTACAGGCGTGAGGCCACCGCGCCCAGCCATCAATATACCTTTTCATAAGGCAAGGACAGGGACAGCGCACTATAGTATTCCCTTGCCTGGAATTTCCATTAACCTGAAAAGAATATAAGTAATACTCATTTTCCAAATTCATGCTGAAGCATTAATTCTTATTGAATATAATTCAGTTTTAAAATCACTAACTTTACTATGAATAAACTTCATAGAGAACTTTTGAAAACCATTAGCCGGGCGTGGTGGCTCACGCTTGTAATCCCAGCACTTTGGGAGACCGAGGCGGGCGGATCATGAGGTCAGGAGATCGAGACCATCCTGGCTAACATGGTGAAACCCCATCTCTACTAAAAATACAAAAAATTCGCCGGGCGTGGTGGTGGGCGCCTGTAGTCCCAGCCACTTGGGAGGCTGAGGCAGGAGAATGGCATGAACCTAGGAGGCGGAGCTTGCAGTGAGCCGAGATCGCACCACTGCACTCCAGCCTGGGCAACACAGCAAGACTCCGTCTCAAAAAAAAAAAAAAAAAAATTCAAACCATTAAGTAATCTGGACTTTATTTAATCTGCCCCCAACCATTGCCTTTCTGACCACATCTCTGTTGCTCTCTTCTTTCTCCCTCTGATCTTGCCACGTAGGACTCCATCATGTCTCTCATACATGACAGGAGCTCCCCACTCAGAGCCCCTGTATCTGAATCCTGTCCCACTCTGTCCACGATGCTGCTCCCAGACTAGATACCTAAATGAATCATGCGAAAATTTACTTCAAATGTTTCCTGAAATGTCATCCATAGAGAGGCCTTCTTGCTACCTTATATAATACTGCAACATGCCTCAATATTTCCTATCACCTTGCATACCTTCTATTCTTCATATTAATATGAATTTTCTAATACAGTATAATGTTATTCTGTCTATTGTCTATCCCTCACCACTAGGTCATAGGAGTCAAGAAATAGTTTGTTGTTTGTTTTAGTTTATTTCTACATTTCTAGAACTATGCTTTGCACACAGTAGGTAATCAGTAAATAGTTGAATTAATAAATGAATAAATTATCCTACCTGTTGGTACTATTCTCTGGAATTATTTTATTTGGTTGGTTACCTGTGGGCATTTAAGAAGAAAAATCAGTGAAGACAATCATTAACACGTCATATAATTTCTGAATGGAGCCAAATAATCTACCTGGTTCCAAGAACTGCAATTAGCTTGTCACTACCAAAAGCCACCCTTGTCTGCATAATTAATAGTAATCATGAATACAATGAAAGATATGCAAATCTTAATTTACCTATAGATTTTAACACTATTTTCCAATAAACATTTTATCAGATATTAATAGAAATTTGAATTCACTCATTTGAGTACTTCTGTCTTTATTTCTCTGGTTTACTTAATTTATAATGCTGAAGAACATATAACCAGACATTGAAAACTATGAAAATTGAACATTCACTTGTTATATAATTTAAGTTCAACCATATTAAGAAAAATACAAAAGGAAAGCAGTGAAGCAGTGTAATGTTCATTATCAATCTGCCTGGAGCTCTGGTGTTAAAGGGTTTGGTGATGGAGAAGGTCTATATTTGAGAATGAGCAGGTTAATTGCAAGTACAAAATATTTTAATAAATAAAAGCCAGGCAAGCTTTTAGATAGTGACCAGATTCTTTGGAGAATTATCATGTTACTTCCAAGAAAAAAATATATTTGGCCCATTCTTTAATTCCAAATAGAGCATAAAGATGGTTTGGACAGAAAAAGCTGATTTGATAAAAATTATGCCTAAAGTTTAATCCTTCATCTTTTAAAGCTCAGACACTGTAAATTAAAAGCCATTGTTTTATCATTTCTGTAATCTTATGGCAAATGTAAAAGTTTCTCTTTCAAATCTGTTTTTACTAATGTTAGGTAGATATATCCTGCATCCATCTATCAAGAACACTTATATTCCATATTTTGCTAATCTAGAAGGACACATAGTTAGGTGTGTCCAAATCTTAAGAAGGTAAGCTAAAGGTTAAAATATTGGGCTGGAAATTATTTTAGTTCCTAGTTAGATCTTTGTTTGCATTTTGATCACTTAAATATTTAGTTATTTCTTTTTTTTTTTTCTTTTTGAGTCAGAGTCTTGCTGTGTCATCCAGGCTGGAGTGCAGTGGCACGATCTCCACTCACTGCAACCTCCGCCTCTTGCGTTCAAGCGATTCTCCTGCCTCAGCCTCCCAAGTAGCTGGGACCACAGGAGCATGCCACAACACCTGGCTAATTTTTTGTATTTTTAGTAGAGACAGGGTTTCACTATGTTAACCAGGATGGTCTTGATCTCCTGAGCTCGTGATCCGCCCATCTTGGCCTCCCAGACTGCTGGGATTACAAGCATGAGCCACCATGCCTGGCCAGTTATTTCATTTTCAACAGACAGAGTGCTAAAGAGAATAACATGAATGAGCACGAAGAATCTGTGAATTTGATTACATATGCTTTTGCATACATGCTGTAGTTTTTAGTCATGTCAGTATAAGCAAAATATACTTTGAATGAACTAAAATGTGTTTTAATTTATAAATACAACCTTTTTGATCTATGTTACCATTAATAAGGATGTAATGTGTGTAACACATGTTCATGAATTGAGGATTACGTTAGAACAATGCATAGCTATTATTTTATATCTTCAAATAGACATTAATAGGATCCAAGTCAAAGTATTTTAATTGATTGAAGCCATATGATTGAAATTATATTTACAAAATGAGCTCTAAAATGGTGATTGTATTAATAGATCCTGTATCTGCATTACTGCAAGCTTTCAAATGCATTCTTCTATTCCACATACGAATCTTTTTACATTTTATTTATTAAATTAGAAGTATATGGATCTAATTAGTTGCATTCAGACATAGCTATCTAGTATAAATCAAAGAAAAAATAAATTTCATAACACATCTGGATGTTTGATGTGAATAACATCTGAATATTTGAAAATAAATGGATGATTGAGTTTTTTCTTTTATGCAAATATTTTGGCATCACTTAAAACTAGTAGCATTCTGGGGCCAGGCACAGTGGCTCGCGCCTGTAATCCCAGCACTTTGGGAGGCTGAGGCGGGCGGATCACCTGAGGTCGGGAGTTTGAGACCAGCCTGACCAATATGGAGAAACCCCATCTCTACTAAAAATACAAAATTAGCCGGGCGTGGTGGTGCATGAGCTACTAGGGAGGCTGAGGCAGGAGAATTGCTCGAACCTGGGAGGCAGAGGTTGTGGTGAGCCAAGATTGCCTCATTGCACTCCAGCCTGGACAACAAGAGTGAAACTCTGTCTCAAATAAATAAATAAATAAAAGTAGTAGCATTTGGAATCCTACACAAACAGAACTCATTAATTTAGGATATAAATTATTATTGTAGTCAGTGGCGATTTATTTAAATACACAATATTTTGAGTATGAGTTTTGTTACCTATTACTGGAAGTTACTGAATAATATATTGTACTTATTTTCTCTGTCTTTCCAAGTCCTCACAACATATAAGAGCAAAATAGGGAGTTTATTTTATTTGGTTCTGAGACATATACCAAAGAAATCAGAAACCTCACTGGGAAAACCCTGTACATGTTGATGCTCACCAATGTCATGAGAAAAGTGAAATTCAATTTCTAAACGTAGATTTAAAAGAAATAGTTTTGAGTGGCCGGGCGCGGTGGCTCACGCCTGTAATCCCAGCACTTTGGGAGGTGAGGCGGGTGGATCATAAGGTCAGGAGATCAAGACCATCCTGGCTAACATGGTGAAACCCCGTCTCTACTAAAAATACAAAAAAAAATTAGCTGGGCATGGTGGCAGGTGCCTGTAGTCCCAGCTACTCAGGAGGCTGAGGCAGGAGAATGGCCTGAACCCGGGAGGCGGAGCTTGCAGTGAGCCAAGATCACGCCACTGCACTCCAGCCTGGGCAACAGAGCAAGACTCCGTCTCAAAACAAAACAAAACAAAACAAAAACAAAAACACACACACAAAAATTAGCTGGGCGTGGTGGCAGGTGCCTGTAATCCCAGCTACTCGAGAGGCTGAGACAGGAGAATCGCTTGAACCCTAGAGGTGGAGGTTGCAGTGAGCTGAGGTCTCAGAGGTTGCAGTGAGCCGAGATCGTGCCACTGCACTCCAGCCTGGGTGGCAGAGCAAGACTCTGTCTCAAAAAAAAAAAAAAAAAAAAGTTAGTGAACAAAATTTAAAATAACTTGATCTATTTTATACATTTTGTTGTGATTATCTTTCTAAAAGATCCTTTCCAAAAAAATAGCCACACCATGAAGTGTTAAAAATCCTAATCACAGAAATAACTCTCCATTTCTATTTCTGGATTTATTGTAATTCTGAATACCAAAAAGTGTGAATTTCCCACAAGAGCTCAGAGGAATAATGATCTATTACTTATCAATAATTTAATAACAATGATTTGGTTTTTAAAAAACATTTGCTTCTAATTTGCTTTATTTTTATAAAAAAAAAAACTACCAAATTGCAGGCCGGGCACGGTGGCTCACACCGGTGGTCCCAGCACTTTGGGAGGCCAAGGCGGGTGGATCACGAGGTCAGCAGTTCTAGACCAGCCTGACCAACATGGTCAGGCTGACCATGAGACAGGAGTGAAACCCTGTCTCTACTAAAAATACAAAAAAAATTAACTGGGCATGGTGGCGGGCACCTGTAATCCCAGCAATTTAGGAGGCTGAGGCAGGAGAATCACTTGAAACTGGAAGGTGGAGGTTGCAGTGAGCCGAGATTGCACCACTGCACTCTAGCCTGGGCAATAAGAGCAAAACTCCATCTCAAAACAAAACAAAACAAAAAAACTTTCAAATTGCTTTTCAAAAAGATTGTATTTGTTTATATTCCCACAAGAAATGTACAAGAGTTCCAGTTGATCCAAGGCCTCATCAATACATTGTTTTGTCAATGTATTTAGTTTTAGCCATTCTAGTGGGTGTGTAGAAGTATTTCACCATGTTTTTGATTTGCATTTCCTTAGTGATTAATGAAGTTGAGCATCTTTTCCTTTGCTTGCTGACAATTCATATTTTCTTTGGCTAAATGTCCGTTCAAATCTTTTGCCCATATTTTAATTGAGTTGTCTGCTTTCTTGATACTGTATTGGGTTGGAAGAGGTGTTTTTGATTTTGGTATTTTTCTTTGTGTGTGTGTGTGTGTGTGTGTGTGTGTGTGTATCCTGCCCCACCCCCACAAATTCTGTACCTTTATCATAACTACTTAAAAATATCTTTTTGGCTGTGTGCAGTGGCTTACACCTGTAATCCCAGTACTTTGGGAGGCCAAAGTGGGAGGATCACTTAAGCCCAGGAATTTGAGACTAGCCAGGGCAACACAGTGAGACCCCTGCTTCTCGATGAAAAATAAAAATGCGGCTGGACATGATGGTGCATGCCTGTAGTCCCAGCTCGGGGGCTACGGTAGGAGGATCACTTGAGGCCAAGAGGTTGAGGCTACAGTGAGCTGTGATGGCATCACTGCACTCCAGCCTGAGGGACAAAGGGAGACCCTTTCTCAGAAAAAATAAATGGATAAATTATTTTCTCTCATTCTGTGCACGTGATTTCATTTTTGCAAGGATGTCTTTTAAACATCAAATGCTTTTAATTTTTACCAATGGTCAGTTTATCAAATTTTGTTTTACTTGGGACCTGTTACCCCTTTCTTCTTTTCTATTTGTCCCTTTTGAAATGGGAATATCTATCCTATGCCTGTCCTATTACTGTATTTTGGAAACACATAACTTGTTAGGTTTCACAGGCTCACAGCTGGAGGGAAATTTGTCACAGAATGAATCATACCTTGAGTGTCACCCATTTCTAATTTAGATGATATTCAGGTAAGACTGCTCTTCAGACTTTTGAGTTGATGATGGAACAAGTGGCATCAGAGAGCTACCTGGCCCTTCCATCTTCATTGGAGGACACAGTGTTCAAGGTGCCATCTTGGAAGCAGAGGCTAAGCTCTCGCTAGACACTGAACTTACCAACAACTTGATCTTGGGCTTCTCAGCCTCCATAACTATGAGAAATAAATTTCTATTGTTTATAAATTACCCAGTTTCTAGTATTTTGTAATAGGAGTAGAAGACTAACATAGTTATTCTGTGTTTCATATAACATCACATGAGGAACCATACAGTGTTTTTTCACCATCTTAGTCATGCTAACCAACATGGACCATATTCCCTTCATTGTGAACATTTCCGTCAATTTTCTACATCTTTGTTTTCAATTGAGAGTTAGTTCCTAAATCACTTATTTTACCTGGAGCTGTACATGACATTTTTTTTTTTTTGGAGACGGAGTTTAACTCTTGTTGCCCAGGCTGGAGTGCAATGGTGCAATCTTGGCTCACTGCAAACTCCTCCTGGGAGTTCAAGTGATTCTCCTGCCTCAGCCTCCTGAGTAGCTGGGATTACAGGCATGCACGACCATGCCCAGATAATTTTGTATTTTTTAGTAGAGACGGGGTTTTTCCATGTTGGTCAGGCTGGTTTCAAACTCCCAACCTCAGGTGATCCACCTGCCTCAGCCTCCCAAAGTGCTGGGATTACAGGTGTGAGCCACCAAGCCCAGCCTAAAATGACAATTTTTAAAAATTTAATTATACTTTGTTATTATTAGATCAAATATTATCATAAAGAATAACTTTCCCTCCCTTATCATCCAAAGCTCTTTGGACAGTATGAATTATCAATCATAAGGAAAATTCAGACTAAATTCTTGATTATTTCATTTTAGTTGCTAATTTAAGGAACAGGTGTTGGTGCCAAATTTCTCCAGTGGTGTTGTTCAATGAATTTCTTGATTCCTTTACAATTCCTGCACCCCCAGCCCCACCTTGTTCTCTCTCTCATCTCCACCTCTTTCAATCTCTCATCACATAATAAACTCAGAACCCTATTTTAATGTTTTATATAATTCCCTTAATCATTCTTTCTTATGTTCAAATTATTCTCCTATATTTGAAAAATGTGAGCTATTTATGTTGGTTTCTGTGTCCTTTTACACAAAATAACAGAGTTTGACAGATGCTTGATTATTGACTCACTGAAATTCTCCAGGTTGATTTATATATTTTCTGCCACATGGCTGAAGTCCAGTATTCTTTGCAAAAGCTATAATTCCTTTTAATGAGGAATGGTATTTTAAGGTGATAATATAGATAAGTAGTGTCTATTCCTATTGGGTTGCCATTGCTTCCAGGCATTTGCAATGAACGAAACTGAAAAATAATAATTGCTGTATAATTATATGTTGCAATGTAAATATCCTTGTGCTCATTCTTAGAAGTTATGTTAATTGAGATAATCACATAATTAAATAACATTTAATAAATATACATGTGGAATCTCTATTTCTGGTGATAGAAAATGACTTGTCTAACCTAACCCATGCTGTAGTGGGACAGCAAAGATTTGATTTGGGGTTTTCTAATTCTCAGGTAGATTATTTCCATCCCAACTCTATATCCATAGGGGGTAAAACCATAAAATATTAGCAATAAATTACTGTTTGGCATATTATAATGTTCAGAATAAATAAATATATAGAAGTTGATATAAAACATTTACTTTAATGGAAGACAGAGAGTTCATAACCTCTGTAAAATAATTATTTGATTAAATAATGTCAAGTTATAAACGCAGTTGAATAAGAAATGGAATTGCTGAGTCAAAATTTTACTCTGTCTTGAGTGTGTAAGTCACTAATGAGTCAACAGTTTCCACAGCCGTCAATATGCAAACCATAATGGTGAATAACTTGTTACATCTGAAACTATAATCCTCTCTCCCTGACTCTCTGAATTGTTACTCTTTGTAGATTAGTGCTTTTGAGATTTATTTAGAATGTCTATAATGATACCAAAGCTTTTAATGTCTCTAAAATATGTAAAAATTTGTGACTAATTCCTCCTTTAGAGCATGAATACATGTATCCTTCATAATAAAATATAGCGATATGAAATTTTATATACTAGACATATTTTAGTTTTAAAAATTTTACTCCACAATTTCAAAATAAAATGTTCCTATTTGTAAATACGTAATGTTTTTGACACAATTAAAAAATTTGGATACAATAATTTTAGGAAAATGCAGACCTAATGCATGAGATACAAGCATAGATAAGTTCCCCTCTTATCATCTAAAGTATCTGAATATTAATCTCTATATTTGATTTAGTTATTTGGTTTATATTTAGTTTTACACTAGACCTAGTCCTGAAAAATTAATACATAAAATAAAGATCAAACATAGGTTTGATATGTTTTAATTCACATCTAAAATATAATCTCACCTGAAAATGATTTACAGGGTTTTAAAATCATTTCAATAAGTTCTTATTCACTATCTTAATTCTTTTTTGGCAAAATCCAACTGCCTATTAATGTCCCTTAGCAGAATAAAAGTGAAAAGTCTGTCCAATGGTAACAGTTCCTGAGCCCCATGGATCTGCAACTTTTCAACTTCTGGAATTCTCTTGCTGCCATTGAAGCTTTCACTACTCATCTGACCACAGCACAACCCTATTTCTTCCCTCTCCCCTAACTGGAAAACTAGTGAGAAATAATATTTCAGGTCTCCAATGGATTGCAAAGGAAATTCCTGTAGTCTGTGATCAGTATATTCTTTCCACTCTAAATACTAAGTGACTATATATTTATATGTTTTTGCCATTTTATATTCTAATATAATCTGTTCTCAGATTCAGAAAAACTGGGATTCCTTTCCATTCCAATTCTTTCAGAAATAAGAAATCTTCCACTGGCATAGTGCCTTTGGGTTGCCTATTTAAAGAATTTCACACATATTATAGCAAACATTTTTCATGTTTTTATGGCTTTTATTAAAGCTTATGCAATACTTGTTAAATCACTCAGATTCTGACACTCAAAACAACATGAAACTCTTGAGTCATCAAAACAAATTTACAGGGAATTTCTGAGGTGGCTGCAATAGAGTAGCTGACTAACACTCCCACTGAGAACAACTAGAAAAAAACAGATATAATTACAAAGAGGGAGAGGCTTCGTTTGAAGTCACTGGAAGAGTCGCTGAGGCTATCAGGACTTGAGGGGTCAAGATCCCTCAAAGAGGTCAATCACAAAAGGGTTACCTGACATTCTGTAAGCAGCTTTCATATTTAGATCATTTGCTGGAGAGAGAGATTGAGAAACAAGGCAGAAGCCAAAGCAAAAACACAAAAAGCTGAGAAACAAAATAGCTTTGGTAAACACATGAGGTATGTAGGGAAAATATGGTAGGATCAAGAGACAGAAATTAGTGTGAGGTATCTAGAACTTAAAAGGCAAAATCCAAGAGAGACAGAAGGAAAAAATGGGCTTACAGTTAGCAATACTTCTCTTTAATTTTTTAAATCTATACACAGAGAAAGAGTCTAAAAAAATTAAGAAGAAAAGTAGAGGCTGGGCACGGTGGCTCATGCCTGTAATCCCAGCACTTTGGGAGGCTGAGGCAGGTAGATCACAAGGTCAGGAGATCGAGACCATTCTGGCTAACACGGTGAAACCCTGTCTCTACTAAAAATACAAAAAATTAGCAAGGTGTGGTGGCGGGCACCTTTAGTCCTAGCTACTTGGGAGGCTGAGACAGCAGAATGGCGTAAACCCAGGAGGCGGAGGTTGCAGTGAGCTGAGACTGCGCCACTGCACTCCAGCCTGGGTGACAGAGTGAGATCCCGTCTCAAAACAAACAAACAAACAAAAAGGAAGGGACAGAAAAGAACCTAAGGAAAGTATGGGATGTTATGAAAAGAAAAAAATATATAGTATATGTGTAGAGTCCCAGAAACAGGAGAGAGAGCATAAGGCTAAAACAGTACTGAAAAGCTAATGTCTAAAAATTTTCCAAACTTGGCAAAAGCAGTTATGCTAAAGATCCAAAGATTGTATCCATAGCCTTAATTCAACTATATATAATGCAGAAATTAAAATTATATATATCAAGCAAGATAATTTCACCACATTAATAAAGAGGGAGAAAATGATAAGATAATGGCAAAAGATGAAAATTTTCTTTTGATAAAATTCAACACTATCAATAATAATAAAACTAAGAAAACAATGACTAGAATAGAACTTTTTTTTACCTTCTAAAATATCTACAAAGACCAACAGCAAACATTATACACATTAGTGGTGTGTTGAAAGCTTTACTCTTAAGGTCAGAAATAAAATACCCAGTATCATGTCTATTCAACGTTGTACAAGAAGTCCTAGCCAGTGTAATAAGGCAAGAAAAAGAAATAAAATATATAAATGGTGATAAAAGACTAAAACTACCTTTATTCACAGATAGTAGAATACAGAAAACCTAAATAATCCAGATTCTAAAAATAGAACACATATTATAGACCATAGATTCACATGATCTGTATACAAAAATCATTTTGTATACATTTACAATTTGTTAGATAATGAAATTTAAGAAAGATACCATTCATGAAAGAATCAAGTATCAAATAACTTAGAATAAATTTAATGCTAAATACACAAGCATCTAAACAGAAACTACAAAATGTCACTGACAAATTAAAGAAGGCCTAAACAAGCCAAAGTACATATTGTCAAAATATTTATTCTTCAAAAATTGATGGATAGAAAAAAACTAGTCTTCAACAAAATCCCAGAAGATTATTTTTCATGTTTGTGTGTTTAGAAGTTGGAAAAATGTTTTTAAAACTTGTATCAGAATTCCGTCGGGCACAGTGGCTCACGCCTGTTATCCTAGCACTTTGGGAGGCCGAGGCAGGCGGATCATAAGGTCAGGAGATTGAGACCATCCTGGCTAACATGGTGAAACCCCATCTCTACTAAAAATACAAAAAATTAGCCAGGCGTGGTGGCAGGTGCCTGTAGTCCCAGCTACTCAGGAGGCTGAGGCTGGAGAATGGTGTGAACCCAGGAGGTGGAGCTTGCAGTGAGCCAAGATGGCACCACTGTACTCCAGCCTGGGTCAGAGTGCGAGACTCCATCTCAAAAAAAAAAAAAAAAAACCATATCAGAATTCAAGAATAGTCAATCTATTCTCAAAGTAGAGTAATATTCACTGGTATATATCATTGGATATCTAGACTTATTTTAAACATTCTATTATTGGTGCAAGCAAGACAAATAGGCCAGAATAGAGTTCAGCAACAGACTTTCACTTACAGAGTCAGCTGTCTTACAAAAAGTGCCACTGCAATACAATGGAGAAAAGTAGTCTTTTCAATGCATGGCATTGATTCAGTTGGATATTCACATGGAAAAATGAAATAAACTTTATCTCCAGCATACACCATACACAAAAGTCAATTTCAAATGTTTGCAGACCTAAATGTAAAAGGTAAACAATACGTTTTTAAAACTTTATTAAGATGGGAGAGTAGCTTTCTTTCTTATTTGAAGTAAGCAAACATTTCTTAAGCAGGACCTAAAAGCACTACAAATTAACAAAAAATTAATAAATTCAACCTCACTAAAATTAAATATTTCAGTTCGTCAAAAGATATCACCAAAACTGAAAAAGCCTCAGAGTTGAAGATGTGGCAATATATCAATCTGCCAAAGGCTTGTATTCATAATGCATACACAAAAAACTCCCACAAACCAATGAGAAAAAAAACAAACAGAATCTCTAGTTTAAAGGAAAAAAGAATAAATGATTGATTAGGTACATGACAAAAGATGATATCCAAATGTTCATTTAAAATATTTAAAAAGTGATTTTTAACATCATTACTCATCAAATAATTCAGACTTAAACTACCATGTATCATCATTAAGCACCTAAAAGAATGGCTAAATTTGAAAAAGGCCATGATAAGTTGGTGCAGATTTAAACTATAATACTTTTTATACACTGCCAATAGGAATGTAAAAAGATGAAAATTAGGCTGAAAAACTGTTTGGCAATATTTGCTAACGCTACAAATACACACACCCAACAATTCCATTCCTAGACATACACCCAAGGGAACTGCACACATATATGCATCACACAACTTGTTCAAGAGCGTTCATAGAAGCATTATTTAAAAGAGCCCCAAACCAGGAAAAATATCTGAATGTATGTCAAAGGTAACATTGACAAGTAAATTGTGATAAATTCTTTTTTTTTTTTTTTTTTTTTTTGGAGACGGAATCTCTCTCTGTCACTCAGGCTGGAGTGCAGTGGTGTGATCTGGGTTCACTGCAAGCTCCGCCTCCCAGGTTCATGCCATTCTCCTGCCTCAGCCTCCCAAGTAGCTGGGACTACAGGCGCCCACCACCACGCCCAGCTAATTTTTTGTATTTTTAGTAGAGACGGGGTTTCACTGTGTTAACCAGGATGGTCTCCATCTTCTGACCTTGTGGTCAGCTCACCTTGGCCTCCCAAAGTGCTGGGATTACAGGCAGGAGCCACCACGCCCGGCCAACAGATTTCTTATTAAAACTAATGTTAGGCCGGGCACGGTGGCTCAGGCCTGTAATCCCAGCATTTTGGGAGGCTGAGGCGGGTGGATCACCTGAGGTCAGGAGTTTGAGACCTGCCTGACCAACATGATGAAACTCCATCTGTACTAAAAATACAAAAATTAGCTGGGCATAGTGGTGTGCGCCTGTAATCACAGCTACTGGGGAGGCTGAGGCAGGAGAATTGCTTGTACCTGGGAGGTGGAGGTTGCAGTGAGCCAAGATCTTGCCACTGCACTCTAGCCTGGGCGACAGAACAAGACTCCGTCTCAAAAAACAAACAAACAACAACAAAAAACTAAGGTTACAATTATCTCCTTTATCAATAATATCTCAATTAAATATCTACTGTTACACTCATTTAATGTGGATAAAAGTGAAGCTCAAATAATCTAACTTTCCCAAGGGCACCTGAAATCTGACCACTACCATCCATTTTTTGTCAATACCCTCATCCAAGCCACCCTCATTGCTTGTCTGGACTACTTAAGCCTAGAAGCCTCAAATTCACGATTTCTTCCTCCAGTCAACCTTTCAACATTGTTAAGTTGCCAGTCTATTACTTAATGTTGGAATTTTAATAGGTCTTTCATCTTTAAAGCTTTTAATAGCTTCCCATTGCATTTAAAGTAAAACCCAGACATTTCCTGACTAACATGACCCTTCCAAATTCATGTCTCTACTTGACCCATGGTCATTATGTGCCAGCCAGCCACACTGCTCCTCCATCCATTTCCTACTGCAAAGACTCCTTAAATGTGAGTCCTCTACCGGAATAGTCTACTTTCTGAGATTCTTTGCCTTTTTGTCCTTTCGATATCAGTCTAAATTCGCTTCCTCAGAATGAACTTCCTTGACTTTCCAGTTTCAATTGAGTCTCCCTCATAGTCTTTTAAAAAGTATATTAATTTCAATTATAGATCTTTAAATCTCAGTTTGCAATTACATATTTATTTGGGTAATATAATAATAATATAATAATAATAATAAGAGAGGCGGAGCTTTCAGTGAGCCGAGGTAACACCGCTGCATTCTAGCCTGGGCGACAGAGCAAGACTCCATCTAAAAAAAAATCTGTTTAACTGGGAAAATAAGGACATTCATATACTGTACCAAACTTTCCAAGTAGATAACTGCTGTCTGTCTCAGCAGTTAATAGTCTTGGTCCTGGTTCCTCAGAACTCAAGGTCATCTTGGTATACCATATCACAATCTATCTGTCCTAGAGGATACTTTCCTTTGACCTTGATTCTCCATGGAACGGTGTTACAGCTTATACATCTACTCATTATGGATTCATAAGAATATACATATTAGTATTTACTGAGCCTCTACAATGTGAAAGGTACTGTCCTAGATATTTCAAACATATTTAATGTCATTGTTCCAACTTTTGAAATAAACTGAGGCTTAAACACATTATTTAATGTGCTAAAAGCCACAGACAAGATTAAATTCCAGGTCTGTCTAATTCTAATGCTCATGCTCTTTTCACAATATCAACCCAATTTAGAGATTCCTACAGTGACTGAGCTTCATGTCCTTGTAATCTTCTCTAAATGGCTGAATTATCCACTTTTGCATCCCAGTCTTCTAATCTCCTGGTACCATTTACCTATCTGCTTTTGAATCCTTCCTCCAATTCCACCAATATTAAAATATTCTTCATTTTTTACATCTTTTAGACATGGCTAAGCAAAATTTTGGTGCTATCTATGCTTTTTTTTTTTATTTTCATCTGGCCCCAGGTTTATACTTTTTCAAATATCCATGGATCCATCACCAGAGTAACAAATCACTGGCTGTTTCTCCATATTTAGCATGTGTCTTATCCTGTCTGACAGGTGGAAGGGTATTCTGAAATCATCTCACATTTTTTTGCTGCCACTGAGCTTCTTTAACACTTATTTTGAAGTCAGGACTATTGATATCTACATAAATTGTTAGCCTATCTAAACCTATAGTCTAGTTTTTGAAAATATTTTAAAAGCAGAAATAAAAATATGCTTTAGTTCAATTCGGTAGTAGTTTACTGAACTTCCATTATATGTAAAACATTCTAGTGTAAATAAATAGAGAGCACAATTCTTTCTCTCTAGTACCTGGATTTCTACATATTCCCCAAAACAGAGTCTCTATTTGTTCAACAAATAGAGTTGAATTTATGCCATGGGGAAGGAATTTTATTTATCCAAGTACTGATTTAAAAAGAAATATGGATAAAATAAAATAAATAATAATGTTAATTTAAAAATAGCATTTGATTAAATATCAGTTGAAACTGTTAAAACAATCAGAACTTTGAGAAAATAGCCTCAATTATTAATGTATTCTAGAAACTTTATAGAGAGTGACACTTAAAGCAACTTATCTGTACTGTAATGTGTTGTGGTGATGCCTTCAAGCTAAATCCTAAATCCTTGGATTTGATTAGAAACCTCAGGCTACCGTAAGTTAGAAGAATAAATATGTTCTCTGCTGGAAAATGAAGGGAGTGGCTCCAGTCCCAGTTAGGTCAGCCAAGAGCTAAAGGGAGGAGAAAGAATGGAGGAGGAATCCAAATTTATTAAACCATATTGTACACATTTAAAAAGCATATTTTATGTGCTTTCAGGTAGAAAGAAGAAAAATCTGGTAACAATTTACACTGATGTTTAGACTCATCCACAACAGTGTTTGTTAATTCGGAATAATAATAAAGATATCAATTTTTACTTATTTTATCATTTCATTAATACGATTTTTAATTTAGAGCTGTGACAGGAGCCTCAGTTTCTTTATCTCTATGCAACATGGACTCAAGCCTTATTATTCCAGCCACTGCTGATGTTGTGTGTTGACATTAACACCAAAATCTCCATGTTCCAAAACCCCTTGTTTGCCTGCAAGAATATTGATGCCCATGAATCACTTTGACTTGTAATTTGCTCCTGGGAGCAGTGGAGCTGGGATTCATTGGCCCAGGCCTCCTGCAGATCCACAGATACTGTGTTTCTCTGAGGTCATTACCAGGAGAGCATTGGTTATTGGTAAATCTCGGATATCAACTTCTACCTTCTTTCTCCTTTTACAAAATAAGAAAAAGCAGAGTTTTCCATGTTATGTCTATTTAGGATGTCCAATAAAAAACTGATTAGGATGAAGAATATTACAGAAATTTTTGAAACTGTTCTTTCAATGCTTTCTGGTGGCCGAGTTGGACCTGTGTAGCCAGTCCAGTTTTCCAAATTGCGATGCTCATGGTTCCCAGTGCATTTTTGTGAGGCCATTTTTGTCACCTAGGATCTGGTGGGGCTGGAATGTACCACTCCTGAGTAAAAGTGGAAAACTACTTTTGGACCTTAAAGTAGATGAGCAATACCCTTTCTAATGAAGTGAGAAAACAACAGTCTTCTGTAACACTCAACTTGGTAAACAGATCCTAAACCAAAGTTACTTCCATTTTAAAAGGTTATATTCCTGAGCAGATCTTTCGAATTGTAGGCAGAATCTCTAATTTCTAGCATTCAAATGTGATGATAAGGAAGTTGGGTTAGAATCAGCATATCTCAGCCAGGATAGGTGGCTCACGCCTGTAATCCCAGCACTTTGGGAGGCCAAAGCGGGTGGATCACGAGGTCAGAAGATTGAGACCATCCTGGCTAACGTGGTGAAACCCCATCTCTACTAAAAATACAAAAAATTAGCCGGGTGTGGTGGCGGGCACCTGTAGTCCCAGCTACTGGGGAGGCTGAAGCAGGAGAATGGCGTGAACCTGGGAGGCGGAGCTTGCAGTGAGCTGATACCACGCCACTGCACTCAGCCTGGGGGACAGAGCGAGAATCCCTCTCAAAAAAAAAAAAAAAAAAAGCATATCTCATGAATCTGCACTGGGTCTTCCTTAGCTCTTCCAGCTATCCTTCTCTCTGCATCGGGCTCACCATTCTGATCCTCCTCTTTGGTTAAGTTTTCTCTTGGAAGAACCTTTCTTTCTCCAGGCAATCTGGACTCCACAGAAATAAAACCGGTCTGTGAAAAGAGAATATGTTTGTGCTACAGTTTATATTACCTCAAGACATTCAGCCAGGAGAATCATCACTACTAACATATATTAGTGTTGTAGGATTTCCTCCTTTGTTCAGCAAAAGACGGGGTCTTTGTCCCATGGCCATGAGATGTTAGGTTCACAGACACTTTGAAGGGTGAGAAACATGGAATTTATTTGGTGAAAAGGAAAAAAAGGGAAACAGGGACTCTCTGCAAAGCCTGAGTCCTGCTGGCTGGCCTCCCGCCTCACAGATTGAATCCCAGTTCCCACCCTGGAATAGGAGAGGCCAAGCTCCTCCCTCCTGCAATCTGGGTGAACTTTCTGAGGCTCCACACTGTTTTCCCAGTGGTCAGGCTGGTCAGAGTTTCTCCCTGGACCGCTCCACATTAGCGGATATAAGTAGCTAGAAGCAGGAATAGTGTAGCACCTTGTTCCATTCACTTTAGGACGTTGGTGTCAGTGTGGTAGTCAGGATTGAAGAGGTATTGTTGCAATACCAGGGATAGATAATGAAAATCACATGAGCTGAACAATAAAGAAGGTGACACATTAAGATGTGTGGCAGCTAAGAAAAAGATATTTTGGTCAGGAAACACATGGAGACAACAAAAGACAATTTCATATGTCAGGTGAAAAATTAATGTCAGTTGCTATTATAGAATGTGTAAATATAAGAACTATTTTGATGTACCTTGCCAAGATGTCTCATTTAATAGAAATTTTTGGCTTCTTTGACCCATGATTTAACAGATATTGATTTTCAGAATGTGTCTGTTTAATTTTTTTTGTTATATTTACATTTATCTTCTTTTCAGCAAAAGGTCAATCTGTTACTTGATAGAAATAAGAGCTTCCAGGAAGTAAACAAGTTCAGCTCAGAGCAAGAAGTTAAGATCCTTCCATAGAATATTGAAAAGGAAGTAAATATATCTTCAGAGTATTTGGATCCCCTAGGACTGAACACAGGCAGTCTGACTTCAAGTCTACACTCATAAATACCATACTCCCTTTTCTAAGTCAAATGAAAAAATGTGGGTAAAATGCTCATATATTGTACACAGTAAATGCTCAATCAACATTAGTCAATGTTAAATTGGTAGATTAAGTTATTCATCTGAATTTTTGACCTACTGAAAGCTGAATATTATAGCAGTTTTTGGCCTTGTTTTCCAGTAAACATTGCTAAAGCAGTAAACTCAGAGCTCAGCTCACTTCTATATGTTAAACTGACCACAGTTAATAAGTATGATAGACTGCATATAATATAGCTATGAATCATTCTTCTCCCTGGTATCCACACTGTCTTTGCCCTATAATCCTGAGTACTCACCCACTCTAATGCTGGGGTTGGCCATGTGACTTGTTTTAGTGAATGGGACAATAGCAAATGAACAGAAACTTGGAAATGCTTATGCTTTGGGGATTGTTTTTTTTCTTGTTGCTCATGGAACTCTGCAACCACTACATGAGTAAGCCCGGACCAGTCTGCTGGATGAAGAGAGACCCATGACCCAGTCACCACTGTTGTACTAGCCAGCTACCAGCCAGCCATTGAGACTATGAATGAGATCATTCTAGATCAGCCAGCCCCAATCAGTTTCTAGGTAATAGCTGATGAATGCGTGAGATTAACTCAGCTCTTTGGAAGAGCCACTCATGAAATCCAGCCCATATTGCAGCCTGATGAATTGTGAGCCAAAAAATAGTTGTTGTTTTAAGCCACTAACATTCAGGGTGACATATCTCTCCCTCAAACTAACAGATAAAATAAGAAAATGGAATCCAATTAACCTTTATTGATACTATAGTTTGGAGTGGAATGGAAATTATGTGGAAATTTGGCAATTATTGGATTAATAAGATAGCACAGATACACGTATTGAGGCAGTCCTATCTATATTCTGATCTACATTATCAGCTTTGGTACTACATGGGATCATGTCATAGGCAAATTATTAAATTATTTTCTTTCTAAAATTTTTAAGCAGCTCTGGAGTTTAGTATGTAAATTAGTAATGCACAGGTGACTGCTCATTCTTGGAGTTATTTAAGGTCATCTGGCTTTGTACTCAGTTGTACTTTTGAAGCTGGCAGAGCTACAGTTTAATGTAAATTAGGAACTGAAAACTATTAGCATCAAAGCCTCAGTGAGATTTTTATCTGGCAAAACTTCTCAGTCCTATTCTCAGAGCGAATGAAGGAAAAAAAATGGCATAGGAAATCCTGCCAGTCTTGGGAGAGTAGATGCCTTTCAACATGACGGTCTCGACCCTCTGTACAGGGTAGGTCAATTTCCTTTGGATACACCCTATTTTTAGAGGGATTGTTTACTCTAAAATGTTGACTGCCATGTAATAGTATAATTGAAATGAAGAAAGATTGTTGTGTTGGACTAGCCAGCACTGTCAGCATTTCAATGTGTTACATATCTGAACAGCAGCCAATGATCATATTTTTCTAGGTGAGCAGGTGATGCTCTTTACTAATGTTAGAATAAAGAATTCCATTTCTGTAACATAGCAATAGTAAAAGAAAGCAGAGTGATACCTATTTTAAATAATCTAATTCATACCAGTCTAGAGAAACTCACTGTTTTTTTTTATAATTTATATAATGCATACAGCAAAAGCTGGATATAATAATTGCCTCTTAGACATTTTAATCATTGATCTAATTTTAATTCCCATAAAAACATGTAATTTTGCAAGATAGTACCAAATGATTTTGTGTTTTAGTTTCCATTGTGGAAAAATATTTTTTCCGAAGACTAAAGGCATTAGCTGAGGTTTCTATAATACTCAAAACATTCAAGAATAGTATGACACAATATGTATGATCAAATAGATTTTTCAGTGTCTTAAAATATTTAATAATTGTTTATATTTTCATTATGCCTACCAAGATACCCTCTAGTAGCTCAAAACATTTCTTCATTAAATATAATTATATATATTTTTTAAGCATAGAAGTAGAATGAAGTCTATTTGACCTGGAAACTGCATGACTTAGAGAATCATTGGCCAAGGAAATTGCAATTGTCAGTTGGTGAGAATATATTTACCATCTGTCATCTTCTGTGCTTCTGCTTGGCACTGCCCACTGGAACATTCAGAGTGGCTTTTAGCATTAAAATTCTTTTCTAGTTGTGATCTTCCCAAGTCAGTGTTTTTCCAACTATTACCATGCATACCTGTTAAATTTATCATTTCTACTAACATGGCTTTGGTTGGGATAAAGCACTTGGACAGAATTATTTGTACATAGCAGAAAACATGCCAAGAGCAGATGGATAGGTGGCACCATTGTTACTAGTAAATTTAAATAAACAAAAGTGGAAGCAAAGTTTTAAAAAATGTTTAAGGAAAAATAGCAGTTTCAGGACAAGCAGCAGTTTGGGAACCAGATTTTCATTCACTGAGCTGTGATGTATGAGTGTGTACAAATAATAGCCAAACTTTTAATAAATGAAATTAATGTAACTATTCTATGAATTAAGTTGACTCTATTTGTTCACTGCTTTGGATACTTTCATTAATAACCCTGTTGATGTTTCAATGTTAACATTGCCCAAGGGAAGAATTCCAAGAAGTATCCAGAAAAACTATCAAAAATTACTCTTTGTAATACATTATTATCTTGTGGGGGAGGTGCTGTACAAGATGCTGATTCTATTTTTAATATTCTCTTTTAGGGTTTCATCTACTACTACACTTATTAATACTTTAAAAATATGGCCGGGCGTGGTGGCTCACGCCTGTAATCCCAGCACTTTGGGAGGCCTAGGCAGGCATATCACGAGGTCGGGAGATCCAGACCATCCTGGCTAACACAGTGAAACCCCGTCTCTACTAAAAATACAAAAACTTAGCCGGGTGTGGTGGCGGGCGCCTGTAATCCCAGCTACTTGGGAGGCTGAGGCAGGAGAATGGCATGAACCCGGGAGGCGGAGCTTGCAGTGAGCCGAGATCACGCCACTGCACTCCAGCCTGGGCGACAGAGCGAGACTCCGTCTCAAAATAAAAATACAAATATTTACGTGAATCATATTTAAACCCAACATAATATAAATAGATGTACAAAGCCTTAAGTGTTATTTCCTATTGTTTCTTTTCTCAGAAAGTATTACAAGCATATTTGACTAACATTAAAGTTATAGCTGATAAAAATTCATAAATTATTATTTACTCAAAGTAAAGTTGACCCAATTATTTGGGTGCCATAGTTGACATCAACTACCATAGCTAACTTTGTGATGCCAAATGATGTCAACAACTGTGAGAAAGGTAAAAATTGCATTGATTACACTCTTTTATACTTATTTCTTACACAAACATTTCAGTTACACAGCACACAATAAGGAAAAGAATACAAGTAATTATATTATTAATGTTTTTCAATGAGGAAAACCAAATAATTGACAATAAGTAATTATTTAAATAATTTAAATTTTAAAAATCATAGTTCTCCTTATGTCTAAATATCTTCATATAACATTAACATTGGAAATGTCAGAGACCACGTATATATTTACCTGATTAAATCACAGATTCTATTACTATACTTCCTGTATTCAAATCCAAGAACATTTGTCGGTTGCATGACCTTGGGAAAGCCTCTTCCTTTTTTTTTTTTTTTTTTTCTTTTTAGGTGGAGTCTTGCTTTGTCGCCCAGGCTGGAATGCAGTGGCACAATCTCAGCTCACTGCAACCTCTGCCTCCTGGGTTCACGCCATTCTCCTGCCTCAGCCTCCCGAGTAGCTGGGATTACAGGTGCCCGCCACCACGCTGGCTAATTTTTTGTATTTTTAGTAGAGACGGGGTTCCACTGTGTTAGCCAGGATGGTCTGGATCTCCTGACCTCGTGATCTGCCCACCTCGGCCTCCCAAAGTGCTGGGATTACAGGCGTGAGCCACTGCGCCCGGCCGGGAAAACCTCTTAAGTTTTTGTCCTAAATATCCTCATGTGTAAGAGGGGGGTAATAATATTCCTTATTTCATATGATTGTTGAGATGGTTAAATGTAAAGTGCTTAGCAGAGTACATAGAACTTCAGTTTTCTACTGTTTGTAAAGTGCCAATATTCGTAAGATGAATGTGTATTAGTGAATTCAACACAGCCCTAAGTCTTATTTTTATATTATACCTTTATCATCCATTTTCTTTGTTTCATCCAATAAACTCAAGAATAACTAGTATTACCTGATTTGCCTTGGGATGGTGTTTCCTTTCCTGTAATTATTTTTCAGTATCTTTATATACTCATTCTTCATTATTCAGAGAGGTCAATCCCCGATCAAATTGTATTAGATAAACACATGCCTCTATCATGTTGTATCCTGTGGCTCTCCTGCATTTTTTATAATACTTATTATTTAAATATTGACCTTCTTTGTCATTTATTTACTAACTCACTGTTTATTTTGTTTCATACAACCCTGTGTTCCCTGCATCTAGAACAGCACCTATAGAGTTGGTGCTCAGTGAGTATTTGTGGAATAACTGAATGAATACATGTCCACGTCCCCTTGTTTCTTCCTCAGCCCAAACTTTTATATCTTCTCTACTATTCACATCTTTATCATGTCTCTATCTTGTATGGATATTTGAACTGGGTTGATGGAAATTATATCCTCTTCTGAGTAGCACTTGCTTCATCATCAGTTTCCCCCAGTACAAAAGAGATTTGTTATACTGTACTGTATTATGTTCTTGGAATTGAATAGAACACAGAGGTTCTATTCATGGATTTTAAGTAAAGTTGTAGGAAAGACGGAGAAATGCATGACATGAATTACTTATTCAAAATTACTTAAGCACTTACCAAGTTTTAATGATGTTGCGGAATGGGGATTTTGCTGCTCAGTGTCAGAGAATTGCATGCCAATAGTGCCCACTGGATGTGTGCAATATGGTAGCCCTTCTAGGGAATACTGTGATATACAAGACATACAATGCTCTGCCATTAAAAATAAAGAATTTACAGGAGGGAAGGTAGATAGATATGTAATATAAGTAAAATCCCAAAGCGCAATGTTAGAAGTATAGAGAATTATGAGAACCTAAAGATGGCAATCCTAAGACACTCCAGAAATGACGCAATGCTATCCTGGGGGAGCAATGTTTATCCTCATTCCTGAAGGGTAAGGAGGAGAAGCCAGAATTCCTCATCTGTGCCCAGGGCTGGGTCTGACACACCAAAACTAGTGGTAGCTGTATTTCTGAGGGGCCCAGGTGCTAATTGTGCAGTTTTGGAGCAGATTGGCTGTGTACATAGAGGGAGAGAGACGTCACTCTAACTCTGGTGCCTAGCAATGTCCTTGTAAAAAAAATCCTGGGAAATTGCCAGTGACCAGGTGCCTCCCCTTAGAACATTGCCTAGCAGTACCTGTTAACAAGAAGAATGGTGTAAAAGAAGCTGTGAACTTACGAGATAGCTTATGAGGACTTCCAGAAATAACTGGCCAGCATTTCCAGACATTGCACGAGGAGACAGAGTGATGTCTTGCCATTTTGAGTGAGCCTGTGGAATTTGGGCATTAATATTAATGAATCCTCATCTGAACTCACAAGCTGGTGAGGCTGGCAGACATTATGGGTACCTTGATATAACTGAGAAAATGTATTCCTATGACTCTTTAACTTAGGTCTCTCTTGATACAAAGTTTAATTAACACACCTTAATTTAGGGATGTTTTTGAACATGGAGATTTCTTTATGGCTCCTCAACCCTCATCCCTCCAGGGGATGGCTAATTTCCAGATGACCCTCATTTCATCTAGGCTGCAGCACTATAACCTTCTCTTTCCTGAAGAGAGGCACACAGGTCCCTCTCAATGGTTTTCACTTCAGGGGCTCAGGTAACACTTTCACAACTTCTAGATTACATGGATTGTGAAACTCAGAAATATAAGAGCCATTCATGAACAAATTCTGGGCTGCTTCCTTTCTCCTTGTCTGCCATATCCCCACACCAAGCAATAGAAAAATCTGAAGCTCTCCCAGTCTCTGTAACACAGAGATTGATTTTGCTAAAGAATTATAGCTTTGGCCGGGTGCAGTGGCTCAAGCCTGTAATCCTAGCATTTTGGGAGGCCAAGGCGGGTGTATCACGAGGTCAGGAGCTCGAGACCAGTCTGGCCAATATGGTGAAACCCCATCTCTACTAAAAATACAAAAAAATTAGCTGGGCGGTAGTGGCACGTGCCCACTACTCGAGAGGCCGAGGCAGGAGAATCACTTGAACCTGGGAGGCGGAAGTTGCAGTGAACCGAGATTGTGCCACTGCACTCCAGCCTGGGCGACAGAGCGAGAGGTCTGTCTCAAAATAAATAAATAAGTAAATAAATAAATAATAGCTTTATTTCCAGATGAATTGTGAATCAAAATATTACTAGGATATGATTTTAACAATATGTTTATAAAGAAGGATCTATACAACAGCTATGTCTTTGAGTTTCATCTCTGTTAGCTTATCTGTGTATCTCACTCAGTCTTTATAAAGACCGATCAGAGTTACCCTGTCACGCTGACATGAGGACAGTACATAAAACAAAGACTGGTTGATATAATTGGCAGCATGGACAGTGCTCTTCGACGAATTCAATTCATTTAATTAATATTTATCAAGAGCCCAGATGGAGCCTGGCAGTCTGCGAGGTGCCAGCCACTCCCACCCTCACTGCCTTTATGCCATCTGCTGCACATGTGAGTGGCAGGCAACCCGCCACCTCAGGATGAGAAAATGTGTTCCTAGGTCGCCTTTCTGCTGCTTCCAACTCCCTCTCTGTATCTGGTTCCTCACATGGCTTGAGCTTGTATTTAAACTACACCCCAAGGTATAGGACTCAAAGTTGTAAAATATGCTTTGTCTATAGCATAGTTGAACATTAAAGTTTTAATTTTTTTCTTCCCTTTGTAGTCTCATGAATCCTAGATTTAATATAAATGGGTTTGCATGTTCCCAATGATTTATGAAAATAACTATGAAATGCTTTTTCTGGCTGGGTGTGGTGGCTCATGCCTGTAATCCCAGCACTTTGGGAGGCCGAGGTGGGTGGATCACGAGGTCAGGAGATCGAGACCATCCTGGCTAACACTGTGAAACCCTGTCTCTACTGAAAATACAAAAAAAAAAAAAAAAATTAGCCGGGCGTGGTGGCAGGTGCCTGTAGTCCCAGCTACTCGGGAGGCTGAGGCAGGAGAGTGGCGTGAACCCAGGAGGTGGAGCTTGCAGTGAACCGAGATTGCGCCACTGCATTCCAGCCTGAGCAACAGAGCGAGAACGCTGTCTCAAAAAAAAAAAAAACGCTTTTTCCACAGAATCATGGTAATCAGGAAATTTATTATACAAAATGTATTGGGTATAAGAGCATCATTCTTAACCAGGCATCTCAATGAGACATCAAAATCCAAACCTTTATGTCTTTTCAAGTTGTATAAATAGTCACAAAGTTCCCTTCTAAATCAACTGTCAGGTCTGCTCCTCCTCCCATCTTTCACTTGCTACTCTATACGTTCCCCTGATGCAGTTAACAGGATTCATGCAATCTACAGGTGAAAAGCCCATCTCCTCATATGAGCATCATTGTGTTGCATATCATCAGGCATTTTCTTTTCTTTTTTTAAAATTATACTTTAAGTTCTGGGTTACATATGCAGAACGTACAGTTTTGTTACATAGCTATATATGTGCCATGATAGTTTGCTGCACCCATCAACCCGTCACCTACATTAGGTATTTCTCCTAATGTTATCCCTCCCCTAGCTCCCCACCCCCCACAGGCCCCGTTGTGATGTTCCCCTCCCTGTATCCATGTGTTCTCATTGTTCAACTCCCACTTATAAGTGAGGACATGTGGTGTTTGGTTTTCTGATCTTTTGATAGTTTGCTGAGAATGATAGTTTCCAGCTTCATCCATGTCCCTGCAAAGGACATGAACTCATCCTTTTTTATGGCTGCATACTATTCCATGGTGTATATGTGCCACATTTTCTTAATCCAGTCTATCGTTGATGGACATTTGGGTTGGTTCCAAGTCTTTGCTATTGTGAATAATGCCATAATAAACATATGTGTGCATGTGTCTTTATTGTAGAATGATTTATAATCCTTTGGGTATATGCCCAGTAATGGGATTGCTGGGTCAAATGGTATTTCTAGTTCTAGATACTTGAGGAATTGCCACACTGTCTTCCACAATGGTTGAACTAACTCACACTCCCACCAACCGTGTAAAAGTGTTCCTATTTCTCCACAACCTCTCCAGCATCTGTTGTTGTCTGTCAGGCATTTTCATTGCCCAAACAATGACCCTCTAACTCCTTGAATTTTTTTTCTCACTTTGCATACTCTAACTGTTGAATAAATGGTGCTTTTAACCCAGTGTGTTTCAACTCTGGAATCCCGAGTTAGCACCATTCTCTGCTATCTCTGCTCCAGTGATGGCCTTTCTGCATCAAACCTGTTGATGTTGTTTATCCACAGTTTTGACTCAGCCCCAAGACTGCCTCCTACTGGGGAACCCTGGTTCTGCCTCTGTCAGAGTTAACCCCCTCCCCATAGGCAGCACCCTTTGCTGCATTGCTTCCTGATCTTCCACACTGCCCCACCTGGGCCATCCTCCTCCTTGTTGCCATTACCTTCAAAGGTTTGTTCCTCTTGTTTTTCTGATGAATCATGCTTGATGGGAAATCTGCTTATAGGGTTTATTGTTTCTTTCCCATTTTTCTCACAGAAGAGGATCCAAATGAATTGGATACTCATTAAAGCCATCCCACTGGGTATGTCTGACTTTCTTTGCTTCGGAGAGGGAGGGGCTTTAAGGTCAGGTGGAGGAAAGATTGAGAGTAACACAGTTTCCGTTTCCCACTCTCAGCATTTCACCCTCGACCTCTCTCAGGAGTGTGGTTAACATAATCGTAGCACTGATGAGGAGAAGATCAGTGATTGGACTTATTTTCATGAGAAAGAGAAACAGCAAATTATATACAGGATTTTTTATATTACTACTGGCAGATCCTATTTTCACCTGTCCTACCCTCTGAATCACCCAACATTCTGTAGAAAGAATGTTTTCTTAACCAAAATCAATCTTGCCCAGGTTTCTAGGAACCCATGTAAATGCTTTTGATATAATCCTTTTCCTTCCATAGCCTCTTTCTCAGGAATCAGACTTTCTAGGAATGAGCAAAGGAAGTTTTCACTAAAACTCCATGTTTGTATTTTTATTCATCGGTTGAATGGTCGTATTTATTTTACTACTGTGGCCAATGCAATGTTAATCCCTGTGAATAATTCCTCATAATGTGTTAATGTGGAAAGAAGGAGGGGGGTTAATTGCTTATTCGTAGGCACTTAAAGCAGAAAAAATATTTAAAATAAAACCTAAAGATTTTAATCACACTTTTATAAATATTTTGAGAGAAACAACTATTTAAGAGAATTATTTTGGCAATAGTCACATAATCATTTTGATGACTAATTTAATGTATAAATTATTACAAGATGCTTATATAGATCTTTTCAATCCCAGTATCCAAACATCAACTAATGTATTTTGAAATTAGAATATCTGTATCTCTATAAATTCTCTCAAAGCTAATGCAAATATTCACCAGATGTACTATTTAGAGATAGAAAAATGGTAAACTAAATAAAACTTTACTCATCAGTTTTTCTAATTTGACTGTCACATGAAATATTTTTTCACACAGAAGAATAAATGACTCTGCATAATGGTTCTGAATAATTAGTATGAACAAATAGAGTTTTAAGCATCCTTTGGCTAATTGGAATATATCAGTGTTTCTCAACAAGGGCTGTTTTATCTACAAGTGACCATTTGGGAACTTCTGGAGACACTTTTGGCTGTCACACTAGAGAGCTGCTTTTGGCTTTAGTGGCTAGTAGTCAGGAATACTGCTAGACATACTCTACTGCATAGCACCAAAGTTGTAAACCCATGGAATAGATAAACTTTAAGATTATGTCTAAAACTGTGAAATAAACAAATCTTTACAATAAAGAAACACTAGGCCTGACGCGGTGGCTCTTGCCTGTTATCCCAGCACTTTCGGAGACCAAGGGGGGCGGATCATGAGGTCGGAAGATCGAGACCATCCTGGCTAACATGGTGAAACCCCGTCTCTACTAAAAATACAAAAAAACTAGCCAGGCATGGTGGTGGGCACCTGTAGTCCCAGCTACTTGGGAGGCTGAGGCAAGAGAATGGGGTGAACCTGGGAGGCAGAGCTTGCAGTGAGCCGAGATCGCACCACTGCACTCCAGCCTGGGTGACAGAGCGAGACTCCGTCTCAAAAAAAAAAAAGAAAAAGAAAAAAATACTCAAGGCATCTCATAAAATATTTCAACGTAAGCAAGTACTACATAAGCGTTATCTGTGTTGTACAAGTTCATTGGAATTGATTGTAAAACTCATGAATTAAATACTAAAAAATGGGTATGTTCCCTAAAGCAGAAGTGATATGCACAAAGTGGAGGACATATCAGGCAGGTGACTATTTAGATGTCATTGATAACAATATATCAATAATAATTGCTTTTCATAACCAAAATTGGTATTTTTATGCAGATACATTTTTCAACATAATGCTTTAAACAAGAAAAGCAATCATATACAGATAATATAGAAGGTTATTTAAAGTTCAGATGTCAAGTGGTTTTAAAAATGAGTTTCAATTTGTTATTGTGCTGATAGCTAGAGTTATTTAGACTCTAAGCAAGGTTTTGATTCCACACTCAGGGTAAGAAAATTGTGGACTTCGGCCGGGCGCAGTGGCTCACGCCTGTAATCCCAGAACTTTGGGAGGCTAAGGCGAGTGGATCACGAGGTCAGGAGATAGAGACCATCCTGGCTAACGTGGTGAAACCCCGTCACTACTAAAAATACAAAAAATTAGCCAGGCGTGGTGGCGGGAGTCTGTAGTCCCAGCTACTCGGGAGGCTGAGGCAGGAGAATGGCGGGAACCCGGGAGGCGGAGTTTGCAGTGAGCCGAGATCGCGCCACTGCACTCCAGCCTGAGCGACAGAGCGAGACTCTGTCAAAAAAAAAAAAAGAAAGAAAATCATGAACTTCCAGTCAATTTAATAACTCTGGTTTTGCCCCTTTACAAATACAACATTTAACACAGAACTGAATTTTTTTTCACCGATTAAAAACATTAAAATAATTCAGCAACTATCTTTCTTGATTATACATCCTTCCACCAAACTTTTGAATTGTCTTGAATAAGTGGTAAGAAAGACACACAAGACCCAGCCGAGCGCAGTGGCTCACGCCTGTAATCCCAGCACTTTGGGAGGCCCAGGTGGGCAGATCACGAGGTCAGGAGATCGAGACTATCCTGGCTAATACAGTGAAACCCCGTCTCTACTAAAAATACAAAAAATTAGCCAAGCGTGGTGACAGGCGCCTGTAGTCCCAGCTACTTGGGAGGCTGAGGCAGGAGAATGGCGTGAACCCGGGAGGCGGAGCTTGCAGTGAGCCGAGATCGTGCCACTGCACTCCAGCTTGGGCAACAGAGCGAGACTATGCTTCAAAAAAAAAAAAAAAAAAAAAAGAAGACAATTTGCATCTACATAAAATTATGACATATCAATTATTGAAATGTAACAAAGATGGAGAAGTTAATAAAATGTTTAACTTTATAAATCTTATTCTGAATGCAATTTATTTGCATGTGCAAATTGTACATAATCAGAATATAGAGTTTTAGTTTTTTTAAGGTGGTATTTATTTAATCATAACAACAGATACTAAGTGATAAGAGCAGATAGTCATTGATGAGAACAGTATACTTTTTAGCAGTTAACATCTCTGTGGAGGCAATATATTCTCATAATTTATAAAATTTCAAATCTTATACAATTCAAAAATCTTATTTTCTCAAAGGATCATCAGTATAACAGTACATATTGGTAGAGAATATTCAAGTACATTTATCCAAGAAAATATTTTTCACTCATTTCCTAAGCTAATTAAGAACCTAAGAAATTAAGTTCTTGAGGCAAAGAATAAACACAGAATGCTTCTTTTACTGTTTATTTACTAGTGTTAATATAACCATTATTAGTAGTTCAAAACAGATGTTTTCCCACATTTTATTGGTTATTTGGCAATTTTTAACTTTTCCTTTCAGTGTATAACTGAACTTCTTGAGTTTTAAATTTGTATTGGCTTCTAAACTCCTGAAGAATCTGTCTGTAAAGCAAAGCAGAGCCACAAACTACGCCCCACCGAGTGAAGGAATTTTTAATATGGCTTTAGAGTGCTTAATGCTTGACTTTGTCATCACTTCATATCATTGATGTATACTATTTGAAATGTTACTATACTGAAGAGCTATAAGGACCCATCCAGACTAATGGATAAACATCAGTATCCCAGCACCCTCTAGAAAATGTCACTGTTGCCTCAATTGCATTTTTTCCTTCGTGCTCAAAGCACACTAGGGCAAGACTTAGCAATTCTTATGGCATCCAGTATGGTAACTTGCAATGAGGTAGCAATGGTGGTAATTGAAATATAGTGGATAGAAAATAGCACTTAAATAACTATATGTATGCAATAAAACCCCCATTACTTTGGCCTCCTTATTCATTGGCAATTAGAAAAAAATGGACCCTTAATGGGGCAAGAGAAGAAGGTTACCTTAGGAAATATTGCAAAGATTCCATCTCTTAAATTATGTCAGCTGTCAAACAAATAGATTCATTGTTCTCTATTACTTGGTTGGGATAAGAGTAAAATCTGTAATAGGTAATAGCCACTTGCAAAGTTAACTGGTGAAAAGAGAATTACGTAATTGTTTTGGTTTATTTGTTTTAGTTTCTTTTTCTTTTTCTCTTCGAACTAGCCTGGTTGCTTAAAGTCCAAAAGTTAATGACCCTTAAAAGGAGGGAAAGGGACCGGGCACAGTGGCTCACACCAGTAATCCCAACACTTTGGGAGGCCGAAGTGGATGGAACATGAGGTCAGGAGTTCGAGACAAGCCTGGCCAACATGGTGAAACCCCATCTCTACTAATAATACAAAAATTAGCCTAGCGTGGTGGCACGCGCCTGCAATCCCAGCTACTCGGGAGGCTGAGGCAGGAGAATCGCCTGAACCTGGGAGGTGGAGGCTGCAGTGAGCCAAGATCATGCCATTGCACCCTAGCCTGGCAACAGAGCGAGACTTGGTGTCAAAAATAAATAAATAAATAAATTAATTAATTAATTAAACAATTTTTTAAAAGAGGGAAAGGGAGCCTATGAAGAATGAGCACTCGATTTCTGAGAAACTCCATGCTCATTGCCTTTATAGAGCCTAATGGCAGGATCCAAAACCATCATTTGAAAGAGAAATTTCAGATTTTAAAAAAAGTAGTCAACATGAATCCAAGAAAAGCTGTTTAATCTGATAGCTAGGGACTGCATCATGGAGATGGCAAGAATGTGAGATCTGTTGCCACATGACTAGACAGCAAATAAGTCCTACTCAGAAACAAATCTTCAGTAGGGAATAGAAAAGAAACTCCTGCTTGTCTGCCTTAAATTGGGAATCACTAATGGGCAAATCAAATCCACAAGTAGTAGTATTACTTTTAAGTCTCTCCTTTTGTTAACAGCAAGACCTTCTGTTATATCTTAGCTAAGAGAATTTAATGGCTTTAAGGCAAATATTATACACCTATAGGTATGTGATTTTAAAGCCCCTTTAAAAAAAAATACCTCACAGAGCATTTGATAAACAAATGGCAATGGGTTTGTAACAGTGCATTTCATATATCTTTGTGCATCTAGGTGCATTTTATAAGCCATTCTTTCTATATTTTTATGCATGTTTAATTATATGCCTACTTGTTATAATTTCTTAAAATTCTAACAAAGTATTTTGATATTCTTTTTTTTTTTTTTTTTTTGAGATGGAGTCTCACACTGTCGCCCAGGCTGGAGTGCAGTGGGACAATCTTTGCTCACTGCAACCTCCGCCCCCCAGGTTCGAGCAATTCTCCTGCCTCAGCCTCCTAAGTAGCCAGGATTGCAGGCGCCTGCCACCATGCCCAGCTAATTTTTTGTATTTTTTAAATAGAGATGAGGGTTTCACCATGTTGGCCAGGCTGGTCTCGAACTCCTGACCTCATGATTCTCCCACCTCCGCCTCCCAAAATGCTGGGATTACAGGCATGAGCCACCGTGCCTGGCCAGTATTTTGATATTCTTACATAGCCATAAGGAAAATACTTTTGAATGGCTGTGTAATATTTCATTTTGCAAATGATTAATATTAAAACATTAATATATTACTGGACATTTTCATTCACTTATATTTCCTGTTGAAAGCATTACTGCAATAAACATTTTATACAATACATATTTCCCTCCCTGTATTTTAAATTCTTTTAGCCTTAGATTGGTTTCTGAGAACGAGCATATTGGTATCAAAGGGCATGTACATATTAGTGCTGTTGACATGATAACACCAAATTTCTTTTCATAAAGTTGTACCGATTTCATCACCCACCAGTGACACATGAAATGCTTATCTCAGTGCATCCTCATAACATAAAGTGTTATGGACAGGAACAAAACTGATTTGGATTCACTAAATACAAAATTCAAAATGTAATATTTACATGATATTATTATTATTATTATTATTATTATTGAGACGGCATCTCGCTCTGTCACCCAGGCTGGAGTGCAGTGGTGCTATCTTGGCTCACTGCAAGCTCTGCCTCCTGGGTTCACGCCATTCTCCTGCCTCAGCCTCCCGAGTTGCTGGGACTACAGGCGCCCGCCACCACGCCCGGCTAATTTTTTGTATTTTTAGTAGAGACGAGGTTTCACCGTGTTAGCCAGGGTGGTCTCGATCTCCTGGCCTCGTGATCCGCCCACCTCGGGCTCCCAAAGTGCTGGGATTACAGGCATGAGCCACTGCGCCCGGCCTATTTACATGATATTCTTCTGAAAACATACACGGTTTTCCAGGTAATCAGTTTTTTTAATAACAATCATTTTATTTATTTATTTATTTATTTATTTATTTATTTATTTATTTATTTATTTTTGAGACGGAGTCTTGCTCTGTCGCCCAGGCTGGAGTGCAGTGGCACGATCTCGGCTCACCGAAAGCTCTGCCTCCCTGGTTCACACCATTCTCCTGCCTCGGCCTCCTGAGTAGCTGGGACTACAGGCGCCCGCCACCAACCCCGGCTAATTTTTTTGTATTTTTAGTAGAGACGGGGTTTCACCATGTTAGCCAGGATGGTCTCAATGTCCTGACCTCCTGATCCGCCCACCTCAGCCTCCCAAAATGCTGGGATTACAGGCATGAGCCACTGCGCCCGGCCAACAATCATATTATTTAAATGTAAGATTCCCCAGTTATTTTTTTGGTGGCAAATATCCGTCTTGACAGATATGTAGTACTTGGACCTGAATTCGAAAACATTAGCACTTAGATTCCTGAAGGACTTAGAAGCTGATTAGTGATGGGCATTTTAATAGTACTCATAGATGTGAAATTACTCATGATTAGGGTTTAACATTGAAATTACAGAAGCATTCCTGCTCCACCAGAGCCAACCCACCCACTTATATCCCAAGCTAGCTCTCATCTCACTCTAGAACATTGTCCTGAAATCATTCCCATTGTGTCCTGCTTCATAAATTTCTCCAACAAGTAGCACAATATGTAGTTCCTGATGATAAGAATTAACAATAAATATGTATGATTTTGATTATGAAAATTAACTATATATATTATTGTGAGTGACTTGAAGCAAAACAGCCAGAGGAGCTAAACACATGTTTATAAAAACATATTATCTTAGAATATTCTAGCCTCCATTTATTTATGTTTCTGTATCTTTTCTACTTATCCCCATAATATAGGTATAATTCTCTCAGAAAATAGATTTGAATACAGATCTGTAAGATCTTGCTAGAGTATAACTTCAAAAAACTTCTCTGGTTTTGTCTCTGCAACCAGTAATGAGAAACTCCAAAGGAAATGTCTCGAGATATAAACAGCTCCTGTTTTGAAGTGCTTTATAATTTGTTAAATTCATCCATTATATAACATAGCATCCTTGGCCCAAAAATTTGATGCATTTTTATTAGATTTAGAAACTAAACAAATAAGTAAAAGTAAGGGGCATAGTTAGAAATATTTTCTTAGAATTATATTTTAAAATCAACTGGATATACGGTGATATGGTTTGGCTGTGTCCCCACCCAAATCTCATCTTGAATTTTAGTTCCCATAATCCCCACGTCGTGGGAAGGACCTGGTGGGAGGTAATTGAATCATGGGGCAGTTACTCCCATGCTGTTCTCATGAGAGTGAGTGAGTTCTCACGAGATCTGATGGTTTTATAAGGGGCTTTTCCTCTTTCTTTTGAGACGGAGTCTCGCACTGTCACCCAGGCTGGAGTACAGTGGCGCGATTTTGGCTCACTGCAACTTCGGCCTCCCAGGTTCAAGCGATTCTCCTGCCTCAGCCTCCCGAGTAGCTAGGATTACAGGTGCCCGCTACCATGCCCAGCTAATTTTTTTTGTGTTTTTAGTAGAGATGGGGTTTCACCATGTTTGCCAGGTTGGTCTCGAACTCCTGACCTCGTGATTCGCCCACCTCAGCCTCCCAAAGTGCTGGGATTACAGGAGTGAGCCACCACACACTGCCGGGCTTTTCCTCATTTTGCTCGGCACTTTTCTGTCCTGCCACCATGTAAGGAAGGACATGTTTACTTCCCCTTCCACCATGATTGTAAGTTTCCTGAGGCCTCCCCAGCTATGTGGAACTGTGAGTCAATTAAACCTCTTTCCTTTATAAATTACTCAGTCTTGGGCAGTCCTTTATAGCAGCGTGAGAATGGACTAATACATATGGATATTCTGAAACATGGGATAGAACATTTATTAAATGAGGGTTTTAAATTGGTTGAAGGCAGCAAGAATGAATAAAGAGTATTGTTAGCAAAGTGGTGCTCCAGAAGATTTGGAAGGGAAGGTTGAAACCTTTTTCTAATTTTTCCCAAATAAAATTTCTGGTGTGCCTCCCCCATGCAACTTTGCATTGGCAAATGTGTTGCTGTGTACTTTATTATTATTATTATTTTTGAGACCGAATTTCACTCTGTTGCTCAGGCTGGAGTGCAGTGGCACGATCTTGGCTCACTGCAAACTCCACCTCCCAGTTTCAAGCGATTCTCCTGCCTCAGCCTCCCGAGTAGCTGGGATTACAAGCGCGTGCCACCATGCCTGGCTAATTTTTGCATTTTTAGTGGAGATGGGGTTTCACTATGTTGGCCAGTTTGGTCTTGAACTCCTGACCTCATGATCTGCCAGCCTCAGCCTCCCAAAGTGCTGGGATTACAGGCGTGAGCCACCGCGCCCAGCTGCTGTGTACTTTATTAAGCATCTAAAATGTGTGGTATAGTGTAGCAGTAGAAATCTAAAAATAGAGGAAAGAATGTACACAAAATCCCCAAACCTAACTTAATTTTTTTAACAATTTGGTAATTCTTTAAAAATAGTAACTGTATGCTTTTTTTTTTTTTTTTTTTGAGATGTAGTTTTACTCTTGTTGCCCAGGCTGGAGTACAATGGCATGATCTTGGCTCACTGCAACTTCTGCCTCCCAGGTACAAGCGATTCTCCTGTCTCAGCCTCCCAAGTAGCTCGGATTACAGGCATGCACCACCAACACCCGGCTAATTTTTTTTTTTTCCTTTTTTTTTTTTTTTTTTGTATTTAGTAGAGATGGGATTTCACCATGTTAGATTGGTCGTGAACTCCTGACCTCAGGTAATCCACCTACCTTGGCCTCCCAAAGTGCTGGGATTATAGGCATGTACCAGTGCACCCAGCCAACTGTATGCTTTTTTAAATATTATTTTTAAAAAGAAAATGTGTCCATAATAAAGGAATTTTTAAAAAACTAAAAAACACGATAACGCTTACCCAGAAAGTGATCTGAACTAATAAATAACTTGGTAGAATTGATATTTTACTAAATGTTGAAATACATGTTTCTCTTATCAAAGGATAAAGTTGTACAAGATTCCCCCATTGACAGACCTAGAAATTTATCTTATTATTATCAAGTTTGGGGAAAGAGTATACACAAAATCCCCAAACCTAACGTATTAAGATAAAGTAAGTCAGAAGATACAGGTAGCAAGAGGAAGCACACTAGTCACTATTTAAGGTTAGCTAAATAGTATTTCATATGCTAAGAATCTGCATTGTCTTCATTGGTATATAGCTTTTAAACCTATGTGTTTTTAATGAATTTAATATTAACTTTAACATGACATCTGAATTCAGAACAATGGTATTCTCACAGAAATTTTGATATTTAAATTAAACATGACAAAATATAACATTTTCAGCTTCCCTAAAGTCCTCCAGTCTTTTGGGGTTATTGTGTCCCATTATTCATTTTTAAAAGGGAGAACTCATAACTTCCTTCTACGAATAGTGGGATATACTATCCTCAGTCTCACCAGGTGATTCCTGCATATCTTCTAGTTATGGGTTTCATTCCTTGCTTTGCCTGGAATCGTCTTAGCAGCCTTTCCTTTTATCTGTGCCATGTGGACCCAATCATATAATATTCTTTTTTCTTATATTTCTCAAATCACATTTACACAATGATACTTTTTGTGGTAGAAACACAACATAAAATCTCGCTTTTAAACAGATTTTTAGGTGTGCAATACAGTATTGTTGACCATAGGCACGATGTTGTAGCTCTTTAGTTGTGCAGGAGAATTTTACTAAAAAAAAAAAATTAGGAATAGATGCAGAAGCCTATGATATAGTGCCCAAAGCACAGAATATCATGACTGTCTACTGTAATTACATTAAAAATGGGACATCTGCGTTGGGCACGGTGGCTCATGCCTGTAATTCCAAGAACTTTGGGGAGCCAAGATGAGTGGATCACCTGAGTTTTGGAGTTCAATACCAGCCTGACCAACATGGAGAAACCCCATCTCTACTAAAAAAGTACAAAATTAGCTGGACATGGTGGTGCATGCCTGTAAATCCCAGCTACTCGGGAGGCTGAGGCAGGAGAATCACTTGAACCTGGGAGGCAGAGGTTGTGGTGAGCCAAGATCGTGCCATTGCACTCCAGCCTGGGCAACAAGAGTGAAACTCCATCTCAAAAAAGAAAAAAAAAAAATGGACATCTGTGTTCAATTCCTCTGGGCCATTCACATACCTTTTCCTTACCTGTGCTCCTCATTGATTCCAATCATTTTCAGGTCCCCAAGCTATGTCATTCTCTTTATGAGCAACCTTAAGAAACTCCCCAATGTATTCTAATGTTACTACTAAGGTTAGAGAAGAGAAATTTAGTTTTTGTATATCAGTCCTAAGACAGCTCCATAAAATGCCTAAGATCTATCTTTTTCTAACTAAATCCGGCTCATAATACGCGTGCTCAGGAAAAGACAGCTCCCTCCCTAAATAATTCTGTCACCCACTCTCAAACTAACAATCTATCTTTCACTGCTGTACTTACAGACATCTCTTTTGTTATTGATGTTTATGAGATAAAAATTGGTTCAAATAAAAGATAAACCAAGAATGCCCCTGTAAAATAAGCACTATGTTCTAAAAGAAAAGACTATTTGTTTACAGAATTTAAAATCAAGCTTTTTGATTTTTTGATCACATCACCACCAAAGCTAAACTATCCAAAAATGCTAATGTTTGCAACTAATCCAAAGATTCTTTTATTCTATCCTCTCCCTCTGCCTTCTTTCCCTTAAATGGTAGTTAGGCATAGACGAGCCTTTCAGGGCTATTTGGTCTGACAGTGTGTTGGCAGTTTTTGTTCCTTGCCTTGGTTAAAAATTCAGCTCACTTGTTTATTTTTTGCTATTTATCATGCCCTTATGTATAACAAGTTCCAGGCCTGAGATCTGGCAGAAGTTTCTAAAGCAACATTCAAGATTGTTATTATTATGAGACTATCTTAGAGTCTATGAAATGTGTGGTTTGTCTTTTAATCTAGGTGTATACTCTGAGAAATTCTGCACTCTTATGAATCCCTTAAGGAAAATGGTTACACAATTAAAGATAGAAAAATATACGTGTGTAGGTATATATTTATAGAATTATAAATGGATATATATCCATTGGTCTTGTTGATGTATTATCATATAAGCATAATTCTTGTTTTAAAAATGCAGAATAAGTAATTACCAAAAACAAAATGAAGTGGGGAAAGACTAACTCTTTGAAGATAAGATAATTCAAAGGGAAACTGGAAGATGTTCATACAAATATTCAACATTTTTGCTATTTATTTATTTATTTTTGAGATAGGATCTTGCTCTGTACCCCAAGCTGGAGTGCAGTGGCATGATCTTGGCTCACTGCAACCTCTACCTCCTGGGTTCAAGTGATTCTCCTGTCTCAGCCTCCCAGGTAGCTGGGACTACAGGCACGTGACACCACGCCCAGCTAATTTTTGTGTTTGTAGTAGAGATAGGTTTTCACCATGTTGACCAGGATGGTCTCCATCTCTTGATCCGCCCACCTTGGCCTCCCAAAGTGTTGGGATTACAGGCATGAACCACTGTGCCCAGCCCATTTTTACTCTTTATTTAGCAAGTTTCTGTTAGTGTGTTTCAAACTATTTAATATTCTTGATGATTACATTCACCTCATTACATCAATGAGGTTGAGATTTTTTGTTCAGCTTCATTAGGACAATTGCAATGTATTCTCCATAACAACAAATTTGCAGTTAATATTTGAGTAAATTGAATTTTTATAAAATAGGGTTGTTAAAGAGCATCAAGTTGACTTACTGTGCAATACATTGAATTGAACCGAAATGAGTGCAGATAGAGTCTGATCACCTGGTCCTTGTTCTTATTGTATCTAGCCTTCCAACGTGAGAAAATTCATATAAGCTGCCTGGTCTAATTTAAATTATCTATAAATAGAAAGAGGGGAATAAATGATCTCTCTGTATATTTACTTGAGTAAAAAAGTGCTTATATTTAAGGTCAGAATGAGGATATCTTCTGCCTTTTTTCTAACTCATCCCCATTTTTTCATCATCCCTTTCCTTCTCCCTTTTCTATGTGTTTATCCTTAATTTTCTTCTCAGTCCAGGCATAACATAATCTCTTGTGACCTTCTATCTAAGTAAAACCTTAACTTTACAAGATTTCCTTCTGAGATCTTACCTCTTGGCTTGTTTTTCTAACTCATCTTTTATTCACATTAGCTTGAAAATAGATAAGCTGACTCATAAAATTATAAGTAATCATATAGTACCCTTTGCAGGCTGTTTTCAATATAAAACAAACAAAAATCTTCACCTGAAAAGTTGTACCACTAATAGAGATTTTTGCAGCAACTTAGTGAAACAAATGTTAAGGATATTTCTTAACATTCTAAAAAAGGTAAGACAAGGGCTAGGTGCAGTGGCTCATGCCTGTAATCCCAGCACTTTAGGAGGCTGAGGCAGATGGATCACCTGAGGTCAGGAGTTCGAGACCAGCCTGACCAACATGGTGAAACACTGTCTCTACTAAAAAATACAAAAATTAGCTGGGATGGGTGGCACGCACATGTAATCCCAGCTACTTGGGAGGCTGAGACAGGAGAATTGCTTGAACCCGGGAAGCTGAGGTTGCAATGAGCCGAGATCGCGCCATTGCACTCGAGCCTGGGTAACAGAGCAAGACTCCTTCTCAAAAAAAAATAAAAATAAAAAATAAAAGTAAGAAAAACTTGTGTCTAATAATGGCTAATCTTGTCCACTTCATATTTTTTCTTTTGGTAAAATGTAACATTGAACAAAAAAACAGAATTCCTTCCACTCCAACAAGTATTATAAAATTAACATTGAAATTGAAAATATAACATGCTATTTATTATGATTACTGAAAAATTTAAATCCCATTTATTTAGAAATAAAATTGATAAAAACTCTGTCTTGATGAAAGGTATTGGAATGGTGCATTCCAAAAGCAATTAAGAACATTATTCTGGATGATAAAATTTTCAGACAGAAACAATAGTTAAGTAATTAAATATGTGCTACTCTTTACATTTAAATAACGAAACTTTCTATATAAAATATTTTTTCTTTTTCTTTTTTCTTTTTTTTTTTTTTTTTTTTTTTGAGATGGAGTCTCGCTGTGTCACCCAGGCTGGAGTGCAGTGGCACGATCTTGGCTCACTGCAAGGTCTGCCTGCCGGGTTCACGCCATTCTCCTGCCTCAGTCTCCCGAGTAGCTGGGACTACAGGCACCCACCACCACGCCCGGCTAATTTTTTGTATTTTTAGTAGAGACGGGGTTTCACTGTGTTGGCCAGGTTGGTCTCCATCTCCTGACCTCGTGATCCGCCCACCTGGGCCTCCCAAAGCACTGGGATTACAGGCGTGAGCCACCGCGCCCAGCCCTATATAATATTTCTACTGCTATCTTATGTAACTAAGTTAACTATATAATAAAATATGTATTGGCCTTATTCTATAGTGACTTCATTGTAATTTTTCCCTTTGTTGTATTCTCACCTTCAGGAGTGTCAAAATACTTCAATTATTCCTATTACCAGAAATCTGGAATGAGAGGATTCTATTTGACAATTTCAATCAAAATTTTTGTTCCTATGTTGGCCAACAGCCTAAATATAAGTTACACACTCCATAAAATGTTGAAATAAAAGGCTTTTTTTCTCTGTCTGGAAATGCTATTTGTTTCAATATCACAGAAGTATGAATGAAGAAGCCTGAACATATAAAAATAGCTTTGGGTTATTAAAAATGTTACCATAATCCCTAACATTAGTCATTAACTGAAATCAAAATCTAAAAGTCTGGTACAGCACATGTCATGATTTTATTCAAAATCTGCTGCATAAATGGTCTGCTGCAGTGATTTTCCAAATTATTCTTAACAGATTTTATTTTCCAAATAAAATCTTATAAGTAACAACAATGATGAATAAAATAAAACATTAAAAGGAGATCATCTCTAAGTAGGGAGGAAGATGATGAGACAGCCAGGTGGGAGGGAGTCCCTGGAGAAACTCCAACCAGCCTACCCACTGAGGTGGAGCCTTGAGAAGTTCACTGGGTTTGTAGCAGGGAGGAGCCTGGCCCCTCCTCTTCCTGTGTGGAAAATGGGATTTAAGCTGCCGGCAGGAAGCACTCTAGCAGACGTACTCTGGCCTTGCAAGAGTCCCTGTTTCCCCCTTTTCTTCCTTTTTACCCAGTAAAACACTGTCTTACTCACCATTTAAATTGTGAGCCTGAATTTTCATGGCCGTAGGACAAAGAACCTCATTTTTAGCTGAACTAAGGAAAAGTCCTGCAACAATGAGACCCCACCAACCTAACTTCTCAACTTCTTTGGATCCTATCTGGGGTCCACTATGTCTCCAAGGAATCCAGTTCTAAACTTGTCAGTTTCAGTAATGTCATAGTGGCTTGTTTCAAACTAACCCTCCTGCAAATAATAATTAAGAAACATGGACCGGGTGCGGTGGCTCATGTCTGTAATCCCAGCACTTTGGGAGGCTGAGGCGGGCAGATCACGAGGTCAGGAGATCAAGACCATCCTGGGTAACACGGTGAAACCCCATCTCTACTGAAAATACAAAAAAATAGCCGGGCGTGTTGGCGGGTGCCTGTAGTCCCAGTTACTCGCGAGGCTGAGGCAGGAGAATGGCATGAACCTGGGAGGCGGAGTTTGCAGTGAGCCGAGATCGTGCCACTGCACTCCAGCCGGGACAATAGAGCGAGACTCCATCTCAAAAAAAAAAAAAAAAAGAAAGAAAGAAGCATGGACAAAATATGTTATAATACAAAAATAGAAATTGAGCTATTGAAAACACTGGAGACTGACACAAATTAATCAGAAATTTGAGGGAAGTTGACCCTTGAAAAAGGATTATTCACTGGGCAAGATCTATGTTTTTATGGCTTTTCTCCTGAGCATTGCCTATTCCACAGGGTCTAGGGGCAAATTCTAGAGATCAAGTAGAAAGTTGCCGTGTTACAGGTTTGAGGTGTGATATCAGAGTTTGAATTTGGCAGGTGGCTGGAAATTGAGAAGATACATTCAGGAAACGAAGGAAGCCACAAAATGAAAGCCAGCAATATTGTACATAAAGTCCCCTCATTCCCTTGGCTGACTCTTTAACTGTGCATGAGCAGGAAAATATGTAAGAAACTCAGCAGAAAGTAAAAGATGGATGTCAGAAGAGGGTGAGTGGGATACTGACTGATGATCACTGAAGGAAAATTAGAATTTTGGATGTAAAATCTACTAGGGTAGGGGAGTTCCCATGGAAACCAAAGAGAGGCCACACTCTCACGTATTTTTGTGCCTTAGAACTAAGAATTTTTCTTATGAATAAAGGGAAAGCCTAAACACACCTTCTTTAGCAAGGTGCCAAACCAAGCTTCCAAAAGTTCAGCATGCCAGTCAGTAATCTAACTGCACACTGGAAGATAAATTATGACTTTTCAGAGGAACATAACAGAATCCATTGTCTGTACAATATATCATCTGAATTGTTCGGTGTACACCAAGAAGATATATGTAAAGAAACAGAAAAAAGTTGGTGCATGTGAAAAAGACAAGACATTTAATAGATCCAGATCATGAGGTCATCTAGATATTGAAATGAGCAGACTTGAACTTTCAAACAGCTAATGATAAATATGTTCAGCGACTGGCTTAAAGGAAATGATCATTAAAGTCAGTGAACCAGAAAGGAATGTCAAAGAATAAATGAAAATTGTTTTGGCGGGGCGCGGTGGCTCAAGCCTGTAATCCCAGCACTTTGGGAGGTCGAGGCGGGCGGATCACGAGGTCAGGAGATCAAGACCACCCTGGCTAACAGAGTGAAACCCCATCTCTACTAAAAATACAAAAAATGAGCTGGGCGTGGTGGCGGGCGCCTGTAGTCCCAGCTACTCAGGAGGCTGAGGCAGGAAAATTGCTGGAACCCGGGAGGCGGAGCTTGCAGTGAGCAGAGATAGCGCCACTGCACTCTAGCCTGGGTGACAGAACAAGACTCCATCTCAAAAAAAAAAAAAAAAAAATTGTTTTGAAAAGAATCATAATGAAAGTTCAAGAACTAAAAATTATAGTATTGGAAGCAAAAATTCTATTGTTTGGTCTTAATATTAGAGGTAGCAAAAGGAAAAGTCAATAAACTTGAATAAAAATCAATAGTAGTAATATATTATGAAAAATAAAGAGGAAAGGAAAAACTTTGAAAACTAAACGAATAGGGGTAACTCTGATCTGTGGGACACTATTTATCTTAAGTACATGTGCTTGGAGTACAAAAAGGAGATAATAGGAGGACTGGAAGTAAAAATATTTGAAAAAAATGATCGAAAGGTTTTCAAAGTGGATGAAAAATACTAACTTACAGATCCAAGAAGCTCAGCAAAACCCCATATGTAAACATAAAAAGAAAAGAAAATATAGGTAATCATAATCAAATTGCTGAAAGCTAAAGAAAATCTTGCAAGCAACTAGAAATACAGAAAGGCATATTATATGCAGGAGAATAATGATAAGAATAAGGGCTAATTTCTCATTAGAAATAGTGCATTCTAGCATACAATAAAGCACACTATTGAAATACTGAGAGGAAAAAAAGCACTAACTCTGACGTCTATACCTTGTGAAAATGTCCTTCAAAAATGAAGGCAAGAAGGCCAGGTGCAGTGGCTCACGCCTGTAATCCCAGCACTCTGGGAGGCTGAGGCGGGCAGATGACAAGGTCAGGATATCGAGACCATCCTGGCTAATACAGTGAAACCCCGTCTCTACTACAAGTACAAAAAAATTAGCCGGGCGCGATGGTGGGCGCCCGTAGTCCCAGCTACTTAAGAGGCTGAGGCAGGAGAATGGCATGAACCCAGGAGTCAGAGCTTGCAGTGAGCAGAGATCACGCCACTGCACTCCAGCCTGGACGACAGAGCAAACTCCGTCTCAAAAAAAAAAAAAAAAATGAAGGCAATTAAAAAAATATGAAAGCAAGACTGACATCAGGGAATATGGCCATGTAGGAATATACAAAACTCTGTTCCTTTGAATAAAGCTAGCCAAAATTTTAAGAATCAACTTTTGTGGAATTCTAAAATCTAATAAAAAATTTACAACAACTAGGAAAGCACTTCATGAAATAAAAGCTTCTGAATTTTGTTAAGAGAAGTCTGTGGCATTTTAACTTACCCTATTGCCATCCCCAAGTCTCCAGCGCTCGCATTCCTTGCGCAGGTTACTAGTACCAGGGGAAGGAATAGAAATCTTGTTTTGTTTTGTTTTTTTTAAATTGTGGCTGTGTGATTTAATCTGTCTGGTGGTTTCCTAGAGGACTGACTCAAGGGTTTGCACTTGTTTCACCTGCACTGGAGCTTCTCTATGGCAGATATTACTTCCAAGGTGGCAGTTTTTGAAAGCATTTAAAGCAAATGAATTAGCCACTGCCATTTGGGGTGAGCCGTAACAGTCAGGGAAAGCAATAGACCAAAAAACCTGGGAAGAAAGAGCCAGAAGAAGAAAATACTTGAGAAAAATAAAGGCTTAAAGAAACTTCTACATATTTCAGGGAATCTAGAAACCCACATGCATGCCTAGGCTAACAACATGCTCAGAGAAGACCTGAGAAGATCATAAGCTCTCATCTCTGATTGATCTTCCAGCTTATGCAAGCAGGAAGTGAAGACTAAAGTAGAGTTATAAACTGCCTGGCTATGCATTCCAGGAATGTCCCAACACAGAACCAATCTGCAAAGGCATGGAAAGTTGTTTTTGTTCTTGTTGTGGCTGTTGTTTTTAATACCAAACGTTAAAGGAAACATCTGCAAATCACCAGCTGACCACAAGGCTAATAGAACACAGACTTCAGTGGTCATACATAGCAAAAACAATAAAGACTTAATTTTTAAAAATACATTTTGAGATTTAAAAAACTGAGTAAACTTGTTGTCTGTAGAACTGCACTACGAGGCATACTGAAATAAGTTCTTTGATCTGAAAAAAATGACATATATAGAAACTTTCTACAGGAGTAAATAGAGAATATAGAAACTGTATTTATGTAGGTAAATAAAACATAAAAGACACCGTTTCTATTTTTAAGTTTTTTAAAGATAAATGACTGCATAATGAAAAATTTTAAATGTTGTTTACTAGGGGTTATAATATATATAGATGTAAAATATATGTCAACAATAATACAGAAGACACAAAAGAGAGGGTTGGGTACATTTATACTTGTGTTGGGATCTTGATCACTCTGAGGTTTGATAGTTTGCTACGAGGTCTCACAGGACTCAGTGCATAGTTATACTTGTGGCTATGATTTACTATAATGAAAGAATACAAAGCAAAATCAGCAAAAGAAGACATCAAGTGGGACAAAATCTGGGGGAAATCAGGCACAAGCTTCCAAGAGTCCTCTCTCTCTTAATGGAACCATACATAACATTGCATTTCCCCATCAGTGAGCTGTGACAACATGGGTAAAATGCTGCCAACAAGGGAAGCTCATTAGAGCCCAGTGCCCAGAGTTTTTATGGGAGGCTAATGATGTAGGCAACCCCTGGATGGCATGTACCCAAATTCCAGATTCCTAGAGGAAAAGCGGGTGCCCACCCTAAACCATGTCGCTTCTACAAATGATTTAGGCATAGTAAACCAATTTTTCTTTTTTTTTTTTTTTGAGACAGTCTTGCTCTGTCACCCAGGCTGGAATGCACTGGCACAATCTCGGCTCACTGCAAGCTCTGCCTCCTGGGCTCACGCCATTCTCCTGCCTCAACCGCCCAAGTAGCTGGGATTACAGGCATGCACCACCACGCCCAGCTAATTTTGTTTTTGTATTTTTAGTAGAGATGGGGTTTCACTGTGTTAGCCAGGCAGGTCTTGATCTCCTGATCTTGTGATCCGCCCGCCTCGGCCTAGTAAACCACTCTTAAGCAGTTAATGGTGGGAACTCTTCCAAGAGTTAAATTTCCATGTACCAGTCAAGGGTTGGACATGTAAACAGGCCTTTCAAGGGATAGTAGTGAGGCCTGTTGTTTAACTCTCTTCTGCCCAATACTGTTGCAAATTTCTTACAGTTCATGTGATGTGGTATATTAGTAACTCTAAGGAGACTGTGATAAAATGTATATATATTGTATTCTTTAGTGGAACGACATAACATGTTACATAAACAATTACAGTAAAAAAAAAGCAATTTGAAGTATTAAGATGGAATACAAAGAACAATTGATTAACCTAAAATAACAAGTGGGACAAGGAGAAAAATAATAAAACGGGGTAGATCTAAACTGAATATCATCAAGAAGTACACTAAATGAAAATGGACTAAATATTTCAATGAATAGGCAGAGATGGTTAGACTGGATAGAAAAAGTAAGACCTCAGGTTAAAAAAAAGTATATTCTATCTACAAGAGATACACTTTAAATATAAAGACTTGGAGAGACTGAATGGAAAATTATCCAAAAAGATGTACCATGCAAATTTTAAACATATCTGGTGTGGCTATACTAATGCTAGGAAAACTTAGTAACACAAGAAGTATTACCAAGATAGAGTCACTTCACAATAATTAAGAGTTGGCCAGGCGCAATGGCTCACGCCTGTAATCCCAGCACTTTGGGAGGCCAAGGCGGGCGGATCACGAGGTCAGGAGATTGAGACCATCCTGGCTAACACTGAAACCCCATCTCTACTAAAAATACAAAAACAAAATTAGCTGGGCGTGGTGGCGGGCGCCTGTAGTCCCAACTACTCAGGAGGCTGAGGCAGGAGAATGGCATGAACCCAGGAAGCTGAGCTTGCAGTAAGCCGAGATCGCACCACTGCACTCCAGCCTGGGCAACAGAGCAAGACTCCATCTCAAAAAAAAAAAAAAAAAAAAAAAGAGTCCACTCTTTACAAAGAAAAAGTAGCATTGGATACAACTAAGGGTATATATCAACAGATCCAAAATTGTAGTTAGAGATTTTAATATGTCTTTCTGGGTAAATGATTGCTAACTAGAATAAATGAATGAATGAATGAAAAAAGAAAGAAGGAATAATAGAAGGAAAGTAGGAAGGAAGGAAGGAAGGGAAAAGAAAGATATAGAAGCTTTTAACAATATTGTCAACCCCCTTGACCTAATTGACATTTTGTAAAACACTATACCCCTAAATTTGCAGAATAAACAAGCTTTCAAGTACACATGAAATGTTCCCTAAAATAAGAAATATGTTCAACCATGAAATGTTTTAAGAAATTTGAAAAAATTTAAATCTCACAAAGGATTTTCTTCCATGACAAAAAAATTAAATTAGTCACAGTAGCATAAATACAGTATCACTCAAGTTATTTCTATACTAATGAGAGGTGACAACATGCTAGCAGCCCTCACTCGCTCTCGGCGCCTCCCCAGCCTGGGCATCCACTCTGGCAGCGCTCAAGGAGCCCTTCTGCCGCTGTGCTGTGGGGGCCCCTCTCTGAGGCTGGCTGAGGCCAGAGCTGGCTCTGTCTGCTCGCAGGGAGGTGTGGAGGGAGAGGCATGGGCGGGAGCCAGGGCTACATGCCGCACTTTCAGGCTGGCGCAGGTTCCAGGTGGGCACAGGCTCAGCTCTCCGTAGTAGGCGTGGCCCGCCAGTGCCTGCTGGGCTTGATCAGAGGCTGGGTCCTGTACGTGGACCTCCGTTCCCTCTTTGGTGGCGGGTCTCCGTCTCTTTCTCACTTCCCCTCTTTTCCTCTTGGTTGTCTGGGATGAGCTCCCTCTGTGCTGCCAGAGTGCCCAGGCGAGGTGCCACAAAGCCCCCCAGCAAGTGTGAGTGAGCAGTGAAGCTGGCTGCACCAATCAGCACTCTGTCAAAACGGACCAATCAGCTCTCTGTAAAATGAACCAATCAGCAGGCTGTGGGTGGGGCCTGGTAAGGGAATAAAAGCAGGCCACCCAAGTCAACAGTAGCAAACTGCCCCTGTTCCATTTTGTTCTTTGGCTTTTTGCAATAAATCTTGCTGCTGCTCACTGTTTGGACCTGCCTGGCCTTTATGAGCTGTAACACTCACCACGAAGGTCTGCAGCTTTGCTCTTGAGGCCAGTTAAGACCACAAACCCACTGGAAGGAGCGAACAACTCCAGAAGCACTGCGTATAAGAGCTGTAACACCCACAGTGAGGGTCTGCAGCTTCATTCCTGAAGTCAGCGAGACCACAAACCCACCAGAAGCAAGAAACTCTGGACACATCTGAACATCTGAAGGAACAAACTCTGGACACATCATCTTTAAGAACTGTATGACTCACTGCAAGGGTCTGTGGCTTCAGTGAGACCAATAACCCACCAATTCTGAACACACTAATCTTTATTAATTTATGTGGGGAATGAGGTTAACACTTCTAAAGTTAGATTAACGTTATGTGAGAAAATTCAAAATATGGGATTTTTTTTCACGGATTCTTTGTTACTCTGCTTTATAGCAATTTCAGTAAGATATTCTATTTGGATAAAGGAATCAGTTATTTGAAATTTAAAAATATAGTACTGAGTTTTGTGTTCCCCTTCCTGATTGCATGGACTCGGCTGCTGAACAAAGTTATGCATTTACTTTACTTTTGATAATTAAAATTGTGAGATCCTCAAGGGCAGGAACAATTTCCTTTTGATTCCTAGCAGTAAGTTTTTGCATCTTGAAGGTGTTCAATGAATATATGTTGAATGAATGCTTGTATCCTTAATTTGGAAAGTAATAAGTATTTGTCAAAAGAAAATGAAAAACAATATGCAGGAAAAATTTAGAATTAATAGAGTATAAGGTATAAAATACGTTAGTCAAAATAGAGACGTTGTTGAAATAAAGCTTCCATTAAGGAAAATAGGCTTTGGTCAGTTTTTCATCCCACTTGAAGACAAAGACCCCAGTGATTTGGATGGTATTAGAAAAAAGTTTATGATAAAAATGAAAATAGGTATTTATATTTTAGAATTCAAATTTACATTATGAAGTCCAGTTTTGGACAATATCTATGAAATTATATTTTCAGCATTCACATCTTGTTTTTCTTTGTACCATAAGACTCAGAGAACAGTTCTTCGTCTTTCTTGAATTAGTTGACAATCTAAGACCTTAGAACAATGGGCTATGCAAAAAAGTAATTCTGTTTATAAATAGAAAAAATAATCATACCTTAAGCCTTTAGGAAAGAGAAATTTGCCAACACACGCTGTTCTCCTTTTACCTTTTCTTTTTTACCACGTATTTTGCTCAAACATAGTCACTATCTAGCTCAATACTTTTACTCTTAAATTATATACCAGGAAAATTCTATTTCAAACCTTTATCTTTACCACTTTGTCTTCCCAGCAACAACTATCTTTTTCCTTTATCCATCTGCACCCAACTCTGATGAGCTGGAGAAAAAAGACAGAGTGTTAGTGTGGAAACAAACACAAGGGACAGAGTGATTTATCAAGAGCATGGATGTTATCGATGATGATGAAAATCAAGAATAGATAAGCTCTTTCTCAATCCTTGGATCCTCGTGGCTTTTTGTGGAAAGTTGAAAATTACATTAGAAACAAAAGTATTTTAGAGATGTCAAATAAATGGTTTAAGAAAACATACAGTATATATTTAACATAAATTTTTTCCCTTGTGTAAAACAACTCCCTAACTGTACAAATTAGTAAATATATTTAGGCCCAAATAAATAAAATATAGTGAAAATAGACTAGATAGCATGATTTAAATTCACATGTTATTCTGACTATCCTTAATATTATTATTTTGTTATTTAATGGAAATAGCATTAAATGGGAGTGCAGAAATCTAGGCTGCAGCCGACCAACAATTTGACTTTAAGGAAGTAATTTCAGTTTCCTGAGCCTCAATTTCTTTATCTGTAAAATAAACTCCAAGGCCACTTTTAGGAATAAAATTCAGGACACTTAATTCTCCAGGTGACAGCTAAATTATTTGGATTGAGGATACATGCCTGCATTTTCAGTCTGGACCTAAAGAGAGAAAGCAAAAAAAAAATATTGCATATTATGTGTGGAAATTGATAAACAGAACCCAAGTTTATCTTTGTTGCTGTTGTTTCTGTTATTGTTGTTTTGTTTTGTTATTTTGACGAACTTGTACCTAGAACAAAATAAACTTTTATTTTCCTGGATCCTTCTAACTAACAAATTCAAATCATTATAAACAAGGAACAATAATGAAGCTATGAGACTGTTAATGATTATTGTTAATAAAAGGGAATCTTTTCATCATTTTTGGTAGGAAATTTTAGTTACATTCCTATAATAGTTGCTAAATAGTGATCTTTCTCTAGTTAGGAATATTTTTGTCCTCTATTAATCTAGATTTCAGTGGAGAGCAAAATGATTTGTAAAGATAATTAGATGGCTATGTAAATATAGAACAATAATAGCTCTTACCCCACAGACCAAGGACCGTTTGTGGGAATTGTGCCAACTACCAGTTATTTCTATTTCATTCCAATTATGCATTCAGAGGCTGGTGACATAACCATCATGTGGATCCTATCATCCACGATGCCATCACCGGGCCTAGTTCTGTAATGGCTTCTCTTCCTGTAATGGCTTCTCTTTCTGGCTTCCAAAGACATCGCTGAACCCATTCTTTTGTAAAAGTGTACCCTTGGGCACCTCCCACACTAGATTTTCTCTACTCTATCATGACCACTTCTTTGAGTCTAGCAGATTTCTCAACCTTAGCACAGTTGACATTTTGGGCCATATAATTATATTTTTCTAGAGGCTATTGTGTGCATTGTAAGATATTTAGCCACATCCCTAATCTCTACCCAGTAGACACTGCCAGCACCTCTCTAGCTGTGACAATCAAAAGTGCCTCCGCACATTGCCAATATCCTGGGGAGGGAGTGGAAACACATCATCTCTGCTTAAGAACTACTATGCTATGGCAATTCTGGGATTGCAGTGTGACTTAGTGTGGGCCATAGTTTTACATGAACACTTGTACAAGTATCCTAGTGGCAAGTTTGCACTGTACCTCCCAATGCTGGGGAAATGTTTGTGGATATTAATTCTGAGTGAGCTAGAATGAATACAGATCTTAGTTTTAGATTACACTATATTGATAAGAGGGATATGATTTGGTATGCTGACATACGAGATTGGGAGTGATATAAATTGTTTGTCTAGTTGGTCGACTGAAACCAGAACCCAATGGGGGCCGATGTCCAACAGAGCTGAGATGCCAAATTCATGAGCCTCACAGCAAGAGAGAGCTTTCTAGTGCTCCAGTCAGAAGTTTAATTAGCTTTATTCCTGAGTGCTTATGAACCAATATATTCAAGTAGGTTTAACGTGTCTAAGGCAGGTAATTTCTCCAGCAGCAGGTTCCGACAGTGCAGGCAGCTTCTCTAGCACTAGGCTTTTGCAGAAAATTAACCTACGGCACTCAGGAGCCAGTGGCTGCCCTCTGAACGCCTGATGAGCAGTTTCATAGTGGAGGCCCTCTGGTGAGACATCTCCCCATAAACAGATTTCCCCAGCTACCAAGAGGGTGATTTCTGGCAGTACTGAAAGTTAGATTTTCTCTAAGTTCCATTGGCAGGGCACTACAACAAATTCTCTGCCTTTCAGTGAGCCAAGCTTTTTTCTTCCCAATAAAACCTGGATCTCAGGCCTGGGGTAATGGGAACTATTCCATGGACAATTATCTCGGTCCTAGGATACTGACTCTTGCTTATATATTCCATTCCTAGGATACTGACTCTTGCTTATATATTCCATTCCTCTACTCATTAGAGTTCTTTTACTTCTTACTAGCCAACCCCTTGTTACTCCAATCCCTCATTATATTTAATAATTCTTTATATTACCCCTTTCCTTTTCAAATTGCTGTGTGGTTTTAATCTCCTGATTGGACTAAGACTTATACATTATTTAAAGATATATGATTACAAAGGAATAAATGAGTTTCCTCTGTTAGTACGTCCAGTAGGTATTAAACTTGTGAGCATTGGCACTGGTATTAAGTGTTCAGCAAATGCTTAGAAAACACAGCTCCACCCCAATACTTCACACACTTGTTTGCCTTATAGTAATTATTTAGCCAATTGTGACAAGAGTAATAAAAATAAATCCTCATTCAGTATTTATATAATTGTTACTATTTACTTTTCTTTTTTTTTTTTTTTTTTTTTTTTGAGATGGAGATTCACTCTTGTCACCCAGGCTGGAGTGCAATGGTGCAGTCTCAGCTCACTGCAACCTCTGCCTCCTAGGTTCAAGCGATTCTCCTGCCTCAGCCTCCCAAGTAGCTGGGATTACAGGCGTCTGCCACCACGCCTAGCTAATTTTGTATTTTTAGTAGAGATGGCATTTCACCATGTTGGCCAGGCTGGTCTCAAACTGCTGACCTCAGGGGATCCACCCACCTCGGCCTCCCAAAGTGTTGGGATTGCAGACATGAGCCACCACACCTGTCCTTAACTTTATTAAAAATTATTCTGCCCCAAATTTCAGAATCTATGTATGCATATAGAAAATCAAACTTGTGGGGAGGGGAGAGGAACTCATGTGAAATCCTCATGGGCTGCATAACAGTGTTGGGTATCTGAATGAAAGTCATGATATTCCCAGTAATGAAAAATGAGATCATAGATACAAGATAGACAAGGAAAATATTTCACAAAAGACCCATATCACAAAGAAAAAGCTAATCCTGCACGTTACCTTTGGTATGCTTTTTAGTTACCTTTATACCTTAACGAGCTGCTATTTCATTGCGTAACTAAAAGCTTGGCCTCCAAACAGTTTATTCTAAAAACAGATAACGAGGTCATGTAATATGCAAAGCACCCTGTGAAGGATAATGTTTGTTAAAGCCATGCTTATAAAGCCTAAATCCAAATAGGAATAGTATGGACTTGCTATATTATGGCACAGTTATAAAGTCATTTGACTTTTTCTATTAATGTTCTTCCAATAGGCCAACACTGGGGAGGCCCAGCATCTGGGAACAATTTCTGTGAGTTTCAGGATTATTGAGATATAATTGACAAATAAAACTTGCATATATTCAAGGTATACAACATGATGGATTCACACACACACACACACACACACACACACACACACATATATATATCTCCACTGTGAAATGATTCCCACTATCAAGCTGATTATCATATCCATCATCTCACATGGTTGCTTTTTTTATAGTGCGAATATGTAAGATACAGTCTTTTGTCATATTTCAAATATATAATACATTATTACTAACTATAGTCACCATGTTGGATATTATGTTTCTAGAGATTATTCATTTTATAACTAAAAGTTTGTAATCCAGTCATTCCTCCTTCCCCCTGCCCAAACCCCCACTGCATTGACTCCTGGAAAACACCTTTCTACTCTCTGCTTCTATGAGTTCAACTTTCCAATTAAAAGTATATAAATAAAAATTTAAAAAATAAAAAATACAACTACCATATGATCCAGCATTCCTACTTCTGGATACATATTCAAAAGAAAAGTATCAATTCTTTAACAGCCTCGCTCTCCTTTTTCTGGGGGATTTGTAATTAATATCTGCTTAGAATTAGTGTTAAAATTCTATAAAGATGCTTGAAGATAAAGATGAGTGATGAAACCTTATGAGTTTTATAAACTTCCCACATTATTTCTGCTATTGACAGTCTGTTTCCCCATAGCTATTACCAGTAAAATCCTTTACATAAAAAGGAGAATAAAGGAGTTTTCACACAAGCCAGATATATCAGAATCTGGAAAAACAGGTGTTAGCTGACCTCAGAATTGTTTCTCCATGTGTGAAACACTAAGCTGTTAAAACTCTTTGTTCATCATCCCAAGCTTTCCCTTCCACCTTACCACTCTCCCCATAACTGTAAGATTTCTTTGTCATCACGCAGAAGTTTCCATTTTGGCCCTCGTGTATGATAAAAACCTCCTATAAAAGGAACAACTTAACAGATGGTAATGGTGAAATAAGTAGGCCTTGGAAAAATAAGAACCCTAAATTCTAATTCTAGATTTTTTTCTCACTTACTAAACTGCTGAATTTCAATTTCCTATACTGTAAAACAAGAAATCTTATAGGGTCGTATTATAAGAACATAAAAAGACCACCTTTAAAAGATATTTTCTCATAATGTGAAAAGAACATCTAATAGAAATGCTTTTTTTCCAAACATTTGTGATAACCACTTTCAACATTACGCACCAATGATCACTTTTTAGATTTGTGTTGTTGAATAAAACACCTATTTGTTACAGTCATGCATTCTACTCAGCCTTAAAAATATAACAAATGGAATATTCCAGAGCACATATTTCATTTTTCCTGTCTAGTCTTCAATGCATTTTATTTGTTTAGCCTTTCTGGTGACTTTCTTTCTTGGCCAATATTTGATCACAATATCAAATACTATTAAGGTCTATGTTATTGTGTCGTGGATAGCTTATAGTTACCACAGTCCCACCCTTAGGATTAATTTTATCTCTATGCGCAAGGACCACCCACTGAGGTGATTAGGCAATTCAGTTTTCCACCTCATTCCTCCTCCACGACCTAACGGAACATCTCAGCTTGCTTTCTGAATCCTGGGAATACACAGCAAGGGCAGGGATTCCTGAAGATGTCTACTAAGGAAGCAAAAAGGAGAATAACTGGGGGGTGGGGGAAAGCAAAATGTTTAGAGGTTTTGGAGAGAATCGCAGAGGGAAGCAGAGAATTCATACCATTTGATTTGTTTTAGATAGGACTGGGCAAAATACTTGAAGAAAAAAGAAGCAGCTATGCTGTGGTCTCAAGGGAAAAGGAAAGGTGAACTAAGGGTTCTTTTCCATTTCTTATTGATGTCATTAAACAACTTGATCTGTGGTCTCTTACTGACTTTGCAGAAGAAAACAGTTGGTGGCAATTAGGATGTTGGCTTTACCGTGTGAACACATGCTCTAGAAGCTAACCTCAGAACTGATTAACTTCAAATGTGTCAGCAGCTGTCATGTGATAACAATTCCAAGTAATTTCCAACCTAAACTGGAAGCAAACCAGGGACATAGAGGTAAAATTGCTTAAAAATGCATGAACACATCAGATTACTATTACGTAAGCATTTTGGTCCTACTTTCAGTTCCAGTGTTTTAATTTTAAAACACTTGGTCATCTGTAGTGATATGGTTTTACTGTGTCCCCACCCAAAATCTCATCTTGAATTATAAACCTCATAATCCCCATGTGTCAAGGGAATTGAATCATGAATCAATTACCAGATAAAGGTAATTGAATCATGGAAGTAGTGTACCCTATGCTCTTCTTATGATAGTGAGTGAGTTCTCATGAGAGCTGATGATTTTATAAATGTTTGGTAGTTCCTCCTGTGTTCATTCTCCTTCCTGCCACCTTGTGACGAAAGTGCCTTGCTTCCTCTTTGCCTTCTGCCATGATTGTAAGTTTCCTAAGACTTTCCCAGCCATGCAGAACAGTGAGTTAATTAAACCTCTTTCCTTTATAAATTATCCAGTCTTGGGCAGTTCTTATAGCAGTATGAAAATGGACTAATACACCTAGACTTTAATTTATGGATTATTTCTGAAACAACCTTGAGTTGCCACTTTCAGGCATATCATATAGTCTCCAAATGTCAACACAATGTACTTTTGAATTGTAAAGCACTTCATATAAACACAATTGCATGGTATTTAATGTGCCTTTGAACAGTTCCCAAGTGTTAACTTTATTGTGAGTGCTTAATACCTAGAAATCTTACATTTTTAGTTGACAGTTGATATTGGGTCTTTTTCCACATATATCACTCCCCATGTTTAGAGTCCTTCTTTGGCTTCCCTGTGCTCTTAGGGTGATGAGAAACAACACTACTTAAGATGACTAGCAGCAGGCTTGCTATGGTTGCCATCTCTTTCTCCAGCTTCATTTTCCAGTTCATTTCTCCTCACTTTCTGCATTTCAACCACTCCGCTCTTCTTTCAGACCCCGAACCAGTCATGCTTTCTTTTTAACACAAGATTTTTAGCCGTGCTGGAACACTCCTCCTTCCCTTTAGCAAGTTAGTGTCTGCTCATGCTTCAGGGTTCAGTACAAGATCATTCCTTCAGGGAGAATTTGCTGTGATCCCTCTCTAGGCCAATGCCCTATTTAGGCTCTTATAGTTCCTCTTGGTCTCTTCTCCTGTTCATTTGAAAGATTATGAATTAGTCCCTTTTGCCCCACAAGAATCTAAGCTCTGGAAGAGTAGGGGGCCAGATCTTTTTTGTTTACCATTATATATTTAGCATCCAGAACACTGTGCAGTACACATTTCTTGAAAAAAATGAACAAATTAATTACAGGGATGTCAGTGATAGAACATTGTTACAGAAATCATACAGCATGTATGAGTAAATAGCATTTGGGTCCGACATTTACGAGGCCATCATTTTAGATAAATTTGAACCAATCTGACCAGCTTGAATTTTTCTCACGAATATTCAGAAAATGGCTTGTCTCTTGTATACTGGCAACTGTATTTTCTATATTATGAAATAAAAGTTCAGTTAGTTTGCAAAAAAATACTTCACAAGGAAGCAAAATCATTAAGACAAAAGTTACTTCTCAGGTAAAATTACAACACCCTCAAAAGAACAATAAAATCAGAGAAAATAAATGGAAAATAAGATGATATTATCACAATGAAACACAATTCCCTCATTTACTATTAAGAATAATAACATTTTATTGAAATGGGGAAGACTAGATTTTCCAAATCTTTTTTTTTTTTTTTTTTTTTTTCGAGGTGGAGACTCGCTCTGTCGCCCAGGCTGGAGTGCAGTCGTGCGATCTCAGCTCACAGCAAGCTCTGCCACCCAGGTTCACACCATTCTTCTGCCTCAGTCTCCCAAATAGCTGGGACTACAGGCACCTGCTGCCATGCCTGGCTAATTTTTTGTATTTTTAGTAGAGACAGGGTTTCACCATGTTAGCCAGGATGGTCTCGATCTCCTGACCTCGTGATCCGCCCACCTTGGCCTCCCAAAGTGCTGGGATTACAGGCGTAAGCAACTGGGGCCGGCCTAGATTTTCTAAATCTTAAGCAACTTTCAAGAATATTTAAAAAGAGGAGAGGACAGGTGAAACAGATCGTAAGGAGACTGGCATACAGGCAGGGGTGGGTTTCACTAAGGAATATCAATAGATTAGATTGGAAAGGCATGTGTGGAAAGAATTATTGGAGGAACAGACTATATTTTGCAATAATGAAGACTACAGCCAGGACTATGTTGCTTACAACGGTAATGAACATAAAGAGGCAGATACACAAGATATTTTGAAGGAATAATTGTCAGAAGTTGATAACATATATAGTTAAAGGAGAGGAAAACAATCAAAACAATACATGTTAAAAATATTTCAAATTTTGCCAGATAAAATTTCAACTATGGGCCAGGCACAGTGGTTCACGCCTGTAATCCTAGCACTTTGGAAGCCTGAGGCAGGCAGATCATGAGGTCAGGAGTTCAAGACCAGCCTGGCCAACATGGTGAAACCCCGTCTCTACTAAAAATACAAAAAATTAGCCAGGTGTGGTGGTGCACGCCTGTAGTCCCAGCTACTTAGGAGGCTGAGGCAAAAGAATTGCTTGAACCTGGGAGGCAGAGGTTGCAGTGAGTCGAGATTGTACCACTGCACTCCAGCCTGGGTGACAGAGTGAGACTGCATCTCAAAAAAAAAAAAAAAAAAAAAAAAAAAATGCAACAATATAGCATGACGAGGAACTAAGCTTAAATGTTGTCTTTATTTTTCTGTATGTTCCTCTTATAAAGAAAATTCTTATAGAAGATAAACAAGCACATGTGGCAAAATAGCTATGAATAATAAACCAATCCCACAATGAATTTAGTGCTCAGTAATCATTTTTGCATTTTAAAAAATTACATGTCAGCTATGAAATTGACATACATGTTGTTTAGTTGAATGGTTTTCAAAATTTAAACAAGTTTTATTATGGTATTTTGGGGGCTCTATAACTAGCTAATAACAGCTTAATATTTTAAAATATATTTTATTTTATTTTATTTTATTTATTTTATTTTTTGTTTGAGAGAGAGTCTCGCTCTCGCCCAGGCTGGAGCGCAGTGGTGCTATCTTTGCTCACTGCAAGCTCTGCCTCCCGGGTTCACGCCATTCTCCCACCTCAGCCTCCCGAGTAGCTGGGACTACAGGCGCCCGCCACCATGCCTGGCTAATTTTTTTGTATTTTTAGTATGGACGGGGTTTCACCGTGTTAGCCAGGATGGTCTCGATGTCCTGACCTCGTGATCCGCCCGCCTCGGCCTCCCAAAGTGCTGGGATTACAGGCATGAGCCACTATACCTTGCCTTAAAATATATTTTAAATCTTTAAAAGCTGTAATGACAGACAACATCCACAGCTAATGTGTTTTGTGTTAAGTTGCAACCCTGTGGAACCACGAATGCATTAACTTGTTCTTTGGGGTAAATTTGTCTTGTGCAGATCTGCCACCTCTGTGCATGTATTTGAACTTCCTGTAAAGATGTTGTAATTTAATCAAGTGCAAATCAGTACTTTTTCTCGATTTTTTTAAAACTAAATTGAGACCTGAGCATATCTGTTAATGCAAATCTGTAGAAACAAGTGCCTGTATCAAGCTCAATTAGCAAGGCCCAGGTACGTCCACTTAGCAGTTGTACACATCAGAATACGTGCAAATGGAAAAATAATAAACGAGATATAATAGATTATCACTACTAATCAACTTGGGGGATTCTTTTTCTGATTTTATATTTCTGATAAGAAATACAAGCAGTGCTTCAACATTTTCTACCACAATTCATCCCCCAAGCCTTAATAGAAGATTATCCTGAGATTCTGAGGTAAACTGGGAAAAAGTTATCTTTGGAGCTATTTGTCTGTATTGATAAAAATGTGCCATGTATGGTACAATCAAACCAAGTACAGCCGCAATGGATATTATCTGCAATGGTGTCTTTTAGCCCTTGCTTTGAGTTTATAAAGCCATCAATATGGCTCAGAAGCATTTCCAAAAAACAAAACAAAACAAATCTTCATCAAGACAACTAAATTTTTCTCACTGACATACATTAAAATAAATAAAAGTTTCACAATGAATTGAGTGAAATCATAAGTGAAATAAATTACCTTTGGTTTTATTTATTTATTCATTTGTTTATCTGAGTCAGGATCTCATTCTGTTGCCCAGGCTGAAGTGCAGTGGCATGATCATGGCTCACAGCAGCCTCAAACTTCTGACATCAAGCTATCCTCCCACCTTACACTCCCTAGTTTCTGAGATTATAGACGTGATCTCCCATGCCCTGCTCAGATTGACTTTCAAAGGAGAGCTCTGCCTAAAAATCAAAAGGATAAACTGAAAACCATTAATACATGTACAGGTGGTTAACACTGGCTTTTAGAGTTTTACATTACAGGATGGATATGTTCAAGGCTAGATATTTCTAATAAAAGATATAAAATTCTACATTTACAGAGTTGAAGAAGATGCACAGTGAAGACACAAGTGGCTTTATTCATTTTCTACATTTGAATTTATTGTATAATACACTAGAGTGTGAGGAGTGTAGCCTTTGGAGCCAAACTGCCTGGATTCAAATGCCCATTCTAGCACCTAATGGTTATGTGGTTTGGAGCAACTAAGTTGAACTCTCTGTGCCTTGGTTTTCTCATCTGTAATGCATTTCTCATCTGTAATGAGGTTAAACTATGTTGTTTTCTGTAGAGTGCTTAGAAGAGCACTGGGGACTTAGTAACTGATAAATAAAAGTTATTTATAATAGGTTTTACAGAGTTAAAACAATGTCATAACACATCAAATTTTGAGTTCAGGTTTGTAGAGCTCCTGAAATGCCTTGTTAGACATAATGTCTCCTTTTTTTGAAACCAATAGTTCTTATCCATTTTTCCCAAAAAAAAAAAAAAAAGAAAGTTAGACAAATTCTTTTTTTTTTTTTTTTTTTTTGAATTGGAGTCTTGCTCTGTTGCCCAGTGGCAGGATCTGGGCTCACTGTAAGCTCTGCCTCCCGGGTTCATGCCATTCTCCTGCCTCAGCCTCCTGAGTAGCTGGGACTACAGGCACCCGCCACCACGTCCGGCTAACTTTTTGTATTTTTAGTAGAGACGGGGTTTCACTGTGTTAGCCAGGATGGTGTCAATCTCCTGACCTCGTGATCTGCTCGCCCTGGCCTTCCAAAATGCTGGGATTACAGGTGTGAGCCACTGGGCCTGGCCCCTAAAGTTAGACAAATTCTTAGATAACCTTGCAAGATTCTCCAAGCACAAAAATGATTGTATAGCCCCCCCGCCCCACCCCCTCTTCACATTGTTATCTAAACACCAGGGATTTGGTTTAGGTCCTGCACTTTGCCGCACAGAAAGCCAATCACTAAGTCAATGATTATTGCCAAGGAACAAGGCTTTGATTGGGTGCTACAGCCAGGGACATGGGAGCTGTTTCAAATACATCTCCCTTACCCACTAAAACTAGGGGTTTATATAGCAGGAAAGAGATGAAACAATGTGTAAAAAACAGGAACTAGAGAGGGGCAAGGAAGCAATCATGATGAATGAGGGGTCTGTCATCTCATTGTCTGGATGTGGTGATCTGGTGAGTTTCAGTTCTTCGATACTTTTTGAGAGGACTGAAAGTCTTTTCCTGAGCAGGGAACTCAGATAAAACCAATATAAGTTTCAAGCTTTATGACCAGAAGGGTCAATTTCTATGTTTATCCAAAAAACTGTCTATGGGACTATTGGGTTGGTTTCAGCATGAGCTCCAGGTTCTACTTCCTGATTGGTTTATTAACAGAAAGATAAGTTGATGAATATGGTGACATATTCTTAATGTCTAATGTTTCTATGACTTCATATGAAATGAGCCTTTCACAGCATATATAAAAAAGAAAGTGGAAAACTACCATTCTAGTCTAACATTGCCATTTTGCAGAAGAGGCAAAGAGATTCAGAAAACTTCAACAGCTTGCCCGAGATCAAAAGGATTGTGAGAGAAAACACAGACACAAATCTCCTGATCCCTAGATTAGATTATCCTTTTTTTTTTTTTTTTTTTTTTTTTTTTTGAGACAGAGTCTTGCTCTGTCACTCAGGCTGGAGTGCAGTGGTGCAATCTTGGCTCACTGCAACCTCCACCTCCGAGGTTCAAGCAATTCTCCTGCCTCAGCCTCCCAATTAGCTGGGATTACAGGTGCCCGCCACCATGCCCGGCTAATTTTTGTATTTTTAGTAGAAACAGGGTTTCACCATGTTGGCCAGGCTGGTCTCGAACTCCTGGCCTCGTGATCTGCCTGCCTCAGCCTCCCAAAGTGCTAGGATTACAGGAGTGAGCCACTGTGCCTGGTCACCTCTTAATGTGATTATAAAGTTGTAGAATTCTAGAGTGCTATTTGTGAAAGTAACATGATTTGGGAAGTCTTAATAAGTCCACCATGATTTTCTTGTGGTGGGGATACTTTTTAGTTGTATTTGTATTCTGATTTTCAGTCTTTGACCTGTATAAGGAACCATATTGTGGCAGGAAATGAACAATTGATTGTTTTGATTGTCTTTTTCTGTGTACCAGGATATCAGGGTGACAGTGGATTTTGCAGCCACCAGCTCCCAGAAGTACTGTGTCAGAGCAGTTCACAAATGCTCTGATAGTTTCATCCAGAGGTTGATTCCAAAGCTTCATGTGTATTTCCTAAGCACCTGTAAAATTTCTTCTGTTATCTAAAATGTTATGTCAACAGCTGTATCTATTGAGTGTATAAGGCTGGCAGACACATGATTATGAAGGTATCAGTTCAAATTGGTCAATCAACTTTCTAATCTATTGATTCCACTTATACATTCCTTTTTTTTTCACAGGGGCAGTTAACACTCCAAGATTTCATTAAACAATTCAGACATATGTTGGCTTATTACATTTTAAAGCCAGTATGATATTTATTATTTGGTTTCATGTTGGAAACTACTGAGTAATTTCCAAAAACTGTCAGGATTGTGATTTCAAGCCATATGTTGCATTTTACTGTCACTCCGCTTTGAAAAAGAAATGTCTTAATTCTTTATACTTGGATTTTCTGCTTTGTAGTAAACAACTTTTTCCCCAAATAGACTTGCATAGCATTTTAATTTGTTTTTATTACTGTCTTCTTTGGAATTTTAAGTAATGACTCAAATCACATTCTGACCAATTGTTTCCTGGAAGTCATTTGCACATGGTTTCAGGCGAAATAATAGGTTTTACAGAAATTCCTGTTGTACCCAACTTGTCATCCCATCTGTAACCATTAAAAAATAAACTCTGATTTTTTATTAAGGCAGCTTGAGATACATAGATGAATTACATGAATAGAATTTCTTCTTGTTGCAGACTTAAATTTTAATGTATTTTAAAATGCCATTTATTTTTCAACTTACCACTTTATCTAATAGACATATTTATATACATATTTACATACATATAACATAAGAAAACAGATACATAATTCAATATTTGAAATAAGTGACTTGGCGTGGTGACTCACGCCTGTAATCTCAGCACTTTGGGAGGCTGAGGCAGGTGGATTACCTGAGGTCAGACATTCGAGACCAGCCTGATCAACATGGTGAAACCCTGTCTCTACTAAAAATACAAAAATTAGCTGGATGTGGTGGCACAAGCCTGTAACCCCAGCTATTCGGGAGGCTGAGGCAGGAGAATCGCTTGAATCCGGGAGGTGGAGGTTGCAGTGAGCCAAGATTGCACCATTGCACTCAAGCCTGGACAACAAGAGTGAAACTCCGTCTCAAAAAAAAAAAAAAAAAAAAAAAGGAATAAATAGATAACAAAAATGGAATGTTATAATGAACATTTTAATGAAAACTTAGACCACTAAATCATAAGCAGGAACTAAGAATGTGGTCACATTGGACTGGTTTGGAGATTCAAAGAAAATACCCCATAGATGGCTTGTCAGAGAGCAGTTGAGAAAGAAGCAACAAAGAACCATGTTTTTAGAGTAGAAGATGAACATGATCAGTGAAGAACTGGAAATATTATACAAACAAGACCATTTAGGGGGTGGTTCAGGATGACCAAGAATGCAGAATTCTAACTGTTGCCAGAGAGTACTACACCGTGTTCTCTATTGTTGTTTTTTTGAACGTTCTATTCATTCAAAATTTCCCCTTTCCATATTTGTTTTTTTCCCCATGATTTTTTTGACAAATTTTCCCGCTTTCAAATATCAAGTAAAGAATGACTCCTATTCTGTAAAACCCTCCCTGACTCATCTGGAGGAGTTGAGGATTTTTTTTCCAGTAAATTCTAATTGGTTCTAATTACAACCACTGTTCTAAACCACTGGTTGTCAATAATTGCTACACGCTGGAATCACTTGGGGAATTTAAAAAATATTGATGTCTGGCCGGGTGCGGTGGCTCAGGCCTGTAATCCCAGCACTTTGGGAGGCCGAGGGGGGCGGATCACGAGGTCAGGAGACTGAGACCATCCTGGCTAACACGGTGAAACCCCGTATCTACTAAAAATACAAAAAATTAGCCAGGCGCAGTGGCGGGCACTTGTAGTCCCAGCTACTCGGGAGGCTGAGGCGGGAGAATGGCGCGAACCCGGGAGGCGGAGCTTGCAGGGAGCCGAGATCGCGCCACTGCACTCCAGCCTGGGCGACAGAGCGAGACTCCGTCTCAAAAAAACAAAAACAAAAAAAAAAAAACAAAAACTGATATCTACAACCCCACCCTCAAAGACTCATATTTAGTTGATACGGGTGTACCCTGTGCATTGGAATTTAGAAGAGGAAGAAAGTAAACAACAAAACAAAACAAAACTCTAATACCAATGGATTCTAAAGTACAGCAGAGTGTTGAGCACCATTGCTATGTTTTTTTAGTTGCAATATGTGAGTTATAGTTCATATGAAGCTTCCCCTACGCTCTATGTGAATCTCTATATAAAAGAGACCCCCTTTCCTCGTGGTACTCGTTGGAAACCTGAATTGTGCATTGCTTAAGAGTAAAGGCTTTGCCATGAAACAACAGCAATGAAATTTCAGCTCTCTGACTTACTAAAGTTGTGTGTTTGGGCAAATAATTTTATCTCCACAAGCTTCAGCTGTCGTTAATTTACTGAGATGATTAAATGAGAAGTAATATACATAAACATTAACAAGAGTACCCATCACAAAAGTGACCTTACATAGCTCCTCTTGTTTTATACTCGTAATGAATTGAGCAAAGATTCATTCTAAAAGCTTTAATATATTTCATTAATTTTCAGAACACTCTAAAATAAAGTTTTAAATATATAATAAATATTTTTAGTCTCATTTTACGTATGAGGAAACTATGGTACAGAGAGGCAAAATAATTTGCCCTAGAAACCTGTAGAAGGTCAAGATAAGTTATGAAGTTAATAAGTAGAGCTGAGATTTGAAACTAGCTGGTCTAACTTCTGATTCTGTGCTTGAAATCACTGTACTTTACTGGAAAACGATGAAAGCAAAGCTATTTTTAAAAATCTACCCTATTTAGGCCCGGCGCAGTGGCTCATGCCTGTAATCCCAGCACTTTGGGAGGCCGAGACAGGTGGATCACGAAGTCAGGAGATCGAGATCATCCTGGTTAACACGGTGAAACCCTGTCTCTACTAAAAATACAAAAAAATTAGCCGGGCGTGGTGGTGGGTGCCTGTAGTCTAAGCTACTAGGGAGGCTGAGGCAGGAGAATGGCGTTTACCCAGGAGGCAGAGCTTGCAGTTAGCCCAGATCGTGACACAGAACTCCAGCCTGGGCAACAGAGTGAGCCTCCGTCTAAAAAAAAAAAAAAAAAAATCTACCCTATTTAATCGTATGTGATAAGCATCACATGAATGCTGAAAACATATTTTAGAAATTTAGGTGGGAAGAAATATTTATGTACAGGAACTCAAGACAGACTTCATGGAGGAAGTGAAATTTGAACTGTATTCCTGGGCTGCTAATAATGTGCATGGTAATTAGTACACACACACACACACACACACACCCCTCTCCACCTTATTTAATTATGTATAACAGTTACTCATGCATTGAAGTGTTTTAGGTGAGACATACCATTTTCTGTGAAGATATAAAAAGCAACCATTGAACAAGAATAAATGCAGCTGTGTTTGTGGTCATCAAGTACACTGGATAACTGTTATTAAAGAGCACAGGATGTGATTCTATGCTGGAATGAATATTTTAATCCTAGATAAACATACAAAAGTTTAGATGATCCTAAGAGGAGCATTCTCTGTCATCTGGAATACAGTTTTTCTTAAATCACAAGTAAGGATCGTTCACCATTATTCACTTATAGATTAGTTCTCTTTAAAATTAGGACAAAGGGCTGGGTGCGGTGGCTCACTCCTGTAATCCCAGCACTTTGGGAGGCCAAGGTGGGCGGATCACAAGGTCAGGAGATCGAGACCATCCTGGCTAACACGGTGAAACCCTGTCTCTACTAAAAAAATACAAAAAAATTAGCCTGGCGTGGTGGCGGGAGCCTGTAGTCCCAGCTACTTGGGAGGCTGAGGCAGGAGAATGGCGTGAACCCCAGAGGTGGAGCTTGCAGTGAGCCGGGATCGCGCCACTGTGCTCCAGCCTGGGCGCCAGAGCTAGACTCTGTCTCAAAAAAAAAAAAAAAAAAGGAAAAAATTAGGACAAAGGCGCCGGGAGGGGTGGGTCATGCCTGTAATCCCAGCACTTTGGGAGGCCAGGGCAGGCGGATCACGAGGTCAGGAGATGGAGACCATCCTGGCTAACATGGTGAAACCCCCTGTCTACTAAAAATACAAAAAATTAGCCGGGCGTGTGGCAAACACGTGAAGTCCCAGCTACTCGGGAGGCTGAGGCAGGAGAATGGCGTCAATCCGGAAGGTGGAGCTTGCAGTGAACTTGAGATTGCGCCACTGCACTCCAGCCTGGGTGACAGAGTGAGACTCCATCTCAGAAAAAAATAAATAAATAAATAAATAAATAAATAAATAAATAAAATAAAATTAGGACAAAGGCAAGGATGTCCACTGTTACCAGTACTATTAATATTATACTAGAATTCTACAAAAAGTGATAGAATAAAGAGTAAAGCAAAGCAAAACCAGTAAGTTTAGGGAAAAAGAGTTTATGTTTTTCATTATTTGTAGATTATCTAGAAAATGCAGAAGAATCAAGTTTAAATCTTTTAGAATGGATAAGAGAGTTTGATAAATTGAACAGAATAAAAAAATTAAGTCATCAGCATGAACCTATTAGAATGCTAATCAGGAATAGACTTCATTTGCAATAGCATCTAAATATGTACAGTGTTTGGGAATAACTTTAACAAGAAATGTACAGAATGTATAGGCTGAGTAGATAATATATATACGAAAATTATATACATATATATATGTGAGAGATATACTAGGTCACTGAATGGAAAGATGGATTTAACAAAGCAGTTAGTCTTCTCTGTGAATGCATAGCTTGAATGTTCTCCAAATCACAACTTCAATGAACTGTTTTTGGTAACTTGACAAAGTCATTGAAATGTAAAATAGTTTACATTTTTAAAACATGGTAGATTTTATTCAGCTATGCAGGTTCATTATGAAATTACAACAATTAAAACACCAAGAGGTTGTTATAAAAAGTAGCACATAGATTCAAAGATTATTGTGAATAGTCCTAAAATAAATCTTATATTACACGTGAACATGATACATAACAAAGGGTATCTTGTGAATTAATTACAGAGGCATTTATTTTTCAACATGTGGTATAAGAGAAATTGATTTTTTACCTTATATATAAAATCAGAGTATATGTATTCAGATAATTGAATTTAAAATGAAACCATAGAAGAATAATAAGTTCCTAGCATAAAGAAGAGATAAATATTTAAGGTGGTGGTTATTTCAATTATCCTGATTTGATTGATCTTTATACATCATAAGAATATATCAAAATATCACATGTACCCCCAAAATATGTACATTATGTATCAACAAAGCGTTTTTTAAAGAATAAGAAGAATATATAGGTAAATATTAACTGATATTGGTAAGTTAGACCATTTTTTAACAATTTTTATTTTTGGCTCAGATCCATTTAATAATTAAATGAATGGCTATATAACCTCTCTTTGGGGAGAGGAAAGGAACGTGTGCACACATAGAACATGCTGCGTGTCATTACAGATGATGCATAAATAAGCAGAAGCGATAAATGGGTAGAGGATAAAGATAAGTGGTTAGTTGTGTATCACTGTTCTCCGTCTATCCTCCAGAAGTCAATTTTCTTTTAGGTAGTTACACTGGCTTCCTGAATTAATTGAATCCTGCCCAAGTTTTGGGATCACAGAAAAAGTAAAGATTGTGGGGAGTTGGGAGGAATCAGGAAGTGTCAGGGCAGGACTGTTCTCCTCCACTTCCCCTATTAAACTACTCTTCTCTACAGTCATATTCTCCAAAATTATTCAAGAGGTGGTAGGAGGACAACTAAACTGAATGGAACACGGATGAGAAAGGGAGATGCCTCTAGGCTGGTAATGCTGCCTGCCTTCGTTGGTTAATTAACTCCTTTTATTCCTTCCGACTTGAGTGGAAACATCACTTCTTCTGGAATGTGTCCCTGACTTCCCCAAACAATATTACATCCTGTGTTACTGATTCCCACTTTACTTGTGCCCCTTGTAACACTTAATTGTACTTATATTTATACCCTAATGTGTATCTTTTCCACAATACTTCATAGTTCCATGAGAAAAACAAATGTCTTTTTCTTTAATCATTGTTATCCAGAGTCTATTCAATATCCACCACATTTCGGGTACAAGAAAAATACATATTGAATAAATAGGAAGACAAAAATAAATTAGCATTTTTATAGTTTTGTATAGTTTTGCTTTGTTACTCAAAATGAGCTCAACACCAGCTTGGCACTGATTCCTGGTCGTTAAAGATCAATGTCATAAATGGAGAAAATTCTAAAATCATGTGAAATATCTACCATGTAGAAATTACAACCATTTTGTCATTGAAGTTCAGTAAATTCTCATAAGTGATTATATATAGCTTTACTGTCTTTTATGATCCTTTATGCTATGTCATATGAACTGAGTGCCAAACTGTGGGGCCCCTTGGTTCTATCCTGGGAACGTCATCTGGGCAGGCATTGGATTAACAGATAGACAAAGTCAAAGAGGGTTTCATGACAGACCCTCTGGAATTTGAGGATAAAATTTCAAAAGCCTCAGGCATGCTCTGGTGATTCTTGGCAATGATGCACCATACTGAAAATAGGAAAGGCAGAGCCACTTATACTGGAGACTTTAAAAGATAACAGTAATAAAGTTCTGATGATCCTCTGTATTATCAAACTATCTCTCTTCTCTTACAGCTGTTCCAAGAGAGATTCTCCACAAAGTTCTCTAAAAATATCCCTGTACGAATACATTTTTGGTAAACGATAACTTTTATTAATTAGTTTGTTATCAGGCAGGTTAAAACTAATTGGGTTAACAATATTTCTGTGATAACTTATTTTAGCATATTGAGTGTGATAAATGAGTAATAATTAAAGGAGGATAAGCTAGTTTTCATATCTAGGCTGGTCATGAATGAATGAAATTTAGATTCCCCCAAGTTAATGTAATCATCCATTAATTACCCAAACCAAACACATAAAAGGAAGCAAAAATTTCCAGTTATCAATTTATGAGCACTTATTATTTTCTAGAATTTGATATTTATGCATATATATTAGAAAGTAAAGAGTTCTGTTTTAAGTGCCATAAGATGCAGATTTAGTATTAGTGTGTAGAAATTGAGCAAAAACATTTTATTGTACCTTTTGACTCTTACTGAAGAAAGATATTCATTGACTAAAACTATTACCAAAATGAAAGCGATTCCCGTATGTTTTCGGGTACGTGATAACAGACAGAATTCATATGAAATAAATGCTAGAGGAATTTAGAGAATAACATTTTAGAAACAGAAAAGCTATATAAAATTGCTTTGTGTACAGTACATGTATTGAGTCAAAACATATTTTACTGTTTTGTGTTTAGTTTTTTTTTTTTTGAGACAGTCTCGCTCTGGTTGCCCAGGCTGGAGGGCAGTGGCATGATCTTGGCTCACTGCACCCTCCGCCTCCTGGGTTCAAGCGATTCTTCTGCCTCAGCCTCCCCAGTAACTGGGTCTACAGGCGCACACCATCACACCTCACTAATTTTTGTATTTTTAGTAGACATGGAGTTTCACCACATTGGCCAGGCTGCTCTCGAACTCCTGACCTCATGATCCGCCCGCCTCAGCCTCCCAAAGTGCTGAGATTACAGGTGTGAGCCACCGCGCCTGGCCTGTGTTTAGTTTTATTGCATTTTCTGAAAGTTTAGCAGAAAGTATACCCCTGTATCACTCAGAATGAGACTAAATATTATATGAGTTGAATAAGTCTTTAATACATCTTGAATTAATTTTTGTATAAGGTGTAAGGAAGGAATCCAGTTTCAGCTTTCTACATATGGCTAGCCAGTTTTCCCAGCACAATTTATTAAATAGGGAATCCTTTCCCCATTTCTTGTTTTTGTCAGGTTTGTCAAAGATCGGATGGTTGTAGATGTGTGGTGTTATTTCTGAGGCCTCTGTTCTGTTCCATTGGTCTATAAAACCATAAAAACCCTAGAAGAAAACCTAGGCAATACCATTCAGGACACAGGCATGGACAAGGACTTCATGACTAAAACAACAAAAGCAATGACAACAAAAGCCAAAATAGACAAATGGGATCTAATTAAACTAAAGAGCTTCTGCACAGCAAAAGAAACTACCATCAAAATGAATAGGCAACCTACAGAATGGGAGAAAATTTTTGCAATTTACCCATCTGACAAAGGGCTAATATGCAGAATCTACAAAGAACTTAAACAAATTTACAAGAAAATAATCAAACAACCCCATCAAAAAGTGGGCAAAGGATATGAACAGACACTTCTCAAAAGAAGTCATTTATGCAGCCAACAGACACATGAAAAAATGCTCATCATCACTGGTCATCAGAGAAATGCAAATCAAAACCACAATGAGATACCATCTCATGCCAGTTAGAATGGCGTTCATTAAAAAGTCAGGAAACAACAGGTGCTGGAGAGGATGTGGAGAAATAGGAACACTTTTACACTGTTGGTGGGACTGTAAACTAGTTCAACTATTGTGGAAGACAGTGTGGTGATTCCTCAAGGGTCTAGAACTAGAAATACCATTTGACCCAGCCATCCCATTACTGGTATATACCCAAAGGATTATAAATCCTGTTACTATAAATACACACCCACACGTATGTTAATTGTGGCACTATTCACAATAGCAAAGACTTGGAACCAACCCAAATGTCCATCAATGATAGACTGGATTAAGAAAATGTGGCACATATACACCATGGAATACTATGCATCCACAAAAAAGGATGAGTTCATGTCCTTTGTAGTGACATGGATGAAGCTGGAAACCATCATTCTGAGTAAACTATCACAAGGACAGAAAACCAAATATCACATGTTCTCACTCACATGTGGGACTTGAAGAATGAGAACACTTGGACACAAGGTGGGAAACATCACACACTGGGACCTGTCTTGGGGAGGGATAGCATTAGGAGAGATACCTAATGTAAATGACAAGTTAATGGGTGCAGCAAACCAACGTGGCTCATGTATACATATGTAACAAACCTGCACGTTGTGCACATGTACCCTAGAACTTAAAGTATAATTTAAAAAAAAAGAGTTGAATAAGAACAACCCCAAAATTACTAAATACAATGATAAATCAGGTAATATTTTGTTGGAGCTTTGGGCAAAGATAAGGATTTTAGGCAGAGTATTGATAAACCAATTCTTAAGAAACAAAATTCACTTTAAATTGTAGTACAAATATTCTCACATCATAGACAATTTCAACTGTTGGCATGCCAATAGTTTACTAACTGTTTAGTAACATTTAGTAAATGGCTATCAAAATACTGAATAGTTGAGAATCATGTCCTACTGAACATGACCTGTCCTCACCCTAAACTCAGTAGTTTGTCTTGTAAAAACAGAAAGACATACTCACATACATATACTCACAAACACACAGTTTTAAACCTGTCACTACTTTGACATCAAATGCATTCAGGGAAATCTAGTAAATAACTGCTTAAAAACCATTTCCACTATAGTCCAATGTACCCAACTCTATTCTAATTCAAGTGGTTTACTGGTACATGTTTAAGAACCAGCTCAGGGAGATAGATTTCTATTTTGTAGTATATACTCCCACCATTGCTGATTTAAAGCTATGGACATGCTATCAATGAACAGAGTTGAAAAGCTACACTCAGTAGCACACCATTGGAGGGCATTTTCACTATATGGAGACAATAGATTTAAATAGTCACAAAAGCATAGGCTATAGTAATACATAGTAGAATAATTAGGAAGTGAGGAGTTTGGGATTTACATTACCTTTGCTTTTAATATAATTAATTGTAAATTTATATAATTTAATTTTAATAATGATTGTATTTAATAACTGGCTTGCAAAACTCCTGAAAATTTAACAATCATTTCTACAAGGCCAGTACAAGTCTGCTCTGTATGCTAGTAACTTCCCCCACAATTTCCCCTACACCACCTGCCAATTATGTGACAGTAATAGAAACACTTGGAATCACACACCAAACTGAGACCTCTACACAGAGGGACACCAAAGGGTCACTGCATGACTCTGCTAAAACTCGTGCCCAAGGTCACCATCAGGATGTCCTATCATGGTTTTTATCCCTTTCTCTAAACCACAGCAGCAACAAAGTTGTGATCATCTATCATTTTAGGCCCAGAGATGTCATCAAGTTTAAAACCACAAGTAGTGATACTGGATTTAAGAAAAGGGCTGCAAGCCAGGACCAGACACATCCAGATACATTCAGCTCGTTCTTGTTTCTTCATTCCTGAAAATACCTAGTGGCAAAAGCCAGTCCTGTGAGCATAGCCTAGGATTCAGAGAGATAAATGCTCTAATAATTGGCTACAGCTAATTGGAAGCAATCGATAGTTCCTCAACTAAGATTTTGCTCTGATCCAAGTACTACGCTAAGCTTGTAAAAACTGCTGTTCTCATTCAGTCTCACTACTTTTTCAAATGTCAGTCTTCATTTTTAATAAGAGAAAACCAAGGTTTAGAGAATTCATATAATATGCCAGGACCCCCAAGGTAATAAATAGCAGAGTGAAATTTGAACTCAGGTCTGTCTAGCTTCAGAAACTATGCTCCTGACAAATGTACTATTCTGCCTAAGGTAATAATGATGATGTTTATGATAATAATGCCTGAGATTACTTGAGTGACTCTTATCTGCTAAGTATTATTCTAAGTTCTTTACATAGACTAACTTATTTAATCCTTATAACAGCTAGACATTAATTAGCACGTTTCCTCAATTCTAAGATATTCTCCATTGTAGAGACACCCTTGACTTGAGAACAGTATTCAAGGAAAAATATGTACTATGTAAATGTCATATTGATTATACTATGCATCCCAAATTAATAAATATTTAAAAATATAAAGCTTATGTCTCAGGACTAAGAAAACATGGTATATTGATGCCTGTATTAACAAGAAGACCAAAGGAAGAAAATCTGAGCAAGGAAGTACAAGATGCGAAGGAGAATGGGAAACTAAAATTCTAAATTACTGGAAGACCATATAGTTTCTCAAGGTTCCTGAGTTCAATGGTCTAATGTTTTGACACTGCCATTACATGAGCTTTATGCATGGTTTGGGTAGAAGAATGTTTTTAGAAAGTAGAGATACAGGGAAACTGAACCATTTATTATTAGAGGAGAAGGCTAAATTATAGGTTATTCTTGAGGAACCTTGCCTATACAGATCTGACAGCCTACTGCCAATCAAAAAATGAGTAGCACTCATTGAGTTACTCCTTCGTTGTGTTGCTTAAATGATGTCTTTCAGATTGAGAGGCAATTTCTCTTCTTAAGTAATGTATTCTCTAAATTACCATTTGCTGTGCCTATTGTACATAAAGGGAGGGGGTGCTAGAACCATGTAGGTGAGGACATTCCCAGAAATCACTGTGGAAGTCATTAGATTGCTTCAGATTCTGCAGGTACGTATGCAGGTTTGAGGTTCCTACCCAAGTGGATAATGTAAGCATCGGCCATGTTGCTCTAAAATTAAGAATATGAAACAACTGCTTTAGTATGAAAGAAAGGATATTCTCCATTTAATCTCTCTCTGTCCTTCTCTGCCTCTGTCTTTGTGTCTCTTAACACACACACACACACACACACACACATATACACACGGCTGTGAGTGAAAAGTCACCCAAAATACAGGAAAAGATATTATAGTAATACCAAGTCCACCCATAAAGCAGAGGAGCTCTAATAAATCCTCCTAATTTCTCAAATATGTAAGGCCCTAGAAGCTGGATGGGTTGAAAGCAATTTTCTCAAGGATCATAATTTGAATACATTTTATGATTGGATTAATTTATCTACAAAAGAAAGTCAGATAATAGCACCGTTAGTAGAAGCTTGAAAAGCAAAGAGAGCAGCAGGAAAGTAGTAGTACAAGATCAAATTCATGCCTTTTTAAAAAAATAAGAAATCAACTTACAGAATACTATATATATTTTATTAGACTTCTGCAGACATGTAAAAGTTAAGAGAGTGAATTAATCTATTTGGAAAATGTTTGCAGTTAGATTGGTAGATTAAAACAATTAAAACAGCCTGAATATAGCCAACTTTATAACAGTAGTAGAGAGTAACAGAATAATCATCATTGTTGAATGTTAATGCAGAATTAATAATTTAAAAAACAAACTTAATTGTAAAATTGGATTGTATTGGAAAGAATAATCAAAGTGACTGTCTTTGGTCCTAAGTAGGAATCTACCACAGAAACTTTCTTCTCTCCTCCCTCCCTCTCTTCCTTTCTTCCTCCCTTCTTCCATTCTTCTCTTTCTTCCATTCTTTCTGCCTTCTTCTCTCTCTCCATGCATGTGTGTGTCTGTGTGTGTGTGTGCTTGTGTGTCTTTCTTTTTGATGGAATTAATTTATATGTGTAATTGTGCACAAGTGTCTGTTAGGCCCTTTGTGTTGGGTCTTAAAGCTGATGCTTCTCTAGAAAAATGGCACAACCTCTAGAGTACAAATAGTCATTTGATAATATGGGAATAAGGTAACACTTTTCTTTTTACTTTGTTTTTTTTCTTTTCTTTTCTTTTTTTTAAATCCAGGATAATCTCCCTGTTTTAAAGTGAGCAGAATAGCAAACTTAATCACATCTACTACCTTATTTTTCCCTTGCCATGTAACCTAACAAATTCACAGACTTCATGGATTAAGATATGGATGTGTTTGTGTTGCAGGGAAGAGGAGACTATTCTATTCCAATGAGCAAACTGCAGAAAAGACAAGTGGCTGCCCTTTGTTTCAATTTAAAAACAAAAGTCCTAGAGAAGAATTCCTATTAGCCGAGCAAGGGCCACCTGCCCATTCTCATGGTAAGGACGGATGGGATTGAGAGTTAGGTGACATATCATATTTGGCAGCCCCAAATAAAACCATGTATTTGGAGTGAAATGGGAAGCAGTCCATTGAAAGAAGCAATGGCTTTTCTCAGAAGGAGGGGAAATGTTAGACACTGTCAATGTTAGACAAGCCAAACAACAGATGTCTCCTGTGCTGCTATTTCACCCTACCTACTTGATACTTCCTTTTAGGTACCCAATGCTCTAGGCAGACCGTAATACTAACTGCTTCCTCCAATCCACATTCATTTTTATATGATCCTTTATGTCTTTTATCAGACAGTACAGCCTTACTGTCATTCTCTGGCTATAGAAATCCCCATTCTTCTAAGTATACATCACGTGCTAATTCTTCTAGAAGAGAAGTCAATTTCTGGAACACCCTGGCTCTCCAGTATTTAAACCATGTACTATAATATGAAAGGTTTGTTTGTTTTTTGTTTGTTTGTTTTGCTTTGTTTTTTGAGACGGAGTCTCACTCTGTCACCAGGCTGGAGTGCAATGGTATGATCTCCGCTCACCGCAACCTCCACCTCCAGGGTTCAAGCAATTCTCCTGCCTCAGCCTTCCAAGTAGCTGGGATTACAGGAGTGTGCCACTATGTTCGGCTCATTCTTTGTATTTTTAGTGGAGACAGGGTTTCACCGTGTTGGCCAGGCTGGTCTCGAACTTCTGACCTCGTGAGCTGCCCACCTCGGCCTCCCAAAGTGCTGGGATTACAGGTGTGAGCCACTGTGCCCGGCCGAAAGGTTTAACAATAATATAATCATGATTCTGAGAGCAAATGTTGTCTTTTCCCATTGCTTGAATATTTCAGAAGCCCTCTTAACTGTTGACTTGGGGAAAATTCATTTGTCCTGTCTGCCCTGATCTTGTATTGTGCTCTGTTTCAAGAATTACTGCAAATGCTTTCCAGAAGTCCAAGATATTTGATTTTGCTGTAGAGTGATTTATGAATGCCAAGTTTACTTTCCAGTCTAAATCTCTTTTCCTATGGTACTAATAGACAGTAATGACAATGCCACACCTTCAGGCCATTTGACTTGTTTCCACAAAGGAAAATTTAATTCTCAAAGAGTATTTTTTTTATTGTAAAGTAATTCACTGGGTTGAAAATTGGATTTTAGTAAGCTACTTTCTAAAATACATAATTAAATTCTGATATAAAAATATTTTTTAAAATTCTGGCCTGTGCTTCGTCACATGTTAATTTTGTATAAAATAAAATTTGCTTTACACATGCTTACCAACATCAGCTCACTGCTCTTGCAGGGAGTTCCAAGACCACACATCACGATGCTCTCAGAAGAAGATTATAGGAAGGCAAATTTAAATGCCAACTCATTTTTAGGTAAATGAGATGATTTTAGATATTTGCTACAACAAAATTAAAGACAATGGAGAGTGTCAAAATGTTGATGTTTCGCATAGATATTTGATTTTTAGCTGAGAGATTTTATCCTGGGGATAAATTGCTTTTTTTATTCCAAGGCTCACTTTCTAACTTTTTAAATTTATCAGATGATCTTAGGCACTTATTTTTACATTACTTTTCCAATAATACAATATTATTCATATGAACAATTCACTAGGCAAATGTTTTTGCTTCTAGTCAGAAAAAAAAAAATCATACAATATCCATCCATATTAGATTTTGTTGCATTTGAACCAATCTCAATTTTACAACTATTAGATATCTACTAATAATTTTTTCTAAACTTTACTTACATTACTTGAATGTGAAAAAAAGACTTGTTGGACCTTCGAAAACTTTTATTGCCAAGAAATTATCCAATCCTTTTGCTTGGATAATTTTCTCTTTGCAAAAGTACTTTGTCTTTTAAAATCTCTAGCTTGCTAACTGTTCCAGCTGGCAAATGACTTCACACTCACTTTCAGTCTGACTAGCTGACACTTCTGCTTTATTAAACTTTTAAATGTCGGAATTCCTCAGGGCTCTCTCCTAGGCCTTCTTCCCTTACCACTCCACATATTTTACCTGGGCTTTATTGTCTTCTCCAATGATTTCATTTACCCTATATATATGGAAGACTCTAAAATAGAAGCCTCAGTACTATAACTGTCATCTGAGCTCCACACTGATAACCACCTGCCCATTTGACAGCTCTACCCAGACATCCCATAGCTACATCACATTTAGTGTCTCTAGAACTGAAAGTATGATATTCTCACGGCCCTCTCCTGTGTTCCATTGGCAGAGAGGGGCTTCAACATCTCCCTAGTTCTCATTTAAATTTGATATCCAATCTAGCATCAAGTCCTGTTAATTTTATGCCAATGTATTTCAAATATTTTCACTTCTCACATGCTAACCGGACTCCTCACATCAGCATTATTCATATCCAAGCTATAATTCTGTAGCCAGAAAATCTAATGAATTCAACGTTTTCAAAATTCTTCCTTGAATGTATTCTACACCATGCAACCATGGGGCATTTGCACAGGTTATACCCTAAACCCCGGGAATTCTCTACCATCCCCTCTTCACCTTAGTAACACCTTCCATCCTCATATCATAAATATCATTTCCCCATAGGAATTTGCCTGACCCCAAAGTTTAGATTATATTTCTCCATTCTATGCTTTTTTCACCCCAAGTCTCAGATTATAATTAAATAATCAACCTATTATTTGTAATTTATGTTATTACATGTTTGTTATTTATTGTTTTTCTTTGTCTTCAGAATGTAAGCTCCATAAAAGATTATATCAATCTGTTGTCACCTCTACCTACTACAATATTTTACACAGAGAACGTCATAAATAAACATTTGTTAAAGAAATAATAAATAGGCCGGGCGCAGTGGCTCATGCCTGTAATCCCAGCACTTTAGGAGGCCAAGGTGGGAGGATCATGAGGTCAGGAGATGGAGACCATCCTGGCTAACACGGTGAAACCCCGTCTCTACTAAAAATACAAAAAATTAGCCGGGCGTGGTGGCGGGCGCCTGTAGTCCCAGCTGCTCGTGAGGCTGAGGCAGGAGAATGGCATGAACCCGGGAGGCGGAGCTTGCAGTGAGCCGAGATTGCGCCACTGCACTCCAGCCTGGGTGACAGAGCGAGACTCCATCTCAAATAAATACATACATACATACATACATACGTACATAAGTACATACCAACATGCTGCTTAATGTGTTACCCCTTCTAACAGAATTTGCTTTATTAGGAGAATGACTCAAGTGGCTTTGTTTTCTTCTAAAATTATATCCATAATCTACATCCTTTAATCGCCTGATGGTTCTGAGTCCTTTTTGAACTCTGCACTAAGTATAATTAATAGCCAGGATATCCCCAGGTGGGTCTGCGACTGTCATCGCATCTCAGCAGACTGAAAAAGTGATGCCCATTTGGTAAGCTGGGGTAGCAGGACATGTTTCTCTTTAATACTCTAGCCAATACTTAACTAGCAGTTGTAAGGTCCTGTAATGCTCTTTCTTAAGTGTCCATTCTGTTTCCTCCTTGATGCCAATTTGCTTAGGGTCCTCAATGACTTTTGCTTACACTTTACATTCAATGTTAACAAAATAAATAAATTATGATTTTTGTCTTCAAAGAGCTCAGAGTTCAGTGGACTATACAAAACAAGTAAAATAAAAATATCTTCATAGTCCCCATTCAGACAAATCCTGCAACTGAGAAAAAGTGGCAGTGCGTGAGAGAAAGTTATACTAGGTAAAGGGAAGAGCAAATGCAAAGACATAGATGCTTGAGAGGGAGCCACGTGTTGAGAACAATGAGTGATTTAGAGCCCATCGAGACTGGATCCCATAATGAGACAGGCAGAGGAAGGGACTGGTTAAGGTCCCATTGGAAAGCCATTTTACCATGGTAAGTTTACCTTTTATCCTCTGTAAAATAGGGAACTGTGCAAGATTTAAATAGGGAAGTGGAATACTCAGATTGTTCAGATTGGTTTTTTTTTTTTGAAAAGAAACATTGTCGGTATTTTGAAGCATGAACTAAATTAAGGATTAAGGATTAATTAACTTTTCTTGAATCTGCAAGCAAATTTGTCCATTACTGTTCTTTTGTTTTGGTCCAGAAGGGACTATTAATAAAATACGGACTAAAAGGAGAGTTGCTTCTGCATTCTCTACATTGACTGCCTCTACCATCTCTTTATTATATTTATTAACTTGTTATTTTTCTAAGATGCCTGTTATTTCAAATTGCCAGCAGCAATTTTCTTTTGGAGGCTATCCTGGGACTAAAAAAGAATATTCGTTCAAAGGATATGATACAGTATTGTAGAACCTAATTAACACATTTCATATATGAATCATTATGTTATTTATTACATCAGCAATTGACCACAGTTAGTAGAGCAAATAGATTTTAACTTTTTCACCAATTTTTGCAACCCATGGCCACCTAGATACATGTCTCAAAAGGAAATCTCTGCAGAAAGTGTTTATCCAACAGCGATGTTTGCCATATGTGAAGATAAGATCTGGTCATGAGTCCAGGAGCATCAACCCAGTGGGTAGCAGGTAAAAGGTTGGAAGGAAGCAGATTCTGTAGCATTGGGACATTGACAGTGGGGAGCACATGGAGTGCTTGGATCAAAGAGACATTTTAGAACAGTAGTGTGGCAACTTGATGAAGATAATTAGATAATAGTGATATGAAGCAGTTTTCTTGAATCTGCAAGAAAATTTGTCCATTACTGTTCTTTTGTTTTGGTCCAGAAAGGGTTATTAATAAATAGGGACTAAAAGAAGAGTTGCTTCTGCGTTCTCTACATTTGACTGCCTCTACCGTCTGTTACTTTTTTTTTTTTTTGAGACAGAGTCTCGCTCTGGCTAATTTTTTATATTTTTTTAGTAGAGACAGGGTTTCACAGCGTTAGCCAGGATGGTCTCGATCTCCTGACCTCGTGATCTGCCCGCCTCGGCCTCTCAAAGTGCTGGGATTACAGGCGTGAGCCACGGCGCCCGGTCAACTTGTTACTTTTTTTTAGATGGTTGTCTTTTTAAATTGCCAGCAGCAATTTTCTTTTGGAGGCTATTCTGGGACAAATAGAAAATACTGGTTGAAAGGAAATGATACAGTATATGTAGAACCTAACTAACGCATTTCATATATGAATCATTATGTTATTTAATCAGCAAATGTTTGCTCAGTAACTATTTGAATCATTTTGTTTAACTATTAGCATCAGCAAAGATTTGTTCACTGACTCTCTATTACCTAGGATATACCCAGTATTCCAAAAGGGAAAAAAGTAGCATAGCCTCTCCTCTTGAAAACTGTATTTTCCATAATTTATTCAAGCAAAATTGACTACTTAGACACTATCCCTTTGAAGTAGCCCTCCCCAAGCTAACCTATGAACCACTATTTGCTCATAGGAAGGAAGTGGTTCTATCTAAGGCTAAGAGCCAAGAATTTTGCATTCCATTCCATTCATTGCTTCTGTTACTGATTTATTAAGTAATATTAAGTAGCAATTCTGCAGACTTTTCTCTTTGGCCTACTGAGCATGGCAATGCACTGGAAATTCCACTAATGTGGGCACAGCTTGGGGCACGACAAAGAAATAGGTGGAGACTAGAAACACATCTCTGACATGTCTTAGGAATGTCCCTAGGGATATTTCATTACTGAGTAGCTGAGCAGAGACATGACTCAGCCAGAGTTCCTGCAACTGGCTGTCTGGGGCAGCTATGAGAATGCTGGCAGGAGTTGCTGACTAGCCAGTGTTTGGTGAAGATGAAAAACAGCCTTTTAGTTAGAACTGAAACTTCTAAATAGCAATCTGATTGTACAAACTGACTTGAGTTGTTTGTTAGTACTAACATATTAAGAGGGGAATAAATTTGCTATCTGTCTGCAATAGCTTTCTCAAATATGTCAATGCATTTGAAGCACCTTGCGAAGAATTATTATTTAATCAGTGGACATTAGAACTCCTATTTTGATGGATTCTTTAGAAAAATACCTTGATTTTTGCAGTTGAAAAGTGAGAAAGGTTCTGTTGACAGAGAACTAAGAAATATGTAAACTTGTTTCTTAAGAAACAAACACTAAATTGAAGATGGAAAAAAGGGGAAAGAAAAGAGATGGAAGGAAGGTGACCAAGGAATAGAGCAGAAGAATGAAAGAGTGGATGAAAATCTATAGAAAAGCAATGCCTAATAAATAGCATTTATATTAGTGGTGCAAATTTTCCCTCCATGTGATAATATATACAGATAGATATATATTTTACATTGGGATTTTGATTATTTAATATTTATTTTTAGATTGTGTTCACTATCTGTGATATAAAGAAATTCAAAAACTTCTTTCCTGGTTATGAAACATTGTGTTACTCATTGCCTTTTTTTCAAAAACAGAAACTGGACAATTAAGGCTAAGTGCAATCACTCTGTTTAAATTTATTGGGCAATAGTTGCATGATCTTCAGTTGTGGAATTTGTGTGTCAAGGCTCATATGACAATTCCTTTATGGCACTGAAATAAGACTGTACTTGTCTTTGCTTTGTCCTTTCGGCCTGCCCTTGGTGAACTCCTTATTGCAATGAATTCGTATTTCTGAATCTAAAGATGACTAGCTTCTAGCTGCTAAGTTAAATTTAAACCTCCGTGAGGACACCAGCTGTCCCTAAGTGAGATAATTTGCTATTTTCCTCGGGCCAAAAATTCCAGTTTGGGGTAAGACAGGGCCTTGAAATGCACATTCCCTAAGAGGTTACTTTTGATCCAGAGATCTCTTAAAGTGTTAATGAATTTCCACACACATGAGCACCCTGCATTTTTTTCCTTTTGGGTTAAAAACCGAAGAGGTCTATAAGGAGACTGTCTCAGAACTTTGGTTCCCAGAACCATTATTTATATTCAGCTTCAGTGTTCCTTATTTATTAGCTGGGACCTAGCAGAGCAGTTACAGCAACAGAAAACAGCAGATGGCAAATTTCATGGTGGCGATAACACAATAACTGAGAAGTATGTGGTGAGCAATATGGGAGCTCTTCACAAATCCCTTATTATCCTTTTTTGTTATTTCTGTGTGTGGAGGGAGGGATGTTAAATGTTTCGTGTATATTCTCTCTCCTATCCTATAACAATGACACAAGAGTGTATGATGCTATGAAAACAGCTCTCTTGCCTCTAGTTGGGGCAACTCTAAGGTGTGACACACACTCCAGAGCTCCCTGAAAAGTCAGGCTAAAGTTCTTCTCTACAGGATGCATGCCTCTGCACCTGCACTATTGCTTGGCTTACTTCCCTTCTTTCTTCTGCTTTTTCCAACTCCCTAACCTGCATGCCCTAGAGGAATTTCCTTAATAAATTGGTTACACATACATCCTTGGCTCAGGGTCAGCTTGTACTAAACCTACAACAAAGGGAGGGGTGAGTAAAATGAGGAGACAGGGAAAAGATGAATCTCCAAGAGAGATAAAAATGAAAGGTTACTGGAAGGCAGGATGGAGCAAAGAAATCCTTAAAGAAAGGAGGGGAAATAGGGTAAAGGGGGAATCAAGAATTGAGATACTATTGTCTGGCACCATAGTATATGGGACCTTTATTTAGGGGTCCTGAAACATAGTGCTGAAACACAAGGCCCTGACTTCATACTGACTGAGGATAAAATTCCAACTTTTCTACCTCACAAGTGTATAGCCTTAGGCAAAGTAATTTACTCTTTAAGCCTCTGATTTTCCATCTATAAAATGAGTCTGAGATTTTAACCCTTAGAAATACCTTTAAATATGGAAAGAACCTTACACCTAAAGGTATTTATTGCAGCATAATTTAGAGATGTGGTCCCCAACTGGGGGTGATTTTGTTCCCTAATGGACATTTGGCCATATCTAGAGACATTTTTTGTTTTCACAGCTCAGGGATGGGAAGTTACTAGCAGCTAGTGCATAAAGACTAGAAATGTTGGCCGGGCGCGGCGGCTCACGCCTGTAATCCCAGCACTTTGGGAGGCCGAGGTGGGCGGATCACGAGGTCAGGAGATTGGGACCATCCTGGCTAACACGGTGAAACCCCGTCTCTACTAAAAATACAAAAAAAAAAAAATTAGCCTGGCGTGGTGGCGGGTGCCTGTAGTCCCAGCTACTCGGGAGGCTGAGGCAGGAGAATGGCGTGAACCCGGGAGGCGGAGCTTGCAGTGAGCCGAGATCGGCCCACTGCACTCGAGCCTGGGCGACAGTGCGAGACTCTGTCTCGAAAAAAAAAAAAAAAGACTAGAAATGTTGCTATACAACCCACAGTGCACAGAATAGTCTCACACCCCCCTTCAACAACAAAAACGTTTTGGACCAACATGTCAGTAGTGCACAGTTGAGAAACTTTAACGTAGAGTAACAAAAAGTTGAAAGCAAATATTTTAAAAATTTAGAAATAGAGCAAGATTAAATAAATTATAATGCATCCCCTGAACTAAATAATATGCTATAACTGAAAAAATTATTTTTTTTTAAATTGTTGACACCTATGATAAGATGATAACAAAGTAGAAAATGCTGGACAGTCTGTATGTAAATTGTGTAAATCAATTAATTAATTCAAGTCATACTTTTCAAGAGCTAATCCATGCCAGGTATTGGACTAATGGATATTATAGTGGTAAAGGAAACACATTTATGAAATTTGCATTCTAGTAGAGAGAAAGGACAGTAGAAGATAGATAGATAGATAGATAGATAGATAGATAGATAATAGGTAATATAGATAGATGATGAATAAAAAAATGAACAAGAAACAACTCTCTGAAGAACTGATATGTCAGCTGCGATCTCAATTTGTAGAAGGTGTGAATCATGGCAGGATGGAAGGCAGAGCATTCCTAGATAGACTCGTTAGGTTGAAGACTCTAAAGTGAGAACAAGCATGGCAGTTTTGAAGAACAGTAGTGTGAAAAGCCAGAGAAAATTATGGTTAACAATACAAGCTATTGTGGAGAAAGACAGACTTGAATTTGAATCCTCGCTCTGTGGGATATGAAGTGAAATGTTCACTCTTTCAGAAACTTTTTCTTAACATTGTTTCACGGTGTATAATTGGGCATAAGAAAACTTCTCAGGATTATTGTGAAAATGAAATTAGGTAATATATGTAAAGTGCCAAGCATCTTTTACATGATAAGCACTCTATAGTTTGAATTTAATGAAAAAGTCAAGATTAAAAAATATATATGGTATACAAACGGGAATAAAAAAGTCATACAGAGATATATATATGTGTAATATATGTATATTACATAGGTACACACATATACATATGTAATATACATAACATATGTAATATACATAATGTAATTATGTATGTAATTACATATACATAACATATGTAATTTATATGTAATATACATATGCCTATGTAATATACATAACATACACAGTATTAGGGTACAGATGCATTAGATTAGCTAATCATATACATATGCCTATGTAATATACATTACATACACAGTATTAGGGTACAGATGCATTAGATTAGCTAGCCTCCTAGATGCTTCTCATTCTATAATGCCAGGACTTCACAAATTCCTGTACAATGATAAATGACAATAGCTTTTGCTACATGTACTCATTCATATCAGTTCTCTGAACCAATGAAGAATGGCAATCTGATTCTCTAAGGTATAGAAGTGTGGTGGACATAAAGTAACAACTGAAAGAGCCCTGGTCTGGTGACCAACAGGTACCGGTTCTCTTTGAGATTCTGCTGCCTATTAATTTTGATTCCCTAACAATCACCAACTATTCTGAGCCTCAGTTTCTATAGGTATAATGAATAAATTAGACAAAATCATCTTAAAGATCCTTTCTAATTCTAGAATTCTAAATATTGCAGATTATTTAGAGATAAAAGGTGGTTTTACCAGATTTTAGTTTAATCAAGTAGAAAACTGTTTTAGAGAAGATAATACTGGTTCCTCTGAGAAGAAAAATTAAAGAAATCTTTTGGTTTAAGGAAAGTATCTATTTATAATTTGTATAAAATTACATTAATTATAACCAAAATACATGATTATAAATTATCTTCTTTAATGTATTTGCTTTTAATTTTTTATGTTACATGCAGAAATAAAGATGGCTAGGTTTTTACAATAAGTAGTTCCAACAGACCAGTTAGTCGTATAAGGAAATTCTATAAATACCTTCAGTGGAGAAAGACAAGGTGTCCTAGACATCACTGAAATGACCATACATTAGACAGAGGCCATTCCTGACATTGGAAATGGCATCATTTTGAGTGTTAAGCTCAAAAGCACTGATCCAAACTTGGCTTACCCAATTTTTTAGTCTATAATTAAAAATAACTACCTAATCATGTTATTAATACATGAGTTAGAGCGATTTACAAATATTGTTTTATCACATAACAAAAGGAATAAAAGGCAAGTGAGTAATGTACCAGGTTTGTTTCACACAACTTAAGTGAATAAAGAACATACGCCTAATGGTTTATGGAAAGTCACACACAAATAAGATAAGGTCAGGGTCAGGATCCACTTAAGATCCATTAAAATGTCATTGAAGTCAACGATCCACTCCATATGAAAAGGTAATTATACTGTCTGTTGATAAAAACAATCCTTACAAGAAGATGTAGTGACTTACAAGAGGATGAAGACTCATAGTGTTCAAGACTCCTGAATGCATAAAAATTTATAAGAAAATGTTTAATATGTATATTATTTATTATATATTATTAAGTAAAAACATATAATATATAATAAAGCTCATAAGTGGCATTAAATGGGAAAAATCATGAGGGCAAATTCCAAAATATTCTTTTTCATCCCTAGACCAAAACAATTTCTGCAAATATTTTATAGAATGCCTTGAAAATGCCCTCTATAAAATATCTAAAAATATAAAATACGTAATATTGTTATCTGATTATACTAATGAGAGGTTATTTAAAATTTTGAAAGACAATGGCTGGATGCGGTGGCTCACGCCTCTAATCCCAGCACATTGGGAAGCCGAGGCAGGCGGATCACGAGGTCAGGAGTTCGAGACCAGCCTGATCAGCATGGTGAAACCCCATCTGTACTAAAAATACAAAAAATTAGCCAGGCATGGTGGTGCATGACTGTGGTCCCAGCTGCTCGAGAGGCTGCGGCAGGAGAATTGCTTGAACCTGGCAGGCAGAGGTTGCAGTGAGCCGAGATCGCGCTACTGAGCTCCAGCCTGGGCGACAGAGTGAGACTCTATCTCAAAAAAAAAAAAAAAAAAAATTGAGGGACAAACTTTAACACACGGTTTATGTATAATTTTTTTTCTTTAATTCTACAGATGAGAAATTAAGGCCAGAAGTTAAATGAGGGAAGATAGCCAGTCTTTTCCATATCACATATAATGTATTTCGTTTTTAGAATTGTCTAGTTTCTCACATGTAGTGAATTCTTAGCCCAGCCAGAGTCTAATAAGCGTGGTCTTTGGGGAGCAATTATATGAGCATTATGTTTTTCCTGGTGAGCAAATCTTCCCAATGCAAAACAAAATGTTTACCAATGTTGAGGTGGGATAGAGCAACAGTAATTTCAAACAAAATACAGTAGGGAGGAGGGCAGTGGGAATCAAGTGCTAATTGAAGGGGAGAAGGGAAGGCTTTGTTCAAAATAGTGATGGAACATTTGAATTTATATCTTTATCTACTTAACTGTATATTAAAGCAATATTAAAGAGTTTTGTAAAGAGTATGAATTTGCAACAATGAAGTGAGTAGAATGGGGCTATTCCCAAGCTTTTAACATGTTTCTAGAAGGCAGAAAGCAGATGGTAAAGTGGTACTGTTCCAACAGGATAGGAAAATCTGTGGCCCAGGGGACATGAAGAGAAGGCAGCAGCTGGTGAGAAGAGAGTCAATATGTACTGCAAAACCACAGCAAGGTCCAGGCCTGGAAGCACCAGCCACTACAAAAGGTGGGAAATGCATTTAAAGCAGGTAGAGGGAAGGAGCGGCCTACTCCATTTCTCAGGACTGAATACAGAACAGTCAGAAGACAGCCTTTTTACCCGATAGTCAAAAATTAATCTTTTTTTATTTTAATTTTTTTTTTGAGATGCAGTCTGGCTCTGTTGCCCAGGCTGGAGTGCAGTGGCACGATCTCGGCTCACTGCAAGCTCTGCCTCCCAGGTTCATGCCATTCTCCTGCCTCCCAAGTAGCTAGGACTACAGGCGCTGAACACCACGCCTGGCTAATTTTTTGTATTTTTAGTAGAGACGGGGGTTTGACCGTGTTAGCCAGGATGGACTCGATCTGCTGACCTTGTCGTCCGCCCACCTCGGCCTCCCATAGTGCTGGGATTACAGGTGTGAGCCACTGCACCCAGCCAAAAATTAATCTTTTAAGGGTAGTTGAGTGTGTAGAAATAGCCACCCCCAAATAAGACCATCAATATACTGATATTTAGGGAGCCAAATGTTTAGCAACCTGGCCCTTTGACCGAATCCTAAGTCTGGCAATCCCGTGCCTCACACTTCAGAAACCTCAAGTCATGAACCCACGTAAATGCATAAATGAAGTTCACAGGACAGTTGAGAGAAGTCTGAAACATGAAAAAGTCAGATGAAACAAATAAATGACCCCTAGGAAACATTCACAAATATAGTAGGGGTCATTAGAGTTTTTAAGAAGAATACAAATTATACATAAGAATATGATTCTATGACAAATAAATCATTACAGAACAAAAAGTATCTCTTAAAAATTAATAATTAATTGTTCCTCAAATAATTCATTAAGAAATTTAGAAGATAAAAGAATTTATTTTTTTTGACAAAGTCTCGCTCTTGTCCCCAAGGCTGGAGTGCAATGGCGCGATCTCAGCTCACTGCAACCTCCACCTCCCAGGTTCAAGCAATTCTCCTGCCTCAACCTCCCCAGTCACTGGGATTACAGGCACCTGCCACCATGCCTGGCTAATTTTTGTGTTTTTAGTAGAGACGGGATTTCACCATGTTGGCCAGACTGGTCTCAAACTCCTGACCTCAGGTGATCCGCCTGCCTCGGCCTCCCAAAGTGCTGGGATTACAGGTGTGAGCCACTGTGCCCAGCCGATAAATTTTTAAAAAATAAATAAAATACATAGAAGATCAATTCTGGGGACTTAACATTAAATGAATTAAAAAGTTCTGGAAAGCTGGAAGAGAGAAAATACAAGGAAAATAATTCAAAAGGAATTAATAGAGAATCACTTCTGAGAGATACAGGCACAAGTTTACAGATGAAAAGGTCTAATCCAGTTCTCAACACCGTATTTGCAGAGATACACATTTACTATTCCTCTTCTCCTCCTCCTCCCATAACCTTTTTCGCCACCATAACCTGTTTTGCATGCTCTCAGCTCCTATTCTTACTGTAACCTCAATAGGGTATAAAAGCATCAACCATCTGGCCATTTCTTTGAGTTTTTATATTTTGTATTACTCCTGTACACATGTGATCTCATAATAAAATTTGCTTTCCTTCCTGTTTTTTTTAAGATATGCATTTAACAAAGTATTATGAAACTTCAATACCACAATGACAAAGAGGAATTCCTAAAGGAGAGGGTGAACTGGTCAACTAGAAAGGAATAGTAATCAAACTGGAATCAGACTACCTAACAACAAAATGGGATCCTAGAATAAAATGCTACAATGTCTTCAAAGTTAACCAATCTTCATCTTGGACTGTGTGGAGAGAATGGTGGACTAAGTAGTCACTGGCACAAAATTAAGATATTTTAATATTACTTTCCACACAGCCTTTCTTAGGAAGCTTCTGAAATATGCATTCCAGAAGAAAACAGGGAGTATACAAATATACAAAAAGAGGAAGATAGACATACTGAATAAGGAAAATGGAGAATCTAACCCTCAACAGTCATGTAGAATTGTACCACTTGGTTTATAGAATAATCAGCCCAGATCAAAGCAGAAGAATGAATGTTAGAGAAAAGAATCGTTTCAGGAGGGAAAAAAAAAGGGGGATATCACAGGTTTGTTATTTTTGAGAATTCTGAAAAACATGAAACATGATATCAGCTACAAGGAAAAAAAAGATAGTCACCTTTATATTGCAGAAAAAAAGGAAAAAAGTAAATTGATGAAATGAATAGCACTAGATAGGAAAGAAAATGTTATCACAGCCTACCCCTTGGTTCCACATAGACATCATTTAGATGGACATAACAGTACTTCTTACTGCTTTTCAATTTTATAAACTAGCTATAGAAAACAACAGAAGGGTTAATTTTGGCTACAAAATGAAATAAAATGTAACTAATTTTGACAACACATGATAAAATATTCTAGCTACTAACGAGAGGAAGTTTGATAAGAGCTGAAGAAGTTGTGGGTAGTAATAATATACACATCCTATAAAATGTGTATTCAAGAAATTTTGTTTATTGTTGATGAAATAAAAGTGTAAGAATATTATTTATAACAAAAAACTAAACAAATAAATAATCTCTCACAGGGAGAGACGATCAACAGCAAATGTTATATGAGGTCTCTACTTCCACCTATAATTCCATGAACATCAAAGATAATCTCTAAAATTAAGAAATATTAATATAGACCATTATAAATGTTTAAAAGTGGAGAACAGGACTAGAGGAAAGGATCCAATGGCCAGAAAATATTATTTTTCATTGTAAGCCCATCTCTACTATTTAGATTTTTTAGATTGATGCTACCTTCCAAAACAACCCTATTTTGTAATGATTTTAGATTTACAGAAAGGTGACATATTACAGACAGTTCTCAAAACCTTCATGCAATTACCCTCATTGTTAACATCTGACATGGCCATGATAAATTTATCAGAACTAAGGAACTGACATCGTACATTATAACTAATTGAACTCCAGGCTTTATGGCTTTCACCAGGTGTTTTATTAATGTTCTCTTTATGTGCCAGATCCAACCCAGGGTACCACACTGCATTTAGTCTTCATGTCTTCCCCGTCTCTTCTGGTCTGCAGGAGTTTCTCTTTCTTTTCTTTCTTTGCATGACCTTGATAATCTTGAGGAGTGCTGGCCAGGTATTCTGCACAATGTCTTCTAATCTGGGTTTTTCTGTATTTTTCATGAATAGACTGTGGTTATAGGTTTTGGAAAGATTAGAACAGAGTTGAAGTCCCCTTTTCTTCATATCACAATGGAAGTACATGGTATCCAGATTATACCACTCATGAGGTTATCCTTGATTATTAGGCTAAAGTAGTGTTTTCCAGGTTTCTCCATTGTGCAGTTACTGTTATTCTTTCTCTTGCTCTATTCTTTGGAAGTGAGTCATTGGAGTTGGAGATAGGAATTAAGCTCCACCTCCTATACTGGGGATTATCTACACATATTATTTGGAATTCTTCTGAAAGAAACATTCAGTCATTTGTTTTATATCAGCATGTATTCATGTATACTTACTTTATACTTGAGGTTATAATCCAGTACTATGTTATATTATGTATTTGTGCCTCAAATTGTTGTAGCTTTGGCCATTGAGAGCCCTTTCAGGTTATTTATGTCCTTTTTTTTTTTTTTTTTTGAGACGGAGTCTCGGTCTGTTGCCCAGGCTAGAGTGCAGTGGCGTGATCTCAGCTCACTGCAAACTCTGCCTCCTGGGCTTATGCCATTCTCCTGCCTCAGCCTCCGGAGTAGCTGGGACTACAGGCGCCCACCACCACGCCTGGCTAATTTTTTGTATTTTGAGTAGAGACGGGGTTTCACCATGTTAGCCGGGATGGTCTCTATCTCCTGACCTCGTGATCCACCCGCCTCGGCCTCTCAAAGTGCTGGGATTACAGGTGTGAGCCACTGCGCCCGGCCTATTCATGTCCTTTTTAAGTGATCACATTCTTTTGTTTTTGACTACTTTACTTTTTGAAACTACAAGATGCTCTAGACCCATCTTTTATTTTTCTGCTCGATACTAAAATTAGCCATTTTCTCAATGAACTCTCATTAGTTTTTACTGGAGAACAGTATTTAGACACCAGGGTCTGGGTGTTGAGGGTGCTTGTTACTACTCTGGTGGCATTGCTTCTAGGGATTCTCAATGGAGCGAGGATGTGTGTGTGTGTGTGTATATATACACATGTATGTGTGTGTACATATATATATACACATGTATGTGTGTGTACATATATATGTGTGTGTGTGTGTATATATATATATGCCATGTTCACATACTGTGTAAAGGTCTGTCAAAACGTATGTGTGAGTGGTTGTGTAAACAGGTTTTTTGGGGTTTTTTTTGGATGAAGTCTTGCTCTGCTGCCAGGCTGGAGTGCTGTGGCGTGATCTCGGCTCATGGCAACCTCCGCCTCCCGGGTTCAAGCAATTCTCCTGCCTCAGCCTCCCGATTAGCTGGGACTACAGGCGCCTGTCACCACGCCCAGCTAATTTATGTATTTTTAGTAGAGACGGGGTTTCACCATGTTGGCCAGGATGGTCTTGATCTCTTGACCTTGTGATCTGCCCGCCTCGGGCTCCCAAAGTGCTGGGATTACAGGTGTGAGCCACCATGCCTGGCCGTGTAAAGAGATTCATTTTAAGGAATTGGTTCAGGCAGTTATGGAGGCTTGACAAATCCAAAATCTTCAGGGTGGGCTGGCAGCCTGGAAACCCAGGGAGGACTAAACATTACATTTCAGGTCTGCTGCGGAATTCCTTCTTGTTCAGAACAGGTCAGTCTTTTTGTTCTATAGTGGCCTTCAAAGGATTGACTCACACCTAACCACATTATAGTGGAAAATCTGCTTTACTCAAAAGCCACCAACTTAAATGTACTGATTTTGATCTCATGCAAAATCCCGCATAGAAACGTCTAGAATAATGTTTATTCAAATTGCTGGGACATGGGGCCCAGCCAAGTTGAGAATAAAATTAACCATCTCAAAGATATATATGTAACTGTATTTACCCAAATGTATTTATATAACCATATATATTTATGTGTTAAGATAAGTTCATACCAATGTCTAATAGATATGTGTAAGTCTTCAGTTTTAAATAAAATATTTGAAGACAGTACACATCTTGAAGGAATTTTACTAACAAATATGAAATTGAGAAATTTAAGGTGATATTTAATCAGAAAATGTTGTTAAAAATTATTGAAGTAGGGAGTTAAAGAATCATTGACTCCTATTATACGTCAGATACTTCATGTTTCTTATTTGGCTTAAGCTACACAATTATGAAAGGAAAACATTATTGATAACATTTGACAAGTCGGGAGTCTGAAGCTCAGAAGAAAGAGAATTTTTCCATTCTGTGAGAACAGTGTTAATTTATAGTATTATGATCCAGGGGAAAGATGATATTATAATACAGGGACTGGGGGCAGAAAATTAACATTTATTAAATTCTTAGGGCTATCCTAACAAAGTACCACAATCTGAGTGACTTAAAACAACAGAAATGCATTCTCTCAAAGATCTGAGGTTACAGGTCCCAAAACAAGATGTTAGTAGGGCCATGCCCCTTGCAAACCCTCTGGAACAGTGATCCCCAATCTTTTTGGCCCCAGGGATGGTTTCGAGGACAACAATTTTTCCATGAAAGGGGAGTGTGGGGGGAGGGTGGTGGGGGATGGTTTCGAGATGAAACTGTTCTACCTCAGATCATCAGGCATTGGTTAGATTCTCATAAGGCGAGCACGACCTAGTTCCCTCGCAAGCTCAGTTCACAGTATGGTTCCCGCTCCTATGAAAATCTAATGCTGCCCCTGATCTGACAGGAGGCAAGCTCAGGCAGTTGAGCTTGGGACCTCAATCGGTCTGCAGTCAAGGGGCTGGGGACCCCTGCTTTGGAGGAAGATCCTTTGTTGTCTCTCTGAGCTTCTGGTAACCACAGGTATTCCTTGGTTTATGGCAGCCTGAGTCCAATCTCTGCATCTGTCTTCACATTGCCTTCTTCTTTTAAAAGTACCAGTCATATTGGATTAACAACCAACCTAATGACCCCATTTTAAATGAATGACATCTGCAAAGACCGTATTTCCAAATAAGGTCACATTCACAGGTACAAGGGGGTTAGGACTTCAACATATCTTTTGGGGGGACACAACTTATCCTATAATCCCTCCTAAGTGACGCTGACATCATTCAGAGCCTCTGAAACTATTGTTGAGACATGGCCATGGCCTGCCTGGAGGGAGAACATCCCAGAGGATGTGGCAGGGCTAGATGATGACGACCTGTGACTAATTCCCCAAGCCAGATTCCTTACACGTAGCTGTGTGACAGGAGTGAAGTGGGGTGGAGATGGTTAGTACAGCTTTCTGTCTTCCCTATGTTTCATGCAGCTGTGTTTCCTTAGTGTGATGGTTAAAACTGAGTGTCAACTTAATTGGATTGAAGGATACAAAATATTGATCCTGGGTGTGTCTGTGAGGGTGTTGTCAAAGGAGATTAATATTTGAGTCAGTGGGCTGGGAAAGGCAGACCCACCCTTAATCTGGGTGGGCACCATCTAATCAGCTGCCAGCACGGCTAGAATATAAGCAGGCCAAAAAATGTGAAAAGAGACTGGCCTAGCCTCCCAGCCTACATCTTTCTCCCTTGCTGGATGCTTCCTGCCCTTGAACATCAGACTCCAGGTTCTTCAATTTTGGAACTTGGAATGGCTCTCCTTGCGCCTCGGCCTGCAGATGAACTATTGTGAGACCTTATGATTCTGTGAGTTAATACTTAATAAACTCCCATATATATATATATATATATATATATATATATATATATATATATATATAAAATATACACATATATATATAATATGTGTATATATATACAATATGTGTATATATACCTTTATATATATCTCTTTTATATAAATATATTCCCTTTATATACATATCCCCTATATATATGTCCCTTTTATATATATCTCCCTTATATATATATATATCCCTTTTATATATACCCCCTTTATATATATATCCACTTTGTATATGTATTTTTATCATTTTTATGTATATATACAGTTATTTTAAAATGAAACTGAGTGGTGAAGAAATTTCTTTTGAAGTCTAAATATGGGGGAAATGTTAAGCTTTAAAAGAAGAAGACATTTGTTTTGTCCATCAAAATATACAGCAATCTTAGAAGATTAAAAAAAATGCAATATTCAAATCTTCAAATTGTTAACCAGTGCAGTATTTAGCCAGTAATTGTTTAAAGTGTTGCCAAAGGCTACTTTCTTCATTAAAAGAAATGAATTTGCAGGTACTCTTATAGTATTTTGCTTTTATAAAATAATTACCCACAATTTAAAAAAAAGACTGACAAGGAAGGAATTGCTAAAAGAATAAAGACAAGAGATGGCTATGGGATTAAAGAGCCTTACATGAAATTGGGAGACTAAAAGAGTTAAATATATATATTTTTTATAAATGTGTCATATGCCTAGACCACCTATACCCTGGTGTATGTGTGAGAGTGTGTGTGTGTGTATACACACATCATATAATGATAAACTACATAAAGGATAAAGAATATAAAGTATCATTATATGATGAGGTATATAAAGTATCCTTTAACATTATATGATAAATGTACTTAAGTATCATATGATAAAAGTCTGTATCCTTTAACATTACATGATAAATGTACTTATTTAATGTAATGTACTTATTTCATGTAATGTTAAAGGATACTTTATAGACTTTATCATATAATGATAAAGTACTTAAGTATATTTGTTTTTTTTTTTTTTTTGAGAAAGTATATTTATCTTATAATGTTAAAGGACATAAATCCTATGGAGAGGCAATATATTGTGACCAAAGAGCTTATGCATATTTAAGAGACAAATTAAATGGAAGTCAAATAATGAAATATTTCTCAATAAAATATTGAAGAAAGTCTGTTGTACTTTACAGAGCTTTCCAATGTGATCCATAATAAACAGAGAGACAGATGACAACATCAGTAAATGGATACACAAATCTGATCTATACTGTCAAAATCAAGGTCATGACTTCAGTGTGCCTATGTTGTAATACGATTGCAATTTATTTTAATGTTTTAAATTAAACTTTATAGTATCAGAGTAAGAATCTTTTTTTAAAAAAATTAAGAAGACACTTCTTCAAAAATAGAGGTGTGTATATGGGCATGTGAGAGGCGGGATTTAAAATGCCAGGAAGAGTAACAGCTCATTTTGAAAGGAGAAGTTCTCTAAATAAAATATTATCTTTGTAGTAACCATAAAGAACATTTTCCTGGAGTTATAGGTATGCATTTGTACTTTCTAACGGACCAGTGATAAAAATAGCCAACAATAGTACTCGACTCGACTCTATGGCGACAGTGCAGTACCTCCCAACAAGGTTTACTTTTGCAGAACTTACATTTTCTATGGTCACGCTTCTTTTTTCCTAGTTGATATGTGTTATCTGCAAATAAATATGTACAATGTACCATATATTCTTAAACCAATATGCTAATAATTATAAACATGTTAAATTGGTCTATTCATCCTATCATTTTAAAACTGATTAACTGGTATTACTTTTTTAGTTCTTTTCTCATTTAAACCATAGACATTTTCTGAAAATCTAGATATAATTTTTAAAATTTGAGTGTATTAGGGTAAGTTGCTCATTAAAGGAATCTTTCAGATGAAGAATCCTTTTGTAAAGCAAGTTTTAAAAGTCATGCTGAGAGGTGAAGCTGGCTGGGCTTCTGGGTTGGGTGGAGACTTGGAGAACTTTTCTTTCTAGCTAAAGGATTGTAAATGCACCAATCAGCGCTCTGTGTCTAGCTAAAGGTTTGTAAATGCACCAATCAGCACTCAGTAAAAATGCACCAATCAGCACTCTGTGTCTAGCTAAAGGTTTGTAAATGCACCAATCAGCACTCTCTAAAAACGCGCCAGTCAGCACTCTGTGTCTGGCTAAAGATTTGTAAATGCACCAATCAGCATTCTGTAAAAACGGACCAATCAGCGCTCTGTAAAATGGACCAATCAGCAGGACATGGGTGGGGCCAAATAAGGGAATAAAAGCAGGCCACCCAAGCCACCCTTCCACACTGTGGAAGCATTGTTGTTTGTTCTCTTGCTTTTCGCAATAAATCTTGCTGCTGCTCACTCTTTGGATCCACAGTACCTTTATGAGCTGTGAAGATCTTCATAACCACGAACCCACCAGGAGGAACAAATAATTCTGGATGTGCCATCTTTAAGAGCTGTAACACTCACTGAGAAGGTCTGCAGCTTCACTCCTAAAGTCAGCAAGACCACAAACCCACCAGAAGGAAGAAACTCTGGACACATCTGAACATCTGAAGGAACAAACTCCGGGCACACCATCTTTAAGAACTGTAACACTCATTGTGAGGGTCCGCAGCTTCATTCTTGAAGTCAGTGAGACCGAGAACCCACTAGAAGGAACCAATTCTGAACACAATGTTATTATATATGCATTAGGTAACTCCAGATTCTTATATATGGATTATTTTAAATGCTATCTACCTAAAAAATAAAGAAAAAACTTGAGCTGGAAACTTACAGAATAGATGAAAATATAAAAATACAATTAGGTAATTTAGGTTTTAAAGAATTATGTTTTTGTTGCCTTAAATTGAGACTTTAGTAGAAGAAATCCACAATGAAACATGAGAAAAAATAAATTTATATTGAATTTATGTACTAGAAAACTTTTTTCCTTTCTATGCCAGGAATTGCTACTAGTTTCTTTGTAATCATATTTTCTTTTTATTTTTACTGTGATACGATCTTGAGGGAATCTTATTCTAATCTGTTACCAGAAAATTAAAAACGTAATTTCTGAATCTTAATTTTTAAAACTTAAAAGAGAATTTAAGGCTGGGCACGGTGGCTGGTGCCTGTAATCTCAGAACTTTGGAAGGCATAGGCAAGAGGATCACTTGAGCCCAGCAGGAGTTGGACACCAGCCTGAGCAACATGAGGAGACACTGTCTCACAAAAAATACCTGGGCATGGTGGTGCATGCCTGTAGTCTTAGCTACTCAGGAGGCTAAGGTGGGAGAATTGCTTGAGCCCTAGAGGTTGAGGCTGCACTTAAGTTAGCTATGATCACACCAGTGTCCTCCAGCCTAGGCAAGACCCTGTCTCAAAAAAAAAAAAAAAAAAGAATTAATCCAAACCACCTGTTCCTGTAGCAGCTGATTATCAAGAATCAAACCAGTTCAAATGTTCCCAAAGTTTTTACAGACTCAAAATAAAATTTAAATGTGGTCTAAAGGGGATAATACAAACATAATTACCTTTGGAGTAAAATTATGAACCTTGGAAAGTGATTACTTAAGAATCCTATAAGAAATCACATGTGTTGAAATGCCACAGTCTCAGTGACGATAAGATATTTGGATCTTCAAGGTCCTCAAATCATCATTAAAAGAAAAGATCAGTTTAATTAATTGATCAACCATTTATTCAGCTGTCACCATGTGGCAAGACTTGGCTTTAGCTGGCTACAATGTCTAAGATTCCTATGTCCTACTCTGGAGCTGTTGGGAGTCAATGGAGAAAATTTTCACATAATTGTAACATGAAATGATATACCTGAAAAACTTAAGACAATACAAAAGTGAGAGAGGTGTTCACACACATTGTAGTATTTAACTAACACATTATAGTTTTTAACCAATAAACCTAAAGGTAGTTGCTTTAATTCTCATTTTACAAATAACAACACTAGAAGTGGAAATCAAACAATACCCAACATATATAGTTAGTAGGTTAGGAATTGGTGATTTACATGTAAATTTATTTGACATCAAAATTGATATAGTTACAACTCTATATATGACATCTAGGACTTGATTAATTTTGCTTAGGATTAAAAAAAAGGATTATACTATAGAGAGGATGTATTAAAGATAGAGGAGCATTTGCAAAGCCACGGAAGTGTGAGGAGGAATAGTGTAGTCAAACAACGGTCAGGTAGGACATCAGATACACACAGAATTTAAGGTGCCAGGGGAAGGAATGAGCGAGAAGGAGTGAAGAATTAACCTTGACCCAAGCAGTGGAAAGAGACTGTATGAGCCATGGAAATAAGCTGCAACTTTATCCTTCAGTACATGAACAAAAGACTTCAGTAACCCTGGTGACAATTTGCAAACAGGTTACCTGCGACTTTTAATTTTAAAATTACACTTGATATTGATGAACTTCCTGTTACTTAGTCTTGAATCCACTGTGCAAATTTGTTTCTGGGTTTTCATTTACTGTATTTACATGAGTAACAAACTAGATATTTAAAGAGAATAGATTTAATTTATATAACTATAAATGTACTTGGATGGGTAATAAAATAACTTGTATGATTTTCTGTTTTATAATGTGTAATCATTTACGTGGTCAATTTGCTGTTGATTCTCTCTTTGCTTCTACCCATATTCCTTGAACCCCTTCTCCATTTATCTGCCAAAGCTGTTCATTAATCATCTTGGTTCTTCGTATTCTAAAGGATACTAAGGAGAATTAGACACTGTTTCTGCTCTCGAGCTGTCTATAATTTGAGTGAAGATACAATGTCTGTATTTATCATTCAAATCTGAAATGTAATGTGATAAACATCCAAGTAAAACAGAAAACCTTCTTCAGGACCTAAAGAGCCTAGGAGGAAAGTAAAAGTCTCCACTCCCGTTTCTTATTTACTGAGCTTTTGATTAGATGTGTTTGCCAAGAGGTGGTAGAAAGCAGGAAACACATGGACTGTGGGACAGGCAGACCTGAATTTATTGCCTAGGGACCAAAGTAGGGGAAAGCACCTCAAATTTCTGACTGGCTTCCTTGTTTGCATGATGGAGGTACTTATATCTTCTTTTTCAGGGCTGTTAGGGAGATGAAAGAAATACACTTCCTCAAATGTCTATTAATAATGCATGCCCTTTAAATCATGTTGCTCCTTCTAGTACATCTCTGGTCTAAAGTTCAACGAGTCCATTGCAGTGAAGAAAATTGATCAAGGAAAACTATTTAATTGAAATATATTCCAAGAGCTTTATATCTTAAATTATGTCATATTTGTTGAATAATGAAAATTCTATATCCTTCTTTAAAGTTATTAAATGCCACAAATAATGAGAACACATGGACACATAGAGGGGAACAACACACACTGGGGCCTATCAGAGAGGGGAGGACGTGGGGAGGGAGAGGATCAGGAAAAACAACTAATGGATACTAAGCTTAGTACTTGGGTGATGAAATAACCTGTACAACAAACACCTCTAACATTAATTTACCTATATAACAAACCTGCACATGTACCCCTGAACTTAAAAGTGAAAAAAATTTCAAAGCCTCATGACTAAAAATAAATCAAATAAACTGAATAAGTGGTTGATTCTTTGCAAATTTCCTACACAGCCCCCTCTACCTCCTGGAAATCACTGTTAGAGAAGACAGCAGGATTTCTCATGTGACTTTCATTATGAGAATGCATCTGCTAGGATGTGAAAGTTCTTTGCACAATTTAATACTCCACTTTCTAGTCAACCATTTAAAGTCCAAGAAGAGGATAACAATAGTAAAATCTGAAGATTACATGGAAAGGCCCTTGCCCATTTCGAAGGGCTGTAGATGGGAGTCAATTAGCCGTAACTAACAGTCCTGCATTCATTGCTCCAGCTGGTTATTATTTTTGAGCCTCATTACATGCGTCTGACAATCAGAGGCACTTATGCAGGCCTCTTATGGCTCTCCTGTGAGAACAGATATGGGAAGTGGTTTTGGTCTTCCAGGTGTAGAGACAGAGAGCTTCAGATCCAATATGATTCATAAAAGCTGCTGGCTTTCCTCAAGACGTGACTGTGGATGGGTGTGCATATACTCCACTAGCAAACATTAACTGTGGGATTCTCTGCAACTGCAGTTGTATATAATCTCAAATACATATACTCTGTCCTCACTGAGGCTTCACATGAAATATTCCAAGAAGGCAAAACAAATAGAAAGTTTACATTTTGTCCTTGTGATGAAAATGTGAATGATCATAATAACTCTATTACAACCTTTGTCATGCACACATGACATTTTTGTACTAAGGAAGTAAATTCACTAAGGGATTCTTACTACTGAAATTCTTTACTATTCTACTTTTACATGAAATATTGTAATATATAAACATTAGAGGCAATATGCTTTTATTTTGGTTGAGTTGCGAAATATTGCGCTTAACATACTTGATATGTTTAAAGGTGTTTAAGGAAATACTGAGGACTTAAACTTTGAACTTTGTAATAGCTTATACACTCACCTCGTTTAAAATTATAAATGTAAAACAGAGTGAACCATGAAACCTTTCTAGCCAATTTTCCTCTCCAGAGCAAACCACTGTTGCCAGTTTATTTTGTTTAATGTCAAGAACCCTACAATTTGAGAAGCATAGAGTGGTACATATCAACAGAGAAAAAACAGTCAGCAATACAGATTAGCAATAGATTAAGAATGAAAATAGAGATACACTCATCTTATTGAAAAATTAGAAATGATTTGATAGAGGAAATATTAAAGCCTATTTGCTGTGCAGGTAGCAGTTTCACACACAGATTTCTAGACCAGACCTGTTTGACCGGCTTGGTCTCAGAGCTGCTAATGTAACCCAAGGAGACGTAAGGCTGATGTAAATAAAGTAAGTAACCATTGGAAGTTGAGACTTTCCAAAGATACAGTTCAGGAAACTTAAAAGGATGGCATATGGAAGTTGAGTGAAGGAGAAAGAGAGGGAAGTAGAAAAGAGGAGAAAAATGTTAAGCAAAAAAGGTAAGAGGAAGTATTGAAACTTATTGAAAAACCTGAGACATTACGGCAATCACGCTTGAGTTTCTCTTCCTATTCTGATATTTACTACCCATTTGACTTTGGGCAAACCTTCAACGTTCTCTCATTGAAAATTGTAACTTCATTAAAGAATGCTATGCAGATAATAAGCAAAGTACCTCGCAAATACACAATCTATTTTCTATTACAAATATCAGTTTTTATGACTAAATAATAAGACAATTTTTAACCTCTGAATGATTAATATTCTCTGGTTAGGGTAAAGTTTATTTACATGACTCATCTGTATAATAGGGAAAAATCTGTTTTCTTTAAATTTGAAATAAGATAATGTATAGCTGCAGAAACTCCTGGAGAAAAGTATGTAACTCAACATCGGTGCTAGAGTTTTAAGTTAAATAGCATTCCTCAGGACCATCAAAAACATAAAATATTAAAAATATGCCCACTACACCTTGGCAGGCAGAGACACTTCAGTGTGTAAGATACTGCACCATTTCTAAAACGTCTTAATAAAAGTTATCCTAAGTATTTTAGTTTGGCCGCTCGTCTGAAACGTTTTGCTGGGTGCAAACATTGTAATTAGTGCTCTCTAAATTTAGTTGTGCCACTACTCCTGTAGATCCATTTAGTGTCCCCCTTACCGAAAACAGCGTTCTCAATTAGCTGTTGTTTTCCACTTGTAAGGACAGTCAAAGCTGAAGTCTTAAAAAAGTGGTAGTGCCCAGAAATGTTTCTTAGGCAAGTCTTGTTTTGTCAAGGTGTTTTAAGCAGTGTGGGGAAATGTGGGCAGAGATTAATCTTAGGGGCTTCTAGTGCCACTGTTAAAATTCCACTCTGTGGCCTAAGTCTCTGGCAAGCATGAGCACTGTGTCCTTGCGCTTGAATCTATCTTGGCTAAAGCCTATCAGTATTTTTATGATTCATTTTGAGGTGTGGCCAACTGTAAACGTCTCAGAGCTAAGCAAATACCATTAAATCCCAGGAGCACATTGAAAAGAGGTTTATTTGAGCAATATTGAGGGAATTTCGGCACAAATTTCATGGGCTGTGATTAAATCTAAGCTATTTGTCAAGGCCTCCAAACCCCTGAATGTGTAACAGATTGAGCTAATTCATTGGTGTTTGTAAATTGAGTTTGGAATTAAGCTCCTTTGTAAATACACCGTTTGAGATGCATTTCATCTTGCAACTCTTTATCGTGGTTTTCTCAAACTTAAAATGTATAAACGAATTCCATCTTACGTGAATTTGCTGATCAATTTCTAACAGCTCCACATTTCTAAATTAATTTAATCCACACACTCATCTTTCTAATGATTTATTCTTCTCCCTGCTTAATATATAAATGCCGAATGAGATATCAGAAGGAGGATAATAGTGGAGAGTATATAACCTGGATCTTACTCAGTTTCAGAAGTATTTCAGAGAAGCACGCACAGTGCTTATTCACATTGACATCTGGATTTTAATATTGTCAGTTTTTGGGGGGTTAAATTCCTTATTACAAATTTATGTCAAGGATCTTCTCACGCATCATCACAAAAAATAATTTTAACTGTTGTTACTATATTAATTTTTTGACGTTTGGAGATAATATTAGCCCTGGAATAGTATTTTTGAACTCATAAATTTGCATTATTTGACTTGATCCTTCGTTCCTTGACTATGCAGCGTGAGTCTGAGACACGTGTATGTTTACTGAACACAAGAGGTGGGCCCCAGACACATGAAAGATGTGTCTCACTCACCTCTTCCTCCTACCTGAGATTTCATTCAACTTTCCCACTGAACAATGATTTTGCACCCCCAGAGGGGTTTTCTATGATACAGTTTATAAGAATTTAATGATTGTTTCATTATGTGAATTGTCAGGTATAAGGTGGAGATATTACACTCCACGTTCCTTCTGTAGAGTGACATCTGCTGGGCTGTGCCCCACAGTGATTTTAAGCAAGTGCCTGCTTGTTTTATGGGGATCAAAGCTCATTTCTCCCGATGTTTAAACATCTAGTTTATTGTGGTCCGGAGAAGTAATTTTCACTTAAACATCAAAGTCAGTTCCAGAGTTTAACGAGTGTACCTGAAAGTAATGCTGGAAAAATACCTCTGATGTATTTCTGTAGATGTGTGGTTATGGCAATCTGTTGGCATAACTCAGAACAGCCTCTCCACATAGAATTGTCAAATAATTTCTTCGTGTAATTATGTTTGGGAGTATGGTTGGGGACAACGTACTGGATATGAGTCAACGTGGAGGGGTCAACAGAATTACTGCTTTCAGGGCATTAAGGAAACTCAATAGGAAACAATACCCATTAAAAGGATACACTTGTGCAACAAGATTGTCGTTTATCTTGACCTGTTTTAGAAAACACGCAACAGAGGCCCGGCGCGGTGGCTCTCGGCACTTTGGGCGGCTGAGGCGGGCGGACCATTAGGTCAAGAGATCCAGACCATCCTGGCCCTGTCTCTACTAAAAATACAAAAATTAGCTGGGCGTGGTGGTGGGAGCCTGTAGTCCCAGCTATTCAGGAGGCTGAGGCAGGAGAATCGCTTGAACCCGGGAGGCGGAGGTTGCAGTGAGCCATGATCACACCACTGCACTGCACTCCAGCCTGGCGACAGAGTGAGATTCCCTCTCCAAAAACAAAACAAAAAACAAAAAACAAAAAACAAAAAAAAAACGCAGCAGAATAAGGACAAAACTCACGTCCTTTTAAAAACGCATCTCTTTGCCTTAAAAGGCTGCAGTGATCCTTCCCTGGCAAAAATAAAAAACCACAACTGCTTTGCACTTTGATATTTACGGCCAGGCAAAGCCTGTGTAAGTCTTCGAGAGCCGCCGGCAACAAAAACCGTGGAGCGCACCCAGCAAGTTGCTCACTCCGCCGCGGACTGCGAAAGGAGCAGGGTTGCGGAGCTAGGGCTCCAGCCTGCGGCCGCGCATTCTTGCGTCTGGCCAGCCGCGAGCTCTAAGGGTCGGCCCCGCCCGGTCCGCCCCCGCGGCTCCCTGCCAGGCTCTCGCGGGCGCGCTCGGGGTGGGGCCTCGCGGCTGGCGGAGATGCGGCCGGGGCTGCGCGGTGGTGATGCGAGCCTGCAGGGCGGCGCGCCGGGGCAGCCGGAGCCGCGCGCCGCGGCGCTGTAATCGGACACCAAGAGCGCTCGCCCCCGGCCTCCGGCCACTTTCCATTCACTCCGAGGTGCTTGATTGAGCGACGCGGAGAAGAGCTCCGGGTGCCGCGGCACTGCAGCGCTGAGATTCCTTTACAAAGAAACTCAGAGGACCGGGAAGAAAGAATTTCACCTTTGCGACGTGCTAGAAAATAAGGTCGTCTGGGAAAAGGACTGGAGACACAAGCGCATCCAACCCCGGTAGCAAACTGATGACTTTTCCGTGCTGATTTCTTTCAACCTCGGTAAGCTAAATTGGTCATTTTCCGCATTACAGATTTAGCAAAGTATAACTTTTTTGGCCTGTATATTGATTTTTCATACATTGGTATGCTCAAGCCTGGACATTTTCTTAAGAACACACGCGGTTTGTCAGGGAAGCTTTCCCCTTGCTGAGAGCCCTGCTCGAGTTGTTTCTTTAGGCGGTGACACCTGCGGAGAGTTTCAAGTTGAGTATTACAGTGCCTTCAAAGGCAAAATTGCTCCAGAGGAGATAAGAGAATTCTTTTCTTAATGTGTTGTTAGTTTGCGATCAGCAGAAGTGAAAACACCAAGAGGAACGTCTGTGTCTGAGTTAAAGGGAAGAAGTTGTAAGATACTGTTGGGGAGGCGGGGGTGTATTTAAGACACTTGGCTTTCAGTCTTTCACTCCTCATCACTAGGTGGGATGTAAATCAAATTGCCCTGTAGACTATCTTCGTTTCACCTGCCATTGTATCACCAGTATTCTTTGCAATTGGTTGTATATGTACTTTTGGGAGAAACATATAAGGTAAGATACCAATATGTAAAAAAAATGTGTAAATAATATCAACTTGCTCAGTAAACATAACAAAGGTTAGGCATATTAATAGTTTTTTTCTTTTGGCTTTAACTATGAAGTCAACAGAACCAAGGGGTAAATTACTGAGGGAAAGTCACCCATAAAATCAGTTTCTTTCTAAGTTAATTTAGGGATGACAGGGTGAAGAGGTTGTGGAAGCAGGAAGAAACTGTTTCTTTTGAAAATTACCAACACAAACATCTCTAGAGTTTCCTCCATCTGTGTGGTAAAAGAAGCGTACAATTTCATTTCTAACTCTCATAACATATGCACCACCTAGGAAATCTACTTACAATTTTTGTTTAAAATTGCATATTCCATTTAATTCTTTTTATTCTGTATTAATGAAGCTGTCTTTTTCAGTTGTTAGTGGTTCTTACAAAGAATTTAATAATTTTGACTATGAAATTTTAATTTGAAAAGCCAAATAATGAAGATCAGCATTGTTGTAACCTGTAAAAATAAATTTCTTTACTGGACTCTTGGGTCACTTTATTGTGTAATTATGGTAGAAGCAAAATGATTGTGTTTCTTTAATGGTCCTGAGTTTATTTTACATGATGTAGCCACTAGAGCTCCTGTAGGTTTATGGTAACACATTATCTGGTCTTCCTTGGGATTCAGATATTAGTTAATAGCATGTACCAATTTTATATCTATAGTTTGAAGCAGTGACACCTGTCTCTTTGATTTATCTTTGGGAATTTTGACAGCCCACATTCTGGTTGATTTATTTAAAATATGCATTGGTGGATACATGGCTCACTGGATTGCTCACCACTAGGTCATTGGTTTGAATTTGGCACTAGTCCATGGTTACTTCAACTGCATCATTTAACAACTGCCTGTTGGTCATCTGGATAAAATGGCAGATAACTGATTCCAGTGACTTCAGTGATCCAGGATTGAGCACACATAGATTTATGTAAGGAAACACCACTTCCAGAGACAATTACTCCAAAAGAGCTAATGACTATTGAAGTGAGTAGGTACACATGAATGCTCATGTGAGATTTTGCTGCTGCTGTTACGTTAGTGGGGGGAAAGAGTTCTCATCCAGTAATATTCTTTTAGCTCAATTCTATTCAAGTCTTTTTAATGTAATGGATTTCTAGAGAGAAGATCCGTTAAAATATTGGGCTTTCCTTTGGGTATCAGTGTTTTTCTTCACTGCTTTGTTCTGTTTTGATGGTAGCATCAATTTGCTGGAAGATGAAAGTTTCTCTTGTTGCAAAGACTTCCAGACACAAATGAATCAAATCCACATTTTCACATCTGAGAAGCAAAGACACAGCACCTCCTACTGTTTGCATTACTGTAAAAGTTCAGATGGTTCTTTTGTGAATAGGGTGTTTTGTCTAGATTGCTGTTTTTTCCTACTCCTAAAATGTGAAATGAGATATAACAAACATGTTGTCTCTCTCTTAAAGGTATTTTCCCTTGGATATTAACTTGCATATCTGAAGAAATGGCATTCCGGACAATTTGCGTGTTGGTTGGAGTATTTATTTGTTCTATCTGTGTGAAAGGATCTTCCCAGCCCCAAGCAAGAGTTTATTTAACATTTGATGGTAAGAGAGTTGATAAACACTCTGGGAAAAATGTTATTTTAAGTTTTGTTATCTTCCTTATCCAGATTCAGAAATTAAGAGTATAAATATTACTGGATATTAATTTTAAAAATATTTACTGGGCTGCGTTTTGGAGGACAATAGCTATTTTAAATGATTGGTTAATAGACAAAGATCCTCTGTTGGATTTGAGGTATTTATGAAAATGCTTATAATATATGCTGCTTTTTGTAAAATAATTCTTCTGTGCTTGCCTGTGTACTCACAGAGGAGATGGGCACGAGCTCAAAGCCTAGCATCTTTGATCTTACTGTTCACCTGGTAATGTTAAGAAATTGCCCCTTTGTGCTAATCCTCAGCAGCAGAGAGAGCTATGCAGGTTCAATTACTAAAAAATTCTCCCAATTAATTTTTTGGGCATTAGTCTCAAAACTGGTTACTCCGTGTGTTGTTCTAATGGTGTTTCTTCTTTTTCCACAAGGATTTCCTGAGATTGGCATAGTCCCCTAATTAATTGAAAAGGACCTAAAAGAATAATTGGAAATATGCTTTTGATGGTTGTTGTATACAAATGTTCTCAGAAGCTTAGGGAAATGGGTGTGATTTCAGATTTTCACATACATAAAAGGTGCAAGGTCTTCTGAGGGAATGGTTTGCATGAGCTTTAATGTATATAGTTCAAAGGACTTACAGATGAATGAATTTGGTTAGTCAAGTAACCCATACTAATTGGACAGATGGAGCAAGACATGGATGAGGAACACCATCCTGCCAATCAAGGTCATTTATAATTTTATTACTTCTTTCAACTCTGCATAAACTTTAGTGTCATTGCAAGTACTTTTTCTTTCATTTGATAAACAATATATTCTCAGACCTTTCTATAGCAGAGTGTCTCTGAAACTTTGTCTCAAATTCCTTTTTTTTTTTTTTTTTTTGAGACAGTGTCTCACGCTGTCACCAGGTTGGAGTGCAGTGACACGATCTCGGCTCACTGCAGTCTCCACCTCCCAGGTTCAAGCCATTCTCCTTCCTCAGCCTACCCAGTAGCTGGGATTACAGGTGCGTGCCACCACACCGAGCTAATTTTTGTATTTTTAGTAGAGACGGAGTTTCACCATGTTGGCCAGGATGGTCTCGATCTCCTGACCTTGTGATCTGCCCGCCTCCGCCTCCCGAGGTGAGCCACCACGCCTGGCCTCAAATTTCAAATAGCAGAATGACTGACACTTGCCAGTCAAATGGCTGTCCTTTTTTTCTTTTTAAGTCACCAGTGCTTTCCCCAAGGTTGTCATAAGCACCGAAGGAGCCATATTTGGAACTTAGAATGTGTGAGCTTCTAATTGCTTCCTTAGCCTCCATGCAAGGCATTTCCCCTTAAAACCCATAGCTATGCAGTTAAGTTGTGAAGAATGGAAAAACAGACCCTTTGAGGTATCCTTTTTAGCCCCTTAATTACTAAAGCATCTTACAGACTACCCACACTTTTCCTCCCAAGTTAGAACTATGAAATACGTTTTCAAATAAAAGAGAAAGGGCATTAAGAAGTAGTGCAATTTCCCCTCTATTTTCTATATTTCTCCTAGTATATATAGAGATGGAGTGACCTAATAGATTAGATGTCTCTACCTGCTTTCTTTTCCATTACATGAAAATTAATCCAAACTAATGTAAATATCAACAAAAAGTGTGTTACTAGAGATAATGAACCAATTCTGTATTTGAAAAAGCAATTGCAATTCATATTTTACAGAAGGAAATTACATAGTATAATCTTTTAGAACCAGACTTCAGAACTGTGTAAGACAGTGACAGCTATGCTATACAGTGACTAGAAGTAATGATGGGATTTAAAATAATATATGCCTAATATTTTAAATGCACTCAAACTTAAAACAGATTCTTGCAGAATAAGACTTGCCTTGATTTGTAACTTATGTAGAATATGACATGAGTTGTTGATCTCAAAGTTCTATAATTCCTGATATTTTGTTCTTCTCAGGTGTATTACTGGTACTCTTAGGAAGTGAGAGAAAAACAGAGCAAATAATCAGAGAGATAGAAAATCACTTGTTTTGAATACTGTTTAAAAGAGATGTATCAACAGTGAGAATACATCTAATAAAATTGCACGATTGGTAACTCAATAATTTTAAACATTCCTACAATGAACTACATAGACAAGTTATAGGGAAAGTATCAGGCGAAAACAGTTGTCAAAATGTACAAATTTTAAACCTTGGTTCAATACAGTTTTCTTAGGAGATTTCACAGTGTACCTGCTTGAAATGCCTGTTCAAATTTATTATTATTTAAAGTTTCTCATTAGTCAAATGATGACTCATTGACTATTGTACCAAGTAGGTTTTTAAGTTTCCTCCAAAGTAGTTTATTCTCAACATCAAAATATAGAGCTTTGTATGGGGTTAATGTATTTAAGAGTATATATTTAAATACATGTGGCATATACTTCTAGTTCGTATTTCTAAAGTTCTATTACTGTTTTCCAATAAAAAATCAGCAACTGAAAGGTGTTTTGCAGAAATTCAGATAGTTTCAAGTTGTATTAGACAGAGGTCATTTGCATTACTTGTTTTATATCTCTAAGTACCTTTAGATTCTCTCGTAATTACTTTACCTACTGGCTCTTTTGTCTTGAATTCTTCTCCATCACTGTAACTTGGTCCTCTGCCTGTCTCTCTCTGGGTGGAACTTGAGAAGAAACCACTCAGTCTTGTGTTACTTCCGGTGCAATAAGCATCATAGGCAATTTCAAGGTGTGTAGAGCAATGAGTCTCTTCTCCCATTCATGTTCCATCCCTTTTTCTTGTGGTGAAATAATGGAGTAATAACATTTGTAAAACAGTGATTTACAGGTTTGCCTTCCCTGTTGATCTAGGGCAAGGTCAACCAGATGGTCATCAGTCCTGTGGGAGAATGTACTTCAGATGTTATTAATTAGTTACATTTGTGCTACTTAAATCTTCTATGTTGAGACCTGTGACTTCTAATATTTTCTTTTGTAATTGGTCTAACTCTTATTTTATGCCAAATAGCTTTGCAAGTGAATATAAGGTTCACACAAATGCTTTTAGTATAAGTTTTTCCTTAGTTAATATTGGCCAATCTTGCAGCCCATGGCTGAATTTACATTTGCATATGCATGACAGTGGTTTAAAAACAGAAAACTGAGTGTGAGTTTTGAATTGGAAATAGGTATTTTATGACTAAGCACTAGACTTGCATAGGATTACCTGTTTTTTCTTTTCCTTTTTTTTGAGACAGAGTCTCGCTCTGCCTCCCAGGCTGGAGTGCAATGGTGAGATCTTGGCTCACTGCAACCTCCACCTCCTGGGTTCAAGCAATTGTCCTGCCTCAGCCTCCCGAGTAGCTGGGATTACAGGTGTGCGACACCATGCCCAGCTAATTTTTGTACTTTTAGTAGAGACAGGGTTTCACCACGTTGGCCCGGCTGGTCTCGAACTCCTGACTTCAGGTGATCCGCCTGTCTCAGCCTCCCAAATTGTTGACATTACAGGCGTGAGCCACTGCGCCTGGCCCTGTTTTATTTATTTACTTTGTGATTCATTTTCCCTTTTGTGTGTGCTGAATTTTTAGTAATAAAGCTGCCAAAGTCTCCAGGTCTTTGATAGTATGTAAATGAAAGACTATGGAATTTTATAAAACATCTTTTAAAATCACCCTCAACAAATAAAAGAATCCCTGTGAACTAATGAACTAAGCCCCAAAGCTGATGAATTGTTATTGGACAATAAACTGAAAATAATAAATTGCCTCTTTATGAGCTCTGGTAGCATTAGCATTACAAGGCACGTTTGTTGAAATAGTTTTTGTTGTGGTTGCCCAAGAAATGAAAATAAAAGCAGTTGTTCTTGATTTCTCCGTTAATCTTGGAAGATGCTTACTCTGGGTGTATTGAATCTTCTCAGGTTTGTGTTACTGAGAAGTATTTAGTTCTCAGGTGTGTGTTATGGCATTTTCTTTTAAGTCTCCTTATGATGGTTTCAATTAAATGTCACTGAAATATCTTGAAGCACACATGAGTGTTTTAGTAAACCCAAACTCAAGGGGTGCTCTGTGAATAAAAAGTTCCTTCTACTCTCCCCCTTGTGAGAGTTTAATTGAACTCAGCAAAGGATTGATGAATTCACTTGTGAGTTGGACATTACCTGAAACATGAGTCTAGAATAGAGTAACACTAAATTTGTAAAGCAGCAAGGTAAAAACTGTTATAAAATACAATTGCAATGGAAGATGAGAAGAATTGCTAAGAAATGTAGCCTCGTATGTCTATTTTCCCCTGTAATATGTATTGATATAGGGCTCTGGTAATCAAAATAAAATAATATTTCTAGTAGACTTGAATTGGAGGGAGGAAATTTTATTTCAGGTATTGCAAAGAACATCTCTTGAAAATTTTAGGATAAAAGGTGTTACATTGATATGCTGTGGATTTCTCCTAGAGAAAAAATTTTAGAAAAATGTGTAAGCCTATATTTTCCTGTTTAAAAAAGTAATTACTGTTCCAGGTGAGTTTCATCAGATTATAATAAGCTTGATTCTGTTGCCAATAAATGATATTCTGTGTTAAGCCATTCAGAGTTACAAGGTTCCTACAATTGGGAGCAAAGAAGGAATGCTTTAGTGTTCTGAAGTTAGAAGAGTGAGCTTGAGTGTTTTGTTAATCGGTCATACGAACACAGCGGTTCCATTAAAAAAAAATGTGGTCGAGCACGGGGGCTCACGCCTGTAATCCTAGCACTTTGGGAGGCCAAGGCGGGTGGATCACGAGGTCAGGAGATCAAGATCATGCTGGCTATCGTGGTGATACCCCGTCTCTACTAAAAATACAAAAAATTAGCCAGGCATGGTGGTGGCCACCTGTAGTCCTAGCTACTCGGGAGGCTGAGGCAGGAGAATGGCATAAACTCGGGAGGCAGAGCTTGCAGTGAGTCGAGGTCGTGCCATTGTACTCCAGCCTGAGCCATTGTACTCCAGCCTGAGCAAGAGAGTGAGACTCTCTTTCAAAAAAAAAAAAAAAGGTCCTATTCTATGAATTAATAGACATGCCTAAACATGTTTACTAAATTGAACTCTTTATCAAATGAAGATGGTGCAAGTGATCCTAGATAGCTTATTTTAAATTTGTTCACATGTTGATCATATATGTTGATATGTTGTTCACATATATTGATAAAACGATGTTACTTAGCCTTTATTTGCAATTTTGATTCAGAAGATATATCTAGAACCAAAGTTATACATTTTCGCATTCTTCCTAGGTGTATACTACTTTTTGTCTTCTTTGTTTCTAAAATAGTTTTGGCAATTAAACACTAACATTAATACTGACTTTGTGGCAGCCATTTCTGTAGCTGCCATGAGAATTAGTTTTAAGATCCACAAAGATCACAATGAAAGGAAAAAGGAAAAGAATTTTTCTCAGTAAGATATTCTGTAAACATATCATGTTAACTATGTCATGCTAGAATTTTACATTGCTCTTAGAACATCAAACCTGCCTGAAAATGAAATAAAATTCATTCCCTATATCATCCCAAATTCCCCCTTTAATTTATGATTCATCAAGGTGAAGATGAGGGGAATTACCTCTCTGGAACATGTTTATTTTGTTGCTGTAACTGAGATCTCCCTTTGTGCCTATGCGAGCAAGTCAGTGCTTAGATGGATAACAGTAGAAAAAAATTATTATACACTCTCCTCATTTCATTATGCAAATTTATCAGGATGTATCTCCATAAATTCACTATACCTTGCACTGTCTTTTAAAACAAAAGATTCAGATGTTCTTTTTCATGGATATCATTCATTGCATTAAAAAAATGGCACCGAGACACACTCAATTTTTTCTTTCATAAACATCTTTTATATAAGGAGGTTGTAAAAAATAACTTATTTTAAATAAAAAAACTATCACTTTGCTATAATAAAGAACTATCACTTTGGTTTTAGTTCCATTACTGTTAAAAAAAAAAAAAAAAAGAACGAGCATTGGGAAATAGAGCTGTGAGCTTTGGGCAGATTCCAGCACTTTTTTGCCTTCTGCATTTTCATTTATATATTACTGAAGACCTCTGTTGTTAAGGAAAACACATTTAAAGGCAAGGAACAGAAAGGTAAGATGTTCTGTAGCTCAGAGTATGAGTTAGCAAGAAGGGCACATGGAAGGTAGAACTAAGTGCTGAGCCATGTGCTATTTTAGGGTAGCACTAGCCATGAAACAATTTGCTGAGCTGTAAAAGATGGCAAGTATGTTCCACGTTTTAAATTGCAGGCTTTTCAGAAACAATCATTTCAACCCATCCTCCTTATCCAATGAGAATGAGCTGTCTTTAAGCTCTCAATAGGGATATGTTACTTCTGTAAAATGCTTTTTACTTTTCAAATAATTCCCTTATTATTTAATTTATTATAGAATGCCTATGAAGTAAATTGGCATGGAGGCTAAAGCTCTTGGTTAAGGTTCTACAGCTTAATGGTGGCATTGACAAGACTAGAAGACAAAATGGTATAAGAAGAGAAAAATTAATTATGAGCAGTGCTTGTATAGAATCAGAGATACCCTGCAAATGTATGTTACAAAATCTGCAGAAATGCAAGGCTATTAATATGAGTATTAACAACTTGCTTCATGATATTTCTTCTCCAAGTATGTACAACACTGTAGCTTTAACATACCTTACATTTTTAATTAACTGCTGATTTTCAGCAGTAATTTGAGGATCATTATATATCAGGCTTTAAATCTGTTCAACACCATATTTTAAGTGCCTCTCAATTCTCTTTGCGAAGATTGAGGCAATACATAAATAAGAATAATTTATATTTTCATTTATCTCTAATTCATGCAAATTAATGAACATACTAGTCTTGTCTTTCCTTCCCCAAGTTACTGCTCTTGTAATCAAGAGCTCGTTTGATGTGCTATGTACATCAGGATTCCATATTCCCCTTAGTCAATCCCTAGAATATTCCACTCTGCTCATTTATGTATTGCCTTAGAGTGAAAAATCCATTAAAGTAATCTTATGTTCTGGTTTGAACTGATGCCACTGAAAATGCTAAATATTCTTGCCTTACTCAACTTTAACGCTTGCTAGCATTTAAGATTCTTGATAATAAAAGTATAAAACATTCTACCTAATTAATTTCTAAATTACTACCTTAGTACAACTATTTTCTGATAAAAATGATCAGGTACCAGACTTTGAATTTTGAATACAAGATTGCTCTTATATTTAACCTTATTTGTAATATAATGGCTAATGTAAAGTCTCTAGTCTATATGGAATAGATAAACTCAGGGAGTTACAGCAATGTAATTTTACAGAAGATTTCTGTTCCTCAGAGAAGGGAGACAGAATGTTGATCCAGCAGAAAGAAAACCTTAACTCTATGTAGAATTAATAGCTCTGAAGAAGCAACTTCTAAATTATTTTAGGAAAAACTTATTTCCTTATAGATTTTGACTTTCTACAGATAGAATTAATTATGGAGAGAGGATATATATCTGAGTAAAAATAAATGCAGAACTCTCTCACACACACACATACACACACTCACATCGTCTATGAGTAAAATTACATTATATTTGAATACCGTTTTAGTCTTTCCTAAGTGTATACTCTCTTGTATATTCATATAACAAAAACTGTTCAGTCAGAAAAAAGCTGTTGTATTCCTGGTATCATTTTAAATGCATTATTTATATGTTTTCTTATTTTAAATTTATGAATAACCACAGATTTGTAATTATATAATTGGATCATTAGTTTGGTGAACACTTTATTACTTAAAACATTATTGTAACACTTATATAGTGACAGCTTTTAGTGCAAGCAAGCTGAGGACCAGGACAAGAAACTCTGGTGACTTGTGAATTTGAGCCCTGTCTCCCTCCCATTTTTCTGACAGCTGGTGATAGTGAGAACAAAATGAGTTGTTGAATAGCAACCCGCAAAAAGGAAGTAATCCATCCCTAGCACAGATAACGGGGATGTAAAGGGAGTCAATGGGGCACATAATATGTAAAGCATCAATAAGATAAGTACCTAAATTTGCTCTCTACGCCTGCTTTTCTTTTTTTCCAGCCAGCGAAGTCTTGCAACCCAAGTTGCTAGTGTTACTATAGTTAGCGTCAGTTGCCAAAGAGCGAGCAGAATCTCAATTATAGCATATGAAATGTAGTCTTTAATTATGTGCTTCAGTTTTCCAAAATCCTCATTTCACAAAAGTTAAATTAGAAAAGACCTTTTCTCTTTTGTAAATAGACATAACTTTGTACAAACTGTGTGAAGTACACCAAGCTGGCACTTCATTCATCGCTGAAATTTGATAGTGAACACAACGGGTCTGAAGATTTTAAGACAGCAGTAACAAAATTAGAAACTGAGAGTAAGGGGAGTTGAACGTCCTAGTATTCTTGCTTGACCTTCCTTGTAATTGAGTCAAGTAGAAATAATATATGTGATCACAGTTTATTTTAAATGATACAGACTATTACATGTGAAAAGACAATTCCAATGCAACTATAATTCTTAAGACAGGGATCTCTTGTTTAATGGAATTAGTGAGTAGTAGCAAAGTGGTTATAAAATTGGCTTGTATAAATATTATACAAATGATATTTTTCTATTGAATTTCGTTACATAATTAGAGTCCATGTGTAAACAAACTATTCAACAGCCTGAATTGAACAACTTTTAATAAAGAAACTTAACAGGATGATAAGGCATGCAGAAGTTTAGATATGGTATGGTGGATACGTTGGAGCCTTTTAAATAACATGTCTGCCCTTGTAGATAGATGTACGCTAGTTATCATAACTCAAGCAGAAGAAAAACCTTATGACTTAAATTACCCCTTGATTTGAAAAGAATTATCGAATAATTTAATTTGTGTCAGTTGCCAGTCAGAGCCCTAAGTATTCTCTAAACAGTCTAGTTCTGTATTCACAACTAAACATTATTACATACTAATGATGCAGTTAATAGGAAGAGATTGGAGTCTCATTGCCATTATATAGGAATCTGACATTAAATAGAACCACCCTTATAGATTGTTTATAAAAACAATCTTTCTGGCATCAAAAGCCTCCAACTTTGTTGGTCCATCCAGCCAGATTGTCGCTCCATAAATTCAGGCTCAAGGGCTTTTTCCTTTCTCCTGAACAGTAATGCTCAAAACATTCCAAGAGACCAGAACATTAAGCAGGAATAAAACAATGAGTGTATTATCATCACCAAAAGAGCATTTTGAATTTTATTAGAAGAAACCAATTAAGATGTTATTTTCAAGCAGAGGGCTTGGCATGGCTTCAGAAAGTTACTTTCCGGAGTCGGGCAGGGGTTTAGCTGGCACAGAGAGCGGATCTTTAGCTTAGAGTTTTGACAGCTTTAATGCACATGCAACTGGAATTTTTTTTCTTTAAGCTGATTCTTTTAAAAGCCATGCTTCCTGCCACTGTTTCACATAATTGCATCAATTCCATTTTCCATTAGTAGTCAAAACCTGCTGATGTGACTGGAGTTTTAAAACTTTTGTGTAAAAATCTAATTATGTACATTTTTTCAGAGGAAACTGATAATGAATATGAACTATGCAGCTGTATTTTCTATTTTGATATCTAAAGTACAGTAAGCAAAGGGTTCTATATGCTAGTATTATAACCTTTGGTTATTCATTTAATTATATTGACAACAGTGGTATAATCAATTTTCTATGATAGAAGAAAAAGCATTCAGTAAGCTTTACTTTGTGGAAGAAAAAGCAGCCCCTACCGCTTGGCTACAGAATAATGAAATATTCTGGTTTTAGGTGAAAGGAAATGCTTGCCTCTCCCCTTATATCTATAGTATTCCTTTTATAATGTTTTTATTTTCAACAGCTTGTCTGCATAGAATATTTTATAATGATCTACACTGGTATATTTCTTCTGACATCTACCTTCTACTCTTCTGATAATGTATTCAACACTTTTAATACGCATAATTATATGTAGACATTTCAGATACTACACTAGAGACTTATAAAATATACTATCTAGCAATTGATCTCTTGTATTTGTTTTCCTTTCTTCCCTCTCTTTTTTTTCTCTTCTTTTTTACTGACATGAGAAAAAGATGATCAAGCTTAGTCTGGAATTATTCATGAAATGGTGAAAGCTTCAGAGCCCAGGTGCTGATGGAATGTGTAGCAGGAATGTAGTTAAAGGTGGCCGAGAGTTAAGATGTGTCATTTATTTGTGCTATGGAGATGAAATTCAGTGCCATGAGCACTTAGATGAAATTACCTCTGCAATAACCATCTTCGGTTTCCAAATTTTACAATATTTGATAGTAAAGCATAGTTGCAACCTTTTCTAATATTGCTTCTGGGTAAAAAGAATATTAGATTTTTAATAACTAAAGATAAATTTGCTGAGGTCCCTTAATAGCATAGACATTTTTCAAGATACATACGTATCTGTATGAAGTTCCAACAATAGAAATTTTGTTCATCTTCCAGTGGAAGCAGGAAAATCTAGTTAGAATTGATTGTTGGTGAATTATGGATCGATAAGAGAAAAAAAGCTTTTAGGCCCTTTTGTAAAGCTTGTTATGTCCATCTGTCTCTCCTTCTTTTGCTCTCTACTCACCCAGCTTCCTTACAAAGAGGTTTTATTATTCAGTTAAAAAAAAAACAAAACAAAATTACATTCAATTCCATGACTCTTTTCCAGAGCCTACCTTGTACAATGCTGTGTGCTACATCTGTGGGTACAAAAAGAAGTGTGGCGTGAATTTGGTCCTCAGCAACCACCTACTCTAGTAAGTGGCATAAGCCAACCATGTAAATATTACACCAGGCAAACCCTGCTGCATACCATAAAAGAAGCATAGACACCTCACAGAAGGTGACATTTTAAAAGCAAAAATTATCTTAAACTAGTTTAGAGCATCAGCTTTAAACCCATTGTAGGCATTAATCATTTTGCTAGCAGGGATTAGCTTTATCATAGTTACAAACTGAATGGAGAGGGGAATTAAGCTGGAATGCCCGGGATGAGCTTATTGCACTTACACTTATTGCAGGAGTCTCCCGGCCTCTGGGGCAAAATGCTTTTGCTGATTTTGTTTTCTTTACCTCCAAATTCCCAACAGTGCCTGTAACTGTGCAGAGTCATTATGACTGCCTGACTGATAACTGACAAACAGGCTGACTTCTAATCGTCAAATTAAATCCAACTGCCCTGAGCATTTAAAATCCTAAACTGTCTGTGGTGGTGGTAGGGGTCTTGGTGTCTCTCTCTCTCTCTCTCTCCACCCCTCCCCCTCTCTCCCCCTCTCTCCCCCTCTCTCCCCCTCTCTCCCCCTCTCTCCCCCTCTCTCTCCCTCTCTCTCCCTATCTCTCCCTCTCTCTCCCTCTCTCTCCCTGTCTCTCCCTACCTCCCTCTTCCCACCTCCTCAAAAAAAAAAAAAAATGGCCATAATTGAGGGTTGCAGCAAAGGCATGAAAGAGGCTATTTTAAATATCAGGAGTTCAAAACAACATTACCTCAAGAAATGTCTTTCTTGACAGATTTCATACCCAGAGTTCAAAAGCTTTTTTTTTTCTCTGTGCTTTCATTTTCATCAGCAGTTTGCCACCCTATTATAGGGCCACAAGGCTTGAAGTTAGAAAGTTAGCGCTAAGATTCTGAAAATTCAGGAAAAAGAAACTGTAATTCTGAATTTTTGGAATGACTGGTAAGGTTAAACCTGAGACCCTAGGGCAGTGATTCTCAACCTTGGCTGTACGTTACCTAGAAGCTTTAAAAAATGCTGATGCCAAGGCCACACCCCAGACCAATTCAGTCACTATCTCTAGGGATGACACTAGTGTTGTAAAACTGTCCAGGTGACTTTAACCTACTGCCATATTTAGAAACCACTTCCCCCAATCCCTAAAATGCAGTTTCTGTTACACAACATGAAAGTGTCAGGGAACTCCTTTTAATAATAAAAGAGAACACTATTCAATCTAGTGTTCTAGCAGTTTTCAGGCTGCAATCGTTACTAAAAATTAAAGTTTAGCCCCCTTACTCAACAGTTGAGATTCTCAAAGCCAGGTAAATCATCATCAGTGTAGTGGTAACGCAGTTTGAGTGGCTACAACCCATTAAGAGTGAACAAATACCCTTCACTTACTCTGTGTGGAATGTGAAGATCCATTTCAAAGCCATGATTTAGAAAATTGTGTTCTATTTTCTATATCCTTTGTATTTTGAAACATAATGACATATCTGTAAGAATCTCAACAACATGAAAAGGTATTTAGGCCAGGTGTGACGGCTCATGCCTGTAATCCCAGCACTTTGGAGAGCTGAGGTGGGTGGATCACTTGAGGCCAGGAGTTCGAGACCAACCTGGCCAACATGGTGAAATCTAGTCTCTACTAAAATTACAAAAATTAGCCAGGCATGGTGGTGCACGGCTGTAGTCCCAGCTACTGGAGAGGCTGAGGCATGAGAATCACTTGAACCTAGGAGGTGGAGGTTGCAGTGAGCCGAGATCTTGCTACTGCACTCTAGCCTGGACAACAGAGCACAACTCTGTCTCAAATAAAATAAAATTAAATAGGCCTTTAGGTTACATCATCAGGCCTAACATATAGGGGATTAAATACAGGTTTGTGCAATAGATGCCCTCTGTGTCTAATGGTGGGATAATAGACTTTCTAAAAGATGAAGAAGCTATAGTGGTGGTAGGGGTAGGGGAGTGGAAGTAGAAGATAGGGAAGGCTTCCTGTCACTCACAAAAATATGTCACTTGTGGAAGTGGGAACAGGTTCTGGCTCTTTACATTTGTTTCCTTGTATATCATTTTTTTTAGCCTTTTAAATGATGTGTGATACGTAGTAGATACTTAACACACTAATGTACTGCATAATGATGTTTCCATTGAGAAGGACCACATGTATTATGGTAGTCTCATAAGATTTATTTTTAATTTTTTTGAGACAGAGTCTTGCTCTGTCACCCAGGCTGGAGTGCAGTGGCGTGATCTCAGCTCACTGCAACCTTTGCCTCCTGGGTTCAAGTGATTCTCCTGTCTCAGCCTCCTGAGTAGCTGGAAATATAGGCATGTGCCACCATGCCTGGCTAGTGCTTGTATTTTTAGTAGAGACGGGGGTTTCACCATGTTGGCCAGGCTGGTCCTGAACTCCTGACCTCAGGTGATCTGCCTGCCTCAGCCTCCCAAAGTGCTGGGATTACAGGCGTGAGCCATTGTGCCTGGCCCCATAAGATTATTATACTACATTTTTACTGTACCTTTTCTATGTTTAGATATGTTTGGATACACAAATGCCATTGTGTTACAGTTACCTACAGAATTTTGTACAGTAACGTGCTGTACAGGTTTGTACTGAGGAGCAGTAGGCTATAGCATATAGCCTAGGTGTGTAGTAAGAGATCCACCTAGGTTGGTATAAGTTAAATATATGATGTTCGCACAATGACAAAATTGCCTAATGACTCAGAACATACCTTCATTGTTAAGGGATGCGTGACTGCAAATACTTGAAAGTGAAAGAATGAATGAATTTTATCTGCATTAGGAGGGATGGGCAGAGGTAGAGCAGAAAGAACCAAAATAGTGGATCAAACCCTGTCAGGGCTCTCAGTTCCAGGATCATAAGGTGCCAGTAATTCAGCGGGCTTATGCTCTTACCGTTCTTCTTAGCACATAATCTTGGCTTAGGTCTCTGCCCTTTGTACTATAATCCTGCTGTTTTCACGTAGGCAGAAAAGCCATGGGCTAATGGCTGGCAGTTCTGTTTTGGTATACTCAACAACACACAAGGAAAAGTGTAAATACCCATGGGCCTCTAGAAATAAACCTGGGATTTCATTGAGGAATAGTGGAAACTTCACTGGAGCCTGGAAATGGGAACAAGACTGCCCCTGCTATTATGAGTTACAAATCATATATTATTTTAGTGTGATGTTGTGATATCATGACGACATGTGTTTTGGTTTTAAATGAATCATTGATGTTAGTTAGTCTTAAATACATGGATAGTTGAAAAATTGGACCATGGAAATTTATAGTTGTTTATGTGATCAATTTAATATTTGTGCTTTTTCCGGAACATAATTTTTCTTTAGCTATATGAGAGATTAACTTTGTTTTAATATGCACAGTTAGATGCTTTCATTTGCTTATAAACATAGCTACATATTTACAATTGAAAAAATTTGTAGGGAAAAAACTGTGTAACTGATAGGAGGTAGAAATAAGAAGTCTTATGGACAGGTCAGTAATAAACAGAACACAAATTGAGTACTTAGGGACTATGAAAATTGTCAGTGTTGGCTAGAAAGGATATGTCATCTTTACTTGTTCTTATTAAAACAACATGAAGCCCAGGTGCAGTGACTCACACCTGTAATCCCAACCTTTTGAGAGGCCAAGGTGGGCAGATAGCTTGAGTCCAGGAGTCCAAGACCAGCCTAGGTAACATGGTAAAATCCTTTCTCTACAAAACATACAGAAACTAGTTGAGTGCGGTGGTGCACACCTGTAGTCCCAACTACTCAGGAAGCTGAGGTAGGAGGATCACTTGAGCCTGTGAGGCAAAGAGTGCAGTGAGCTGTGATAGCGCCACTGCACTCCAGCCTGGGTGACAGCGAGACAGTCTCAAAAGCAACAACAAAAAAACCCAAACAACATGAATTGAAAAACTTTACATGGCCTTTATCAACAGCTTATAACATTCTTTGTTTTAGTGCATCAATATAATGTCTTTCATTATAGAAAAAAAGGAAAAATAACTTTTTTGTGGGAGGTATAAATTTAATACCTTATAATGTACAATATACCTAATATGGGCAAAGTCAGAGACACACATGTTACTCATTGGATGCCCTTTAGGCAAGATAAGAAAATTAGACAACTATTTTATGAAATGAAACAGCAGATGATATTCTAGGACATTGTGTATTTTTAAAATTGTAGTCACAGAAAACAAAGATACTGATTCCAAGCTTCTACCTACAACTTTACTGATTGATCTTTAATGGAAAGATACATTTTCCCTTTGAAAGAAGTGATTAAATGTAGTGTGCTTCTACTACTTAGCACTTGGCGGTAAGTTTTGCAAAGTATATAGATACAGTGAAGTAACTGACAAGTAAGAAATGCTTAGGATATAGTTGCAGGTGTAAAATATCAATATCTGATTTAGGAAACTGTAAGACTACAACTCTCTGTGTGTCAAAATGTGAGTTTCACAGCTGTGGTGCTTCCCTGGATGGAACAAAGAAAAATTGTTTTGCCTAATGGAAATTACTTCTGGACAACACTAAAATAGCCACATCAGTAAATCGTTGAATCACATAGTCAAGGATAGTTTTTATTTTTCACAGGATATTTACTTAATTTTTTGTTTTAGAATATTGTTGATAAAACCAAAATTATTAATTCTAACTAACTTGACAACTGGAAAAATTATTTGACTTTGTTATAATCTTTATGTTCCCAATTCATTTCTGGAGTTCATCCACCAAAATTAGATGCAGTAATTCGTTGTACCACCCTGTACAACAGGCAAAACTGTGACTCATTTCCTCCATCCAGTTATGCCAGAACTGTTTAGTGCAATGTACAAAATGAGGTGTTATGGCACAATATTTCCCAATTTATTTTTAAGCCATTCAGGCAATATATCCAACATCTTCTGTTCTAAGGAGCACACCTTAAAACACAAATTACATATTTTCCATACTTCATTCTTTTCTCTTTGTTATCTCAGCAGTACACAGGAAGAAAAGGTGATGGAGTATTTATAGTGTTGTACAATAAACTAGTCATGAAAGTGATTCATTTGTTATATAGAGTTACTTTTTAGTCTGTGCACGATTTACAGGCCAGTAGTGAATGGGCCCTCCCAACCTTTATCTTTGCCTTGTTCAAACCAAAATGGAAACAATTGATTCCCTTCTGCACAACCTCTGCTAGCTGAGGCAAATGTAGAAAGCCTAGGTCAGGCTCAGGAGCTGACTGCATGAGTGTGAAATCTTGCTTTACCACTTACTAGCCATGTAACTCATGGCAGTTGCCTCAACTTCCTCAACTGTTTACTAGGCTATACAATTAGGATAATATTAGTTGCTACCTGATAATATCATTGTGAATATTAAATTAGGTAATATGTGTAAAACACTTATCAAGATGTGACACACAGTAAAAACATACTAAATGTAGTTGGGCATGGTGGCTCATGCCTGTAATCCCAGCACTTTGGGAGACCAAGGTGGATGGATCACGAGGTCAGGAGATTGAGACCATCCTAGCTAACATGTTGAAACCCCGTCTCTCCTAAAAATACAAAAAATTAGCCAGGCGTGGTGGCGGGCACCTGTAGTCCCAGCTACCCGGGAGGCTGAGGCGGGAGAATGGCGTGAACCCGGGAGGTGGAGCTTGCAATGAGCTGAGATGGTGCCACTGCACTCCAGCCTGGGCAACAGAGCGAGACTCCGTCTCAAAGAAAAAAAAAAAACATACTAAATGTAAGATTATATAAAGTGAGGAAATTAAAAGATGACTAGGAATTAATGGGTATAATGTACACTATATGAGTGACAGTTATGTGAAAATCCCAGACTTCACCACTTTGCAGTCTGTCCATGTAACAAAACTGCACCTGTATCCCTTAAATTTACACAGATTTTAAAAGATAACTAGAATAGACTCCCTACCCTGAAGAAATGTATTGTCTGGGTATATTAAGAAATATTAATATAGAAGTAGAAAACTTGTCACTAGCCTAGAAAAGGATAGTCTTGGTTCATATAATATTTAAAAATGAATCAGCTGCTAACATTTAAGAATTAGACTTCAGTTGACAGTCTTTATTTCTCATTTTTTCTTGAAATGTCAGAGGATCTGGCAAGGACTGATGGGGGCTGAGAAGAGCCCTTCTTCTAGCCTGGTTTCTTTTACTAATTTATGTTACTTGCCTGACCTCAACAACATGGAGTTTTCTACTCTTGGTCTAGAGTAAAGCACAGTGACAGATAAAAAATTAATTTATATTTAAAGCAAAAGTTCTTATAAGAATGCTGTCTCCAGGGTGGTATTGATCAAGGCAGAGAAGAAAAAAAGTAGAACTGTTTATTTCAATGAAAATACAATTAGAAAAAAGTTAAAGTCATAAAACAAGGTGTATATCATATCTTTCTAACAATATGTCATATCATTTTAAAACTGAATAAAATAATGCATTTACTTTTGTCTTTGTCTACGAACATATTTGTTACGAAAAAATAAGTTGAGGCCGAGCACAGTGGCTCACACCTGTAATCCCAGCACTTTCGGAGGCCAAGATGGGCGGATTACCTGAGGTCAGGAGTTCGAGACCAGCCTGGCCAACATGGTAAAACCCTGTCTCTACTAAAAATACAAAAAGTAGCCGGGCGCAGTGGCACACGCCTGTAATCGCAGCTACTCAGGAGGCTGAGGCAGGAGAATTGCTTGAGCCCGGGCGGCGGAGGTTGCAGTGAGCCGAGATCATGCCACTGCACTTCAGCCTGGCCAACAGAGCGAGACTCTGTCTCAAACAAAAAAAATGTTGATAAAGTAGGGCACATAAGAATGTTTATTTAGTGAAGGGATTCAACAATAGCATTACTTCATTTTTATCCATTTGTGTACATAGGTGTGTATGTTGAGGTTTGTATGAAGCTACAAATCACCTATAAACCAATTTAGGCCATGTTGAAAGACTTTGGGATAGAATTCATCAAGCCACTACTATGACCAACAGTTCTCAATTTTTTTTTTTTTTTTTTGGTCAAACAAAAATTATGGACAGGCTGTGGCTACTAATAAGACAATGTGGGCTAATACTATTTTGCATAATTATTGTGAAAAAATTATTCTGTAATTTCAGTGAAAACCTATCCTACCTTTATGCAAGTATGTTTAAGGAAAGAGATTCCCTACCTGCGTGTCCTGATTCTCAATACAGAGTGATTATGGAAGCCTGATTCCCATGTCCTGTGAGCTGCAGGACTAGTGTGATTTGGTTCTGCCTATACTTTGCTAAATATTAACACAAAAAACATTGCTTGACACATGCATATTTTTATACATACAATAATTCTTATTAATACAATTACTCTGCTATATACTCATCTTTGTTTCTGTTATTATTATATATGGAATTCAGTGTTACTCATCTTCAATAAGAATTATTTCACATTTTAGTACTTAGATTTATATTTTTCTGTTGTTTGTTTGTTTGTTTTGAGACAAAATCTCGCTCTGTCACCCAGGCTGGAGTGCAGTGGCGCGATCTCGGCTCACTGCAACCTCTGTTTCCTGGGTTCAAGCGATTCTCCTGCCCCAGCCTCCCGAGTAGCTGGGACTACAGGCATGTGCCACCATGCCTGGCTAATTTTTGTATTTTTCGTCGGCACGCGGGGTTCAGCATGTTGGCCAGGCTGGTCTCAAACTCCTGACCTCAGGTGATCTGCCCACCTCAGCCTCCCAAAGTGCTAGGATTACAGGGGGTGAGCCACCATGCCTGGCTTATTTTTCTGTTTTTTAATCTACGATATATTTTAGAAAAAAGAATCTGGAATTGATCAATATAAACAGCCCCTAAATTATCTCGTTATCCTTTAGGACAATTGGCAAGAGTTTTAATAAGGCATGCCAGGCTCTAACTACAAAGAAAACAACCCTATATTTTTAAGTTTATAAACAATTTAGAAAAATAGCTTTATTATGTATTTATTCCAATGTATTTAGGATCCATTTTTCTATATTGTCTGACTGTAGTATCAATAAAGACACTTCACAACAAAGTAAACAATAAAATTTATGACTAAGCAAAGCTGAACAGTAGCTTTAATCTTTTAAATGGTAAATGAAGCCTTCTGAATTTCTATTTACTTGTTTGCTTATGCCAGTATCAAACCTTGCAGTCAATTAAACAGCCTCAAACTTTTTTTTAAGCATGTTTTCCTCATCTAGGTTATCTTTCTTCTCTTCAGTTTTTCTAATTCTTATTTCTACTATCCCTCTTCGTATCTGGGCACTATTTTCTATGTTTCCTATCATGAACATCTCCTCTCATTTTTACTTATCCTTTGCTTTTCTTCTCTGGTGTTCAAGAAGGGAGGTCAGAATTGGCCAGGGCATGTAGGCAAGTGTGGTCTGTTGACTAAAGCTTACTTAAAGCAGCTCTTTTACTACTGAATCTCTCCTGTAGTTCCCAGCCCCCAAAAGAAGGCACTACTTCCCTCTGGAGATCCACTTGTTATTCAAGGAACAAGGAAAGGATGTTGATATTTTAATGTTTTTATGGCCTTTTTCTTAGTGTTTTATGGTTTTATGTTTCTGTGTTTTTGATGGGAATTCCCAAATACAATGTTTCCACATGCTGCCTCATAACTCAGACAGCAAAAATGAATAGTTTTGTCTAGCTCTAGTTTATTTTAGATCTTTATTTTTCTAATAATTACTAAAAGGGAAATTAGAGGGAGAAGAATTGAGTAGAATTGCTAACATTCCAAAAATGTGTGCCAGTGGTTGAGTCAGGCCATGCAAGTTGCTGGCCCATCCCACAGCCCCATGCTCTCCGGCGCCTACCTGCCCCCACACCCCTGCCACACAAGTCTTGCTACCCTGCCACACACTGTCACCGGGTTTCCTTTCTTTTGAGATCGGAACACGAGACGGAGCATCAGGAGAGGGTGAAGAAATTGAGATACACAGGGAGAAAGCAGACATTGGAAGCTGGGTAAGGGCAGAAGACTTAAGGAAAGGAGAAGCCCCAAGGAAAGGAGAAGCCCCATTGAAGGGGCTTCTAGAAAAGTTGTCTCAGAAAGAAGAGAAGTTAGGATGTAGGCTAGCTGGTTCATAGCATGGCAAGGACCAGAATAGGGCCCAACAGACAATTCTGAGACAGCAAGTTGTGAAGAAACAACAACCAGGACTGATGGAGGGTCACAAGAGATCCTGTTAACTATTAGAGCTAAACAGCCTATTCCACCTGAGGTTCCAGTTAAGCATTAGGCTGATTTAGGAGGCTAAGACAACTTTTCTGTTTCCCTTTCTACGTTATCTCATATATTTAATTATCTCAAATAATTGTATATTGCATGTACCTTATCCTGCATATATCTAATGCATTCTCTTTAAAGGTAATCTGAGATATAACTTTTCTTGATAGCAGGTTTATGACTAAGGCTTAGCTAAATAACAGCATACAGTAATAGAGAAATGAGAAAGGACTCCTAGAGTTGGAGCAACTAGAGGGCAGACAACACAAGTTTTTACATAACTGTGATTTAACACAAATGGTTATATCAACTTTATTTTCCTGATTTTACTGAGGTTTGAAGCATTTTCAGTTTCTATACAATGGAATCAGTTATTGTAAATTAATGAATGAATTCCATGTTTACAGTTGTAGGGCTATTTTAAAAGACAATCATTGATTATTTTGGGGAAATCGAAAAAGCAATTTTAAAAATTCATATTGTAATATGAATTACAATATTAGATATTAATATCATGCTTAGACTACTATGGGGATATTACTAAGTACAATTGATAAGATAAACTAAACACAACTCTCATTCACATTACTGTATTATCTATATTTTCTTTTTATTTCACAATATTTCAGAAAATATTGTGAAACAAATTAAGGAGCAACTACAAATTTTATTCACAGGCCTAAATATCTGTCAGATGTTAAAGGATTATAGAAGAAAACTTTTAAAATGGATGAAATAAAGGTAATTAATTGCTATAGAATAAATTTTGCTTTAGACAGCCCTAAATTGAATCATCACCTTAATTTTTACAGATCCCAGAGATATTTTAAAAAGTAAGTAGCTGTTTGTATCTTTAACAAGATTTTTTAAGGCATTCTCCTCATTATAAAGCTCATAATTGTTTCCACCTAGATAATTAATAGATGACATGTATTCCTGAGACCCTTTTATGTTTAAATTTAATAATCTCTGCAACATTCTAATCATTCCGTGCACATGTGTAGTGTGATGTGTATATAAGGACTGAATTTGTTTTATTTTTCAAGGATTCGAATTTTTTGCAGATTTTTAACACCTTTATGAAAGTCATTTTGTTAAGTCTAGAGTCAAGAAATAATTTTTAAAAATTAAAAGATTGCTGCATCTGAACATTAGATGCAGTGAACATTGCCTTGCACTGTCAGTTTACATAGGAGAAACTAATGAGGCTGTAAAGAAATACTATCTGTTTTACTAGAATTTTTGACCAGTGAAACAAACAGCTGGAAAAACAGTGGTAGTCGGCTGGCTTCCATTTTCCATTGCTTTCTGCCCTTTACATTCAAATTTCCTCTTATTCATGACCACAGGCTCACCACACACATACTCCTTGGTTTGTTACTTTAAGCCACATGGAGATTAAGTGCCATTAGTAAAGACTAGTTTAGGAACAGTTTTAGGTGAAATAAATGGCACTTTCAAAGAGAAGGTGGATTTATGGAGTTTGTGTGTACATGCGCGTGCATGCTCACGTGTGTGTGGGGATAAATCAGTAAGGAAGAAATCAGGTGGTGATAGTTGGATGCCATTAGTGACTGGGACATGTTTTATTTTACAGTGTTATTTCTCACAGTTTAAAAGAAACATTAGAATCATCTAATCTGGCCCCTTATATTACAGCTGAGGGAGGCCCAAAGAGATGAAGAATCTTGGCTACTAGGCAGCGTAACTAGAACTTGGATATACTTATTACTTGTGCATCCATGGTGTTCCCCCATCATCACTCTCTTCTCTACCTAACCACTTAAGAAGTAAATGGAGGAATTGAGATAATGCAGTGTGAAGGATGATAAAAATAGGTTAAGAGTGGGTCCAATCAGGCATTAAAAAAAATAGTTATGAAAGGTAAATTAGGATCAGTTGCAAGAGTTTGGGGACCTAAAACAAGCAAAAATTAGTTGATTTATTAAAATATCCACTGTTTGCTCTTAGCATCCAAAGAAAAGAAGAAAAAGTAATAATGTGTAGTCATAGTCAGTCGTCTGCCTTCAAACCCCCAGTGCTAATGCATCAGACTGGGTTCAAATCCCGTTACCTTGGAAACAGCTTCTTTGGAGCAATGTGTGATTAAAAAAATTTTTTTGTAGAAACATGTGGCTATGAGTGCTACATTAAAAAAAATTCTTGTAATATTGAAAAACTAAATCATGTAAAATTTAATTCCAGTGAACATTGTATTGACATGACAATGTGAAACCATTGTGTAACACATCAAGAACTATTAATAATTCAGTTATTAGGGAGGTACAAAGATTTTATTTCCTAATTACAAATATACAGATCTAACTTACTGTGTTTTCTTTATATTCTTTAAAAATCGAGGTCTCTACATTTAAATAAGAAAAATGGTATACTCTACTTTCTTATGCACCTGCTATAATTAAAATTGTAATTACAGTATTCATGGATGAATTGGTAGTAGTATGTAGACAGTATTATCTACAAAAGAAAGCATTTGGTTGTTGTATGATAAATTGGATATTTATTTTTTAACGATGGCAAAGTAGATTGTTTATCCTTGGGAAATAGAACTAGTTTTCACAGCATTCATGTGTGTCAAGGGTTAAAATTCAAGTGAGTTGTAGAAATGGTAATTAAAGTAGAGGAATGTCTTCAGTTACCTTTCATTCATGATACAGCATGAAAACTCTCATAACGTTGTAACGTTGTTTACATTTTAAAAGTGCTTGTCTGTTTCAAAATGGCTGAAGTGTAATTTAACTGAAGTTTTTATAGGTTGGTTTTTCTTTTCCAGGAATTATGTATATACCTTGGAAATATCCTTAATGTATTCTCTGAATTATTTATGTAACCTCAGAGTCTATGTAAATCTAGGATGACATCTAACACCAAATACACAGTAGCACGTATCAATATGACCCCTCCACCCAAGCCTTCCAATATATTTCCCTTAAATAAAATAATTTAAAATTCTTCTTGAGCACCTACTGTATTTGAGGCATTGTCTTTTGTATCGAACAGACATCAGTAATTGGTAAATTTCTTTCTTGCCATGAACTTACAATCCCATAAGGAGATGATGAGAATAATAACTATATAACAGATGATATTATTAGCAATCAGTGTTGAAGGCTAGAGAGATAAAGGAAAAGGGGTGTAAAATCTTAGTTGTACCTGGAAAGAGTACAGTTTAAGAACATATGGTCAGGAAAGAAGGCAGAGAGTGTATCTGATAGAACAATGGTGTAGACATAAATTTCCCAATTTGTTCTGCCTCGAGTCTAAGACACCATGTCATGGATTTGAACAATGTTGATGGTGGAGACTCAGACAAATGGGGCTGGAGAAACCTAACCTGGCTCATGAACTGTCCAAACGATGAGACAAGTTGCCCTGACAGGGCAGTTGTTTGGAATTCAAGGTACATTAGGAGAAAAGGAGGGCTAGATAAGGAAAGCAATATAAATAAGCTAATGAAAAGGGATAAATATAACTAAAAATAAATAAAAACTCTGGGCTTCACATTTTCCACCTTTCGTCTTTTAGTCATCTGCTAATGAAGGAGCTTAAGGACAAGAGGTTTTATGAAGTTGAAGCACAACTTTAGGTTGCTCAATGTAACACAATCCCTAGCTTCTATCTTTATCAATGAAGAAAGAATAAGAAAATAAGAATAACCAATACCCTGTATTCCCTTAGAATAAAATCACAAGAAACACAGTCTTTTGTTTTCCAGAAAAGATTATTCTTGTTAGAGCCATGAAAAATGAAGGAAAAAAACATCAAATACAACCACATGTTCCAACCTTTAAAAGAGGAATTTTTTGTTCAAAGTGGGAATTTAGTTAGAAACTTGAGTAGACAAAGAGCAAAATACTTACGCCTGAATTTCTAGAAATGCCTTGTAAATACCTGTTAGACAACATGTCTTATTTAAGGAATCTATTTTTGTGAAAAATGATCTAATGTCCTAACTTCAACGGAAAAAAATATCAGCTTTTCTATAGTGTCTGTTAGGTATGAGGTACTCTACATTGTTGTTGTTGTTGTTTTTTTAAATTTTCTTTTGGTTTCAAAGCTTTTTAGTATACCATATTCTTACAATGTTTAGGACCTACTTTTGTTTCATTTTACAGACAATATACACACAACTTAATCACAGGTCTTGAATAAGAAGTAGAGAATCATACAAAAGGACGAAAATATCACAGATCACCTTGCTTTTAGAAAAAAACAAAGAAATTCCTACTGACTGTTAAAGTAAATAATGATCTCTCTGTAAATACATTTTAATAATCTATGCTAGGTCTCCCAGGAAAATATTAATGTGCATTTAACTTTTAATTATAAAACATTATAGAGAACTGCAGGATAAATGTCAAAATGATCCTAGTCAATTTGGCAAGTAGTAGTTTATTGCCTCCTGTAAAGATACTGTACAGAAGCCAATGATTTTTGTCTGTGATCCTACAATTCTACCATTATGCAAAGAGTTATTGCAAAGCTGTATCTCTGAATGAACTAGCCTATTAGTAATATAAGAATGAAAGATTTTATGGTTTATAAGATATTTACTATTTCTACTGTTTCAGATTTTTTGGGGAAGATAGTATCCTAAGCGTATGGGTAGGTATCTTATAAAATAATGGGAAAGAAAATAAATATTTCTGGTTGATTATTCTTGTTTGAATTATAAAACTATTGCTAATGCTTTTTACTTTAAAAAGTAAATTTTATAATAATATGACTTTTCTGCTTAGCATGGAAAAACAATCTTCATTTAGGGAAATTAAGATACTTTATATAATCTGGAGAATGAATTTTAGTTAAGAGAACGAAATCACTAGTCCTCATAGTTTTGTAACTTTTAGTTTGATTTTAACTATTAAATTCAGCAGGAAGGGTTAGACTATTTTCCCCCAGGACTCAATAAAATAATTTGCATTTTTCTTTTTTAAAAACATTTGAAAATATTTTTTAATTAATTGATATTTCCCATGTTTTTAATCATTTAAAACAAAGATAGGTGTGCAAAGAAAGGGCATGTATGTCTTCTTGTTTTTCCTTACTTTTTTTTTTGTTACCATTCTGATTCCTATCCCTCCATGTATATTTCAAATTGTTTGAAGAATTTTATGATGGATAAAGTTCATTTCTCAGAATTTAAGGGGGATGGAGAAGATAAGCTCTTCCTCTAGGCTGTTGCTACTAGGGAAGCAGTAGAAGTATTATGGGGGAGGGAGGGATAAGGAGTGAGTGGAATTGAACTCACTCAGTAACAGGTTTTGCAAAGTGAGGATGGACCTATGTCAGGAGTTTGGACGCAAGACGGGATATAGACGGAAGATGGCAGGAGGGCTTCAATGTCTGATGAGTTTCCTTCTGTTTCACTTATGGACAATCAGTAAATTAACCAAATATCACAAAATGCTGAGTGTGTCTGAAATTTATACGGAAACCAGTAAAAAGGTAGACCTCTATTACATGGAGCAGAAGCAAGTCCTCTATTACTAAGGGCAGAAGCGAGCAGACTGCTATAAATCAAGAAGTGAAACAGAGAAAAGTACAGAGGAATTAGACATGGAATTCCTGGAAGGCTTTTAATTGTGCTAGGCCCTGGAATTGAGATCTGAACCAATATTCATTAAATCTTATTAGTACAGGGAGGTCAGAGGACATGCAGATAACATGTGCATATGCTTCTCAAAGAAACAAGCTAAAATACAGCACTACAAAGATCATAAATTACTGGCTTTGTAGCCAGATGATGCATCAGTTTAAGGCACAGCACATTTGACTGTTGGAGATTTTTCAGAAAGTGATAATATGCAAATAATATCATATTAGCTAGGACGTTATTTTAAAAACCTTGCCAGAATCTAAACTTCCTTTGTAGGACTATTTCTCTGACATGAGCTCTTCGTTCTTCTTGGGTATTTTTGGAGCTCCATGAACTTTGTAGTTTATCATGTGTCAAGCCAGTTGGGGAAAGTTCAGCCACCACTGAACATGTGTATTTCAGTTTCCAGACCAATAGATTTAAAAAGTAGAAAGTATATAAACTCAGCCAAACCTCAAGTAAAAAGCAACTTTCATTTTTGAGCCTTTAGATTTGGTTGTTTAGAAGTGGTTTCTAAAGTTTATTTTACTAAGTACCCCTTCAAGATTTTAAGTTTTTTGAATATATTTTTATTTTTCTTTATACACTTTTAACTTAGACATTAGTCTTTTCATTGAGTTTTAAGGCCTATGTTGAAAAGGGGGCCACAACCAAAGGGAGAAATATTTGGGAATGCTTGCAGCATTGGAAGACCCTCAGCTTCCTTCAGAAAATATTTGCCTGTATATGTCATTGAGGAGATTATAAAAACAAGCTGTCTTTTTTTCTTGTCCTTGATTGACCCATAGTAATATTTTATCAAAAAATGATAGCAACAGATGTCAAAGATTTATGTACTGAAAATGTGATAGATTAACTTACACAAGTGCCCAGATTTTCAAAATCAATAGACCTTTTAGCCACAACATCAGTCCCTTCAATATGTTGGACTTCTGAAAACAAATGGTTTCTCTTAATGCACATCTAATCTGATTTACTTCTATACATTTTAATTAGTTTTCCAATTATAAGAATAATAGACTACATATCAAACAAGCAAACACCCAGAAACAATAGTTTGACTAATTTGCTTAAAGATACCAAAGGTATAATCTGAATGATTGATCGCCCACATCTGACTCCATCTGCCTGACTTGACTTAGTTATTTGTGATTCTGTTACTAAAAATTATCATGGATGAAACAAATTTATATCATTAGGCATTATTTGGGAGGATGCTATAAAGAAAAAAAGAATCTTTTTTTTCTTTTTACAATATATGATGTGTCATCATTTATTTTGTCATATTTATGTTTGTAATAACCACATCTCTGCCTTGAAAACATGGCACTTTAGAAAAGTATATAATTACTTTGATTTGTATTTATGTTACCCAAAATAATCTATACTTTTACTAATAATGCATAATACATCTGTAACCATACCTCTTTGAGGACAATATATTTTAAAGATTAAATTATAATTTAGAACCTATATTACAGATATCTTAAGTCTTTCACAGGAATGTGTTGTAATACAACAAAGAGGATAATGACATCTTCTATATTGATAGTAAATTATGTTTAATAAGTAATTATTTGAAGATTTATTCATAACGCAGAAAGATGATTATATGTAACAAAGTTTGTATATAAGATTAGGAATACAGAGACCTCTATTCTAGTTTTAATTTTACTACATCTTATTCCTGTAAACTTCACAATCTTTACATTTATTATACCTAAAAGAATATAATAATAACTGCCCTTTCTCAAATAAGGTTATTGCGAAGTCAAATGAAACAAAAAAGACATTCATATTTGTAATATAAAATTCAAAACATGGCCGAGCGTGGTGGCTTACGCCTGTAGTCCTGGCACTTTGAGAGGCTGAAGTGGGTGGATCACCTGAGGTGGGGAGTTGGAGACCAGCCTGGCCAACATGGTAAAACCCCATCTCTACTAAAACACAAAAATTAGCTGGGCGTGGTGGCACACGTCTCTAATCCCAGCTACTCGGGAGGCTGAGGCAGGAGAATCACTTGAACCTGGGAGGCAGAGGTTGCAGTGAGCAGAGATCGCGCCCTTGCACCCCAGCCAGGGTTCCTGAGTGAGACTCCATCTCAAAAGAAAAAAAAATTAAAATGCATTTCAAATAAAAGATAAAATCAAGGTACATTTTAACATTAAATTATGGGATAAAATATACCATCTTCTTAGTTGGACTCAATATTTTTTTGTTATTGTGGTTATAATATTTTAAATGTCTATAATGTCTATAAGGAAAACTGTATATAAAATCTTGGTATAAAAATCTTCATACTTTTGACACAAACAGAAGTAATGACATAAATGAAAATTCAGACACTTGAGAACGATAGTAGAAATGTCTTCCTTGTCCTTTGTTAATTACAATGTAGATAGATATTTTATGTATGTCTCCTAGATGTTTCTTTGCTACATTATTATTGGACTTAATGTTCACGTCAACAACCTTGTAAGAACCATGTAATTATTATCTATTTATTTATTTATTTATTTTTAGACAGGGTCTCACTCCCATCACCTAGACTGGGATGCAGTGATGTCATCTCAGCTCACTGCAGCCTCTACCTCCCTGGGCTTAGGTGATCCTCCTGCCTCAGCCTCCCAAGTGGCTCATTTTCCTGGACTCAGGTAATCCTCCTGCCTCGGCCTCCCAAATAACTGGGACTACAGGCACACTCCACCATGCCCGGCTAGTTTTTTGTATTTTTTGTAGAGATGGGGTTTTGCCATGTTGCCCAGGATAGTCTCCAACTCCTGAGCTCAAGGGATCCTCCTGCCTCAGCCTCTCAAAGTGCTGGGATTTACAGGCATGAGCCACCACACTTGGCCAATTATTTCTTTTTAAGTTGCCTAGAGACTCAGGAATCATTTCTGAGTTTTCATAGTTTAAGGGGAAAAATTGCCAGAGACTTCTTTCTAAAACATTTTATTTTTTAATGTAAAAATCACTAAATCTTTAAAACATGTAATAAGAGACCTTTTCAGACAAGTAGCATAAATCTACATTTCTGTCCTTCCAGCTATATTCTTTATGTAGACTATTTACTGTTGATAAATTGAAATCAAAATTACAATCAGAGATGTCTAAGATAATATAAAAATCAATATTTTAAAAGCCTCTATATTAGACTATGTCTAACACCAGAATATTGCCTTAAAGAGTTGAACGTATTTGGAGTCTTTTAAGATTTTTTCCCATGACAGGTAATTGTCAGTATGTATCCAATCTTAGTTATGCTTTTTACTCAGGATAAGCAGCTCTTTCAATTCATTTAAAAAATCTGTGATGTAATTAACTCTAAGAAATGTAAAGCCTGTAACCATCATCTAAATAACTGGTTTGACAGATAGATGGTAATAGTCTTTAACCTTTGCCTGAAGGCTACTGTATTGTTTAATACTGTAATTTGTTAGACATACTACCAATGCTTTGATTTGGAGATTCGATTCATCCATTTAATCTTGGGTCAGGGATTTGAATCATTGATTTAATCTTTCTGCTTTACTCTAAAGTTAATATATTTACTGAAGATAGAACCATAGTGAGAGGCATTCACTCTCACTATGAGAGAAACTCATGAGAGAAACTCACAGAGAAACTCACATAAAGTTTCAATAAATCGTGCTTTTCTATTTATTGACTTGTTTCCTCATACTATTTCTGTTATACCAAATTGAATTAATTGTTTTGAATACTAAAATTGGTGAGCATAATCTGTTTAGATATTTAATAACTGTTAAAACTTTGCAGACACTTAAAATATTTCATGTGAGAAAATTTAAATGTGCTTAATGTATTATGCCTTAAATTTTGGATCTGCTTTGTAAAATGGCACTGATACATTAAAATAGAAATCTTTTAAGGGAATATTTTAATTTCACTCCCTGGTAACTATATGTGTATGTCAAGAACTGAGAGGCTGAAATTTTAGTTAATTTAATTTATATAACATATTAATGATTTTATACAAACATGCACACATTTCAAGACTTTAGTGTTTAGCATTGAAAGAAAAATTGATCAATATTTGTTACCTAGCAATACCCTAATTCTTTTCTTACTGGTCTTGTTATTTAAAAAAATAGACTTGGTGAGATTATTAACTACATATATTCGGTCATATTATTCATAATTTAAGGTTAGAATAAATGCTGGTGACATTTTAGCACAAGGTTGGTTTAATAATTTTATGATGCAACATTTAACTAACTCCTTAGATATCTGAATTTTTGCTAACCAAGCAACTTCTAAGATGATATGTCATGGGAGAGCTTGAGAATGCAAGTCACTTTTAAGAAGTTTAACTGGCTGGGCAAGGTGGCTCATGCCTGTAATCCCAGCACTTTGGGAGGCTGAGGCAGGCAGATCATGAGGTCAGTAGTTCGAGACCAGCCTGACCAACATGGTGAAACCCCATCTGTACTAAAAATACAAAAATTAGCTGGGTATGGTGGTGCGTGCCTGTAATCCCAGCTACTCAGAAGGCTGAGACAGGAGAGTCACTTGAACCCAGGAGGCGGAGGTTGCAGTGAGCTGAGATCACACCACTGCACTCCATCCTGGGCAACAGAGCAAGACTCTGTCTCCAAAAAAAAAAAAAAAGTTTAATTTCCAGTTGTACAACATCCAGCTGAGCCTGTTTCATAAATGCACAGATATATGAATACATACTGCATATATGGTATATATTTATTATACCAATACCATGTCATAACCACATTAGCAGATCTTAGAAATTAAAAGTAAAAAAAAAAGGTAGACTTGATATGTGCAATAATATAAATTAATTTGCTGATTGGTCTTTTCTATTAGATAGAATCTTCAACAGTAGATGCATTCACTAGTAATTAACAATGTCTCTATTTGAGTTAGTTTGAATGGATAATGTGAGTATATTTTAGACTCAGTGGAATCTTACAAAAAACACAGCTGTCCTAAGGTCTCAAAGGGGACAACTGAAACTAAAAAATCAATATGTCATCAGCAGGTTTGTTGTAATAGATGCTTAGCACAGCAGGTTTGTATAAACTAATGACATACTGTGCGATGACAAGACAGTTAGATTAAAGGACTGCACAGGCACAGTCACTGGCCTGGAGCAGCAGAGGTTGCAAATATGTACATGCAGTATTTTTGGAGCGGTGGAATGTACATAGTTTATAGGTGCCTATGCTGGATATTGTTTTGAAAACTGATTTTAAATATAAATTTACATCACTTTGACTCATGTGTTTAAAACTTATATTATGAAAGAGCTGTTAAAGCTTTTACCTTAAACAATTGTATTTTCATGTGAACTCACCAACAACCAATATACAGGATATTTGTTTCTTTGTTTTTTGAGATAGGGTCTCACTGTGTTGCTCACGCTGAAGTGCAGTGGCGCAATCTCAGCTCACTGCAGTCTCTACTTTGTGGGCTCAAAGGATCCTCACACCTCAGCCTCCCAAGTAGCTGGGACTATGGGCATGCACCACCATGCCTGGCTAATTTTTTCATTTCTTTGTAGAGATGGGGTTTGTCATGTTGGTTAGGCAGGTCTTGAACTCCTGAGCTCAAGCAGTCCGCCCACCTCAGCCTCCCAAAGTGCTAGGATTACAGGTGTAAGCCACCAAGCCCAGTCATCCAGGTTTTTTAAGAAGGCAAAAACTATTCCTTAAACAATTTACCTAGGGATAAAAGAGGGGGAAAATGTAGAGAAGAGCTATCTTCCAAATGTCTGAAAACAAACAAACAAAAAAAGGTATTAGATTTCAGACATCAGGTGATACTCTGCTTCAGAAACAATATATTGGGAAAAATCCTGAGTTGCAAAACTATTAAACCAGTTAACACGTTTAATTATAAGAATTGTCTTTCTTGTCTCATTCTAAAGAGAAATGTCATCACAAAACGATAATCTTATGAAAGCTTTCAAGTACAAGGATTTCATAAAAAGAATGAATTCTACTCAACAGTAAAATATTTTGCTTGTACTTTGTGGGAACCAAATATTTTTAGAAGATTTTTTAAGAGCATCTAATCTGTATTTTTAAAATGCCGGTACTGGCCTTAATGTTTATTATTCTCCAGTTCTTTACACAGTGTTCCTACACCGTCAACATATTATCACAACCTGGTTTTTGATTTGTTATCACAATCTTGTGACCTTTAAGCAGAAATTTATGGTGTACATCAAAGCAGTAATAAACACATAAAGAAATTCTTCTACAAAGAAACAGTCACTTTACTATTTCTGCTGAACATGTGTTTAGAGTTTACATCTTGGTTACCTTGCACTAGCTTCCATGGCAGACAAAGCCGTTGTTTGTATGAGAGTGAACTGCTTACATTCTCGCATCAACACTTTCCCTCAAAAGCTGAAGTTTCCCTCTGCTTGCCTCTTCTGTTTAGACTGATGGAAAATATTTGCTACTTATCTTCACTACAGAATTGTCAATACAGAAGTCTGTAAAAAGTTTCATTAATTTATTCATCCTTTTGAATCATAGGAGTCTTTTAAAAAAATCGGATATATTTACAGAGTATCTAATGTTTGATAAGTTAGTTATGAGGGTCTCACATTTTTGTAGCGGTTAGGAAGAGACAATGTAGTTAAAAGTCCTCTATGTTAGAGTCAAGAAACTTGTTCTTGATGCTTTCACTAAGAGACTCATGATTTTGGACTAATCTCAATTTTGAGATTACCTATAAAATGTGGAAATTCAGATGGATAGTTATGTCTTAAATATTTCACATCTTTTAGGAGAAACAAGTTGATTGTATGAGATTTCATTTACATCTGTCTGCATATAAAATCGGGTAAATTTCTTGGGCTTTCACTTTTTTTATAACAATAAAATGAAAATGAGCTTATTAATAGATTAGAATTAAAATTCAAAACTAATGCAATTCAAAGAAAATGTACCATGTTAACAAGTATTTTTGCCAAAATGGAATTTCTGCTCATAAAGTGGCCATGACAGTGACTTAAACCCTAGATGTTAGGAAACGACCTCTTGGATTTATCACAGTGCCTCACTCTTAGTTCAGACTCTTAAAAACATTTCTTGTGGGAAGTAATGACTGCTAAGTAAAAATGAAAGTTGAGCAATGATTCTTGTGAATTATGAGTTAATTAATGGTATGACTGCATTTTGTTGAAGTCTCATGATTTAAAGATGTGCTCATTTTTTTTGCTCATGATTTAAAGATGTGCTTTGATACTCTGAAGGACCAAAGGGCAGTGAATCACTGTAAAGCTGCTTTTGAAACATGCCTTAGGGCAAATTGTGAGCCTTCATTTGTGTCCAGAATGGAAGGAACAGCAAGAAGCATGGGTGAGTCATAGGACAAAAACACAAAATGTCATTCCAAAGACAGGGTGGTGACCTTATGTCTGAGTATGCAAAAATCCAACTGGGGAAGTAAGAGGCCTGATCTTAAAAGTTCATGTATTAAGGGAAAACCCATACTTTTATCTTAGGAGATTATGATTATATAATTAGTTTTGTTTGATAATTCAGATGAGTTACCTCTGATTCAGTTTGAAAGTATCCCAGATCAAGCACAGTTCAAACACAGACACTCCTGGGACTGGTTCTGCTTTTTGTGATTGGAATAAGGGGTCCTGCTAAGGTGTGTGCTTCTGTCCTCAGATTTGGAACAGAATCTAAATTCCATGTGTGACGTAACCTGCTTAGTCACAAGCAACATTTTCAGACCCCTTTCCTTTAATTTTAGAAGGAGGCTGTTGATTTGGTATAATTATTTGTTAATGAATGCATTTTGTGTTCATTGCTAAGTATAAAAAAAGCACATATAGGATAGCTTGTGGCGTATTAACAAATGCTTGAGAGATAAAATATAAAGGTATATAACAGTAAAACATGAAAGAAGTCATTCAAAGCAATTTACCTAATGAAAGAGAGAGAACGTGTTTCCTCAGAGATTCAGGTGTATCTCATGGCATCCTCTTTTGTATCTTTCAGGTGTATTTACCTTTAGTTTGTTGTTGTTGTTGTTGTTGTTGTTATATAAGAGGGTTTAGGTAAATGTCACTTTCTGATAGGAGCCTCCTCATCAGGACCTTTTCTTTTTTAAATTTTCATATGTCTATTTTTATGTGAAAACTGTCCAAATAAAATATTTATATATAAAAGTTTTCCACATAACTCTAAAAGGGTTCTATTTGATGTCTTTACTGTATTATAGGACTTACAAAAAGAAAAGAAAAAGAATATATCCAATTAAAACAAGAAAGAACTCTTGAACCCAGCTATGCATACAAGAAAAATAAATTGTTTGAAGTGAGACATGAGGTAATCGAGACTCCTCAATGGGGAAAGTCAGTGCTCATCTGGCCCCTAGTGTGCCTGTTGAGCTGAAATATTTTATTGATGTGAGTGCTTAACAAATCACCAAATGCTCAGTGAATACCTATTATGTGTCATGAGCTCTATGAGGTAGCTTTTTTTCATACAGTCGTATTTTGGCAAATAAATAAATAATACGAGGCATAATTGACAGTGAAAATACCAAAAAAAAAAAAAAAAAAAAAAAAAAAGCATCCCTTACAAATTCCAGAATGTATTTTGAGGTTTCACTCAGCGCTATACAGTGATCACAAACTCCTTGCTATGGTTTAGTCTCTAAGAAAATAAAAATGCCAGAAGGTGTGTTACATTTCAGGCCAATAAAACAGACATTATTAACATCTCATTTTATTAATTGAGGTTGAGATTTTGTGTGGAGGCATTTTAGTGGTCTGATCCACACAGTATTGAGTCAGTGGCATTTTGAGAATGAGGTGTAGTGATTTGTGCTACATTTATAGTGACCAATAAGCTGTGATTGTAGTTCTTTTATATGCTGATGGTAAAATTTGTACTTCGTGGATGGACAGTGAAGGAACGTGGGCACTTCTTGTGTGCGCAAATACTTCTATATGCAACATCTTTCCTTCACTTGAGATATTTATGTTTTATTTAAATATAATACATTCAAAATATTTATTATTAAATCAACAACGTTGCATGAGTAGTTTATTTTGTGTTTTGTCCCCCAATAGATGATACTTGTATCCATACGTGGATAAACCTCCTCAGCCTTTTATGACACTCAGCAAGCTTTCTCTATCACAACAAATTTTATGTGGCTTGATATTTTCCCCCTCACACTGTCTTCATATTAATGCACTGCCTGTTTAGAGGCCCTACTAATGGGTTATCTCCATAAGGAACAATATGAATCTAATTCTCTAACCTTACTTCAACTCATTGCTGCTGCTGCTATGAAGCCAATTGTAAGCACAGTTAATTGTTCCCATGATTACTAAGACAAATATCACATGTAGGAGAGGTTTGATTTTCCATATTACAAAAGATAAGCTCTGGGAGAATTCAGCATTCAGTTTCCTAATCACTTACACATGTAAAATCACTTACACCCCTCCAGTGATGCCAGAAATTGTTCATTATTTCTTGTAAGTATTGTATAAAACTCAGAGTGCACTCAGAGGAAGTATCAATTCTGTTTTCTTAGAAACTAGTGTTGCTATGTTAGTGATAAAAAACAAAATGACTTCACCATAAAACACATTGCAAATTTCCATATAACTTACAGGTTATTTTCAGGTATATGAAAATGACAAAAAACCAGCTAAGAGACTATAAGTAGAACAATATTTGAGATTCATTTGGAAGAATAATCTTATTGGTCTTATTGACTTCTTGGTTAAAATGATTGAAAAACTTTACATGAGAGAGAGTGTGTGTGTGTGTGTGTGTGTGTGTGTGTGTGTGTGTGTGTGTGTTTCTTTCTCCAGGCAACAAAAGTAACAGGCATGAATTTTTTTGGTAGAAGATCATTCTTTATCAGAAACAACATCGTACATCCTTGCAATTAAATTAACTTCAGTAGATTATCATCAGAATTGTAATTTTATAAGAATAATTGTGATGGAATATTTGCAATGTAAGAGACTCCCTTAAAGGGTATGATGAGGTATTTCTTTCTGCGATCCGATTTACTTCTGTTTTTGTTTTTGTTTTTTGAGACAGAGTGTCTCTCTGTCACCCAGGCTGGAATGCAGTGATGTGATCTCAGCTCACTGCAGCCTTCACCTCCAGGATTTAAGCGATTCTTCTGTCTCAGCCTCCTGAGTAGCTGGGACTACAGGCACCTGTCAGCACGCCCGGCTAATTTTTGTGTTTTTAGTAGAGATGGGGTTTCACCATGGTGGCCAGGCTGATCTGGAACTCTTGAACTCAAGTGGTCTGCCTGCCTTGGGCTCCCAAAGTACTGGGATTACAGGCGTGAGCCACCACTCCCAGCCTGTGATTTGCTTTTGGGTAAGATTATGGCGTATACATGGAGGGAAGTAAAAGTGAACACATTTCAGTTGCATTTCCCCCCAGGCATAGATATTTTGAAAAATTTCTGTAAATTGTCCAACATGTATTTCTAAGATAAGCAACCACTATGATTTTTAAACATAGTGAGAATCACCACAGCATCAAATTCATTCATTCATTTAACAGATACTTAGCACTATGTGCCAGATACTGAGTTAGAGACTCAGAATACATCTTTGAACAGAACAAGTACTTGTACTATAGTGAATCTTATATTCTTGTGGAAGGAGACAGATAAAAAACACTAAACATGATGAATAAATTATTCACTATCTTAAACAATGATAGGTACTGTGGACAAGAAAACACAGAGTAGGTTAATGGTGTTCTGCAAGGATGGGGAAAGGGCAGACTGTGGTATTAAATGGTAGTCAGGGTTCGCCTCCTGGAGATGTTGAGATTTGAGCAAAGATTTGAATGGAATAAGGGACTTAACCAAGGGGATATCTGTGGGAAGAGCATTCCAGACAGAGGAAAAAGCCAGAGCAAAGGCCCAAAGGTGTGATGGAGAATTTCTAGCATATTCTGGGAAGAACGCCAGCAGAGTGAGTGAGAGAATGAGTAGTAGGAGCTAAAGTAAAAGAGGAATTGGGTTGAAAGGCACATCTCATTTCGTTGGTACCGTGATGGGTCTCCTATAAAGAAGAGAACTGGAAATTCTATAAACGTCACAGAGAAACCTTGTAAGATTGTTTGCTCCATGTCACCCTGAAGAGGTTTGGTCACTTGTTCAAACTAATTTTAAATACCACCTAACCTCTGTGGTTTGCCTCCTGTTATGCTTATTCTATGTTGGTGTTTTACACTAAAACTTTAGTTATATATTACCTCAACAAAAGCTAATATATCACTAAATATAAGATATTGAATATGATATGAAAGCTATTAAGCTAAAGCTTAATAAGCTAAGTATAAGATACTAAATATATAGCTGCAGGCTGTAACATAGACTCTATAGCATAACTCAGGGAAATGAGTAGCTAAATTCCATGAATAACTGAATGCATGGACTGAAGGGAGGGTTTCACAGAATGTTGTATGTTAGAATCTGTGTTCCTTCCCCTCCCAATTCTTGTGCAGCATCTTGAGAGGACAATCAGGTGCCTACAACCTTACTACACCCACATCTCTCTTGCCCCTTACCCTGCTGACTGAAAAGAATCACATGCCCCTTTTGTGAAGGTTATTTCATTCCTCATGTTCTGGAATTCTTCATCCTTTGTCTCTAAAAGAACTTTGTTCCATCACTTATTTGTCCCTCTTGTCTACCTCCAGGAAGTCCTGCTCAGATGCCCATTTCCATTTTCCATTAATGTATGCTCAGACATCTCCCATTGTTTTTCTTTATTTTTTTTTTAATAATCCTTCCTAGGTTCAATTTTCTAGCAGTTGCTGCCTTCTCTTGTTTGGTAGCAAGCACTTTGGCTGCATTTCTGTATCTGGTATTTGTACATCCTCTCCTCTTCATTGGTTTCCAGGCCTCTACAATTGGGGTTCTTCACCACTACCTCAATGAAGGGACCTCTGCATCTTCATTGCCACATTAGAATACTTTCACCCCTTATCCGATTTGATTACTGTGTAACATTTGACATGGGCCACTGTTCTTGAAAATACTCTTTTCTTTAGCTTTAATTACAGTATTCTTTCACATCATTTCCTACCTCTATAACAACTTTTTTTTCTAATATTTTTGAATTCATCTTTATGTATCTTCTTAAATATCAGTGTCTCTAGGATCACACTCCACATTCTGGGCAATCTCATCACTGCCAAGGCTTCCATCACTATCTTTATGCTGTGATCTTTTCCAGGTGTATTTCTAGTCCCTAATTCCCTCCTGAACCCAATATTTTTATATGCAAGAAAAATATTGTATTAGGTGTACTGGACACCTAATTGAACATCCACAAGCCATAGGCACCCTCAGACTTAAGATATCTAACTTGGATCCCCACTCACTCCTTTCACCAAACTCCTTTCTCTTCCTTGTTTTGTATCCAGTAAATGACAGTCCTGTATCCCAGTGCCCAAGCTAACTTCCTCTCTCACCACCCCCATACTTTCAATTACTTTGTCCTTTATAGCTTATAATATAAAACTTTCCAGATTACCTCAGTGTCCCAGTGTCAGTCTTTGTGAAATTATATTCATTTTTTAATTCTTTTTTGTTTGTTTGTTTTTTGAGACGGAGTTTTGCTCTTATTGCCCAGGCTGGAGTGCAGTGGTGCAATCTCGGCTCACCGCAACCTCCGCCTCCCAGGTTCAAGCGATTCTCCTGCCTCAGCTTTCCCAAGTAGCTGGGATTATAGGCATGCGCCACCAAGCCCAATTAATTTTGTATTTTTAGTAGAGATGGGGTTTCTCCGAGTGGGTCAGGCTGGTCTCAAACTCCCGACCTCAGGTGATCCGCCCACCTCAGCCTTCCAAAGTGCTGGGATTACAGGTGTGAGCCACCGCACCCGGCCTCATTTTTTTTATTCTATGGGACTTGAAACAAGTAAGAAATTCATGTAAATGGAAGAGGCTCAACTTACAAAGTGTAATTAAATTTAAATGAAGGAGATAAATTTTAAGTTGTCAATACAAAACTTTAACTGAAGGTGTGAGTTGAAGTGAAGTAATAAATAAGCTCACCTTGAGTGGGAATTCATGATGTGGAATCACCTGGGAGGAGTTTTGCCTTCTTCAGTCATATTGCTTCCAACTCTAGTGCATCCATTCTCACACGTCAGAAATTATCTCTTCCATTTCAAAAGTTATACTCTGAAAAAAAAATTAAAAATATAAAATCCTTATTACAATCAATTTTCTTACCACTGCATAACCAAAGACTAGATGAGAAAATATTGAATTATATGGTCACTACAACTGTGTCCACATGGACAAGAAAGGGGGAAAACCAGGTGAATGTATTTTCTTTTTTTCCATCTTTCAACTGATAAGTATATTTTAAAGAAATGTAGATAAAATACTGTTTGAAGTATAGTGACCACTATTGCCAAATGGCATGAAAACATTAAGATGAGACTACATGAGGGAGTATGGTAATTTAAATCACACTTGAGATTAATCTTTACAGAGATTAATTTTTTTTTTCACTATAAAGGAAAGTGTTTCTGCTGAAGTTAGAGATCTTCAGGTTACAAAGAGCTTGGCAGTTAAAGGAGAACGAGGCAAAGCATTCCAAATTTGAAGAATTCAGTAGGCATGACTAACAAATGTTGTGTCTCAGAATAGATAATAAATTAGGGCACTTGTTAAAAGTATGTGGTTGCCACTGTAGAAAAAGTGTGTAGTGTGATTAGGAGTGATGTATGCATGTTTCCTGTGATACTGTGCCTTCAATTTTGTAATTCTATATTATCAATGTGTACTCATAGTCTTGCTATGATCTTTTCCCAAGATAACTCTTAATTGCTCCAGACTTTACAAGGCTGACTCAGAAGCAAACTGTAGAATGTCAGAAAAGTAATCTCCACCACTTATCGTTAACTAGTGACCATCTAACATGACAGATGGCGCCCTGCCTGTCTTCAGCAGCTTGTGGGACAAAGCTGAATGTCAACACCACTGGGATGTAATTATTGGAATCTCTTGGGTCCAGTTTGGCGTGACCCTGAAAGCAATTCCCCGAGAACTGCTGGGAGCAATGCAGTGATGGAAAGAGCAGAGAAAGGAGAGGTTTGGGAGACCAGCAGCATTTTCAATTTACTGACAAGTGTTTTCACGCTGCTTAAGAATACGTATTTTGCATGTGACAAATCAGATTGACAAATTGAAGAATTCATGGGACTTTCATTGTGGCCTAATTTAAATATTATCAAAGGGCTTTATTTTATAATGCAGAGGCAACTATTTAATGATTTAAGTAATTTTGAAAAATATTTTAATGATGAGAAAGCAGTATAATTTATATTTTAATTGTTTCTTAAATAATTTGGTAACATTCTCATTATTTGGGAACACACTTTGCAAATGTTTTACTACAACTTGTTTAATCTCTAAAACAACTCAGTAAATTAGATACTGTTATTAGTTCCAATTGATAGATGGGGCGAATGAGGCACAGAGAAGTTAGCTGTGACACAAAACAAATGGTAGAGCATCCAGGGCTCAAACCAAGCCATCTGGTGCCAGAGTCTCTGTTCTTAATCATTGTGCTTTTCCCTGTGCCATCTTATATACCTCTTTAAAACACTCAACCTGCCTGTATAGAAGAGTGGCACCATACTGAAATACTTAAGTTAAATGCTTAAGTATGCAAATACTTAATATACTTAAATAAGTATATACTTAAATACACTTATTATGGAGCTTGATGCTAAACCAGATAATATAAGAATATCTAAAATTCTAAAGTTACTAAAAATAGATTAGAGGAATTATTAATACAGTAGTCCCTTTTTATCTGCAGGGGATGTGTTCCAAAGACCCCCAGCAGATGCCTGAGACCGTGCATGGTGGCAAACTCGATTTCCATCAGTAGGAATATTTTTCTGTTCACATCTTCCACCCACAAATTTAATACCTTCTCCGTGCTAAGTAGTTATCATGCACGGTGGCCATAAGTTTTGCAGTTTGAGGTGTGACAGCAAAACTAGCACATTTTTTTTTTTAACTTCCTTCCCAGTTTCACCGATAGAAGATGTGTTCTTACTGTAGGTCTTAGCAATCTCAGCATATAATTTTTTTTTCTTTTCTTATTGTGAAGTTTCACCTTTTCACGTGTAAGAAGCACTTACAGCTTCTTTTTGTCATATCCACATTGCCTGCATCACTACTCTTGCACTTTGGGGCCATTATTAAGTAAAGTACGGATTACTAGATCACAAACACTGAGATACTTCTGCAGTCAGTCTGATCACCCAGAAGGCTGCTAAGTGAGTAATAGGCGGGTAGTGGATATGCTCGACAAAAGCATGTTTCCCTAGTGTGATGGAGTTGGATGGAGGGGGATTTTATGACCTTACTCAGAGCAGCACATAATTTAAAACTTGTAAATTGTTTATTTTTGGAATTTTTCATTTAATTTTTTCCGATTGTGCTTGACTAAGGGCGACTGAAACCTTGGAAAGCCAAACTACCAACAAGGAGGGACTACTCCACATTAATTGGTTAATCATAAATTTCTCCCAGAAATGTGTCTTTAAGTAATATATATACTGAGTGCACTGAAACTAGTTTTGATACTAAAAAATTAATATAGCAAATGGAAGTAAGCTTCTATATGCCCTTTAGTAGGGAGAACTTTGGAAATGTCACAGTTTTTCTGATTTTGAATAATGCAGACATAGTCATTATTTCTTTTGTATGCAGGGACAAGCATCTAAGAATCATGTTGCTGGTATTTGTCACGCAACCATCCAGTTAAAAAGACTTGAACACTTAGTATGTACAATCTAATTTATTCCTCACCTATGAGGAAAAAACAACCTATGAGGAAGGTGTTTTTTTTTTTTGGTTTTGTTTTGTTTCCTGAGACGGAGTCTTGCTCCATCGCCCAGGCTGGAGTACAGTGGCGTGATCTCTGCTCACTGCAAGCTCCGCCTCCCAAGTTCAAGCAATTGTCCTGTCTCAGCCTCCCGAGTAGCTGGGACTACAGGTACCTGCCACCACACCTGGCAGCTAATTTTTGTATTTTTACTAGAGTTGGGGTTTCATCTTGTTGGTCAGGCTGGTCTCGAACTCCTGACCTCACGTGCTCCACCTGCCTCAGCCTCTAAAGTGCTATTTTTTTAAAACACCATTTTACAGATGAAGAAACTAAGAGAGAAGAGTAAATAACTTGCTATGGGCCTGACGCGCTGGCTCATGCCTGTAATCCCTGCACTTTGGGAGGCCGAGGTGGGTGGATTAACTGAGGTCAGGAGTTCAAGACCAGCCTGGTCAACCTGGTGAAACCCTGTCTCTACTAAAAACACAAAAAATTAACCAGGTGTGGTGGTGGACACCTGTAATTCCAGGTACTTGGGAGGCTGAGGCAGGAGAATCGCTTGAACCTGGGAGGCGGAGGTTGTAGTGAGCCAAGATCGTGCCATTGCACTCCAGCCTGGGCAACAAGAGTGAAACTCCGTCTCATAAATAAATAAATAAATAAATAAATAAATAAATAACTTGCTATGGTCTTTTAAATAATGCATTGAACATAGAAAAGGTCGTACCCTTGCTGTAAAAACAATTACTTATCACATGGATATAATTCTGATAATTTCTCAAAACCCTGCCTAACAACCAGTATGCAAAGGACTTTGAAAGCCTAGACCATGTGAGAAAAGCACCTAAGGAATTGGAATGCTGTAAACACCACTGCTAATTGTTATGATTTATCTTGTTGGGGTTGTTAGGAGCAGTCAATTCTAGGAGATAAGAGCAGTTGAGTTCAGGCCCTCAAGGAATTTACAGTCTAATGGATGAGATAACTTACTGTGAAAAGCTCCAAAACCATTGATTATAAGTTGTTAGTATAAACAAGGAGTACAGTAAATGCCTCAGGCCAGGAACACTTGGGGTTTTGGGACACCTTACACCTTTGTCTCCACTCCAAAAAAGGGCTTTGAGGTGATCTTGAAAGAAGAGAAGGTAAGTTGAGTTGCAAGAGGGAGGAAGAGCTTTCAGCATGGGAAAAACAGGAACAACAACATAACTCCTAATGGTGCAAATAAGGCTAGGAGAGGCCAGAGCACAGTGAACATCCTAACTAGAGCTTCTACCCTTGCCCCTGTGCACAAACTGTTTTCCATGCAACAACTGGAAGTCTTCTAAAAATGGAAATGAGAGTATCACTCCCTTGCATACCACAATTCAAAGATTTTCTCATTTCACTTAAAATCAAAAACGAAACACTACAAAAGGCCCTCCTAGAGGTCTGATGCATACGACAAGTTTGTGCAGTGAGGATAGTGACTTTAATAAGTGACTTAGGCCAAGAGGAATGGCAATGAAGAGAGCTTCAACTCTGAAAATGCAATAGGGATGGTGGAGACTACGGCTTCCTCTAATGCACTAGATGTTACTCAGTTCTCCTTGCCCCACATAGAAATGGGCCTAGTATTGCCTGATGATTTGATTCGTTTAAGAGAATCCAGAAATCCAGATTTTTAGGCAAAGTCTCCACTTAAAAATTGACTCAAGTATCTCATCGTCATCATCATTGTCATCATCATCATCATTGTCATAAAGATAGTAATAAAGCACTGTGCAAACAAACTCGAAACATCTGCAAGACAGATGTCCAGATTAGAACCACAGGCCACTAGTTTATGACGTTTGCCCTGCACAGTCTGGCTGTGCCTGCTCTGCAACCAGTTTATACCACACTTTTCCCTGCTCACCACAGTCTCACCACAGTGGCTCTCTTCAAGTTCTCCATTTTTCCAGCTGGTGCCTACTTTGGGCCCTGTACGCTTTTTGCTTTTTATGCCTAGAGTTGTTTTTGGTCCTTCCAACTCTTCTGAACTCAGCTTAGCTTTTACTTAGTTTTGACCCTTCACCTGCCCTTTGTTCCCTTCTTCCAGTAGTTCTCAAAGCGTGGTCTGGGGATCCCTGAAGCCCCCAGGATCTTTCAGGGGGTCCACAAGGTCAAAACTAGTTTCACAACAAAAGTAAGATGTGGCTTTCTTTTTTTTTTTTTTTTTTTTCACTCTCATTCTCATGAATGTATAGTGGAGTTTTCCAAAAGCTATGTGACAGGTGAAATTGCAATATACTGAACACAGAAGCAATATGAGAATTCAGCAATCTTTTTTTTTTTTTTTTTTTTTTTTGACAGAGTCTCGCTCTGTTGCCAGGCTGGAGTGCAGTAGTGTGATCTTGGCTCACTGCAATTTCCACCTCCTGGGTTCAAGCGATTCTCCTGTCTCAGCTTCTCAAGTAGCTGGGACTACAGGTGCGCACCACCATGCTGAGCTAATTTTTCTATTTTTAGTAGAGATGGGTTTCACCATATTGACCAGGATGGTCTGGATCTCTTGACCTCATGATCCGCCCCCCTCGACCTCCCAAAGTGCTGGGATTACAGGCGTAAGCCACCACGCCCGGCCGAGAATTCAGCAATCTTCTATTAAAACAGACATTAAAGAGATGTAATCCTTCTAAATATAACTTCTACTCACCCCCCTCTTGGGATTACACCTGTAATCTCAGCACTTTGGGAGGCTGAGGTGGATGGTTCACCTGAGGTCAGGAGTTTGAGACCAGCCTGGCCAACATGGTGAAAACTTGTCTCTACTAAAAATAGAAAAAAACTGGCTGGACACGGTGGTGCGTGCCTGTAGTCCCAGCTACTTGGGAGGCTGAGGCTGGAGAATGGCTTGAACCTGGGAGGCGGAGGTTGCAGTGAGCCGAGATTGCGCCACTGCACTCCAGCCTGGGTGACAGAGCGAGACTCTGTCTGAAAACAACAACAACAAAAGGAGATTCTGAGAAAAACGTAAAATATTGCCACTCTTCTCACTAATTTTGTAAAAATACCCTTATTTTTATAACATTGCATACAAGGCCGTGAATATGAAACTGATCATGCAGTCAAATTATCATGCAGAAAAATTAAAGGTCTCTAGACAGGGAAGTAACAGGATTAAAATGGTGTATTAGGTTATTTTGTAGTGAAAAAGGAAATTTTTATATTTATATTACTATGTAATGCATTTTATGGTTATTTTTAATAAATTAATACATATTTAAGGTTTCCCTCAATTTTAATTTCTACTATGATAAATAATAAACATAGACCAAAAAATAGTTCTTTGAGGTACTCAATTTTTAATAATGCAAATAGGTCTTGAGACCGAAATTTTTGAGAACTGTTGCTTTATAAATACATATCAAACACTAAAATGATCTCACCTATTGTTTACTAAAATATAAGCACCATGAGGGCAGAGACTTCCACCTTAAGCATTTATGCCCAGTGTTCCATTATTGGAACGATAAGCAGGTGGGAGTTATTTATATCCTACTGCTCAAGGTGATCGCCAAGGTCTGATAGGAAAAATTCAAAAATTTGTCTGGCATAAATGGGTTAATACCCTTCAGCACCTCGAGCAGTGTCTGAAGCACAGTAGGTACTCAGTATACATTTTAGAATAAGCAAATCAATAAATTAGCATAATGTTTGAATGGGAGTTATATTTAGAAGGATAGGGTTGAGCTAGCTTTATAGGAAGCTTTACATACAAAGCCATGAATATGAAACAGATCATGCAGTCAAGGCAGAAAAATTAAAGGTCTCTAGGCAAGGAAGTAACAGGATTAAAATTGTGTATTAGAAAGATTATTTTGTACTGAAGGTTAGAGGAAATAAAGTTAGTTTTTCTTTCTTTTCCTGCATATCTTTACCAACTCTCCTACTCGCTCCCCTCTTGACTTTTTTATTGGGCAGAAGGTTTTGAAACCTTCGTGCATTTCTTACAACTATAAATACATATGTGCTAATGAATGAGGTCACATCAATTTAAATGGAACACTGACAGAAAACACAATTTAGCTCATTAGTAAGGCATGACAAATTTACAGCCAGAAACTCTGTTGACTTTTATAGAGGAACGTAAATTAAAGGTGGCCAAATCTTGTTCAGAGGGCCAGTATTAAGGTCTAAACTCAGTCAGGCAAAAATACACATTCCTTTAAGGCAGTCCTTTCATATAAAGCAGGGAGGTGTGGCATCTCTGGAGCGATTTGAAGGGCTCAGGGGAGTTCTTTCTCCCTCCTAGCCAGAAGGCACAAGTGTCTAAACTCTACCTCTAGAGAGACTTTCTTTAAAGTGTCTCTTTCTGCTGTGCTCATTTAAAATACAAATCTCAGAGCAAAACGTTAAGAATGTGGGCTCTGGTGCTAAACCCCCATGCTTCATTTTGGTTCAATGTTATATAAGCTGCATGACCTTGGGCAACCAACTGAATGTCTCTATGCGTCAGTTTAAGCATTTGTAAAATAGGTGTTCCTCCAGATTTGATGTGAGAATTGAGTAACACATGTAAAAATACTTAGAACATCTCTGATACGTGGTACGCCCTGTCTGTGTTAGTGTTTGTCGTTATGGTAGCATAGGAGGCTAGTTTCAAGGAGGATTCGCTTTGCAGCTAAATGGCAGTGAGACCCCAATTAAGTCATTTAGCATGCCCAAGGTTTGATTTATCTGTTTAAAAAGAGAAGCAAAATCTTGCTTTAGATAAAAGGGAGAAAATCTGTTTAACAAATGGATGTGCTGAATATAAATGATGACTTTTTTAAAAAGTCAGTATGGTTAATATGATTCATTGGTGGCATCAGACAAGGCATGGAAGAGAAAGGAACTTTTCAGATGGACTTTGGACACATGAGAAGGGTATTGTCTTCCCACTCAGGTGGGGCAAGGTAATTGCAGATAGGGGAAAGAAGGCCCTGGGTAATCTGTTTGCATAATGACTAGGAGTGCTCATGTAGCACACAGTAAGAAGCCGTGCAGTGGAAACATAAGATGAGAGAAGTTCAGACAGAGCATGGAGGACAGTGGACCCTACCAATTATAGGCAAGACTTTTACCCTGAGAAAGAGACAGAAAAAGAGACTGAACATTTTTGAGCATGAAGTTTTTGATCATCTGTTCCATAAGAAGATAAACTTTGGTAATAAGGCAAAGGAAGAATTGGTGAGCAGAGAAAGTAATGTCTGGAAAAGTAGCCAGGAAGTAGAAGTACCTGAAGTTGGAGTTAAAGTCAGGAAGATTCCAGAATGAGTAAGAGATTTCCATAAGACACCCAGCCCTTTTTGGTTTGAGGAATGAGGGAGTAAGGGTTGAGGGTGATACTGAGGTCTGAACCCCAGAAACTAGAAAAATGCTGTTAAACAAATAGTGCTCTCAGGAACAGGAGAAAGAAAATCTAGCAATACAATTTTATAATTCTAAACACTGACAGGAGGAAAACATGTTAATCAAAAAGCTATTTTAGGTGCTTATGGCTCTTCTGATTCACTTTACTCCTGCCACAGTGCCTGGCATGGAGAATATCAATAAATATGAATTCCTTTCCCATTAACCCTGAATGGCTCTGTTGTGAGTTCTGGAAAAGCAAAGAAGAATGTAAGAAACGGAAATGGGGTTGGGTAGACAAACATCACCTACTACACATTTTTACTTCTTCTGTGAGAGTTGTTATGGGCTATAAATATTAAAGGGCACACAGCAAATTTGTATCTTTAACATTTAAGAACCAATCTACGAGCAAATAGATTTACACACCAAGAAATCCCTGCTTGTCTTGTAATGAGATGCTGATTTTCCTTGCTGCTAACAAACACGTTTTCATTAACATCTTGCTAGCTAATTACAGCTAATTATGAACATTAAATTCATAAGTGATCACTTACAAGCACTGCCAAATCTGTGTGTGTGGAAGAGGAGTAGGGAGGTATTCTAGTTCATTCATTCCAGCGACTAAAAATTGTGCTGATTTGGAACACCAGGATTTTAAATAAATCGCCACAATCCTCATTGTAGTTAAAATTGTAGTTACCCATAATTTATTCCATTACAATATGTAAGGCATATTATGCTCTTAAATATATACCTAATTTAGGTTTTTAGGACTAGTAAATAATCTTTGCTGAGATGTCTAATTTTAAGTATGCATTTTGGTATTATAATGCAGCATTTCCTTTGAAAAGAAAACCTCGTTATGCATTTAATGTGGGCAAGTCCTAATTTACAGATAAATTGTTTTCTAAAATGTTTTTGGTTGTTTGCCCCAGTTCCTTTCATGACACCTGGTATATCCTCAGTAATGGGCTGTATAACCACACAGTAATCAGCTGTGGTTTCCTGCAATCTGCTACTTGTGGAATTTCTCCAGACTATAATCCCCCTCCTCCCCCTACCCCAAACAACAAATTTTGGTATGAATTTCATGAATATTTTTGCTTATAGAGAAAGGAAAGTATATGGTCATCCTCTGGTTACAAACATGATTAAATAATATATTAATAATCAGCATTGTATTTTGGAATATAAGGGAGGGGCCGGGTGCAGTGGCTCACACCTGTAATCCCAAGGCTTTGGGAGGCTGAGGCAGGCGGATCACTTGAGGTCAGGAGTTCGAGACCAGCCTGGCCAACATGGTGAAACTCCATCTCTACCAAAAAATACAAAAATTAGTCAGGTGTGGTGGCTCATGTCTACAGTCCCAGTTACTCGGGAGGCTGAGACACAAGAATCACTTGAACCTGGGAGGTGGAGGTTGCAGTGAGCTGAGACTGCATCGCTGCACTCCAGCCTGGGTGACAGAGTAAGATCTTGTCTCAGAAAAAAATAATGAATAAAAATAAAGTGAAATAAAATATAAGGGAAGGATATATGAAGGAAAGGAATATATTCTTCATGCTTTCTCAAGTCTGCCATTATTTTTGTCTTCCTGGGAGAGAGACATGCACCATACTCTATTCCAGAAGTCAGCAATCCCTGCTTACAGACATATTGGCCCACTGACATGTGTAGCTTGATCTACATTGTTAAAAACAAGGAATTTGTTGTCAATACTTTTAAATTGCAAGATTTCATAATACAATTAAGTCATCTGGTTTTCTTTTAAAAATTAGAAAATCTAGCAGCACAAGATACTACAATAGCTAAAAATGGCCATCCTCTTTAGACAGAGCATATGCTTTCTGGTTTCAACTGTCTTTGTCATGCCCTATCATTTCCCTGATGTTGAGACCAAGACTCAGTTCCAATTGATCATCAATTTGTAGTCTCTCCTGGCTTGCTTGACTCATTTGCATTACATATTTTGTCTGTAAAGATTTTGAGTGTTTCCTTCTCATGACTTTTTCCACACAGAGAGGTTAATGTGTGTGTGTGTGTGTGTGTATGATTTATACATATCGATATAGAAAGAAATGATAAACTTTCACCCAGCATTATATGATACCACTGTGTGCCCTGCTGTTCCTCCCTGACTTTAGTACTATGGCATGCACCCTGCCTGTACTAGCAGTTTCCAAAATTTCACTGAGCATCTAGGACAAGACAGGGAAACACGAAGAGGTCAAAGGACTCAGCATTGAAGAAAAAAGAGGACAGAGTTAACTTTACAACATCACTACTTATTAGGGATTTCCAAACTGTAATATTTTGAAATATTGGCACTTTGCTCAGTATGTGGGGCCCAATATAAAGAAATTTGTTAGGCCGAGAGTGGTGGCTCATGCCTGTAATCCCACTACTTTAGGAAGCTGTGGTAGGAGGATAGCTTTAGGTCAGGAGTTCTAGACCAGTCTGGGCAGTATAGCAAGATCCTGTCTCTAAAAAAAAGTTAAAAAGAAAAAATAGAAGAAAAGAAAGAAATCTATTTTATGTATACTTCAACATAGATATTTTCTGTTTGTTTTAAAAAGGTATGTTTTGATTATTATAAAGTCTTTTTCTACAACCATTAATCAGAAAATATTATTATGAACACCCATAATTGCATGTTCAATTGGTAATTTTGTTGTGTATTTTGTATATTTAAACAAATGCTGTCCAAATAGGGATTATCCCAATAGGCAGTGCAATCGAAACTCTTCCCTAGAATTCTCTCTCACTTTTCTCTACCTAAAACTTGCTCAACTTTCTTGACTCACAGGCTCCATTGTTTCCACAATTTCAGCCTCGTATTGCTCTCTGTATTTTCTGTACGCACATGTAGTCAGAAAATATGTCCGTTTTTAAGCTATATAGGCTCAACAACTTACCTTTTATGGGAAGCTTATATTCTTAATTTTTTCATCAGAAAAATCTTATGGCAAAATGGCAGTGCCTGTAAATGCAAATGAAATGTTCTATATATTTTAAATGCCCTTATGTTGAATGATTTTTTTAAAATTACTATTAAGTTGTAAGAAGCTCTGGGAATGAGCTCTCTCAACACCAAGTTACTATTTGCTTCTTTGGAATGCATAGACAGCTTTCAGTCAAAACAAACACCTTCTCCAGCTATTGTGGCACCTTTCTGGAGTGCAGATTATAATTATGCATAGCCGTCATTACAGATTTCATTGAGAAATCATGCCTTAACCAAGTGACACATTACTTCTTTTTTTTATTTTTTATTTATTTATTTTTTGCCCTGTCTTATGCTGCTGAGCTACTTCTTAAGAAAATAAAAATGTGATAATTAAAAGTAAAAATTACCGTGTTGAAAGATTTGATTCTAGCTCTTTCATTAAACTAGGAAACTCTTAAAGTATGGTTTTTATTGTGTAAATATTTTTTTAATTTGAATTTTTACCATAATATTATAGAAGACACTGGACCCCTCAGAAGATAGTTTGTCTTTTAGTCTCAGGCCTAAGTGGTAACATCTAGGGATATAATCTTGACAAATTACTTAACTTCCCTGAGAATCAGTTTCCTTATATGCAAATTAAATCTGTGATTTATATAATAGAGTTTTATGCAAATTAATTGAAAACACATATCTGAAAACACTGTTGGATCTTTATCCTGCTCTAATAAGACAAGTCATATCATTCCAATATTTACATAAAGGTTATTTAAACGATGCTTATTTAATACTTTATGCAAAACATTGAATTAGGCACTACAAGTGATAGACAAAAGAAGAAAACTATGGTACATCCTCTTAATATATTTACTGTTGTTAACTATAATGTAAGGAATTATCTTCTGAAAGATCAAATGCCACAAAATAAATATAAACAAAATATTCTGGTCATTGAAGAAAGAAACCAAGAATTCTTTCATTAGAATGTTGGTATTTGATATGCATTCTTTTTTATTTTATTTTTTTCTGAGATGGAGTCTCGCCCTTTTGTCTAGACTGGAGTGCAATGGCGCGATCTCTGCTCACTGTAACCCCCCCTCCCGGGTTCAAGTGATTCTCCTGTCTCAGCCTCCCGAATAGCTGATATTACAGGTGCCCACTACCACACCCGGCTAATTTTTTTTTCTTGCATTTTTAGTAGAGACGGGGTTTCGCCATGTTGGCCAGGCTGCTTTTGAACTCCTGACCTCAAGTGATCCACCTGCCTTGGCCTCCCAAAGTGCTAGGATTACAGGCGTGAGCCACCGCACCCGGACTTGATATGCATTCTTAAAGATGGAAAGATGATTGAGAAAGGATATTCCAGATAAATGAGACAGTAAAAACAGAGACATAAGGATACAATGATTGGAATATATTAGTAGAATAGTAAGTAGTTTAATAGGCCAGTACCATTTAGGGGTGTCATGGAGGATATGGCTACAGATGTTAGCTAAGTGTTATTAAGTCTAATTGTATATTTAATATACATAGGAGTGAAGCTTTAAAAAAAAGTTTCTGTATCTCTGACAGATACAGAATCGTTGAGTTTTAAAGAACAAGGAGATTTTAGATACCATTTTACTTCCATACATTTATTTCTCAGAGCTTTAAGTGACCTTTTTAAGACCACAAAGCTAACTATAAAGGAGGATTTAAAGAAACTCATTTTAGAAAAATTAATACTGCACCAGAGTGTATGTAAATGCCACAAATGATTAAGATTGGTTAGTAAAAACATTTAAGAAATCATTTCAAGTGATAAAACAAACCGTTTAATATGTGATGTAGGGTAATAAGAAATGCAACAAAAAAGATGTGAGGAGAGCTGGAAAAACAATGAGAGGAAGTGAAAGATGTTGACCAGGGTGTCTGGGAAAATTAAGGTACCTTCTGCAGGAGAAGGCAGACAAGGCAAAGAGCTGATCTGAAGTTGAATTAGTAAGTTCTGGTCAACATATGCAAAGTTGGAGTGAAACTTTGAAAAATCAAGAAGAGGTATTGAGTAGGCATTTGGGAAAATGAGAATTTCATAGCTCAGGAGAGATGGAGAATCTAGAGTGATATGTTAGGAATCATCTGCATCTATGTGAATCTATGGGAGTAAGTTGAGTTTTATCTAATTGTCATATTTTGGAAGCTCTTGTAAGAGCCTCCTTACAACACCTTTCTTGTAAGGTGTTGGTGAGGGGCTTTTGTTTTTCTTTATTTTTTTCTTCTACATTGTGTCCTATTTTTCTTAATATATTTTCCCTATTACTAGCTAATTTAAGATTACTTTAGTAACAACATAATAACCCTTGTGTTAAGTTAAATATTGAATAAAAACTCTAAGGAAAGAGATACATTGTTTTTATCTTCTTTATTTTACTTTTTTATATTTTTTATTTTTTCATAAGTTATTGCGGTACAGGTGATATTTGGTTATATGAGTAAATTCTTTAGTGGTGATTTGCGAGATTCTGGTGCACCCATCACCTGAGCATTGTACACTGCACCATACTTGCAGTCTTTTATCCCTCACCCGCTCTCACTCTTCCCCCCAAGTCCCCAAAGTCCATTGTCTCATTCTTAACGCCTTTGCATCCTCATAGCTTAGCTCCCACATATCACTAACAGCATACAAAGTTTGGTTTTCCATTCCTGTGTTACTTCACTTAGAATAGTAGTCTCCAGTCTCATCCAGGTTGCTGCCAATGCTGTTAATTCATTCGTTTTTATGGCTGAGTAGTAGTCTGTCATTTATATATATGTGATATATATGTGATATACATGCGATATATATGTGATATACATGTGATATATGTGATATATATGTGATATACATGTGATATACATATTATATATGTGATATATATGATATATATGTGATATATATGTAATATATGTGTGATATATATGTGATACATATATATGTGATACATATGTATGTGATATGTGATATATATATCACATATCACATATATATGTATCACATATATATCAGATGGAATACTACTATATATATGATGGAATACTACTATATATATGATGGAATACTACTATATATGTGATATATATATCTGTGATATATATATCACATATATATGTGTGTGTATATATATGTGTGTATATATATATATGTGATATATATATACCACAGTTTCTTTATCTACTCGTTGATTGACGAGCATTTGGGTTGGTTCCCCAATTTTGCAATTGCGAATTGTGCTGCTATAAGCATGCCTGTGCAAGTACCTTTTTTCTATAACGAATTCTTTTCCTCCTGGTAGATACCCAGTAGTGGGATTGCTGGATCAGATGGTAGTCCTACTTTCAGTTCTTTAAGGAATCTCTACACTGTTTTCCATAGCGGCTGTACTAGTTTGCATTCTTACCAGTAGTGTAGAAGTGTTGCCTGTTCACCACATCCACACCAACATCTACTGTTTTTTTTTTTTTTTAATATTTTGATTATGGCCATTCTTGCAGGAGTAAGGTGGTATTCCATTGTGGTTTTGATTTGCATTTCCCTGATCATTAGTGATGTTGAGCTATTTTTTTTTTTTTTTTAAGATGGAGTCTCGCTCTGTCACCAGGCTGGAGTGCAATGGCACGATCTTGGCTCACTGCAACCTCTGCCTCCCAGGTTCAAGCAATTCTCCAGCTTCAGCTGTTCCTTTTGCTGTGCAAAACCCTTTAGCTTAATTAAGTCCCAACTATTTATCTTTATTTTTATTGAATTTGCTTTTTGGGTTCTGGGTCATGAAATTCTTGCCTTAGTCTAGAAGGGTTTTCCAGTGTTCTCTTTTAGAATTTTTATAGTTTCAGGTCTTAGGTTTAAGTCATTAATCCATCTTGAGTAGATTTTTGTATAAGAAGAGAGATGAGGATCCAGTTTCATTCTCCTCCATGTGGCTAGCCAATTATCCCAGCACCATTTGTTGAAAAGGATGTCCTTTCCCCACTTTATGTTTTAGTTTGCTATGTTGAAGATCAGTTGACTGTAAGTATTTGGGTTTATTTCTGGGTTCTCTATTCTGTTCCAGTGGTCTGTGTGCCTATTTTATACCAGTACCACGCTGTTTTGGTGACTATGGCCTTATAGTATAGTTTGAAATCAGGTAGAGTGATTCCTCAAGATTTGTTCTTTTTGCTTAGTCTTGCTTTGGCTATACAGGCTCTTTTTTGATTCCATGTGAATTTTAGAATTGTGTTTTTTCTAATTATGTGAAGAATGATGGTGGTATTTTGATGGGGATTGCATTGAATTTGTAGATTGCTTTTGGTAGTATGGTCATTTTCACAATATTGATTCTACCCATCCATGAGCATGGGATGTGTTTCCATTTGTTGGTGTTGTCTGTGATTTCTTTGAGCAGTGATTTGTAGTTTTCCTTGTAGAGGTCTTTTGACTCCTTGGTTAGGTATATTCCTAAGTATTTTATTGTTTTTTTGCAGCTATTGAAAAAGTGGTTGAGTTCTTGGTTTGATTCTCTGCATGGTCGCTGTTGGTACACAAGCTACTACTGACTTGTGTATCTTAGTCTTGTATCTGGAAACTTTGCTGAATTCTTTTATCAGTTCTAGGAGCTTTCTGGAGTCTTTAGGGTTTTCAAGGTAAATGGTCCTATCATCAGCAAACAGTGACAGTATGACTTCCTCTTTACCTATTTGGATGCCCTTTATTTCTTTCTCTTGTCTGATTGCTCTGGCTAGGACTTCCAGTACTATGTTGAAGAGGAGTGGTAAGAGTGTGCATTCTTGTCTCTTTCCATTTCTTAGATGGCATGGTTTCAGCTTTTCCCCATTCAGTGTTATGTTGGCTGTGGGTTTGTCATAAATGACTTTTATTATATTGAGGTAGGTACCTTGTATGTCGATTTTGCTGAGAGTTTTAATCATAAAGGGATGCTGGATTTTGTCAAATGCTTTTTCTGCATCTGTTGAGATGATCGTGTGATTTTGGTTTTAAAATCTGTTTATGTGATGTATCACATTTATTGACTTGCATATGTTAAACCAGACTTGCATGTGTTAAATCATCTGAGATGCATTGTTTAATTCAACACTGTATTCTTAGAGCCTAGTACAATGGTTGGTGAAGAATACTTACGCAAAAATATTCTTTGAAATAACAAATGTTGCAATTTAAATCATAGTTGCATTCTATAACCTTTGAGATCAGTCTTCTAAAGGCTTTAAATGTTTAAATTCATAGCTATTTAATTTGTGTGAACAGTGCTCAGTTTTGTTTTAAATCTACCTTGTTATATGTTTGACTTGACATATTGCCACAAATAACCTCTTATTAAATGTGATTTAGATATACAATGAAGTAACTTCTAAAATTTGGACATTTTATGGACTATTTAAAGGAAGGTCTAGAATATTGAAAACCATGGCAAGCAAATATGTAATATCATGCTATTAAGTGGCAAATTTAACTGAAACATATTATATATTATAAATAACTGAATCATTTTGTAATATATATAGTAAGTTTTCAGAACTAGTTGATCTAGAAGCTGTTGCCCTGTGAAAATACTCTATATGTATAAAAAATATGTATTTCTTTTCAATAATAGATAAACTGATGCTTTAGGAATAATTCTTAATAATCGAAGTTTTTCTGAACAGGGGAGAAAACATTTTTTTCATGCGTTTTATACTGAAAGTCTGCCCTGTAGTGCTGTTGTGAGGGAACAGGATGGCAAAGGAATGTTCATATTGGTATGTTCTCATTTTCTCATGTTTGATCAACTGGATAAAGGCCTTTGTTAATTAAGTGAAAATCCATATTATTTCTTTCAATATGCCTTTGATTTAAAGTCACACATAAACTATGTCAACATTACTGGCACTCAATAAACAAACATGAGTTAAAGAAGAATTGTTGAAAGTATGCTTCGAAGGTAACTACAGAAGAAAAGCACTCACCAAGCAGTAGGTCTCCCCAAACAGAATTTTTCAAACCCCACACCTGTCTTTATGGTATCCTATGAAAAGGACCTCATGAGCAAACAGATGTTTGTGTGGGTGGCCTCGTCTTCGCTGTTCATGCCTTTTGATTGAATGCACTTATCCGTTCTGTTTCTGTCACTGCTAGAAGAGTAATGACCATGGGCCCTTGACCTTGGCAGTTTGGGATCTCAAACCTCAACTCTGAATTTTTACCCATTAAGCTTAGATCTTGCTCTCTGATTGAGATCACTTTAACTCTATCAAATGGAAACAGGATAATGTCTCTGTAATACTCAGCTTGGTGAGCAGAGCTCAGGCTATAGTTTTTACTATGTTAAGTCAGTTTTCTCTACCACATTGCCGCTGTGTTTTAAGGGGTGCAGTTGGATCTATTGTATGTCCAGAGCCACATGTTAATGGAAATATGATGGTGCTGCACTGTGAAAGGAGACATGATAGACATGGTAATGTGTCTTGAGGAAGAAATAAAAGTATCATCAAAATATTAAGGCAGAAATTCAAAAATAGTTGGCCATTAGGAGAAGGTTTATAATCTTTTATTAAAAATATTTTTATGATTATAAATTTATACCATTAAACCATGGTCATAGTTTACTTATAGTCATAGGTATAGTTTACTTTAATCATAAAAACTAACCAATAGTTCATTTATTCTTGGAAATAGTATTATTGCTGAATAAGTAGGATAAAAACACTAGTCTATACGTATTTGCTAAGCATACATATTACTAAAAGGATTATTTTAGAAGAACTAAGATATTTGAATAAAAGCTAAGTGGTCGTTCTATAGTCTTTTATATTTTATGCCTATTATTAATTAGAATATTGTTTCCCAAGTTTAAATGAGTTTATAGCACACAGATGAGACATTTTTGAAACCCGATTATTTTAAAAAAAAAAATAGTGTCTAGCAGACTTACAAAGGGACTCCTAAACCAAAACACATGTGAAAGGTGTTAGAGATTGCTAAATTTCAGTTCAGTTCAGAAACATTTTCTGTGCCAGCCAGCCAGCCAGCCACTGAGCTGTCATCACCAAATAAGGCCTCGTGGCTTGCCTCAGAGAGGAGCTTACCATGCAGTGGACTCAAAAGACAGCTAAATGGAGGCTGTCAGCAGACTGTGGCAACAGGAGGGTGCTAAGTTTGAAAATGTGTGCCGCCAAACTATTGTTAATATAGAATACACATACAGAAATCAGCTAAACTTTGCGTTTGACTTAAATCTTTTCTTTTTGTTTTCAACATATGGAATTCAGTTTATGCAGTTGTCTCGAAGTGATTAAGAGAACTAGTTGCTGTCCTGACTTAGAGAGGCTCTTCTGAGCATTTGTGAGCTTACTGGATCACCTGACACTTGGTAGAAATCTTTAGGATGAACTTGAAAATGATAGAGCAGAACAGGTATCCTCTCTAGGGAGCTCATCGGGTACTTTTTCAATACAACCACAAGCTGTAAGACAGGCATAACAAAACTTGATAATATACTTGTTCTAAACAGAAGGAAATGATTTCTACATCTAAAGGCATTAAGGAAAACAAAAAGTTATATAAATATGTATGTATGCATAAACATATAACTAGGATAAACCATTACAGTGGCTCATCTCTATAGGAAAAATAAATATGCTTCTTTGCACCTACACACACACAAACACACATACACACACACACCGTTCTTTTTTTTCTTGAGTTTTCACCACTTTATTTTTTTTTGGATTTATGGTCTAAGAACTAAGGTATGATGAATGCCTGTTTCACGAGGGAGTTTCAAAGGTTTCAAACGATAGGAAAAGATCAAGGAAAGAAAAGAAAAGCCTGAAAAGTTGAAAACTCTTGTAAAGTCTGAGTGTTATAATAAAGAGGACAAATGATGCACCTCTAACCGAGGGGCCCAAACTTTATCCTTTTTAAGATACCATTCTGTTCTACACATCTTGGGTTCAGTTATTCATATGGAGAATTACCTCGAATTCATACTTGCTCTATTTAAAGTGGGAACTAGTCTGGGCCAAAGTACATTTGCTGTAATTAAACACTCCAAGGTCACAAAGGAGGATGTGAAAAGCATGGCCTCTAATATGTATGCATTTTGAATGACTCAACCTGATATAACTCAAGCTTTTTGTTTCTGTTTATCTTAGGTATTTTAAAAATAGCCTTTTCATTTTGTGCACTCTCATTTGAGCATGTGTGATTTGTAAACACACAAAACTAATGCCTATTATTTATTTAATAATTTCCTCATCTTTAAAAATAGGAACTGGAATTCCTCCTCAAAATGTCTGTGGTTTTACAAATTTACAACCTAAAACTCTAATCTCAAACTATCTTAAGAGCAGTACTCTAGCTTATTGTAAATTATTCACAGTTTTTTTCAGTTTGGAATATATCTGGACATCTGTATAACTAAACATTTTCCTCTGGGATCTGGTATCTGGTCATCAGTTAAACCAAATGGAAGCCATACAGGCAAACATATTTGGTCTGTCATGATGTATATCAGTGCTTCTCAAACCTGCTTGAACCTCAGTATCATACGGGAGATTTTTTAAAGTATGCATTTTGAGCCGCACCCAAAGAAACTGTGATCTAGTAGTTTAGAGTACCTGTTTTTGTAAAACTCACCTGAAAGCCTTCCTCCTTATACAAATAACTAGGAGTATAAGCCATCTTGGATAGCAAATACCTAATATTTATTTTCAATATGTCAATGCTAGAAGTGTGATTGAGTCTTTTAGACACATAAAAATATTAAGGTAAATTTTAAGCCATATCATAACATAACAGGATTCCCCATATTATAATCTGATATCTGAATATTATAGAAGTTTTGGTATGGAAAAAAAAGGTCTATTTGAATGAGTTTTCCACTTTATGAACATAGAATATATTTGCCTATATTTAGAAACATCACATACAATAACAAAACATTAATAAGCATGACATGCAACTAAGACACTGTAAGTCTTTTTAGCAAAATTTTGAGCTAGTAAAAATTCTTGGTTTGTTTAGTTAGCAAAGAATATTTAGCTCTTTTACAAATTCTTCATACCAATTCTAACTTGTAACTAATATGATCAAACTATTTTCCCCAATATTACTCTCCTTTTATCAAGGGTCTAGAGAAATGAAATAGCTGACTGTGCTACCTAGAAAATAAGTTTTGATCGATTTAAATGCTTATAAAGATATTCTATTAATTTTTTACAAAGTATTTTTGAATGGGGAGAGACCCCTTTGTAGCACTTTATGGCTACTAATTAAAACAAAATCCTGATAAGCAATTTTCAAAAATTAACATATCTGAAGCAAATATTTTGTCTAATGATAAGCAATTCTGAGATGTCCTGGCTGAATTAGCAGTGAATCATATAATTTATACATTGGATTTTGTTTTTTCTCGTTTTTGTAATTTCTTGCCTTTTTAAAACTTTATTTTAACTGCTAAATTCTTACACAGTATTAATTTGGGGAGGTTTAAGAATATGTGGCATATGAGCACATCCTGAAAATTCAAATTTCCTTCATTAAAGGGCCCGTGTCACTGATGCCAAAACCTGCATGAGAGTGTTTATGTGCTCTTCTTGGGAAAATTGTGCAAATCATGAATTTGACCCTGTTAAGGAACACATATACACATATAACAAGGCAAATAAAACACATTTAATTCGGGAATTAATGAAAGGCAAAGGTGGAGGTCATGAGACACTTTTAAAAAATAGATATTGGTGATGAAATTTGTGAGGTTAGGACCGTAGTGACTGGTCCTCCCATTATGCAGTCGCATGTGGTTGTTAGAATGAAATAAGAGGGAGGAAGAAGGGAGGAAGGGGAGGATGGGGATAATGTTGATTTTCACTTCAAGGTTAATCCTGAGAACTGTAATTTTCATTCCAAATCATGGGGGAGGCAAATGGAATGTCCATTTAGGATGATAGCACCTTGAATTTCAGCCATACTTGGTGGCACAGGGGGCAGAATCTACCCTTGTTCTCCCAAGTCAGGACCTTTAGGCCCAGATTTAAGATTAGGTCCAGTTTCTTTTCAGCCTAGCTCATCAGCAGCAGAGATGTTTGTAGTGGATGAGTTTTATCTAGGAGCAGAAGTGTTGGTAAGATAATGAAATAATGTTTATAACATTTTTTTTCCAGAAAAGAGTTTATATTCGCAAAGCTCATTTGTTTATTAATCCTTTAAACTCCAAGCCTGAGGTGTAAGGATTTTTTTTTTTTTTCAGCATAAATTCCTATTCCAACCTAGTTTTTTTTTTTTTTTTTTTTTCCTTAACCAATGCAGAATTGTGTACACTTTGAAAATCTCTGGCTGGGCTGTCACCATGATGTTGAATGCTGTGCTGCATGGCAGTGCCAGCCTTTCTCTGCTTGTGCTAATCTTCATTCCTACCGGGTTATCATTTCGTTAGTTCACAGTTATTTCATATTCATGTTGCTTTTTTGTTCAGATGTGGATGTATTATTATATATAAGAAGTGGACGTGGTTTGCCTGCCTGCTACATGTAGAAGAGAATGAACAGAAAACATCAAATGTTCTAAAATGTATCCTCAAAGGGGTCATTTAAAAAAATTCAGATAATCTGTCAAATCCATTGTTATCCTGATATCTTTACAGAATTGGAAGAACAGTGAATTTTTACCTGCATATTTATGGTGAGCCCTTCAAAAAAATAATAAAAATTTAAAAATACTCCAAAAAATTTGATAACTATGTTTAATAAAAAATTCCTTTGCTAATGTGTGAAATACTATTAAAAACGATGTTATCTCCTTATATTTAATAGATGTGACCTTTTTTAGGAAGCAAGAAATACATTCACAAAAGCTCATCTTTTTCATGAATTCATGATTCTGAGACTGCTAACTCCTTGCCGAGTCTAGTTAAAACGTAACATGAATGATTGAGGGACGTTATTTTTTTAAAGAGCTGCATGTTGAAGTGAAATCTAAACACAAGCAAAAAAGTTAACTCCCCAGCTCAAACTAGTGTTAGGAGTGAATATTTCAAAGAAGGCAAATTATTAAAATTGTCATCTCCTTTTATTGTCACTACTAGTTGCCTTGTGTTTTGTATCATGTTGACTCCACTAGAGTCATCCAGCCTTGAGATTCAGAAGAGAGATTCTGAACTCAGACTGCCAGGGAGCCAGCCCTGATTCTGCCGTGAATGTGGGCACATTATTGAAACATTTCTGCCCTAGTTTCCTCAGATTAGGATAAAATAATTTTCATGGGGCCAGACGTAGTGGTTTACCTTGTAATCCCAGTGCTGTGGGAGGCCAAGGCAGGAGGATTGCTTGAATTCAAGAGTTCTAGACCAGCCTGGGCAACATAGCGAGACCTGTCTCTATGAAAAATTTAAAAATTACCCAGGAATGGTAGTGCTCACCTGTAGTCCTGGCTACTCCAGAGGCTGAATTGGGAGTTCAAGACTGCAGTGAGCTATGATCATGTCACTGCACTCCAGCATGGGAAGCAGAGTGAGACACTGTCTCAATAATAATAAAATGACAATAATAATAATTTTCATATGTGGAATGACCATCCATTATAGTTTTCCAAGGACAGTCCCTGTTTGTGCCAATTGTCCTGAAGTAATTACTGCTAGCTTTCTCCTTTCACTTTAAAATATGTTCCATTTTGGATAATAACTTATAGTCTTTTCATTTACATAGCTATTGTGAATGTTAAATGAGATGATCCGTAATCATGGAAAGGGCTTAGAGAAATATTGCTTATGAATATAAGATTATTATATTGTATATTATTCTAATATCAATAAAAGAATTGACAAGGGAAATCCAAAGAGCATGCATGCTTTAAATAGCATGGCCTTCCAAGATAGCTTCAAAATGTCTGTTGGCAAAAATCTGGTTACATCTTATCTAATATCTAAATACAGAAACAATGTTGTTCCATTTGTGGATCCACATTCCAAAAGTTTCAAACCACTATAGTAATGAAATGCAAACATAGAAAACAATGTTATTGGTAGAAATAGGTATAAAAGTTGTTCTTGGTCTTTCAGGCAAATATTTTAGGTGAACAGTAAGTTAGGTATTAGTCATAAGCTAACTGGATTTCGTTGTTGGATAAATACCCTCTCCATAAAGATGTAAAAGAGCCCAGATGGCCGCTCATTAATATAATGGATGCAGGTCTTGTACCCAACTGATAGGCACCGGTATACCTGTACTAATATTAAAATATTGGAAAACCCCAGGTGACTCTCACAATAATTACCTCAGCCCTACCCAAAAACCTTGGTCTCACCCAGGATCTAACAACTAAGAAGTTCAGTTGTGAGCCCAGTAGTGAGGCTCCAGAACTGAGTTCTAGTTTAAGACTGTCGTCTTTCTAATGGGAGGTATACCTATGCTGTTTACCTATGCTGTTAAGCACCTCCACTTGGCAAGAGGGAGTTGTTGCTTTCCAAAGCATGCTCAGTTAAAGGAACAGCGAGCCTCCCCTTTTCCTGTACCTTCATGAGCTGCCATTTAGTGCAAGTTCATATGGAGTCTGATCTAAATGTCTCTGGGCAAAGAAGAACAAATGGAGATCCTTGAAAAGGCTTTTTGTCATTTTCTTTGAGAGCATCTTTTTGGGGTACATAGAGTCTTCCAGATTTATGAGAATATTTTTATCAATAACCTTACCTAAAACACATAATGTATTTTTCAGGGTCATTGTGATGTCTCACTTATAAACATACTATATTAATTAGAGCAAAATAATTTTTACATTTCTCAATGACCTGAGTTTTATTTATGGAGCTTATAACAATAACTTTGTTTCTTTTTTTTTCTGTGAAATGATGTCCAAAATGAATCTCCTTTTTACATTTTTTTTATTTTTAATATTCATGGGTACATAGCAGGTGTGTATACACACACACACACACACACACACATATATATGGGGTACATAAGATATTTTGATACAGGTATGCAATGTGTAGTTATCACATCAGGATAAATGGGGTATCCATTGTCTCAAGGATTAATCCTTTTTGTTACAGACAGTCCAATTAGTCTCTTTTAGTTATTTTTAAATGTACAATAAATTATTGTTGACTGTAGTTAGCCTGTTGTGCTATCGAATACTCCATCCTATTTATTCTAACTGTATTTTTCTGCCCATCAGCCATCTCCACTTCCTCTCCAACCCCTCCTGCCACTACCCTCCCAGCTTCTGGTGACCATCATTCTATTGTCTATCTCCCTGAGTTCAATTGCTTTTATTTTTAGCTCCCATAAATGAGTGAGAACACATAAGTTTGTGTTTCTGTGCCTGGTTAATTTAAGTTGACATAATATCTTCCCGTTTCAACCATGTTGTGCAAATGACAGGATCGCATTCTTTTTAATGGCTGAATAGTTCTCCATTGTGTATATGTACCACATTTTCTTTATCTGTTTGTCTGTGGATGGACACTTGGATTCCTTTCAAATCTTGGCTGATGTGAATAATGCTGCTGTATACATGGGAGTGCAGATGACTCTTTAACATACTGATTTCCTTTCTTTTGCATATGTACCCAGCAATGGGATTGCTGGATCTTACGGTTGTTCTATTGTTAGTTTTTTGAGGAGCCTCCAAGCTGTTCTCCATAGTGGCTGTACTAATTTACATTCTCATCAATAGTATGGAAAGATTCCCTCTCCACATCCTCGCCAGCATTCGTTAGTGTCTGTTTTTTGGATAAAAGCCATTTTAACTGGGGTGAGATAATATCTTATTGTAGTTTTGATGATCAGTGATGTTGAACACCTTTATGTATATCTGTTTACCATTTGTTTGTCTTCTTTTGAAAAATGTCTATTCAGTCCAGGCACGGTGGCTCATGCCTGTAATCCCAGCACTTTGGGAGGCCGAGGCGGGCGGATCACGAGGTCAGGAGATCGAGACCATCCTGGCTAACATGGTGAAACCCCGTCTCTACCAAAAGTACAAAAAATTGGCCAGGCGTGGTGGTGGGCACCTGTAGTCCCAGCTACTCGGGAGGCTGAGGCAGGAGAATGGCATGAACCCAGGAGGCGGAGCTTGCAGTGAGCCAAGATTGCGCCACTGCACTCTAGCCTGGGCAACAGTGTAAGACTCTGTCTCAAAAAAAAAAAAAAAAAAATGTCTATTCAGCTTTGCTCACTTTAAAATTGGATTATTAGGTATTTTCCTATTGAGTTGTTTGAGCTCCTTATATATTCTGGTAATTAATCCTTTATTATGTGTATAGTCTGCAAATATTTTCTCCCATTCTGTGGGTTTTCTCTTCACTTTGTTGATTGTTTCCTTTGCGTGCAGAAACTTTTAAACTTGAGATGATCCCGTTTTTGCTTAGTGCTCATGGGGTACTACTCAAAAAATCCTTGCCTAGACCAGTGTCCTGAGAGTTTCCCTAATGTTTTATTTTAGTAGTTTCATAGTTTGAATCTTTTCTTTTGAAGAGACAAGTGAATAACAAGTGACACCGGCTACTGTATCAAGGGGATAACCATGCATTTCAAACTAGTAACATGAATAAGGTCAGGGTTGAAGCTGCTACAAGTAGCAGTAATGTGAAAAGCAGTGTATGAGAGAGTGTCCTGACTCTCCATAGGGATTTCTGTCAGATACCTACTGAGGGGATATAATAAAGGGGTTCGTCTGCTTCCAACCAAATGTGTCCAAGAGTCTTCTAGTTCCAGAGTGGTGATGAAATGCCTCATCTGTGGCAACACTCTGTCATTGTTTGCATTAGCAGCCTGAGTAACTCTGTATAAGAGTAACAAGCTCAGGCATTTAGAGAAGATCAAGGGTTTCAGAAGTGTGGAAAAACAAACCAAAACAAACGTTTTTCATGATATTCTCCTTCCATCATATTTTTATCATATTAAAATTAATATCTTTACTTTTATAGTTTCTAATGTAAATACAACTAAAATTAACATTGTCTTCTTTCATGAAAATGTACCACATTTTAGGCAGGTATATTTCAATTTGTTTTTACTAGTAGTGGATTATATTCAACTTTTTTTTTCTTTATCACTTGACATCATTTGTGGCCATTTTGTGCTGTGACTGCCTATCGCTGTCTACGTGTTATGATACCATTATCCATAAAAGGCAGTTTTTCCCCTCCTGCTTAATGATGCCCTCTCAGCTGATTCTGGCACTCAGTTAGGTCTTGCTCCTTTGAAACCATAGTTAGTATTGTCAGTCATACTCTGTGGTAGGCTAAGTAATGGCCCCATGAATGATGTGCTCATCCTAATCTTTAGAAACTATGAATGTCTTTTTTTTTTTTTTTTTTTTTTTTTTTAAAGACAAGAGTCTTGCTCTGTCACCCAGCTGGAGCGCAGTGGCACGACCTCGGCTCACTGCAACCTCCGCTTCCCAGGTTCAAGCAATTCTCCTTCCTCAGCCTCCTGAGTAGCTGGGATTATAGGTGCCTGCCCCACGCCTGGCTAATTTTTGTATTTTTAGTAGAGATGGGGTTTCACCATGTTGGTCAGGCTGGTCTCGATCTCCTGACCTTGTGATCTACCCACCATGGCCTCCAAAAGTGCTGAGTTTACAGGCATGAGACACCGTGCCAGGCCGAATGTCATCTTACATGGCAAAATTGACTTTGCAGATGTGAATAAATTTAAGCTCTTGAGATGGGAGAATTATCCTGGATTATCTGGGTGAGCCCTAAATGGAATCACAAGTGTACTTATCAAGAGAGAGGCTGAGAAACTGACACAGAAGAGAACGAAAAGACAACATGACCACAGAGGGAGAGATCGGAGGGAGGTGGTCTCAAGCCAAGAAATGAATAGAAGCTGGAAGAAGCAAGAAACAGATCCCCAAAGCCTCCAGAGGGACTGCAGCCCACCTCAACTTCAGTGTTAACTGATTTTATACTCCTGGTCTCTAGAAGTGTGAGAGAAAAAATTTTGTGTTTTAAGTCACCACGCCTGTAGTAATTAGTTACAACAATCACAGAAAACTAATATACACTGATTCAGAGATTATGCATGCATCGATTTAATACTCTTTCTTTTAGAAAATATAATTATCAACAAATGAGCATAGATACAGAAAAAGTACAAAAATCTTCAGTATGTATGACATACCACACTAGTTAGCAAAAGATACCATACTTGTCTAACTACCGTGCAGGCTGAAAAATATGTCTAGACCCTTTTTGTCACTCCGGTGACCGTCTCCTCCCTTCTCCCTGAATATAACCACCAGGATTACTTCTATGACCATAGATTACTTTTGCCTTTTTTTGAACTTTATGTAAATGGAATTGCATAGTATATGTTATTTTGTGTATGACTTATTTTGCTTAATGTCTTGAGAGATTCACTGGCATTTTTATATGTAGAAGTAATTAATTCTTTTTTATTGCATTGTAAGAAAAATGCAATAATTTATTTACCCAGTCCCCTGTTGATGGACATTCATACCATTTCCGTTTTAGAACTATCATGAATAAGACTGCTGTTAACATTTTACACACATCTTTTGGTATATAACTAGAAATTGAATTGTGGGGTCATTGGTATATATACATTCAAATTGAGTAGATAAAGCCAAACCATTTTCCAAAATGGTTATAGAAATTTATATTCCTTCCAAAAGTATATGATAATTCTAGTTGTTCTGTGTCTTTGATAAATCTTGGAAATAAACAGCTTTCTTTTTTACCATTATTTAAAAACAAAGTTTGAGCCGGTCATGTAACTATAGAGTAGTGTATCATAGTTTTCGTTTATATTCTCTGGATTATATTTGAACACTTTTCAGTTTGTTGGTCATTTAAATATCTTGTAAGACATTTATTTGAAGCATTGCCCATTTTATTTTAGTTTGTATTTTTTTAAATTAGTTTCTAGGAGTTTGTTACACATTCTCAGTATGAGCCCTTTATAGATTATATGTGCTTAGAAATCTTTTCTCATTATTTGTATTGCTTTTTCACCATATAATGGTAGTGTTATATAAATGAATATTCTAAATTGTAATGTATTCTAACAAATCATTCTTTTCTTTATGATTTGTACTTCTTTGCCCTATTTAAGAAACATTTGGCTATCACAAGACCACAAAGATTGTCTCCTATTTAATTCTCCAAGAGTTTTGCTGTATAACTTTATACTTAAACTTCTGATAGACTTGCCTTCCAGAAACAATATGCCAATTTATATTTGCACCAACCAAGAATATCTGTTACTCTGTACCCTCACTTATAGTGTTTATTTTCTTTCTTTTTGATCCTTCAGTTATGAAAAGGTGCATCATTATCTAATATATTCATTAATGCCCGTCTTTAAGAACATGTATTTTTATGCATATACATTTGTATGCATGAAATAGAGATAATGATAAAAGAAACTTATAGTTGATCAGTTTAAAAACAAAATATTAAGGATTTACAATTAAGGAAAAGTATTTTGTCAGCAATGGTGATTTTCTTTTTATGTAGCTGTCTACTCAGCAAAAGCATCGGAGTTTTACTAATGGCCACTGTTGCTAAAACTTAGTGTTGCTACTTGTTGGGTTTGAAATTGTAGGTGGAAAGCTGTGTGTAAATTATATAAAATGAAGTCAAAGTATATATTCTTGTATTCTTTTTATGCAGAACAGTAAAGAAGATTACTGTAGAAGATTAAGCAATTATCCACTCATGGTAGAATTAGGTAGACATACTTAAGGCTAAATTTAGAAACTTAGCTGCAAAATGATGTTTTGTATGACATTCAAAAGCTGGATTAAAAGGCAGTAAAATCTCTTGCGTTAAGAAACGTGTTGCTGTGAAACTTGAGGAGGGAAAGGGTGTTGAAGTGGGTTTATAAGAGATCTTATCATCTCTCCATGTTAGAGTCTGCGTTCGATTTAAAAGAGGGCATCCAAAGTGAGAAAAAGAATTTTTCTATCTAAATTTTATAACAAAATCACCATGAATAAAACCACCGTAAATTGAAAAATAAAACGAAAACATAGACTGAGAAGACTAGCTTCTATAAAATACATAGTTTGCATAAATAATATGTAGGAAAGAAACACTAAATTAAAATGAGATGAAAGAATGGAGAGAAAGATGCTCTCAAGAAAATTTTGGACTGGACTGTTTTGCTTATGTTTTCTAAAAATACTTGCTGGAGAAACAGAGTATAAATCCTTTGAAGAATAAAAACATCAAAAACTGGAAGAGGGATGGGACTAATAATTGTTTTATCCTTTTATAAAGAAGGCTAACTTTATTTTTTCAAATGTTGCTAGGAGAAGAAATGTTTAGCAGGGTGGAACATGGGGCACCATGACGTGACCTTCAGTGTTATTCAATGTCCAGCATATGTAGGCATGAAGGTGGTCAAGTTATCGTCTAGTAGATAGTATTTTTCCATTGCCAGATTTTATTTACTGTTTTGTACTAGATAGAGGAGGCAATTATTTACTATTGCACTATTTTTGTAGGTAGAGGACTACAATCAAGAGAGTATGTGACTTTCCTAAGGTCAAAAATTAGAGCTTGCAGTTCAGTTGTGAGACTAAAAGGAGGGAGCATAGTCCCAGTCAGAATCTCAAGGGAGACATGACTTGGAATAGTTTTCTCTTTATTGTCCTGAACTTTAGTTATTGGTGCTGATTTTCATTCTGAATATCTAATTACAGCAAACTAGACATACTCAAATTCAGATGTAGTTAAGTTTACATGCTTAACCATTATTCAGAAATTGCGTAACTAACTCTGAGACACTAGAATTAGTTGCATGTATAGCAAAGGAAATATCAGGAAAGAAGGAGCAGCATATTATACGTAAAATCTGAAAGCATTCAAAGTTTATGTTGGGGTAGGAGTTAGAGGTAGTTTTAGAAAATCTTGAAATCAGAAAAGACCAATGCTGGAAACGATCTTACTGATTATTTAGTTCAACCCCTTCATTTGCAGATGCTAAATTTGAGGCTGAATGAGATGATCTGCCTCAGAGTAAAAAGCTGATTGTATGAACAAGGTTGTTGTTGTGCCCCCTCTCTGTCTAGCGTATGCTTTCTACAATGACACCTTGCTTGTTTGTAGCCCCAGTGGCTCTTAACACCAGTTGCCACAGTCAGCCCTATATAGATTTCTTATTACTGGAAGATTTGCTGACAAATTATATTGTGGATTCATTGTCTGTCCTAAATGCTTCAAAAGCAAAATGAGGATGCCAAGCGAGTTTGTTACGTTTGGAAAGGGGAAAAAAAAACCTACTCAATGCCAATGTTGTTTAAGTATGTTCCTCTGTAGCTGGCAGAGAGTGCCAACAGTAATTACCAGTCCATAATACAATAAATGTGGAAAATGATAGTGTATCTTTAGGACATGTATAGCAATTTGACAAAGTAATATCTACCAAATCTAATGTTAAGAAATTTGGGCTTGTATTTGCGTGGCTGAATTAATGTTTATTTACCTGGAAATTTACTCTTATTGTATACTACAGTAACAAAACGAAGACACAGAAACACTTCTTCACCACTGAGCATTCGAGAGTGATCTATACCATTCTTTCATCAAATTTGCTCTGTGGTGAGTGACAAATACCCAAAATATGGCAGCACTAAATGCTGAGATGAATAATCCATTCTCTCCTTGTTTCTGTCTCCCTCATCCAAACTGGGTAGAAAATTGAAGGTCTTAGCCAGGTCAACCTAAACAGTTTTCTTTGAACAGGCACAGCCTTCCAGTCTCTCTAAACTATTCTGAAGTTTCCTGAAATAAATAATAAATTTTGTCCAGCACACTCAGACTTGTGGGGTAAATTAGTCTGAGGTTGTATCTAAAGTGTGTAAGAATGGACATGTACTCAGTATACAAAAGGAGTACTGGAGGGAGGTGTTACCGTGGAAAGAACTTTAGAGTTCAGCTTTCTGGAGTTCTAATCCTGGCTCTGCTGCTCTTCAGCTATAATTGATCAACACATACTTAACTCCTCTTAAGTGTAGTTTCTTTATGTATAAGATATGAAATACAGTGTATGCACGTCATAGTGCTGTTGCAAAGTTTAAATGTATGTAATTACAATTAGTTATCTTGGCACCAGTAAAATAGTGTATTATTAAATAAAGGTGAGCCATTTTCGTCATTTCTCACAGGAGAATCAGGACAGTCTTTATATAGATAGTAGTATCAATTAAGCCTTAAAAACATGGAAAAGGGGCTGGGCACGGTGGCTCACACCTGTAATCTCAGCACTTTGGGAGGCTGATATGGAAGGATTACTTGAGGCCAAGAGTTCTAGACCAGCTGAGCAAATAAACAAAAATTGGCCAGGCATGGTGTTGTGTGCCCGTAGTCCTAGGTACTCAGGAGGCTGAGGCGGGATGATCCCCTGAGCCCAGGAGTTAGAGGTTACAGTGAACTGTGATCGTGCAACTGCATTCCAGCCTGGGTGACAGAGTGAGACCTTGTCTCAAAAACAAACAAACATACAAACAACGAAAAGTTAGCAAAGCAAAAAAGGCACAGCAGACTAGTATGAATATGGCTGAGAAGCATGACATAGCATGATGTTTTCCAAACAATACAGATAGCTCTATTGTAGGTGCATAAAGATCAAGGAAAAAATACCAGGCATCAGGCTGAGGAGGTAGCAAGGGTCAGGTCATGAAGGGCTGTGTTTAACATATTTGTAGGCATGAAATTTTCCCTTTAGATGAGACATTTTTCTCCTAGGCACATAGACTACCCTTATGGGATACTTGAATGAATTTCAGAATATCAGTGACACCCTGAATTTGCATGAAATATTTTATGACTATGACCTATATGAAATTTTTGAGAAAAAGAAAGTCCATTGCATTTGCTACTTTCTTAAAGTAGGCATGACTTCTCAGAACTATTGGTTAAAAAACAGGAAGTCATTGAATTGATTTCAAATGGGACAGAGTGAAAATGTGTGAAAGCATGGTCATGTTTAGTGTTTGGGTGGTAAATTAATTCAGATAGAAGCACGAAGCTGATGTGAGAATTCCACATGCCTTGTAGGGTAGGGTCCTAGTCATTGTACTCCCAGCACACAGACTGCCCCTAGTGCCCATGGTTTTCCACCATTCAATAAATATTTGAACAAAGAAGGAAACTAAAGACAGGAAGAGCAAGTAGAAGGCTCATGCCATTTTCCATCAGAGATGACTAGAATTGATATGTGTCTAGAATTGAGTGATAATAGAAATGGAGAGAAAATGACAGATATGAGAGACATTTTAGAGGTAAAATCAGCAAGGCTCAGCAGCTGATTGGTAGGCTGGGAGGGAGGAATGGAGCATGATTTTATTGTTTGTAGGTTGAATATGGATGCTGGTGCCATTCGCTGCTTGTCTTTACAGGCATTTATCATATACTGCCTTGTATTCTAGTGTTGTGAGTATGCTGTCTCTCTCCTTGAAGATGGTTTTATTTTTAAAAAGTCTTAATACCCTCCATAGCAGTTGGCTTACTGATGTCCACCTAAGAAGTACTCAGGAAATGCACGTTTCAAAAAAAGTGAAAGATGACACAGAGGGTGTGATCAACTTCCCAGTATCTACAGAAATGTTTACCTTTTGTCTCCCATTTCCAAATTTCCTGTCAGTTTTAGCCTCACAATAGTTTTCAGTCTGCGTGAGGGAACAGTAGGGTTCTGGGAACTTTTCTTAGATTGAGTAAAAAGCTGAGCCATGTGGCTACCCTTTGTAAACAGTGGAGGGGGAGAGGTCGTATCAACAGGGTTGGGGAGGCCCTGCTGGAGATTCAACAAGAGCGGTTTCTCACTGATGAGTTCACACTTCTGGATTCTGCTTTCATTTGGAAAATTCTCCTCAAGCGGCGAGATCATGAACCCCCTGACAAAGGAAAGACATTTCACAAAGATACAAAGATTTAGAAGGACACTTCCATGGTGCTTGTGTTACACACCTTGAAAACTACTGCAGCAATGTGCTAACTCCTTAGCACATTTCATGCATTTTCTCAAAAAGACATGGTTCATTGATGGTCGAGTTTGCACTGACAGAGTAGAAAGGTGATGTATTGTGTTGGAAAGGGCAGTAGTTCTAGAGCCAGAAACACATCATTTTAATTTTCTCCCACTGGCCATTTTTACTTGTGTGACCTTGAGAAAGATAGATCTGACCTCTCTGAGGAATATTATTATTATTCCTTAAATATGAGAATAATGATCACAGTCAATATTTTCTGAGCAATGTAATGTACCTGGAACTGCTCTGCTTTAATTTATTAATTTACTTTATCTTAATTAGGAACCCATGAGATTGATAATATCATTACCCCCATTTTACAAGTAAGTAAACTGAGGTTCCAAGGAATTAAGTAACTTTGCTAGATGATAAAACAAGTAAGTGTCAAGCTCAGGGCCCACACTCTGAACCACTGTATACCAGGTAGGACTGTAATGAGGATAAATGTTAATTTATGTAAAATCTTAGAAAATATTATTGGACAAATGTTTGATTCAATATAATCATTAGTAATATTAATATGACAATTGGTCAGATAGGTTTTGCTGGGAGAACTGTTGGATCTCAGTTTATAGCATAACACTGGCACTGTCCAATACGTTTATTTTTAATAAGCAACTTACATATTTCGTATGTGCATTAAAATTTGAAGACTGCAGCTATACTCATGAAAAGTGATGGAGACCAAGTGCCTCAGCTGAGCATATTCTCATCCTCCATGGGGACAGGAGAGTGTGGACACTGGCACTTAAATTCAAAATGTGGGAAAGGTACCCATGATTCATCTGCAGTATTCTTATATATTTAATGGAGAAAATAATAAAACTTGGTTAATAACATTTTTGTAGAGAGTAAATGAGGTAGTGCTTGTAAACTCTTCTTAGACACTTTATAGGTACTTTGTATGTTCTCAGTAGGAATTAGGTAGTGTGTGGTAACTTAAATTAGGCAGACTGGGTAAAGAGTAAGAAAACTTTTCCTCTCATTTACTTTTGTGTTGTAATAAAAATTATTTTTCTTAGAATCTTGAGATATCATAATGGTTTTTATTGGTGCACTCATTATATTTCAATACAAATTAATATTAATTCAATAGATTTTTATTTAGCAGGATTAATTTAGAAAATAACTCTGGAGTAATGCCCTAAAGCTAGTGTACAATTATCCTGTTTAAAATTGAAACTCTTGTCTTTGCATGGCTAGACTACCAGTTGTGAGTGATAGCTATTATGCTCCAGGTGTTTCACACTTACTTTCTCATTCAATTAGCACAATGGTCCCATGAGATAGGTATTTTTTTCTTCATGCATGTGGGAACACTTAGGCACTAATAATTTAAGTAAGTTGCCTAAAGCCACACAGCTAGTCAGATGCAGTGCCAAGATTTTAGAATAGATTTGTCTTCAAAAGCCAGACTTTGTTCCAGGAAAATGCATTAAGCTAAAAAAAACAACACAAAGAAAAAGAGTCTCATTTTAATTTTTAATTTGTGCTTTAATTGATAGATAATACATAGAGTACATGTGATATTTTGTCACATGCATAGAATGTGTAATGATAGAGTCAGGTTATTTGGAATATCCATTATCTTGAGTACTTATCATTTGAATGTGTTGGAAACGATTCAGGTCCTCTCTTCTAGCTACTTTGAAATATGTAATACATTGTTGTTAACTACAGTCATCCTACTCTTCTATAGAGCATTAGAACTTATTACTTCTATCTAACTCTATGTTTGTATCCATTAACCAACTTCTCTTTATCTGCACCCCCACCCACACGCCCCTCCTAACCTCTAATTTCATGTTTTAGGCTAAATTGATTTTTGGACTGGAAATGTACTAACTTGAATTAATTTTACACCTGGATGTGAAAATATAATTTTGTTCTTTTCATATTCATTGTCGATGAAGTAACAAAGCTTGCAGAGTTTTAAAATTAGGGAATACAGTTTATATGTCTCTGATGAAAAGAAACAGAAAGACAGATTCTGCACTAGAACCCTGTTTATTTGCTCTTCTGATTGTATGGCATAATGTGGCTTGTTTGACTTAATCTTGTAAAGTTACTTAAATTGTTTAATGTTCAGTCCCTCAAATAACACCACCCCAGCTATCTATAACTCATTTTGCCTAGTAAAATGTGTTGCTTTTTGAGATTCAGGAATGAAAATGTCTGTAAGTCAGTGAAGTGAAGCTTCCCTCTGCATTAAAAAGGTGACCATGAGCTGTTAATACTTAGGTCAAACTGGATTTCTCATGGTTTCTCATTTCCTCTTTTAAGTGCGCCTTATTTCCACCAAAAGATTTTACTGAAAATTAAAAAGAAAGTCATGGCTAATGTTTGTCTCAATGGGGTAGCAGCATTTTGTAAAATAAATAAACTTTGAGTCTCATATTCTGCTATTCTTCTTGAAGTACATGCAAGAATGATAAATATTATGTTTCCAGAGCAAAAACAGCAAAGTGCAACACTGATCTCTTTTGAAAGCTTGAGTGATGCCATCTCCAAATACCATCACGTGAAATTTGGAAACAAATGGTTTCGCAGTCTAGCACAAAGGAAAGAGAAATGTCTTGGATATACATTGAAAAGCCATTGTGTATATGATAAGTCTTGGGCTTTCAAAGCTGCAGGAAACATGGTTGCATCCTTTGTGCTTCTCTTGAAAAGAATTAAAGGGTGGCTCTATTACTATGTAGAAGCCCACTCCCAAGGACTGTTTAAATCTCTGCTCCAGCCGCTGAGCACTGCAGAGTCACTGACCTTGTATTTTAGACAGTGTCAGAGGGAGAGAGACAAGAAAAAAGGAGAAAAGGGAGCTTCTGCGTAGAATGACTGACAAATGTGTTTAAAGTTAAATGAACATGTCTTCACTGTCCTCTGCAGTTCTGCAGACTTGTTTTTTTGTTTTGAAGCCAAATGTAGTAACTTGGCTAAACAATGAGTCACATTGAAATAAATAATATTTAGATAAAGTAGCTGTCTTTTTAGGAAAACATCTCCCCATCTCTTTGTTCATAAAGTCTGGGCCTTTAAATTTGAGGTTTTATGGTATATAGTTTATAATATTTTTCCTGTGTTCAAAAGAAAATGAGTTTAAGAATGCATCAAGTGAAAGCATAGTTCAAGAATTTTTGCTGGTGGGGAGAGCTGAGTTTTTAAATATCAAATAGTTTGTCTTACTGAAAGCTGTGGGTGGTCCTCCATCATTCTGAAGGAATCTAGAGATGGGGATTTTTTGCCAACATATAGCTGTTTTCCAGTTAGATGCTGATGTTTCTGTCATTGCCTAGTTCAGCATTTTATTAGGTGCAGTGCAGCTAGACTCCTGTATAAGAATATATGTAAATTACAGTGGTCTGCAAGGAAAGTTTGCATAGCCTGATTCTTGATCAAAGGGTAATTACAGTCCTTTTAACTGACAGGGCATTGAAATGAGCCCCCAGGATTATGAGAATATGTATAAGTTGCATTTTTGTCAAGACTTTTTTCTACATTTATTTATTACTATGCAGGCACACAATAGTTTAAGAATACAAAATATTTTTATTCTGCTTTACTCACTTAATATTGTATCATGAAGCAATCTTGCTCTCAAGAACTCTTCATTAAGCAGAATTATCTTTCTAGCAAACTTGTATGTGATCATGGCGGGTACTTGCTCGGATTTGTTTCATTGGCATCTGAAGTGACTTGGGAAAAATTCAACCCCTATGGTTTGACAGTCAAGAAATTTGGATCTTTCTGTGTTGGTTGGCTCCTTGTTTCTGCTGAGAAAACCCCACTCCATTCCGCTTCTTGATCAACCCTGAGACTTCTAATCATCCTTTGAATCTCCCACCTGAGGGTTTCTACGCAAACTTTTTCTACTCCCTGGAAAATGCTTATTTCTTTATTAGCTCAACTTTATCCTTCAGGTCAAAGTTTACATGATTGTTTCCACAGCCATGATGTAAAGCCCTTGTCTTAAACACTTACCCTCCCTTTTACTATACTTTGTGCATTTATTACTGTGATTTTAGTATAATATTGAGTGGCTTAGTTAATATTTATTGAATGGAGAAACAAGATCAAGTACTTCCTTCTGTCTAATATTTTTCTGTTATTTCCAGGAAGACTTAATTCTTCATTCTTTAATGCTCCTCAATTTTTGGAGTCATCTTTTTACACTGCAGTTGCTCGTGTACCTCCACTTTAGACTCTCCTGTTTGAAAGAGAGACCAAATTTTTGCATATTTTTACCTAGCTCCTGGCATTTACCATCGCGCTCTCTCTCTCTCGCTCTTTTTTTTTTTTTTTTTTTTTTTTTCCTGGAGACAGGTGCTCTGTCACCTAGGCTGGAGTGCAGTGGTGCAATCACAGCTCGCTGCAGCTTCTACCTCCCATGCTCAAGTGATCCTCCTACCTCAGTCTCCTGAGTAGCTGGGACTACAGGTGCATGCCACCAAGCCTGCAGATTTTTGTATTTTTTGTAGAGACATGGTCTTGCCATGTTGCCCAGGCTAGTCTCTAATTCCTGGGGTCAAGTGATTCACCCGCTATTGCCTCCCATAATGTTCGGATTACAGGCATGAGCTACCACACCTGGCCTTTTTACCATCTATTGAATGAATGAATAAATATATGTCTCAAAGAATATTTCTGTTTTGTATACAGCCTGCTGTGTTATGTATAAACACAAGCAGTATGTCATAGAGAGCTGTGGGCTGTGTTATGTATAAACACAAGCATTGTGTTATAGAGAGCTATGGGCTGTGTTCAGAACTTTATGAGGGTGAGAGGGACAAGAGACTTCACTAAGCACATAGGATCTCCTATTCTTGCTATAATTAAGTGTGCTGACTAAAAGTACCCACTGGAAGCCCACAATATGGTCAAGGGAGTTTTATTGAAAGCATCCAAATCCAGCAAATAGTATAAATTTTGTGAAAGACTAGTGTTAAATGTTGCTTTAAGACTCTTTCCATATGTGGTTCCAGTGTGGTCACTTAAGGGATGTGCTTGGGGAATGGCGTCTATTAGATTCTCGGTGTTCTGGGGTTTTGCTGACATGATATACCATGTCAGGTCATCATCCTTCCCCAATGCACACACATTGGTCTGAAATATTGACTGTCTTTATATTTCTGTCCCACCATCCAAGGACTTTGCTATAAATGTTTTAAAATATATCCCTACAAGTCTTATTGTTTGTGAATGACCTTTAACACTTGTTTCCATATTGAATATAGCCTGCTTTTATGACTTTAGCACATGAGAAAATGTTTTCCGTATCTTAACATTTTTACACAAAAAAAATTTTTAATGACAGTGTAATAGTTTATTTAGCAGAGGTACACTTATTTACCCTGAGCTCCAGCTGATACCACATTTCTCTTCTGTGCCCACTTTTTTCTCTGTCTGTTGTCAGGTATCTGCTTTTGTTTTGTTAACCATCCTGGAACCACTGTTCTTGAACACCTTGCCTCAAAGTAAAGCTTTTTCAGAAGTGCCAAGAGGTCTAGAAAGCAGGTGTCAGATGAAGTGTTTCCTCCTCTACAAGTTTATCTGCCTTGTTTATATCTCAAGTGGACACTCTGAAACTGAGGCCTTCCTAGAAGTATGAATATCATTGATACTGATAGCTCATCTGTGTTGTCCTTATATAGATTAGTGATAAGTTCAGATTTTATTCTACTTTTTAGAAGTAAGTTACTGCCAGTTCAGTCTCTCATGACATCTGAGATATTCCCTAATTGTGTATTCTTCCTACCCTGAGATAGAATCCAGACAGTACTTACCATACAAGGAACAAAAGATTGGCCATGTCTTCCAAGTGAGCTTAGAGAAAGGGAAGTCAGAGTTTAGAATTCTCTATTTAATTGAATTACACAACACAAGTAAAATATGTTTTTTGTAGGTGATAAGGTGTGGCTCTGTGTCCCCACTGAAATCTCATCTCAGTTGTAATCATCACGTGTCAAGGGAGAGAACTGGTGGGAGGTAATTGGATCATGGGGGCGGTTTTGCTCATGCTATTCTCAGTGAGGGGGTTCTCAGGAAAGCTGATGGTTTTAAGTGTTGCACTTTCTTGCTCTTTCTCTTTCTCTTGCCACCATGTAAGAGGAGCTTTGCTTTCCCTTTGCCATTCACCATGATTGTAAGTTTCCTGAGGCCTCCACAGCCATGTGAAACTGTGAGACAATTAAACCTCTTGTATATGAATTGCCCAGTCCCAAGTACTATCTTTGTAGCAGTGTGAAAATGGACTAATATAGTAGGGGAACAAGATAGCCTTGCTTTTGGTTTAGCTTCATTTTTCTAGAAAATACACAGTTGTATTACTGTGGCTATGTTTCTAAGATTGGTTTTTACATAGACCCCTTTTTCCTACAAGATGTATAGTAATATGAAGGATTACATTAGCTTTACAGATATCCCACAACAATAGATAATATGTGTAAGCAGTGAAAAAGGAATTATTTTTATAGACATTTTGTTGCTATACAGAACATTAGAGATTATTCTGGTTCCAAAATATTCTCATTCTTTTTTTATATTGTAGATGCAGGACCTAAGGGGAGTGCTCTGGAGGGTGGTGTTGGGGTAAACCCTGTACCAGCAAAAGGTGAAACTAAAAATTTAACCTTGGTCTACTATTTCCAAAGCCAAGCCTTTTGCCTTCCCCAGCCATACACACCCTACTTTTTAATAGTGATAAAGTATTAATATTTCATGTAAACCATGATTTTCTGAAATTTGATGGCATTTTTTCCATTTGATTGGTTTATGCTCATATTTTTAATTCACCATGATTAAAAATAATAAAAATCAATATAGCAAACAAAAAAATGGTAGAATGTGAATGAACAAAGACCTGTGTTTCATGTTTAGAGTCAATTTCCACTTGAAAACTGTACAGAAACAAGGTAGGTTTCAGCAAGTCATAGTGTAGTCCCCTACCCCACAATCCAGGACATTGTAGACCATTTCAGATGACCTTCCAGGCAGCCTTCAAGAGAAAAGAAAACCAAGGAGGGAAAGGAGCAAATTTATCAGCGAACCTGAGACCTGACTTTGTCTAAAGGATCGAGAAAGCTTTTATGAGACAGCCCTGTTTAAATTACATCAAAACTATTGGTCACATTATAAGTAGGAATTAGAAAAAGGCAGGAAGAATTTTATAAGCAAGAGGAACAACATGTACAAAGGTCCTGAGGCCAAAAAGGAGCAAGGCAAGTTTGAAGTTTTAAAAAGAAGGCCAGCAGAGCAAGAACAAAGAATAGGCCAACAGTGATGATTAAGATTTGTGGTAAGGTAATCTGGAACTAGATCATAGGAGGCCTGGAGGGCCATGTTAACCCTTTCCTGTTTGCCCCAATAATCCTTGCAGCTGCAGCATTTACCCCAAGGTAACTTTGCCACAAAATATCTCGCTTTCATTATTATTTTCGCATCACTCTAGTATATCGACTTAGGAAACAAAAGACTTATTCTATTTATAGTATTCTGTTTTTAGTAGTGGTATTTCAATTCACAAAATACGGTAATTCTCGATTCCTGAAAATGTCAAATCCCAGAAAACTTAGCATTCCTATGTGTTAACATCTTCTTGAACAGTTGTTGGCCAAAGATTGATTTGATTAATCCGACGTTTGTGAAATAGATGATTCTGAAGATTCAGATGATTCTGATGCTAGTTCTGTGTAGAAATAACTGCAAGAACAGTTTTATATTTTATTTCATAGTGAAAATCAGTCAGACTTGCTTCAGCCCCAAACAGTGCGTTTATGAAAAATTAAAGGAGCACTGACAGCATGCTCCACTTTTTGTTCTAAATGGGAAAGGGTTAAAATTTTGAAATTTTTACTAAAACTAATAGAAAACCATTCAAGGTAATTAAGAGGTTGCTTAAAAGTAGAGCAGCCATATAATTTAACTTCCAAAACATGAATCTTTTGAGAATGAAAGAGGGCACTAGTGATAATTATGCTGGGGAAATGGGCACAATCTGGGGCTGTCTGGGGCAAACCAGGGCGAGAATCATTGTTTCAAGACACCTGTGCATTTGCAAATCTTCCCTCTGATGCAATGCGTGGGAGATACATTCTGTGTTCACTGCTGTCTGTCTGTTTTTGTTTGTTTGTTTGTTTGTTTGTTTGTTTGTTTTTGAGATGGAGTCTCCCTCTGTTGCTCAGCTTGGAATGCAGTGGCATGATCTCTGCTCTCTGCAATCTCCGCCTCACAGGTTCAAGCAATTCTCCTGCCTCAGCCTCCCGAGTAGCTGGGATTACAGATGCCTGCCACCATGCCCGGCTAATTTTTGTATTTTTGGTAGAGATGGGGTTTCACCATGTTGGCCAGGCTTGTCTCAAACTCCTGACCTCAGGTGATCCACCTGTCTCAGCCTCCCAAAGTGCTGGGATTACAGGCGTGAGCCACCGCGCCCAGCACTGCTGTCATTCTTTAGCTGGGTTCCCTGCGTATAGTTGTTTCCTCATTCCTTCTTTAATCCATTTGGCATTTTGCTTCCATTTATCCCATCATGCCTGTCAAAAAGCAAAGAAAAGGGGAACCTTCTGTCTTCTACATGAAGCTGTGTCTGTGCCCTTGATGAAGCTATGTCTGATACCATTTTCATGCTGCCTCTCACACCTTTTTTAATGCTTTAGTGAGAAGAGCATCACTGAGATGTTGATAGTTCTCGAGTTGTTTAGAGTATGGTATCTACTCGTCCCCGACTGGCAAAGAAAATTTGGGAAGCTGAGGCATTTCTTATACTACATTTGATACTATGCAGACCCATGTCCAGAGCAAGAACATGAAAGAAACCCAACTAGTAACTGTCGAAGTTGTCAGTCTGATTAGAAAAGCAAGAGGTCATCTGATTGAGTTCACAGATTAAGGACTGGCTTTGCTTTGAATCCTGAAATCTTGCCTCTTTTAGTCTTTACTGTGTGATCTTGGGTAGATTGCTCAAATTTGCTCAATTTTAATTCCTTTGTGTGTGGGACTAGAGTAATATTAGAACCGAATGCAAAGACTTTGAATGGAAATTGTGTGAACTAAGTTTATAAAGCACCTAGAACACTTGCTGCTACTGGTAAGCCCACAAGTGGCTGCTATTTGGGGCTATTATTTTTGAGCAAATATGGTTTTAATAACATGCCCTCTGGTCTCTATTGTCTTTGTTCACATTAGGAATTAGTAGCTGTAGTTTCAGTCCGCTGAAGTTTCACTGCTCTTTATTTTTTTTTCTAAACAGACAGGTGAAATTCACTTTCTAATCCAGTTTCAAAACAATAAGCCTCAGGGAGAGGATGGGTCACTTGAGCCCACTCTGCTTAAAATTCTTCTGAGATAAGACATTCAAAAGAGGAAATTATCCTGTCAGTAGCAATATCTCTGAAGTAAAAGATATCCTACAGATTTACTTTGAAATCTGTAGATGTGCATTCTGCCTGAGATCTGAGGTTTATGATGAGAAGAATGTTTTGATGGACTAGCCAAACAGAATAACAGAATGTTAGGTAAGCAGTGAAATAGTAATTAGGACATGGTATCTTCGTTATTTCTATCCTCTTATTTCAGCAAAGTGTCTAGCCTGCTGGGATAAGGGCTCAATAAATGTATATTGAACAAATTAATAACACATCATGAATTTTAAATTCATGAGTAGTTACTGCATATGCTTCTAATCTAGGGACTCCTGGGAATTGATTTTCAATCAAGGAGTCTTTTACCTATTTTTGAATTTTATAAAAGGCTGAAGACAATGTAGTATTCTGAATGAATGAGTTACCCTACTGTGTAGTTTGACAGGTATACAATTGGCACTCTGAATTGTAGGTATCACATCCATGGATTCAGCCAACCACTGATGAGAAATATTCAGAAAAAAATAAAAAATAACAATACTACAGTAAAAATAATACACATTTTAAAAGCAATACAGTATAACAACTATTTACATAGCATTAACATTGTATTGGGTATTTTATGTAATCTGGAGATGATTTAAAGTATAGGGAGGATGTGGGTAGGTTATATGCAAATACTCTGGCCTTTTGAAGCAGAGATTTGAGCATCCTGGATTTTGCTATCTGTAGGGTATCCTGGAACCAATCTTCCACAGATGCCAAGGGACAACTATAAAATAAAACCCTAAACTCTCTACCTTCCTTTATCAAGTTCACATTTTTGAGTGCATGAATGAGATTCTTCGTGACTTAGTTAACTCAAAAATATTAAGATCACTGACTGGCTTAACAGAGAACAAACGTTTGTTCTTATATGAATAGTAATAGAGTGTTATTGATGGACATAATATGTTACTGTATTTTGAACTATATTATAATTGCTGTAACAATATATTGACTATACTTAGGTAGCTCCAGAAGCTTCTGTTGGCAGGGCTTAGATTTTGGGGAAACCTATTGTTCTTCCAGCTTTGGTTAAATTCTCAAAGCTTCACAGTGGTTTCTATTACAAAGAAAAGTTCATGTAGATACATGAATTTTAGGTAAGCATATTGTGCAGCAAATTTTACCCCAGGGAACATTGGCATAGAAGACATTACAGTAATTTTCCATCATGGAGCTCTACAATAATGTAGATTGTAGAAAACAAACATGCATAATTTTTTTTAATGCTGTTTCCTGGGAGATTTTCCCAGGGGCCAGGAGACCTATGCTGCCCTTTGTGGAGCCACTGCATTTTCTAATACTACATACTCTCAGCCAGAGTCCCTTATTCGTTAATTGAGCATGTCCTGAGAAACAACACAAATAGCTGTACCTCATATGCTTCAAAAAGGATGACATCATTGTGAGGTTAAAGGAATGACAATGCCATTCTTTGCCTTGTTTAGATGATGGACTAGTAATTGTAATGTTTTTCTCTCACTGTAGCCAAATCATTACATCAGTCACTTTCTATAACCGTGGCCAATTCACTGGATCATTCATTTACTTAAATTGGATCTATGTGAAACCAAATGATAGATTCTTGGGTCATTCTTTTTATAAATAAAATTCTCATTGCTTTGAGCTCATCTCTATGTTCTAAAAAAAAAAAATGGTCGTTTCTCTCCCCAAGTCGTATAGTTCAATTATGACTACTAACAGCAATTTAAATAGCATTTTAACAAAATAGCCTAGGCTTTTTACAACAAGGGCACTTCTGAAGTAAATCTCCCTGGTTAACAGCTGTCAACTATCAGTAAGCCATAGGTAATTAAATTTGAAGATGCTTTATGGCTCGGAAAACTAGATAAAAATCCCTGGACCAGAAAGGTCTTAAGTTGATGTAGCTATTGCTCCCTGCAGTATTTGAATTAATGCGATAGATTGACGATTTTCTTTTCTTTTCTTTCTTTCTTTTTTTTTTAGACAGAGTCTCACTCTGTCACCCCAGGCTGGAGTGCAATGGCGTGATCTTGGCTCACTGCAACCTCCGCCTCCCAGGTTCAAGTGATTCTCCTGCCTCTGCAGGAGAATTGAGGCTGTCCTGCCTTAGCCTCCTGAGTAGCTGGGATTACATGCGTCTGCCACCATGCCCAGCTAATTTTTGTATTTTTAGTAGAGATGGGGTTTCACCATGTTGGTCAGTGTAGTCTCGATCTCCTGACCTCGTGATCCACCTGCCTCTGCCTCCCAAAGTGCTGGGATTACAGGCATGAGCCACCGTGCCAGGCCTGGATTGACGATTTTCTAATGAAACAGGCAAGGAGGAGAACTGCAATTGTTTGCTTGTTACTTGCACATAAAATTTAGTTGAGCCTATTTTCCCAGCTAAGATCACACTCTTGGTTTTATTTCAGTACAGATTAGAAAAAGAAAGGGAAAAGAAAAAAATAATGGTTTGGAAAAAACATCAAAACTAAACTTTCTTCATGATAGAAAGTGTGAGAAAGTCGTGATGGGGGTTTGTGGACCCTCAAAAGATAATATCAGTTAGTATTTATTTCTACAGCAGAAAAAGAAAACCTCAATTCAAGGTGCCTAAAAACTGCAAGGATTTCTTTTTATTTCATATAACAGAATATTCCAGTAATAATGGAGTTCCGGTTAATTCAGTAACTCAATGATTTCTTAAAAGATCCAGATTTTTTTCTACATTTCTGCTTGCCATTCTCAGCAAGGAACTTTCTTGGTAGATGCAATTGCTGCAATCATCATGTGCTCACATACCAATGTCCAGAGGCAGAAAAAGAAATCACCTCTTCTTTTGTGTGTGCCAGTTTTTAAGACTCAATAAGCCTTTTTCAGTAGCCGTGCAGAAGGCCTCCCTCCAGAGTTCACTGGCTAAAGTTGTTCATATGGCCGTATTTAAAACACTCACTGGCTAGAAGAATGGGGCCAGTATGGTTGTCATTGAACAGCCCTGTCAAGGTGGAAGAAAAGAATAGTATCTAATTAGATAGATAATCTACAGTGTCTCCTCATGAAAGGAGCATATATTGATCCTCTACTGTGGGCTGGTGGAACATACTTTGAGTTCAGTATTATTATTGCCAATGTATAGATGAGGAAATTAAAACAGAAATGAGCTAGTTTTCCCAAAATAATATACTTAGTAAGTGATGAAACTGAAATTCAACTCAGAACTGTGACACCAGTTGAGTACTCTCTTCACAATGTCAAACTGTTTCCTATACATCATGAATCACCTTCTGGCTCCCTTTTTGTTTCTAACAACCAAGTCATCTCTATGCTTTGCTTTGCTTTGCTTTTTAGATATACTCTTCCCCAGAGAGTGTATCTACTCTCAGAATTCCATATAATCATCCATGAAAATAACTGAACATCTCTACCTGAAGATTTGCTACTTCTAATGACAAAATTAAATTAATTATCTAATTCTACATTCTTGTGGAACATTTCTGCTTTGATTTGAATGTAATTTAATCTGTCCATACCTAAGTACTTTCTCTACCAAATATATCTCCTTTTCAGATCTCCCAAAAGTAGTAAGGGCATATTCATTTCTCCTATACTTAGCTTACAATGTTAAGGGGAATTTACGCCAATCTTTCCTCTACCCCTAGCCAAAACCTACATAAAATCATTCCAAATTCTTTGTTTTAGGCATTTCTCACATCAATTTTTCTTTTCCATTTTAGCATATCAGGTGTTCATCAATATACTATCTCAACTACTAGAACAATGTCTTTTAGTCTTTTCAGCTTATATACTTTAAAAATTACCCTGCATACTCAAATTATTTTCCTTAACAATGCCTTATTTTATTATTGTGTTCTCCTGATTAATTTGAGTAGATGCTACTTGTAAAAAAATTGAATATATTAATATTAACTCTAAATTAGGCATTCTAGTCATTTTTATCCTCCCTGCATAAGAAATTGTTCTGACTTTGCTTGCTGAAGATTGATGTCTTGCCCCAAGTTATAATAATAGGTAACCCATGTAACCAGCATCAGTATAGCTCCGGGACTCTTTTAAAAACTTTATGTATATTAAACTTGACAACAGTTTAAACTTCACAACAACCCAATGAGGTAGATGCTATTATTATACTGATTTTAAAGATAAGGACACTAGAGTTCAGAGAGATAAAGGCCCTTGCCAAGTACATCTAGAAGTGAAATGGTAGAGCCAGAATCCAGACTCCAGTGGTTGAACCCCAGAGGCCATGAACTCAGTTATATTTTACTGCGCTAGTCTGTGTATGTCACTCCACAATTATTTATTAAGAGGTATTTGTTGAATGTGTATTCCAGCAGCCCAAGCAATATCTTACCCCTGGTGTTTTACAGAAGACTTACACAACCATGAATCATAGCCCTGAGATAAAAGTAAGCGTTATAAAACACCTGGATTTTAGACAGAATCAAGGCAGTCTGTGTCCTCTCCAACCTTTGAGTGATACTTGCTTTGATTCTATATTCTCTCCCATGTTCTCAGCTCTTGGATTTTTTTCTATTAGCCCTAACCTCTAGTCTGGCATGGGCTGATTTTTTCCTGAAAGACTTCCCTCTCCCCTTACGTGCTCTCCTCATGAAGGAAGCTGTTTCAGTTTTTGGGCTGTGGCACCACCTGCCAGCTGTGTCACCTCTCTGTCCATGATTCCTAGGGAGACTCAGTAACTGGAAGGTTATCAGGCTGCACCATGCTCAGCACCCAAGCCCCCTGTTTCCAAAGACCTTTCACCCAGGCCCTTGTTATTAATGACCTGTCTTTTGTTCTTGTATGCTGTCATGATCTTACATTTTAAGATTCTTCTGAAATATTTTTCTAACCTCTTGATTGTTTTTTCCAACATAAAAAATCCTGTATTTTACTATTGTTGTATGAACAGTAAATTTGAGGCTATAAGATTATGTCCTAATAATTTTAGGGATTTAGCTCCCTAAATTTTAAAAAGTAGGAAAACATACATCTATTTTATCTAAATTCATGTTTTTCTTAAAAATCATGATCCAAACTTAATAACAGTAATTAGAATTTATTGAATACTATCTCTTGTCACTCATTTCACGTATTTATATGTGTCAATTAAATTGATTTCCATGGGAACTCTTGGCAGAAGTTACTATTATTGTTGCATTTTACAAATGAGGAAATTAAAGCACAGAGAGGTTAAGTAACTTGTTCAGTTTCACAGGAAGTTTGGCAACAGAACCTGGTTTCATTATCACTCTGCTTCTTCCAGGGCATTTTCAGATTATTGGCTGAAACTACTTGCAGGATATTATGGCAGACATTCTGAACAAATGTGCCCAGAAAATAGGTTAAATTTGTGACTTCTGTATCTTCTCATATGGGCTATGGCCCAAGTACTCATGGAATATAGTCCATGACTTCCTATAAGAATTTGTATCATTTTGATTTCGGTTTAAGTCAAACTACAGCTCTATCAGAATTTTTAGAAATGTGTTTGTCATTCAATGCCTAAAAATCTAGAAACAGTTCATCATGGAAGCAGTCATCCCAGAAAGCAGACTCTTTCTTAGAGTTTGTCATTCTTCAGATTATAATCAAAAGAACAAATAAATCCTGAACCATTTGAATAGAAAAGTCTAAAGTTATGCTCCTTGAGAGGAGCATTTTGACCAGAGAATGTATCATGAATGTCACGATACGTTGATTGTCTTCAAAGGCCAGCCATACAGGCAGTTAGGCAATGTGGAAGAAGTTAAATGAGTGTGAGTCACTAACCTCTGAGGATCCTGGAAATATGAACATTTAGATACCTGAAAATTCATATATTTTCCTTAGATATATGAATAGTTATGCTGCTAAAAATAACATTGCCTCCTGAAAATACGTCTACTTTCAAGTAATTTATAGAAAAATAAGTCGGACTAATTAGAATTACGTTGGGAAGCAAGGCAAATATTTGTAGTAGGAAATAACAATCCTAAAATGATGAATAAATAGAGTCCAAAAATAAAACATTAATAGAGGATAAGAAGACAATCACACTGCTGTTGGTTTTGTTTTCTGTTCAATCTGCTCACTGTATTTTTTTTGGTTTATTTATTTTAACTTGTTTTGAGCTGATGATGTCCAGTAATAAAACAGAGTTGAGATTATTGCAAACGTGACTGATTTTGTAATCACATACTATTACCATAAACTTTAACATTGCACTTAGTGGTTTATGTTTTACTTCAGTACAAATATAAATTAAAATGCCCATTAACATAACTTTTTTTTTTGAGGCAGTGTCTCGTTCTGTTGCCAGAGCTGGCGTGCAGTAGCATGATCATAGCTCACTGTAACCTCAATTTCCTAGGCTCAAGAGATCCTCCCACCTCAGCCTCCAAAGTATCTGGGACTAAAGACACATACCACCATGCCCAGTTAATTTTCTAAAACAATTTTTGTTGAGACAAGGTCTCACTATGTTGCTCAGGCTGGCCTTGAACCCCTGGCTTCAGGTGACCATCATACCTTTGCCTCCCAAAGTGCTGAGATTACAGGGAACTAGCCCATAACTCTATTTTAAAATTAATTTCTTACTGTAGAAGAAAATGTACCTTGACATTTTTTGGAATATTTGCATAATAGTTTTTATTAAAATAATAGAATTATAGAACCAGGATACTGTATCTACACTTGTGCTGTTCACTCTTTCAGAACTTCGAGAAACCAAGACCTCTGAATACTTCAGCCTTTCCCACCATCCTTTAGACTACAGGATTTTATTAATGGATGAAGATCAGGACCGGATATATGTGGGAAGCAAAGATCACATTCTTTCCCTGAATATTAACAATATAAGTCAAGAAGCTTTGAGTGTAAGTTTATCACTTTCACGAGGACAGTGTCCACCTTTTCAATGTCTCTTTTTTAAAAAAAATAAATAAGTAAAAAATAATATGCATTTTATTAGAACAATAGAAAATACTGGTCCCATGTTACTATGAAAGTTAGTACTTATTTCATGGACTGAAAAGGTATTAAGTTCAGTTCTCATCGTCTAGTTCCATAGTTTTTAACAATTCAAAACCTGGAGCTAACTGAAAAAATACTACCTGTGTATAAATATATAAAGAAAAAAGGGATTATAGGGTAGTGCATGAAAGAAATGGTCAGAGAAAAGGAAGATCTACTTTGTCATCTCTGTGTAACCAGTGAAGGGCCTGAAAGGAAAACAGCTATTAAATACGCTGTTACTTGATCCAGTATGGCCTATATTTATCATTCCATTTCACAAGGAAATAAAATTGAGCTTCACTGTAGTGAAAAAAATACATGTAGATTAATTATAAATTTATTACAACAAGGAGACTTCTGCATTTGCAGAAGTGTTAACACAGGCAATGGACTGACAACTAAAAAAAATTAATGATTATTGCCAAACTGGACCCAAGGCTGCAACTACTTAGAGTACTAGCACAGTATTTCAGAGAGAGGGAATCTCTTGGTTTTCATCCAAGTTATTTTAGCTATTGAAGTACCCAGGGGCCCATCTTATGTAAATCTACTAGCCTGGTTGTGTGATTTACCAAAAATAATACTAACTGAGAAAGATATGTAAGTGTAGATTTATTGTCATATAAGCAGTTGGGAAAAGTGTACTATGTCAAAAGGAGTGAAAAATTGTATTGTTCACATTTATGTTAATAATGATCTTATTTTAATATACAATTAGTAAATGAACATATGTTATTGAAAAGCATTTGTGAAAGGAAACACTGTTGGAAGAAATAAAAATAATTGTAATTGTTAAAATAATAGAATCTTTATTAATGAATTGATAAAAAAGAAAGAATTTTAAAGTCTTAGTGTAAGATCACCTTAAATAAATCTGTTAACAAAAAGTAAATGAAGAGCACTGGGCTGTCATATGTCCAGGTGAGATTATGCAACCTTTATTTTTCTTTCTGAGCAGGTTTTCTGGCCAGCATCTACAATCAAAGTTGAAGAATGCAAAATGGCTGGCAAAGATCCCACAGTAAGTGTTAAAAAAAAAAAAAAAAAAAAAAACACTAACTTAAATATTTGGTTTTCGAATCCATGTACTTTGAGGGAAGCCAAAAATGAGACAAGGATGGTGGTGTTTTAAATTTTTGCTGGACACAGGCTAAAAACCTAAACCTTGAGGAGACTGGAACTCTTGGGCTCTCTGTAACTTCAGAATTCCTAACTGGGTAAAAATTGCTTGCCTTGCTTTCATTATTTCATTCAGATACATTTCATGATGGATTTCATTAATAACCTCTGTTCCTAGTGGATTCAACCTGCAGAATTCTCAGCAGGCTCCTGAAACGATGATAATGCAAGTGTCTGGAGCAGCTCCCAGATACCCTGTGGGCTTTTCCAAACAAAGATTCTTGGCAAAAGGGTAGTGGTTAGCCAGCAAATTCCATAAATACAAATCACCAGTGATAAATGGTACCTTTGTTAATTAAAAATAGCCACAGAAACAGCAATAGAGGCAGATATAAGTATCAATATATGTTCAGTATGCAATACCTGTGCAAATTGTATTCCTCTAGGTGAGATTCAAAATAATCAAGGAAGAAATCTATATTGATTTCTACAAATGACTTGCTGAAAGTAATACATTGCCATTCTTGAATATTCTAAAACAAATACGTGGAGCAGATCTTTAATGTGTACACGTCATTTAATGTTTATAATGGAGCACATAAGTCATCTCACCATTTTGCCTCAAATAATGAAAATGTAATACAGCCAAGCATCAAAATCACCCTGTCTTTCAAAAATAGTTTGGTAAAGAGGTTCCTTTCTTCATTCATTCCTTCCATTATTTGCTCAATAAATACTGATTCAGCACCTGTTATATATCTAGCATGGAGCTGGTTGCCAAAGACATAATTGGTGCAAAGACAGAAACAGTTCTGACTCCAGTCAACTTTATTACCTTGTTAGAAAAGTCTGCCATAATCAAATGAGCATAGATATACAAACTAATTTAGAAATAAGCTGGAAATATGGTAATTGGGTGGACAGACGAGTCAACACGTACACATACATTCAGGTCTCAGGTCATAACAAGTAATAGACCACCTTAGTGTTAAAAAATGTTGTCTAAGCATTTATTTTGTGGTAGGGTCAAGAGATGCTGATTTCAGGAGTGAAGACTGCCCTGAGTCTTGGAAGTAGAGATGGATCAGACAAGACCGAACATGGGAAAAATACTAATCCTGTGGAAAGTGGAAATATGGGATTGAGGAAATGAAACATTTATTTTCATTGACTCCTAACAGCCCCAGGTGTAAAGTTGCAAAAGTTTTTGGCTCAAGGCAGGGCCATGGAAGACTCTGGAGGGTAGGATCTCTGGCCTTGCTAGAGGGTTCTTGGAGTGATTTATCCAATAAAAAAATTTAAAAGTGGGCAGGAGAAATTTGCAGGGGCATATTTGCTATCCAAGGGATCTGTTAGACCACAATCTTGGGGGAAAAAATCCAGAAAAATGTAGAAGAAACACTTAAACAAATACATTACAATGACATTCCAGGAAACCAATGGTAGAATGAAGTATAATGTTGCAGAGAATGATGTTTTGTTCCTTATTATTTTAATAATTGTGGATGAATTAAACTGTTTTCTTTTATTCTCTAATGAGATTTTTTTCCCATTGATGTGTGTCTGATCATGCCTTGCCTTTTGCCACAATAATATCCCGTGGCTATACTGAATTGCATTGTCCTTTGTTCAAAAGGATTTGCATTTCTCATTCATATGAACTGCCATAGGCAGAATGTGCAGAATTTAGGTACCTTTGTACATTCTATTTCCAAAAATTGCTGCCGAGTTTCTGAAGAATCTTAGACAAGTCATTTGGTTTCTTACTTCCTTTGTCAAAGTAGAAACCCTCTGGGGTTTTTGTTTTGCTTTCTGACAATTAAACGTTATTAGATAAAAATCTTCAATACATGCTGACATTTTCCCATAGTTTTGTCATGCTGTAATTTGTGGATATTTTAAATTCTACTATATGGCCAGTTATACACAAGGGAAATATCTAATGGAGTGCTCTTTCCTATGTATTTTTAGGACTCGGCTGGACAGGTTTTGTTTGTCCATACAACATTGTTGAGTGCTGGGAAATACTAATCAAAAAATACATGTTTGGTCTGTGCAAGAAAAGAATGTCTGACAAATCCATCCCATTTCATACATGTGAAATACTTATAGAAGTGTCCTTTACTTAGGCTATGGGAAAAAAAAGTCCTGTAGCAGAAAAATAATGTGAAATAGATCTTTGAAAGTTGTACAGAACAACCTATCCTTCTTACATTTCTCAATGAAACGACATACTTAAGAACTTCTTAAAAGTTGGAATAAATACTATCTAATAACCTAATATTTTTAAAATACAGGAATTCTTTCAATTTGCACAAATTAGTTGTTGTGAAGAAACTGGAGGTGAATTAGATGGAGTCCTTACATTTAAGTCTTTACAATGTGCTAGATATGGTGAGACATATATACACTGATATTCAGAAAAAATACCCAACATTTAATGGAACACGCCAGGTCCTGTTCTAAGTGCTTTATTTTAATCCTCATAACAATACTGCAAGGTGGACATTATTGTCACCACCTGTATTTCTAAGATAAAATAACTGCATTACTAAGAAAGTGAGAAACTTAAGCTGTGCTGCTGTGAAGTGGGATGGTCTTTGTCTGATTAAGTCACATACAGCTCTGGATTCTGTACCCTTAGCCACTAAAACATGCTATCCCTCCAGAGAGAAAATGATAAATGCTAAGGGACACACACAAAGCACAGCTGGGTTATTTAAGAAAGGTTTGATAGATTTTGTAGTAATCATATTAGAACTTCTGTTAACCTTTTATTTCAATGATACTGAAATTCGAAAAAGTTGTACCCTCTCTCTCTTCCAGCCTTTGGTATGTGCTGCATGCAATTGATTCTCTTTTCCTTCAATTATCTTCCGGTGTTTTCAGCCTGGGAAATATCTACTCACCCCTTCAGGTCACAGTGCATACAAGCACGTGAACTCGTTCCAACTGATTGTCAGGGCTTGCGGGTAGGACACAGTAGATGATGAGTTTATTAATGCTTTTAGATTAATTATGTTTGTAGTGCATTTATTATATATATATTTTAGAAGTATATTTTCATTAAGCTAAAACTTTCTGCTTTTAGCTCTGTTAATCATCTAAGCAAAACATAAAGTGTTAGCAATTAAAATCCATACTGCTATAACAACTGAAAGCAAAAATAAAACAGAGTTAAGCATCCCTTAATCCTTCAGATTTTTTGGTTGTATCAAATTTTAATTGACGTTATAACAAGATAACAATTATAAGAAGAAAATTTAATGTGATTTAAAATTTGGTCTTAGGTAGTAATACAGCATAATTCTGTAATAAACTAACGTTTTTAAAGAAAATAAATTTTCATGGTCGGATTTTCTGCCTTGGCTAAAAAGAATATAACCTACTCCCCATTTCTCTCTCTGCCCCTATGTACTCACATTCCTACATGCTCCATTTATTTCTAAATGTTAATATTTTATTCATACTCTAAATAAATTGAGCTTAAACAATAGCACATGCTGTCAAACATATCCATGAAATAGGGCTTAATGGATGTACTATGTAAATACTATAGGAGACGGTTGAAAAATTAAGTAGGATTATATATATTTAGATATATATACATTACATGCACATGGTGTCAAACTTGATTTATTAATTGTAGAATATCAGTTTCCCTATTTCTGTGACCATACAACCCTAAGCTCCTAAAAAATATATTTTCTTTTTCAAAATACCTTGATTCATTTCCCTAGATCAAGGAGGTATAGACCAAGAAGAAGAAAGTATGAAGTATTTTTGTGTCATTGCAGATTATGGACCATAATGAGTCAATATTTTTAAAGGCCTATTCACCTGTGCTCCAGGATATATTTTTTAAACATCTATTTTTATATTATAAAAGTAATATATTTTCAATACAACAATCTTTGAAGACTTAGAAAAGTACATAGAAAGCAACAGAAAATAAACCATCTCTTATTAGCTCTTCGACCTTGGAGACTTAAACTTTCTGTACATCTTGGTTTTCTTATCTGTGAAATGTGCTAATCCGTAGCACTTAACCTTATTGGGTTGTTAAGAGGATTGATGAGTTAATATTTGCAGAGAGCTTAGAGCAGTGCATAGTACACAGTTAATGCTATATCGCTGTTAAAGAAAGTAAATTGCACTACTGAAACATAATCACTCTTAACAATTTAGGGTATATTCTTCCAGGGTTTTGTTATATAGACATAAATGTGTATAAAAATAGAATTTTATTATATGCTGTATAATGTTAGCAGCTTTATATTTCACTAACATTGTGCCAGGAAATCATTTTGAAAGAGAATTAAACAATGAAAAGAAAGCATGCATCATATTTATTTCCGCTGAAGTCTCTAAGGCTTCATTCATACTCCAAACTTTTTGTGGATTTTTACTGTGGTCAGGACCTGCACTAAGCTCTATGCAGGACAGATGCCCTGACCATTTCACCGGGTTTAGAGACAATGTCAATTTTAAAATGCAAATAAAACAAATCTAATATTGGACAGTTGGATGTGTGTATTATTTTCCAGATATGATTTCTACTGCTTTATTAATATATTGTCCATGACAAGTATTACCATTGCCATTTTAGGAATGCAAAGATTGAAGCATCCAGAGGCCAAGTAACTGTCTTCAGTTCTGAAAGCTAGTAAAAGATGAAGCCAAGGTTTAAACCTAGGTCATCTGGCTCTGAGACCTGCATACTTAAATCTACTCTGTCTTCTCTGCAATATTCTCTATTGCCTATCTGAAGACTATGGTAGGATGGCAGACCAACTGTAATTACCTCTCTGATTTCATCACACAGTTATCCTCTAACCCTTCTAGGCACTAGTCCCCAAGTAAATCCTGCACTCTCATGTCTGTGTTTCTGTTCATGCTGTTTTTTTTTTATTTTTATTTATTTATTTTTATTTATTTATTTTTTTTTGCTGAAATGTTCTTTCCTTATGCTTTTGCCTGTGAAAATCTCTAAATTATTCTGCAAGACTCAGCTCAAATGTCACCTCTACTCAAATCTTTACCCCTAGATCAGCATTACTTAATGCCTTTCTTTCCTTCTACGGTACATTTAAAAATACAGTCCTATTGCAGTATCTACCACAGCCTGATACATTATGCTCTCCTTTCTTTAAAAGCAGGCATTGATTGAGTCTATTCATTCCACTGTTGCTAGTACCATATGTAGTGCCTCGCATAGAATGACTTCAGCACATATTTGCAGGATGGAATTGACACTATTGCAGTAGTCTAGGTCAGAAACGAAGGCAGCACAATGGAAATGGAAAGAACCTGGATAATCATTTTCAATAGTTAACTCAGCTGAATTGTTTTTCCTTTTGTGGTCTTGTGTGTGGGGAGGGGCAGGGAGCACATTGAGCAACAGATAGTGTGGGAATCTGCTCATTGCTAATCAGAATCTTATAGAAAAGCTGCACAGTGGAGAGTGGCCATGGTTCAAGTCCCAGTTTAGTTACTTATTAAAACTAGAACTCTTTATTTAACCTCTCTGGGACTCAAATTTCCTCATCACTAAAATGGAGTATTGATAAATTGGAGCACTGTTATGAGAATTAAGCAATCGACATCAAAGGATTAAGAGCTCTGTGAATATTAATAAATGTTACAAAAACTAAAAAGTTATATCAGTATTAACTTATAAAAACAACTGTGCATCCTGGCTAACATGATGAAACCCCGTCTCTACTAAAAATACAAAAAATTAGCCGGGCGTGGTGGCACATGCCTGTAGTCCCAGCTACTCGGGAGGCTGAGGCAGGAGAATTTCTTGAACCCGGGAAGCGGAGGTTGCAGTGAGCAGAGATCGCACCACTGCACTCCAGCCTGGGTAGCAGAGCGACACTCTGTCGCCCACCCCCCCAAAAAAAAACAACTGTGGACTTCTCGTCCAATGACAAATTATAAAGCAGCTAAAAGTACAGGATTCAATGTTAGAGACGTATGTGTTTGTAAATCTGCTTTAGTTACTACCTATATGGTCTCAAACAGGTTATTTTTTTAAAAAACTCAAGTTTATTTTTCTAAAAGGGACTGAGTTATGGTAAAAACCTGAATGAATATGTGTAAAGTGCCTAAGTAGCATACAGTAAGTGTTAAATAAATGTCAGCTATAAAGGTAAAAATCAAACTTTCTAGAGGTAAAAATAAAAGGTAAAATATACAATATGATTATTTCACAGTCTAGGATGTAATAAACTCTAAATAAATATTAGTCATAATAAGCAGATAGATATATACATGAAATGAGTATAGTTGGCATTTGAAATATAAACGAGATGTTATTGACTTCTTTCATTTTACCAATACCAGTAATTCATGAAAGTACATTGACATCCATAAGACCCAAGATGAGAGAGACATAACCTGTTATTAAAGGAATTGGATTGAATTATTTATATCTTATGGGGAAATATTGTATACAGAATCCCAGAATGACTAAACTTGAATGTGAAAAAAATATGCATGTGTCTCATTCCTCATAGATTCCCTTTACATAGACATATTATAAACACACATATCTCATCTGTGTGTTTTCTTCAGAAACATGTTATCATCTGTAGTTATGTAATCAATTTCCAGGTACCTCTATAAACAGGTGTCAAGATAAAATGACACTGTGTATTTAACAAAAATCCTTAATGTCTTAAAAATAAAGTGTATGGTCTGGTCTATAAGGATTAATTTCTTTGACTAGAGTTAATGATTGATTATTTAATAATAAAAATCTATCATAGAAACATCTGTATAAAATTACTGCATAAATAAAAGTATATATTTGCTGGCAAGTAATAATGAATATAAAAGGAAAAAATGATGGAAAATGTAAAATAATATTGACTTTAATTTTAACTTCTATTTTAGCAACATTTATTTTGTTTTAGTTTTAAATAATATAAATAATAGATATGGTTTATAAAAAAATAGGAGAGGCCAGGCATGGTGGCTCACACCTGTAATCCCAGCACTTTGGGAGGCCGAGGCGGGTGGTTCATGAGGTCAGGAGATCGAGACCATCCTGGCTAACACAGTGAAACCCCGTCTCTACTAAAAATACAAAAAAAAATTAGCTGGGTATGGTGGCACATGCCTGTAATCCCAGCTACTTGGGAGGCTGAGGCAGGAGAATCACTTGAACCCAGGAGGCAGAGGTTGCAGTGAGCTGAGATCACGCCACAGCACACCAGCCTGGGCAACAGAGCAAGACTCTGTCTCTAAAAAAAAAAAAAAAAAAAAGGAGCATACATGGTACCTAGCAGGGGGAAAAGCAACATATATTTTCTGACCACCCAGGGAAAAATTACTGTTAACTTTTGATGTCTTTCTTTATAGTTTTTTATAAAAATGCTGTCTCTAATATACAATCATTTTATTAATGTTCTTTGAGAGAATGACTTCATGAAGTCATTCAATCTCAGGCTTGATTGAATTATAGTCAGCAAAGGATAGTGAAGCTAGTAACTGTGGAACATTTGGTGGTTAATTTGGTCACAGAGATCTGCATCTAGGGCTGACTGTTTCTGTGCTCCAGCAAGGTCACAGTCAATTGAGAATTACAATAATTATTCTGTTTCATTGGGTGAATAAATGACAGCCTTGCCTTTACTTGAACTGGGAGCAAGTGAGAAAGGAGTTTCTACAAGAGAAGAAAGGAGTATTTTAGGAGATCCAGGGCAAAGAGATTGATTATGTCATTCCTCATAGAAGGCAATCATTATGCTGGCATTTTGTTGGAGATTAGTTTTATTTGCCAATTCTTAAGGTGAATAGTGTCTGCCATTGTGCACTAATGGTAATATGGAACTTGTATAGGCACAGGTGCATTCAGAACATGTTTGTATAATGTGTGTGTGTTCAATGTTTTAAGGAAAACTTAAGGAAAAATAACTTCTGTGTGTTAATTTGTAAACTTTCTCAGGTAAAGAATACATTTATAAAGTTTCAGGATGTAAAAATTTAGACAGTGTTGTAATACAAGAATAATGAAATATAGCATTTTACTTACTATCTGCGGTGGATTATATTTCTCTTGAAATAAATCAGTGGAATAAGCCATGTTGTTTTAATATTTCTGGAAACACGTCTTTTAACAATAAAAAAATGGAGCAGAAAGGAAAATGTATAGCAAAGTATTGCCAAATAATATTTGCATTGATATGTATAAATTTGAGAGCATTTTCAAATGAAGTATTAGAATTAGTCCAGATTAAAACAGAAATAGAAAAAGCAGGGCATGTATGACAACTCTGTTCAATTGCATTCTACAAGGGTAGAGATTTTTGTGTTTTTCTCAGTAAGGATGCCCAGAGAATTTGACTATACCCTGGCAAATAGTAGGTAATCAGTAAATGTTTGTTGACTGACTGTTTCTGTAATAATGTTTTGACTATTCCTGAGCCACTGTTTTTCTTAATATTTGATTTGTTACTTCTACAAGTTAGATAAGTACTCTCAAATTACCTTTAAGAGGTGCAAATATACTAATAGTTCCCCAAAGATATGGCCTAATACAAACTTGTCCAACCTGTGGCCCAAGGGCCTCATGCAACCCAGGACAGCTTTGAATGTGGCCCAGCACAAATTCGTAAACTTTTTAAAAACATGAGATTTTTGGGGGGATTTTTATTTTTATTTTTATTTTTTTAGCTCATCAGCTATTGTTAGTGTTAGCGTATTTTATGTGTGGCCCAAGACAATTCTTCTTCCAGTGTGGCCTAGGGAAGCCAAAAGATTGGACGCCCCTGGACTAATACATCAAAAGTTTATGTCACCTCATTGTTACTTATCATACAAGATCTCAGGTTAACATAGCTAACTGAAATAACAATGAAAGTCATTGAGTTACTAACTGCTTATTTACTGATTCTTTTAGCACGGCTGTGGGAACTTTGTCCGTGTAATTCAGACTTTCAATCGCACACATTTGTATGTCTGTGGGAGTGGCGCTTTCAGTCCTGTCTGTACTTACTTGAACAGAGGGAGGAGATCAGAGGTAAGTATAACTATTTAACATTCTTAGTTTTGATATTAGTGTCAAGGATTTTTGAAACTGTATTTTAGAGTAAAAACTTGGACATATCAATATTCATAAAATATTTTCATGCCCTTTAAATACAAACTATATTACATTTTTTCCTGTCTGCCAAGTTACTTGAAGTATCACCTTTTGCCTTCAGCTAAAAAAGTATATATATTTTTATGTGTATTATATGTGTGTGTGTGTGTGTGTGTGTATACTTTTAGTTGGAGGCAACTATATAGTTTTAGTGTATATGTATATATTTTTAGTATATCTATTTTATTTGTAAAGCTGTAAAAGATGAAAGAAAAATGTTATAATTTCAAGATTACTTGAATGTAATACAGTAATAATATTTGCTCCAAATTATAGAAATATTGTAGCATAAACTTAACCTTCTCAAATCTAGTGTAATTTCTTGTCTTTCAAATTCAATAAAATTTTATAAATATATATCTGTAAAAGATGTATAAAGTGGGATGCCAAGTGTCTGCTGAAAAGAACTTGATGTAATTAACAAATCATACTTTTATCTTAGACCAACATCATCCTACATTAGGCTATTCCAGCCTTATTCTTAAATTAGTTAAGGTGATATGCGGCATTATGGTATGATGTTTGCTAAACACTAGTCAAATATATAGCTAATGTATAGTCAAATATGAGGCTGGTTGAACTTCACCTGTGCTACTTAAGCCTGTCTTTGTTATCCCAGTCCACAGCTGTTGACTAAGGAAAGTACATTACACCAAGAGAGTTACTACTCATTCTTTTAGTCAAACATGTTGTTTTACTTAACATAATTATTTTAAAAACTGAATTTTCAAACTTGGTTTGGTTTTATTATGCAACTTAAATATAGAAAGTCCAGTTTTTAAATAATATTTTAATTTGATTTTAGAGATTAGAATTTTGAAAAAAATAAATATGTCTACTGATCTAAAGCTTATTTTCCTTTAACAAGGATTAATCTATTTTAGTTCTAATATGACTGAACAATGTTTTTTTAAGTTGTTTTTCAGACATGTAATTTATACATAAGTATCTTTTAATGAATAAAAAGTCATTTAAAAATAACTAATTATAATTTGACCCCAAAATGAGACATTTTTTAATGTGGTTCAAGATGCTATGAAATATTACAATTCTTACAGGAAAAGTAAAGTTATGCTTTTTGGAAGAATACAGTTGGCTGCATTGAGCTTGTCATTAAAACCACATGCCTGTGATCAATTGATTAAGTAAACTACTGCCTTAGACGTCTGCAATCTGTCAGACACTTCCCTGAAGTCTGTGCAGTCACTGTACAGGCCAACAATAGCATAGCCATTTTCAGAGCACAGATTTCAAATAAAATTATTTTCCCATGTACGAATTGCCCACTATGCACTTCAAAGCTTAATTGGAAATTCTGTCCAAAAAAATAATCTCCTTTGGAAAACCAGCATGGAATACATTTTAATCACTTTGCTAAATATGAACTACTTTAGTCTCACTTCAAAAGATACGTTTCAAAGGAGAAGCAGTTTCATTAATGAATCTCTGAAATAATACGTGAACATCTTAAGAGCCAATTTAGGTATGAACAGGGTTATGATTTTTAAGCTTTATAAAATGTAGTCCTTGATAGTTCACTCTAGTCGGAGAGTTTCACCATAACATCACTTTTATATATTTGTAGTATAAAAGCCATATTGTAAATATAGAACTACACAGTTTAATCAATCTTACAATGGATTTGTTTTCTTTTAGTTTAGGATAAAAGATCTCCTAGCATAAAATGACCACGTGATGCAGAAAGTTTTATTTTGAGAGAATTCTTCTCTATCACTAAGATTGTATTTTGTAATGACCATGGGTGATACTTACTGCTGACCCTCTTGTATTATTATTAAGAGATGACATTTTTCATCTATTCAAACCTAATTTTGAATAGAAGGTGAACCAAGTTAGGTTGGCAGAGTTACTTTAATTATTCAGTTTTATATCTGGGACATTACCTACCATCCTTCATTGGTCTGTGTTCATAGATATTCATTGGTTCTAGGGGAATATTTGATGAGCCTACTTCGTGTTTGGAGCATCACATGCTTTTGTTATACCCCATTTCTCTTCTATTATTTGCGAGACTGATTCAGAGCTTTCTGAGATTTCAACAGTACTCACTCACCTAAAGAGCCTGGAATCCTTGCTACATGAAGACCTAACCACGGTTCTTCTCCTGTGTCTACTATCTTTACTCCTTGTCTTCTGTTCCTGGAAAAAGATAAAGCAATACAAGTGAATCATGACTTTAAATGAATGAATAAAACATCAACAAAAATGGTGATTGGTTAATTTTGCAACAAATTCTTGGAATATTACCACATCTTATCTTTGATTTCATCAGATGTTTTCATAACATCTGTTTCAACACCCAGATACCAATTAAGCTCCCCTGACCCTGACCCTTATCAAGCAGATAACTTTACCTTAGACTGACCAAGAATATCACAGGTGACCAAGAGTGTCATAGGTATCAAAATTATCCCCTATGCTTTTTGAATGAAATTTGCCACCAATCTAGTCTGTTTCAGTATCTTTTTGTAGGATTTTTTCTGTTTCAGAAGAAAAATTATACATTTTCTGTATTAAGTTCTTTGATAAATAACCTTCATCACTCTGTTTTATATCTTCATTCCCTTTCCTCTACATTTACTTTTTTTTTTTTTTTTTTTGCCCATTTAAAGAAAGGATTGGGTTTCTTTCCCTTAAAATCCTTTTTTTGGTTCTGTGACTTCTTTTTTCTAATTTTCTCCTTTCTCTTTTACTTCATTACTAAGCTTCTCAGAGTAGGAGGCTGAATTTCCAGCTTTTGTGCTCCTAATCTCTATGCCTTTATTCATCCTTTCTAATATTTCACTCCTACACATTAACTAAAACTGTTTAATTAATGGCAGATTCCTCAGTGACCAAATTGACTCCCTCATTTTGTATCCCTTCTCCTAGAACGATCTGTGACATTAAATTCCACCATTCATGCTCTGTATTTTTCATTGCCTTTATTGACGTCTGTGACCATAGGACACTTTGCTATGCCTACTTTTTAATTTTTCACCACCTACTCTCTATTATTTTCTCTCATTGTTCAATCCAGAAATATTCATTTAATGAGAATAAAAGCAGAATCAAAATCATGTTGAAGCTACTTTAAAGCTTTAAAGACCTTAAAAGCTTTAAAGGCTACTTATATGTCAACAGAGAAGTAAATTGGAACAATCTTCAGCAGAAAATGGCAGGAACAGAATTGTGTTGTCACTTATGTGTTAGGTAACAGATGATTTGTGGCACGGTGCGTGGGGGGTGGAAAAGTTGTAGGAGATTAGTTTGAGAGTTGACATAGAAGACCACAAAAGAGATCGTTGTACTCAGGTGATAGCAATGGTGACAGAGAGTATAAAATGGTATGAAGTATAAAATAGTATAGATGATGTTGATGGATTTGGATAAGGAAAAGGAAATGATATAAATGCTGACACTTTTCTTGTTTGTTATTTTCAGCCTCTTTAATTGTGTAGTTGCCATGAACTGAGATGAGAATGAAGAGACCATGTATAGGGTAAAGATTATAAGCCTGAGTTTGGTCTGTTGAATGAGAGATCCCATGGAAAGATCCAATTAGTGATATCAAGTAGGCCGTTAAATATAAGACTGAGTATATACACGTGTGAGTCATTGTTTTATAAGAGTAACTGGAGCCCAAGAAAAGTGTGGATTTAATTATGCAGAGAGGGAGTTAGAGTAAAAAGAAAAGAATGACGGTGGTTGAGACTTGAGGGTCTCCTAACTTTAATGGCCAATTAGAGGAACATGAACTTACAAACAAGCCTAAAAAGAACAGGCAGGGCTGGGCGCGGTGGCTCACGCCTGTAATCACAGCACTTAGGGAGGCCGAGGCGGGCAGATCATGACGTCAGGAGATCAAGACCATCCTGGCTAACATGGTGAAATCCCATCTCTACTAAAAATACAAAAAATTAGCTGGGCGTGGTGGCAGGTACCTGTAGTCCCAGCTACTTGGGAGGCTGGCAGGAGAATGGCGTGAACCCGGGAGGCGGAGCTCGCCAGTGAGCTGAGATCGTGGCCACTGAACTCCAGCCTGGGCGACAGAGCGAGACTCTGTCTTAAATAAAAAAAAAAAGAAAAAAGAAAAAAAAAAGGAACAGAGAAAGAGGGGTGGGGAAAAAAAGACTATGTTGGTTCTGGGAAATAAAAATAAGTCATTGTAAAAACATAGAAGTTTTCAACTATTCCAAGCGCCATTGAGAATCCAAGTAAAATGAGGTCTAAAAAATAAGCACTGAGTTTTGTACCATAATTGTCATTAAAGATCTTATCAATAAGTGTTTCAATGCAATAATTGACGTTAGACGCTGAATTAAAGTGGATTGAAAATAAAATGACAAGTCAGAAAATGGTGGTGAGGATGTACGTAATTCCCTGAGAAGTGTGGTTTATAAGGAGAATGGTATATGGGAGCTGAAGGGGTTGTTTAAATAATGGCATAAAGCCTCCAATTATTAAGATGAAAGTATGTATCAAAGAAACACAAGGAATAATGGAAATCTAAGGTGCCTAAAAAGACGAGATAAGATGAAATCCAAAGCAATGAAATCCAAAGAATTGGCCTCAAAGTAAGAGAACTAGTCTCATGTATTAGTGGATATATCAATATAATATTACATTACTAAATATGATATTTGTGTGTTTAGTAGTGAGGAGTTGAAGATATATCATTTAAGGGCTTTGCTTTCTCTGCAAAGTAGCAATAATGTGAGTTGAGAATAAGTTAGGGGATCAGAAAAATCAGGATTTGGCTTTAGTGGCAAAGGCCTGAAATTTTTGATGACAGAACCAGTTGTGATAAGAGAATCTTTGAAAGGCCACTGTACATTGTAGGGGATCCACTTGTGGTTGGTGATCACAAATCTGTAATGTATTGAATTTACTTTTTTAGGTTGCCTTCTACAAAATGTTTAGTAGTTTGGAGGCAAGTATGGAGAATGTAGATAGATGTATTCCTTTAGGGTGTGGATGCAATGAAAAAAGTCATACATTCAAGGAATCGAATGTTGTGTCAAAATTTATTGAAATTAAAAAATTTATTGAAATTAAAAATGGAATCTGGCCAGGCACAGTGGCTCATGTCTGTAATCCCAGCACTTTGGGAGGCCAAGGCGGGCAGATCACTTGAGCCCAGGGGTTTTAGACCAGCCCGGGGAACATGGCGAAAGCCCCGTCTCTATTAAAAAAAAAAAAAAAAAAAAAAAATACAAAAAATAGCCAGGCGTGGTGGTGCTTCCCTGTAGTCCTAGCCACTCCAGAGCCTGAGGCATGAGAATCGCTTGAACCTGGGATGTGGAGGTTGCCGTAAGCCGAGATCGCACCACTGCACTTCAGCCCAGGTGACAGAGCTAGACCCTGTCTTTAAAAGACAAACAAACAACAACAACAACAAAAACATGCAATCAAAGTCAAAAAGAGAAAAGCCTAACGAACTGGGGAGAAACAGAGAAGATTTCTCAGGAGACAAGTTTTAGGAATTATTTCAGGGTGCTTGAGATAGTTATTAGGTAGACCACATCTGCTCCTGGTGGGGGTGATCTAGATCTAGAGTGCTGTGCAATGTAGGAGTAGGTCAGTTGAGAGCAAATGGTACCTAAACAACCTTACCAATTCCTGCAAGACGAACTCTCACTTATTTGGTCAAATCAGTCTCCAGCTCTAGAACCGCAACAAGGCTTACTATTTTTTTTGTTGTTTGTTTTTCTTCTGGTTTATGATTATTGATTTAGTTTAGTGGTTACATGAATGAAGATCTTTTGGAAATCGGATTCACTAGGAGTCAGGAGACTGAATTCAAATTGTGCTATTATCAGCCTTTAACTACGTGGTCTTCTGGACAAGTCATATTTTTTCATCACCTGTAGAGTGACTTCATTGATGAAGATCTTAGGATGCTCAGAAAGAACCTTTTTAGGCTGGAGGACTGTGATTCTTTTTAGGCTCTATTATTCTCTATTATGTTTAGGGAGGTCCTGCAGTAGTATAGAAACTCAAACAACTATGTATTAGCTTTATTTTTTCAAGGAGTCAAAACTTTAGAATCATCTTTGTTTTCCTGAGTATGATCAATTAGAAATTGGTTGTGATTGATTATCACAAATATATAGTTGTTTGGATTTACCTTTTTAGGTTACCTTTTACAAAACAGTAGTTTGGAGGCATGTACAGAGAATGTAATAGATGTATCCTTTCAGGATGTGGAGGCAATGTGAAAAGGACAACAAGTACAATGAAATTAGAACCACTGAATTATAACTGATGCCCACCTCTGTTGATTGCGACTATATAAATTTTCTTACATCTCTGCTGCTCTTACCTTGACCACTGAAAACATGCCATGTCAGATTATTACCTCCTAATCTCTGGACTCTTGTAATAGGAAACTAACCAATTTTCCTGAATGCAGTGCCTGTTTTTATACATTTCATTCCCAATCTCCTTAAAGCTCAAGATAAAGTCCAACTTTCTAGGGCAAGGTTTTGATCTTTCCATTTCCACACTCAAAAATATTATTGACTTCATATTTCTTTCAGGATAACTTTCAAAAATCTTAGCTTGATAATTAAGATTCCTTATCATCTTATTTGACCTTATTAAAATGGTCATTTTTTTTTTACTTTGAATTTTGGTAGGGGGCTTGTACTAACTTTATGTAAGAAAAAGGTACATATTTATACTGACAAGATATTTCTTCTTGGTGAGGCTAAAACCATTGAATCTATTGCCCCCAATCTATAGTCTTCTCTCTTCCCTTTTCCTGCTTAACTTTCCTTCTCAGTAGCAAGCACTATCTAACATATTCCATATTTCCATATTTTAATTATTTATTACCTTTCTTACTAGGTTATAAATTACTTGAGGACAAAGATTTTAGTGTATTTTGTTTGCAATATCCCCAGTGTTTAGTCAGTTTCTGGTACATGGCAGATGCTCAGTGAATTTTTGTTAAATAAAGTCATGAGTAAATGACACATTTTAAATATGAATTATGAATTATTTTGTTGAATCTTGTACAATGCTTTATATGATAAAATTAAACAGTAACATAAAATGCTATTTTTAAAAAAATCTTAATTATTTTGAAAATAGTATAGTCCTTACATAGATTGTTCCTCTGTGGACAGTTTTCTTCTTTTGGCTGATGTTCAACGCATCTAGTTGAGATTTATAATAATACTTGGTTTTCAAGTGATTTTTGCTGATGTTGATTTGAGGAGAACGACTTCTTGGATCAGCTCTCTGGGGAGTGCAATAGAAAGAGGGCTAGCCCTGCTGAGGTTAGCTTGTAATTACAGATCGATTCTTCTCATAGTTTGAGTAAATCTTAATGTAGTAAATTGGAAGGCATAATAAGCAACCAACTAGAAAGCATATTAATTTTAATGATGCTTTGTTTTACTAATGAACAATTGTCTTCACTAAATAAGTTATCATTGCCACATTTTAAATTTTATCTACAATAAAGGACCAAGTTTTCATGATTGACTCCAAGTGTGAATCTGGAAAAGGACGCTGCTCTTTCAACCCCAACGTGAACACGGTGTCTGTTATGATCAGTAAGTAGACAACGAAAGAGGGAGGATTAAACATAAAATAACATGGAAAATTAGCTTGACATGGTATACCTATTCTTGATGGTTGTGTGGATGATAGTATGTGAGTAAAATAATATGAAGAAAGTTGTGAGCTGAGAAATAGAGAGTTCAGTTTCTCATTTGTAAGAATATTTATGATTAAATAATAAGCATGTAACTTATGACAGTTTTGTCATTCCCAGAGTAGGCCAAGCATTTTTTATAAGTGTGTATATGTATACTTATATATTATCATAAAGTAGTTTTCAGTGTTTTCTGTAATTGTTTGTAGTATTAACTACACCCACTTTTTCTCATGTTTTAGTATTTTTTTCTTTACCTTTCATTATTTTTTATTTGTTTTTAGTTGACAAATAATAATTGTATATATTTATAGGATACAATGTGGTGTTTTGATCTATGTATACATAATGGAAGAATTCAGTCAAGCCAATTGACATATCCATTACCTCGCCCACGTATTTTTTTGTGGTGAGAATGTTAAAAATCTATTTTTAAGCAATTCGGAAATATGCAATAAATTTTATTTACTGTCACCATGGTCACTGTGCAGTATAGTAGATCACTAAAACTGATTCCTTGGATAAACATCTTTTTTTTTGCCCCTCCCTCTGTCCTCCAGCCCCTGATAATTAACCTTTCTACCCTCTGTTTCTATGAGATCAACTTTTTTAGATTCCACATGTAAGTGAGATCACACCTTATTTGTCTTTCTGTGCCTGGCTTATTTCCCTTAGTGTAATGTCCTCCAGTTCCATCCATGTTGTCATAAGTGACAAAATTTCATTCTTTTTTAAGGCTGTATAGTATTCCATCGTGTATATATGTACCATGTTTTTAAAAATCCATTCATATGTTGATGAACACTTAGGTTGCTTCCATGTCTTAGCTTTTGTGAATAATGCTGAAATGAACATGGGAGTATAGACAATGAAATACCACCTCACACCTGTTTGAATGGCTGTTATCAAAAATACAAATGATAACAAGCATTGGGAAGGATATGGAGAAGAGGAAATTGTGTACATTGTTGGTGGGAATGTAAATTAGTACAGCTATTTTGGGAAATGGTATGAACATTCCCCCAAAAACTAAAAGTAGAATCACCATATGATCCAGCATTTCCTCTTCTGGGTATATATCCAAAGGAATTGAAACCAGTATGTCAAAGAGTTGTCTGCACTCCTGTGTTTTAGTAATCTTTTAGAAATGGTTAAAGGGGTGTTTTTTCAAAGGAAAGATGAACAAAGTGCACGTGTTAGCCAAGTTCATTCTCTGTGGATTGTCTAAAAATTGCTATGCCAAAAAGGAGATGGTAATAAAGCTATTTTTTCATTTTTTCACTTTACACAAAATATCAGTTAAGCAGCGGGCCTAATTGCTTAATGATCCACACATTGACAAGACGATTTTTAAACCTCAGTCATTGAATACCTATGACTCACTTAAACAACATTCTCTTTTGATTGAGACACTTTAAAAATATGTCTGAGTTAGCCGGGCACAGTGGTTCATGCCTGTAATCCCAGCACTTTGGGAGGCCGAGGTGGGTGAATCACCGAAGGCTGGAAGTTCGAGACCAGCCTGACCAACATGGAGAAATTCTGTCTCTACTAAAAATACAAAAAAATGAGCCGGGCGTGGTGGCGTGCACCTGTAATCCCAGCTACTCAGGAGGCTGAGGCAGGAGAATCACTTGAACCTGGGAGGCAGAGGTTGTGGTGAGCCGAGATCACGACATTACACTCCAGCCTGGGCAACAAGAGTGAAACTCTGTCTCTGAGTTGTCATGTGTTGACCAAGTAACAAATGTTGGATTTTAGTATGTCATACGTATAGTAGACGTCTTTTCCTCTTTGCTTTTTTTTAATGTATTGCCAGCATTAAAATTTCATCTTTCAACCATAGAACAGGTAAAAAATAATTATTGTGTTCAAAATGCTTGCTTTGGTTCATTTAAATAGATAACTCATCTTTCTTTCTCATATCTGGAAATTACATTAAGACAGGTAAACCTTGGAAGTTATTCAGTGAATTGCTTGAATATCGGCATTCAAGTCGGACAGGGAGGAGCCAAAAGTATATCATTTAGGACATAAAGTTAGCTTTGAAACTACAAAGTTATCCAATTATGACCTATGCAAGGCATGTTTCCAAATATTTAATAGAAGCAGTGTTTTGGAAATTCTTTTCTCCATTAGGAAGGAAACTTTATTCACCTTCAGAAACCATGTGGTGTGTTTGATAGTAATTAAATATATATATAGTTTTCATTTGTTTCCTTTTAAATGCTGCAAAAATAAACCTCAAGGATCTGTTCACATAGCTGCTACTGGAGTTTTATCTCATTGAATATTCTTTAGAATAATAAGGATTAGAACAAGGCATTATAAATTTTCTTGCTAAATTATCTTAAGTCATTTAATAGTCTTGCCCTTAGAGAATTGGATTTGTTTCCAAAATAGGAGTTAGACATTGGCCTTCTTTGTTTTTCAAGGACCTGAGAGTTGAATTCCTATGCTCATGTTCCTATACTACTTTTAACATTTGAGTAACTTTACATTTTGTAATCAAATGAAAGTCACTAAACAATTTGCTTGCCTTGAAAACTGACAGTAAAAAGAACAAAAAGCTTTATAAGATTGTAGTTATCATTTTATTCATCCAATTGATTATCCCTCTCAAATTATCTCCTGTGATTTCTGTGGTCATCTCCCTTAACCATGTAATAGTACTTTATCATTTCCATTCAAGCGCAGTGTGCTAATAAAAGCACAGATTGCTTAAGATATTTATATCTATTAAATGACCAGAAACCTGAAGAATTAGAATTCCAAATTTCATGATGTAGTTTTGCAAGTTCAGTGTGCTTTTGCTATTTTCAGTCACTGCTGTAGGCAACAACGAAGTCAGATGTTATCTTTTAAAGAGCCTACATAACTTTATGAAGTTTTTCTAGTCAGTAGAAATACAGTTGGAAAGCAAAATGTTTTTGAAATAAAGCTAAAAGGCACAAGTTTATTTCTGCATAAGGTCATGCAAAAAATCCTCTCAAGATTGTTACCAAAGTGACATTTATCAAAAATTTCTTATTGATATAAAATGAAGCAGAAAGTTCCTTACTTGCTGTTAAAATTACTGCGAATTTAAGATAGGAAATGAAGCCAATTAGATGTGCAGGCTTATGTAATGTTTGAGACATGACTAATAAGGTGGTATGAAGTAGGATTAGAATTAGCCCTCTCTGCCATACACTAACTTCTTAGTATCTTTTTTTCTTTTTCTGCTTGAAAACAGATATGACAATTGATAGCTGTGCCAATCAATCTGTTGAACAGCAGGAATGTATAATCCACAGTTTAATGGTTAATTGAATATACAAAAATGTGAAATAATTATTTACAAAGTTGCCACAATTTAATAGCTAGATCTGTGTGTATATAAGCCTCACAAATGTTCTTAGAATTTTAAAGAAGCTAAAATGGTAAAGAAAAAAAAAAGCCTTCATACACATTTTTGTTATCTCCCTATAATCTGTTTCCCTGGGCCTAGAACCCCTACTAGGAAGCAGAGCTGAGCAACAAAATGCCCGCCACACCAGCTTGCTAACTGGTAGGGGTCCAGTTCATAACCTGGCGAGCACATATTAGATACATTCCATTCTCCATTCAATGCTGGGCCGACTGGTACTGCTTATTACTAAACAGTGAGCTTAGAGTACTTTGAAATGTTCCAATCCTGCCAAAATGACCACGGTCTGAAGGTAGCCCAGGGAGTAATCCTAGAACAACAGTCAAGGAACGCAGCTGCATGGCAGTTCAGTGGGCCAGGCTGATAAATTTCATGCTTTTTATAATAGATATTTAGCTACTGTTTTATACTCAGGGGTCACGTTTGTTACCAATTCAATGCTTACTGCTCCTTACTAGATGAAAAGTAATATGGATCTTCAAACAATAAGGTAAATGTTGAATGTTATGTATATATAGATTAATACATCTGATTCTGTTAATAGTGAAAATTTATTTAATTTTAAGTATCTTTTCTTTCTTATCGTATTCTATTTTTATGGCTGAGTTGCAGTTGAAAAAGTAGCACTTTGTTTACCTTACCAGGAAACTTCTAGCACTAAAGATCAAAATATGTACTTTTAGTGATTACATTTTTTAGTCACTGATAATGTTTTGACAGTTATAATGTGGCCTCCTTGTCATGTCATAATAATAATTCTTAAAACTATTATATTCAATCCATTTAGGATGATCTTAGAAATTTTAATATGTGTTAAGAACTTTTAAGATCATAATCTAATTCCCATACATTGTAGATTAGAAGGTTGAGACTCTAGATGTTCAATAGCTTAGCACTAGTTCCCAGCTTGTTAGGGATTACCAAAGTTAGAAACCATGTTTTCTGACTCTTACAGTGTTTTTCTTTTAAATGTATTATAGGTAAACAGTTAAGCTATTTTGTTATCTATTATACGTCTGCCATTTCTGATAGACTCTATATAAAAATTAATATATAGTATAATTAAGTACAGGTAGAGGAACTCTCACTTTTACATAGAATAAAGTTGTTTTGAGGTTTGATTTTTTAAAAAACATAGTAATTATCATTCAGGCAATAATGAGAAAAGATTAAAATTTATAAAATTTATTGATTTGCTGGACAATGCAAACCAATTAATATTTGTTATAACCAATTATCATAACACTGTAATACCTGTGGTGATCTCCTAATAAATAAACTCACCTAGAATTTCAAAATAGCTTTAAAAATTTACATTTCATTGATATTTTCTTTTTCATAGATGAGGAGCTTTTCTCTGGAATGTATATAGATTTCATGGGGACAGATGCTGCTATTTTTCGAAGTTTAACCAAGAGGAATGCGGTCAGAACTGATCAACATAATTCCAAATGGCTAAGTGGTAAGAAAGCATTTGATGCATTTATTTTTTAGTATCGTGTTAAACTAACTTATTTAATTCTATCCTAACAACTAGGGAAAATGGTTAAAAACTAAAATAGCAGGCTATTACATGAATAATGGTAATTCTGTACCCTATGATTTAAAATATTCGGGGAAAATAAACAATTGAATAGCTCATAGTCCATATTTCGATTCTTTATTTCTATTAATCATCCTACAGTTATCATATGAATATGAATAAATAAAAGTGACAGTGATAATTTATATTTCAGTACCCAAGCATCTTCTCCAGTTGTTTAATTGTAACATATTGCAATTAAATATGCTTTTTACTTCATTTAATCTGCTTGTATGTTTTAACAATACCAAATCTAAAAATTATCCCAAATGTATGACATTGAGATGCAATGAACAGAGTATAGCCGGGGCCTCCTCTCTTTTTGTTTTATACTTAGATTCTAAAATTACAAAACTGGTATGTATTTTCTCATAAATGGACTAATATTCAGTAGAAATCATAGGAATGATAACTATGATTATCCATATTCAGTTGCCTCCAGCTCTTGGAGTCATATGGAATTCACATCAAAAAAGGTGCTCATTTGGTTTACCGTATTATTCCAATCAATTGCTGTTGTTTAGAGCAATTAAAAAAACAAAAACAAAAACAAAAAACGAAGATTCTTGTCATTTCACCCTGGAGAAAATTTTTAGCTGACCCTAAATGTGGCAATTCATTTAACATTGCAGAGTTAAGCATGAATCACCACAGTGAAGCATCCTATTTCGCTGATAGGCCAGCACAAGAAAGCATTGATTGTTCATTTACTTATTCAGATTATTCCTCCAGTACATCTGGAAATAGAATATTCTAAAAGTTGTTTTGTTCTTGAAATAAGGAAACCCTGTATGTCTCCAAATGACTAATGACGCTGTTTTTCCTTGAAAAGTTTCCCCTTCATTTCGTATGTTGCATTTTAAGAAAAGTCATGTTTTTCAGAGTTTGGACTTCCAACTCCTCATTCTGCTTCAACAAATTTGAGTTTATATGTGCTAGATTGAAAAACATACTTTGAAAAATAAATATTTTTTTTCAATAAAATAGCCATCAGATTCCTTAGGAAATAACTGGTAGAAAAGTTTTTCAATTTTTTGAAACTCATTGGTGCACAAATAATTTTCACATTTCCTGCACTTCCTGTGGTACTCGACATTCCAAATGTGGCATGGTGTGTGAATGCAATTACTGCTTTTAGAAATGTGCCTGTAAATGTTGAATTGTTTTTTTCTACCAAAGATGGGGAAGGCATCTGCCTGTGGTCTACTTGGATGACAGAAGATGGATTTTCATAATGAATATATACCTAGTCTTTTACCTTTTTTTCTAGAACCTATGTTTGTAGATGCACATGTCATCCCAGATGGTACTGATCCAAATGATGCTAAGGTGTACTTCTTCTTCAAAGAAAAACTGACTGACAATAACAGGAGCACGAAACAGATTCATTCCATGATTGCTCGAATATGTCCTGTAAGTATTAATGCTGTTCCGATTTGAAGAAAGACCAAGAAATTCAAATTATGGTTTATCTCCGTGCTTTTATTATCAACCATTACAAATAAATAAAATATTGAGGGAAGCATTTAATGTAACATTTATTCATCATCATTATTATATTTAATATTCATCATTTTATATTGAATATAGTGTTTATAACCCCAACCCAAATTCTAACCCTCAATAAGTTATATGAGATAAACATACCCTATTTTAGTAAAAATCTTAATTCAAGAAAATATTTTGTTTTTGTTCTTGAACAAATAAACACTTCTGACAAATTTTTGCATATTCATTTAATGCATTGGTATTCAAACCAATAGCTAAATTGCATATTACCTAAAGAAACTGATTGTTGTCAATAAAATACAGTAAATATCTCAGTAAGAGATGATTATTAAGGAACCATTTATAAATAGTGAAAATTAAGAAAAGCTTTAATAAAATTCTAATTAAAAACAGTAACCAAAATGCTCTTGTGTAGAAACAATAAGTATACATAGCAACACAAGAAAATTTGTGATGTCCTTTCTATAATAGAGTTTTACAGACTTATCCTGACTTATTTATGATTAGCATCCTTTGTGAAAAAATGTTTCTTAAAGTGCTTAGTGTTTAAAATAGTTTATATATTATAATACTCCACTGATCATGGAGCTCAACTGTTTCTCAGTCATTTGCAACAAGGCAGCGAAGTCAGCAGAAGGGGTAAAAGGCCTTTGGACACAGGAAGAAAATGTCTTCACTGGAGACTATTTGTGAATGATCCAAATGCCATTTCTCCTTATAATGTATAATTAGGCATCAGATTAGAAATACTGAAAATTATGTGATAATTTGGATAAATGAAGGAGTGAATGTAAAACTGTTGGGGACCATTTTGTGTAAAGATATAATCACTCTCCTGACCACAATCTGCAAAACTCACTGTGTATAATAATTTATGTTCAAATTGAAGACAATAAATTATCAAGGAAAGGCAGATTAAATGATCTATTTTCTATAACATTATATAAATACTTCCATTGTACATCGTTAAAATTAGAAATAATTATGTCACACATTTATCAAATAAATGTATTTTCAGCTGACATCATGCTATAAGAGAATAATAGTATAACTATTGTATAAAATACTATAAGTCATAAATATTCCTCTTTGACAACTGATGTGCAGAAGTGGTTAACATATCCATTCTTCAGATTTTCATCCTCCAAGCAACTAGAGTACAAGTCGAATTTTTAATGTGCTTCAATATTTACTTAAGCAATCTGAATTATGTTTACAAAATGGTTTTAGAATGACACTGGTGGACTGCGTAGCCTTGTCAACAAGTGGACCACTTTCTTAAAGGCGAGGCTGGTGTGCTCGGTAACAGATGAAGACGGCCCAGAAACACACTTTGATGAATTAGGTACATACATATGAGATTGAAAAATGCTTCTGAAAGAAGGCTTGTAAAGTTTATATATTTAAATAAGGTCTCAAAAGAAGATGTACTTTCCATATTTTCAGCATAAATAATATGCTAATTTAAAATAATTATCTAGATACTGTTCATAAATTTTCTTAAGTATTTTGTAATCTGTTACGCCCATGAGTGCACTGCTGAAACATTTAGCTCATTGAATTCACCATAATATATGAATGAATGTGTGTGTTTGGGGGTGTAACTTGTATAATGTGTGTATAGGTAATGATATGTTTGTGTTTTTATAAATGAATATTTATTTCATGTATATTAGAATATCTAATATTCTGATTTTGTGTGAAAATACAGCTATATATTTTTACTATTGTAGCTAATGGACAGGATAGAGTTTGGATGGAAAAAAGTGTCAGAGTAGAAATTTGGAGACTTGTGTTCCCTTCTTAGTTCTGCTTGGTGACTCTGAGATTAGATATTCTCAATGTGACATGAGGAGGCTTACACTTTCCAGGTCGAATAAGGACTGACAGTCTGATTCCCTCTGCCAAGGAACAGTTTTTTTATTTTTTTAATCTGAATATCCCAGGGCACATCATATTTACTAAATGTCATTTGTAAATGACTTTTCTTTCACCTTAATTCATTAGAAGGTAAAATAATGGTCATTCTCAGATTTTGAGACAGGTGATAAGTTATAAATCTGTGTTACCATGTGGAAAAAATTTACTGATTCTAATAGTAATGAACTATATCGTTCTTCTGATCAAAAACCATTATGTTGATTATGGAACAAAAGTTTCTAGATAAGCTTTTCTAGAGAAAAGTTCTAAGTATCATTTTGTGAAACAGGCTACTTGCTCATTCTACTCCCCTGAATGTTTGGGAATATATTTTATGTTTCAGTCTTTCTTTTTTTTTTAGGGAGAGCTAGACATTGTCAGCCTTTATTCACATATGGAAGGACTAGTGATTGTTAATTTGTTGTTTGAGTGGTTATAAATTTATTGCTTATGAGGTCATTTAAATTCATTTTTAATTTAAAATAAATACATATTTCTTTGTGTTTCTCAGTAATAATTCTGTTAGCAAGATTGTCACTATGTCTGGGCCTTTCATATAATCATGGCAATTGATTATTAATTGGAGTTTTCTATCAGAAATCTACTTTCATATTCTGTTATTTATCACTTCACTGTGCATACTTTTGTTTTTGCCTTACTACACTTTAAACATCTTTTTGTTAGAGGAGCTATCATTAAATAAAAGTATCACTAGCAATTTTGACCATATGCCACAAAAAGTTCTATTTGATGGTAAGATGAGTTACCGTGAAAAAGTTTTATTCCATCTTCCAGCTCCTAAGATTAGATCAAAAAGAAATTGAGATTTGTAATTTTTTTAATTAAAACAGTAATATATTAACATTAAAGGATATTTAGAAAGAAGCACCAGAATATTTCTACAGCTTTGCCTCTTGTAACACTCACTGTTAATCTTATTCTTATATTCTGATGGATATTTTTAAGGTTAATATGGTTCTAGTCCATATTATGTAATATATCATTGTACTTTTTCCCCATAATATTATTTTACTAGCATGGTTTTCACAAGGATACAAAATTTTCATAAATTCCATTAGTATCTGTATTAATTTAATTTAATTTAGTGTTTCTATCATTATTTGTTTCCAAATTACCATAATGGTACAGGAATATCTTTTTGCAGAGTACTTTTCAGAGTTGAAATTATTTTCTTAGGGTAAATTTTTCAAAACAAAGAAGTTAATATTTAGAAACTTTAAAAGAATATTTTCCTTTTTATAGAGGATGTGTTTCTGCTGGAAACTGATAACCCGAGGACAACACTAGTGTATGGCATTTTTACAACATCAAGGTAATTATTCAACAGTTACATTTTATGAGTTAAACAATAAACTTCATGGAGTAACAGTAATTATTATAAAAGCATTCTTCTCTGCAACTTTTAATTTTACATGTCATTTGGGATGTAATCCTTCCATTTTATTTACTTTTGCCTGATTACCAAAATATATTGGAGCTAAACTAATGCTTTCCAAATACTTTTGTAGAGAGTATTTGTAATGATTGCATGATATTTTTATCAAACAAATCAAAATAATGAATTATAATGTAGGAAAAAATACGTGATTTTTTCAATAAAATAATTTGAGCACTTGTGAGCAAATAAAACTTTTGGCATTTTTTTGGTTGCTGTTATCAGAGGTAATAAATGTTTATCACCTGGATTGTAGTGACAGTAACACAAGTGTATACATATGTCTGAACTTACGACATTGTATACATTAATTAATTGTGTACAGTATTTTTTTGTATACCAATTATACCTTAGGAAAGCTGGAAACAATTACGCATTTCAGTAAAAATACTTTTTACTTCTGAAGTAAAGTGATGACTATTTAGGACCTGACAAAACACTGAACCAATGTTCTTTTTCTGTCTTTTTTTTTTTTTTTTTTGAGATGGAGTCTCGCTCTGTTGCCCAGGCTGGAGTGCAGTGGTGCGATCTCGGCTCACTGCAAGCTCCGCCTCTGGGGTTCATGCCGTTCTCCTGCCTCAGCCTCCCAAGTAGCTGGGACTACAGGCGCCCGCCACCACGCCTGGCTAATTTTTTGTATTTTTAGTAGAGGTGGGGTTACACCATGTTCAAGGCAGGATGGTCTTGATCTCCTGACCTCGTGATCCGCCAGCCTCAGCCTCCCAAAGTGTTGGGATTACAGGCATGAGCCACTGCGCCCGGCCATTTTTTTTTTTTTTTAAGATTGGGTCTCGCTCTGCTGCCCAGGCTGGAGTGCAATGGCATGATCTCAGCTCACTGCAACCTCCGCCTCCTGGATTCAAACAGTTCTTCTGCCTCGGTCGCCTAAGTAGCTGGGATTACAGGCATGTGCCACCAGACCCAGCTAATTTTTCTATTTATTTATTTATTTTTAGTAGAGACAGGGTTTCACCATGTTGGTCAGGCTGGTCTCAAACTCCTGATCTCGTGATCCGCCTGACTTGGGCCTCCCAATGTGCTGGGATTACAGGCATGAGCCACCGTGCCTGGCCAATTTTCTTATTCTATGTGAGATTATTTTATGTATTTGAAAATTAGTTTAATGTTTTCTCACTTCTCTGGGATGCCCAAGCTAATTAAAGTACGTATTTCAAGATAAAAAATCTTTTTTTTAATCTTGCTCATATTTTTCTTTATTAATTTTATAGTAGGCATATTCCTTAGAGTTAAGCTGTAACTCAGCCACTGTGGAAGATAATGGGTCCCTTTGATTAGACAATCAACTACAAAGCAAAAATCTAAAGGTTTTAGCTGTTTTTTTTCTTTAATGGGAAAACATAGTATAATTGTAAACTGCAATGAGCTATTCAAAGAAAAAGAAATTTACAAGTAAGTTGTTTTTAAATATTTGCAGTTGCCCCACAAGATGTCTAAAAAGATGTCTTTAAGGATGAGTTTAACTCCTGTTCTAAGTAGTCTTGATTTAACTCACAAAGAATTGAACAAAGAAAAAAAATCAAATTCTTAAGAAAATGTTGTTTTCAATAAAACGATTTTTCTTGTTTTGTTTTTTCCAGTACCTGTAACTTTAATATCAAAAAATTCAAAATCATCATTCTGCCTATTGATACTAATGATTAACAATGTATCTTACTTGTTTTTATGGGAATGCACCTTTTTTCATTAGACGTCTAATTTGAAATAAATATGTGAGTCAGAGAAATACTGATTTCAGCCAACCTGCCATAGGACAATGGAAATATTTCTTACTAAAGATTCAAACAAATTTTATGAGGTGTCATTGACTAAAGATGGTTTAATGAATTTTTTTTGGGCCCCTATTTTTTGTTCTGTGACCAACAGGGGAAGTACCTAAACCGTGACAACATAGACTTCTCCAACTAGTATTCAGGATACCATGTGAGAACACTCTCATATTAAAATAATCATAACACAAAAAGATATGGTGTTCAATTATTAATGAGATTCATCTCTTTGAGTTAAATTGTGATAGGTTATATTGATAGTGATTTGGAATTCAAATTCATATTTTTAAATAAAATCATCAGTATACTTTCTTGCTGCTAAGATGAACTAGTTAGAAACTTTTTTGAGTTGTCCTGTATTTTGGAAACATTGAAAAGGACTTTACTATAACTTATTGTCTACTGACTCCATGGATGAATTGAGTATTGTAATGCTTTATGTATCAATACCTTTTTTCAAAGTTTTTCAGCTTTTCACATGTGTTCGATAACATTTAACTTTTCTATGGTGGATTATATTAACTTTTTATCATAAATTTTACCATATATTTTTTAAATTGTATTTTAATTTTAAAAATTTGAAAATGCCTTTTTCTGTTTTCTTTTTTAGCTCAGTTTTCAAAGGATCAGCCGTGTGTGTGTATCATTTATCTGATATACAGACTGTGTTTAATGGGCCTTTTGCCCACAAAGAAGGGCCCAATCATCAGCTGATTTCCTATCAGGGCAGAATTCCATATCCTCGCCCTGGAACTGTAAGTATCCAGGGAAAATTCTTTGTTATGATGCTTTATAAAAACTCATTTAACAGGTAATGAATATCTGTGGGGTTTTTTGGGGTTTTTTTTTGAGACGGAGTCTCACTCTGTTGCCCAGGGTGGAATGTAGTGGTGCAATCTCAGCTCACCTCACCCTCCGCCTCCCGGGTTCAAGCGATTCTCCTGCCTCAGCCTCCTAAGTAACTGGGATTACAAGCATGCACCACCATGCCCGGCTAATTTTTGTGTTTTTAGTAGAGACAGGGTTTCACCATGTTGGTCAGGCTGGTCTCGAACTCCTGACCTCGTGATCCGCCCGCCTTGGCCTCCCAAAGTGCTTGGATTACAGGCGTGAGCCACCGCACCCGGCCTGAATATCTGTTTTAATTAAGGAATAACCATGTGAGAAATAATTTAGAGATACTTCACATAGAGATAGTTCCATTTCTAGGAATCTATTTAGATAGAAATTGTGTTACATATATCTCATAGGAAGAAAATGTATGTGTAAGCAAATAATTACAACAAATGAGATGTAATTTTTAAAATAAAATATTTGTAACTGAAGTAACACAGATTAGAACTATTTAACTATAGGCAGCTTTCTAATTAGGAATGGTCTGAACTAGAAGTACTGTTATTAAAGCTGGTAGCTATATCCATATCATGCAATATTAGTAGTATTAGGAATACATTGAAAACTCAGTTTTCCAGCTGAAGATACAGACAGTGCACTGGAATATTAGAACCGGAATTTTTCTAAGGGTCCATTGATAACAGTCCTACTCTTTCTTTCTCATCTGGCCTATAATAATGCTGCCTTCTAGAATGTTGATTAGTTTTTTTTTCTAAAATGTCAGACAGTACACCGAGAGATGTTATATAATTGAACATTAAGAGAAATATAATCTTATATCTCTGTATTTCATAAAATAGGGCTATAATTATAAAATGGATAAATATGAACAATGAATTTATTTTAAAAATCAAAAGATACATTTATGTAAACAAGGTGTTCCTTTTTTCTTGAATTTGAAATTATCTTTGCTAATATTCTTCCAAATAATTATCCCATATAATTTTTACTAATTGTTGATTCATTTTATTTTTCTTATTAGAGTTTATTTGCAATATTGTTTGCTCCTTTATTTTCTTCTTAAATTATACCAATGTTAATTTTTTGAAAATTGAAGATACAGTTTGCTAAGCCTTTAAAGAGCATATTTTATTCCAAAAATTTTAAAGCTTAAGTTTTGTTCCTGGCTAGGAAGCTCAAAGTTTAATCATTTATATGTATTTTGTGTGGAACAATTGATCTTTAATTAACTTTGGAAAAATTATGAGAATTGCTTCTTATTCATAAAAAGATTAAATTTTTAGGTCATTCTTAATTATAAGTGACAACAAAGTCCTGTCACAGAATTTATATTATCCTTTAAGATGATCTCTCTTTGATGTTCGCAGCTCTAAAGAAGATGGACAGAACATTAATCTTGTATAAAACAGGGAAAAGCATCAGCAGATACAGCCGTTTTAAGATTGGGGAATCCTGGTGTGGTGGTGGGCGCCTGTAGTCCCAGCTACTTGGGAGGCTGAGGCAGGAGAATGGCGTGAACCCGGGAGGGGAGCTTGCAGTGAGCTGAGATCACACCACTGCACTCCAGCCTGGGCGACAAAGCGAGACTCTTGTCTCCAAAAACAAAAACAAAAAAAGACTGGGGAGTGCTGGATAAGAAGCAGAGATTATTTAAGAGAAAAGGAAGGGGAGGCTGAACAACTTTCAAATTCCGTTATATATCAAAGGCTGTTATTATTTTACTCAACATATTTTATGCATTTTCAGAGAAAAATATACTTTTGAGAGTGACTTGCTATTTGAAATTGACCTAGTCATAGACTCATCTTAATATGGAAAATTAAGAGGTGGTTGTGATTACGTGTGCTTTCATCAGTGATTCTTTTGAGCAGCATATAAATGGGGTTAGTACAGGAGCAGTTGATTTGCAAACTAAACAAAATTCTGTTCCCCCTAAAAAAACTTAAGAGAAACCCTTCAAATAAAGATATTAAAAAGATAAAAGAGAGCCATGCTGCTTGAATCAGGGTTTGAGGCCTCAGAGCCTCATGCAGTCTGTGCTGGAGCCAGCATGGACCCAGGTTACAAGAGCAGATAATGTACACCTCTTCTCAATTAAGAACATTAGAGTGGTAACTTGAAATCAGCCATCATGGAACTATCTACACCATGGAAATTGTCAAATGCTACAAATCAGGGAGATTTTTTTTTTCCTCATGCAAAGTGACCTCTGACCTTACCTCTCATCAGGCTCTTCACCCACGTGACAACTTAAAAGGCACCTTAACAGGTGTATAGAACTCAGAGCATCACTGTGAGAAAACCATTCATGTCAGGCAGCAATTGTTCTACATAAAATGTAGGAATACTAAACCCTTTTTAGTAAAACAGAATAAACCAATGCTAAATTAGAAAATTCTGCTAACAGTCCCACTTTTCACTGTTTTTTAGCTCTCAAGAATGACCATTTGTTTCCTGTTCCAAAGCAGTGTAGAGTAAGCCAGGGTTAGCAACACACATCTGCAACAGACTCCGTGAAAAAAGGGAGTAGTCAGGATTTGAGAAATATTTCTATAATGTGGTTTCTTACATCTGGTGTTGAGACCAGAGCAGCTCCTTTAAATCAAAAAATTGTCAGATGAGTGATCCTTAGAGAATAAAAGAGGCAGGGTAGGAGTGACCTTTGGAACTCCTCCTGGAAAAGCGTACCTCCCTGAAGATTCTGTCCCTCCACCCTTCAACCAGCAAAACACCATGAAGTCAGCTCTCTGACTCAAGAGTGGCAGTGTCTGTCTCTTCGTTGCACTTCCAGGGTTTAATATCGTCTCATGTAGCCGAACCACCTGCAGCCAAGTAATCCAAAGTATTCTCTCTTCTCTAAGGTTAAGAATGTTGCTTCTGAAGTCCTCCCAATGAAGGATCAACTGTGATTTTCCTACTTTATTTCCCCCTACAGTAGTATGGTTGCCCAGTCAACCCCATAAATATATGGCTGTGTTCTTAAAGAAATGAGACTGGCAGAAATCTCATACCCTCGTTCTAATGTTCCCTGTAGGTGCTTCTTTTAAAACACGGTTGGTAGCTCTGTTAGCAAACGACCCCACCAGCAAGCCCAAGTCAGTAGGAAGAAGCCTGCCAATTGTGTCATTATATTTTTCCGTAAGTAATTCAAGTTTGTGGAAGAAACAAGACACTTTTGGTATGTTGCAAAGGGCAGCCAAAGAATGAAAACTCTGTGGCCGAGCAAACATATTACATTATTCTGCTGCAACATGTATAAAGCTTCTGCAGGAGATTGTTTGTATAGTTGTATATCCTGTTAAAGCAGAACTTAATGAAAGTGTTCAACTTTAACATCTCTTTATAAGTATAACAGAGTCATGTGCTTCCATCATCATGCCTTGGACAGGTCGGGTACATGCAAAGGATCACAGAAAATTGATGAGCCACATAGTCAGTAGTGGCAAGGATACGAGAAGTTCATTGTTGGCAGTTTTGTTGATTACATACGTCTTCTGGTTGTGCTTACATTAGAGTATTTCTCTTTCTCTTAGATGTTTGAAAACATTCAGTTAGGAATGTTTCTAAGAAAATTGAATGCATAAGACATAGACATGAAAAATTAATTACATCGTCTCACATCATTATTCAAAACGTGAATAAAATTTTTAAAATAAATATTATTAAAGTTTAGAGGAGAGAGAGATTGTAGTAAAACAGTCTGATTTGAAAAGGGATTAAAAAATGTGAGATTGAGCTTGCCCTAGGGTGATTGGACGTGGATAAATTGAGTAAGGAAGGAAGGGGTTTTCAGATGAAGGGTACAGCATACACTACAAGACACAGATGGAAATGAATAAGTGATTTTTCGAAGCTCTGTGTGGGTTAGTAGGACTGGAGCAGTGGGCTTTTATATGTAGGGGAGGCAAATATAAGGAAGATGAGGGTCAGCTAATACATAAGCACAAGTCTTCAACTATGTAATTTTTTTGGCTTCAGACAAAGGGCTTGGATTACCAAGGTTGAAACATAAAATGAGTTTTTCTCAGTATACAAATTTCATAGACCAGTACTAGAAATAAGCATAGATTCTAGAGTGCCACCAAGACCCTTTATTTATCTATATACCACTCATCCCCCACGTGTTAGGTTAAGATCCCCTCGACCGTGCTAGTCACTCTTTCTCAGCCTAGTTTTGCATTTATTTTCTGCAATCTGTCTTCAGCCTCACCTCCTACCTCCTTCCTTCACTTTGGGCTCCATGATCCAGCCATGCCCTACGAATTACAGTTCTCTAAATACTCTAAATTTTGTTTTATCATCCCTAAACCTCTTCACTGACCTTGGCAGCTGTAAGTTCTCCACTGTTATAAACTTGTTTTAAAAATATTGCCTCTTGAGTATGTAGGGAAATTGATCCTAAACCAAAATTGATTGTTTATCTTACATTTGTTTCAAATTATTACTTTTTGTCATAATATTGTTATTTTGCTTTGAATATGTCTATCTTTCTTACTAGAATACTTGTGTCTGAAGATAACAGTAATTTTTTATTCTTGTGTCCCCTACTGGGCACATCAAAGTGCTTTTTGGATAAAATATGCTCAAGTAATGGATACGTATATTAACATATAAGTATATTCTGAAAACTGACCTAATGGACGTGAAGATTAAGAGAACATTTAGAAACTTCAGAAGGCAGCAGATATTTATGAATACCTGAGTATAGGAAGCAAGTTTGGTAAGGACAATTGCTGTTACTTTCCTAACATGGCATTCTTATTGTTCCTAGCATTTCATATCACACTTTAGTAATCAGAGCACTTGAAATGTCTTTACTCAAAAAAGGAGGGCTTATCACTGCTTGATAAACAAATAGCTGGAAGAACTGAGGAAAAACATTTAAAGGAGAAGTTTAACCAAAATTACTTAATGACTATTTGCAGAGTAAAATTAATGTTCTAAAGAATGAAACACCAGCCTAGTTAGTGGACAAATATTTTACGTTAGCACATAGATGTTATGTTATCTTGAAGTTTCAATAAACATGTTTTATTATTTTGCAAGGTGAGAGAAAAGTTAATCACATCTGATTTATTCTTGGCAGTATGACACTGAGCAAACTCAGTGCAGACAGAGTCTACAAAGGGCAATCAATTTGTGTTTGTGTTACATTATTAGCACTCATTGTCTGTCTTATCAGCAGAGTTGATGGCATGAATCAATAGAATAATTATTATCAAAAAGAATTGTTTGGTAAGTTTGAACATATACTAGGAGACACTTGTTTCTAGGTGATAAATTCATGGGAGTATTAAAAAAAGTCTTGTGGAGAATATTTTAATGAATGCAAAGTAACTTATTTGATTTGTTTAGATTACCTATTTAATAACTATGGTTTTGAGCAACCTTGACATAATTGTTAACCTGGATTTCATTTACCATTAAGTAAAAGCCAGAGACTAGGCACTGGTCATTTAATAAGCTTGTCTCACATCAAACTGTACTAACTGGAAATTATGTAAATTGTTTAGTAATATATGCTAACTTTGATTTTTCCAGAACTCAGAAACGAGAATGCTTGCAAATACTTAAGGAGACATTTCAGTTTAGCAAGCCATCATTAGCGGTGTTTTATAAAGTTCTGGAACTATTTAAATTACCCATGCATTGCTCTTTCCATGTTTTCATGCAGTGAGCAATGTATTTCCCTTTTTCCACTTTGTGTGAAGATTGAGGCTAGAAAACACCCATAATTCTATATTTTGCAGAAGTATGGAACACGTTCATCAGCTTAGAACAACCTCAAATTAAATTTTTTGTCCTCATTTTGGTCTTTGTTGTGAGCAGTTTGTAAATGTGTATTTAAATATAATACTTTTTAAAAAATAAAAACATATGAACTCCAGATGAAAGTCTAGTTAATGGAATAAAGAATGAGAGGTTTCGTTTTATTACTTGTCTCATTACTGCTACTCTTTTAAGTCATTTAATTGCTCCTTGTACCTTTCTACAAAAAGGGAACTATATTTATCAGATCTGTAAAAAGTTCTAGTCTGGTAATGTTAACTGGTCAAAGTAAGTCTCAATATTGCACTCATGATGCTGCAGTCTAAATGAGTGAGATAATATTAGTAATCTGCTGAGATCTAGCTGCACGTGGAGGCCTGCCTGACAACATTGGCCCAAAGGCACTAATACTGTTGGACAGCTGTTGCAGGGATTTAACCTGGAGATTGTCATATTTTGTTTGGCCCCCCATGTTGCTGTTCTTTTTTTACTGAGTCAACATTAAACACTTGGCAGATTTTACATAAAATTCCACATTCTATCTTCTGCTGAGGTCTGGAAGCACGAGGATTTTATTCCTGCTTAGAAGCAGTCAGCTGGATAAGTGTTCATTGCCATCTTTGGATAACACGTAACTCCCCAGTTTGTCACAGTCCCCATTGCATCCTGCTATTTATGACTGATGCTGTGCCTATTGCTATCAAACAGGCAGCTTGCTTTGTTACTTTCCTTTTATCACATACCTCTCTAAAGAGGATAAATGAAAACCAACACGATAGTGCTGTGTGTTTCAAGAAAAATATAGTGTTTTTGTTTCTGGAAGTAGAGATATCGACAGGAATTTAATATTGACAGGTATTTAATAACATTATTAATAGTAATAATGTTTGTATGTATTAAAATATTATACCCAATGGTTTTTCTCATATAACTTAACACTCAGATCCAATTAGTGAGTGAGTTTGAGTTCTGGCTTCAGCAGTTCCCAGCCTACCCTTAAGTTTGGCCTTAGGTGCCCTACGAATGGAATCTTCTCCTCAGAAGCCCTGTCAGGTTCCCTTGCCAGAACTGCTGACGCTGTTCAGCAGTCCTTTCTCCAGATCTCGTTCTTGTTTTCTGCCTGCCCCCTTGGACTCAGTGCTCTGAAACTTTTCCCTCCTGGCCAGAATTGAGGCCCCTGTTTCATACAGACCCGGCACCAAAATTGCAGGCCAGATACAATCAATGATATAATGCATTCATTCAGGCCAGATACAATCAATGATATAATGCATTCATTCAACTACTCTTTGGTGATTATCTACTAACCAGCTCTGTTATAAGTCTGATGGCAAAACAATAACAAAATAGACCCAGTTACAGTCAGCACAAGCTTACATTCTATAGGGAGAAACAGGCAGTTCTAGAGGGAGAAACAGACAATAAAGATGCAAGCAACTGATACATAATATACTGTTAGGTAAATAGGGCTGTGAAGAAAAATAGCAGGCCAAGGAGACAGAAAGTAAAGATGGAGAAGGGGAGCTACTTTTATATGTCATCACTTTCAAGAAGCAACTTTTGAACTGAGAACTGAATGTGAGGTAACAGAAATGGGGTGTTCTGGAGAGGAGTATGCCGGACAGGGAAGAGCAGGTGCTAAGATCCTGGAGGGGAAGTATGCTTGAGGCTCAGGAGCAGCAAGACCTACAGTAGGAGGGGCTGGCTCAGGCCAGATCATGCAGAGGCCTGTAGGCCATTCTAAGGTGTTGGTATTTTATTCTAAGGATAATGAATGGGATCTTTGATAGAGGGGAGTTACCAGATTTAATTTAACACATCCAATCTAAGCTGTCTTCTTCCTTCTTCTTCTTCTCTTCTTCTCTCCTCCCCTTCTCCTTCCTCCTCCTCCTTTCTCCTCCTCCTCCTCCTTTTTTCTCTTCTTCTTCCTTTTTTTATAGAGGTGGGATTTCACTCTGTTGCCCAGGCTAGAGTGCAGTGGTTTCATCACAGTTCACAGCAGCCTCAGATTCCTGGGCTCAAGAGATCCTCCTGCCTCAGTTTCCCAAGGAGTTGGGATCGCAGGCATGCACAGCCACACCTAGCTAATTTTTAACTTTTTTCCCAGAGATGAAATTTTGCTATGTTGCCCAGGCTGGTCTTGAACCCCTGGCTTCAACATCCTCTCATCTCAGCCTCCCAAAGTGCTAGGATTACAGGCCTGAGCCACCTAAGCCCCTAAGCTCCAATTTCTGAGCTCTCTTTTGGGAGGGCAGATCAGATGAAATAAAACTTTTACATGTCAGAGTTTGACTGAATTTAATGATAATAATATAATTTATTTTAACAAGTGGCAGCATTAGATTGTGTCCACTAGTTTTTGTTTTCTGAACAAAATGGTGTCTGGGACAAAATAAATAGAAAAGTGGTGAGTGAGAAGGGTGAAGAGTTATCTCATATACAAGATGGCATCAGCTCTTCTCTGAAAACAGAATAACATACAATGACTTAGCCTGATTCAAAATTAATACACACTGTACTAATCATCTACAGATAGTAAAACATAATCATGTTATTTCTTTTCACTTCCATAGGTAGCAGATATACTTAAAACAACTGGAGCTTCTAAGTGATTTCAAAAGTAGAGAGTTTTTGATTATTACTAGAACAAGACAACTATTTTATTAACTTGGTTCTTTAAAACTTTCTTTCTAGTGTCCAGGAGGAGCATTTACACCCAATATGCGAACCACCAAGGAGTTCCCAGATGATGTTGTCACTTTTATTCGGAACCATCCTCTCATGTACAATTCCATCTACCCAATCCACAAAAGGCCTTTGATTGTTCGTATTGGCACTGACTACAAGTATACAAAGATAGCTGTGGATCGAGTGAACGCTGCTGATGGGAGATACCATGTCCTGTTTCTCGGAACAGGTAAATATTTGAGCCCAAGATATGCTTTAATGTGTAGTAAAAGAATGTACTAAATATAGGTAGTAGGTAAGGGCCATGATCTTGAAACTAGAAAAACTCCAATAATTACGTCTGTCTAGCCCTTAGTGAGATATTTAATCTCTTTTTGCCTCAGTTTCACATCTGTAAAATGAAGCTAATAAAGTAAATTATAGAGTTCTTGTGAGGAATATATATAGAGATATATACATTATATAATATATATATGTAGGTAGGGCTATATGATTTTCTTGGCAATTTGTCATTACAAGATATTTGTATGATTTCTCTGCTGCACTTTCCATCCAAACTGGAAATGAACCAGCTTTGTGAAAAACTTCTTCTTGTCTCAATGGAAAAAGAAAAAAGCAATGATTAAGTACTAGAGTTGCATCTAGACATAACCGAAGCTGGTTTAGCCCTTATTTAATAAGCCATGGAGGTAAGTGTTCCTTTCAACTGAAACAGACTCTGTGACTTCTTAATCAATACATGAAGCCATTTTCTAAGGATAATGATAATGACAGATAACATACTCAATATAACATTTGGAAGTGAATGTGACTCAAATATAGACAGGTTTTTTGAAAATATTGATGGCACTCTTTTAATACATCTACAAATTCTATCAGTTTACTCTGATAGAAGTTGAATGAAAATGTGCTTGTTTATAGACCCACATGATAGGGAATAACTAGCATTGTATGTTATAGAGCAGTGGTTCTCAAAGTGTGGTCCCTGGACCAGTAATATCAGTATCACTGAGAACTTGTTGGAAATACAAATTCTGAGGTGCTTCTTCCAAAATTCTAGGGATGAAACCCACTCATCTGTGTTTTCGCAAGCCCTCTAAGTAATTCTGATGCACGCTAAAGTTAGGAACCACTACTCACGTCTTTCACACCCTGGCTTGTCGGTCGGGCAGTAATTTAAAATGTATTTTCAAACATCCCTAACTACCTTATAGGAACTGATGAAATCTCTTCACTTACAATAACACTCTTTACAATAACGTCTTGTTGTAATCTTAGAAATACTTTATGAAATTAGGTAGTTTATTAGGAAAGAGACAACACGTCTGTAAAAGTCATTATAAAATATGGCAGTGGTGGAATATGTGTTCTGGATCAAGGGATAAATTGCACTCGTACTTCAATCAGTTTAAGATGTGGGTACTTTTTCTTGGCTAAATAAAATTTCCAAAGTGTGCTAAGATAAGGTTTTTATTTTATCCTTTTTTTATTCTTGAAAACCCCATATCTGAATGTTTCATTTTCATATAATTTCAGCTTTATGGTCTGAGACTGAGAATCTTCTAAAATGTGCTACTACATTTGTTATCCTTTTTGGCATCCTAGGTTGGCATCCTTTCCCACGGGTTGGACATATCTGAGTTTTCACTATTCCTCTCTTTGCCTGCCTGACATCTGAGGAATAATCCTTCCTTCCCAGAATAACTGTTCCTCACTCTGCTCTCAATTTATATCTCATCCTACCATCTCCAGGACTTTTGTTATCAATTATATTCTTACTCACTTGATTCTTCCATTTCATCCTCCACTGAATCCTCAACTTAGAAGCCTTGCCAGGTTATGAAACTAAATATCCATCTTCACCCACTGCCACCTCTGCTGTATTGCAGATTTTGTCAAGGTCTTACATGGTCTCATGATAAGAAAAATATAGGCTTTTAACCACTGAAATACCTCTCTCTCCTATTTGCATCAGTTGGCATTGGAGAATCTCACTTTACCTATTGCTTCAGTCATGTGTCAGAGGATTCTCCTCTCCTCCTAGTGGTTCCCTCTTAGCTGGCTTCCTCCTGCCCATGAATGTGGGTATTCCCTGAGGGTCTGTCTATTGTCCCCCACCTTTTTTTTTTTTTTTTTTTTTTTTTAAACGGAGTCTTGCTCTATCACCCAGGCTGGAGTGCAGTGGCACGATCTCGGCTCACTGCAACCTCTGCCTCCCGGGTTCAAGATATTCTCCTGCTTCAGCCTCCCAAGTTGCTGGGATTACAAGCGCATGCCACCATGCCCAGCTAATTTTTGTATTTTTAATAGAGACAGGGTTTCACCATGTTGGCCAGGATGGTCTCAATCTCTTGATCACGTGATCCACCCACCTTGGCCTCCCAAAGTGCTGGGATTACAGGCATGAACCTCTGTGCCTGGCCTTATGGTCCCCTTTTTTAAGATACTCCATGTCCATCTCATTCATTCACTTGGCTTTAATTATCCATTCTGTGCAAACAAATCCCAAATGTATATTGTTATTCCTTACCATTTCCTATGCTCAGTGTTTTCATGTACAGTTGACTGTTGGATAACACACATTGTATAACCCATTAACATTTCAAACATCATGCTTCAAACTCAGTTTATCCTCTTTGAAAACTCTCCACCGAGCAGTTAATCCAATCTCCCATATTTGTATTCATTACTGCACATTTCTCTCAAAGTTCAATCTCTCTTTGCTATATAATTTCTCTCTAGGCATATCACAGTACCTGATAAACTCAATAAATATTTGTCAAGATAAATTGAAAATCATAACTATGTCCATTGTTACTCGTGTAATATGAATTCATAAATGTGACTGTAAAAGCTAATCTTCATTTGCATATAAAGTTTGTTCTCTACAGATACAGCCTTCATGTAAGTGACTACAAAGATTTGCTTTTAGCCTTAGCTCAGATCATTCAACTTAGAGTTTGTGTTAGAAAAACAGTTTTCTTTTTCCTGAGGCTACGTGTTAATTTGGAATATTACCTCTCCACAGTGTCTCATATTACCCAGAAAAGATGACTGTTTTCTCTTTTTTTTCTTGTGAAGCCTGTCTTAAAGGTGGACTTTGATGCCACAGCCAAGTTGGTTGGTTTTTTTTTTTTTCATGAAAATCTACATGAAATATGTGTATTTTCTCCATAAAAGATGTAGAGTTCATGGGTGGAATTTTAAGCCATTATGAACTGTTCAGCAGTATTTATTCATAGAAGACAGTAAGAAGCATACTTTTGCACAAATTCTTTGGCTTTTCTTACCACATAAGTTTCTGGCACCATTTCATAGAATTTTTATTTTGGTATTTAAACACTTGTGTCATTTTCAAAAACAATATTTAGGCATATGTTTTTAATTGTAGTGGAAGCTGCACTGATGATTGCTTACAAAGCCACAGGAGTCTCTTGAGGATCCCATCCTAATAGGAAAGTGTGTGCTGTGACACTGCCCCTGCCAACAGCATCTTACTGAAGAGATGGTAGCGCGCTTAGCCACTGGACCTTATTGTCATAACCGGCTGCATTATAATTTTTAAACAATGATTTCAATTTACCTGAGTCTCTAACAACCAGTATATTGGTATAAAATATTTACTGTGGCCAGGCACAGTGGCTCACGCCTGTAATCCCAGCACTTTGGGAGGCCAAGGCCAGCAGATCACCTGAGGTCGGGAGTTTGAGACCAGCCTGACCAGCATGGAGAAACCCCATCTCTACTAAAAATACAAAATTATCCCGGCATGGTGGCGCATGCCTGTAATCCCAGCTACTCGGGAGGCTGAGGCTTGAACCCGAGAGGTGGAGGTTGTGGTGAGTGAAGATTGCGCCATTGCACTCCAGCCTGGGCAACAAGAGTGAAACTCTGGTGAAATTTCTCCCAAAGAGAGTTCTCTCTTCCTGTTTGTTACTAAAAGGGACAAAATAGCTTTTTTAGGGGAGAATCACAGGTCATTGTCCCAGGATTTCCTAGCATTATATATCTAACTGTCTTGGGAAGGAGAAAACATTTCTTGGGTGTTTCCAGGTCCCCTAGTGTCAGACAGCCCTTCAGCTGTTATAAATGAATGATGATGCTCCAGTTATTGGCACAGTGAAGCAAGTTTCTCTTTTGGCTTTTCTTCTGTATCATCATGGAAAATTCAGGGGAACTCAATGAAGATATTATTTGTCAAAGAAGATGCCATAGGGGAAACTTATGTGACAGTTCATTGGAATGCAAATAGGATTTCATGTAATGATATTCACTTTGAATATTATGAATGATTTTGTAGCTTACAGAATCTCCATGGTAGTTGTGTGGGCTCCGTGCCTGGTAACTGTTACAGTTAGCCCAATACCATTATCGTGTACAACTCTGGCTGAATTTGAGATACTGACCTTCTACTCCCATCAAACTGCATCAGATTATTTTTTGTGTTACCAGATATCAAGCAAAATTAATTATTAATTAATTTAAAAAGAAAAGGAAAAAATGGAGGGAGGAAGGGAAAGAGGAAGTAAGGAAGGAAAAGTGAGCGTTGTCCTCTGACCTTTTATTTCTTATGGTTTTCATTACTGGTATCTAGTCTATGGGTTGGCAAACTAATAATATAACCTATGGCCCAAATCTAGCCCACCATATGTTCTGTATGGTACATACACTAATAATGTTGTTTTGTATTTTTAAGTGGTTGAAAAAGTAAAAAGCAGAATATCTCATGAGCAGTGAAGATTATATGATTTTTAGATTTCAGTGTCCATAGAGAAAGTTTTATTAAAATATAGCCACACCCATTCATTTACATTTCATCTGTGGCTGCCTTTGTACTACAGAAGCAGAGTTGATTAGTTGCCACAGAGACCTTTTAGCCAGCCAAGCCAGAAATATATATATTTTGGCCTTTTACAGAAAAAGTTTGCTTGTCACTGTTTTGGTTGATAATTGTAAATTTTTTAAAAAATTAATACTTCTTCAAGAAGCTATTTTCTAATATGTAGATATAATACAGTAATTCATTATGTTGCCCAAAATTAATATTTCTTCTTTTATCTTGAGTAAAAAAAAATGCTGCTACTTTGTTAAAATTTAAGCTGGAAACTACATTTATTTATTTTCCCACCCATTCCTGATACTACTGTCTATAAAAAAAAAATCACAGGTTGAAAAAATGTATTTTAAAATCAGCACTTGGTTTTATTCTGTAGCATTAGGGCTCTAGGTGTTTTTATGTTCTTTATCTCTCTTTTTTTTTTTTAATCTTGAGGAAGGGCTATAAAACAGCAGGCAAGGGTTCTCATAGGATTAACATTTCTATTTTAACTTTGCCACCTACTGCTTACATCCAGGCTGTTTGTTCAAAGCAGACTGTGTAACACAGTCAAGAGATTTTTGCCAGTTTTCCTTTTGCTTCTGGAGTTATGAAAATATTTAAGTGTCTAGGTCAGGTTCAGAGACATTCTGTAAAATTTATATTTTTAGCATTATACATGAATCAGAATGACGTGGTTTTTGATGAAAGAGTGAGAGTATTCTTATGAATGGGTGTTAGAGGTTTAAGATGATTTAATGCTATTATGATTTTTTAGTGTAGGGTCAATACATGTGTTCTGCTAACATTCTTATATAGTGTATACTGTTTCATGCTTCTTATTAGCTTCCGTTTAACTGGAGGAGTACTAAGTTGGAACATTGGTTCCAGGAAGTCCTCTGAAAGTGTGGAGTTTTGAAGTGTGTGTCACATATGTGAATAAAGCTTTAAAATGCTTGCCTTGTAGCATTAGAGGATAACTGCCTTCATAGTAACTAACCAGTTCTGGCAGTTGCATCTCTTGGAATGGCACACTTAATGAACTGCAGAGCCAGGAATTTTGATTTTTAAAGAACTCCTTAAAATACCCCATGTAAAATTTGATAGCTGGAGCAGTGCATGTGAGTTCAGAAACGATGACTGTCAGCTAGAAGTTGTGTGTGAATGTCACTCTGAGGATGTCTAGACGTCTCCTTTGCTTTGGCGTAAGGAAAAAACCCTTTGTAAGTTACTGATTTTTAATAACATCGTGGGTCACTGCTTTCCAAAGCAGAATGTGGAAACTTCTGAGAGTTTACCATAGATTCTACAGGGATTTTCACAGCAGGAAATACTAATGGAACAGAGTGGAACGATGGCTGAATTGATGGGAGATAGATGATAAGTCACGGTGTCATGACTACTTGATCATGTAGAAGAGTAGCAAAGAGAGGTATGTGAAGAGACAGGGAAAGAAAAGAACATAGCCCTGAGTGAATGCTAATCTAGAGGCAAATGTTGTCATTTACATTTTACTCTAAAAAGAGAACTTATTAAAAATAAAAATACAGCTCATTGCTGAAAAAATTTGTTTCAAAAAGCAGCATTATTTTTCTTTAAGCTACTCTTCAGAGACCTGTTATTTTAAGGACAACGTAAAATCTCATGTAATGATTGTATAAAGATATAGACATATAATGTGTCATATATATGTTAATATATATGATAATTGGTTCTAGTCTGCTCAAATTACCCATTTACTATTTAGTATTCTGGCTTAGGCAAATAAATATATATTTACAGATTTCTAAAATATTTTATTACTATTATAATGATGCTAATTAAATTTATCTGCAGTGCTTATCTTTTTCCAGTAATGCTAAATAAATTATTTCATCCAACCCTTATAAATATCATATGAAGAATTGTAACAATGTAGGTGCCATGGAGGGCAGGGATATGGGTTTGATTGATTTATTGCTGTATCCTTAGTACCTAGACTAGTGCATCACTCAGAGTGTGCACTCAAGAGGTATTATTTGAATGAATGAGTTGCATTTATTATTTGTCATTGTTTTTGGGCAGAATCACAGATAAGTTAATATCATAGAGATAGCAGTTAATATATAATACAACCAGAATATAAACCCATGCTGTCTGATTTCATATATTGAGCATTTATTCTCTTCACATTTTTACCTCATTTACCATAACTACTTTACATTTTTTCCTTAAATGAAGTTCATTTCATTTATATTTTCTCATTTTACTATGAATTAAATGTTTCATCCACATATATCATGATAATATCCCTGATGTGTTGACAGTCAGCGTTAGCATTGGCATTGCTTTGTTTGAGTGATAGCACTCATTTTAACCCATCCATATGTTACTACCAAGTCTTACATGTGAACAAGATTAATCTTGAACAAGGTGACAGAGAAGACTTGGACGAACTGCACCTTGGAACCGACTGAATTTTTGTGTGTGAATTAACTTATGTGCTCGAATTTAACCTGTGAATTTGATATGTTTATGTCAGTTACATTATGCCTAGGAAGAAAGGAGATAAAAATTGGGGGTGAGAGGGGAAGATGTGGAAAGGGAGTAGAACTTTACCTTCATTTTTGATGTATCACTAAATTTTTGCCCATTTAAAATTTGTTTTAAATTGGGACTCATATCTATATTCAAAATGTCTTGCATGCTCACCAAAACACCCATCAAACTCTTTGGCATTTTTTTTTCTTAATTAAAATGGATTCTGCATATATTTGGAGAGTTTGGAATATCATGCAAGGACCTAGTGGCTCTCAGCAGGAGGACAGAGGGCAGTGATTCACTTTGCACCACTGGCTCATTTACTACTGAATCCCTGATGTTTCTCTAGATGACTTGAAAACAATTACAGTCAGACCACATCCCTGAGTGTTGCCCCTATTTAACCCTCTGGTGATAGGAATGTAAGGAAAATTTTCTAGCCTGAAGACATTAAATGATGCAGTCTATTGTCTGTGTGTCAAGAATAAACAGCCACACTAAGTTTTTGTTCTTGATGTGCTGCCAAGTTTCCCTGAGGCAGACTTGGCAGGCTTTGTCCCAAGGAGAAGAATTCACAGCCTGCTGCTGAGCCAGGCCAGGCCTTCCCTATGTGAATATCCATAGGAAGGCTATAGCTGCCAGTTGTGGTGGCGGTTTTTGCAGAAAGCTGGCTTTTAAAATTTTTTATTGAACTTGGGAAAGTTCAAATTCTAGAAAATAGAAGGAAATGTTTCATTATAGAATGCGAAATATAGTTTAAGTTGGAATGAAAAGATCTGAAAACAGAGTTTCTGAGGAAGTCTGTGGTATTAGAGTCGTATGTGTTGCAATGAGTTGCATTCTTATTCTTCTCTTCCACTAATGGGGTGGGCAGAATAATGCCTCTGTCCCAAAAGATCTCTATGTCCTAATCTCTGGAACTGGGGACTTGTTATCTTACTTGTGAAAAGGAACTTGCAGATATGTTTAATGTTACAGACTTTTGAGATGGGGAGATTTTCCTGAATTGCTTGGGTGTGCCCAGTCTAATCACATGAGTTCTTAAAAAGCAGAGCTTTCCTGGCCATTGTTAGAGATGTGATAGTGGAAGAAGTGTCAGAGAAATGTGACTTAGCTGGCTTTGGAGATGGAGGAATGAGACCATATGCCAAGGAAAGCGGGTGGTCTCTAGAAGCTGGAAAATGCAAGGATGTATGTTCATTCTCCCTAAAGCATGCAGAAAGGAACCCTCTCAAAATCTTTTTTTAGTGCAGTGAGACCTGTGATGGAGTTCTAGTTTACAGAACTCTAAGGTAATAAATTTGTGTTGTTTTATGAGACAGGGTCTTGCTTTGTGGCTCAGGCCAGAGTGCAGTGGTGTGATCTCAGCTCACTGCAATCTCTGCACCCTGGGCTCAGGTGATCCTCCCATCTCAGCCTCCGGAGTATCTGGTACTACAGGTGCACACCACCGCGCCTGGCTAATTTTTCTATTTTTAGTAGAGATGGGGTTTCTGCACGTTGCCCAGGCTGATCTTGAACTCCTGGGCTCAAGCCATCTGCCCACCTCAGCCTCCCAAAGTGCTGGGATTACAGGCATGAGTCACTGCACCTGGCCTTTAATGTGTGTTTTTAAGACACTAAATTGGTAATAATTTGTTCATGACAGCAATAGAAACTTAATACAACTAGCTTTTGAGTTATGGCTTAATCTATGCTTCTTTTAATAATTTTTTAAAACAAAGATTAATCAATCCTGATGTTTAAAACTCTGGAAATGTCCTTAGTGATTTATGCAAAAAGATAACATGTTATGTTCTAGAGCTCTTTCTCAACCAGTATAGAATAACATAGTAATATATCACAAAGATGTCATTTATTCAGTCATTAGAATTTATTGAGCTTATTGCACTCCAGGACTTATGATATATAAAGAAAAATGGCAACATCACTTTCCTTTAAGAATCTCTTGACCCAATGGAGGAGACAATTTAATCCAATTCAATGAATATTTATTTCACATGGGAGTGGCTGCCTGATACATATTTGAGATAGTTTTCTATTGCTGTATAACAAGTTACCACAAAATTTGTGGCTTAAGACTACATACATTTATTATCTTAGAGCTCCTAAGGATGATTGCTTAGCTAGCCTCTCTGATCAGGGTATCACAAGGTTGTAATCAAAATTTAGCCAGGCTGCATTGTTTTTTAAAGTTCAAGGTCCTCATCCAAACCCACCTGGTTTTTGGCAAAATTCAGTTCCTTGCTTTTGCAGAAGTAAGGTCCTTAACTCCTTGAGGCCACCCACAGGTTTTTGCACATAGATCTCCTCATTGGCTCTTTAAAATGTGGTTGTTTGCTTCTTCAAGGCTAGTAGAGTCTCTCACTTCAATCTGCTGAGATGGGGTCTCATATAATCATAATCTTGGTATTGACATACCATCACTTTTATATTTTTCTGTTGCTTAAAAGCAAGCCACATGTTCCACCTGCACTCAAGAGGAGGAGTTATACAAGAGCATGACTCATTAAGGGTCACCTAAGAGTGTGTCAGCCATGACCCATACACATTTTTAGGTAGATCATTTTCACGATGATGTAGAGGATACATTAAAGACAGAGAAAAGAAAATGAGACTTTTTTTCTGTTATAGGTAAGAAATGATGAGAGCCTATAAATTAAGACAGGGGTTAGAAATGACATTATCCGATCTAAAAGGTATTTGGGAGAAAGAAAGGACCTGATGATAAAAATTGATTTGTGGCTTGATTGGTAGATATATGACTTGGCAAATGGGGGAAAGAAATAGCATTGACTGATCAAGGTAAGAGAGAATCAGCAATCAGATTTGGAGAGTAATGAATTCCTTTTTTTTAAAATAAATGGCACACTTATCTCCTCTTTTGACCTACTATGCATGAGAGTCTAAATTGATCACTTAAAATACATTATTTCATTAAAACCACACAGCAACCCAATGAAAATCATTATCCCCATTTTACAGTTGTGTAAACTGAGGCTTTGAGACATTAAATGCTTGCTTAGGATGGCAAAGCTAGTAGGAACAATAATTAAATTCAAGCTCAGTTCCATCTCACATCAAGTTGAAGATTTGGTGGACTATTCAGACAGATAAGTCAAAGAGGGTGTTATAGAGAGCACTGTGCTGGAGCTGGAGATCTGGGAGTCATTAGCAATGTGGGTGATAGCTGAATCCATGAAAATGCTTGAAGTCACTCTAGGAGACCATGCAGATAAGGAATTTAACTCTTGGAGCTCATTTAAGGGGTGGGAAAATAAAGAATATTTACCAAGAAAATGGAGAGTGATCATACAAGTAACAGGAGAATAAAAGAATGTGATATTGTGGTGGCCTTGAGAACAAACACTAAAAGGAAGGAAGATGCGGTGGTCAAGATCATCAGATGTGGCACTGTTATAGCTGAGTGCCCTGGTAGTAGGTTATTTTCCTCATCCTATCTTCTTACATGCTAGTAACATTTGCCAGGAGAATAACCATTCCAGATGGAAAGACCTGAGACATGAACAGAAAGAAGTAGGAAGAGGTTAACAATGCAAGTAAATGGGTTGTTTGATGACCACATTCTGAGAGGAAAGATGTTTTCCTTACCCAGGCACCTAGAAATGTAGATAGATATTCAAGGCCAGTTTATGTATGTGGTTTAAACTTTGAAAACTAACACAGAAGAACCTATCTTATGATAAAAAATGGTGCAAGAAAACAGGTTGAGTGACCATACAATTCATGAATCCCAGATGAGTAATTCTTCTCCCCAAACAGTAAAGGATTAAATAGAGAAGATTAGCCCCGAATTTACATCTTTGGACATGTAGTTGTTGTATCCTTTGTAGGATCAGTAAAAACTTACATAATAAACCTGCATTATTGAAGGTGTGTCAGTTTATCTGAAATTAAAATATAAATAGAAACAATTCTTAATGTAAAGAAACAGGAATACTAAAATGTGATATGTAATTTTTAGTAATTCACAAAGTCCTAAAACATTAATTTTAGTGATTGCTGAGGCCCTATGTGAATATTCTTTAGCTATATCACAGGAAATAATGGTAATAATTCATTTTTTGATGGATTATCACTTGAGCCAATACCATATTATGGGGGTTTTTTTAACCCTCACAGAGAAAATTTGCTTCTAGAACCAGAATATACAAACTTATTAAACACTTTTTGACACATTAGATATAGCAGATATTTTTATGAGGACAGACACCTTAGTTGAATAAATAAAGTATGAAGTCACATCTTAAAAGGGAACATTTTGTTGTTTTCTGATTTTTTGGTATGCTTCAATTAAATCAAAACATAACTTAGTCACTCATTATACAATTTCTAGTTTAGTAAAACCACTGGCCTTAAGATGTCTCTTTCAGCTTTGTCCCAGAAATCTATTTTTCAATTAACCTGCCTAAAGGTTTAACTCTGAAACTTTCTACAGCCATGATGGATGCAAGCATGTGTGTGCACCTGTAAAATTCTATATCAACATATGGCAGTGTGGTATGTAGATCAAGAGATATTCCCATAGTCACCATTTCTAATTTTGGTTGTGACTTCACCAAAACCTTGTATAAAACCAAATACAAGGTTGGGTGCAGTGGCTCACGCCTGTACTCCCAGCACTTTGGGAGGCCGAGGTCGGTGGATCACCTGAGGTCAGGAGTTTGAGACCAGCCTGGCCAACATGGCAAAACCCCGTCTCTACTAAAAATACAAAAATTAGCCAGGCGTGGTGGCACGCATCTGTAATTCCAGCTACTCAGGAGGCTGACACAGGAGAATCGCTTGAACCCGGGAGGTAGAGGTTGCAGTGAGCTGAGATTGTGCCACTGTACTCTAGCTTGGGTGACAGAGCCAGACGCCGTCTAAAAAAAAAACCCCAAATAAAAAATAATTTATTAGAATGGTTTTTAGTGTCATTCCTGGATGAAAGGTTAGGGAATATATTTTAGCATTCAAGTTTAAATCCTGCCCTCTATCACTTATCAGTTATATTACATTGAGGAAATTATATAACATCTCTAAGCCCAGTTTTCTTATAGGAGAATTTTAAAGTAGACTTTATAGATTTACTTTAAAGACCAAATGAGATAAAATATGTATAAGCCTGAGTGTACAACCTAGCGATTAGTAAGCATTCAATAGAGACATACACACATGTACCTATATAATATCTGTTATTGAAATCAATCACACATATCTATGATATATATCATATATATTAGTATATAGCTATGCATTTAATAAGTATTTGGAATGTTTGTCACGTGTCCAATACTGTTCTGTTCACTAGAAATAAGCAGTGAACAAAACCAAAAAAAGCATCTCCTTTCACAGAGCTCAGATACTTGTAAGCAATACAAATGGTAATGAACAATATGCATGCAATTATTTTCCAGCATCACCTACATTTGAGTACCCACTATATTAGGAAAAGCTGAAAGCAAAAACAAGAAAATATATTTTTAAAACTTCAGTAACATCATAGATGAATCCGTTGGTAATATGTTGGTGGCATTTCTTTCATTTGGAATTTGTAGATAAAAGTAAAGCACTGGTGTGTATAACAAAAGTATATAAATAATTTATGTAACAGGTGAAGAGACAAATAAGGAAAGGCAGTTTCAGACTACGGGGAGTAAAATTAGTTATAATCTGTAGAATTTACAAGAAAGGTTCACGTAGGCTCTTTTCTTTGATCTTGAACAACCTTGTCAGGTGTGTAGGGCAAATACTATATTCAGATTTTATAAAGAAACAGAAAGGATTATAGTTGGCAGGTTTTACTCTAGTTTATACTGTTTGCAAGTGCAAAACGAGAATGAATAAAATGGAAATAGAGGACATTATTGCAGATTCTGGAGAAGGTGGTATATTTTATTTTCTTTCTTTTTTTTTTTTTTGTAATTTACTTGGCAGTATTGTAGGGACTGCCATTAACTGGTCTGTTAATGAGCAATTGTTATCTACTCCTGAGGGCTATTAATAACTGCAAAAAGAGAACCTTTGTAGAGCACGGTCTTGTACATATACGGTGTTCAGCATGTGAGGGAACAATGCAAATTAGTTGTATTCCTTCTAACATAACTGCTTTTGGGCAGACGTCATAGTGGTATCCTGATTTAGTAAAGTAATCTTTGTAGATCTGCTTTTGAGGATGTATACTCCATCATTTTAGTAAAAACAGGAACATATATTTCAGTCTATAGCTTCACTTAACTATGTCTCTTATATTGTTATTGCCTAAGATACATATGCTCATTGTAAAAATAATCTAGAAAATAATTTTTTTTAAAAAAAGGAAGAAAAGCAATTACAGTTTATATTCCCTTATTTGAAACCAAATGTGCCTCAGAAGTATTTGAATAGGAAAAGGTAATGTATTCATATATATTAGGTAAAATGACTTGCAGAACCTTGGACCACACCCTATAATAATGCACAGTACTATTTCTGCAGTGAAACAGAAATCTTCAAACCATGTGTAAAAAAAAGCACCACCATAAATAGCCTGAGTCAGTGCAGGTCAGGTTTTATGACCAAATTAGTTCAAGTCAGGACAGATTTTGCCACCAAAGAAATTTAAGAAAAAAGAAAACAAACTTAAGATTTTTAGATTTGTAGATAAAAGATAATGGGCCTGCATTAAAAATAGAATATAATTCCCTACTTAATACAGGGATTAGATTGTAAATACTGATTTTTTAATACTCTGTAAGATATCACATATAGGTCTGTTTGGCTTTTTTATTTATTTTTTAGAGTAAATAGTTTTATTTTTCTGTCACTAAGATTTTCAGAAATGGGTCAGCTTTGTTCTTATTTCAGCTTTTATCATGTTCTCAAATATCTGTAGTAGTTCCAAAACTTCTACCTACAAACCAGTTGGCACTAACAAAAAGAGAATCATACCGGGTTCTCATTCCTTTTGGAGTTTCCATTTTGTACCAATTCCCTTCAGACTAAAAGGCATCCTTTAGAATTTCTCCAAATGCAGGAGGTCTGCAGGCAACAAAATTTCCATGCTTTTATTGATTGTTTTCACTTTTTTTAAAAGAGTATTTTTGTGGATATAGAATTGTGGGTTCACTTTGTCTTTTCTTTCAGCATTTAAAAAAATGCCATTCCATTATCTTCTTGGCTTCCCTTGTTTCTCATAAAAACTTACCAATAATTACGTTCCTTGTTCCCATGACAATGTATTTTTTCTCTTGTTCCTTTCAGGGATTTTTCTCTGTGGTTTGTTTTCAGCAGTTTACATAAAATATGCCAGGGTTTGACTCCCTTAACATTTCTTCAACTTGGTTATTAATGAATCCTTATATCTGTAATGTAATGTTTTTCATCAAATTTGGGAAGTGTATGGCCATTTTTTCAAGTATTTTTCTTCTCCAATCTCTCTATTCTTCTTGTGAAACTCTAGTCACATATATGTTGACCGTTTGATAACACACAGGCCAAGAGGGTCTGTTCACCTTCTTCAATCTTTTTCCCTCTGTTTTTCCAATTGCATAAATTCTATAATCTGTCTTCAAGTTCATTGACTTTTTTCTCTTTCAACTCCAATACTTTAATCTGCTATTAACCCCATGGAGTTAATATTTTATTTCTGTTATTATACTTTTAGTTCTAAAATTTCCATTTTGTTTGGCTGATAGTCTTTATTTCTTTAATGAATTTTCCTGTCTGTTAATTTGTTGAAACCATGTCTTCCTTTAGTTTTTGAATATATTTGTTTTATTATTTGAATGTTTTTATACTAATTATAATAACTGCTTTAATGCTGTTATTTGCTAAGTCCAGCATCTGGTTTATCTCAACTTTGTTCTTCTTGACTCTTGGTCCTGTTTTCTCTCTTTTTTATACATAATGAATTATGTTGTTGAATCCTGGAAATTATGGATAATGCCCTGGGCTTGAGTTCTGTTTTCTTCCTCTGAATGGTGTTCATTCTTATTATAGCAAGCACTTTATTATTAGCTGATCACTTTGCACTTGTTTGAACTTGTACTACTCTTTGTTTGAATGCATATGCTTAAAGCATGTCACTCCAGTTTTACAGGACTCAAACTCCAAAATCTCTCCCTTCCACATCTTATCAGATTAGGTTATGGGTTTTGTTAGAGCAGGCCTAAATTAGGTCTTCCTCTGGAATACAACACTTTTAAAATCTCAGCCTTTCTTGTGTCAGCTGGATGTCAGGGTTTTTAACAAGGTGTTAATGAGATCTGACTGAGGCAAGAACAACTTCATCCAGCTTTTCTCTTCCAGAATTGCCAAACCTGTAATTTATCTGAACAGTTTTTGCGAGTAGCAACTGCAATCTGGTAAGCCTCTGGTGCTCTCATCCTGCATATATAGCCCAGGACTCAACCAGAGACTCACAGAGTGTTTCCACGTGAATTTCTGAAACCCACTTTCTGGACACCTCCCTTGCTCTGACACTCTGTACCACAGAATTGATTTCTTTCTGCTGCCCCACATTTTCATATCTGCCTCCTCATCTTAGTGGGACCACCATGCTTAAACACAAGCTCTCTGAACCTCTGTTGAGATTGTTCCCAGACAGAAAGTGTGGAATGATCATGAATATTAGCTTGTGAGTATCCTTTCTTCTAGTCTTGCACTGCCTGTTATCTGTTACCTAAAAAGAATGGCCTCATACATTTTGTCCAGTTTTTTCATTTGCTTGCTGCAGGAAAGTACTCTAGTATCAATTACTCCATCATGGTTAATGGTCATATTGCCCTCCAGAAGATTTTCCTGATTACGTTTCTACCAAAAGTGTTTGAAAATTTCTATTTCCTTGTTTCTATGCCAACTCTGGGCTTTATCATTCATTTTGCTGAAGATCATTATTTTTACAATTTCATAAATCGTATATACTCTAATTTTCAAAACATATGAAAATTCTTTATTATAATTCTGCTTGAAGACTTCCCCTGAATATTTTAATATATTGCAAGTAAGTCAATAATTTAATATAGTGGTAGAAAATGTGTTATTTTAGCTAAAAATAGAAAAAAAATTGTAACATTTCTATTTTAAAAACTAATTTGTTAGCTTTCTCTTTGATTAAATGCAGACAACTACCAAGAAATGAAATAGGTTTAAAAAATTATACTGTTTTTCTCTCACGATTCTTTAATGTTTGAGCAAACACATGTTTCTTCTCTAAAGCTTATTTAATATGCAGCACCTCCAAACATTATGTCTGTGGTGTGATGTGGGAGCCAGCATCTGTATTTTTAGTAAACTCCCAAGGTGACTTTGAGTGAGGTAATCTGAAAGCCAGACTCTGAGAAACTGTTTGTATAATTGAACATGACTCTAGGTGCTAAGGAGCCAAGTGAAATTAATGGTATCAGCAAATAAACTTGAAAGGCACTGAGTACACTATTTTCCTCATAATGCAACAAAGTATTTTAACTTTTGTGAAAGGCTCTGCAGGAAAAAAATAAAACAAACAAAAAAAAAAACATGTTTAACCTAGTTTAACCCAGTACTTCCAAATTTATATGACCCTATAAACTCTTTAGCATCAACACTCTTGGGAAGATGATTAGATGGCTTTTGTTGAGACAGCCTTTCTAAGGGCCTCCCCTCAAATACAGACACTTGAGATGCCCTCGATGACCAACTGGGGCTCTAATACCCCCAGGGCTGAGGCTGAAGGTGTCAACATTACAGCTTTCCAATTACCAATTCAAAGCTTACCATGTGAGAAACCCTGCTAAACGTGAGAAATTGTGCTAAATAAGTCAGTTTAGAAATACTTCATATTTTTTGTAACAAGGCATACACATGCACAGAATGCTACCTTTTAAAAGTAGATTCAGTGAACTAATAAAGATTTTATAAACTCATGATTCAGTTTTATTCTGAAATGTTAAAACTCACTATTAAAAGATTTTAGCAGCAGTTTGATTACCTAACAGGAAAATAAATGTATTAGGAATGGGTATTTTAACATAAAATAAGGCAGCCAATTATCAGTATGTAATTATAGAAATTAATAATTGATGTGTCTAGTCATACCTCCCTCATCTCTATTAAGCATTCATTTGCCAAGCAAATATTTTGCAGTTCTTTCTTGGGCTTTCAAAGTATGTTTCCTCATTTTAATAAGCAAGTTGTCTCAGAAAATTATTAAAAAGGAAGAGATGCCTTTTAGTAAATATGGTGATTTTATCTTTTATAATAGTACTTTAAATTAATACTAGAACTAATCATTTTGCAGTAATTTACCCCTAATATCGTGTACGGGGCTGCCTAGGCTGACACCTAGGAGCAAGAAGAGCACAGGAACTTGTGTGACTGTGGGTGACACACCCATGAAGCTGGCCCTGACTAGAATACATTTATAGGTTAGCAACCAGGAGGAAGGGACTGGCCAGATCTCATTAAGGAGGCAGTGTTCCCCCAAATCCCTCAGAAGCGCAGGGGAAAGCAGACAGTTTGGCACATGAGTTTCCAGGGAAACCCCCTTAGGACTGTTTACATAAGACTCAGGAGATAGATATACAAATGACTATTCCAATGACCTGCTTAGTAGTGAGCTGTGTTTGATCACTCGCATGAGGCAGCCAACACTTACTGTACTTATAAATGCAAGCTGATTTCTTGGCTAGAGACAGTGGAAAGGTTTAAGGATAATTGCTGTGCTCCCTTATATTAGAAAAAAATTAGATAGTATAAAATAAGGCAGGAAGGAAGACTGTCTAGGAAATTTTCTTTAATGATTTAATAAAACAAAAGAAAATAAAAATATCTCATATGGATTGATGAGTCTGCTGTGTTACCTTTGTGCATAGAGTTGCATTATGCAAATGACTTTGCAGATTTGTCTTGCTTATTCCCACAGTGCTTTAATGTATTTAGAGTATCTCTATTATCTGTACCTCACAGAAGAGAAAATTGAGGGCCAGTCAAAGAAAGTGACTACAATTGTGTCAAAAGTGTACTCAGCGATGGAGCTAAAACTAAAACATAACTTCCATTTACTGAGAACGTTATTGATGTGCCAGACACCATGCTAAGCAATTTCCATGTCTTACTTGTTTAATTTTTATTAGTCAGAGCTCTTTCAACTGAAAGTGACCACACACCTTACTCAGACTACTTAAAACAAAATAACTGTTTTCTTCGTTTAACTGAGAAATCCAGAACACAGCCTCAGACATAGCTGAATTTGTGCTAAGATGATGTGGTCAGGAACTTACTTCACAACCTTTCAGTTTTACTTCCTCTGCATTGCTTGTTCTCAAATGGAGTCTGTATGTGGTAGCAAGAATGGCTCCAGCACCTCCAGATTTACAAGCTTGAATGCTCCTGATTTCAGAAAGAAGAAGAGGCTCACTTACCTCATTCCCAGGAAGGGCAGGGCCCTCACTCTTTTCTAGGTCAGTTCCTTTGTGAATCACAGGGGCAAGGGTATGCTCTTATTGGCCAGGCTTACATCATGTGGGCCTCCCTGGAGCCGGAAGAGAGGTAAACCATTCCTTAACCAGGTAGACTGAAAATGAGGTAGGTGGTGTTTCCGAAAGATGTGTCAGGGTGTTAGTGCCAAAAGAAGGGAAGTGATTCTGGCTAGGCTTTAGCCTTAGCTTAATGGATTTTTAGATAGCCATTATGAAAAGCATGGTTATTATTTACGTTTTACACAATAGCAAAGTGAGGTTTAAAGAAAAAAAGAAGTGACAGCTTCGCTGTAACCATATCATAGACATGGTGCCTTCCCCAAGGATATAAAAGCAATAGTCCAATTCTGCAGAACACTAAAAAGGATTTATAGTTGTGAATACATTCAGGGAATACCATTCTCACCACCCCCAGAAGGAAAACATTTGATAAGTATATTATCATCTTCAAACGAAAGGGCATGCAGATGGCTTTATGTGGACATAAGTAATTGGGAGTTTTATGGCCATTCTGGAATGCCTGTCTCTCAATGACTAACATTTTAATGGGAACACACTTACTACTCAGAAAACCATAAATTCTAGATTCTGAACTCTTGAGTCCAATGCCTATGTATGTTTGCATCCATACTGCCCAACTCACTCAGTACTTTCTTGTTGAATCAATGAGTGAAAATGGATAGAACACAACTTAAGACTACTTACTTAATTATTAGTAAATGATACAGCGCAAGGATACCTCAGAAGTATTCCTCATACAGGGAACTCATTACCATCAAGACCAAAAATAACAAAGGAAAAGAGAAATGACTAAAAGTGGTATTGTAACTTTTACTGCAAATGGATAAAAAGCAGCTTTTGTATTGTGGTTTTTTTTTTTTTTTTTTTTTTTTGGGGGGGGGACAGAGTCTTGCTCTATCCCCCAGGCTGGAGTGCAGTGACACTATCTCAGCTTATTGCAACTTCCGCCTCCCAGGTTCGAGCGATTCTCATGCCTCAGCCTCTTCAGTAACTGGATTTACAGGCGCCTGCCCCCATGCCCAGCTAATTTTTTGCATTTTTAGTAGAGACAGGGTTTCGCCATGTTGGCCAGGCTGGTCTCTAACTCCTGACCTTAGGTGATCTGCCCATCTTGGCCTCCAAAGGGCTGGGATTACAGGCGTGAGCCACTGTGCCCGGCCTGCATTATCTTTTTATTAGCTCATCTTTATAGCCCTTCTTTGTGTAATATTTTTAAAATGGTATGCATAAAGTATGTTTGTTGTGAGCCTTGTCAGAAAATGGGGATTTCTGTAAAATTTTGCTCTCATAGTAAGTGAAAACATTGGGGAATATGGAGTCAGTTGTCTCATTTGAGAGTACTTATTTCTTTTCAGAGCTGATAGTTTTATCTATCAGAACCTTTCTAAGCAAAACCTGTTTTTATGCAGTTTTATTTGGAGCTGTGTTATACACAGCCTCTACTCAGTCTCTTTTCATAGGGCAACTGTAGTTAAGAGTAATTTATTGTATATTTTAAAATAACTAAAAGAGTGGAATTGGAATGTTCCTAACACAAAGAAATGATAAATGCCTAAGATAATGAGTACCCCAGTTACCTTGATTTGATCATTACACATTGTATATCTTTATCAAAATACCACATGTACCTCATAAATAGTACAACTATTATATATCCATAATGATTAAAGATAAAAAAATTTAAAGAGTTGCAAACAAGAAAGAATGTAGATTATGCTGTCACATAGAATGGTAGTGATTCTTACAAACTGCAGCAGGGAACCATAAAACTGTTAAGACTTGTTAAAAAAATGCTTTCTATGATAACATGCTCATATAACAAAGATTTTACATCTGTATTCTTCTGAGTTTTCTCTCCTTCATGCCTACAAATTAATTCAACAAATATTCAACAGGAACGTATATGCACACACATGCCTGTGGTCATTGACACACACACACACACACACAAATCTTGCCCTAGCTATCACAGTTTCATGGCTTTCAGATCAAGTGTTTTGGTATGTTGTATTTCCCTAGAAGTTTCCACTGCTAATTCCAATAGGTTGTTAATAGAAATTAAGGAACACCTCCAACCACATGCATCCATTTTCAGTTGTGACAGGTCTCTGCACAGCATCCCCATCCCCAAATGTTTTTTCACTTCTAATCTTTACTTGTATTATTTATCTCCCAAGAAAATCATCTAAGTTGTTATCGGGGTAATTCTTTTTTTTTTTTTTTTAGACGGAGTCTCGCTCTGTCGCCCAGGCTGGAGTGCAGTGGCGCGATCTTGGCTCACTGCAAGCTCCGCCTCCCAGGTTCACACCATTCTCCTGCCTCAGCCTCCCGCGTAGCTAGGACTACAGGCGCCTGCCAGCACGCCTGGCTAATTTTTTGTATTTTTTAGTAGAGACGGGGTTTCACTGTGTTAGCCAGGATGGTCTCGATCTCCTGACCTCGTGATCCGCCCACCTCGGCCTCCCAAAGTGCTGGGATTACAGGCGTGAGCCACCACGCCCGGCTATCAGAGGTAATTCTAAGGAAGCGGCTGCAAAGCAGATATTTCAGAGCCTTTTAATTAAAACTAGAGCCTGCAAATCTTTGGGATGATTATTATTTTCACTTTTTTTGAGTGTGGCTTAAGAAGTGAATTTTAAATTACAGAGTATGCTTTGCAACTTCTAAGATTATGTGCTTATACTTTGTATCCTTACAAATTTCAGGCATTATTCTGGCAAACTCTGTCTTGCTCTTTTGTATAAACATTATTTTTAATTTAGTGGATTTTTATTTTTCAGTTTGCTGTGTTTTAAAGTTGAGTTTATTTTTTATTAAGAATTACTTTGACTCTTTCAGTTGGATTCATAAAACACAAACTATAAACATGAGATAAAATCTTTTATGTCAGAGTAACTCGTGCCTGTGGAATAGAAGCCAACTTGAGATGTGAGATTTGAAATTTATAGTATTACTCACTAAATGATTTCTGGTTGTAAAGTCCTGTACAATTCAGTTCAAGTTAATTCTTCTTATGACATTTTCAGTAGAATTTAAAAATGTGCATTATGTTGATGATAATGCATATTTACAAATTATAAATTTAGTTATAATTTAAAAGAAGAATAACTTGATATTTATGATCCAACTCACTAGTTAATAAAAACATTTTAAGTAAATATATTTTTACTTTGCCAGATTACTCACAAATTTGCTTTAACCCCCACATTGCTAAATCTAAACTAGTGTCTTTTAAACCTAAAATTTATGTGATTGGTAGAGTGGCATGATTATATGCATAATGTTTACATGACTTGTGAAACCATTTATAAATCTTGACATAAATATTATTTCCTGTATTCTTATATTTATTTTGGCATCTCAATTTTTGGCTATCTGTAATTGGGACATATGAGTAAATTTCTGATTTGATTCAGCTTATTTGGATCATCTAATTTCAAAATTTCCTCTACATTTTGAGATATCCAAAGAAACATATTGCCAACTTGTTACTGGCAGCAAATTTGTATGGGTCTGCAGCAACCTAAGTTCCTGCCTCCTCAGAATAAGGAACTTGACCAAGGGGCCTAAGGCGGAGTGAGAGACCAACGCAAGTTTTAGAGCAGGAGTAAAAGCTTATTAAAAAGCTTTAGAGCAGGAATGGAAGGAAGAAAAATACAGTTGTGCGACTTGAGAGATCAAGTTTGCAGTTTTGACCTTTGACTTAGGGTGTTACAGGTTCTCATACTTCTGGGGTCTTGGACTCCTTCTCCCCTGATTCCTGCCTTGGGGTGAGCTGTCCGCAGGCATGGTGGCCTGCCAGCACGTGGGAGGAGAGCATGCGCAGTGTGTTTACTGGAGTTGTGCCCATGCTCACTTGAGGCGTTTTTCCCTTACCAGTCTAGCATTCCTAAAGGAAGGTCATATACCAGTAAAACTCTCCCATTTTGCCTGTTAATGGACATGCTTGAGCTCACTCACTCAGCTCCTGAGATCTTACTGGGAAGCTGCTGATCACCAGTTTCAGGTGTTTCCATCTACTGGGAGACTGTGTTTCCCTGGCACTGTTAACGGTGGAGGGTGTCCGGTTCTTGGCGTCTTGAGGAAAGAATTGGACAAAACACACAAACAAAGCAAGGAAGGAATGAAGGGTTTTATTGAAAATGAAAGTACACTCCACATTGTGGGAGCAGGCCTGAGCATAGGGTCTCAAAGGCCCCGTTACAGAATTTTTTGGAGTTTAAATACCCTCTATTTGGGGTACACCCTATGTAAAGGAAGAAGATGAAGTAAAGTTACAAAGTCATTTACCCGGCGTATGCCTGCGGAGAGGATATTTCCTGTCATAGCTGAAGTTTGAATCGGCTTTATGTTCCCTGCCTCCATACCCTGTTTTCCTGCCTCAGCACCAGCTGCAACCAGTTATTATTTTAGAGAGACATGACATGTGATAACTGCCTGACCATCACCTGTTGGTCGCCTGACATTACTGGTTGGGGGTGGGGGACTCTGCTCACCTATTCATGTCTGACTAGCTATGTACTGTAACAAACTGACAAATAAAATTGTGTAAATAGTAGAACTTTTCTATGAATAGGTGTCCACACCTGAAATAAAATCAGTTGTGTTTCTTTTTTGAAGATGATTTTGAATGGTGAGTGAAACATTTCACCATGTCGAAAGTCCATCACAGTTACAGACCAAATGTGAATTTTCCAATCCTAGTGACTTATACAGTTATTATAAAAATTCATTTGCAGTCATCTTTCTTCAGATAATGAAATCATTGTTTTAATGTTAACAAAATGAGATTGTCACTTTATAATGTTGGTGTGGAGGAGAAAGTAATATTAATGATCAAACTTAAACTTATGTATTGGCTGGTTACATTGGCTCACCACGCCTGTAATACCAGCACTTTGGGAGGCCAAGGTGGGCGCATCATGAGATCAGGAGATTGAGACCATCCTGGCTAACATGGTGAAACCCCCGTCTCTACTAAAAATACAAAAAATTAGCCAGGCGTGGTGGCGGGCACCTGTAATCCCAGATACCCGGGAGGCTGCAGCAGAACAATCGCTTGAACCCGGAAGGTGGAGGTTGCAGTGACCCAAGATCACGCCACTGCACTCCAGCCTGGGCAAGAGAGCAAGACACTGTCTCAAACAAACAAAACAAAACAAAACAAAACAAAAAAAACTTATGTATTGTATTATAAGAATACACATTTGGTTCCGAACTTTTGACTTAACATTCTTTCCTTCTCTCATAGTTGTAGCTACACCCAATATGTGCAAAATATAAGATATTCATATTAGTTCCCCTTGAATTGTATGTGTTTCAATTTTTATGAGATTTGGAATACATTCAGCACATGGCAGTGGCTTAATACATACAATGTTTTTTGATTACTAAATACTTATGTAAATAATGGTCCAAGTCAGTAGTCCTATGTCTAAATAGCTTTCTTTTAAAAAGTATTGTAACATCTCATTTCTTCTTTTTTTAATTTAGATCGGGGTACTGTGCAAAAAGTGGTTGTTCTTCCTACTAACAACTCTGTCAGTGGCGAGCTCATTCTGGAGGAGCTGGAAGTCTTTAAGGTTTGAACATCTCTTCTATTAATCTCAGAACATGCATGATGAGTGGAATTCTTTAATCTTACAGCCACTTGGGAGGAAACTATATTTGATAAAAGATCAAATAAATGAATGTTATGAATTTTTGAGGGTAGGAAAACACCAGATAAAATAAGAAATACAGAACAAATATTTTTGCAAAGTATTTTCCTACATTTCAAGTTATCTTAAGATAAAAGGATTCTTTCTGTTTTTAAGCTATCATCACAACTTGAAGAATTGTGGTCATCATTATTTTTAAAAAATGAGTTCTAGTTGTCAAGGTCTGGAAGATTTTGCCATGAAAGGGCTTTTATCATTTGCTTCACAAGCCACTGAAACCCAAATACTTTCACATTATTGATTGTTAGATAAGCTTTCTTATATTTTTTTAGCCAGTAATTTCAAGAAAAACGACTTTGTTTTCTCTTATTTTATTGCCTTTAATTCAAATGTCACTTCAGTTAAATAAAACAAATGTTGTCTCTTTACCACTCAGAACTTGAGATTTCATTGTATTATTCTCCTTGTCCTTGAATTTGGGATAAAAAAAGAAAAAAAGGACAGAAAAAAAAACATACACAAGGGAAGTTCAGTACTGTAAGATCTCACCTGGTCAGGGCAGAGTGCATGTTCTTTATGTATCTGTGAGCCAGGAGAGGGGATTTGTGGTGTCCTGCTGTGCCCTTCTCTACTCACAGTGTCAGTCACTGTAGTTCAAGTGGTGCTTTTTATCTGCATTTGGAAAGATGGGTAAAGCGCAGCAGAGGAGCTATTAGAATTGCAAAGAAAGTTTGGCATGGAATCAGTCCTGCTGCAGAACACTATTTCCAACTAAACCAATTAAGAAACAATGGCCCAGACACAACAAAAGACCAGAGTCAGCCTATGACTGAGTAAAAGTAGCACTTGAGAACTCCCAGTAGCAGACTCTTGCTAGTCCAGCAAGTTGCTTTGCTTAGTTGAGTAGACTTAGAATGTATTGACTCATTAGTAGACATTCCCACGGTCACCAAAAATACTGACTTTATAAGCACGTAAGTGGGTAGGGTGCAGTGCTGTTAGATTTAGGTAATACATTTTAAATGTAAAGAAATATAAAATAGAATCAAATAAATTTGAGGAACTCTGGCAAGTTTCCTACTATATTATTAAATTTGTAATTTTTAATGCTAGACTAACTTTGGCACAGGTTCTTTGTGATTGGTGTGTTAAAATCGGGCTCATAAAATGACGTCAATGATATTCAGACAAGTGCTTTTTCATGCCTTGTTTTATAAAGAAATTGATTATTTCACTAGATTAACCAGAATCACATTATATAGAACATATTTTTTTTCTCATTCAACTCAGTAGGGAGAACTTGGCTTGCTAAAATAATACGAAGTGCCTTATTCTGGAGTATTCTTGAAGATAGCAAAAATGTCATATAGCAGCACTTCATTTTTAATACTGAAATATCTCCTTTTGATTATCAGGAAATGTTAATTAAGTGAGCATGACATAAACCTAAACATACATGTTATGGAAAGAAACATGAGTTAGTCTGATCACATGCTAACTACTTATGGTCTGTCATATGAGTTATGCTGGTGTTATCATCTTGAATAATAAACTCTCAGTGGAAAAACAGAGTCAGTCAGAATGCACGTGGGGGACATCAGCCCATGAGACACCAAAAAAAGTCTGAGTTTTCTTACTGATGTGTGTGCCAGTGATTGATATGGCCAAGTCAGGAAACACAGTTACTGAATACAGTTACTGTCTTCAGCATGGTGTTTGTGTCACATTTCTGAGGTGAGGTAAAAATAATTGGGTGTGTATGATACACTGTCATGAGCATGTGAGGAAATAATGCATTTAAATTGAAAAGTTTTCTTAGCTAAGTGTCACACTGATGTACTGCAGAAAATTCAATGTGACTTTGAAAAACCAGGAGCTTTGTTTTTATACAGTGCAGGACCATAATCTCTTCTTTTAGTCCTCTGTTCCACATTTTCTGACAATAAGTCTAGTTCCGCTGAGTTTAACTAGAATTAGAAGTATAACTACTAGTAGCTGCCTAACTGATTATAGGTTGCAGCATTTGTATGTGTGTGTGCATGTGTGTGTACATATTTATAAGGGATGATCAAAAATTGTCACAATGGAGAATTAAAGATATCACTGTTTTCCCTTTTAAAATGTTGGTAAATACATGCAGCTCCAGAAAACAAAATAACGGGGGTACATTTGATTTTGAGAGCTTGTTGCCACTTGAGTTATTCAAATAAAGCTCATGAATCTTAATCACTTTACCAGAAGTCTAATTATTATTATTATTTTTTGAAATGGGTTTCACTCTTGTTACCCAGGCTGGAGTGCCGTGGCACAGTCTTGGCTCACTGCAACCTCTGCCTCCTGGGTTCAAGCAATTCTCCTGCCTTATCCTTCTGAGTAGCTGGGATTACAGGCATGCGCCACCATACTCAGCTAATTTTGTAGTAGAGACAGGGTTTCACTATTTTGGCCAGGCTGGTCTCGAACTCCTGACCTCAGGGTGATCCGCCCGCCTCAGCCTCCCAAAGTGCTGGGATTACAGGCGTGAGCCACTGCACCCCACCAGAAGTCTAATTTTTAATCATTAAAAGTAACTAATAATTTTTAAGAAGTGAAGTTATGAATAATTTGCAAGCATAGTACTATTCCAGAAAATTCTTAGGTTCTTTCATTCATTCACATTTTATCAAAAGAGAACCTTTTCTAACAATATTTTTTTGTTTGCAACAATGAGTATTAACTAGTATGGTTCAGCCTAATATATTGTCTTTCCGAAACAGCACTGGCAGGTGAACAATAGTGTCTTATGCAGAGTGCTTGTGTTGCGGAGGAATTAGATGGTGTACCATTCCACATCTTTCTCCACCTGAGTCCGTGGATCCAATTCTGAATTATTTGTCGGATTGAATATTCCAAAAATTTCCTTCTCAGATTTTCATTTTTTGTTCTAATGCCTATATTGATACATGTGTTTTAATTACCACTCTTTTTTTTTTTTTTTTTTTTTTATTGAGACGGAGTTTTGCTCTTGTTGCCCAGGCTGGAGTGCAATGGTGCAATCTCGGCTCACTACAACCTTCGCCTCCCAGGTTCAAGCAATTCTCCTGCCTCAGCCTCCTGAGTAGCTGGGATTACAGGTGCCCACCACCATGCCCGGCTAATTTTTGTATTTTTAGTAGAGCTGGGGTTTCACCATGTTGGCGAGGCTGGTCTCAAATTTTAGGTATATATCTGTGTAACAACTCTATCCTTAGTTTCTAAAGAGGAAGTGTACTTTATAGACAAGTATATGCAAATGTATTTTATATAACAAGTAATTTTAAAGTAGATGTATATATAAAGAAAAGTGATTTCTTCTTGAGATTTAATAGAAAAAAAATCTGAATGTAAAATCCTTTTAAGCAATATTTGAGCAACTAACATGTTGTTTTCTAATATTTTAGAATCATGCTCCTATAACAACAATGAAAATTTCATCTAAAAAGGTAAAAACTAAGCTATTTTATGTTCTTTGCTTATTGAAATGTTTTGTTGTTATGAAAAATTATATTTTATAACTTCTGAATAATTAGTTATCGTACTAACAAAATAAAGAGTACTACTTAAAGTATACCGCAAAGTCACCTTTAATTTTGATGTAGAACTTACAAGGTATTAGTGAAAGACCGAATAGGTTTATTTTTGTATAAAAGTTTGTCGGAGCAGAACATATATACAGCAAGATATTCCAACATTTTGTATATCTGATTTTCTCAAATATTACGGTGTGTGAAGCCAACCGAAATAAAAATAATCTTTCTGGGAAGAATTTAGCATAAAGTTTGGGCTACTCTATAACATCACAACATTGTTAGAGGCTTGGAATGAGTAATCAATCCTGAGTTCCTGCTGTTGTCACATATTTGAAATGCACAGTGTATTCTTTTATGCTTATTTTTAAGGAAATATTATTTCCTAGGATTTAAACATGTCAAAAAAAAGAAAAGTCTCAAATTTAAGGGTTCAGGAATTGGAAAAGAAATATTTGATTGTAATTGAAATCCTCAAATTAATTGTCTGATTTGTCCCTACACATGTAAATATACAATGATCATTGAAATAAAAAGTACAATTCCAATATATACATGAGCAAACCATGTACCTCTCCATTTCCAAAAGGTATTATTTAAAAAACAAATTTTAAGGTACAGAGTAATATAGTGAGAATGGAGTAGGCTTCCAAATAGGCTTGGCATGCATTTGCATCCCAATCTGACCATAATGTACAAACAAATCATGTAACTTCACTGACCTGAGTTTCTACATTTGTAAGGTAATGCTCTTCTCACAAACAAGTTAATTTATATAAATTACCTAGAATAAAGTGGATCCTCAGTAAATGCTGTCTGTAAAAGCCTGAGACCTATTTTTCTTGGAATACACAGTAAAGGTTTTATGTGTTAGCACAACCGATTACATGATTCTGGAGCTCTTCACCATATTTGGTTTGTTACAGATGAAGTGGTATTTTATAGTCAGTCTTACACTCTTTTGACATCACTGAATTTTATGAGGGAAAATAAATAAGGTACAATGGAGCTAACGATCTCATCTGTAAAAATGTTTGTATGGTGCATAACAAACATTTTCCCAAGTAACGAGAAGCCATTCGTCATTTTGTCTAATGTCCTAGGGAGTGGATCTCAAGTCAGGATTGTCTTTGAAGTCAGCAGGGAAGCCCTTTGTTTACAGTAGTTAATGGAAAGAGAAAGTAGCAGGGCAGGATTCAAAATGGACACAAAGCCATTTGTGTGGCATAGTAATCCTGTATGCAAGTTTTAACTATATTTAGTTATGTATTACATCTGTCTTCAACGTCTTAAATTGTAGATAATTTAAAATGTCTCATTAAAACAGTGAGATTCAAGGCAAGGATAATTATTTGACTTTTTGGAAATCATTTGTACAACTGCATACTGCATCATTTTTTTCAGTGCGAGAGGACTACAAATTGTTAATGACATCTTATGTGTATTTAAATAACTTTCTCAGTGTTTCCCATTTTATTATCCATCTTATGCTCTCTTATTTTTTAATTTGTTCTTTTACTCCATGTAACAGAAAATAGTACGCTTAATAAAAAGTATACTATCTAGAATGAAACTACCTGTGTCCTACACTCAAATATACTAGTATCCTTAAAGTATTTTAATGAAGCTGATAAATTTGCTGTATTATTTACTAATTTACTCGATAAACATTTATTTCAAATGTGCCTGGACAAATGGTTATTGTGAAAACACGCAGTTGTTTTCTTGTAGTTTGAATGTTTCAACTGGAGATCAGTCAATTTCAGCACAATTTCTGAAAAGTCAATTGATGTGAATAAAATTATTAGATGTAGTAGAGTGAGATGTGATTCAAATAATTGATTAGAATTGAAAACATGTATTGCTAGTTTAACTGGTATTTTACTGTACTTTTTACCATTAATTAACATTCATTGAGCAACTTGTGAGCCAGAAACTATTCCAAGCATTTTATGTGGAGGAAAACCTTACAACATTTATTTCTTACAAAAACTCCATATGGTAAGTGCTGTGTTATCCTAATTTTACTAGTGAGGAGGCTGTGATTCAGAAAAGTTACACAGCAAATTTGTAGGTGAGCTGAGATTTGAATCTAGGAAGTCTGGTTCCAGAGTTTCAGAGCCTGGCGGGCCCATGGTGTCTCCAGAGATTTAATTTTTAAATGTATATGTATGTGCATGTGTGTGTATCTGTACATGGAGGAGTACACACACACCCATACAACTGCATCAGGTTTCAGCTTACAGATTCTGTGCTAACTTGAGTTATATCAGTCCTTTGGAAAGTAAGGAGTATCAATTAGAGACTCATTCCTTCAGCTCCTGAGAACCATATTATGCACAGCTAAAGGAATCAAACCATTATCTTGGAAGCAGTAGACATCCTACAATTGAAGGAGGATGAAATCTTCATCCATGAGGTTTTTAGGATGATGAAGATCAGTGGATCAAGCAGAATTTTAAGACGTTTAAATATAAATACCGATATTATTCTAAATAATTATTTTTAAGTAGTTTTAATGAGTAACATGCAACTTTCAAAGGCATGTGACCAAAATATTCTTTTTTATTTCATCCAGTACTTACTATTTACCATTTTTTCCTTCTAAACTTAAAATGCCCTTTATTTTAAACCAGACTTTCTCAAATTTACAAAGTAACGTGTTGCCCCACTTGAAAAATAAGAATGCTTCCTTGTGCTTTGCTAAGATACAGCATTCAAAGAAAAAAAGTCATAACTTAAATCTGTAATATGTTAGCTCCAATCTGAGAGAACAATGAATCCCAATGTCTAAAACACATTACCATTCTATATGGTGCTTTGAGCTTTTCTTTTTTAACAGAAAAGTGGTAATGCTATAGGCATATTAATGTAGGAAAATTCTATTTATTTTGGCTTCATACCCTTCTGTGCTTTGCTTCATGTTTTTAATCGGTTCCAAAATGAATCCAAGGGTTTGTGGGCATATATTATAATGTGTTCCTGCTGAAAGTCTTCTTTTAACTTCCACATCTGAAATAAATCATCATCATTCCTTTAATAGCAACAGTTGTATGTGAGTTCCAATGAAGGGGTTTCCCAGGTATCTCTGCACCGCTGCCACATCTATGGTACAGCCTGTGCTGACTGCTGCCTGGCGCGGGACCCTTATTGCGCCTGGGATGGCCATTCCTGTTCCAGATTCTACCCAACTGGGAAACGGTGAGCACTAAACACTCGGCTCAACATCCAAATGTAGGACACCAGACAATACAGAAGTGTTTCACATCTTTAGAATTAGTTCTATTGCTGTTTCCTTAAATGACATTAAAGGTAGAAGCTATGTTTAACACCACACATAGTCTTTGAATGAAGAAAATGGTAATGTGTTATAACTTGAGATTCTCACAGATATGGTAAATCCAGAGTACAGTACTTTGGAAAGAGTCCTTTCTCCCTTCAAAGCTCCTCTGTAACACCTACTCCCCTAGGACTCATCAAATATTTCAAGTAGCATTTAGCTTTTTGCATTTTTTGTATCACCTAATTTATATCTTTTTAATTTTATTTATTATTTATTTATTTTTGAGATGAAGTCTCGCTCTGTCACCCAGGCTGGAGTGCAATGGTGCGATCTTGGCTCACTGCAACCTCTGCCTCCTGGGTTCAAGCAATCCTCTGCCTCAGCCTCCCGAGTAGCTGGGATTACAGGTGCCCACCACTATGCCCAGCTCATTTTTGTATTTTTAGTAGATGGGGTTTCACCATCTTGGCCAGGCTGGCCTTGAACTCCTGACCTCGTGATCCACCTGCCTTGGCCTCCCAAAGTGCTGGGATTACAGGCGTGAGCCACCGCTCCCGGCCGTCTTTTTTATTTTATATGCTTTAGTGTAGCCTTAAAACCCACCTTCCTAGGATTTCTCTACATTGCTTAATTATCTTGTAAACAAGGATACAATATAATTATCTTATAATGCTGGTTCTAGTTCAAGCTACAGGAGTATTATTTCAGCATGGATACCTTGATTTGCTTTCAAAACCTTGATGACCATGCTTTATCCTTGGAGTGGTGAGTGCATGATTACTGGTTAGGTTAAGAAAGAAAGTCAGTCTGAGGCAGGGTACTTTTTATCCAAGTAGAATTCTAGGTGGGAAACTGCATCGACTTGTACCAAGTTGGAAGGAACCATGAGTAGAGAAATTGAAAAGGAATATGCAGAATTCAGAGTCAACCAAGGTCATAGGTATTTTCAGTCATACAGTGACATAGGTCATGATGGTGACAAGGCTAAAACCTTTGAAAATTAGGGTTAGCAGAGGGAGCAAATAGTAGCAGCCATGAGCACCAATGATCTTTCAAGTAAAGCACTGGGGTGATGGTGCTTTATGGTTTTTATTCTCTACATTCCTTTGAGGACCTTGACAGATTGTAACAACCCTAGAGCTTTTGTGTATTAAAAGTATTCTGATCCTCTTATTCATTAGTTCAACAAATATTTTCACTGGAAATATATTTTCCAGGCATTGTTTTAGAAGCTAGGCATATAACAGGAAAAAAGACAAAAATCTCTGTCTTCAGGGATAATGCATTCTAAAGAGAAAAGATCGATAATAAATAAATAAGGAAAACCTCTGGTATATCAAATAATAACACGATCTGTGAATTTAAAAAGGGCAGAGAAGGTAGGTACAATAAGTGGTAAGCAGGAGGTCGTGATGTTAAATGGGTGGGTGTCAGAAAGGGCGTTACTGCGGACATACTGTGTGAGCAAGGACTTCATGTGGAATGGCACCAAGACGTTATCTAGCAGAATAACATTCCAGGAAGAGGGACCAGAAATCTCTAATACTGGAGTATGTCAGGATTGCTCAAGAAACAGCCCTAAAGCTAGTGAGGCTGCCCTGAAATGAGAAAAGGAACGATAGGAAGAAATGAGGTCAGAATGCCACATGATGTCAGACTTTGTAAGTAATTGAAAAGTTTTTATTTAAAGTGAAATGGAAAACAGCTGAGGAGCTGTGACCATGTGAATGATACTGTTTGGCTTTGGTTTCAAAAGATAACTGGTTGGATTTGGCTTGCATTGAAGCCCTGGGGTAGGAAGAGGTTGGAGGCAGAAGGGAAGGGGTGGCAGAAGCTGCATGACAGGAGGCTACTGTCTTCGTCTAGGTGAGATATAATGGTGGCTTGTAGAGGGATAATAAAGGAAGAGGTGGCAAAAAAAAAATGGTCTGATGCTTGACAGCTCACAGAATCTATTGATATATTTGGATGTGGGAGGTTAGAGAAATAGAGGAGTCAAAAATGATCCAAGTTGTCAGAACTGAACATTAGGATTTATGTAGATGTCACTTCCTGAGAAAGAAGAGACTGTGAAAGGAGCAGGTTTGTGAGGAAAAAGAGGATGTTACATGAATGGTATCTATAAGATGTTCACACACGGATATTGAGTAGGCAGTTAGAAATATGAATCTGGAGTAGAGAGGAGTGGCCTGGGCTGGATCACTTGAGAGTCTTAATGGCATGAGATAGGAAGAGAACTCCCACTCTTTAAACCAGGAGTCTCGTAGATGCGTTCCAAGACTGTGTTCCTCCATGTTAATTTGGGCGCTAGTGAGGAGGTCCCTGACTTCTTTTGATGTCTATCTAGAATTTCTAGACATCATTACTCTGTGATCTTTCATCTTAATATGGGGCTGGAGGCCTAAACCTGGACAGTGTGAGGGAGGCAAATTTCAAATGTAATCTCACATAAGTGATTTTTGTGGCCACTGTTGGTATTTTTCAACCATATTTGTTTTTCACTGCCAAATATGATAGTAGTGATATTAGATTAGCATAGCTCTTAGTAAGGTGATACTATTTACTTAGCAAGATGTTCTAAAAATTTGCCTCTCTAACACCTGCAATATAATCTTCAATCTATTAAGCAGATATAGTACTGAAGGAAGCTGAAGCACTATACCTTCCAAGGAAGAAAGGGATATAGGGACTATAAATGGACTTTTACCATAGTTGTATAGGTATACCAGTTATTATATAATGTAAGGAAACTGGACATCAGTACTCCTTCTCAGCAAAGACTTGTTTTGACCAACAAGCATTTTTGTATAACAAATAATATTTCTCAAGTAAAAGTCCATACTGTATATAGACTGTCATTGCATACTAGATATACTTTTTTACATTTTAGAAGTTTATGCTCAATATGGGCTAGCTCATTTGTTTGCATGTTTTCCCACCTATTACAACCCCAGGTATCCTTTCTAAGATGTGTGCTTAAATATACATTGTCATTCTACCACCACAAATTATAATTTTAATCATACTTTTTTAATAAACAAAGAAATGAGTCTATCATGCAGTTCTTTGCATTTACAATATCATGCCTGATATTAAACTATGAATAATGGATAGAGAAGGAAAGTAGTAGCTATTTAAAGAGTTATCTTGGCTAGGTGCAGTGGCTTATGCCTGTAGTCCCAGCACTTTGGGAGGCCGAAGCAGGCAGATCACTTGAGGTCAGGAGTTTAAGACCAGCCTAGCCAACATGGCAAAACCCCATCTCTACTAAAAATACAAAAAAAAAAAAAACAAAAAAAAACAATTCGCCAGGCATGGTGGCAGGCATCTGTAATCCCAGATACTTGGGAGGCTGAGGCAGGAGAATCATTTGAACCCTTGTGGCGGAGATTGCAGTGAGCTGAGATCGCGCCATTGCACTCTAGCCTGGGAGACAGAGTGAGACTCTGTCTAAAACAACAACAACAACAACAACAAACAGCTATCTTGATTATCTCCAGCAGTGCCTTAATTCTGTCATGAAAAGCCTGAAAATGCTACATATATAAAAAATATGCCTGAGCCTACCCGTATTTATCTTTGACTAGCATATTGGAAGTTTCACTAAAAATATCTACGGTATTTACATTCTCCAAATTATGTCCTAACTTAGTTAAGCAAGTATTTATAGTAAATACAAAACATGTTAGTGAATGAATTAACTATTTTGTAAATTCCCATATGAGTTTTTCATTTTCCTTTGAAGATAATGGATTTGGAGTACTTTTCCACATTTATTTTCTTTAGTAGTGTTAATTTACCTAGTTTTGTGCTGATGCCACTCTCTAAGCAAAACACGAAGATCACTTAGAGGATTTCATAGAAATAAAAAGCAAAAAACTATTTTCTTTGTGTACAAACAGAGAAATACAGTTATACTTGGAAATTGGTGGAATCCATACTTTGACATAATGAAGTTGGTAAATATCATTGGCTCAATAGTCTCCGTTTTTAAAAAAAACTATAGTAAACATGCCGGGCGCAGTGGCCCACACCTGTAATCCCAGCACTTTGCGAGGCCGAGGCAGGCGGATTGCCTGAGGTCAGGAGTTGGAGAGCAGCCTGACCAACATGGTGAAACCCCGTCTCTACTAAAAATACAAAATTAGCCGGGCATGGTGGCGCATGCCTGTAATCCCAACTACTCAGGAGGCTGAGGCAGGGGAGTCGCTTGAACCTGGGAGGCGGAGATTGCAGCGAGCCGAGATTGCACCACTGCACTCCAGCCTGGGCAATAAGAGTGAAACTCTGTCTCAAAAAACAAACAAACAAACAAACAAACAAAACTCTAGTAAACAATAAAAGCATTTTTTTCATTTTCACTCTCAAGTCTCTTAAATATTTGTGGATTTGTATCAAATATTGCAGTATAGTCTCTAACAGTATTTGTTCTGGATTCAGACAAGTAGTTAGAAACTTTATTAAGACAAGATAATCAGACCAATTTTCAAATAAATGTCTTTTCTATAAAAAATGATTTCATTGTTTATCCAAAAGAATTTACTGTTGTGGATGAAACATGGGAAACTTGAACCAAATTCCAAGTTCTACATGCAATACAATATTACTCTGCCTACCAGCATGTTTTTTTGATGCTATGTGAGTGCCATGGAGGGAATCTACACATAAAAAATGCTCAGATGGCTGCCTTGCTGATCTCATGATTTAAGCCAAGCCATAACAATGTTTTTTTCTGCATTTCAATGTCTAGAAGCTATGTGATACTGTAAATTGAGATTGCCCAGCTTGAGAGTTTGTATACATGAATAAACCATTACATAGTGTTGATCACAGGACAATAAATTTAGCCATTGTGGATGATATTGCTTGCCTAGATGGCTGAAAACGCTCTCATGATGCTCATATAATATATACTCAGAAGTTGGCTGTAGGAAAATAATGCTGGACTTCAAAATATAGCAAATGTTATGCAGTAAAAACTTGATATGCGAGCTATTCTAGAATACACTACCATATTAATCATATTTCCTGAGATGAAAGTGGCTAACACTTTCACTGTTTTCGTGTGTACAGAAATACACAATCGGTACGGGTCACGTGACTTTGGAAAAGGAATACTTAGGTGGTACAAAATTTTATACCTATTCTACCATAAGTAGATTTCTACAGTCCATTGTGTACATGAAGTAGTGTTTTCTTTAGCTAGAAAATGAGCTTTTTTTCACTATCAATGACTTTGTGATTAATTTTTCTTTGTAAGTTTAATATCTACTGTGTGCTTTTAATATTTCTGTTCTTGCTGAATATTTTATCTTTAAAAGTATGAAGAAAGACTTAGCATTTAACCCAATTAAGTGATATGCTCACTCGAGTATACTTTTCGGTGTTGATAGTAAGCAATCGATTTAGGCTGGTATTCACAATATTTAAAGAGTCACCTTCTGACTTTTAACAATGTGTGATGCTCAGAGGATTGCAGCTGCTCTACGTCGACTTCTTAGACTACATAATACCACTGAAAGTCAGGTACTTAGTGAATCTAAGACTCACGAAATTAAATAATTTGAATACAACTTAGAACTTATTTAAATAATGACCAGTTTGCAAATATTGTATTTTTTTTTTTTTTTTTTTGAGATGGAGTCTCACCCTGTGACCCAGGCTGGAGTGCAGTGGCGTGATCTCAGCTCACCACAACCTCCACCTCCTGGGTTCAAGCGATTCTCCTGCCTCAGCATCCTGAATAGCTGGGACCACCATGCTACCATGCACCACCATGCCCAGCTAATTTTTGTATTTTTAGTAGAGACGGGGTTTTACTGTGTTGGCCAGGCTGATTTCAAACTCCTGACCTCATGATCCGCCCACCTCAGCCTCCCAAAGTGCTGGGATTACAGGCGTGAGCCACCGCACCTGGCCCAATGTAACTAAATTTTTGAAATGCTTAAGCTAATAATACGTAACAACTAAATGCAAAGGATGAAACTTGACTGGAAGCTGGTTAACTTAAATCCATAAGAGATATTTTGGGAACAACTAGAGAAATTTTAATATAGAATATGCATTAGATTATGTTGTTAAATATCAATATATTTAGATAATTATATTGTTATGTTGAAATATTGTCGTTGAAAAACACATGCTAAAGCACTTACGGGTGAAGCATTATTGTATCTGTAACTTATTTTCTAAAGGCTTTCATAGGTGTGGATCCACAGCATATACATGATATATATTTGCATGTGAGAGAGAAAGAAATTAATGTGGCAAAATATAACAATTTGTGAATCTAGGTATACCAGTATTCATTTTACTCATATCTGTACTTTTCTGTAGACTTGAAATTTTCAAAATAAAAAGTTGGGGACAACATGCTTATTCTAGTAAATGAAATTAACTTTTTATTAAATGTCCCTATTTTTATCTCTATTGCTTGTTTCAGAAAAGTTTTAATATATCTAGAAACAGAAAACATTGACTTTTGTAAGAAACAAGTATGTTTATTTAAGACAAGCTATTATAAAAAGGAAAATGCTACGGAGTTTATACTTTGGATGTTATTGTTTTAGAAAATTTAGGCTGAATTTCTCTAAACTAAAAATTTACACTATTAATTAGAGAAGGTAGCATTTACTCAGGATATGCATGCAGCAGGCGATTCATAGCCATTTCATCATGAATGGTAGATGGGAAAACTTACTCAGATTGAAAAGCAAAGATAAGTACCCCCCCTCATTATTGATAAATTGTATAAGAAATGTGAGATAGCTGCATCAATCAGAACTCTTTTTAAAAAATTTTATGAAAGCTTAGCAATAAAAAGGGTGCAAAGTTTAAAATTACAGTGTTTTAAGAGTGGTGTAATTGGCAGTGATAATTCTCAGTCACTTTTATGTATTTCTGCACTTGCAGGAGGAGCCGAAGACAAGATGTGAGACATGGAAACCCACTGACTCAATGCAGAGGATTTAATCTAAAAGGTATTAAAAGTGAGCAATGGCCAATCTCAGTGAACAGTAGCAATGCTCCGTATCACATTTCAGTAAGGGGAAACATTGTCATAGATTCAGGCGTTTCACTTTCAAAAATATTTATTATAACAATTCTGGGTATTTATATAGGGTAATTAAAACTTAAAGGCTTTTTGTATGTATACTGAGAATCGTGTAAAACAAATGTCTGGGAACACGCATACTTCAAGTATGTTAGCTGGTAGGTCTTTCTCGCAGATCGTAATTACAGATTTTCTTAGCTACTATTTTCTTTCTGAAGAAAACCTATTTTCCATTTTAAGATTTACCACTGAAGAACCCTTAGAACAGCATTTTTTTACTGCAGTAAATATACATAACATAAAATTTACTATTTTAACCATTTTAAAGTTTACAGTTCTGTGGCATTAAGCATATTTACATTGTTGTGCAACATACTGCCAGTCACGTCTGGATATTTTTCATCTTCCCCAACTGAAACTAGACCCGTTAAATACCACCTAACCATTACCTCTTCCCTCCAGCCCTTAGAAACCACCATTCTACTTCTTTATGAATTCTTATGAATTCAACTTCTCTAGATACCTCATATAGGTGGAATTATACAATATTTGTCCTTTTGTGACTGGCTTATTTCACTTAGCCTAAAGTCTTCAAGGTCCATTTATATTGTAAAATATATTACAATTTTCTTCATGTTTAAGGATGAATTGTATTTTATCATGTGTGCATATATATAATGTGTGTGTGTGTATGTGTGTGTGTGTGTGTGTGTGTGTGTGTATATATATATATATATATATATATATATATATATATATGTACGTATGTATGTAGGTAAGCCATATTTTGTTTATCCATTCATCCATCACTGGCCACTTGGTTTGCTTCCATCTTTTGGATATAGTGAGAATCCTGCTATGAACATGGGTGTACTATAGTGCCTGTTGACAATCCTGCTTTATGTCCCTCAATTAAACTAATTCCTTCCTTCCCATTCTGACATGAAGTTACCATGTTACAATACTTTTCCTGCCTCAGTCCCACCAAGTAAAAGTATTTCCAAGCAGACCTTCCTTGTGGCTCGTCAAGGTGCTACAGGTGTGCTGTTTCAAAAATTAACAGTGAGACTCCTATTTCTAATCCTTTTGAGTCTGTGCTTTCCTTTAGTAAAAAATGGCATTCTTTTTACTAACTATTCTAACTGCAAAGAGCAAATTAAGACAGATTTTGCTTACTTGTTCCATACATCTAGTTGAGGGAATAAATTCAAGTTACCATTTCTCCATTTGCTATTTTATAAAAGTGTATCAGTTCCCATTAATAGTAGTAGTTGTCATAGTGGTAAGAATAATGGCAGTGGAGGTAACATCAAACAAATATTGATGCTGACTTTGTGTCAGAACCTGAGCTAAGTGCTTTTTTATGATTATTTCACTCAATGCTCAAGAAGCCATACTAGAGTCTTATTATTCCTGCTTTATTAGTGAGGATTCTGTCCATGTCTAAGCTACCACCTGGCAATACTACATGTTTTGCCTAATTTAATACTTTCGTTGAGAAACCTATGTAAAAATGCTATAATCCATGTTTTAGAGAAGAGTAAAACTAAAGCACAGAGACATCAAGTAACTTGTCTGAGGTTACACAGCCAGTAGTAGTAAGGTCAGGATTTTGCCCTACGTTCCTCTGATTCCAAAGACAGTGTTCTCAACCACTACATTCCACCAAGGCCACAATACTTTCTGCCCTTTCCCAGTGCTTACCTATTTCCTCTATATAACATTGAGTATGGACTTTAGGAATGGGATAAACCTGGCTTCGGTATTGCCTGACACATTCACTAAAGTGTATTTCCTCATAACTCACAGCCTCAGTTTGCTCAGCTGTGAAAAGCTGAGAAAATGTGGCCAGGAGTATTGTAATAATTAAGTCAACAAAGTAATATTAAGAACAGTTGTTGGTGTGGAATAATTCTTGAATAAACATGATTTTCTTATCAACATTGCCTTAATTCACAGTCTTTCCTTCCCCTTACACAAACAAAACGGGTGAACAACGTATCCTATTTTGCTTGTTAAATGATTACCACTGTTTTTTGCTGGCTGCGATAGTTGTTCACAATTTTGTATAAAAATAAACATGTATATAGCATTTCTACAGGAGAATGTGCTCTAAATTCAGTTGTGTTCTTTCTTTCTCTCTCGCCTTTTATTTTTGCCTGCTAGCATACAGAAATGCAGCTGAAATTGTCCAGTATGGAGTAAAAAATAACACCACTTTTCTGGAGTGTGCCCCCAAGTCTCCGCAGGCATCTATCAAGTGGCTGTTACAGAAAGACAAAGACAGGAGGAAAGAGGTGAGTAAAGCAGCACAGCAGCAATCCATCAGGGCTTCAGAGAGAACATTAAATCACTGTCCCTCAGCGAGGCTCAGATCAAAGGAAAAAGGAAAGGCATATGATCATCTTTTACGTCTTTGGGATGACAAGTGCCACTTTCCTTAAAATCCTTTGTCCTTAAGAATTGATGGATTAATTAGGAATTCTCTCTGCCTGCTCACCTCTGTAACATGGTGATTGAAACAAGAGCTTGGGTGCTAAGACGGTAGTATTGATGTGAGGAAACGTTCGTAAAAGAAACAAGATGTGTGCAAATCCAGAAGCCAAGTTTTCACACAACGGCACCTTTGTGTGATTCACAAGATAAAAGGAGGCTTTTAAAAAAAAGTTCAGTTTTCCTCAGCAAGAAATTACACTGAACTATAACCTTCATGACAAAGAGCGTTTTTCTGCTGTGTGGTAATCTGTTTCCATTGTTTTATTATTCATAACTCTTGTGCTTTGGTTAGGTAATATATGGAATCATTGTTTATGGGAGCATTGTCTGTATTTAGTGATGTGGAAAAAGTCCTTAGATTTTCAAATAAAAAGACACTTACTGAAACTTTTCGTGGATTAGAAAGAGCTGGGTTTTTTTAAATAAGGGAGACATTGTAAAATGACATAGGGTGATACCTTGTAAATAACTAATTTCATAATATTGATGTCATGTTGTCCTGACAAATGAGAAGATAAAAATATATATGTATATATAAAGCCTTAGGGAAGTCTAAAATGTACCACCATTTGTGCAGCATAAAGTTGATGGAGCCAAGGGGGAAGTGGAGCCTTCCGCATTTATGTGTATTCTTCTGTTGTGGGCAATTTGGTTATTACATATTAAGTTAATTAAGGGTATGTAGACTGAGTACCACCCTAAGCTGTAGAACACAGATACTGCATCAGTGTTACGGAAATAAATGTTGGTTTCATATGGAAAAATACTCTCCGACTCTCAGACTTGTCTACCCAAAGATCTTAGGAGCTGTTTAGGAAATTGTGTGTCCCTCATTACTGGAATATTAAACCATAAGCAGATGACTACTTGCAGGAGGAAACTGAATTATTTGGAGGAAAGATGAGCTAGATGGACATCAGAGCCCCATCATTCTTCTAAAGCCTAAGATGCTAACAATACTTTTAGAAAGATTTTAATAATGAAAATTATTATTTATTTGAGATCTCTTTTCTTTGCTGTAAAATCTGTTATCAAAGAAGTCTTGACATTTCTAGAGTCAAATTAATTTTCAATTATTTTGAATGGATATGGATTATAATAATTACCTTGCAGAGCAAGCTGCATTAGAAGTCATAAGTGATGATGATTACTATATACAAGTGAGTTGTTAGGCCAGGGCAGGAACACAAGGACGTGAACAATCCTTCCAGAAAAAGCCTATATGTATATATGTGAATTGGGTAAGTAATACTTAAACAAGGATCAACTAAAATGTAATTTTCTTTTATTCAGTAGAAAGTTCAATAGAATAATATATAAGTGAATATAACATCTATGATTTAAAATAAATACATATGTTTGAATATCTGCCATATAAATTAATAGTAAAATTTAAAATGGAATGTGTTAAGGATTTATTCTCTCTAATAATATTTCCAAAGTTCTGTTTCAGAATGCTCAAGAATATGGAGACTCAAATATTACTATTTTGACTTTTTTTCCAATCTCAAAAACATAAGAATGTAATAATTTAATAGTGGCATAACATTAGCTCTAACACAAGTATGAAAGTCTGTTTTGTTCAGAATTTAAGCAGAGCACAATTTTACTTATTTTTAAGCTATTAATATTTTACTAAACTTATTCTGATCCTTTCTATTTTAAGAAAACATGCTTCTCACTCATACTACTGTGTAAACATTAATCATTTTTTTAAGTAAGACAAATGATAAAAGCTCACAGAGCAAAGGCAAATAGTTCATACTAAGTAGCATAAAGTGAAAACTGAAAGCCCTCCTCCACTTCAATACTTATTCTCACTTTTAATATCTATTGAATAATACTAATACTTATGGAATAAAACTTACTCAGTTTTTATTCCCACTGCCCAGAGTAAGGTTCCCAAGAGTTATATATTTCTCCAAATATGTTCTATAGTTTTCCTCCCCTCCACACACACACACACACACACACACACACCCCACTTCAATATCAGTACATGTGATTCCAGCTCATATTTCCTGGCTGCATAATATTCCATCGTATGAATATACCTTAAGTGTTTTTTTTCAAAGCCATCTATTTGTTAGGTAATTTCTTGTTTTCCTCTTATCAAAAATACCTGCACACATGTGAGAGTATATAGTCTAAATTCCTAAAATGTAATTGTGCCAAATATTATATACATGTTTAATGGATTTACCATATTGGACTCAAAATATTTTCCCAATTTTGCACAAATAGGATAAAATTTCTTCTTTCTTTAATTTCTGAATGTGTTTATACACAATTTGTTTTTGAGGAACATTTAAACTTAGTAAAATTAATTAATGTCAAAATTTTGTTTTCTTCCTCCAAGTGATTCTCTCTTTTCTAGTTCTGTTCTATTATCTTTTAATACTATACTTGCCTTTTTGTGCTTTTTTTGTGCACAAACCAATTCATCTTTGATTTAGATATTATTAGTAATATCTTGTCCATTTGCACAGAACTTTATCATTTAGGAAAACATTTAACGTGCATTATCTAATTTTGGTTTTGGTCAGATTTATTTTTTCTTCAATGAAAGAGTATTCTAGAGTATACATGTCAAAGAACCTCTTACCACTTAGGTTTTTATCTATTCATTGGCAGTACTACAGGTGGAACTGTGAGGAAGGTTTCAAGCATTTACTGATACCCAGTAAACAATCATTTTTTCCAGTAAAACCTATAAAGTAATTAAATATTAATTCATAGCTTTTTATTACCTTTCCTTGTAAAGTAAAACCACTTAGAGGACTTAAAAGATGATGACATTCCAGCTAATTTTTAGACATTGTTTATTTTGGGATAATTGAAAAAGGCCCTTGATAATGTTCAAAATTCTACCTCTGCTTGTGTATTTTTTATTTAGAAGACCATTCATTTATTGAAACAAAACGATAAAATTCACCCTTTAATTGTGGCTTCATGTTTTCACTGGCGAGTATTTTTTATAAATATAAAAGACTAGAACACCAGGATAGAATAGATATTTTAAAGTATCTATGAGTTTCATTTACAGATATTGACTGTGATTCCAATTTCAAAGGCAACCAAAGTTTTGTGCTTATATATGGAGAAACATCTATCCAGGGGAAAGCACTTTAAGCTATTTTTGCTGATATGGATAATATCTTCACCCTCTATTAGATTCAATACCCCTGTGACTGTGACAAGATCTCCCATGTTTAAAAAAAAAAAGGCAATGGAACTGACCAAAATTTCATGTCCACTGAGAAGGATGCTAAGTAGTGCTCAATACTTTTTTCCCAAATCTGTGAAAGTTGAGACTATTCTGTGTATGTTGGTCATAATCTAAGGAAATATAATGTTCAGTTTCAGTAACTTTAATTTGTCTCTCTTTTAGGTTAAGCTGAATGAACGAATAATAGCCACTTCACAGGGACTCCTGATCCGCTCTGTTCAGGGTTCTGACCAAGGACTTTATCACTGCATTGCTACAGAAAATAGTTTCAAGCAGACCATAGCCAAGATCAACTTCAAAGTTTTAGATTCAGAAATGGTGGCTGTTGTGACGGACAAATGGTCCCCATGGACCTGGGCCAGCTCTGTGAGGGCTTTACCCTTCCACCCGAAGGACATCATGGGGGCATTCAGCCACTCAGAAATGCAGATGATTAACCAATATTGCAAAGACACTCGGCAGCAACATCAGCAGGGAGATGAATCACAGAAAATGAGAGGGGACTATGGCAAGTTAAAGGCCCTCATCAATAGTCGGAAAAGTAGAAACAGGAGGAATCAGTTGCCAGAGTCATAATATTTTCTTATGTGGGTCTTATGCTTCCATTAACAAATGCTCTGTCTTCAATGATCAAATTTTGAGCAAAGAAACTTGTGCTTTACCAAGGGGAATTACTGAAAAAGGTGATTACTCCTGAAGTGAGTTTTACACGAACTGAAATGAGCATGCATTTTCTTGTATGATAGTGACTAGCACTAGACATGTCATGGTCCTCATGGTGCATATAAATATATTTAACTTAACCCAGATTTTATTTATATCTTTATTCACCTTTTCTTCAAAATCGATATGGTGGCTGCAAAACTAGAATTGTTGCATCCCTCAATTGAATGAGGGCCATATCCCTGTGGTATTCCTTTCCTGCTTTGGGGCTTTAGAATTCTAATTGTCAGTGATTTTGTATATGAAAACAAGTTCCAAATCCACAGCTTTTACGTAGTAAAAGTCATAAATGCATATGACAGAATGGCTATCAAAAGAAATAGAAAAGGAAGACAGCATTTAAAGTTGTATAAAAACATGAGTTATTCATAAAGAGAAAATGATGAGTTTTTATGGTTCCAATGAAATATGTTGGGGTTTTTTTAAGATTGTAAAAATAATCAGTTACTGGTATCTGTCACTGACCTTTGTTTCCTTATTCAGGAAGATAAAAATCAGTAACCTACCCCATGAAGATATTTGGTGGGAGTTATATCAGTGAAGCAGTTTGGTTTATATTCTTATGTTATCACCTTCCAAACAAAAGCACTTACTTTTTTTGGAAGTTATTTATTTTAGACTCAAAGAATATAATCTGGCACTACTCAGTTATTACTGTTTGTTCTCTTATTCCCTAGTCTGTGTGGCAAATTAAACAATATAAGAAGGAAAAATTTGAAGTATTAGACTTCTAAATAAGGTGTGAAATCATCAAAAAGAAAAATCAAAGTAGAAACTACTAATTTTTTAAGAGGAATTTATAACAAATATGGCTAGTTTTCAACTTCAGTACTCAAATTCAATGATTCTTCCTTTTATTAAAACCAGTCTCAGATATCATACTGATTTTTAAGTCAACACTATATATTTTATGATCTTTTCAGTGTGATGGCAAGGTGCTTGTTATGTCTAGAAAGTAAGAAAACAATATGAGGAGACATTCTGTCTTTCAAAAGGTAATGGTACATACGTTCACTGGTCTCTAAGTGTAAAAGTAGTAAATTTTGTGATGAATAAAATAATTATCTCCTAATTGTATGTTAGAATAATTTTATTAGAATAATTTCATACTGAAATTATTTTCTCCAAATAAAAATTAGATGGAAAAATGTGAAAAAAATTATTCATGCTCTCATATATATTTTAAAAACACTACTTTTGCTTTTTTATTTACCTTTTAAGACATTTTCATGCTTCCAGGTAAAAACAGATATTGTACCATGTACCTAATCCAAATATCATATAAACATTTTATTTATAGTTAATAATCTATGATGAAGGTAATTAAAGTAGATTATGGCCTTTTTAAGTATTGCAGTCTAAAACTTCAAAAACTAAAATCATTGTCAAAATTAATATGATTATTAATCAGAATATCAGAATATGATTCACTATTTAAACTATGATAAATTATGATAATATATGAGGAGGCCTCGCTATAGCAAAAATAGTTAAAATGCTGACATAACACCAAACTTCATTTTTTAAAAAATCTGTTGTTCCAAATGTGTATAATTTTAAAGTAATTTCTAAAGCAGTTTATTATAATGGTTTGCCTGCTTAAAAGGTATAATTAAACTTCTTTTCTCTTCTACATTGACACACAGAAATGTGTCAATGTAAAGCCAAAACCATCTTCTGTGTTTATGGCCAATCTATTCTCAAAGTTAAAAGTAAAATTGTTTCAGAGTCACAGTTCCCTTTATTTCACATAAGCCCAAACTGATAGACAGTAACGGTGTTTAGTTTTATACTATATTTGTGCTATTTAATTCTTTCTATTTTCACAATTATTAAATTGTGTACACTTTCATTACTTTTAAAAATGTAGAAATTCTTCATGAACATAACTCTGCTGAATGTAAAAGAAAATTTTTTTTCAAAAATGCTGTTAATGTATACTACTGGTGGTTGATTGGTTTTATTTTATGTAGCTTGACAATTCAGTGACTTAATATCTATTCCATTTGTATTGTACATAAAATTTTCTAGAAATACACTTTTTTCCAAAGTGTAAGTTTGTGAATAGATTTTAGCATGATGAAACTGTCATAATGGTGAATGTTCAATCTGTGTAAGAAAACAAACTAAATGTAGTTGTCACACTAAAATTTAATTGGATATTGATGAAATCATTGGCCTGGCAAAATAAAACATGTTGAATTCCCCAGTTATGTTTCTAGCTTTTATTTTTAATGTAGGGTTAACTTACTTGTTAGCATGATAGAATCTACTGAATTCATATCATTTTTAAAGATTCCTTTATCCATTTTTTGTGAAGGTAATGCATCACTATTTCAAAATTTAAATTGTGGAAAAATGCACATATGAAGCTCTCCCAGTACCAATAGCACTTATTTATTTGAGTCCCAACCCAAAAGACATCCAATATTATCTGTTTTCTGTGTATACTTCCAAACAAATACATATTTGTTTTCTCCCTAATATTGTACATCCATTCACATCTATAGATACTTATTCAGAGTATGTTGTGTCTACGTTGGAAGAAATACACAGTTTAGGAATGCATGGTCTTTGGAGTCAGATTGCTTGAATTTGAATCCAAGCTAAGTGTCTTATTCTGGGAAATTTTTACAATTCTCTCTGCCCTCCTTTGCTATACAAGTTCATACCAGTAAAGCATTAGGACAGAACATTTTACGTGGTAAGTATTCAATAAATGTCTTAAAATTGCCTTATTTAGAAGGTATCATTTTGCTAGAACAAGAAGGAATGTTTCAGTTGTGTTCTATGGCAAGTTAAATGCCAATGATCTAGGTGGGGAAACTGCAGTCATTGGGTCAGGTAACACCTTATCATGTAAAATGAGCCTTTAATAAATTAGAGGAAAGAAACCATAAATTAATTCAAAATCCAGTTAACACATTTGAATGGCAGACCTATTACAGCTTTCTGCTACCTCTGGGCTTTCAATGTTTAATAATGTCAGTGAAGAAAAAAGAAACCACAAAAATTAAAAGTTGTCTTAACAGGTCTTCCAACTTAACAATTCTGCACTACTCCCTAATTGCTTCATTATTTCTCAGTATCTCCCTTGCTTATATTTCACCTTAACCTGAGTCTTAAAATATTTGATGTGTTTCTTATAATTTTAATGTACTGCTGATTTATGTCTTAACTAAGTGAAAAATTTTTTAAGAAAATGGTAAGTTTCCTACACATATTCTGCTAGCTAAAGTCAAAAGAAACATTCAGCTTGTTTTGCAGCCTGTTAAAAAGCTTTAGTCTAGACAAAAAAAATAAGCAGACTAAGTAAGAAAAAATGTTTATTTAACCAGAGACATTGAGAATTTTATTGAATTCCATGCGTGATGACAAAGCTGCAGATTACTGTGGAATTTTTTTTTCTTAAGAGTTTATCCTAGTATCCTTTTAGCCAAGCACCTTTTGCACAGGAATGCAGGCCCCTCTGCAAAATTGAAACCACAACACATTCTACTGGCATGCATGCCAATTGGTGAAATTCATTGTCAATAAGTTGTTTTCCTTAAGGGACCTCTGGTATATGTTTTAATTTTTATGGTTTCATAACAGTGTTGCCTTCATAGTACACAGGTATTGAGAGGTGGAAGAACTAGCTCCAAGATTAAAAAAATAACAATAATGCCATCTTCATTCTAGTGACTCTAATGTATTTGTCTATTCACCTCATAAAATACTACTTTCCACATAGTTTAAATTGTGTATTTCTCAGGGCTATTATGTTGCCATGCTTGAGTGTTACTTACATAAAATGCTATTAAAGAATGACATTATAACAAACACATTAAAACTGTTTATGTGAGGTTACCTCTCAACCTCCAAGTACAAAAGCAGTGTGAAGTTCTATTCCTTTAGTGTTTTTTTTTCCTCTGAATTATGCACAGAAAAGAAAGTCACCCAAAGATTTTATGAGATCATACACAAAATTATTTCTGCAAGGCAAAATGAATATATGATAGAATTATGAAAAAGGTCATTCCAATTGTTTCTCTGGATATTTTTCAGTATACATGAGATAAAAGGAATTTCTCACTTTCTTAGGACTTCTCAAAAGAAAAAGAAGTTATATGTTTTAATTTTTCCATTTATTACTGATTCTGGGGATAAATTATAATCATCTTTACCTCTCTGTCAAATCATGAATAGTCAAACAGAGAAATTAGACCTATAAATTACCTTCTTTTGAGCTGATGTGAACTGGAAGTGTTGTAAGCTGTGGTTCTGTATTGACAGTTTGTCTCATGTATAGGAAAAGCAGACCACAGAAAACAATAAAATGAAGGAGATGCTACCCAAGCCACACCAGCCTGGCACATTCAGCGGAATCCCAGTGATGTTTTTATGTACACATATGTATGTGTATGTGTATATACAGATTACATGCCCGCAAATTCACAAACCAGCTATATTCAGTATATACATTATTCCAAAATGAGCCCCAATTTCTGCTTCAGGTTCACATTCCAGCTTCTCTACTTATAAATGATATAAACTGGAAAAGTTATTTAATCCTTCTTGATGAATTGTCACTTTCTCTAAAATTGGAAATAATAATAATGTCTATCCCATGTAGTAGTTGTGTTGTGAGAATAAAATAATATATGTGGAGTTCTTCCAGCATATGCTATTATTTTTCAATCAGGAGAGCAAAACCATTTTTTTCATTTGAGCATTTTTCTCTTTTTCATCAGATTGCATCTACATAGTTCAGTTGATATTTCATGTCATTTATCCATATTGGCATCTATGATAACATCGGTTTTTCTGTTTAACTTTGTCACCAGTTAACAAAGGTCTTCTGCTGTCTCTTGTTCCTAATGAAAGCCTGTTCAGGGCAAGTGAGCTTTCCATTATGTCCAAACACGCTTTAGAGGAATAGGAATTTTTCTGCTATTCCTGCACCATTCTGGGAGACAATTTGAGCCTCTCCGGCCTAAAACCACCAAGATATGTCTGTGTTGTTTGCCCCTCGGAGATCTTGTACCGTCCCAGGACACAAACCCAGAAGTGAGGTAGAAACAGAACCCACAAATCCCTGTATGCTTACCATCCACCTCCACCAACTCACTCTTCATTGCCTTGGTTCTCTGGAGCAAGGATTATCCATTGAACATCACCCATGAGCTTGAGAAGATTTCAACCTTTGTCATTCAAGTACTTCAAAGAGAATTTTGAAAAGTTACGTAGCCACTAAATAATTTTTAAGTTAAAAACTAACTTTCTTATTATATGTGTCAGTAGTTGCAAAGAATATAACTTTCAGTAAAATATCAATTTCAAACTTTTAAAATAACATATCAATTTCAAACTTTTAAAATAACATAGTTATATCTCTTTTTAAATGACAACAATGAAATCAAAATAGTATAGGAATTTGGTACTCAACATATTTTAAAATAATAAAAAAGATCCAATTTTAACAATTTTTTAACAGCCAGAAATTTTATACTATTTCTATTTATTCTTATTCACATTTCTGTTCTACTTGCTTCAAAAATTTTTATCCTGATACAGCAAGTCTTATATTTTAAGGTCTTTTATTGATTACTATCATACATATGTACAACAAAAATATGCATATTTAATTCTTATTTAAGAATGTAGGCCAGGCACAGTGGCTCACTCACTCCTGTACTCCCAGCACTTTGGCAGGCTGAGGCAAGTGGATCACCTGAGGTCAGGAATTCAAGACCAGTCTGGCCAACATGGTGAATCCCCATCTCTACTAAAAATACAAAAATTAGGTAGGCGTGGTGGTGCGTGCCTGTAGTCCCAGCTACTCGGGAGGCTGAGGCAGGAAAATCACTTGAACCTGGGAAGCAGAGGTTGCAGTGAGCCGAGATTGCATCACTGCACTCCAACCTGGGCAAGAGTGAGACTCGTTCTCAAAAAAAAAAAAAAAGAAAAAAGAAAAAAGAAAAAAAAAAGAAATATAACCCTCTAAGTATTAACATTTTTTTTGGAATTAAAATTATAAATCATCACAATTTGACCAAAGGACATAAATATATTCCAAATTTTGAAAATCATTAAAAAGTAAAAATCTTAAATGAAAATATATTTATTTAATAAGATAAATGGAGCTTCTTTCTTTGTCCATTAATTAAATTATTTGTGGATGAAGTTTACTTGAGAGCATGAAACTAAATTCAATGAAAATGCTATTTCTAATTTTTGTAGATATGAAAACAGTAAGCAACTGTACTTACATAATTAAATGGAGATGGGAGTTTCATTATAAAGCTGTTGTCCAAATAAGTATCTTTTGAAGGCTATATCTCACAGCATTATCATCAAATGTTATTTTAATTAATGAGCTGGCAATGTGATTAGTTTCTCTTACAATATTATTCAAAGGAAAGATTTGAAAATCATCATTCTTCTCAATACTTGTACCAATATTTTCATTTGTGCCTTTGTTGGGCTCTCTGGCTCAATGAGGCCATCTCCTTGGTTTTCCCAGGATAATCCTCTGTTTCTTCTATTTATACAGACTCCCAGCAGCCATTTGCTAACTGAGTTATGTTGGGAAAGTTACTTAACTTCTCTGTGCCTGTTGGGGTCCTCATCTGAAAAATTGGGATAATAATATTATTCCCTTCATATGGTGGTTGTGATGATAAAATCACATTCCTGCCACGTGATTAAGATATTATTATTAGTTTAATTGGTGCTATTATTACATGCTTTACAAAGCCCCTTAGCTCATCCAGAAGTTCCAGTGACCATTTGCTATCTTTTTTATTGCTCCTATTTCCTTATCCCCCTGGCACTGGCAGGCAGATGATCTGATAATCATTATCAGGACATGAACCTTGTGGGTCTTACTTGTTTTTGTTTTTTTTTTGTTTTTTTTTTCAAACCAAGATAAGGCTCTTGACTCCTTCCTCAAGCTGAATTCCTTCTCCATCTGCCTAGAAACCTTGAGGTGACTTCTCTGGAGCTTAGACTTATTCATCCTGGATGTCAGCTGTTATCCTCCACATGAGGAGCTTGGCTTTTCCTAAGACTCCTGGATACCCCATACCATAGCCTCCTGTCAGTTCTATCCTGGCCAGTCCTCAGGCATGGTCAAGCATGTCGAAGTCAGTCTGGTAGAGATGCTAACCACTGTGCTATGCACCTCTCATCTGCAGCAGTCATGGCACCACCACAAATTCCACCACCATCCTCCTCATAAAGATAGCCATTTAGTGAGCATTTCTATGTAAACACACACACTATACATAATATCTTCTTTCACAGGATCTTCTGAAGGATATGCTATTAATCTATTTTACAAATGAGGGTTGGAAGCATTTGGAGACTTTGCCTGAGTTTAATAACTTCCTACAGGCCAAAAAATGTGAAAAACAATGAGTCTGGCTACAAATTTTATGCGTCTTCTATACTTCATCATCAAGAGTCCCCCTCAGGAATATCTATTAGGAAAGTCAGATCATTTGGACAGATTCTATATACAGCAGCCTTTGAAATAGGATTTCTAGGACTCTAGGTAGCATCTAGCTCAGGCTGTGAAGTCAGAACACCTTGCTTTAGCTTGCTTTCTTAGTACTTCCTAGTTTTGCACGTCTGAGATCATTATCATAATATCAATCTCATGGGACTACTGTCAAGATTAATTGAGATAATCCATGTAAAGTGCTTAGAACTTACCTGACATAATATGAGTATCAGACAAATGTTGGCTGTTTTTATTACCATGCCTCTGATTTTGGAAATATCATTTATTCATGATTTCATCAAATAGTCATTTAGCATTTCCTATGCACCTGGCAGTATTTCAGTCACTGAGGTCATAGCAGGGAACAAAGTGAAGTCCCTGCTGTTGTAAAGCCTCCTTTCTAGAGGAGAAGAAAATAAAGAAATGAGAAATAAAGATAAAATCCTAAACCCTACAACTGACTAAACAGACGATCTCTTGACAAAGGGGACCCCAGAGTAAACTTGAAAATGAAATTCTCAGTCTTGATGGGATGAGGGTGTTAGGCCCCTCCCTCACTCACTACGATTAGCCTATCTTCCCTAAGGGCTAAACAGGAACCAACCCTTTTAAGTGACTCCACTATTGATATCAACCAACTACCTGATGCTGCCTCTCTTTTGTTTTGCCTGATTAAGAGACCACAGTCATGGAGTGGTTCTGGTGAGTCAACAGAGCTTGCACAGTAAGGGATTTTGTGTCCTCTGCTTCATCTTTGGATGTCAGAGGGTCAAAAATTCCACCCTTACATCACCATTTTATGAACATGGAGATGCAGGAAGCTCAACTGCGCATGTGCACCTTTCTACTTTCAGGTATTCGTGACTCTTTCCATAGCTTATTGAATATGTATATTTGGCCACCTTACTTGGCATAAATTCCTTTTTTTCTATCCAACTTTTATGTATGTTCAAGGGGTACATGTGCAGGTTTGTTAAGTGGCTAAATTGTGCTGTGGAGATTTGGTGTACAGATAATTTTGATACCCAAGTAATCAGCATAGTACCCTATAGGTCGTTTTTCAATCCTCACCCTCATTCCGCCTTCCACTCTCAAATAGACCGCAGTGTCTATTGTTCTCTTATTTGTGTCTATGTCTACTCAATGTTTAGCTCGCACTTATAAGTGAGAACATGATTTGATTTTCTGTTCCCATGTTAATTCACTTAGGATAATGACCTCCAGCTCCATCCATGGAGCCATGATCTCTTTTTATACAGCTGCATTGTATTTCGTGGTGTTATTTAACGCATTTTCTTTATCCAGTCCACCATCGATAAGCATCTAGGTTGATTCTATTTCTTTGCTATTGTGAATAGAGCTGCGATGAACATATAAGTGCATGTGTCTTTTTGGTCGAATGCTTTATTTTCCCTTGGGTATATAACCAGTAAGGGATTGCTGGGTCAAATGGTAGTACTGTTGTAGTTTCTTTGAGAAATCTCCTGTGGGATATGATGAGGTTTCTCTTCAAATAGCCCGATCAATCCTTTATTTTTTTATTCATACTACCCCCCATCCCTTTTCCCTTTTTCTCTTTTTTCTTCCTTTCTGCCTTTGTTACATGCCCAGACGTGCCACAGTACCAGGCGTTATCAGTACCAGCTCACATTCCTTTCCTTATGTGGAAAGAAGACTAGCTCTCTAGCTCATTGGAGACACCCCGTCCCGTTTTCCCCTCTCTCCCTTACGTGCCGACCTTATCTAAAAAAAAGTTCCAATGTTTAGCCAACCGGAATTAGTTTAGATTGTACGGCCCGACCCCGGCCAATGGGGAAAGGGTACAGGGGCAGGACTTGCGTCAGGAATAAAGGCTCTCATGCCCCTTGGTTCAGGGGTGCTCTCATGGCAACTGGCCAAGGAGAAGCACCCCTCTGCGCAGAAGTATAATTGCTGTGCTAAGAATCCTTTGAGTGTTCAATTTCCTTAGGATTTTGAGCGTTATTCCCAACATCTCCAAACTGCTTTCACAAGGAGTGAACTAAGTTACATTTCCACCAACAGTGTATAAGCATTCCCTTTTCTCCATAACCTCCCCAGTATCTGTTGTTTTTTGAATTTTTAATAATGGCCATTCTGACTGGTGTGAGATGGTATCTCATTGTGGATTTGATTAGCATTTCCCTAATGATTAGTGATATTGAGCATTTTTTGTATATCCTTCTTGGCCACATGTATGTCTTCTTTGGAGAAGTGTCTGCTCATGTCCTTTGCCCATTTTTAAATGGTTGTTTGGTATTTGCTTGTTGAATTGTTTGGGTTCCTTATAGATTATGGATATTAGACCTATGTTAGATGCATAGTTTGCAAATATTTTCTCCCATTCTGTAGATGTGTGTTTACAGTGCTGGTAGTTTCTTTTGCTGTGCAGAAGCTCTTTAGTTTAATTAAGTTCCACTTGTCAATTTTTGTTTTTGTTGCAGTTGCTTTTGGAGTCTTCATCATGAAGTCTTGCCTGAGCCAATGTCCAGAATGTTATTTCCTAGATTTTCTCCCAGGATCTTTGTAGTTTTAGGTTTTACACTTAAGTCTTTAATCCATCTTGAGTTGATTTTTGTATATGGTAAAAGGTAAGGGTCCAGTAGCCAGTCTTCTGAAATTAGCTACTTGGTATAAATTCCTGTTCCCTCTGCCCCTCCATGGAAGTATCTGATTCTGGCTTCTGACTGGAGGCTATATTTCCCACCCTTTCAGAATGGACACCCTGCAGGCTGCAACCCTTGGTGAGAAATAAAGTATCCCCTTCTGCTTACCTAAAGTTATAAATTTTGTATTTTTTCTTTAAGTTAACCGAATCAAACAAATAATTATGTAATCGGTTAGGTTCAGGAAAGTGCTATGAAGAAAATTAAAGAAAGGTAAGGGAATCATGCAAAAATTAGGAAACAGAGCATTCCAGACAGAGGGACAAGCCAGTAAAAGGCTCCAGGGTAAAAACAATTCTGGCAGATGTGAGAAAAAGAAAAGAAAAGAAAACATGTGTGGCTGGATATAAGTGAGAAAGCAAAGGATATGGAGGAGATGGGATTCAGAAGGTGGAGAAACCAAGTCCCTTGGCCCCTGATGGCCGTGGTGAGAAGTTCAGATTTGATTCTAAGGGTTATAAAAACTATTGGAGGCCAATGATGTGACACGAGCGATTTTCATTCAACATAACATATTTCTGTCTATATTTTAGAGGCTTTTTGAGAGGAAGAATGGAAATAAAGAAAATAGGAAGATCAACTAGCAGTACGAAACATATTTTTTAAAAGTGTAGACTTTCTTTTAGACTTAAAGTCTAGTAGACTTCAGTATTGACTTTCATTCACACAGAAATATAAGCAATAGCTCCCTCCTGGAGTGCATTTCTGAAATAAGGGGAAGGAGTGTTATAAGGCAGTATTCATCCCCTTACAGCAAGGACGGATTGGGGGAGTAGTGTGGTCCAGAAGGAAAAAAGAACACCAAATGAGGTCAAATAGAAGCTAGAAGAGAGCATTAGAGGTGGTGCTGGAGCTATTATACAATATGCAGAAACTGTCAGAACAAGGGATTTGTTACCCAGTAATGTCCAGAAGAAGAAATAGCATAGGTTTCAATATTGAGAACTAAAACAATCATAGATGAAAATCAAAGAGTGATTAAAGACCCTGCTGCATGGATGCTTTAGATTAAGTCAGGCTGGGTCATAAGGACAGCGACTCTAAACAACTGAGGATGCAAACTGCTTTTATGGATGAGAGTCCACAGTAAATAACCTTACTAAAGATAAATTGCCACATGATTAAGACCAACTATTTGCAAAGACCAGCTGCCTTAATGACTCTATTACTTAATCCTGATTTTATTTATTGCAAAAATGATGGCACTTTTATCCCGCATTTAGAAACAAGCTGTCTAAGTGAATGAGGAAAGCTTAGAGAATGGAGTTTGTGGTAAAATATCCTTTTTCAGAAGAGTGAAATTCACAATTCAGTTTATGTGGGAACTTAGTCTTTAACTGGGGCAATGGGGTCAGCATTAAAGCAGTGATTCCAGAGCTGTTCCAACTCCTCACGATGGAACCCCCTACACCACAGATAACTGCTTTCCTATGCCAGGTAAAATAAGGAAGACTTTTCCTACAAAGGGGATTTCTGAACTCTCCTGAGATGCCTTCATCAAAAGCTGGCATTGAGGCTTTGAAAATGGTGGCACATTGAGTTTCCTTCTTAGGAATGGAGTAAGTATGGATATTTTTGGATAAAAATACTTATGGAAGATGAATTTGATGAAGAGGAAAAACGAGGAAAGGGTTGATTGATGTCTTTACCTCTCCTTAAAGAGTGTTAAACTCCACTGTCGCTACCATAGCCACCACGATGGTGGCTATGGTGGGTGGAGACAAAAATATTTGTAGCCAATGAACAGCAGGGGGCGTGCTTAACGGATTCTGAGATTGTCAGCACTTGTTTTTCATTTTCAATCAGACAAAGAAACCATAAAAGCCCTTTTTGGGCTGCCTTGAAATATTTTCATTAAAAAAAAAAAAAGCACAGGTAGAGTGTAAACTTCATATCTCAATCGCTTTTTTATGCCTTATATCTAGAACAGTGCCAGCCCCCAAACAGGTGCTTAATTGCTTAATAAGCCTGTGTGGAATTGGTTTGGGGCCTTCCCTTTTTGATAGTATATAATGAATCTTTATAGACACTAATATGTAATGAATAGGGCATCATCTGTTAAATAATACAGATTTTAGAAAATGCACACTTATTGCTTTGAATACCTATAGAATTTCCATTAAGTAGAACACTCACTAAAATTTATCAGGCAAGCAAATAAAATTATACCATGTACTCCCATATAAGAAATGAATAACATCATATCTATTCTCCAAAAGGAAGCTAAGGCAAATATAAAATACTTACTAATACAAGATGACACTTCAACAACAGTCAAAAAATTTGGTCTCTATCACAATGGCCACAAGAGAACGTGATGAAAAATCTACCTTGTTCTATTAAGATGCTATTTCAGTCCTATTCATTCATTATCACCTCTATTTCGCACAGTGATATTTGGTAGACATTGCTATGAATTTTACAGATGGGAAAATAAGCTCAGAGTTTCTGCAGCTAGCAAGCAGCTTGTTTAGGACTGAAAAAAACACGTCTGCTTTTTGTCCTATGCCACCTAAGTCGTCAGAACTTTAGAGAATGGAGACTTCAGTGTAGTAATCAGGGGAGGCTTCTGCTCTAGGAGGAGCCTAGAATGGACTGTGTAGTATAGAATTGTGAAAGGTTAATGTGGTAGAAGAAGGACTTTTCTATAGGTTTGGGGGTGGAAACATATGAATAATATCCAAAAAAGAATCCACAGATTGATTCCAAGAGTTGAAGCTTGGGAATAGCAGAGATTGAGGCAGATATATATGCATTTGAATGCAGTAAATAATGAAATAAACACCTGCTATTAGTTTTTGAGATGAGTTGATCAATGTAGATGTCTTGAGAATGTAGATATATTTAAGAAGAAGGAGATGAGAAGCAAGTATTTACTTGATTGATTAGTTGATTGATGCCCTGGCTGCTTCGCAAAGGAATCTGAAGTGAGAAATACAATTAGGGGTCAATGAGGTTAAAGCAGTGGAACCATAATTGTCATAAAATTGATTAATATAATTTCTGCCTTGACATCCATTTTTAGGCCTGACTTAAGTTGTTTGAAATGCAACTGTACCCTGTCACCTTCAGTGTGGTAAAAAAAATCCTCTCCCTGTGTGAGTGCTTACAAATAGCCACTTGTTCCTCATTTTAATCACTGAAAAAAAAAAAAAAAAAAAAAAAAAAAAAACCCAACATACCCGACAGCTGCTGCCCATGATAGAACCCAATGGTTAACACTAGAATCATGTAAATAAGATCCCCCTGTGCAAACATTTGTTTTTAAACTAGCCAATCCACAACCCCCACAGGAAAGCCTAAAGGATTGTGCCCGTGGACCTTACAAACTCACAGTTCCACGGATCCTTTCCCTGGCTCTTTCTCACCCTCTAACTCCTCGCTTGTTGGTTGAGTTCCCTACCACCTCCAGACTTCCGTCAGCTTCCCGTTGGCACCCCTAACCTCCCTGAGACCTGTAAGTAATACATTTCTTATGTTCCATGCATTTGGTTTTACCTTCTCATTCTGTCTTGCCTGACCAACACATTTCAATCTGAGCCTAACTTTTCACTAGTCAGAGCTTTCCTAAAGAGTGGCTATCTTGGTTATGGCCACTTTTAAGAGAGAGGCCTCAAGACCAAGTTAGAAATGAGCTATAACAATAGAAATCACAATAATAAAGAGAGTTTATCTTTTCTTAGTAATTCAGCTGGCATGCTGAGATTAGGCTGTATGTGTTAAAACACATAGAAGCAACTTGATTGATATTTAGATGTTAATTAAACAATTATTGAATGCATTTGAACATTGTCAACATTGTGGTTTGAAGACTTTATAAAAGAATAAGTAAAAATATCATGACAATAAAGCTAACATTAATGGGATGCTTACTAATTGCCAGCAACTGTGATTTTATGGATTACCTTGTTTAAATTTCATGTTCAAACCTAGGAATAGGTATTATTATTATCTGCCTTTTGCAGATGATGAAACTGATGAATAATATTAAGAAATTCAAAATTAATAAAAGAATAGAGTATTCTAAGTTACGACGCTGAAATTATGAAGTGCCATCCATAAATGCTCTGAGATTCAAGTGATCTTCAATGTCAGTGATAATTTTTGGTAGAAAATATTAGCATAACATGTGTAAATGAGGACTTCCAGCATCATCTTCCTATCTATAGATGTTTGCCTTTGCCAATAATATAATTTTGTCATATGATATCCGAGTATTTATTAACTAGCATGATACCACAACAATTGAAATGTCTCAGGACATCACTTTTATCACAAGAAAAATCAGTGGTTAAGACTAGGTTAAAAATACCACCCATGTGTACACACATTCACTATGTCTGTACAGGGTTGAGAAAATCTGACAAATTTAATAAATGTAGGACTTAAGAATTCAAAAAAATGAGGGCAGCATATTGCCAGGATTCTCTGAAACAGCTGGAGCCAGAGAACAAAGTGTCTTAATTAGATAGCTCTTACAGGGCAGAATATTCTGGGGTGAAAGGTGTGAGGACAGGTGGAAAGACCAGGGTGGTCCCAAGAGCTGTCATACACAACCATTTTACCGACAAAACTGAGACACTTAAAGAGGTCACACATTTTGTAACAAAGCCAGGTCAACGTAAGTGACCTAGAGATATGGTTTATATAGTGCAGAAAAGTGCATGCAAGACCAAAAAAACTATTCTTTTCAGCTGTCAGCATCAACTAAGTAAGAGCTTGAATTTCTGGGACTCCATTTCATGGCCTGGCTGTTGTTCAACTGCACTGTCTATACCAGATTTTTTCAGTCAGTCTCATTTGGCTGTGCTCAGCTACACATGGCCTCAGGGCAAACAAGGCCAAAGTGAAAGCAGAAATATTTTTCCTCAAGCCACATTTTCAACTTGGTGAAGAAATGAAGAGCTTCATCCTCAGGATCATAATGATAACTTTCTCCAAATTTCTTAGCAGTAGTTTAGAATTATCTTGTCAGTATCACTGTCTTTTGTAACAGGTGCTAGGAGACAACCAGCCACAGGTGAAGAGGATAGAAAAGTCATCTATAAACTCATTTAAAGGGGTGAAGTGTGTCCTCCGTTGTGCCTCTTCTTTGTAGAGAAGCAAGCATGTTGGGGCCTGATAACTGAATGGATGTACCTCTGCCCTAACCCAACATCTTCTACTCTCCTCCCAAATCCCTTCTTTCTCCTAGTTGCCCCTTGCCTTTTTCTCCGCAAATCCAGAGCTTCTCAAACTTGCAGGTGTCCTTGAATCATCTGTGAGCCTTGTTAAAAGGTAGATTCTCATTCTGGAGGTCTGAGGTTGATTTGGAGATCTGCATTTTTTTAACAGTCTCTTAGGAGATGCCCAGGCTGCTGGTCTGCAGGCCACATTTTGAGTGACAAGGTTCTATTTTACTTGTATAATTTATGATAGAGAGGATGAAGGTAGATTTTGGGGAGACAGAAAAGAGAATAATTTCTTTCTTCTTTTCTCCTCATCCTTCACAGTGAAACGAGTATTTCCTTTCTCTGCAAACAGAAACACTCGTCAATTGGGACAGGTGAGGCAAACTCTAAGAATATATAATTTTCTTTGTTGTACAATTACATATCTTTCGTAGAGTGATATATGGAGAGGAATTATGCAAGAAACCTAATTTTGTTTGCTTTTAATAGCAATTACTCACTAAATTAAAATGACTTTTTTTGGTATGCTTATTTTAAAGACAAAGGGAAAAGAAAATAAAATTATTTTTAGTGAGATTTAACCTGAATTGAATTAGGATAGGGTCAAGACTGGTGGTGAATTGGTAATACTTTAACCACTGGCTTTCCAGGAGAAGGGTGAGGGGCAAAGAAGTCTTGAGGTGTAGCATCTGCCCATTTTTATGGTATAAATACAAAAGTACCCTCATGGCTAAGTTCAAGTTACCCAACAAGAGGTCATTGAATACAAAACTAGGAAAAGATTTACACAATTGGCCTCCAGAGGAACCACTGAGAGACTCTCCACAAAGAGATAGTTGAAACTATATGAAAGATGACATAATCCAAGAAAAATTACAGAGAAAGTATGTTGAGGATTCTATCATCTTCTAGAACACTGAATATATATTAAGGCTTCTATTTCATTTATCTTTGTCTCATACTTAATTTCAGACTTGTTTCCTAGACATTAGATTATAAGACTGTTCTAAATATCTTTGATCCTTTTTATTTGCAGTAAAATATTTTAAATAGGTGTTGAATTGCAAATGGAGGGGAGCATAAAAATTGACTCCATTAAAATGATTCTTAAAGGAAAAAAGACAGCACATGTGTGTCTTGTTAATTAAAAATAAGAATACTAATAGAGTAAATCTCTACGATGACCACCTGTAGTTTTTTTAATAAAGGCAATGTTTTGTAACTTATGGATATTCTGAGCAAATGCCTATATTTCTAAAGTACTTTTACTGGAAGTTGTAAATTAGTTGTAAGGCAGCCTTTGAGATTTAGGTTGGAAGAAAGGTGAACAATAGAATCCTGAGGGAGACCACAGATAGTAAGGGTCTGCTTATGAACGGAAATTAAATCTAATCCATGAAGCAGAGAAAACGAATCTCATAAAAATTTCCTTGGGGGCTAAGGAAATAGAGCTAAAGGGATAGGACTTCTCTTCACATAATTTAAGTTTGTGAACAATTAAAGAATCCAGTTGCTGTAACAGAGAAGTGCTGAACAAAGTAGCATTTAACAAAAACACCCTCGGGTGCTAGTACCTGAAAATATAGAACAGAAATAGCTGCTGGATAGAAGAATTTTTAAAGAACAAAGTGATGTATTAAACTTTTCTACCCTTATTGAACTGCAGACTTCCCATTGGTCTACCTGTTCATAGGGTTTCTACCTGCACAGTCCCCCACACTCTCTAATACCTCATCATTTTAAGTAGCTTCTTGAGGGTGTTGGGATTTGGCTGATTCATCACAGAGGATAACCAGAAATATAAAAAAGCAAGACAATGATCTCAAGAGTCTCTTTGATAATATACCTGATAATTTTGTCATAATACCCAACCAGTGTAAGCAGATACTGTTATTTTAGAATGACAATGTACAACTATGAGTGATCTATTCTCTTTCGTATTCTGCACCTCATTGGCCAGCATGGGACACAAGTGGAAAAGTAAGGTACCTGATACTATTTAGAAGTAGGATCATTTGCTCTGCTATCGTAATTGTATGATAATATAGATTTGTGCATCTCACATCCGGTTCTCCATAGCAGTTACCCAAAGGTGCAGGCTTAGACCTTTCTTAAGCAAATAAAATATTTCCTTAATGGATTGATAACAACACCATCAGTTTTATCACTTCTGCAAATTCATCTTCTGACACAGATTCAGATTACCCTCGAATGTGCATTTAAGTATCGGATACCACCTAAATGTCAGAAGGAGGGAAAAAAAGACTAATCTCAGCAGTCTGGAAGAAGGATGTTGTCAAAGGTCATCAACAAGTCTGACAAAACAGTACTCATTAACAGTGTCTGTCAGCACCTCCATTTGGAAGTAATTTGGATATTTGCAGTGACCCCATCAATTCTGATTGGCTGGGCAGTGACCTTGACCAGGGTGAAACCTGTTCAGTGTAGCTCATACAATGCACTGTAGGTGGAATCCAGGATGACAGATGGCAGTGGGGTCAGTGAAGAGGAACTTGTCCGTCACTGCTATTGAAGATGAAACTAGTCAACAGTATAATTCAACTGGCACAGAAGTTGTATATGCCACAAGAGAATTATTTGCATATGCCACAAGAGAATTCTTTAAGTTCTTTTATTTTTAAAGAAACGTTATAGTCTCATGATCTCAGAGTTCATGAGACTGATGAATACGTGGCAAAGAGAGCATAGCTGCTAGACTTTAGCAACAGAGTAGACATTTCAAAACTTGTCTTTGACTCAAAAGTCAAGCCTGAAAAGTCATGCTGGCTATGTCTGTACCATGAATAAATTCCTTATCAAAAACTAGTTCCTTTAGTATATTTTTTTCATTCTTACAAACTGGGTTAGTTTCCTTCAGAGGTAATTGCCTTACTCTTGCTGGTAGACACATCCCTTTCTTTTACCTCTGTCACATACCATTGGATCAATGTGAAATAGAACTATAACAAAAGACTGTATTATACTTTCAAGTGCTGGATTAATGAGACTATAAAAGCAATCATATATTCTGGGAATAATTAACCTTTAATAAAACAATCTGGATTTTTTTTTGCCGTTTCAGAAGCACTTTTTTTTTACATAAAAACTAGGAATGGGTAGGATATTGAAAGACATAGCACTGTGTTTTAATTCTTAATAGTTCAAAAAAAATTAAGACCCATTAGTTGACAAAAGACCTAATGAAAATACATGTAAGTTCTAATGGTAACATATGTATAAAATGATAAATCAAAAAGAAAATATGCACAACTTTCAATTACTCATGGAATGTTTTAAAAATCTTAGAATCCTAAGAACTGAAGACCACTCCTACCCATTGACTGCCTGAGCTCAGGAGTTTTTCAAAAATCTTGACCCTTGGCTCCTTAAAATGTTTTTGGACAGAACAGAAGGAAAAGAGGAAAAGAGGAAGGAGAAAAGTAGATGAAAGGAGGAAAGGGAAAAGAAGAGAGAAAAGGTTAACAATTAGCCAATCAGCTCCAATCACAATGAATTTTAAAAAGTGAATTGATTTATAGAATAATGAAAGATTAAATCTATCACAGGAAACTGACAGATTATGTAGTTGGTTTCCTACATTGTGGGTTATTCTGCTCATTTTCTATATCTAGCATTTAGATGTGTTTCAATGTTTAGGACATGTTGAGAGTCCTTAATAAGAACCCACCAATCTTTGCTTAGTAATTAGACATCATGATTATTCCCATTCTAGTTTAAAAAGGAGACTTGCTGCAAAGCAAAGTACTATCTTGCTCATACAGACCCCAACCTACAGACATTTATGGATTATTTTTTCATTTTGTCATTTTGTAATCTCTTTGTCATAAGAGATTACATCATCCAAATGGCTTTTAGGATAGTGCATCGTTTTCACTGAAACACTTTGCCTAACTGAATTTGAGACACCTTCCATTCACGTAGAGTAGCTTTTATAAAAATTGCCTCAGCCAGGCTCATTTCAGCTATATTTACACTACTTGTTTTAATGTGCATATTGTCATGACACACAGATACTGCATTAAGTAATTAAGAGGCTGACTACATAGTGTCATTTGCTGTATGAAACTGAATCTGTGGATTCAATCAATAACCACGTGAAAGTGCCTAGAGCTCCAGGATTAAGACACAACCTGCTGAGTTAAGACGAGAGGTCCAAATGGGAGCATACTAATTTGTAACACCATCCTGCAAGTTTCAGTTCCATTTTAATTAGTCATAAAACATAACATAAGCCATGTTGTTAACTAAACCATCCAAGACAAAGTCTTCCTTTCCTTAGCAAAGATTCGAAATAGAGGTAAAAATAAAAGCAAATATTCAACTGAGCAGAAGAAGAGACATTAATTTTATCTGCCTTTCTGGGACATGACTTATATCCTGAAGAGGAACATAATCCTGTAATTGCTGTAGGCCTTCTTATGTTTTTGCTGACAAAAAAGCCATTTTTGAAGTGCTAATATCACTGTAAATACAACTCATTTAATATGAGTTTCTGTCATTCCACTGGTGAAAGGGCTATGCAGCTGTTGTTTGCTAAATTGTCATTTGTTGGGTTAAAAGTTCGTCCTACACATCCAGGGTATGGTCACCACTCAGGAATCAAATGACCACACCAGAACTACATACTATGTGGATCATATAATTTGTTTTGGATCGGCTTCCTTCCAGATGCTAAAATCTGGTATATTTATTAAGTGTTGGCTAAAACCCTGATTCACTCTGGAGTTTGACTGGAAAAGACTAATTGAATGGGACCCATCCCAACACATATGTCTCCTCAAAGCTGAAAGTGATTTAGGGCTTTGAGGGCAGTTAGTGACCATCGGATAGATTTGTACTCATTCTAGGCAGCTAGCGTGCAGCAGTGTTTCCATCCTACAAGAAAACTTGTGGTGAATATTTCCCAGATGGCTTTTGCAGACAGAGGTCTCTTACAAAAGAAGAAAAGAACACTTTAACAAAGTCCAAAGAGCAGCTCATGTTGAAGATTTTTTTTTTTTTTAAGGACAAATTCAGAGGCCTTTTCAAACTCTACAGGGTGCTTCTGGAATATGTTTGGAATGTAAACACATGCCTGACTGAATTGCCCAGCTGCTACCTGGCTTACAGAGTGACCTTTCATAGAGTTCTCAAATTTTAAATCAAAAAGAAATCTTGTTGAACCTTGGGGTCATTCTGTCCCTTTCTTTACAGAAAAGCAAAATGAAACTAAGGTAAGTTAAGTGATGCACTCACATAAACTGGGTTTCCATTCAAGCTGCCATGTTCCTTCTCATTCTGGAGGGTAACCTGGGCTCTGTGGTACAGGTGTAACTTCACAGCATGATATTTATTGGTGACATTCTCTCTTGCTTCATATTCATTTATTCTTTCCCTTTCAGTTCTGCTTCATTCCCTTTCTGTTTCCTGCATTTACTCCTGTTCTCCTACTCTTTTTTGCGATTACTCTTTTTAAAAACATCTCTCGGCCGAGCATGGTGGCTCACGCCTGTAATCCCAGCACTTCGGGAGGCCGAGACAGGTAAATCACGAGGTCAGGAGTTTGAGACCAGCCTGGGCAACATGGTGAAACCTCATCTCTACTAAAAATACAAAAAATTAGCTGGGTGTGGTGGCATGCCTGTAATCCCAGCTACTCGGGAGGCTGAGACAAGAGAACCTCTTGAACCCGGGAGGCGGAGGTGGCAGTGAGCTGAGATCTGGCCACTGCACTCCAGCCTGGGCAACAGTATGAGACTCCATCTCAAAAAAAAAAAAAAAAAAGTATGTTCAGTTGATTAAAGGATTACTTACAACTAGCTCAGGAAGAGAAAACAACACCTCTAAAATGCAGATGTAACTGATGTGGCTTGAATGAGACAGGAATTTGAATGTCCCATTTTACACCAAGGTGAGCTAATCCAGACATGTAATTTAAGCTTTTTAAGGTTTTAAGGAATCTATCTGACAATTGTGGATTTAACTTCCCTTCCCAAGTGAGAATTGACTCAAATATTTCCCCCATTATTTGTTATCATCACACACACCTATATACACATACTCATACTCTACAACTGGACTACAAATGTCAAAAAGAAATAAGCCCATTTAAATAAAAGTGAATTAACTTAATCTTCAATCTTATATATCCAGAATGTGTTATTGTAGCCACAAAACAATGACTGTTGGAGATACCATGTTAACATTACAGAAATGTATTGTAATCCTAATCATTAACCATCATGCAGTCTACAAATGAAGGAGATGAGAGTAACCCAGGGTAGTGAAAGATTTTATGAGAGCAGCAGAAAATATTCACAGTAAGACACAGATGGGGAAATGTGTCATGTGGAATGCAAGTTTGACTAACAGAAGCCCAGTGGTTGGGATGAGATGAAAGCGTAATGCAGAGCCCAGTGGGAAGAGGCACAGAGTACACTGGCACAAAGTGCAGTGGCTCATGCTGATGGAATGACTGAAAGACGCAGCAAAGGAGCAAAATGAGCTCCTTTAGCTGAGCCTTAAGCAATCACCACCTCTGACTAATATCAGCCCAGGATGGTGAAAGGTCATTCAGCAGCAAATTGGATGACATGGTTTATTCTATATAACTAAGAAGTATTTGGAGTGAACTGTTAGAGATTAAGTCCTAGTATGGCAGGTTAAATTAGAGATAATTTACTTTGCTCTCACTCTGTTTTCTCTCCTCCTCCCAGGCCATAGTACTCCCCTGCCCCTTGAGATTTTTGCATAGCTTGATTAAAAATTAAATTGCTTCGACAAAATTGCCTCTGGGCTTTAGTTTTCTAGTGCCTGAATTCTTTCAGGGGACCATGCTGGGGAATCGGAAGAGAGCAATAACTGGGAGGAAGAATGAGGGAGGAGATTTTTAGAGGCTAGGAAAGGAAGAAAGTCTTCTGGTCCTAGAGCAGCGGGGAATCTCTCTGGCTTCCCAGTGAGTAGCAGAGACTAAGAAGGTGACAATGATGGGGCTTTCAGACAGTCAAAGACCCTGGCTGTACTAGACATGTGATTGACAGAAGAGGCTCATTTCAAGAATCCTCCTGGCTTAGAAAACAAGGTCATCCACAGTGATCCTGACTGGAGTAGCACCCAGATTCCTGTGCAGTTGCAATAACAGTGATGACTGCCAGGCTGGTATTCTGAAAATTGTCCCTGTTAAATTATTTTAAAACATTTTTGTATTGCAAACTACATACAATTTTGTTGTGATGCCAGGTTACTTTGACATTTGGAAATCTCACCCTTATGCCTTGAATTCAAAGCATATGAATCTCTTACTCCATTTTTTTCTTCCTTGACTCCAATCCACCCACAGCCTGCAGTCGTAGGCAGATCTGTGCTTCTATGAGTCATACTGTACTGTCACATTGAGTAACTTGCAGTATAAGGAAAGAAAGAAAAGTTCTCTAATTTAGACATTAGATTTACCAAATCAACAGGATTTCAACATGACAGAAACTGTTTTTGGTACTTTTGCATCTGACTGTGCATGAACCAAGAAAGAAGAAAACAAACTGGAAAGTGTACTTTGAAACAAAATACAACTCTTGCCAATAAAAATTTGTTATCCTTGTTTAAAAAAAATTGTCTACCCAAAGTTATCAAAGGAGAATTGGGATTATTTGAAGAATAAAAAGGTAGAAGGAAATAGTTGGAGTTAAAATACCTCAGCATTCTTCCTTCAACTGGTATAGAGGCATAAATTGCTTTTAATTAGCATATTAAAAATTGCGTACAAATATTATGACTCAAAGGCACACTAGTCCGGGGTTATATATATAGCTTTTCTTGAGATATAATTTATATGCCATTCAATTCACCCATGTAGATGTACATAAATTGTGCAACTACCACCATAATCTAGTATATTTTTATCACCTCAAAAAGAAATCCTGTACTGTGTAGCAGTCAGTTTTAATCCTCTTCCCCTTCTTCCACTCTAGGCAGCCACTAGCTTATGTTCTATCTCTATGGGTTTTCTCATTCTAGACATTTCAGATATATGGAATTACACAATATATAGTCACCTGTGACTAGTTTCTTTCACTTAGCATGATGTTTTCAATGTTCATATATGTAGCACATAGGAGTATTTCATTTTTTTGATTGCCTAATTTTCTATTGTATGGATGTATCACCTTAAGTTTATCCACTTATCAGTTTATGGATATTTGAGTTGTTTCTACTTTTTAGTTTTATGGATAATTTGTGTACATATATGAGGTTGAACTTTACAATGATCAAATAGTATTTTATTTTCATTATTTATGATTCATTAAAGGTCCATGTCATATTAACCTTATGTTAATTAACTTTATTTTCTAAAATTTGTATCCAAAGGTATGTTTACAATTTACACTTCTTTGAATTACATATTTAATATTTTCTATTATAAATATTTTATAAGGAGTACACTAAAATTTTGTAAGTTATAAATGTATGGCATAGATATATTTTTATTATATGACTTCTGTCAAAATCGGTAAATATTTTACGTAATACTACTACTCCTAGTCCTCACTTTCTTGCTTCAATGAATTGTCTAGATGAAACCATCCTCAGTGATTGCTGAGTCTGAAAGTTTTCACTTCCCATCTCTTTGATATTATACTCCCTAAATTTGGAAGGAGAAAATTGGACTCCTTGCATACTAGGCTTTCAGGAATGATTGACACCCTCATCAATTTGTAGCCATAGATGCTGTTTTAAGGCATACTCTGTTAAATATCACCACTGCTCAGAGTGTGGCAACTCATTAGTACCAGGACACCTGGTCCTGAAATAGTAGTGCTCACAAAACCAGAGATAATGCTGTTCCTCAAACATAAGAGATGAGCAGAACACTCAAAATCATCCTTTAGAACTAATGTGATACCCTTATTTATAAGTATTGAAAGCCTTTTCACATGTAGATAAGAAAACTTGATATTCTGTTTCAGGAGGCAATACAGCACTGAGACAGAGCAAATTCTCCTCTTAGCTTCTCTCCCCACCATTCATTCCCTTACCACAAGAATGACAATGGGAGAGAATTCACCATGATCTCATTTTATGCTTTCAATATTCCTTGATACATAGTTGATTCTGGAAATACATATGGAAAGTTGCATCACAATGTGAACAATACAGTATAAACTTTTAATTTTTAGGCTGGGTGTGGTGACTTATGCCTGTAATCCCAGCCTGTAATCCCTGTAATCGCAGCACCTTGTGAGGTCGAGGCAGGTGGATCGCTTTAGGCCAGGAGTTTGAGACCAGTCTGGCCCATGTGGTGAAACCCCTTTTGTACTAAAATTACAAGAAAATTAGCCAGACACGGTGGCACATGCCTGTAATCCCAATCTGGAGGCTGAGGCAGGAGAATTGCTTGAACCCCTAAGGCGGAGGTTGCAGTGAGCCAAAATCGCACCACTACACTCCAGCCTGGGTGACAGAGCCAGACTCTGTCTCAAAAACAACAACAAACAAACAAACCTTTTAATTTTTAAAGAAAATTACACCTGCTTAGGCCTATAGGCACATATTCCTTATTAAGTTTCCTATTTACATGGATTACTTGAATGATAATGCTAACTAGCTAAAGTGCTAGGTAGGACCAAAAAGATTATTAGTTAACCTGCCGTAGAAATGCTTTACATCTTAATCTGGATAGAACTTGCCAATTGACATTGATCTTAACATGTTAACTGATTGACCCAAGACCTATTTTAGCCAATTAACTACTTAGTATTCTATTGTACTAGAGTCCATAAAGGCACCAGAGAATAATGCAGGTGATAGTCTTCCCCAGTCTTGGAGCTAAAGCAAATTAAAATGATGAGCAACTGGATAGTTCATGTATATGCATGACTTACGTGAGCCTGTCAGTAGTGATGCCCTCAGAAAAATATTTCCTCTAACCATGTTCTGTGAAACACTAACCCCCATCTCACCCACTAAGCTCAAGCAAGAAATGCTGCACGCTGCATTCCTGTCTTCTTAAGTATGCACATTGTGTTGTTGTTTACTAACGGCTAAAGAATTCTGCAATAAAGCAACTGATTTAATTTTGTGTATTCCATCCAGCTTTGCTCAGTTACTCTCACAGCCCACTTAGCTCCTTGTTGAAATTTTTAATTTCTTTGAGTAAATACTATTAACATGCTTTGAAAATTATGTTCCAAGATCATGTGTTGACTGTTTTTGACAATTTAACTGCTTTTGACAAAATTTATTTTTTTTTCTTCTTTTTTTCTTTTTCTTTATTTTATTATTATACTTTAAGTTTTAGGGTACGTGTGCACATTGTGCAAGTTAGTTACATATGTATACATGTGCCATGCTGGTGCGCTGCACCCACTAACTCGTCATCTAGCATTAGGTATTATCCCAGTGCTATCCCTCCCCCCTCCCCCCACCCCACAACAGTCCCCAGAGTGTGATGTTCCCCTTCCTGTGTCCATGTGATCTCATTGTTCAATTCCCACCTATGAGTGAGAATATGCGGTGTTTGGTTTTTTGTTCTTGCGATAGTTTACTGAGAACGATGATTTCCAATTTCATCCATGTCCCTACGAAGGACATGAACTCATCCTTTTTTATGGCTGCATGGTATTCCATGGTGTATATGTGCCACATTTTCTTAATCCAGTCTATCATTGTTGGACATTTGGGTTGGTTCCAAGTCTTTGCTATTGTGAATAGTGCCACAATAAACATACGTGTGCATGTGTCTTTATAGCAGCATGATTTCTAGTCCTTTGGGTATATACCCAGTAATGGGATGGCTGGGTCAAATGGTATTTCTAGTTCTAGATCCCTGAGGAATCGCCACACTGACTTCCACAATGGTTGAACTAGTTTACAGTCCCACCAACAGTGTAAAAGTGTTCCTATTTCTCCACATCCTCTCCAGCACCTGTTGTTTCCTGACTTTTTAATGATTGCCATTCTAACTGGTGTGAGATGGTATCTCATTGTGGTTTTGATTTGCATTTCTCTGATGGCCAGTGATGATGAGCATTTTTTCATGTGTTTTTTGGCTGCATAAATGTGTTCTTTTGAGAAGTGTCTGTTCATGTTCTTTGCCCACTTTTTGATGGGGTTGTTTGTTTTTTTCTTGTAAATTTGAGTTCATTGTAGATTCTGGATATTAGCCCTTTGTCAGATGAGTAGGTTGCGAAAATTTTCTCCCATGTTGTAGGTTGCCTGTTCACTCTGATGGTAGTTTCTTTTGCTGTGCAGAAGCTCTTTAGTTTAATTAGATCCCATTTGTCAATTTTGGCTTTTGTTGCCATTGCTTTTGGTGTTTTAGACATGAAGTCCTTGCCCATGCCTATGTCCTGAATGGTATTGTCTGGGTTTTCTTCTAGGGTTTTTATGGTTTTAGGTCTAACGTTTAAGTCTTTAATCCATCTTGAACTGATTTTTGTATAAGGTGTAAGGAAGGGATCCAGTTTCAGCTTTCTACATATGGCTAGCCAGTTTTCCCAGCACCATTTATTAAATAGGGAATCCTTTCCCCATTGCTCGTTTTTCTCAGGTTTTCTCAGGTTTGTCAAAGATCAGATAGTTGTAGATATGCGGCATTATTTCTGAGGGCTCTGTTCTGTTCCATTGGTCTACATCTCTGTTTTGGTACCAGTACCATGCTGTTTTGGTTACTGTAGCCTTGTAGTATAGTTTGAAGTCAGGTAGTGTGATGCCTCCAGCTTTGTTCTTTTGGCTTAGGACTGACTTGGCGATGCGGGCTCTTTTTTGGTTCCATATGAGCTTTAAAGTAGTTTTCTCCAATTCTGTGAAGAAAGGCATTGGTAGCTTGATGGGGATGGCATTGAATCTGTAAATTACCTTGGGCAGTATGGCCATTTTCACGATATTGATTCTTCCTACCCATGAGCATGGAATGTTCTTCCATTTGTTTGTATCCTCTTTTATTTCCTTGAGCAGTGGTTTGTAGTTCTCCTTGAAGAGGTCCTTCACATCCCTTGTAAGTTGGATTCCTAGGTATTTTATTCTCTTGGAAGCAATTGTGAATGGGAGTTCACTCACGATTTAGCTCTCTGTTTGTCTGTTATTGGTGTATAAGAATGCTTGTGATTTGTGTACATTGATTTTGTATCCTGAGACTTTGCTGAAGTTGCTTATCAGCTTAAGGAGATTTTGGGCTGAGACAGTGGGGTTTTCTAGATATACAATCATGTCGTCTGCAAAGAGGGACAATTTGACTTCCTCTTTTCCTAATTGAATACCCTTTATTTCCTTCTCCTGCCTGATTGCCCTGGACAGAACTTCCAAAACTATGTTGAATATGAGTGGTGAGAGAGGGCATCCCTGTCTTGTGCCAGTTTTCAAAGGGAATGCTTCCAGTTTTTGCCCATTCAGTATGATATTGGCTGTGGGTTTGTCATAAATAACTCTTATTATTTTGAAATATGTCCCATCAATACCTAATTTATTGAGAGTCTTTAGCATGAAGCGTTGTTGAATTTTGTCAAAGGCCTTTTCTGCATCTATTGAGATAATCATGTGGTTTTTGTCTTTGGCTCTGTTTATACACTGGATTACATTTATTGATTTGTGTATATTGAACAAGCCTTGCATCCCAGGGATGAAGCCCACTTGATCATGGTGGATAAGCTTTTTGATGTGCTGCTGGATTCTGTTTGCCAGTATTTTATTGAGGATTTTTGCATCAATGTTCATCAAAGATATTGGTCTAAAATTCTCTTTTTTGGTTGTGTCTCTGCCAGGCTTTGGTATCAGAATGATGCTGGCCTCATAAAAAGAGTTAGGGAGGATTCCCTCTTTTTCTATTGATTGGAATAGTTTCAGAAGGAATGGTACCAGTTCCTCCTTGTACCTCTGGTAGAATTCGGCTGTGAATCCATCTGGTCCTGGACTCTTTTTGGTTGGTAAGCTTTTGATTATTGCCACAATTTCAGATCCTGTTATTGGTCTATTCAGAGATTCAACTTCTTCCTGGTTTAGTCTTGGGAGAGTGTATGTGCCGAGGAATTTATCCATTTCTTCTAGATTTTCTAGTTTATTTGCATAGAGGTGTTTGTAGTATTCTCTGATGGTAGTCTATATTTCTGTGGGATCAGTAGTGATATCCCCTTTATCATTTTTTATTGCGTCTATTTGATTCTTCTCTCTTTTTTTCTTTATTAGTCTTGCTAGCGGTCTATCTATTTTGTCGATCCTTTCAAAAAACCAGCTCCTGGATTCATTAATTTTTTGAAGGGTTTTTTGTGTCTCTATTTCCTTCAGTTCTGCTCTGATTTTAGTTATTTCTTGCCTTCTGCTAGCTTTTGAATGTGTTTGCTCTTGCTTTTCTAGTTCTTTTAATTGTGATGTTAGGGTGTCAATTTTGGATCTTTCCTGCTTTCTCTTGTGGGCATTTAGTGCTATAAATTTCCCTCTACACACTGCTTTGAATGCATCCCAGAGATTCTGGTATGTTGTGTCTTTGTTCTCATTGGTTTCAAAGAGCATCTTTATTTCTGCCTTCATTTCGTTATGTACCCAGTAGTCGTTCAGGAGCAGGTTGTTCAGTTTCCATGTAGTTGAGCGGTTTTGAGTGAGATTCTTAATCCTGAGTTCTAGTTTGATTGCACTGTGGTCTGAGAGATAGTTTGTTATAATTTGTGTTCTTTTACATTTGCTGAGGAGAGCTTTACTTCCAAGTATGTGGTCAATTTTGGAATAGGTGTGGTGTGGTGCTGAAAAAAATGTATATTCTGTTGATTTGGGGTGGAGAGTTCTGTAGATGTCTCTTAGGTCTGCTTGGTTCAGAGCTGAGTTCAATTCCTGGGTATCCTTGTTGACTTTCTGTCTCGTTGATCTGTCTAATGTTGACAGTGGGGTGTTAAAGTCTCCCATTATTAATGTGTGGGAGTCTAAGTCTCTTTGTAGGTCACTCAGGACTTGCTTTATGAATCTGGGTGCTCCTGTATTGGGTGCATATATATTTAGGATAGTTACCTCTTCTTGTTGAATTGATCCCTTTACCATTATGTAATGGCCTTCTTTGTCTCTTTTGATCTTTGTTCGTTTAAAGTCTGTTTTGTCAGAGACTAGGATTGCAATCCCTGCCTTTTTTTGTTTTCCATTTTCTTGGTAGATCTTCCTCCATCCTTTTATTTTGAGCCTATATGTGTCTCTGCACGTGAGATGGGTTTCCTGAATACAGCACACTGATGGGTCTTGACTCTTTATCCAATTTGCCAGTCTGTATCTTTTAATTGGAGCATTTAGTCCATTTACATTTAAAGTTAATATTTTTATGTGTGAATTTGATCCTGTCATGATGATGTTAGCTGGTTATTTTGTTTGTTAGTTGATGCAGTTTCTTCTTAGTCTCGATGGTCTTTACATTTTGGCATGATTTTGCAGCAGCTGGTACCGGTTGTTCCTTTCCATGTTTAGCGCTTCCTTCAGGAGCTCTTTTAGGGCAGGCCTGGTGGTGACAAAATCTCTTAGCATTTGCTTGTCTGTAAAGTATTTTATTTCTCCTTCACTTATGAAGCTTAGTTTGGCCGGATATGAAATTCTGGGTTGAAAATTCTTTTCTTTAAGAATGTTGAATATTGGCCCCCACGGTCTTCTGGCTTGTAGGGTTTCTGCTGAGAGATCTGCTGTTAGTCTGATGGGCTTCCCTTTGAGGGTAACCCGACCTTTCTCTCTGGCTGCCCTTAACATTTTTTCCTTCATTTCAACTTCGGTGAATCTGACAATTATGTGTCTTGGAGTTGCACTTCTCGAGGAGTATCTTTGTGGCGTTCTCTGTATTTCCTGAATCTGAACGTTGGCCTGCCTTGCTAGATTGGGGAAGTTCTCCTGGATAATATCCTGCAGAGTGTTTTCCAACTTGGTTCCATTCTCCCCGTCACTTTCAGGTACACCGATCAGACATAGATTTGGTCTTTTCACATAGTCCCATATTTCTTGGAGGCTTTGCTCATTTCTTTTTATTCTTTTTTCTCTAAACTTCCCTTCTCGCTTCCTTTCATTCATTTCATCTTCCATTGCTGATACCCTTTCTTCCAGTTGATCGCATCGGCTCCTGAGGCTTCTGCATTCTTCACATAGTTCTCGAGCCTTGGTTTTCAGCTCCATCAGCTCCTTTAAGCACTTCTCTGTATTGGTTATTCTAGTTATACATTCTTCTAAGTTTTTTTCGAAGTTTTCAACTTCTTTGCCTTTGGTTTGAATGTCCTCCTGTAGCTCAGAGTAATTTGATCATCTGAAGCCTTCTTCTTTCTGCTCGTCAAAGTCATTCTCCGTCTAGCTTTGTTCCGTTGCTGGTGAGGAACTGCGTTCCTTTGGAGGAGGAGAGGTGCTCTGCTTTTTAGAGTTTCCAGTTTTTCTGTTCTGTTTTTTCCCCATCTTTGTGGTTTTATCTACTTTTGGTCTTTGATGATGGTGATGTACAGATGGGTTTTTGGTGTGGATGTCCTTTCTGTTTGTTAGTTTTCCTTCTAACAGACAGGACCCTCAGCTGCAGGTCTGTTGGAGTACCCTGCCGTGTGAGGTGTCAGTGTGCCCCTGCTGGGGGGTGCCTCCCAGTTAGGCTGCTCGGGGGTCAGGGGTCAGGGACCCACTTGAGGAGGCAGTCTGCCCGTTCTCAGATCTCCAGCTGCGTACTGGGAGAACCACTGCTCTCTTCAAAGCTGTCAGACAGGGACATTTAAGTCTGCAGAGGTTACTGCTGTCTTTTTGTTTATCTGTGCCCTGCCCCCAGAGGTGGAGCCTACAGAGGCAGGCAGGCCTCCTTGAGCTGTGGTGGGCTCCCCCCAGTTCCAGCTTCCCGGCTGCTTTGTTTACCTAAGCAAGCCTGGGCAATGGCGGGCGCCCCTCCCCCAGCCTGGCTGCCGCCTTGCAGTTTGATCTCAGACTGCTGTGCTAGCAATCAGCGAGACTCCGTGGGCGTAGGACCCTCCGAGCCAGGTGCGGGATATAATCACATGGTGCGCTGTTTTTTAAGCCCGTCGGAAAAGCGCAGTATTCGGGTGGGAGTGACCCGATTTTCCAGGTGCCGTCTGTCACCCCTTTCTTTGACCAGGAAAGGGAACTCCCTGACCCCTTGTGCTTCCCGAGTGAGGCAATGCCTCACCCTGCTTCGGCTCGCACACGGTGCATGCACCCACTGACCTGCGCCCAATGTCTGGCACTCCCTAGTGAGATGAACCCAGTACCTCAGATGGAAATGCAGAAATCACCCGTCTTCTGCGTCGCTCACGCTGGGAGCTGTAGACTGGAGCTGTTCCTATTTGGCCATCTTGGCTCCTCCCCCTGCTTTTGACAATTTAAAATTCAGTCACATCCAAAGTAAAATTGGCCTTGCAAAGTTAGAAAGGAAGAAAAAAATCAAACAACCCCATCAAAAAGTGGGCAAAGGATATGAACAGACACTTCTCAAAAGAAGACATTTATGCAGCCAACAGACACATGAAAAAAGGTCATCATCACTGGCTATCAGAGAAATGCAAATCAAAACCACAATGAGATACCATCTCACACCAGTTAGAATGACGATCAGTAAAAGTCAGGAAACAACAGATGCTGGAGAGGATGTGGAGAAATAGGAACACTTTTACACTGTTGGTGGGAAGGTAAACTAGTTCAACCATTGTGGAAGACAGTGGCGATTCTTCAAGGATCTAGAACTAGAAATACCATTTGACCCAGCCATCCCATTACTGGGTATATACCCAAAGGATTATAAATCATGCTGCTATAAAGACACATGCACACATATGTTTATTGTGGCACTATTCAAAATAGCAAAGACCTGAAACCAACCCAAATGTCCAACAATGATAGACTGGATTAAGAAAATGTGGCACATATACACCATGGAATACTATGCAGCCATTAAAAAAGGATGAGTTCATGTCTTTTGTAGAGACATGAATGAAGCTGGAAACCGTCATTCTCAGTAAACTATTGCAAGGACAGAAAACCAAACTCCGCATGTTCTCACTCATAGGTGGGAATTGAACAATGAGAACACTTGGACACAGGGTGGGGAACATCACACACCGGGGCCTGTTGTGGGGTGGGGGGAGGGGAGAGGGATAGCATTAGGAGGTATACCTAATGTAAATGACGAGTTAATGGGTGCAGCGCACCAACATGGCACATATATACATATGTAACAAACCTGCATGTTGTGCACCTGTAACCCTAGAACTTAAAGTATAATAATAAAAATAAAAAATAAAGCTTCTTTATTGCCTTAAAATTCTTTTACCTCACTTTTCAATCCTCTGACAAGATAAAGCTCTTTGAGATACATTTAGTATTGTTACCCCTATTGAATAATGGTTAAAATAAAGAAAATGGGAGTGACCTAGTACAATGGAATAAGGAATAAAAATTAGGAATTGTAAATTTTGGCTGTGTACGGCAGGAGGCTTGGGGATTTAAGATTTAGTTGGCAGGATACAGTTAGGTCCACTGCACTTAGTTCAGGGATGGCAAAAACATGATTAGTCCAACCCAAATGTGAATCCCAGTTGGCAACAAGAGATATCCAGGAATTCTGGGCCTGACTGCTGATTCTCCTAGTTCCTCTTCCAGATGCAAGACCACTAGGGAGTAGCGACTCAAGAAGATGACACAGAGGTTGGCAGTATTGCATGTGATTCAGGGGAAGAAAGGGTTCATGTGGGTTTGCCTAACAATGAAGTGTGTGATGTGATGACTACACCACAGGGGGACCAAGTGTGAGCAGAGAGCCAACGGGTGCCCCAGGGATTTTGAGGAGCCAATCAGAGTTAATTGTGCATATAAGAAGTTAGATCACTGTAAGAATTCATTTGTAAACTAGAGCTGCTTGGTAATAACAAACATGCATTTACAACAGACAAGACTGCAGCATTTATTATACTTTCAGCATTTGAAAATGCTTGCTATTAACATAAAAAGTACAGCTCTGACTAGAAATTATCAGAATTATATGGTACAATTATTAAAGTTGTATTCTTGCAGTACCTCCCATATTAATAAGATAATATTAAGATATTAAGAAGACAATATTATCTTCTTTGGCACACAGCTAGAAAATTCTCTTGTTCTAATTCTCCAATAGTTTCTAGGCATTTGTTCTTATGGAGCAATTTAAAATCCATAAAACTTTATTGAGAAATTACTGTGTACAAGCAAACATGCCAGACAATAAACGGGAGATAACCATGTGGAAAGAACTCTTCCCTCCAGGAGTTTATCCTCAATGAAGTGCAATTCGATTATGATGTAAGCCAATTGAGGTTCTGAAATAATTCACTTTGCTTAACACATATTTTTTATTTTTTGTAGAAACCGTATATTTAACATGTACAACATGATGTTTTAATACATATATGGAATAAAATAAGCAAATTAACATATTCATTTCCTCACTTACTTTATTATTGTCATGAGAGCACCTGAAATGTTCTCTTAGAAAATTTCCATGTGTCTGGTTTATTAATTTTGCATAATGTCCTCCAGGTTCATCCATGTTGTTGTAAGTGGCAGAATTTCCTTTCTTAAGGCTGCATAATACCTCATTTTGTGTGTGTGTGTGTGTATGTTATATAAGTTACATATGTTATATACAAGTTATATATATATACACACACACAAGTTTATATATACACACACACACACACACACACACAAAATGAGGTATTATGTAGCCTTAAACTTATATAAGTTTTATTTATATTCATTACATACTGTAATTTTGTTATCCATTCACCTGTCTACAAAACTTAGGTTGTTTTCTTGTTTTGCCTAACATGAATAATACTACAATGAACACGGGAGTGCAGAATATCACTCTGAGGTACTGAGTTCATTTCCTCTGGTATATACCCAGATGGGGACTTGCTGGATCATATGGTAGTTCTATTAATTGTTAATTTTTTATTTTTGATGAATCTACATGCTTTTTCCCATAATTGTATTCCCCTAAGAGCATGCAAAAGTTCCCTTTTCTCCACATTCTCGCCAGCACTTGTTATCTCTTATCTTTTCATTAACAGCCATCTTAACAGGTGTGAGGTGATAGCTCACTGTAGTTTTGCTGTGCATGTCCCTGATGATTAGTGATGTTGAGAACCTTTACATATACTTGTTGGCCATTTTTGTCTCCTTTGAAAAAATGTCTACTCAGATCCTTTGTCCATTTTTTACTTTTTAATTAGATTGCTTTTCTTTTTTCTTTTGTTCTTTTTTTTGGCTACTGAATTGTGTAGGCTCTTTATATGTTGGGGATGTTAAATCCTTATCAGATACATGGCTTGCAATATTTTCTTTCAATCTCTTGACTGTCTTTCCATTTTGGTACTTGTTTCCTTTTTTGTGTAGAAGCTTTTTAGTTTGGTGGAGTCCCACTTTATTGTTACTTTTGTACCCTGAGCTTTTGGTAGGATATCCCAAATATCATTGCCCAGACCAAGATCAAGAAGCTTTTAGCCTATGTTTTCTTCTAGGATTTTTATGGTTTCAGGTCTGATGTTTAAGTCTTCAATCCATTTCGAGTTGAGTGTGTGTGTGTGTGTGTGTGTGTGTGTGTGTGTGTGTGTGTGTGTTTTATAAGATAAAGATTCAATACTGATTGTATGTTCTCAATAGAAATATTCTGATGTTGGTCAAAGATATGAAAAAGATGCTAATTCTGGTAAATCCATCTATTTTGGTGACCTATGCCAGGCCAGAAAAGCTTTTAAGTTGAGAAGGGACATTTACACAAGCATAGCAGTATATCAGATCACACAGAGTGTTCATCAAAAAAGAACTGAAACTTGACTGGTTTTTAAATAAATTGAGATATTGTGACTGAACCTCAAATTAGGCTCATTTTCTATGTCCTTGAGATATCAAACTTCTGTTATCTGTAAGGAGATTAACAATCTTGAATAGTTTTTTTTTTTCCCACCTGGTAAAATGCCACTGTAGGTAGTCATTTCAATCAAAATGATTAAGGTGGACTCATCCCAGAAAAGACAGGGTCACTGCACACGTTTGTCTCAGTGATAGGTTATCCTGAGTGATTATAGTATCAGAATACATTATGATTCCAAAGTAGCTTTGCCTTCTGTTTTAGTCCGTTCTTAAACTGCAATAAAGAAACACCCGAGACTGGGTAATTTATAAAGGAAAGCAGTTTAATTGACTCACAGTTCCACATGGCTGGGGAGGCCTCAGGAAACTTGCAATCATGGAGGAAGGTGAAGAGGAAGCAAGGACATTCTTCACATGGTGGCAGGAGAGATCGTGTGTATAGAAGGAACTGTCAGACCCTTATAAAACCATCAGATCTTGTGAGAACTCAGTATCATGAGAACAGCATGGGGACACTGCCTCCACGATCCAATCATCTCCCACCAGTTCTCTCCTATGATGCATGGGGATTATGGAGACAATTCAAGACAAGATTTGGATGGGGACAAAAACCTAATCATATCACCTTCATAACATCCAGAAGAAAATATAGGAAGGAAACTCAATTGAGGAAGCTCCTGGAATAGATATAGTTGTGTCCATAAAAGATACTACTCAACCTGATCAGAAAATGAACCTTGAAATTCATCAAGAGATCACCGCCCTTCTTGACTGCAGCTTTCAAAGTACTAAAATGCCATGAAGCACTGGCCACGTTAAGTCTATTTCTGGTGATTGTCCTGAGATCTCTAGAAGTTCAAGTCCAAATTCCTCCTATCTGGTGCCACAAGAAAGAAAAGGAGGGACTCTTACCAACCCCTAGGTTGAATGATCTCTGTTTACATACTACCTCACCTCAGTCACAATGGAGGATCCAATTTTACGTTGATTATGAGTGGAGAGGAAAAACAAAGGTATTAGAAACTGCAGCTTCACTTGGGTAAGGGTGAGACGGACACAGTGTGGGAGCATACTCTTGTATGGTTGTGCTAAGTTGGGTTTTTAGGCTTTCTAACGCTCATCAAGATAGTCTGCTTGCAGATAAGATAAAGTGTGCTCACTTAGGTTGCCCTTAAAGAGGAACAGTTAGGAGACTTTCTCCATGTCACAATATCCTGGATACCTTCTTTTAGTGTTTTAATTTACATATATGATGAAAATTAGTTGATGACTTCCCTTTTGTGGCCATACTTCTTGAAAGAGTTTCATATATGTTTTAAATACTTAACACTTCACTCACTCTTTAGCAATCTGGTTTCCTTGACCATGACTCTACTGCAATTGCTTCCCTCCACAGTCTCTCACAAGGATGGGGGCTGCTCATCACCAATGCTTCTCCCTAAAGCACACTCTTCTCTTACCTTTTGTGACTGTTCTCCTCTTCCTCTTCCTGGCATTCTTTCTAAGTCCTTTGGAAATGCTGCTTCTTCCAGCCCCATCTTTAAAGTTAACGCTCCTTGGGACTTTGTTTAGACTGTTTTATTATTTATTTATTTATTTTTTTATGCTATATTCTTCCCCTGCATGATTTCATTCATGTCCATGGCTTCAGTTATGTCTTTATCCAGTTGTCTCTTTCTCTCTTGAGTTATACTTCTACATTCTATATGCACCTAGCAGTACTTCTAAGGCTGAACACATCACTTCACCCAGCCAAAACCATGTCTACTTCTGTGTTGCCTATGTCATGTTACCCAACTATCTAATCTATCTAAATATCTAATCTATCTAAATAAAAATCCTCTTATATCCTACAAATCGATCAACAAGTCCTGTCAATTCAACTCCCTCAATGTTTCTTGATTACTGTCCACTTTCACTGTGAACTTCTACTGCCTTTGTTCTGATCACTAATATATTTTATGGAACTTGTTATAACATCCTTCAGTAAATGTGTTACACAATAGCCAGAATGATCTTTTAAATATTATCTGGTTGTGTCATCCTCCTTCCTAAAACCCCCAATGTTTACACCTCATCCTCAACAAGTTCAGTGATTCTTAGCCTGATTTACAGAATCCTTCCTTGTTCACCCCACTGTTCATCTCAGCTTCATTCTTGCCAGTCCCTAACTTGTGCTGGAAACTACAGCCATATGAAACTTGTTTTTGCTCCTCCAGTGAATCTCACTCCTCTCTAAGTCTTTTCATACTATGTTAATTCTGCTTAGAATTCCCTCTGATTTGGTTTCATTAACAACTATTTTTTCTGATGTTTCCTGTTTTTTTTTTTTTTTCAATTTTCTCAGTCTGATTTTTCCACAGGCTTCTTGCCCTTCCCTGATTATAACAGTGTATCACAATTTCCTACTTGCTTGTTTGTATCCCCACTAAATTGAAAGCAACTTAAGTTGATCTTATTCACAGCTGGGTAAGGGAAGGAGCCATCCACTAATATAAAGAATAAAAAGAACAGGATAAAGAAAAGTAATTCATTTTACACATTTCTATACTCCATTATGCTTCTGGTGTATTTTTTTATGCTTCTACTTTTATATTAACTTTTTATGGAAAACTAAAAACAGCACAATTTTTATTGAGCAAAGTTATTAAGTTGGGCCTCAAAGCCTAAAAAAGAATAAGAAATAACTGTTTGGAATAGGAATTGTGACTTTCAGAAGGAACAGTAAGAAATGTTGAGATTTTACTTGATGGCCTGAATACAATTTGGTATCAATCATATTTCCCCATAGATCACATACAACTTTTGAAAGTGTTGGGGACTTAAGAACACCAAGGAGAAGCCGATACATGTCCTTTAAATATAAAAGCTGAGAAAGGAAAATCAGTATGCAGATGCGTTGTTAGAGCCCATAGGAGAACACTGCTGTTTCTCTTAATTAGAAAATTCAAGAGAGTTCTTATTTTGGAATATCTTTGTTTTTGTAATTGTGATATTTTAAAAATTTGTAAATATAACAATCTCTTTTGTGTTTCAGCTTGGTATCACTCATATTACCAAGTCTTAAATGCCCAAGTTTGAAAAAAATATTTTAATAAATTTTATTGTCTATATTTAAGGTATGTAACATGATATGGGATACATAGAGACAGTGAAATGGTTACTAGAGTGAAGCAAATTAACATATCCATCATCTCACATAGTTACCCTTTTTTCAGTGTGTGTGGCAAGTGCAGCTAACATCTACTCATTTAGCACAATTTCTGAATACAGTATATTATTATTACTATTATTATTATTATTATTTGAGATGGAGTCTCACTCTGTCACCCAGGCTGGAATGTAGTGGCCCAATGTCAGTTCACTGCAACCTCTGCCTCCCGGGTTCAAGCGATTCTCCTGCCTCAGCCTGCAGCACAGGCGTGCACCACTATGCCTAGCTAATTTTTGTGTTTTGAGTAAAGATGGGGTTTCACCATGTTGGCTAGGCTGGTAGTAAACTCCTGACCTCAGGTGATCTGCCTGCCTTGGCCTCTCAAAGTGCTGGGGTTACAGGCGTGAGCCAATATATTAACTCTAAACCTCATCTGCATTAGATTGCTAGACTTGTTTACCCTAATATCTGCTACTCTGTATCCTCTAACTTACATCTCCCCATTGCCCACCCCTGCCTTCCCCCACCCCTGGTAACTACATTGAGAAAATATTTCTGAACATAGCCTTGGAAACTATTTACATGTATTATTTCCTGCTGGGTTGTATTATATCTTAATATGCTCAAATAAGCCATTTATCTCCTCTATTAAGTTTCTTTTGTGTTTGTCTTATCTCACTAACTAGAAAATTACTTCCTTGAAGACTTCCTTATTTATACATCTCTCATTTCTCCTAAAACAAATAGGATAGTTCCAGACACATAGCAGATATTCAATAAATATGCTTTGATTAAGTTAATACATTTGGAATCTTTCTTCTGTTTAATGTTTGCAGTGTTAATCACCATCTGTGGTTCCATTAAATCATTATATAATATGAAAAGCAAGCACACTACTCTGATGATGCTCTCCTTTAGGTCTGTGCCTCACTAAAATTCAGAGACTTGTGGGTCAGTTTAGTTGTAACCCTGTACACACACACACACACACACACACACACACACACTTTCTCTCTCTCTCTCTCTCTCTCAGGTAGGGCAACACTGTAAACACACTCTCTTTCTCTTTTTCTCTCTCTCTCTCTCTCTCTCTCTTAGGTGGGGCAACCCTGTACACACACACGTGCACTCTCTCTCTCTCTCTCTCATACACACTTAATGGGCTGGCTGAAGGTGAAGGGTAAAACTGATGTTGATTTTCTTTAGGTATAAAATATTGCCCCTATTGCCCCTTCCACGTCTGATGCAATAGACCCACAAGTCTATTCTTCAGACATGATATGTGTAGGTTTTAAACGCTTATTTATCTTTTCAACATTTTTTATGACTTCTATATTGTCTGCCTCCAGCAATTCTTGTAGGAAATAGAGACAATTGTTCTCATTTGTGAAAACTCCATGTTAAAGCAAAATAAAATGTTTGGGGGAACACAAAGGATGTATAGTTACCTTGTACCTGGGTGAAAGAAGTGGGGAAGGGCAGAAAGTTCTTCTCTGCAGAAATAGCTGGCAGAAGTCTGAAAGATGAACAGCAGTTCTGGTTTTACTTTTTCTTTTTCTTTTTTCTTTTTTGAGACAGTGGAGTGCAGTGGTATGATCTTGACTCACTGCAACCTCTGCCTTCTGGGTTGAAGTAATCCTGCCACCTCAGCCTCCCAAGTCGCGGGGATTACAAGCGTGCGCCACCTCACCTTGCTAATTTTTGTATTTTTGTAGAGATGGGGTTTCACCATGTTGGCCAGGCTGGTCTTGAGCTCCTGGACTCAGGCAGTACTCTCCTTTTGGCCTCCCAAAGTGCTAGGATTACAGGTGTGAGCTGCCATGCCTGGCAAGAGTTCTGGTTTTCTACTGTATATCAAAGCATCCTCAATTTAGTGCATAAAACCACAATGATCCTTTATCATTATTATCTCTCATGGTTCTGGTGTGGACTGGACTCAGGTAGGTATTCCAGATGGGAGTTTCTGTTTATGGACTGAATGTTTGTGTCCATCCCTCACCCCCAAATTCATAATTGAAACTCTAACCCCCAAATGTAAGGTATTTGGAGATGGGGCCTCTTGGAGGTAATTAGGGTTAGTTGAAGTTATAAGGGTGAGACTCTGGTCCAATGGGATTAGTACTGACTATAAGAAGAGACACCAGGGCTAGCTCTCTCCCTCTGTCGTGTGAGGACACAGAGAGAAGACAGCTGTCTGCAAGACAGGAAGACAGCCCTCCGCAGAGCCCAATCACGGTGGAGCCCTGATGTTAGACTTTCAGCCTCCAGAACTCTGTGAAAATAAATATATTATTTAAGCCACCCAGTCTATAATATTTTGTTATGGAAGCTGAGCTGACTAGCACAGGAGTCTGTTGTTATAATGGGGTGGTGATTGCGGCTGAAGTCATCTCAAAAGCTTCCTCACTCACATGTTGAAGTGGGTTGAGAAGATTCATACAGCTGGAGACCAGATATGGGGTTCTGCAGGCATTTCTCTACCTCTATATGGCCTGTCTAGCATGGTGGTTTCAAGATAGCCAGGCTGATTACATAATGACCAGTGCTCCAAAGGGACAGTCTGAATAGAAAGACAAAGCCAGGCAGAAGCTGCGTCACCTTTTATGACCTGGCTAGGCAGTCATGCAACATCACTTCTGCTGCATACTAATAGTTAGAAGTATCTGCCTGCATTTATATGGGTGCTGGTCAGAGAGAGGAGGAAAAAGGAGGCTTATTGGGTAAGAAGCAGCATGGTGGGAGAGTGATCATAGAACATTTGAGTTATATCAAACTTATTCTTACAGTGTTATTCAAGCCACCAGATCCAATGAAATGCTTTTTTAGTCCTTATCTCACTTTGATACTATTAATACTAACCATTACCCTAAACCCCAGGAGGAGTCCATCCTTTGACTCCCACTGCATCACTCCTCTCCCGGGTTTTCTGTCTCCTCTCAGTCTGCTTTCCAGCTCATCACCTTCTAACATACCATAGCCAGTTACTCAGCAAATCCTGACATTTGTCTCCTTCATATTGCTCAAATCTATCCACTCCTCTCCATCTCCAATGTCAGCTCTCTTACTCTATGCCAATATCACTATTCCTTTCATTCAACACATATTTCCTGAGTACCTACTATGAGCCTATCACTGCCATAGGAGCTGGGTCTTATATACAAATAGACTAAAATGTCTGTTCTCTTGTTCTTCCTCCCTCTCTTTCTGCATATACAAGCACATAAACACAATTCTTAATTGCATGCAAACTTGTATCTATCTATCTATCTATCTATCTATCTATCTATCTATCTATTGAGAGAGAGAGGGAGAGAGAGAGCGTGAGCGCACACCTTGTTGGGAGATAAGCACAAGCAGAAAAAAGAGGAAAGGGTGGACTTGAGGTAGAATGCAAATTTAATAGTGATTAGGGATGACCTCATGGGAAGGTTATTTATTTATTTATTTATTTATTTATTTATTTATTTATTTATTTTTGAGACAGAGTTTTGCTCTTGTTGCCCAGGCTGGAGTGAAATGGTGAGATCTCAGCTCACTGCAACCTCGCCTCCCAGGTTCAAGTGATTCTCCTACCTCAGCCTCCCGAGTAGCTGGGATTACAGGCATGTACCACCATGCCTGGCTAATTTTGTATTTTTAACAGACAGGGTTTCTCCATGTTGGTCAGGCTCGTCTCAAACTCCCAACCTCAGTTGATCCCCTCGCCTCAGCCTCCCAAAGTTTTGGGATTACAGGCATGAGCCACTGCGTCCAGCCTGGGAAGGTTAGTTTTAAGCAAAAAAGTTGAATGGGATGAAGAAGAAAGCCATGAGTATATATAGTAATGTAGATCTTCCCTTTGGGCAGGGGGCAAAGCTAACACAAAGACCACGCAGTGGGAGTGTGCCTGGCATATGCAAGACTGGACAAATTTATCAGGGAATCTGGAACTGAGTGATGGACAGGGAAAGGAATAGAAAGTAAGATCAGAGTTAAAGGTGGAAGGTGGACCAATTACCTGTGATCTTGAAGGACATTTTGTGAACTTTGGCTTATACCCTGAGTTAGGGTTTTAGGCAGAGGAGTGACATGGAACAATATTTTAACAGGGACACTCACTGCTGGGTTGAGAATAGACTGTGGTGTAGGGGGTGAGGAGGGTGGCAAGATAGAAACATCCTTTCCACATAAGAATGATAGTGGTGGTTATGACCACTTGCCTAGAATTCCAATAGCAGAGGGATTTTTGTTTTAGTTTAAGGATAGAAAATATTTTAGCACACTCATTTGCTTAGGTGGAAGAATTAACCTTAGATAAAAAGGATAATACTTTCTGCACTGACACAAAATTGGAGAGATTTAGATGGCAATACATGAAAATAAGCCTGCTGGTGGATGAAAAGCAATCTGAGAAATTGCTGACAGGGTAGCCTGTTTGCTCTGTGAGTTACAGGGTGAAACTTGTGGGCTCTTTGGGCATGGTCCTGACAGGATGACAGCTGTCCTTCAGTCTCCAAACAATGATGTTAAGAGGGGTGAGCAGAATATGCCAAGGTTCTCTCTCAACTTATTAGAAGCCCCATTCTATGTTGCTTTAGACCCTGCTAAACTTAAGAGTATTCCCAAAGCATTTCTCTAACTTGAGCTTGAAAGTAGTATTGTAATAGACAAGGTTATTAATATATAACCACCTATATTCAAGACCTAGCCTCTTCTCTATTGCTCACTCTATGTAAATGATTCTGCTGCCATTCATTCTAGGGTTGCTCAAGGGAAAAGCTGTTTAATAACATATTAGCCCTTGCATTTTAGATGATCTGTTCTTACCATTTTCAACTTCAGAGTTTTCAATTAAAAGCACAGTTTGTTATATGGAGTGCCCTAACTTTTTTTTTGAAATGGAGTCTTGTACTGTCGCCCAGGCTGGAGTGCAGCGGCACGATCTCTGCTCACTGCAACCTCCACCTTCCGGGTTCAAACAATTCTCCTGCCTCAGCCACCCGAGTAGCTGGGACTACAGGCGCCCGCCACCACACCGGCTAATTTTTTGTATTTTTAGTAGAGACAGGGTTTCACCTTGTTAGCCAGGATGGCCTCGATCTCCTGACCTCGTGATCCGCCCACCTCGGCCACCCAAAGTGCTGGGATTGCAGGTTGAGCCACTGCGCCCGGCTGTAGTGTCCTAAATTTTATGGGGCACTGTGTGCAGTTGAAAATCATATGGGCCTTTATTTGTAGCCCATTTGCCTCTGCTCTGAAGGCTGGCTACTTATATCCTTGATGTGTTCCTGAAGCCATTAAAGTTAAGTGTACAAGCATGGCCTATGTTTCAGACTGAATCATTCCAAACATAATCGTTCGGTTTCTTGCAACTCTGTCTAATTATTTGTCACCATTTAGTAACAAAAATAAATTTAATGTGTTTATATATAGATGAATAGAAGATGCTAGGAAACCTCAGTCTTCTGTGTATGGTGGGGTAGGACTGGGGGAGGTGGGAGGGAGGGCAGCAGGAATTTTAGGGGCCTTATAGGCCAGTTAAAACCTCTACCTTTCTTCCTGCCTTTTCCGGTTCTGATTGCTTTGAAATGTGAAAAGCTTTGGTAGAAGTAATTAATTTACTCTGAAATTATCAGGTATTTATGCTTCAGTGTAAATTCAAGTTCAGGAGGTAGAATTTGATGGGTAGGAAAAAGTGGAAAGCTTGAATACAGGGTCACTCCTGGAAAACTGGGAATGGCATGCTACCAGAGAGAAATCACAGTGGATCAACTTCACCCCCTCAAAAATGAGGGCAAGTATGTGTTTATAATAATGTTCACAGTTGAGGATCTTAAGTTGCATTGTGAACAATTCTTAGCAAAAGGAAGGGGGAAAGTTTCCACAATAGAACACACCTTTCTAACAGCCTGTAAGTGGCAGATATGTTTTTACATAGATCATCCAAGACTCTCACTATTTCTGCATGCAGTCTCTAGATCAACCTCTGATTAATGGATGTGACGAATTATCCCCCAATAATAAGCCTTGGATACACCCTTCGTTGGGAAATATTCTACAGCGATTCTGTTAAGCAGCTACAGATCTGACAAGTCACATGCTATCCCCTCTTAAATATGGGATAGCACAAATTTTCTTCAAGTGTTGCCTGCAATAGATATTCTATGTAGTCTCAGACTGTAGTCATTAATTTGAATCTTAAACTAAACGTTATTGCTGGGATGTGGTTTGCAATAGTATTCATGGAGATATAAACAGAGTTTGGACTGTTGATGAATCTTTGAATTACTGGAATTTAGACTGTACCAGCAGAGAGGCATAAACTTGCTGTTAAAAATCCTAGAAGGGCAGAGGAAGTATGAAGGAACAAGTAGGACACTATGCGGCTTCTGTCACATAGATTTGAAAATTAAGTGACTCCAGCAAAATGAAGAAGTTTCCCCATCTTTCTCCCATGAGCACCAAGTGACACTTTAACCCACAGAGGGAATGAAAGTCCTTGTGACACACAGTAATAGAACAGCAGACTGTTTTAACCAGAGCAGAGAAACTTGCAGAAGTCCAAAGGCATATAGGAGCCAAAATAAACACTAGCCAGAATGAGTGAAAGATTTTGATTCCCGGAGCTTGAGGGCACTGAGAGGGCTTAGCAGAGTGGAAGGTTGGTGAAGGAGGGCTTACCTGATTTGAGGCTCACAGTCCCACCGCCTCAGTCAAGAAAGGGAAAAGGGGCTTTGAAATAACAGTAACCAACACTTGTGTTGTGCTTTGTAGTTTATAAAGCCAATTTCCATACAACCTCAACTGCCCTACAAATTAGTAGTGCATTATTATTTATTGTCTACATTTTATGGGTGAGAAGATGAGATTCAGACAAGTGAGATAACTTACTCAAGGTCACTTCTTTATTTAGTGTCAAAACTATGACCAGGACTCAAGTCTTTTTTCATGCTTTCTCACTATATTGAACAATTTCCCATTTAGTAACATGCGTATGTAGCCATGCCATTAGTTCAATTTAAAAAATGTGTAGGAAATATTTTATATGAAGCATATCTCTATATGTTAAATCAGTGATAGGCACTATATTAATACACTGAATAAATGTGCCAAAGTCAGAGGCCCAGTCTTTCAATAAAGAAATAGCGTTTCCATTTTTCCTCCTTGTCACGCTCCTGTATCTAACATTGGATTTCATCTGCCATCTAGTGGAATTTTCACAAATTACATGTTAAAATCGTATTCCCTGCATCAGGTTGTCCAAACTGTTTCTGAAATATAATCAAAGTCTTCATCTTCACCTTATTTAAGCACGTTTATGTGGCAGATGTTTTCTTTTCTCAAAAATTAGTAAGTTTTCTGTCATCCTGAATTTGGTACAAGCTTGTTCTTGACTAACATGCTGTGTGACCTAGGACAATTATCTTTTCCTAGGAAAATTATCTTTTAAAAACTTTGTTTTCTCTATCACACACTGAAGTCATTTACATATGGGATAGCACAAGTGAAGTCACTTTCAGCAATGAAATTTTTGACTCTACCTTTATTATAGTAAAGTATTTATAGTATAGTAAAATACAGTATTTATTTAATACAGTAAAAATCACTATGATTTTTAAACATCTATATTTTCCCTTTATTCCCCCACATCTAACTATTCCAAACCCCTAATCAGAGCATTCCTATGGATCAGTGAGTTACTAGGGTGACATAATTATGTTAAAAAATCAGAAAATAATGACATATATCACATATGTCATGCGAAAAAAGATTTGAAAATGCCCATTGAGTGAACCATTGAATTTGTGTTTAAAAAAAAAGAAAAAAGAACAACGTGGATATGTTTATAAATTTTAGTAGATCATCACATAAAATCTAATTCCTCTTCACAATAGCTTTGTGAGGCCATTAAAGCAAGTGTGCTATCACTATTTGACAATGAGTAAACAGAGGCACAGAAATATTTATTGACTTGATCAATCTCATAGTGATGAGCAGTTGTAGAAAATGAATTAAAACTCAGGTTGGTGTTATGGTGCAGACCCACAGCAGCATGATCACCTGGGAGTTTGTGGCCAGTGCAGAATCTGACAGTATTCTAGACCTATGGAATCAGAATCTGCATTCTGACCACATACGCAGGTGATAGGATGTCCATTAAAGTTTGAGAAGCATCAGTTGAGCCCAGGATATCAAAAGCCAGTCGTGTAATATTGGAGGAGAGTTTCAATTTTAATCTGAACAGAAGCTTAAATAGGGCAAAACGTCTCAAGTGAGAGGACAAATTTCAAAATAAATCTTATATGCAAAATATTAAAATGTCTTGAATAATTTCAGACTTGAAAATATAATCAGTGCCTTTCCAGAGCAACAATACAATTTTATTTGTTTAGGGAAAACTTTCTATGACAGTGTATTATAACTAGCTCAAGCTTTTTAAAATATTTAGAATTTTCAAGATCAAAACACTTTGTTTAGCTCAGTTCCTTCAATTTATAGATGAAGCAATAAAGTCCAATAAGAAAATTATCGACAGGACTAAATTTGAAGCTCCTGTCTGTTGGTCTTCTGCTCTTTAATAGCACTTCCCCCCTTACATATGGCGTATGGACTATAATTTGTCTGGAGGACCATTTCCCAAAGTCTGCCCTGCAGAACACCAGTCCTGCAAGTTGCTCTGCAAAAATATGTTTGAAAAATATTGCATAACATAGCTTCTTCATGGAGATTCTCAGCACATTCTCATAACGAATGAGAGGTGCTGTCATAAAGGAATTATTTTTAACTCTTTACCTTAGTTAACCAAGCATAAAATGCTCTCACTTCCTCTCTGATGTCCCCTTCTGCTATTTTTAAAAGTTTATTTTATATATTTAAGTTATATAGCATGATCTTATGGGATACATATACATAGTAAAAGTGTTATTACAGTAAAGTAAATTAACATTCTTCATTTCAGAGTTACCCATTTTTGTTTTGTGGCAAGAATGATAAAAATCTCATAGCATGAATCCCTTAAACACAGTACAACTTTATTTCCCATTGTCTTCATGTTGTGCATTAGTTCTCTAGATTTGTTCATCCTAAGTATCTGCTACTTTGTATCCTCTGACCTACATCTCTGTATTTCCTTCTTTCTATTCACACCCTACAGTGGAAGTAACCACTGTTTTGTTTTCTGTCTCTCTCTCTATTTTTTTCTAGACTAGCTAATGGTTGTCAATTTGTTTTCGAAAAACAAACTCCTAGTTTTATCAATTCTTTCTATGGCTTTTCCATTCCTATTTATTTTTATTCTGATTTTTAAAATTTTCTTTATTCTGCAAATTTGGTGTTTAGTTCTTTTTCTAGTTCCTTGAAGTGTAAGGCTAGGCTATTTATTTGGAATCTTTTTTTAATGTAAGCATATATTACTATAAACTTCCCTTTTAAAACTACTTTCGCTGGTATCCCATAGGTTTTTATATGTTATATTTCTATTGTTTGTCTCAAGATATTTATAAATTTCCTTTTTGATTTCTTCTTTGATCCATTGGTTGTTCAGGAGCATGTTCTTTAATTTCTACATATTTTTTGACTTTTCCAAGATTCCTCATGTTACTGATTTTTAGTTCCTTACCATTGTGGTCTGAGATGATGCTAGATATAATTTAAATCTTCTTAAATTTGTTAAGACTTGTCTTGTGGACTGTGTGATCTGGTCTGGAGGATGATCCATGTGCACTGGAGAAAAGTGGATATTCTGCAGCTGTTGGATGGAAAGCTCTGTATGCCTGTGAGGTCTATTTAATCAAAAGTACAATTTAAGTCCAGTATTTCCTTAAGTTTCTGTCTTGTTTATATATCCATTGATGAACGTGAGATAATAAATTCCCCTACTATTATGGTATTGTATCTGTTTCTACCTTCATGTCCATTAATATTGGCTTTATGTCTGTAGGTGCTTAATTGTGGCATGTACATACACTGAGAGTGTCTTCTAGATGAATTGACCCTTTATCATTAAATCATAACCATCTTTGTCTCTTGCAAAAGTTTTTTACTTGAATTTTTTTTTTCAGATGTAAATATAGCCGCTCTTGCTTTCTTTTGATTATCATGTTCATGAAATATTTTCTTCCATCCTTTTACTTTCAGGCTATGTGAGTTCTTAAATCTTAAGTGGATATCTTGTAGACAACATATAACTGGATCTTTTTAAAATTTATTTATCTACTCTATTGATTAGAGATTTTAATCCATTTACAGTCAATGTTATTATTAATAGGTAAAGGCTTACTGACATTTTAAAATTTGATTTTGTTTTACAGATTTTTTGTTCCTTTCTTGTGATTTGTGATTTGATAATTTTCTGAAGTGTTAAGCTATGATTTTTCTAGTTATCATTTGTATATCTGCTATCTTTTATTTTTTTTGTGGATACCAGTAGGCTTATGTATAAAATCTTGTAGTTATAATCTACTTTTTTTTTTTTTTTGAGACTGAGTCTTGCTCTTGTTACCCAGGCTGGAGTGCAATGGCATGATCTCAGCTTACTGCAACCTGCGCCTTCAGGGCTCAAGTGATTCTTGTGCCTCAGCCTCCCAAGTAGCTGGGATTACAGGTGCATGCCACGACACCCAGCTAACTTTATTTTTAGTAGAGGTGGGGTTTCACCATGTTGGGCAGGCTGGTCTTGAACTTGTGACCTCAGGTGGTCTGCCTGCATCAGCCTCCCAAAGTGCTCAGATTACAGGTGTGAGCCACCACACCCGTCCTTATAATCTACTTTTTAAAGCAGATAACATCTTAATTTCTGTTGAACATAAAAGCTCTAGACTTTTTTCCGTCCCATCACAATTTGTTTTTAATGTCAAAATTTACATCTTTTTATATTGTGTATTTAATGACAACTTATGATAGTCTTAGCTATTTTTGACCACTTTGACTTTTCATCTTTATATTACAGAAATGTATAATTTATACACCATTCCAGTATTGAAATATTCTTGATTTGATTATGTATTTACCTCTACCAGTGAGCTTTATACTTTCATATGTATTCATTACAGTAATTATTGTCCTTTTGTTTTCACTATAAGAACTCCCTTAAGCATTTCTTGTAAAGTAGTTCTACTGGTAATGAATCCTTCAGTTTGCTCTCATCGGTATTGACAGTTGTGTTGAGTATAGTATTCTTAGCTGAAAGGTTTTTTTTTTTCTTTTATAACTTTGAATATGTCATCCAACTTTCTCCTGGTCTGCAAGGTTTCTGCTGAGAAATTTACGGATAGTCTAATGCAGACTTCATCATATTTTATTTGATACCTTTTTTTAATTTAAGTCCTGGGATACATGTACAGCATGTGCAGGTTTGTTACATAGGTATACACGTGCCATGGTGGTTTGCCATACCCATCAACCCAGCATCTACATTAGGTATTTCTCCTAATGCTATCCATCCCCTACCCCACCATCCCCTGACAGGTCCTGGTGTGTGATGTTTCCCACCCTGAGTCCATTGTTCTCATTGTTCAACTCCCACTTGTGAGTGAGAACATGTGGTGTTTGGTTTTCTGTTCTTGTGTTAGTTTGCCGAGAATGATGGTTTCCAGCTTCATCCATGTCCCTGCAAAGGACATGAACTCATCCTTTTTTATGGCTGCATAGTATTCCATGGTGTATATGTGCCACATTTTCTTTATCCAGTTTATCACTGATGGACATTTGGGTTGGTTCCAAGTCTTTGGTATTGTGAACAGTGCTGCAATAAACAGACATGTTCATATGTCTTTATAGTAGAATGATTTATAATCCTTTGGGTATATACCCAGTAATAGGATTGCTGGGACAAATGGCATTTCTGGTTCTAGATCCTTGTGGAATCGCCACACTGTCTTCTACAATGGCTGAACTAATTTACACTCCAACTAACAGTGTAAAAGTGTTCCTATTTCTCCACATCCTCTCCAGCATCTGTTGTTTCCTGACTTTTTAATGATCACCATTCTAACTGGCATGAGATGGTATCTCATTGTGGTTTTGATTTGCATTTCTCTAATGACTAGTGATGATGAGCTTTTTTTCATGTGCTTGTTGGCTGCATAAATGTCTTCTTTTGAGAAATGTCTGTCCATATCCTTTGCCCACCTTTTGATGGGATTTTTTATTGTAAATTTGTTTAAGTTCTTTGCAGATTCTGCATATTAGCGCTTTGTCAGATGAATAGATTGCAGAAATGTTCTCCCGTTGTGTAGTTTGCCTGTTCACTCTGATAATAGTTTCTTTAGCTGTGCATAAACTCTTTAGTTTAATTAGATCCCATTTGTCAATGTTGGCTTTTGTTGCCATTGCTTTTGGTGTTTTAGTCATGAAGTCTTTGGACATGCCTATGTCCTGAATGGTATTGTCTAGGTTTTCTTCTAGGGTTTCTATGGTTTTAGGTCTTACATTTAAGTCTTGATTTCATCTTGAGTTAATTTTTGTATAAGTTGTAAGGAAGGGGTACAGTTTCATTTTACTGCATGTGGCTAGCCAGATTTCCCAACACCATTTATTAAATAGGGAATCCTTTCCCCATTGCTTGTTTTTGTCAGGTTTATCAAAGATCAGATGGTTGAGGATGTGTGGTGTTATTTCTGAAGCCTCTCTTCTGTTCCATTTGTCTATATAACTGTTTTGGTACCAGTACCATGCTGTTTTGGTTACTGTAGCCTTGTAGTCTAGTTTGAAGTAAGGTAGTGTGATGCCTCCAGCTTTGTTCATTTTGGTTAGGATTACCTTGGCTATACTGGCTCTTTCTTGGTTTCATATGAAATTTAAAGTAGTTTTTTCTAATTCTTTGAAGGAAGTCAATGGTAGCTTGATGGAGATAGCATTGAATCTATAAATTACTTTGGGCAGTATGGCCATTTTCATGATATTGATTCTTCCTATCCATGAGCATGGAATGTTTTACCATTAGTTTTTGTCCTCTCTTATTTCCTTGTGCAGTGGTTTGTAGTTCTCCTTGAAGAGGTCCTTCACATCCCCTGTAAGTTGTATTCCTAGGTATTTTATTATCTTTGTAGCAATTTTGAATGGGAGTTCACTCATGATTTGGCTCTCTGTTTGTCTATTATTGGTGTATAGGAATGCTTGTTATTTTTGCACATTGATTTTGTATCCTGAGACTTTGCTGAAATTGCTTATCAGCTTAAGGAGATTTTGGGCTGAGACGATGGGGTTTTCTAAATATACAATCATGTCATGTGCAAACAGAGACAATCTGACTTCCTGTTTTCCTATTTGAAGACCCTTTATTTCTCTTGCCTGGCCCTGGCCAGAACTTCCAACACTATGTTGAATAGGAGTGGTGAGAGAGGGCATCCCTGTCTTGTGCCAGTTTTCAAAGGGAATGCTTCCAGTTTTTGCCCATTCAGTATGACATTGGCTGTGGGTTTTTCATAAATACCTCTTATTATTTTGAGATACATTTCATCAATACCTAGTTTATTGAGAGTTTTTAGCATGAAGGGGTGTTGAATTTTGTCAAAGGCCTTTTCTGCATCTATTGAGATAATCATGTGGTTTTTGTCATTGATTCTGTTTATGTGATGGATTACATTTATTGATTTGCATATGTTGAACCAGCCTTGCATCCCAGGGATGAAGCCGACTTGATCGTGGTGGATAAGCTTTTTGATGTGCTGCTGGATTTGGTTTGCTAGTATTTTATTGAGGATTTTCACAGCAATGTTCATCAGGGATATTGGCCTGAAATTTTATTTTTTTGTTGTGTCTCTGCCCGGCTTTGGTATCAGGATGATGCTGGCCTCATCAAATGAGTTGGGGAGGAGTCCCTCTTTTTCTATTGTTTGAAATGGTTTCAGAAGGAATGGTACCAGCCCCTCTTTGTACCTCTGGTAGAATTTGGCTGTGAATCCATCTGGTTCTGGACTTTTTTTGGTTGGTAGGCTATTAATTATTGCCTCGATTTCCGAACGTGTTATTGTTCTATTTAGAGATTCAATTTCTTCCTGGTTTAGACTTCGGAGGGTGTATGTGTTCAGGAATTTATCCATTTCTTCTAGATTTTCTAGTTTATTTGCATAGAGGTGTTTATAGTATTCTCTGATGGTAGTTTGTATTTCTGTGGGATCAGTGGTGATATCCCCTTTGTCATTTTTTATTGTGCCTATTTGATTCTTCTCTCTTTTCTTCATTAGTCTGGCTAGCGGTCTATTTTGTTAATCTTTTCAAAAAACTAGCTCCTAGATTCATTGCTTTTTTTTAAAAGGGTTTTTCGTGTCTCTATCTCCTTCAGTTCTGCTCTGATCTTAATTATTTCTTGTCTTCTGCTAGCTTTTGAATTTGTTTGCTCTTGCTTCTCTAGTTCTTTTAATTGTGATGTTAGGGTGTCAATTTTAGATCTTTCCCACTTTCTCCTGTGGGCATTTAGTGCTATAAATTTCCCTCCGAACACTGCTTTAGCCGTGTCCCAGAGATTCTGGTAAGTTGTGTCTTTGTTCTCATTGGTTTCAAAGAACTTATCTATATCTGCCTTAATTTTGTTATTTACCCAGTAGTCATTAAGGAGCAGGTTGTTCAGGTTCCATGTAATTGTGCGATTTTTGAGTGAGTTTCTTAATCCTGAGTTCTAATTTGATTGCACTGTGGTCTGAGAGACTGTTTGTTATGATTTCTGTTCTCTTGCATTTGCTGAGGAGTGTATTACTTCCAATTATGTGGTCAATTTTAGAATAAGTGGAATGTGGTGCTGAGGAGAATGTATATTCTGTTGATTTTGGGTGGAGAGTTTCATAGATGTCTATCAGGTCCTCTTAGTCCAGAGCTGAGTTCAAGTCCTGAATATCCTTGTCAATTTTCTTTCTTGTTGATCTGTCTAATATTGACAGTGGAGTGTTAAAGTCTCCCTATTATTGTGTGGGAGTCTAATGTAGGTCTCTAAGAACTTGCTTTGTGAATCTGGGTGCTCCCGTATTGGGTGCATATATATTTAGGATAGTTAGCTCTTCTTGTTGAATCGTTCCCTTTACCATTATGTAATGGCCTTCTTTGTCTCTTTTCATCTTTGTTGGCTTACAGTCTGTTTTATCAGAGACTAGGATCGCAACCCCTGCTTTTTCTTTGCTTTCCATTTGCTTGGTAAATATTCCTCTATCCCTTAATTTTGAGCCTATGTGTGTCTTTGCACATAAGATGGGTCTCCTCAATACAGCACACTGATGGGTCTTGACTCTTTATCCAATTTGCCAGTCTGTGTCTTAATTGGGGCATTTAGCCCATTTACCTTTAAGGTTAATATTCTTATGTGTGAATCTGATCCTGTCATTATGATGCTAGCTGGTTATTTTGTCCATTAGTTGATGCAGTTTCTTCATAGTGTTGATGGTATTTACAATTTGGCATGTTTTTGCAGTGGCTGGTACCAGTTTTTCCTTTCCATGTTTACTGCTTCCTTCAGGAGCTTTTGTAAGGCAGCCCTGGTGGTGACAAGATCTCTCATATTTGCTTATCTGTCAAGGATTTTATTTCTCCTTCACTTATGAAACATAGTTTGGCTGTATATGAAATTCAGGGTTGAAAATGCTTTAAGAATGTAGAATATTGGCCCCCACTCTCTTCTGGCTTGTAGGGTTTCTGCAGAGATATCCACTGTTAGTCTGATGGGCTTCCCTTTGTGGGTAACCCAACCTTTCTCTCTTGCTGCCCTTAACATTTTTTCCTTCATTTCAACCTTGGTGAATCTGATGATTATGTGTCTTGGGGTTGCTATTCTCGAGGAGTATCTTTGTGGTGTTCTCTGTATTTCCTGAATTTGAATGTTGGCCTGTCTTGCTAGGTTGGGGAAGTACTCCTGGATAATACCCTGAAGAGTGTTTTCCAACTTGATTCCATTCTCCCTGTCACTTTCAGGTATACCACTCAAATGTAGGTTTGGTCTTTTCACACAGTCCCATATTTCTGGGAGGCTTTGTTCATTCCTTTTCATTCTTTTTTCTCTAATCTTGTCTTCACACTTTATTTCATTAAGTTGGTCTTCCATCTCTGATATCCTTTCTTCCACTTGATTGATTCAGCTATTGATACTTGCGTATGCTTCACGAAGTTCTCGTGCTGTGTTTTTCAGCTCCATCGGGTCATTTATGTTCTTCTCTAAACTGGTTATTCTAGTTAGCAATTCCTCTAACCTTTTTTCATGGTTCTTAGCTTCCTTGCACTGGGTTAGAATATGCTCCTTTAGCTCGGAGGAGTTTGTTATTAACCACCTCTGAAGCCTACTTCTGTCCCTTCATTAAACCCATTCTCTGTCCAGTTTTGTTCCCTTGCTGGTGAGGAGATGTGATCCTTTGTAGGAGAAAAGGCATTCTGGTTTTTGGAATTTTTGCCTTTTTGCGCTGGTTTTTCCTCATCTTTGTGGATTTATCTACCTTTGGTCTTTGATGTTGGTGACCTTTGAATTGGGTTTCTGAGTGGATATCCTTTTTGTTGATGTTGATGCTATTCCTTTCTGTTTGTTAGTTTTCCATCTAACAGGCCCTTCTGCTGCAGGTCTGCTGGAGTTTGCTGGAGGTCCACTCCAGACCCTGTTTGCCTGGGTGTCACCAGCAGAGGCTGCAGAATAGCAAAGATTGCTGCTTGTTCCTTCCTCTGGAAGCTTCATCCCAGAGGGGCACCCTGCAGATGCCAGCCAGAGCTCTCCTTTATGAGATGTCTGTCAACCCCTGCTGGGAGGCATGTCCCAGTCAGGATACATGGAGGGTCAGGGAACCACTTGAGGAGGCAGTCTGTCCCTTAGCAGAGCTTGAATGCTGTGCTGGGAGATCTGCTGCTCTCTTCAGTGCTGGCAGGCAGGGACATTTAAGTCTGCTGAAGCTACCCCTTCCCCCAGGTGCTCTGTCCCAGGGAGATGGGGGTGCTGCCTTTTTTTCAAAGATGCCCTGCCCAGAGAGGAGGAATCTGGAGAGGCACTCTGGCTACAGCGGCTTTACTAAGTTGTGGTGGGGTCCACCCCATTCGAACTTCCAGGCATCTTTGTTTATACTGTAAGGGGAAAACTGCCTATTGAAGCCTCAATAATGGTGGACACCCCTCCTCCCACCAAGTTCCAACATCCCAGCTCAACTTCAGACTGCTATGCTGGCAGCGAGAATTTCAAGCTAGTGGATCTTAGCTTGCTGAGATTCATGGGGATGGGATCTGCCCAGCTAGACCACTTGGCTCCCTGGTTTCAGCCCCTTTTCCAGTGGAGTGAACGGTTCTGTCTTGCTTCTGTTCCAGGCACCACTGGGGTATGAAAAAAGACTCCTGCAGCTAGCTCGGTGTCTGCCCAAATGGCCGCCCAGTTTTGTGCTTGAAACCCAGGGCCCTGGTGGTGTAGGCACCTGAAGGAATCTCCTGCTTTGTGGGTTGTGAAGGCCATGGGAAAAGTGTAGTATCTGGGCCAGAGTGTACTGTTCCTCATGGCACAGTCCCTCATGACTTCCCTTGGCTAAGGGAGGGAGTTCCCTGACCCCTTGTGCTTCCTGGGTGAGACAATGCCCCACCCTGCTTTGGTTCGCCTTCTGTGGGCTGCACCCACTGTCTAACCAGTCCCAATGAGATTAGCCAGTTACCTCAGTTGGAATGCAGAAATTACCCACCTTCTGTGTTGATCTTGCTGAGAGCCGCAGACAGAGCTGTTCCTACTTGGCCATCTTGCCAAAGTGCCCGATTTGATACTTTTCTATTGCTGCTTTTAGAATTCTCTTTGTAATTCACTGTTGACAGTTTGATTATAATGCATCTCAGGACAGCTTTGTATTGAATCTATTCAAGCACCTTTGAGTTTCATGGATCCGGTTGCCCTATCTCTCCTAAGACGGAAAGTTTTCAGCAATTATTTCATTAAATAATCTGACTGTCCTTTTCTTTAACTGTTCTGCTTCTTGAAATCCTGTAATATGAATATGTGTTTGCTTAATGGTGTTCTGTAATTCCCATAGGTGTCTTTACTCTTTTTCATTTTTTCCTTTTTTCTGACTCATTTCGAAACTGAAGAAAATCCTTCTTCTCATATCTCATGTCTCAAATGTGTGACCTAGCGGTGCCCTCTACACAGTCACTCAAGAAGCCAAGCTGATGGCAGTCTGTGATCTCTTCTGTACTGTCAGTTATTGCAACAGTTGACAAAGATGTGAAAGCTCTTCAATGCTCCTGATGTTCATTGCCTGATACTTCCATCCACATGAAACTGGCCAGAATTTATAGCATTATTCTTTTTAATTGTAGGGGTCTGAAATATGCAGGGGGCAGAAAAGATGTTTAAGGACAACCGCTGTCTCTGCAACAGCCAACAGTCCTACTTAAATTCTTTTTATGAGCAAAGTTTTCATGGCATTAACAGATGACTCCTGTAAGTAATGATAGATTAACACCAACATTTTAAGATGTTGAGTAAAATTTGCCAGAGAATGAAGTATTGAATATAAAGAAAGATTAAATAGTAAGATATCTGACATATAAGAGTGAGAGAAGAATCTTAGAATAGTATAGCAGACAATTAAAGGAAAGTTTGGTGTTCTGTTTACAAAGAGTATCTGTGTAGTCCAGAAATGTATCATGTGGTACACAAAGATAAAACAATGCAGTCAATACTATGGTCAGATGATTAAGGTAAGCATGTCAGTGAAAGCCACGGAATAGGGAACACCATCAGCATTTCAAATATTGGGTATTTTATATGTACCCTTATTGGCATAGGTACTTTATAATCATGCATCGAATAAATGTGTGGCTATCTTACAGTGATTAAAAAGAGAAGTCAGGAAATAGAAGCAAGAAAAATAGTAACAGCAAGACTGTTCTTTTAAAAAATGTACCCTGCCTTCCTAAGCAATTATTCTTAAGGAAAAGGAATCCATGGTCATAAAACTTTACTAAACACTGAACATTAACTTTTCCTCTTAGATATTTATAATACAGTAAAGGCGCTGAGAAGCCTTCTAAGAAGACATCAATTTAATGTTGTTAACTGAATTTACTAAACTTTTTTCATAAATCTAGAAAGGGCAAAAAAATTAACCTTTAATGAAATATCACACCTGGAATACTGTTGGAAAAGACAGTTGTCCCTGGGCTTATTTTCCTACATGTCTTGCTGGGTATGCCCATAAAGGAAGGTCCTAATTTCTCCTTGCATGGGCCTACTCTTAGGTATATGTTTCTAGTGACAAGCTAGGAGGGATGAAGCAATGTCTTAGCCCTACTCTTAAACAAGAGGATGGTTTGCTTACTGCTTTTTCTCAAAGTGGTGGATTTTGGAACCTCAGTGTTCCTCAGCTGTGATACAAACCCACAAGGTGTGGAGCATCCACCTGGGCCCTATTGCACAGCCCCTGCAAGACTTAAAGTGGGGGCAACTGATGGAAAAGACTCTGATACTCATGTTTTTATTGTGCTGTAAATAACAAAGTCTTCTGTTTTTGTCCCGGGATTATCATGTGTATTCTGCCAACATCCATGACACAGTGCAGACTAACTTATTAGTAGGGTAAATTCAAATCCGGGACATCCATTATCATCACAACATGGTAGTATTCAATATTCACCACTTTCCTGAAGATTGAGCACTATGAGCAATTTTTCTAGGGCTACTGATTTGGGGAAAGGAGAAATGTGGGTTATTAAGCAATCAATTCATAGTCGCTATGATTCATCAAAGTTGCATGGTCTTAACATTTGAGTGCTTACTCTATTTCATTCACTGTTAGAAGCACTTTAAATGCATTAACTAATTTAATCCTCAAAGCCACTCTGTAATGAAGGTGCTAGTATCTTCATTTTACAGAGGAAGAAACTAAGACACCAGAGGGGTTAACTTTCTCAAAAGTACATAGTGAGGTGTGGGCCTGGAATTCAAACCCAGCCACAAGAAATATATTTGTATCCATCACACTAAGAAAAAAGAAATGTAACCTAGGGATTTTATATTTAGTCAATGTAGAAACCAGAACAATTATTATAGATGTAATAATAAAAGACCTAATTGAGGAAGCATTTTTTAAAATACAAAAACCTAAATTTGCAAATGTCTTCCTATAAAAAGAGAAGTAAATCAAAATTTTAAGTGTCCAAGAAGTATATAGAATATCTGAGGAGATGGCAGTGCCCTGCCAATTCAAGATTTAAACAGTCCTTTTTATTATTATTATTATTATTATTATTATTATACTTTTAGTTCCAGGTTACATGTGCAGTGTGCACATGTTTGTTACATATGTATACATGTGCCATGTTGTTGTGCTGCACCCATTAACTCATCATTTACATTAGGTATTTCTCCTAATGTTATCCCTCCCCCATGCCCCCACCCCACGACAGGTCCCAGTGTGTGATGTTCCCTACCCTCTGTCCAAGTGTTCTCATTATTCAGTTCCCACCTATGAGTGAGAACATGCAGTGTCTGGTTTTCTGTCCTTGCGGTAGTTTGCTCAGAATAATGGTTTCCAGTTTCATCCATGTCCCTACAAAGGACATGAACTCATCATTTTTTATGGCTGCATAGTATTCCACGGTGTATATGTGCCACATTTTCTTAATCCAGTCTATCATTGAGGGACATTTGGGTTGGTTCCAGGTCTTTGCTATTGTGAATAGTGCCGCAATAAACATACGTGTGCATGTGTCTTTATAGCAGCATGATTTATAATCCTTTGAGTATATACCCAGTAATGAGATGGCTGAGTCAAATGGTATTTCTAGTTCTAGATCCTTGAGGATTCGCCACACTGTCTTCCACAATGGTTGAACTAGTTTACATTCCCACCAACAGTGTAAAAGTGTTCCTATTTCTCCACATCCTCTCCAGCATCTGTTATTTCCTGACTTTTTAATGATCTCCATTCTAACTGGTGTGAGATAGTATCTCATTGTGGTTTTGATTTGCATTTCTCTGATGGCCAGTGATGATGAGCATTTATTCATGTGTCTGTTGGCTGTGTAAATGTCTTCTTTTGAGAAGTGTCTGTTCATATCCTCTGCCCACTTTTTGATGGGGTTGTTTGATTTTTTCTTGTAAATTTGTTTAAGTTCTTTGTAGATTCTGGATATTAGCCCTTTGTCAGATGGGTAGATTGCAAAAATTTTCTCCCATTCTGTAGGTTGCCTCTTCACTCTGATGGTAGTTTCTTGTTCCATGCAGAAGCTCTTTAGTTTAATTAGATCTCATGTTTCTATTTTGGCTTTTGTTGCCATCGCTTTTGGTGTTTTAATTCAACAGCCCTTCATGCTAAAAACTCTCAATAAACTAGGTATTGATGGGATGTATTTAAAAATAATAAGAGCTATTTATGAAAAACCCACAGCCAATATCATACTGAATGGGCAAAAACTGGAAGCATTCCCTTTTAAAACTGGCACAAGACAGCGATGCCCTCTCTCACCACTCCTATTCAACATAGTGTTGGAAGTTCTGGCCAGGGCAATCAGGCAGGAGAAGGAAATAAAGGGTATTCAATTAGGAAAAGAGGAAGTCAAATTGTCCCTGTTTGCAGGTGACATGATAGTATACTTAGAAAACCCCATCGTCTCAGCCCAAAATCTCCTTAAGCTGATAAACAACTTCAGCAAAGTCTCAGGATACAAAATCAATGTGCAAAAATCACAAGCATTCCTATACACCAATAACAGACAAAGAGAGAGCCAAATCATGAGGGAATTCCCATTCACAATTGCTTCCAAGAGAATAAAATACCTAGGAATCCAACTTACAAGGGATGTGAAGGACCTCTTCAAGGAGAGCCACAAACCACTGCTCAACGAAATAAAAGAGGACACAAACAAATGGAATAACATTCCATGCTCATGTATAGGAAGAATCAACATCGTGAAAATGACCATACTGCCAAGGTAATTTATAGATTCAATGCCATCCAGATCAAGCTACCAATGACTTTCTTCACAGAATTGGAAAAAACTACTTTAAAGTTCATATGGAACCAAAAAAGAGCCCACATTGCCAAGACAATCCTAAGCCAAGACAACAAAGCTGGAGGCATCACACTACCTGACTTCAAACTATACTACAAGGCTACAGTAACCAAAACAGTGTGGTACTGGTACCAAAACAGATATATAGACCAATGGAACAGAACAGAGCCCTCAGAAATAATACCACACATCTACAACCATCTGATCTTTGACAAACCTGATGAAAACAAGAAATGTGGAAAGGATTCCCTATTTAATAAATGGTGCTGGGAAAACTGGCTAGGCATATGTAGAAAGCTGAAAGGATCCCTTCCTTACACCTTATACAAAAATTAATTCAAGATGGATTAAAGACTTAAATGTTAGACCTAAAACCATAAAAACCCTAGAAGAAAAGCTAGGCAATTCCATGCAGGACATAGCCATGGGCAAGGACTTCATGACTGAAACAGTTCTTAATCATTGAGATAATATTAAGCAGAATAGCTTCATTTGGATGGTAACCTGGACTTTAATCCCCAAAAGTGAAGAGTTCCATTTCTGACATGGCAAGGAAATTCAATCAACTAAAGAACATCTGTTTTTTAGTAGCCCCAATTCTGAATGGCATATCCTTTATATAGCTATGATTGGCTAATACAATAGGAAAGTTTCAGACTAATCCAGTCACTCAAATAATTATCCATTGTATCAAAATCTACAAAGTTCCAGCACTTTCTGGTCTAGGAACCAACAAACTGTGTCTTGTGTGCCAAATACAGCTTATCATATATATCATATATATGTGTATATATACATATATATGTGTATATATACATATATGTATATATGTGTGTATATATACATATATATGTATATATGTGTGTATATATACATATATATGTATATATGTGTGTATATATACATATATATGTCTATATGTGCGTATATGTGTGTATATATGTATATATGTATGTATATATGTATATATACATACATATATGTATATATACACACATATAATATATACATATTTATACACACATGCACATATATAAATACACATATATACATATATACACACATATATGTATATATACATATATACATATATACACATATGTATATATACATATATACATATATACACATATGTATATATACACATATGTATATATACACATACACATATGTATATATACACATACACATATGTATATATACACATACACATATGTATATATACACATACACATATGTATATATACACATACATGTATATATACACATATATGTATATATACACATACACATGTATACACATACACATATATGTATATATACACATACACATATATACACATATACACATATACACATATATACACATATACACATATATAAGTATATATACACATATACACATATACGTATATATACACATATATACACATATACGTATATATACACATAATACACATATACGTATAAATACACATATATACACATATACGTATATATACGTATATACACATATATACACGTATACGTATATACACATATATACACGTATACGTATATATACACATATATACACATATATACACATATACGTACATATACGTATATATACACCTGTGTACATACACGTATATACACGTATATATACACGTATGTGTACATACACATATATACACGTGTATATATACACGTATGTGTACATACACGTGTATACACGTATATATACACGTATGTGTTCATACACGTATATACACGTATATATACACGTATGTGTATATACACATATATATATAAAGATTTATTGGAACACAGCCATGACCATTTGTTATATATTGTCCGTGGCTATATTTTTTTGTGCCACAATGACAGTGCCAAGTAGTTGTCACAGAGCCTGTATGGCCTATACAGCCTAAAATATTTTCTATTTGGTCCTTTACAGAAAATTTGCCAATAACTGTTTTCTTGCTTAGTTACATTTTTATCAGATAAATATTTTATTCAACGTGTGTATTAAACTGAGTCAAATGTAGCTTTAATGTTTAGAAGTGAACCCTACTATTAATACATATTGAACTTACAGAGTTTTTGTTACTAGACAGTTCTACAGTCTGGCAATGAATGATAATAGTTGACTATAAAAGTTTAACTCATCTAATGGTATCAATGTTTAAACCCTCACATCAATTCGCCCATTTCATAATTACCTTTAGAGACTTCCCTTCCCATAAGGACTATAGATTTTCTCTATTACATTTCCCAAGACAGACCTTGCTAATTCTTTTGGCCTTTTGTCCACACAGATCTTAGACCTGTCTATGCATAATTCTTAACCAATTCAAGACTTTTTCAACTAAATGATTTCAAGCAATTATCAAATGATTGGTAAAAGAAATGTATTTGCCATTCAGGTCTTAGACTGCATATGATATTTATAATTCATTATTTAGTTAGCAAGCCTGCTGAACTTCATATTTTGCATGCTGAATTATTATAAACAAACCTTTTGTATTTAAACCCAACATGGAAACCATAGTGTTGCACTGTAAATTACTTAAAGGGAATGTTAGCCTCCAAGTACACTACCAGGCACTATCCGAGAGCTCTGTCCTAAAGGAACAAAAAAATTGTAGAACAATTCAAGATTATTAAATATCACAATTTATTGATCAACTTCAAATGCACAGTGAGAAGCTAGGGCAAAGAGAAAAGATAGATTTACAAGTTTAGGACAGAGTACTAAGGAGGGTAAAAGTCCCACTATATATGAATCCTGAAGTACACAATATTCATATGTTCTGTCTCTCTGTTGCATCAACTTTCTCTTTTAATGGTGGGGTTACTAAAACCAGATTTGGAGTATAAGCAAGGGAGTCCAAAATACAGAAGGGGACTGGTGTCAAAATTAATTCTTGTTATATTGGAGAGACACAGGGGAAAGTATACCTGGCCACAGCTGTAGAGAACCAGAGGCCTGCTGAACAGACATGTCTGTCATTTGTTTTATTCATATTGCCAGCAGGGGGACTAGTGGGACACCTCTTTGACCCATATAAATGTAGTATGTTATGTACAGTTAGTGGCTTAAGTATATTTGACAATTCCATCTCTTCCTGTGTTCAATAAATGCTTTCCTTGATATCTGACATGGTACTCTACTTCCTTAAACTTAGTTTCATCTATGTTTGTCATTTGTTTCCTTTATTAGCAAAGCTAAATGTCCTTAAATAATATGGAAAACAGAAATAGAAGAGCAATACTTTCTGGCAAGAGATTATCTGCAAGAGAAATTTCAGAATCCAAGTAATCCTACTGTGCATTTGATTACTCTGCTGATGCCCTTGTGGCTGACTTGTACTTCTACTAAACAAACTGTGAATATGCTGGCTGCAGGGCTAAGATGGAAAGGCAATGAAAGTGGATAAAGAAACATTCCTAAATTAGCCAGTATAGATATAGTTTCACAAACTCATCACAGCAGCATTTAAAAATAATTTTTCAAGTATCTACAAGGACATATCCAACATTAACCTACATTGGTATTTCAAATTGGTTCTACTCTCAAATAGAGTCCTGCTCCCTAGTCTATATCCAAAGATATATAAATCCTTTTCGTGTGTATTTCCATTCTAAGATGATTCCACAGAAGTCTCCAATAACTGAATTCTATTCTTTAATGCTAATGTGGCAGAGTATGTGAAATTACTCACCACTTACTTCAGAGCCTTCTCTGTTACGTAGGTTCCTCTTTCCACAAATGCCCTAGTCCTCAACCATGTAGAATGAAGACAAGATTAGGGCTGAGGAACAGCTGCCAAACTGTCACTTTAAGCCTAGATAGTTCCAAGCTCAGCTCTTTCATACCGGCCTCATTGACTCTTTGTTTTAGAGACGGGGTTTCACTCTGTTGCCCAGGCTGGAATGCAGTGGTGTGATCGTAGCTCACAACAGCCTGAAACTCCTGGGCTCAAGGGATCCTCCTGCCTCAGCCTCCCAAATAGCTGGGACTACAGATATATGCCATCACACGCAGCTAATTTTTAAATTTTTTTTGTAGAGACAGGGTCTTGCTGTGTTGCCCAGGCTAGTCACAAACTCCTGTCCTCAAGCTATACTCCCACCTCGGCCTCCCAGCGTGCTGGGATTACCGGCAAGAGACACTGTGCTCAGCCTTCCTCATTCACTTTCTATATAACAGTATAGACTTTCTCCACTGTAAATACTCTTTGAATTTTCTTCTCTTTATCCCCTCCCTTGCTCCTGCTCCCTACTCCACTGCAGACATGTGGCAAGCAGGCCATCTAGCAGTCTAGCCCAGTTTTGTGCTCATAGTACAACTCCAGTGCTATTATTCAGTATACATTTATAAAACAGAAAGCTACTGGATCCTGAAGAATCTCTTTATTCAGATGAATAATTTTTATATCAGATAAAGTCTAGGACCTGTCTCCAATTTTAGTATCCCTTATCTGCTCCTAACCTATTCATTACTTTACATGCAGTATATATATTTGTCGTTAATACTGTCAAGTAGATCAAATAACACATTCCAGCAAATCAAAGGAGTATAAAGTTTAATACCACTTCACCCTCTACTCTGCCATATAGATTAGCTTTATTACTGTTTGAAAATATTTACAAGCTCAACAGGGCAAATTATAAAACTTAGTGGGATATTTATAGCAACATTTTCAGGTCTGATGAACTTCCCCCTCATCTCAGTATGTTTATGTCCTTCTGTTAATACATCAAACTAATACCAGCAACAGGTCAAATAAAACTCTTACAGCTAGTCAAACTTCAGTGACTTAAATCAGGGCTTTTCCAAAATTTCGAGTGTCTATGAATTTCTTAAAGATCCTGTTAAACTGTGGATTCTGATTCAGTGGGTCTGAGGTAGAACCAGAGATTCTGCATTTTTAACAAGTTCCCAGGTGATGTTGAGGCTGTTTGTCTAAGATTCATGTAATTAAAGGAAAATTTTAAAATATTTATATTTATCCTATGTCACAGCCCCCTTCATGAGTATGCAGAATGAAACGTTTTGCAATGTGTAGATTGTACTACTAGCATCTGGGAACAGTTGGAAAAAGGAAATAGGAGTGATATGTAAATAAGTCATGAAAGGATAATAGCTCATATAAAACTATAGTAACAATATCAAACAATATGGAAGTCAACTACATTCAAAAATAAAAATAAGCAAAATCATTTTTCTAATAACAAAAGTTTTTATTTTCACAAATATTTTAAAATGCAGCTACCTTTGAGCCACAAAAGGAAAAAGCAGTATTCCTTTTATGTATTTGATACAAATATTAAACATAACTCAGTTTTAGTTCATTAGCTCAGCTCAGTGAAAATAGCTCAGGAAAAAAAAAGTCATAGGTAATGCTATTGGTATATGCAGGAAACCAGAAGCGACGACATTGAGTTCAAAATCCATTTAGAATTGTAGACAGGCCACAAGGGGCAGGTGAAGAGAGCAGCCACAGAGTCACTAATACATTGGACTTCAAACAGAAAAACTGAAATGTCAGTTGGTACACACCTAAAACAAACTCCAACTAGAAAGATAATTATGTAGCTCAGACATTGATAACAGGTTAAGAAATTTGTACGTGCATACTGTTTTTTTTTTTTGAGATGGAATCTCGCTCTGTCACCAGGCTGGAGTGCAGTGACGCGATCTCAGTTCACTGCAACCTCTGCTTCCCAGGCTCAAGAGATTCAGTCTCCCGAGCAGCTGGGACTACAGGCATGGGCCACCACACCCCGCTCATTTTTGTATTTTTAGTAGAGATGAGGTTTCACCATGTTGGCCAGGATGGTCTTGATCTCCTGACCTCGTGATCCACCTGCCTCCCAAAGTGCTGGGATTACAGGCATGAGCCACCATGCCTGGCCATGTATACACATCTTAATACAAATATTTTCAGAGATAACCATTGCGTGATAGCTATTTTTTTTCTTGAAATGATACCCTCCTTCACCCTTTTCTGTCAGAACTGAAAGCTACATAGCTTCTTCTATTTCTTCATGCACTTGTTAGAAGCAATATGCATTAACCTATTTTCCGATGCTGTTGATTCTCTAATCTGTTAATCCATTTGCAGACGCTATTGATTTTCAAACTTAAGTTATGAATACCTGCTATAATTCTGTGGTTAATAACCAGCTTTGGAAAGAAAATGTGCTTCTATCAAAGGGTACAATTTTTCTATGACTAAAACATATAAATTCATCCATGAGCAATTGCAAGTGTCCAAACATTTACCCTTTCTGAACAACATTAACTTCGCCAGGGCAAAACAAAGTCACACATGTAACATATTCCCCAAGTTGCCCCACTCCCACCACAGTGCATATGTGCACACACACACACACACACACACACACACACATCCAAAGCCCAGATTTCATGTAAAAAAAATCTCCCCTTAAGTAATTATTTTTCCTACTGCATATTTTTAATCTCGTTGTCTTTGTATATGAATTGTCTTTCCTCTTATATTCCTTTTACAGAATTTGAGAAATGAAACACTGAGGAATGATAAAGATTATACATGTATTCAAACAATATTAAAGACATATAGGTCAAAACCTTTTCTGATATCTAAATGCTATGAGATCATCCCTGTATTAAGATCTGAGTCATGATTAGTCATAATATACAGGTCAATATGTATATTCTCATCCAATTATCTTTAGAAGTTTCTACATTATATAACTCAGCCCTACATGCCTCAATGATTAAAAAACTTTCCTTTATATTAGATGGACATGTCCACAAATATCCTAATGCAAATAGAATAAACCTTGTATTATCAGAAGAACATGTCTACAATGTTATCTTACATATTAATATCTTGGACAGATACTTCTTTTATCTTCCCAGTTAAAAGGAAAGGCACTAAGTATGCTTTAAGCACCTTCAGAGATGCAAAAGATCTTTCCAAACAGGTAGATTCTTGGTTTGTGGCTTTTCTGTAGTAATGCTCAACATTTACTCTGGCGGCTATCATAAGGAGGAGGCTAAAAGTTATTTTCGATTTTAGTATCCAAACAGGCCAGTTACTATTCCTTTGTCCTGTATCCTTCTGTGGGTAAAACACAAGCTAGAATTTGGTTTATCTTCCCTTTCTATGCTGGAGCTTTTTAGGAGAACTAATGCTCTCAGAATAAGTGAACCCCTGCTCAAGAAACAGAGTTACCTATTAATGTGTCTCCTTATGAAAAAGGAAAAACCTTTGCAATTGTCCTACTGCTGTAAAGGATGAAACCAAATGTCTTTTTGTTCTTCATCCAATTAGCTTAAAAAATTAGCCTAGAACAAAGTGGTAGAAATTTAGAAAGCATATTTCAGCAAGGACTATGGATTTATAAAGAAATGTGGATTCAGATAAAATATACTTCAGAGAGAAAATTAGGATAAACATTTTATGACACAAGAGGAACTAGAAAAAGCACAGGAATTTAAGGAAGAACATATTTTAATGGTTGAAACCTGTCTTTATGAGGCGATTATGACAGCAAAAAATATTATAATGAATAACAATGCATAGTCTACGCTTTGTAATATTTCATACAATAATTCCTTTATCATTTACATCTCTTAATGCTAGAAAAGCATTCTGAAGATGCCAAGCGTAAGTTGCAACTGAGTAAAAAAAAAAAAGCAAAATTTACTCAATTTCCAGAAGAGGTGCAGAACAGAGAATGAAGGTCCTTAAAATATAAACCGCTAGTGTGCTAAAATGATGTCCATTTGCAGGATCAGTGACAAAATATTTAAGCCCATAAAGAAAAGAGTTATACCTGCTGTATGAAGGTATTCATAGAGAAATATGAGTCATAAGCCAATTATTTATAAATGTCTTTCAAAATATTTGGTGCACATGAAATGCAGTATACTGATGGTCCTGGAGACTGTTGCAGTTGAATAGGGCAGCTACTGGGATGATGGTGTTTCCCCCGGATGAGGATGACAGGAATGCAGGGCCTAGGATTTGTTGAGCATGTACACTCTTCTTCTGAATTGGCCACCCAGAAACCAATTATTGAATCAGAACAACACAAATTGGTTTGTGCTTGAGCCAGGTCTGTAGAAACGGAAATCAATTCAGTTGTGGAAATGATGAATTTTAAAAGCTGCTGGGTTTTTTTTTGTGCAAGGTAGAGATTTTCATAACATCTCAATAATCCTTTTGAAATGTGCAGTTGCTTAGTGCAAAAAAAGAAATAGTGCCACCATTTCTTCAACTAAAAGATAAGGTGTGCTTTGTAAAAGTAAAGCATATCCAATTTTCATCCTGTTGGTCGGTATTACCAAGGGTCATGATGTAGCTGGCGCACAAATGTGAAGAATCATTTACTACCTGTAGAGTGGCAGTATATCTTAGATATCATACTTTTTATTAATCAGTTCAGTTTCTCTAGCTGCAGAGAGAAGTTCTCTAACGGACTTCACCAATAGGGCAAAACACATTCCCATTCCAGAAAGGCACATAAGAAGGGTGCTTCAAGACAAGCACACACCAGGCAAGGAACGGTAGCTGAAGTGCATCTGCCCTGGACCAGCATTTCCACACCCTTCAGACCAAGTTCCATTTAAAGGTGTATGTACTACTTTCAAAAGGACCATTGGGTTATTTTCTTGTGACCCCCTGAGTAAAACCACACATTAAAGCTCCACCGTCTTACACTTTGCTACTTCTTACATACCTGTCTTCTTACTTGTTCCTATTGTTTACAAATCTGCCCAAAGATATAATTTTTATGATATTAAGAGCTGAATTTTGCTTAAGAAAATCTACATATCTTTTGTGATTCTTCTAAATCTAGTAAATCAAGTAATCAACAGTTTATTCTCTGCTTGTAAAAAAGGGTAGTAATTTTTCCACATAAAAATCAAATATATAAGCAAAACTAATATATTTGTTGACAAAGTTGCTCCAGCAAGCCTTGAATTTTTCATTATAATTTAGCTATAAATAGACCCAAGGAATCTGACATCCAAGGATCATTAAGCAATCATAAAAATGTATCACATAATTTTAATTCTGAATACTTACTTACAAAACATGTTTATAACTTCTGCATTTCCTTTTATTAAGCATGCTTTCCCATTAGGACAAGTTTTTTTGTTATTTTGTTTTACTTTTCAGCGGATGATCTATTACATAGTCATACAAATACCTTTGTTTAGTCATAATTTGTCAGTAGGCTACTGACAGGTATTGAAGGTAATATTTAACTTTTTATAATGTGAACATTTTAGGCTAGCATTTTGAAGCCATTCTGTCCAAATAGTTTGGATGCAGAATTATTGTCTTTTTGGTGACTAAATAGTGGTAGAAGTGATTAGAACCAAAAATTAGGTTGCCTTTTCAAACACAAGCTCTCCATCTCACAAAAGGAAATTATTGGTCCCCAAATTCCACTTTCACTGATTTATGCTTTGGTCACAAACAATTAAAATGTATGATTTCATGGAACATCTCTAGAAGATAGAATGGATGCTGATGAATCCAGGCTATTGGAAAATCATGAAATTGTATTAGGGATCATGTGAGATAAAGAATCTTTCTTTAGCATGGTACTGGCACACAGTAAACAACTAAATAAGTTATTATAACACACATACTGCTTTTATTTACATTGCCTTGAGGTGGGCTGAAGAAAAATAGGGAGAAAGTAAAAAATTCTCCCCCACAGGCAACACCAATGTTACCTGTGATAACTAAAAAAAGGTTTTCCTTTAGGAAAGGTCAGGCATTCATTCATCTTTAAGAGTGCATGGACACTAATATCTAAAGCATAGAGGCCTAAACTCTTGTACACCACTCTGAGTACTTGGTTCTACTATGTTGAACACTATTTTCCCCTATTTCCTGATACTATTATATTCAAATTTTTGTTCAGGACTTTTCTGGATTTGGAAAATGCACGGCCAGCATGTCTACATGCAGCAATCCTGGTCTTATGAAACCATTTCCTAGTCAATTATTTTTAAGTATCAGATAATATATAACTAGCTATATAATTGAGAAATGAACCAGTCAATTTTGGACAACTTTGGCACAAGTGCTTTATTTGTGCTATTGTTACAATGGTCACAAGTACATCTTTTATCTCATTTCTCCCAGAATTAAAGATATACTTTAGTGATCTGCGTGATAATATTTATAGGTTTATTTACCTATATTTAAAAATGATCAGTGGCTAGACATGTCTAGAAATATATATGGCCTAATATGTAACTTCTCTTTGATAAAGTGAAAACAAGTAATATATAAGCTAATATTATTGAAGCAATATTTTTTGGTACATACTTACTTATTTTATTGTTTTCGATCTGCATGCACAATATGAAATCATAAAAGCAACAAACATCACCACACCAACACTGAGTAAGATCATTTCTATCAGGCCAAGGAGGTTTATTTTTCCAGTTACTTGACTTCTGAACATGTTTGCCTTCTCATCACCAATGGTCCCAGTCTGTAATCAAGTTAATAATCAACATTATTTGGGTACGTTAGTAAAACAAAATAAACCCTTCAATTGCCTATCACCCTTTTTTCTAACACCTCTATTGGTGTTAGTCATCAGTATCTATAAGGCAAGTTAATGGAATTCCTTTTGCAAGTCAAGAAAGGCAATTAAGTGCCAGATAGAGTACGGTACTCTTCAATGTACTAGGATTCATTTGCTCTTCAGAACTATCAAAGGGTCAACAGTTTCATTTGCTCCAAAGACTTATTCAATGTTTTTCCTATTTTTATAGCTATCAATGCATGGATTTATAGTAAAAATACCTTGTCAGGCAATAGAAGACAAATGTTACAACAAGAAAATGTGTTTAATAGATGCATTTTTGAAGAAAATCTTAAATGATAGGAAATGTTTTTGTTCAATTGGATCATCTCAAATAGGTTAAATAAATGTATACTCATCCATATGGGTAATGGAAATACATATAGCTTTAAATACTATACATTCTTTTGAAACATCAAGAGCTTGTTTATATACAAAGAAGGTTGTTTTTAATGACTAACAGCTGCAAATACAAACCTCATTAAGCCAAAGAATAGGCACAATATAGTTCCTCTTCAGATTCTTTAATACTCTGTAATATACGTTGAAAATAATTATGAACATATAAACTAATATTTATATATAACAAACTTTAAAATAAATGTTCATAAATTAGTTGCTGTTGCTAATTTGATTTTGTTCCTGTAATGACTCATTTAAATTTTAATATAGTTGTTTTTGACTTCCTTTGCTCTTATATGTCTTCTAATCACATTGATTTTTTTTCACAAGTGTGGATTTTTCCTTTCAATAAATTCTCGGGGAACTGAAATATGAATTCCAAAAATTAATTATTGTCATAGAAATATTTGGGCAGCTAACAAAATAAGAGATGCTATCAAATGCTCAAATAAAACCATAAAACCATTCCAAAATCTGTGAAATTAGTCATAAGCATTTAATAATGATTGGTGACATTAAGCTAAAGATAAGTTGATATCAGATGTTATTTCCACTTACTTACATAGATTTACTCATGTTCTTACAAGAAGATACTACGATACTACAGATCATATCAAAATAACCATTTTCAAGAGACTCACTGAATTTTTTCTGATGGCTTGACCAATAGGTTGACCTGCAGCCGTTTTGCAAATTGTAAAGTGAATCCAGTTATCTAAAAAGAGAACAACTAAATAATTACCAACTTTTAAAAACATTATTTTATACTATTCAAAACTTATTTTTCTTACAGCAGAAGAGAAGGTAGTAACTTAAGGTTAAACAGGACTAATTGAAACTTTTAAAACTGCATATATAGTTATAGTTATATACACATGCATCCATATAGATACACACAATTTATTTGCCCAATCGAATGTCAAGGTTTTAGTTAGTTAGATTTGTGAGTTACTTGAAATGGTTTTTAAAAAATCAAAAATCAGCAACAAAATATAAGATCTCAGATAATTCCTGGTCAAATATATATTCAGTTAGAATCCATGTGTCATTGTTTAAACTAAAACATAACTACTAAAATCCTAGAATTTCATTTACTTTTTGAAAAGGAAAATACAAAAATAAAGATGATTAAAACTGTTGCGCTACAACAATTTTATAGATTTTGACAATAAGTATAGTCAAACTCACATATACTCTTTGACTTTTGCATAATATACAATAACTCCTCATCTAAACATAAATATTTATATAAAATTATTTTAAGCCAATTAGAATCACTTCATAAACCATAGGAAGAAATCGACCTAAGTTTCAGTAACTTTCAAGAATGTGATTCAATAAATATGATTATTTATTGAATAAATAATCATCGACAAGATTATTTTTATTTCAATTGTATTTTTAAAAATATCAACCAAATCAGATCAATAAGGTGTTTTCTTACAGGTTCAATATCCAAGTATGTCCTATGTTCTTCTTCATTTGGGTTTAATCCATCAATAGGTTCTGAAACATCAGGACTTGCATACAGAAAATGAGGAAGTGAAATGTACACAGGTCTCCCTGAAGACAAGTTTTAAGAGTCAATTGGAATTAATAACTTCCTTCATTTCACATATAACTCAAAAAATATTTCCACAAAACTAAAGCTTCTTGCATTAAAAAATACATGGTTTTTAACATGGGTGGGGAAGAATTATGTCAGTTGATTTCTACTATAAACTCCTTCAGTATTAATTTTCAATATGTAAAGCTTTCAGGCAGTAATATGTCTATGGACTAAGAATTTATTTAACACTAGTTTTTTCTTTCTTCTTCCACACCCACGTTAGTATGATAAATATGTACAGGATAAGCTAGTCTCCAAATTTTATGTTTAACTCTAGCTTTAGATACATACTGAAAATACATTTACCTGTACCATTTTCTAGTGAAAAAAGTTAGGACAGATGAATAACAGGATGTTTAATGTGTTCTCGGAATTATTTTCATTTCACCCTAAATCTAAAAGCAGCCACAAGGAAATACTGGTGTGGTTTTAACTAAATTTTGTAATACTGAAACACAAGTGGGATCTTCCCAAAATACAAAATCAGCACTAAAATTTTCTGCCACCATTCTTTCTTCTGCCCTAATTACTTTCTTACTTTAATTTTAAATTTTGGTTGCTAAAGGATTATGGTAAAGTTCTCATTTTAAAGAATATCACAAATTATGATATATTTTAAATTTTGGTTGCTAAAGGATTATGGTAAAGTTCTCATCTTAAAGAATATCACAAATTATGGTATGGACTGTGCTACTGAGGTTATTTACTCACCTTCTTTGCATTTGCTGATGTCTAGCACACCATATGATGTACAATTTTTTGAGATAATTTTTTCTGTGCAGAAACAATAGTTGTCTGGGTTTTCAACTGGAGAGGCAAAGGCCTTGGATGGAAGAACAAATCTATACACAGGGATTCCTTTCAGATTAACGTCGGATTCAAATACAGCATAGATTGACCTAAATACAGAGAAAAAAGAGCTGCATTCCAGGAACCTGAACTTACATTCTGGAGATTCATTTTTTCTTATTCTTGTTTTAACTTAGAAACATCATATACTCTTTTAAATTCTTGTTTCATTCTTAGAAAAAAAGTGATTGGGAAATTTTAACACATACTAAAACTCAATAGCCAAGCATGAACTATTCTTGTTTGTGAAGTACCATGTTTATTTATACTCAAGTTACTTCTCACAGGCAATTTATCCAATAGAGTAAATATTTATAGGACTTCCTTCAAATACTTTATTTGTGATCAGTTTAAATGAAATAGTTTCTTTCACGGCTTAATTAATCCTGGAAAGAAAGACCACTCACTGGAGTGTATGCATATACATGCTGGATATATACCTGGTACATTTCCATCGTTTACCAAGTGTCTATCATAGGGTTCAATACACATATTTTTCTTATCCCCAGATACACGTATATGAAGAAATACTGCTGTCTTAAATTGTACAGATAAGAAAAAAATTCAGAGATGTTAAATGCCTACCCACAAGCATACAGTCTTTAGGGACAGAGCTTGGGCTCAAGGGTAGTGGTAAAGGCTCCAGTGCTTGTGTGTTATCTACTGGGCCCCACAAATCTGAGCAGAGCACATTAACACAGTTCTGTTACATTTGCATCATCTTCTCTGTATGTCTTTAGAAAGATTGGGCACGCCCTTCTGGACTTGATCGTTAATAGACTACTAGTTTAGTTTTTAAAAGGCAAAATGGTTCTTGCTTAGATAGAAATGGCAAAAAAAAAAAAAATTTGTACTATTAAAAATTGGAAGATGCAGAAGAACATTTTGCAAAGAGTTAGTTAATAAACATGATGAATTTCCTATGCTGTGTTTAAGTTTCTTGGTCTGCATTTTGTCACCTGGGGTCTGACTCAGACATACTTATACTTCAGTATCTGTCTTACCTGCAAATATCAGAAGAAAAGAACTGCAATACCTGGCTTTTCTCAACAAAAGGTGGAAATGAGGCTGCATCTGTTTAAAAATCGAGTGGCAAATGATTAGATGTAATGTGTGTTCTAGAAAAAAACCTAGAAATCTCTCCTCCAGTGTAGTCCATAGAAATGTAATGCAAACTGCCTAAGTAATTTATCTAGCAGCCACATTTTTAAAAGGTAAAAAGAAATAACCGGCCAGGCATGCTGGCTCATGCCTGCAAGCCCAGCACTTTGGAAGGCCAAGGCGGGTGGATCACCTGAGGTCAGGGGTTTGAGACCAGCCTGGCCTACATGGTGAAACCCCATCTCTACTAAAAATACACAAAATTAGCTGGGTGTGGTGGTAGGCGCTTGTAATCCCAGCTACTTGGGAGGCAGCTATCCTGAGGCAGGATAGGCCTGCCTCAGCTATCCTGAGATAGGCGCTCGTAATCCCAGCTATCCTGAGGCAGGATAATTGCTTGCACCCAGGAGGCGGATACTGCAGTGAGCCAAGATCATGCCATTGCACTCCAGCCTGGGCGACAAGTGGAAAACTTTGTCTCAAACAAAACAAAACTATATTTAACTTATTAATATCCAAAATATTTTAACATGTAACCATTATAAAATATTTTAAATTCTTAAAGTCTCAAAATCTACTGTGCATTTTATATTTACAGCACATTTCAAATCATACTAGCCAGATTTTGAGTCCTTAACAGTTACATATGGCTGGCGGCTGCTATTGTCAACAACAAATCTACATACTATACATATTTAATGGTACAAAATAAAAGAAACTTAAACATGAAATGTTAAGGCTAACATTGTGTTTGTTTTTTGAAATGCCCTACCCCACCAGTAGAGTGGCACTTTTCTTCCAGTGAAGTTCATTTGGATCTCCTGCCATGTCCACATTTATTTGTAGTGATTTTTTTTCTCATTTGTCCTAATGGCTGATTACTACTTCTAAAAATATTTACTAAAGTTCTCTCACTAAACAGAACTTCAAATGCTTTGAAAGTGTATAAAAAAGTCATTTATTGAATTTACTTTTTGCTACAGCTATGATCCATGGCAAACATTGGATATATGAAGAAATAGTTAACTCCTCCATGTACTTCTCACATGAATATCACTAATACGAGCCGTCATTGAATGAGTTTTAAATGGTAAGTCTCATCTTTGATTATGCATTGTAGGTTCTTTCTCTGGCAAGTGTGTCAACCTTGTGACCTTGTTTTCATTAGTTTACACTCTTGTGACAAGTAAAATATAAGCCCCCATATGGACATTGACAACAACTGCTTTTCCATTTCCTTAATAATTAAAGAAAAATGCATTGAAAAGCTTTTAAGATCATTATCTAAAATATCATTGAAGATTATGTCCTAATTATACCCAGCAACTACCATGGACAATGACTGCAACATAGTTGATATTTGCAGAGCTTTTTTTCTGTCCTCCCAAAAGAAACATTCTAAATGTATACCAATACTTTCATTTTAAGTCTTTTCAAACTTACTGAAGAAGGTAAAGAGGATGCACTTCTAAATTACGATGAAAACACATTAGAACCTTACTGTTTTATTACTTTCTTTTCGCTAGTGCCATAAGCAAGAATCTCTCTCACAGGGATCATCCCCTGCTCTGTCCAAATTCCCTCTTTTCCTAGTTTGTATCAGCCCTATTTTCCCCATAGATATTTTTAACATCATGCCTGATGCTCATGCATTTCTATTATTGTCAATGAATCTTCTTTTTAAAGATTTTTCTCCTTAAAGAATCCTTTACTAGGATTAACACAGTATATTTATCTCTGCATCTAAGGACTAAGTATTCCGCTTATACAACTACTAGCATTGGTAGTATTGAGGACTTGAAAATTTATTTCCAGAAATGCTTTACTTAGAAAATAGCTTATTTGCCCACTCCTATGGCTCAAAACCCTGCAAAGCCTTGGCCAGGTGTGGTGGCTCAAGCCTGTAATCCCAGCACTTTGGGAGGCCGAGGGGGGCGGATCACAAGGTCAAGAGATCAAGACCATCCTGGCCAACATGGTGAAACCGTCTCTACTAAAAATACAAAAATTAGCTGGGTGTGGTGGCACATGCCTGTAGTCCCAACTACTCATGAGATTGAGGTAGGAGAATCACTTGAACCCCAGGAGGCAGAGGTTGCAGTGAGCCGAGATCGCACCACTGCACTCCAGCCTGGCAACAGAGCCAGACTATGTCTCAAAAAAAAAAAAAAAAAAAAACAAAAGAAAACCCCTGCAAATCCAACAGTGTTTTTGCTGTTTTTTTTGTTTGCTTTTTTTGTTTATCATTTCCTACAAGGCAATGATAGAATCAAGTACGCATACGAAGTCAATAATCATACCTTTGGCAAAGTAAACATTCTCTGTACTTCATTTTTACTTAAGTGTCTTTATCTTTGTTATATCATTTTCCTATGGGATATTCCCTAATTTTCTAAACTTCATGCTTTTGTTTCCTAGTAGTTGAAAGCTTGCCTCTGGATATTAATTACTTCATGGTATTCGATTCCCACCACTTTTTTTTTTTTTTTTTTTTTTGAGACAGGGTCTCACACTATTGCCCAGGCTAGAGTGCAGAGGCACAATTATAGCTCACTGCAGCCTCCACCTCCTGGAATCAAGTGATCCTCCTGCCTCAGCCTCCCAAGTAGCCGGAACTAAAAGCGTGTGCCAGCACACCCAGCTAATATTTGTATTTTTTTTGTAGAGATGGGATTTTGCTATGTTGCCCAGGCTGGTCTCAACCTCCGGGGCACAAGTAGTCTACCTGCCTTGGTCTCCCAAAGTGCTGGGATTATAGACATGAGCCACTGTGACCAGCCTCCCATTGCTTTTTAAAAATCTTAATTCTTAAACTAATAGGCATATCTGTACTTTGCTTTTCCTGAAGGAGAATAAGCCTGATCTAACCATACCTTAAATCTAAGTTTATGAATGCTCATTTTTTACATATATTTTTCACAGTTAAGAAGACATCTGACTTTGTTATTGTTTTCTCTCTCATTCTGACCACCTTATCCAAAAATGGATGGTTCTGTCTTGCAACTTTATTCTATCTCAGCTATAAGCCTTGCTTAGATATGTTTTCTATTTTGTAATTAGCTTTTTTTAATTCTTTCAATTCTAACTTATCTGTATACTATTTATAAAATATTTGAAATGTAACTAAAGTGTTTTGTGTTGTTGTTTGTTTTTTACCATTTACTTCTGTTGCCAGGATGGCAGTAAAGTTTTTACAAAGCAAACATTTCTCTGAATCATGCAGTAAGGGCTAATTTTTTATGATTAATCTTTACAAATCCCATCACATTGAACAGACCTTTAGCCTATATACAAATAGTGACTCTGAATTTTGTTGTGGGGATATAAAGGCAAGTAAACACACACCCTCAACTTTCAGAACACTGTCAGTACAACGGTGGATTTGTGGGAAAGGGAGGTGGATTAACTGTGATGACCACAAAACAAATATTCTTACCTGTACCATTAATCATGTCGCAGTGACTTTCCCAATAGGACAGATTCCTAGGAATAGAAAAAGACAATGAATAAACATTCTTATTTAAAGAATACCTTTCTTACATTACTTTTTCTATTATAATTCAATACTTCTGTTAATATGATGCATTTAAATGTGACAAGTACTAAGTTTAAGAAATGTTCAATTCTGTTTATGTTTTGTTTGAACCTTTTATCTTATTGCAATGTACCTGATGCCATTAGGTAGCCAGATCATAAAATAAAAACTGCCAGGTGTTAATTAGAAACATCTTGGAATAAGAAAAAAATTAAAAACATTTATCAGAAACTTAGATCTCTACTTAGGGGAAATTTTTTTTTTTCCAATGGGATACATGAATTACTCAGTAGTATAAGTGTTCAGAATGAATAGAAGGAAAGTGTTAAGTGGGTAACTGATATAAGCTAAGTACAAGGCAGGCAGAAGAGAGAAGCAGGGAAGAGGAAAGAAGCAGATGTTTGGATCAGCAAACATTCAAAACATGTAGATGATTAATTTATATTCTTGCCCCTTCCTCCCTTTAATTCTCCCATGGACTGGCGTTAAAGTAGGAAAGAGTTTACTAACTTATACTTTGCTGTCTAAATAAGCTATATATATCTGGAAGTGATAAAAACAATAGTAATAGTTTCCCTGCATCCTCACTTTTTGGTGATGGAAAAACTTTTTTTCCACTCCTGACAGTGACATGTCAAGACAAGCCATTGCTTAAACAAAATAAGTGGTTAATCATGTTCAGTCTTGCCATGAGTTAAATCAACCTTACAATCTTAAAATGATGTGAAATTCTTACTCTAACTAGGAGTGCTTTGCAACTCCCCTCCACATCTCTCTGTAATATTAGAGTGAAATGCTCGTTATTTCTCAATATAAAAAATTGCTGTGATTTCCTTTTAAGTGAATACTTAGAAGTGTTTTTTTCCCTCTACTGACTTTTTCTATAAAAATATGTAACTGTGGACTCTTTAGAAGAAAAAGTACTCCACTAGTAATATTTAGCTGTTAAAAGCAATCATTAGATAGACTCAGTTTGAGGTAGGGGTTACTTTATATTAATAAAAACATTTCATCTCTTTTGGTTTTGATCACTTTATTCTTTTTCAGAAAAAAACTAGTCAAACACACAATTGTTAATTTTATGGAGAAGAAAGCTTGTTCCTCTGATATTTATTAGGGTTCTTCCTAGTTTACATATATGATAAATTATAAATTCTTTAGGTGAATAGGCTGGAGCTAGAAAAAAAAAAAGGAAATAATGGCTTAGGAAGCTGATTTGTTATTTTACCACTTTAAAGTTGGCAAAGTCTTCATTTTCACATTTTGTATTTACATTGTAGAACTGCACTTGAAATATTCATTCTATTTTTGCATTGATAAAGTTAAAAAAGCTGAGTTATCAATATGGAAAATTATTAAAGACTATTTGCAGGGGGAAGGTCATGAAAGCAGTTGCCTGGATTCATTAAGCTTCCATCTTTATAGACACATTTAGGTCATGCCACTGGAATATGGAATTCGATATGCTCGATTTAAAAAGTAAAAAAAAAGTTTCCATCTACTACACAATCAGTTGATGTGTTGTTTTTTTTTTTTTTACCTTTTCATTTATGGTTATCTAATTGTAAGAATAATTATACTGTAATGCTGGATAAGTAGCAGAGATGAAAAAATAGTCCCTTTGGGGATTTATGTAACACAACCATAACCTGTGCAGAAAGGTGAACCAAACCTTAAAGTGGAGCTGATAGTCAGCAGCTATGCACTGGTGTGAACTCACCAGTTACCACAACTAAAGAGTTAATACCTAGCAGAACAGGAGTTTCCAGAGCTGAATTATAACCAGGTCTGTTCTATAGGTTGATGCCTATGTCTTATGAGATGTTAAATGAATACTATTCCTGCTTAAGAGTACCCTAGTAACATACATGCACATTTTACCAGAATACTTACCTTTTACCTTTATATGTGTCGATTATGGCAACTTTACTTATGTTATCTTTTCCATTGAAAACTTTATAAACTCCATCTGCAGTATTGTTGTACTGAAATATATGTATGGGAAAATGTTACTTCTACAAGTCATTTTTTCAAAGTTGTACAATACATAACTCACTTTCACATTTCTCAATCACTGGTTACTCAAATGACTTGAAATACATCTGCAATACATTTTTTTAAATTATTGGCCTTAAAAATTGTGAAAGGTGCCTAGAAATAAGTGCTAGATGCTGTGACAAAGAAGATACATATCAGAAGCTGACATGATGTGAACTCTAGCACTCTGTCATAATTAAGCCAATGAGGGCATTTTGATCACTATTCTTACTATGTTGAGGTGAGGGACATTGAACAAACCTATAAGAACAATGATTTCTAGGGGTATTCTAAATGTTACAGTCATTAATAAGTGGTTACTAAAATGATAATAAGTGGTTACTAAAATGATAAAAATTAGACATCCAAAAGTTAAAGCATTAGCCAAAGAAAGAGCTATGAGTATTGAGTTAAAATCAGAATGAATTTGATTCATTATGGCTTTCTACATTCATTTATAATTGATATATAACCTTGTAATCCTAACAGTATCTAAAAGTAAAACAATGAACTAGAGAACATAATATTCACATATAGTGCCAAATGAAGTCATAGTCCAACTTCCAATTCAGTAGTTAGCTTATCCTATTTGTAATTCAAAACATTAAGCGGTAATCAAGTACACCATCAAGTTCACATTTTCCTTAATCTTCAAGCTGCCATTTCATGACATTATGGACTACTAAAAATTCTTATTTACAAATCCCATTAAAATGAAGTCTATTACCTTATCAGTATTGAGATGTGAACATTAGGCTAACTTTTAAATATAAATTAAAATTGTAAGAGGTCTAGAAAAGGAGGAATGAGGAGTATATTTAAAACAAATAAAAATATGGTATTAAACTTGATTATGTGAATAGGGAAATAAAAGCCAAAAACAGTGCTCAAAGATTTACAGACTAGCTTACCGGCTAATTTAAAAAAAATTGTGTATTTATAAATGAGTAGAAACCTTATTAAATCTATTCTTCAGGTTTAAATTTAATTGTTAAATTCAGATGAATTTCCCAACTAGGAAAGCTGAAGCTATAATGAGAAGTGGACTTTTTAAAAAGTTAGGATATATGTCTCCAGATCAGCAATAAGACTAATGAGCTAAATTATAAAATTATGCCTTGCCAATGCCATTGAATTAATTAAATTAAAATGTAATAATATTGCCATTCATATTTGGTACTTACAGGATAAAACAGACCAACTGTGGTAGTAACAGGGTACGGAACCAAACTCAAAAATGGATCCCTATAGCCCCATAACAGTTCTCTCAAAGTTCTGACTTGGAACATAGAAGATTTTGACTTGTTAATAAGTGAATTGAGGATCATTTGAACAAATTGATTTTGATAGATATGGGATGCAGCCTACAAAAACAAAGTCACTGTTTAAGACAAGAATACAATATTAGATTTTAACAAATAAATGGATTAAATGCTAATATTGAGCTTAATACAAAACTTTTTAAAGCTTATCTTTAAAATTACTGCCAGATCCTGCCAAAACTCAAAATGCAATTCGTCTAATTCCTAGATGATTACATTTCTTTGCCTCAGTGCCAGCCACAAGAAGACGACATTCCAAGTTAAGCTCTATTTATTTAACGATACACTTAAAGTGGTCTTCTCAAATATCTAATGCATTAAGGCATACGGGGCTTAAAACCTAGATGATGGTTTGATAGGTGCAGCAAAGCACCATGGCACATGTATACCTATGTAACAATCCTGCACATTCAGCACATGTATCCCAGAACTTAAAAAAAAAAAAAGCCATAAGTCTGGTCCCAAAGGCGCTGGAGCCACACGTGACAGAAATGGCGCAGACAATTGTTGCAGGCGTGTTCATCACAACGGCAGGTTCCACGTCTAACGGCACGAGGCTCTCTGCCAGTGACCTGACCAATGGTGCGGATGAAATGCTGGCCACAAGCTCCAACAGGTCTCAGTACAGCATCTCCAGGGTGAAGACCCCGGTGTCCCAGGTTGGGGAGGATGAGGAGGACTACGATTTCGACGAGGACAACTGACTTCCTCTCCACTTCAATTTCAGCTTCAGGAAAATGTTTAGGAAAAGAAACTTCTTTTTTTAATGTGGGTTTTCTGTTTCCTTTTGGCCTACTCCCAAGAATATATTGGTAAGCTATTGAATTTAGATATGCACCTCCGATAAGCAAGGATTGTTTCCCATAGAATTAGGATGTGCTGTGGATGTGTGGTTTGATGCCAGTGTGCTAATGCAGAGCCTTCATATACTTTTTAGGATTTTGTGTTTCCGTTTTCTATTTTTCTTAAAATGCAGAGTTCATATTTGCCCCTTAAGAGTTTTTGCTGAGCTTGCTGAAGAAATTGTACTTCATCCACATAAATGCCCGCCTGTTGTGAATGGTGAGCACCAAATGCCCTTTATTTGCCATGAATTTGGACGGCACCCCCTGTTGGCGGATAGCTAGACTCTGCAGAGTTTTGTTTATTCAGTGGTGTGGTCTCTAGAGCCCCAAGCAAATAGCCGAATTCGACTTTCCAAACAATAGACACCATCAACCTTATCGACTTTATTTTCCCTTAAATTATATTGACAGTTGTGATTCCATCAAGTTTATATACTCTTTTTTTCTCCCCATTTTGCAGCAACAAATTGCAAAGTGCTTTTGTTTGTTTGTTTGTTTGTTTTTGTTTGGTTAAAGGTTATTGCCCACTGGTACAGCTACTGGTACACTGTCTGGAAAGCTCGGAATGGTTTATTGCTTATAGTAAAATTTGCCTGATTTCTTACAGGCTGCGTTTGGAAACCTTTTATTATATAGTTGCTTACATACTTAAAAGTCTTTCATTTAAAGACATACTGAAACAAATGTTGTACTTGTTTCTTAAGCATCTTCCTGTAATCTGTTATAAAATTGAAATTAAATATAGAGAATGTTTCGACAAAAAATAATGAAAAAAATAAAGTGGTCTTCTAATGCAGTCGATTCTTATGATTTTGTCACTTTCCAAATGACCATGCCTCCATTCAAAATAATGATATAGGAATACGTTTTGATAAAAATGGAAAAACAAGTAAAACCTAATAATTCTAATGATAGGATTAATTACATGAGTTCTAGAGTATTTTAAAATAGATAACTTTGTTGTTTGTCTACTCACTGCCACAGCCAGATTGAGAACTGTGAAGTTGTCAGCCTCTGTTCCAACTGATAGTGAAGGTTCGAAGATGGCACCATTGGGCTGCAGGAAAGAGACTGTGTTGTCCTCAGCGTCCTGGGTTACATTTTCCTTGGCTAGAAAACGAACTCTAAAGAAATAGCAGTAAACAAAATTCAAAACATTTGTCATATGTGAACATTAGATCTCAAATGTCATTCATTCAACAAATGATTTTTGAACACACAGAATATGCCAGATAGATAGTATGTAAGCAATGGTGTTAAAATGAGAAATCAGCCAGGGTCTCTAGCAAACTAACGAGAAGGGGTCTTAAACTGGCAAACTGGAAATTAAAATAGTGAGAGAGAAGGAATATTGTTATAATGGAGACTCCATGGGAAAACACAAAACAGATCCAGATCCAGATTTAGAATGGTCAGGGTAGGGGTGAGGGTTAAAACACTTTTTAGTACAAGTCTACATAAATGGTCTATGTAACAAATACAAGTTTAGTTAGGTAAAGTACGGCAGATGGTAGCATGCATAAGAACGAACATAATATGTTTTGGGAAATGCAGATATTTGAGTGTGGTTGGATTACAGAGTAAGAGGTGAGGAGAGTAGTGGAAATAAAGTTATTGAAACAAGTAAGATCTCAAACATAAAAGAGTTGCATCTAATACTCAAACGAGACTTTATCCTGAGGATAAGGAGGAAAAAGTACAGGGGCTTCAGCAGGGGAATATTTAGAGCACATTTTCTTATATTAGAAAGAATGATCAAAATACAAGGCCTATCCAGCACTGCTTTTTCCCTTTTTCAGGACTTCTTTAATGAGAATTAGAGATAAGAATATAATTTCCATTTTTAAGGGTTATAGACTAACTTCCCCAGCCCCTCAAGTATATTGAATACTTTTGCTAGTTCTAATCTCCTGACTCTAACATATCTAGGCTGCAAAGTACCAACTACATTTTAGGAACGCGGTGAAGGGTGATTATTACAGGAAAAATACATTTCACAAGTGGAAGATATTCACTGAGAAGAAATAAGATATATATCATAATTGCACTGTCATATTTGAATGCCTGTGAAGTGAGTAGATAGCCAAGGTAAAGACTTAAGCAATTGGACTGAATTTTTTAAAAACCCATTTTATTCCATTATAATAAAAATGTAAATTCCTACAGGGTAGGGGTTTATGAGTGTTTTGTATCTCTAAGCATCATGCCTGGTATATAATGAGTTCTCAGTAAATGTATTTACTAAACAAATGTCTCAGATTCTTTAAAAAGAGGATTCAAAGTTGGCTAGAAATATATTTTTAATATAATTTTATTAAAACTACTATTCTTGAAGTACTGCAGACACACAAAGAATATAAAAATCTGAAACAGCACTCAGGACAATTGTATTTTAAATTAGTGTGCATATTACTAATATTTCAAATCAAAGTACTTCAATTTTCAGAAATATGCCCATATATTAAAACAATAGCAACATAATTGTCACGTTACCTAAAGTGTACTGACAACATTATACCAGTAGATGGCAGTCACTAGAAGAAAAATCCTTAAAACAGCCCTGCCTTTAGAATGTTGTTTTAAAAAGGGAACATAATTACTGAATTTTTTGTTTAAAAGTTAGACTGTATGGAAGTTTTGGAACGTGTTTGTTTATAAGGTCAAGGGAAGGAATTTATGCTTTTCTCAAGATTACTTTTTATATTCTTTCCAAAGCAAAGTAACTCAAAAAATGAATTACAGATCTAAGAATATTCTGAAGGAATTACAGCATCTTCATAGAGATGGTGTAGGTAGAAACACACATAAGATCTCAACCCAAGCAATTTCGTGCTTTGATTCAGGTCATATCTTGTCAAAGTGTAATCAAGCTTACTTTAGCAGACAATGGCCAAATACAGCCTGTGGTTCTGTTTGAGGAGGGACATTCTCACATACTTCCAATGTCAGATGGATTTAGGGTATAATTAGTTATGAAAAAGCATGTTTAGCTCAACACATGCACTATCAAAGTGTTAATTTTTTTTCTAAAAGGTACTGGTTGTTTTTCCATTATTTAAGGCACTCAGGCAAACAATAAAAGACTATTTTGGTGACATGCTGAGACAAGATGACCTACAGATAATCAGGAATCCCTTTAAAATTGTTACAGAAAGAGCTATTTATGGATTCTAAAATTTAGCTGTAAATGCAACTGTTCTTCTCCAGTCTTTGCTCCATTGCCTCTCTAAGCAAACCAAATATATCTAACACATCCCCTTTTTGTCCCTTAGAGAGATAGGTTAAAGGCTTTAAGAATAAAATATAGATCAGCTGTCAACTACCAGAGGAGAACTATTTCAATAATATGTTTTCTCATATCCCAAATAATATATTTAAAAGTGAAAAATATGGTCGGGCATGGTGGGTCACACCTGTAATCCCAACACTTTGCGAGGCCAAGGCACATAGATTGCTTGAGCCCAGGAGTTTGAGGCCAGCATGAGCAACATGGCGAAACCTTGTCTACAAAACAAAACCCATAAAAATTAGCTGGGTATAGTGGCATGCGCCTGTGGTCCCAGCTACTCAGGAGGCTGAGGTGGGAGGATCACTTGAGCCTAGGAGGTTGAGGATGCAGTGAACTGTGATCGTGCCACTGCACTCTAGAGTGGGTGACAGAACAAGACCTTGCCTCAAAAAATAAACAAAATTAAAAACAGAAGTGAAAAATATAACTTCCCCCAAACAAACAAAAAAAATCATGATGAGTTCTCAAATTCTAACAACTATTTTCTTTCCTCACACTTACTCAGTTCACTTAGGTTCTATTTCTTAAACAATTATGCTGATACTCTCCTTAGGTCATATGTGAATTCTAGATTTTCATAAGTATATATACACCTATGAATACATATATATATATGTGTGTATATATATATGGTACACCTAACAACATTCTTTGCAACAAGATACTTGTATAGACTCTTGCTAATAATATAAAAACTTTAAGACCATGAAGAAAATTCTAAGGTAAGATGTTTTTGTACCCATAAAAACTAAGTCTTCATTGACAAAATTATGAATTGTCACAGATGCGCACAGAGACACCCGATTCGGGTAAAACTGCTAAGACAGGACATGCACCAAGGCCCTCTGGGGCTTATATGTCATGTGCTATGGTAGTAGGCACCACCCTCACCATGCCTGTTATTTCATTTTATTTTGGGTGTGAATTTTCAATCTGGAAGCATAGTAATGCTTTGGGGAAGAAGGAAAATTATACAATCATCCGATAACCAAAACAGATAAGATGCTAAAACTACAAATTATAAAAAATCATTAGAAATACAAAACTTTGTGATGAGAACTAATCATGGTGTATAACTAGTTGTGATTATCCATGAGGGAAAATACACATTTAGGTAACAAATTCTATAGCAGAACATAACTATGTTTCCATATGGATACCATAAATATATTCCTAATCCTTGGTTAAGGTAGTGTTTTTGGCACCTCAATCTCCCCCTTTTTTCCCTTTTTAGTGAAAAAGACAGAGTGTCTATAATTGAAATGGAAGAAAAGGTATACAAAAATCTAGGAGCTACCAGTACCTACATCTGTGTGAACATGGACAAGTGACCTCACATCCACTGGATCAGGCATTTTTAACTCACAAAATGACAGATTCTGGCTGATCATTTCCTCTAGTTCTAATACTCTAAGATTCTGTTCAAAAGTGTGTTAAACTATCAGGGAAGGCAGAGGAAAGATATAAAATATTGTCTCAACACTAGAGGAAATATAAGAGTGAAACTAAAATAGATCAATGTAAACATCTATATGACCCAGAAGTTAATTTGAATATAAATCTTGAGTAGGTACCGCAGTTAGGAAAAATGAATTTAGCACGGTGGTTCTCAAAATTGTGTATTCAAATCACCCAGGATTTGTAAAACTCTTTAGTGGGCCTCAACTCTTTCATTCATTTGGTCTGGGATGGGGTGGAGGGATTTGCATGTTTCCCAATTCCCTGTTAATGCTGATGCAGCTGGCCCAGCACTTTGCTGTGGCCCAGCTACACTTTGAGAACCACTGTTAAAATATGCTTTAAATTTTAAGATGTGAAAACTGATTTTTTTTTCCTCAGCAGGAATATTTCAGAGTTGTTGAGAATATATGCCACAATAACAAAACACTAACTTCATAAACATAGGGAAGTTATTTGATACTGGTAAGTTTATAATAAAATCTGTTTATCTTTTCTATATATTGTCTAATAAATATTTGGATAATGTATATATCTTCCACTTTTTTCAAAATAAATACCTTATAATCATTAAATTCTTAGATTAGGATTCTATACAGACAGGAAAAATATTTTAAAGTATATTTTTGGCAAGAAAATAATAAGTACATTTCAATACAATGACATTTGCCAAGTAGAAGACTTCTCAGAAATACATGGTCAAGGTAAGAGTGTCTCATATTTGTGGGGACTCACTCACCTGTACGTATAAGGACCTCTTTGCTTAACTTGAATGTTGCTGCTGTTCATCATCACTTCCTGTGGATTTTGCACATCAAAGATCCAAAACTGTCTGTAAACTTCTGTGCCTGTTTTAACCCAATTTTTAAAAGCAATTGTACCTTCTTCGAGGACAACTTGCTATGAAAAAGAAAATAAGTTTGGGTTATGTCTTTGTAGTAAGTACAGGCACTTCTGGAAGATTGTTTGCAGCCTTGAGTCAGCCAGAATAAAAGGACCAAGCCCAAGTACCTCATTCATGAGAACCTTTGCAACCTTACCATACACTTGCAGCAGAAATGTTTTCAACAAATTATTATTACAGCAGTCTTTTTAGCCTTTTACAAAGAGAATCAGTGTGTAATACTGAAGACACGACTGTTGATTTTAAGGCAAACTTTAAAGTGACCCTTCGGCAAGCTTTAGAGTGACGCTTTGAAAATATTGCAACAGTCAACATAATTTATTAAGCAAATTTTACCGAAGTTCAAAAAAGTTCTTACTGAGTTGAACTTCTTCTCTGCCCCTAAGTTGGACTGATGAAACAAAACACAAAAACTGAGTGAAAAATCTAATGGTATTGGAAGCTTTTTCTTTTCCTTCAAGAGTTGGACACTTCAGAGGATGGTACTTAACACTCACTACATTAAGAAAATAAAAATATCTACATGAAGAACACAAATTTGACACCGTGTCTTCAAAATCCTGCTCAATCTGGCTTCCCTAACCTTTTTCTTTTTCTTTTCTTTTTTTTTTTTTTGAGACAAGATATTGCTCTGTCACCCAGGCTGGAGTACAGTGGTACAATCTTGGCTCCTTGCAGCCTTGACCTCCCAGGCTCAAGTGATCCTCTCACCTGTGCCACCATGCCCACCTAGTTTTTGTAGTTTTAGTAGAAACAGGATTTCACCATATTGGTCAGGCTGACCTTGAACTCCTGAGCTGAAGCAATCCACCTGACCTGGACTCCCAAAAGGCTGGAATTACAGGTGTGAGCCACTGCACACAGCCCCTAACTTTCAATATATTTGCAACAACCCATTATCATGTTTCCAAAAATTACAACAGCCTCACTCATCATTATTGGGTTGTAGTTTTTAAAGAAAAAAACAGGACAAGGAAGCTGTCCTATTACTCCTTTGTGAAATCCACTAAAAATCACTGATGCTCCTTTGGTAAAGATAGACAAGTGGAAAATACACCAATAAGAGAATTAAAAATCCTACATTAGGAACTCGATTCCTTGCTTTAGGAGCTTTGGGACTGGGTGGAGAGTCATCAAACCTCCCTAGGGTCAACTTCATTAGCTGTAAAATAAGGGAGTTAACATAAATATTCTTCTAGTTTTCTTCCACAGCTTTCACTCTCTGAGCCAGAAGTCTATTACGCTGTAGTAGATAGTGCAAACAAAGGTGATTTTGAAGCAGGCGGTATTTCTAATGAAGTATTGGGAAGAATGCCCAGGTTAAAGAGCTCCAACTTAACCTGAGTGTGCTACAGGAAGAGGAATACAACTATTTCATGGAAAATGAGCCTAAAGAGAACAATGACCACAGGAACATTCTGACCTATTTGTTTCCTTGACCTGGAAGCACCACTTCACAGAATGACAGATTAGGAAAGGACATTGAACATGATCACATTTTCCAGTGGATCACACTGAGGCTCTGAGAAACCAGGTGGCTGGCCCAAGGACAGCCTAGGCAAACAGTAGTGAATTCATGACAAAAATCCTCATCCATGACCCTTAGACTAGTCCTCCTTTACACCATGCTATGACTGTCTTTTTTTTTTTTTTTTCCGTCACCCTCTGCACTTAGTTGGTAGAAGTCAAATTAAGTTTCATATCTTCATGATATTTTACTTATTGCTTAATGTAGGGAATAAGCGAATTCCTTAGAGAAGAACTGGGCACCAAGTTAAAATGGAATTTCAAAATCCTACGCTGCTGTAATCCACTTATACGGGGTACATTGGACCTGCTAGAGTGATGGAATCTTTATTACTTTTTACAACAAATTGTCCTTGAAAAACTTTTTATTTGCTCCCAAAAAGGCTTATTTCCATACTAAGTCTAATATTAAGACAAAATTGCTTAAAGCATTATGGATATTCTTCTAAATGTAAATATGTTTGGTGAGGATGTTGAAGCTCAAAGCTAAATAGAAGCTGAAAACGGTTGATTTCTCCATTTCAAGAGACTTAACAAGGGAGAACACACAAACACAAACATTATTCTCCTCACACTATTAGAATCTTAATGCTCAAAAACAATACCTGTTATTCATCAAGTGCCTCTCAAGGTACATATTAGGTTTGTACACAAGTAATTACGGTTTTTGCGATTTTAATGACAAAAATCACAATTACTTTTGTACCGACCTAATATCTCTTAATGAAAGAAACTCAACAAACTCTTATAGAATTGAAGAGAGTCTGTGACAGAATGTGCTTGACAGGATTGAATGCCTTCCTAACTCTACAATGAGTGTCCATCTAAACACCAAAAGACATTGTACGTGTATGAGACCTTTTTTTCTAAAGGCCACAAATCACTTTTCCCTTAAAAAATATCTCTAGCGACAAATAAGGCAAACGTGAAACACAGGGTTGAAATGAATGTGTTGAATTATCAACTGTTAGAATCAGGACTATCTAACCCCGTCCATTTTTTTAGAGGTGGAAAATGGGTTCTAGAGAAAAGAGATGTCTGACTCAATGTTATGTGACAAATTTACTAGCAGATAATAGAAAAATCAGGTCCTTTCACTTCAATTTTATATAGTTTCCATAGCATCATGATTTGTTTAGAGACATAGAGAAAAATATTGAAGTAGTCGAAGTAGTAATAATATGCTTCTGACGCTACCACTACTATATGTATTAAATTGTAGTCACTCCTTGAATACCAAGACTAAATATGTCACAAGAAACAAAAGATGTTATGTCCTTTGTGAATTTAAAAGAACTTGATTTTAAATTGAATTTGGACTGTCTAGACTATTTTGCAAATATTTTACTAAATTTGAAGTACAAAGCTGGTAAGTATGTACACAGAAAAAGTGATATAAGATTTTCTCACTTGGCTAATGTGTATGTGTGTATTTGTCCCTGACTCTAAGCATGCAGACTACCAAGCCCCAACAACAACTGGATTTCAACCTGGTGACTCTCACATAGCATGTTCTATAGCTGGGTTGAAAGCACTGACCTTGAAACTTCTATTCTGCTACATTAATTTGAAAACAGATGCTTGTTGGGACCTTAATATCCTATATGTAGTCATGCACTCACTTGAATACTGTTTTCATGCAACAGCAATAATCATCTACATAACTGACAACTTTCATTATTAAAATGCCCTTCATACTTTGCTACGCATGGAGTAGAGTACAAATGTAGAAAATATTTTGTTTCACTTTTCAAGGACTTTACACATTTCTACCAAGAGACAGAAGTATGTTTAGCAGATTTTAATCTACGAGTTAGATTTTTTTACCCTATCCCCACCCTAACAAGGTATAGTGGCTTCTTCCCTAAAGCATAGACTGAAGTGGCCAACAATGAAATTAGATGCTATGAGTTTGATCACTTAATAATAATCATCATCATTGAAGTTTGAGCAGATTATTTAATTTCTTTGTACCTCACTTTCCTTATCTGTGAAATTATAACAGTAATGTTAGATTGAACCATATAGACTTAGTATTTTTGAAAATCAAAAAAAGTTGAATTTTGGCATTTTCATGTGGCTTAAATATTTATCCTCATAGGTTGTTATGGGGATCAATAAACGTGAACACTTAGAACAGTGTTAGTACAAACCAGACATTCAATAAATGTCAGCTATTAGTATTTTACAAATTCTATCCATCCTTTAGAGGAAGAACTCTAATACCATTTACTTCTCCATTCTGCTTTAATTGCTTGGTTCATAGCATTTACTGTCTAAGCCAGTCATGTGCCAATAACTTATATAATATCCTGTGACAATTATTTTTCTGTTATTTAATCATTTTAATATTTCTCTTTCTAGTAAAGTAAAAACTTTCTTAAAAACCAGAAGCATACTTCCATCCTTCCCACTAGCTGCTACCATTTGCTTGTAATTGGGCCTAAAACGAATCATTTCCCCATGTTAAAAGAAATTCTAATGTTTTTGCATTATGCAAGTGTGTGTAAGTTGAGAATGAATTAGAATTGTAGTGACAGTTATGCAGAGAATCTGAAAATGGCTTTAGTTTCAGAACATCATCATCAACTAAAACCCAGAATAAAATTAGGTGAAATGTATTGGAGTAGTAAGCTTTAATATGTTTCTGAAACCTAGAAATTAGCCTCCAAGAATTTATGTAAGTACCTAAAATGGTATGAAAAGTAAACTATGTTGTGTTTGGCATGAAAAGTAAACTATGTTGATATTAAATTGGACTAGTAGAAGAAACATATATGCTTGTCTATTTCTTGAAACATTGTCTTTAAGTGACATTTGTTATTACAGCTATATGCACATATACATAGTGTTTAATTCGTTTTTATACTGCTATTTTAATTTAAATATTTTGGGTTGTTCTTACGTTATTAAATATAAAACAAACTTTACCATCTTTAATATTTTTAGTCATTTATTTTTGAGCTTTTAGATACTATGAAAAAGTACAAATTATTTTATTATATCTGGAAATACTAGAAGCATACATTATAAAGGTAATATAAACAAATTATATGTTTAAAATATGGACTATTAATTCAAACATAATTTTTTGCGGGGGGAGACAGGGTCTCACTTTGTCACCCAGGCTGAAGTACAGAGGCGCGACCTTAGCTCACTGCAGCCTCAACCTCCTGGGCTCAAGGGATCCTCCCACTTCAGCCCCACAAAAGCTAGGACTACAGGCATGTGTAACCATATCCAGCTAATTTTTTTGTATTATTCGTAGAGATGGGGTTTTGCCATGTTGCCCAGGCTGGTCTCAAACTCCTGAGCTCAAGTGATCCACCCGTCTCAGCCTCCCGAAGTACTAGGATTATAGGCATGAGCCACCATGCCCAGCCATGTATAACCATTTTAATGAATCATGATTTCAATTTATTTTGTCTGAAGGCATTTCTTACAAGCTACAGAAGGATCATTGTTTTCAAGAATGGGAGAAGGAAAAATGGTATAATTGAATGATGATATTTAATATTAGTTCTCTAACAGGAACAAAGAAACCTATAATTCCTTTTTTGGTGTTCTATAGTTAGAACTATAGAACTTATTTAAATTTTATTTTTTTCTTCCAACTTTTATTTTAGGGTCAGAGGTACATGTGCAAGTTTGTTATATAGGTAAATTGTGTGTCATGGAGGTTTGGTGTACGGATTATTTCTTCACGCAGGTAATAAGCATAGTACCTGATAGGTAGTTTTTTGATCCTCCGCTCTCCTCCCCCTTCCCACCCTCGATTAGCCCCAGGTGTCTATTGTTCCCTTCTTTATATCCACGTGTATTCAATATTTAGCTCCTACTTACAAGTGAGAACATGTGGTATCTGGTTTTCTGTTCCTGCATTAATCTGCTTAGCATACAACTACCTATGTTATGTTATACAATATTCACTAAACTTTTTATCAACTGACATTAATAATGTCAAGTGATAAATTATCTTTTGTAAATGGTGGTAGAATTTTGACCCTTTTCCACAGTGCTTTGGTAGTTTCTACTTTCATGGCAGCTCTTGCTATTGATTTTTAGTTTTTTTTTTTTTTTTGAAAGACTGCATAAACTTGCTGGCTGCACACAACTCTATTAAGAATCACGGTCAAAAATACTGGTAAGAAAGATTGCAGCTATAATCCATAAAAAGCATGAGGATACCAGAGACATCCCTTGAAAATAAAGAGCAAAAATAAAGTACAAATAAGCTTGCTAAACTGTTTTAGACTACTTCAAATGGTAATGACATCTTTCAGAATTGGAAGGTATCACAGCACTGCAACTCTACACTAAATATGAAATGATTTTCTCATCATTCTCAATTAAGAAGTTTAATTATTTTTTTCCAAATATCACTTGTATACAATAGCTTTCTTAATTTGCTATTAGTCAGCTAAACAAAGTAATATTAAATGAGTTTTAATGGTACACAAATAAGAAGTCAACAGTACCAAAACCCATATGTTTGTGAAATAGCATTACTCTAAGTATTTCTGAGGCAGCAGTAAGACACTTGGCTCTCTAGGTTTACACAAAATTCAAATATTTGACTCCTACTCTATGCCAAAGATATACATACGCCAATATCATTTAAAAAATAGTCTGTAAACTGAAGAAAAAAGAAACAGTCTATTCAAACAATATTCCACCTACTTCATATGACTAAATTAACAAGGTCAACATGGTTGTGTAGGAATCTGAGAGCAAAAAGAAGCTTAGCCTTAAATGTACCATACATCTTGACCAATATAAGGATTCTGATGATGAGTCTTAGTCTATGGACATGTAGGGGGCTTACAATGTGCACTGTCATTTGACAGTTTTTATGAGTCTCTGTTGTACCACCTCCTTGAGTTTGAATCTACACTAGGAAGTCTGAATCTTCTCTTTTCCTTGTAAAAGATTGCACGGATAATTCTTATTTCAAAAACAAGAAGGAAAAGCACTCCATTGATTTAATTCCCCCTTCTTTATTACCCTACTCAAAGTATACTTTCAAAATTATTGGTGACCATGTTCTAATCATTATTTTCTTAATTTTCATCTGCCTGAGAACATTTTATGCTTTCTTTCCTTGAGTTCTGGCCTCCTATTAACTTCTAGGATTGTACTCTTTGTTTGTTTCTTCATATAAGATCATTCTTTTCCTTTTCTACTTTTGTCTTCCTGCCTCTGAATTATTACAAATTCTGTAATAATTCTTCTGCTTTTTCCTCTCTCCATTAAAACTCTCTAAAAGTAAATCTACTGTTTAGTTTTATTTTTAATCTTTATAGCAATGATCAAATCTATTTGAACTCTGACCTTTGAAACACAGACTGATGTTCATAAAACATCACTTATAAAACCTCTGTTTTACTTTGTAAGGTATATACATACCTTCTATCAATAACTCACTGGACATCTTGAGTTTGATGCTTTTACTCCTCTAATTTAATCTGTCTCTCCAAGCTTCCATTTCATCCTATTATCTATCAGTTTTTTTTTTCTATATACTCAACCATGCCAGACCAGTGTGCCTTTTGTTATATAATGTGCAGATTATGCAAATATCTTTCTAAAAGGGAATCTTATATTCTCCTTGAAAGTGGTCATATCCTACAGTTTTTTGTTTGTTTGTTTTCCTATCTCTGGTATCCTCACTTTGCAACCTTTCTGCTGTAGAGTAGTATACAAGGCCAGGTTTTTCATCTAGGCTCTTCCTACAGATTGCTTACATTTGGAGAATGACTTCTTTCCCTATTGGCTAGGTGAGTTGGCAAGTTGATTTAAGGACTTGCGCCTGTAAGATGAGTAAAATAACAGCAACTTCTCACAGATATTTTTGAAGATTAAGTGAACTAGTATATAGGAAACTCTTAGTAAGAATTAAATGTTAGCCATCTAATCTCTAAATTCAGGTTTTATCATATCTTACACTTGCTGAAAAACATACCGACGACTATTGTGTATTGTATCATCAATTAAGTATTTTTCTGCCTGATGTTCTAAGCTTGCTTCCTAACTCTAACCCCATGTTAACTTCTAATCTTTTCTGCTGTTAATCCAGTATTATGGGCACATTCTCTACCTTCTTCCTTCCATCTTCACTGCATTTGGTAGCATTTTCACAGGGTTTTTCATACTATCAATCAGTCCTTTAATATGGTTACTGCAGTTATTTGAGACTTTCAAAATTCTACACTTCTTTAAAATCTGAATCAAGTCCTACCTTTTTCCTGAAGTTTCTTGAATACTCTGAGAGATTTCTCTTTCAAAGTATTACAGCATTTACTTTTCCAATTCAATTCTAGAGTCTCATAGGTCTCGGTATTTTTTATTATAATATATCTTCCCCTGGTTATAGCTTACAATAGATGAGATTATATTATTCTCTTAGTCATTATACAAAAGCACATTTTGATGTCAGAAAACTTACTTTCTCATGGTTAACTATTATAAGCATAAAGATAAATATTAAAGAATTAAAATAAATGCTAGCACCTCACATGCTATTCAAAAGAATCTACATGTACCAGTTTTGTTGCATGACAAAGAAAAAAATTAAATCATCAATACTCAGTTATTGACCAATAATTATGTGTCAGCAAAAAAAAGTAGTCTAAATCGCTGTGCATTGGAAGATTATTGTGATTTTTGAATTTGGAAAACTTTTCCAAATGATGTTGTAGTCTGTACGTTAACACAGACACTGATCTTGTACTTTCTCTGCATAAGATCTGGGTGAGAACATAGTTTATGAGTAGGAAGGATGTCAGATCAATGGCCACTCCATCCCACTATTAGATAAGCCCCACACCTCACTATTACCTGTCTGTTTCCATTGGCCTGTATTAAAAATACTATCAAGAAAACTAAGAATTCCAAGGCAGGGGATACTAATTTACATATGTTTTTTCAGTTAAATGCATGAGGCTGAAGTTCTGCAATATGTTAGCAATAAACACAATACAGTCAGCCCTCTGTATTCATGGGTTCCACATCTGCAGATTCAACCAACTGTGGATCAAAAATATTAAAAATACTAACAATATAGCAATAAAAATTTAATAAAAATTCAATTCCTCCTGTTCTCCATCGTGCACTATGCTTACTAACCCTTTGTCTAGGTCATTGCCATCCTAACCAGGTAGAGAGTTGAAGGCAGAACTCGTTTTATTTGGCCAGTATTATGTTTAATAAAATGAACATTTATGCCTTCAGGCAGTAAACACACAGTCTAGTTCACAGCAGTTCCTGTTCTTCATTTTATCTTGTTCTTGGCACCTTAAATTTTGTTTAACCCCTGTATCCAAACTCCTGCAGCCATTTGAATTTGCCATCCCTGATTTAGAACTTCAGCAGAACTGCTTCCCTTTATTCTCTTCTTCCCCCTATCAATCAACGTTTCTGATGAGTGAGTGTGTAGCTAATTCGAATAAGCTAGGGTGGGAGATGAATTCTAGGTTGTTGTGCAAAGCCCATCTATTCAATCATTCTGTTTTTTCACACTACAGTCAATTTGTTTTATACTAAGACATGTTCTGCATATTTCTGAAAGTATTTTCTAAGATTCCAATATGAAGCTTCACAAATAGAAAATATTTATGAGATGAGATTATTACACATATATAAAAATAGTGGATTACTAAACAGTGTATTACCAAACAAGTTTACCTACAATTTAATAAGGATTTATGTTTCAATATTAAACACATTACACACACACACACACACACACACAGTTTTACTTTTCTCAGTATTAACTAAAGTGCAACTTCTTTTATAAATGTGCTTTTACAAAATATACTCACTTATTTCCTACTCAAAAGCATGCCAACATGCTCTTTGGACATAACTTAAAACAATTATTTCTACTAACATGCATACCTGTAGACAGCTTTTAATAGAATTTGGTATTTATATTTAAGACAGCAATGGAGTCATGTTAAATATACATTATACTTATAACATTTCACATAAAGTCGCATCATATAGAGTTGCAGTGGTTCATAATTACCTTTATGTCAAAGATACAAAATTAGCAGTTACCATGAAATATAAAGCAGGTAAATACAAAGCAAAAAAAGAGAAGTTAGAATCAATCAAAATGAGAAGGCATATTCTTTGGACTACTTGTACCTTTTTAATTGTCTTCTGGATAAGCAGGTCTCCAACTGGCATTAGAATACCTCCAAACACAGCCAGGACAGCACCAATGACAGCCCCAGCGATGAGCCCACAGTTCCGGTCACAGCCCATTTTTCTTGTTCAGGAGGTGAATTAGTGTTAAGCACCTGTTTCTTGCAAACTCCTGGATATGATTAAAGTGGTTTCTACAAGCTCTGGTTCTATCATTAGAAAGAGATCATAAAACAGAAGCTTAAATATCAGTACAAAAAGATCAAAGTACAAAGAAAACACCCACTGAAACGTATCATTTTGCCCGTTCTAAATAAACAAATGCTTTTCTTTTTGTTTCACCAAAGTGGCTTCCTCGGTCCGTCTCCCTTTTCTTGCTTCTAATGCCTACCAGTGGCAGAACTAATAATGTCATATCTGAATTTCTTCATATTCCTCCTTTTTAATTTTCTTTCTACACATGATTAACATATTGAAATCTTATCTAAGGAGAACTCTCACCCTCATCTCTCTTCCCTTGTCTCAGCAACTTAGTTGCATCCTCACTATCTGGTTTCTCCACCCAACACAACCTTCCACACCCCTTCTGGAGCTCTCCTGCGAACAGAATGTGGGTTGACTGATGTGTTTTCCATTAAATGATAAGCAAGTATGGTAACAGATGTTTTATTTACGATACCTTATTCACAAATCAACAGCAAGACATGAATTTTACAGGAAATGAACTGATGAGTCACAGAAAGAATCAATTCGTCTAATCATTGGAAAGCTATCTGTGAAAATAAGAAAAGCATGGGTAAATAGAAAAAAATTCTCAGAAATTTTATACTGGGACACTCTCTAATATCACCATACTTAAAATAACTGTTAAAAGAAAGTCTAATTTTCATGAATACTGAGTTCAGGCCTGAATGGCTTGTCCTAAAAACTGTTTAAAACATGGAATTTTTAAAATAAGAGTATCTTACTTTCAGTTTTATTGATGACTTTGGATAGACTACAGGTATAAAGAATTTGAAGCAAATATAAAATGTAGAGGATGTCTTGTTTCAACCATGGCATTGCTCTCTTACTGAAGAATTTTTTCCCTACACATTCAACTACAATATAGTTTGTCATTTGCAGTTGATTCATGCTAATTCTGTTAAAATTAGGTAGTTTGTGTTAGTATATATTTGTCAATCTAATGTTTGGTGTCTTCATAAAGTATGTGATTATTATTATTTTTTGAGACGGAGTCTTTCTCTGTCACCCAGGCTGGAGTGCAGTGGCACGATCTCGGCTCACTGCAACCTCTGCCTCCTGGGTTCAAGCAATTCTCCTGACTCAGCCTCCTGTGTAGCTGGGATTACAGGTGCACGCCACCATGCCTGGTTAATTTTTGTATTTTCAGTAGAGATGGGGTTTCACCATGTTGGTCAGGCTGGTCTCGAACTCCTGACCTCGTGATCCACCCACCTCAGCCTCCCAAAGTGCTGGGATGACAGGCGTGAGCCACCATGCCCAGCCATAGTATGTGATTATTATATAAAGATTGGGAGAGCCGGGCGTGGTGGCTCACACCTGTCATCCTAGCACTTTGGAAGGCTGAGGCGGGTGGATCACCTGAGGTTGGGAGTTTGAGACCAGCCCGACCAACACAGAGAAACCCCATCTCTACTAAACATACAAAGTTAGCCGGGCTTGGTGGCACATGCTTGTAATCCCAGCTACTCCGGAGGCTGAGGCAGGAGAATCGCTTGAACCCAGGAGGCGGAGGTTGCGGTGAGCCGAGATCATGCCATTGCACTCCAGCCTGGGCAACAAGAGTGAAACTCCATCTCAAAAAAAAAAAAAAAGATTGGAAGAAAGAATACAGTTTGTGAAATGAGTGGATCCTACTGTAATAATCAGAGTTAATTCTAACTAGTATTTGAAAACACATTTATTTGAACTTCTTTGTTGTTGCAATGACATTTTGTCAATAATGGGGTTGGCGTGTCATTTATAGTCAGAATGCGCTTTATAGTTTATAAACAATTATTCTCTACTTTGAAATGCTCATGGCCAAAGAAAACATATGTGCCAACGGAATGAAGGCTACAGTCAAAAAAGGGCACATAGAATATTGTTGTTAATGTTGTAAGTGTATTAATAATTGTGGTTTGTTATAATTTCAGGTTTTCCCTCCACAGCTGTCTTGCAACAGAGGTACCACTCTTATGATTTTATTAGTATTTACTTCCACTTTAGTAATCATATAGTTTTTCAAAAATATTACCTGTAGAGCTAAGAAAAGAATAAGAAAATGATATTTTCCCCCAAAATGTAGGAATAAATGTTACAAATATTTTTCTTGGCAATTTTATTATTTACATATGTTCCCTTAACCTTTGGGATTCCCCTTTGCCTATTCCCTTATACATAGGATACTTTCCAGTATAAACCATAGGATGCAATAAACTTCATTTACATCAAGGTCTTGGTGATTAAGAAGACTGACTAGTTCTTTAGTGTCATTTTTCTCCAATGTAAAGGGAATGCACATAAGTCTAAACAAGTGATTTGTTTTTCCTGTGGAATTTTCTGTCTCACTGAGCAAGTAGGGCTGGCTTTTTATTAATTGTTCAGGGTGGAGTGGTAACAATAGCTTTCCCTGCCCTTGGAAATCGTATACCATGCTACCTCATATGGCTTTGTCCATGGCTGTCCTAATGCAATGGAATGAGTAATTTAATGCTGGTAATCAGGACTGGATATTGTCAAATAGAATTTCCTTTGCAATGCATAATTGTAAAGCACTTGAAACTTTTCTTGAAACCATCTTTTAAGCAACCACAGTAATCGCCAACTAGAGAATGTCATGCTGGTGTTCTGTATGTTGTGAACTGATAATGAGATTTAGGGTAGTTTATTAGGTACATAATATTTTATTGAATGCCCATTTCATAGACCATCCCCAAATATTTTCTGCAAGTTATACTTAACGAAGCAATTAAAATATAGCGATCCCAGCTGGTTCAATTGAGATGAAGGGACAAGATTAAACCAAAGACTGATTTGTCACTGTCTTGCTAAATGAAAGCAGACAAGCCACATAATCTCTCTACACCTCAATTTCCTCATGCGTAAAATGAGATGATAAAATGAGATCAGCATTTTTTAATTTAAGCGGCTGAACTGGTTTTTCAATTCTTACGTGGAAGTGCATTAGGTAAAATGACTGATTCCACAGCAGTTAAGAAACCCAGAGACTCTGTTTCTTAACTTTGTCTTCCTGTTCCTGCCTGACACTCTTTATCCTCACTGTTAGGAAGCTCTAGGAGAACCTCTGTAGAAACCCACAGCTTTATGAGCCCACATAAAAAATGCAGCAGGAAACCCCCAGTGTCACATTCCAGTTTTGTTAATATAGTATGAAAATCTATTTAAAACATGTATAACTCAAGGATTAAGTTATCTCTCTGGAAAAGTTATTTTATGTTCCACATAAACTTCACTAAAAATTACTCATTCAATATTAATGTCATTTGCAACTCTGACAAATGTGATACAAAATGATTTAAAATTATAACTCTATTGCTGTTAGAATAGGTATATGTGCATATATTAGCCCTTCTCCAGATTCTATGCCACAACCTAGTTGTGAATCTATCTGGCCTTTTCCCAAATCATTCTTCTTTATTCAATCAAGTAGCTCCATGCACTACAGAGAAGAGTTTCTGCAAGGGGTAAAGAGTTCCAACAGTAACCACTGAAGAAACCAGGGAGTAGTGCATGCGCTCCAATGGCTCCCTCTCTAGACCTGAAAACTGATTAGTATAACTTCTATGGACTCTGAGCCTAGATATGTTGAGCAATGGACAGGCCTGGGTACTGCCTAGCTCTGTCTGCTTTGAACTTAAAACTGAAGTGAGATAGTGTACACATCCCACTGCTGTAGAGTCACATACATTAGAAAACAGAAGTATCAAGTAATTTATTCTGTTGAATTCTATGGTTAGACAGTTCTCAATCTAACATTGGTCAGGATGATATACAAGCAAAATTACAAGTATTAATCTAACAAAACTTCAATCCATGTGCTGATATTTTGAAAAAAGAGCTAGACAAACTGAACTTGTCTATTTGTTCAAATTTTCAACTGATTGATTGCCTCTTATTACTTTAAGTTTCTACCTTTTTCCTAAGAATAGGCAAAATACGTGACACTAGTTGGGTTCATTTATTATCACTCGGTGCCTTGACACCATGAGTAATGAAGTATTGTTATTATAATCATACTCTATCCTTAAGCTGCATATGACAAAATTATAATTAGTTTTATTCACCTGAGGCAAAGGAGAACCACCCATACTACGTAAGACGTGCACCAAATACAAAAGAGAAAAGTTCATGTTAAATAGCACATGTAGTCACACAGCTTTTCCACCTATATTTATCTTCAGAGAAAGAATGTAGTTTGTCTCCACCATTCCACCAAATTTAGCTGTCTAAAGCATAAAAAAATTTGGGTTATGCTTACTCAGTTTTCTTAATAACACAACTCCTTATATATGAAAATAGGTAATTAATTTCATTTGCTAATTGTAGATTAAATTTTATTCTTTACTAATTGTTACTTGTCCTTTATAAGAAACAGACAAGATATTGATACTGTATCGGTAATAATTTACTTCCTGCTTAAAATACTTAAATTTAGAAAGCCAAGATACAGAAAACTAATTGAGACTTGTATAAAGAAGAAAGGGAAAATAAGAAGACGTGTTTTAATAGGCAACTAATTACATGCCTTTCTTGATTCTATAGGCAGCTCAGTTGCCTTCTGTCCAGTTTATAGATTATAAATCCTATTCCTTTTGTAGAATTCATGAGTGGACCCTATTCCGTTGGGTCATCTTTGAAAGAGGGAGGAAAAATATAACTTTTTTTTTTTTTTGGTTATCAGGTCAACAGTGTTTCTGTAATGAACTTTTAAGCAAAATACCCTCCCACTATATTGGGAACCCAGTAGAAACAGAGACTAAGCTTTTTGCAAAGCCTGCATTAGACTGAGATATAAGAAGCCTCTTCAGTAAACAGTTTAGAACATTAGAGCAAGTCCCCAGAGCATCTATAATTAATCCCTTGTGTTTATAAAGCTGTGTTCCCTTGGAAACTCCACCCAGAAAAGGCATGGCCCTGAAGTAACATCTGCTGGGATGTAAACTATGAAATTTGAAAAGTTTTAGATTTCCAGGGTACTTGTACCATAGACACTTGCCAGACCTAAATGACATTTTCTTACTGATCAGTAGATTGCTAAAATTTCTTTTTTTTCTATCTATAAGCCTTCCTCCCACTTTTTCTTAGGATAGAAAACCAGACCACACTCTTGTTTTCCATTCTCTTGATACAGAGAGTTTTCCTTACCTAAAAAATACAGCATCTGTCCATAAAATCTAGTTTTTGGAGGACTTGGGGGAATTCATTCAACGGTTTGCATGAGTATAGAAGTTAGTTTTTAAAATTACTTTTTTCACATTATCATAACTATGTATGTTTATAAAGACACAGTTCCCTATACATGAGTAAAAATGTAGATTCAAATTCAAGGTAGTAGAAATGGGTGTAAAACAATCATTTAACTATGATTATGTTTCATCAACATAAGGTCATTAGGTCATTCTTTATAAAATCATGTTTAGAGATAGAATTCTCCTTTCAAGGTAAATTTTATGCACAATACCAATATAAAAGATAGTTCAAAGAAGAGTTATTTGGTAAAAGAAAGGAGCAGAAACTGTGCCTCTTCCCTTTCCCAGTCACGCTTCACTTGGGCTCTGAGTCATCTCCAAAGAACCCATGGGCTCCACAAGTAATTTTCAAATAACTGGACTATGAGATCTCCAGAATCTTATCTTACTGAAATTATCTCATGTCCATTTCTATCCTATCAGAATATATGATGGTAAAAATGTAAAATAGGAAAAAACTTGATAGACATCTGTAATATAAAATAATTACATACTTCTCAAATATTGCAATTTGTAACTTGTTTTGATGGTAGTCTTTAAAAACTAATGCAATAAATACATTGGACTTTATATATTATACTTGGGATCCTTCTAGAAACAAGTCCCGTCTTTTAAAGACTTATGAACCAGGGATTACTGTAGGTTTGAAATTATTCCCTTAAGTTCATACTGACTTAAAGAGTATTATCTAGACCCATTCTTAATTTTTGAACCTTAGACAAGAATGCTAATGTCTTTTTTCCACACCCCAAATTCTACTATAAACAGACACTATAAAGTTTGTAATGCCAAAAATGCTGGACCTTGAAGCCAAGAAATGTAGATTCAGTTCTGGGTGTTAGTATTGAAGTTTGTCTGTGATACAGTTTTCTCTAAAATGAGTTTACTTACATCAAATAAGGTTGCAAGTATTAAATGAAGTAAAATAATATATATTTATATTGTAGAAAATGTTATTGTTATTTTGAAATATTACTATGAAGTATCATTTCAAACCATAACAGTAAAGTGTTATTTCATATTGGCCAAGTGTTTTAAAAATCTAATAAATGTGTATATTTTACAAAAGTAGAAATGAGTATTTGCAAAATAGTTAGATTATAATGAAATGTGATCATATATGTATGGAATTAAAATATGCAAATGGAAAGACAGCTACTAGTTTAGAACAATGCTACTTGCAAGTTTCAGACACATCTTGGGCCAGTGAACAAAAACATCTTCTGATTAGATGCAAGGATACTTACAGAATTAAGTATCTGATAGTTACAGAATTATCTTAAACTTTCCTTTTCAGGAAACACACAGGAAATACACACACATGCAGGGTTCAAATGTGTTAAAGTAAACAAGGTTAAAAAAATTCCTTAAAAAAATAGGGTGGCAACTATAACTTCCAAGGTAAATTCCAAATTCAGTACACTCTGTGCAAGTACCTCCAGTTGTAATTAATATTCTTCCCAGGCTAACCCATTATCTGATGGTTCTCTGTTTGGTTTATTGTTCTGGTTCACTAATGAGTCTGGGAAATTAAATGATTTCTACTTTAGTTCTTATTTTCTTGTAAATTCCAAAGGACCACTGGACTTTCTATATAACAAACATTTTTAAATATTTCATTTTGGCTTCCTTGTGAACCAATATTTAAAGCAATATTTTTTAGCTTCAACACACATTACTGACTTCAAACCACACAGAAAAAGACTAAAAAGTACATGCAAATCTTTACAAAACAGGTTTCAATATGCTACTTGATGATTTCAGAAACTGGGATGTACTCTAGAGAATTTATGCCATTTACAGTTATTTATAATTTTAGTTAATGTATAATTAATTTGAGGCTTTTACTTAATTCCTCCAAATTGATTTCTCCTTTACTTCAACTTGGCATCATCATCTAATAATTCAGTACTATTTGTAATAAGCTTCCTGAATCGAAAAAAAATTAACTTTATTTTTATTCTACTAATTTACACTAATTAAATTTCAGATTATTTAAAAGTAATATACTTTGCTATTCCCAGTAACAATGACAATATCTTTGTTCATTACAGAAAAGAACTTAAAAAGCACATATCCAAAATACACATTGCATTTGATCATGTAGAGCAAGTCAGGTATACCAAAAGTTGTGCAATTCAGATTGAAAATTAAACAAGCTAATGACTCTGTAAAGTAATAGTTAATAATTGCATATTAGACAACATGTTGACATAAGAGCTGTAAGTCATTTATAACATCTAACCTCATTATATTGGTCTGCAGTATAATGATCTTCATCATTTAAACATCATGTATAAATAGCCTAAGTATAAAATGAAAGTTTTATAATAATCCAAATTGGATTATAAATCACTTTAAATATTAACTTATACATACGACATGAAATGCCATTGGGTATGGTTTAAGCATAAAATATAGGAAGGTTGATAACTTGAAAATAATGCAAACCTGATTTTTAGATAAAGCCTAGTGACTAAGAAAACAGTTACTACCTTTTTTCCTGTCCTCCTATATAACTTCTTAGGAGTATTTATACAGTAGTGTCACCTCCCGTCATCTGGGTGATGGGAAAAATCCCTTAATCTTTTTTATTTAAAGAAAAATCATACAACTTACCTTTAAAATGGCTAAGAAGGATTTTTCAATCAAATGCTCCAACATTTGGACAATTCTTAATAGGATCAAATGGTATTCTGCAGGAAAGTCCTACACTGCAGTCCTCAGTACATAAATGCGTGAGAGTTTAAATATGCAACCACACCCCCTCCCCCCCCCAAAAAAAGAGAAGAGAAAGCACTCTACAGTGTCAGATCCCAGTGTGTGGTTTGTTGCCAGAGGAATTGAAAGAAAAAAAAAATCCCCCACACAGCACATTACTGATATGGCTAATAAGGGTCTATTTTTATGTTCTGGTGAAGACCCATTACCTATATCTGAGATATTCAGCATTTTTTTTTTTTTTGGCTATTTCCCATCCAAGTAAGTCAGAGGCCAGAAAAACAAAAGGAACTGACTTGCTGAGTTTCCCCTAACATATTCTCAGATGCTGAACTGAGACCGCTGGTGGAAATAGTAAATTTGGAAGAATAATCATATTCTCACTTCCCTGTCTTGACTGAGCTTGCGAAACTTATTTTATTAAGTTTAAATTTAATGTACTTTTTTATACAGCGTAATTCTGAAATACTGTGAGACTAATAATTCTGAAAACAATTGGAGACTGTCAATCAGCAAGGATGACAAACTGACTTAAAAAAAGGAAACAGCCTATTGTTCTAGCTGGAAGTTCTTAACTGTTTATCATTTTCTGTTAGTTTTGCAAAAATTTCATGATCACAGCACAGTGCTCCTACAAAAAATAAACTCTTTAAATTTCTTCAACCAAAATATGTCTAAGTAGAATTACTATTGAGGATAATCTTTAGTACTTAAGTCACTTTCAAAAAAAAAAAAAGCATTATGTTGATATTGAATCAAAATAGAAGGCCTTGCACTTTGGGGAAAGAACCTTCACTATCAAGACCCTGTTCTTATAAAGAAATTCTCAGAATCATACAGGAAAACCTTCACAGGGTTAACCTGGCATGTATTTGATAGGAGAGCTGGATAAATGCATTCAAACAACCTTAGAAGTAAAGTAACCTAAGAATACCAGACAGAAATATATTTAGTTCATTAGGTCATATTTAAACCAGTCCTTAAGTTAGAATGCTCGTGCTGTCCTTTTTGGGCATGTGAGGCACACAACGAATCCTTTCATTTGCAAGCAGTGCCATACAACTGAAAAAAAAAACCCCAAACACTCTTTTCTCCTCAAGAATTTTTTTTCCCCAGGGAAGTTTTTACTGACATATTTATTTAAAAAATAAGTCATAAAAATATTGTAAGTCTATTACTTTTTTTTCAAATCTCAGACCACTTAATTAGGATAAAGTAGAAATGACCATGTGCAATCTCTTTATAATTTATGCTTTCAGTTAGAAAAGAATAACTCACAGTGATTTCATGAAACTTAAGAAGGTAATTCCCTTAAATAACTGCGACCTTTTATCTTGGTGGCACGATATAAAATGGTAGTATAAAGACATATTATTTTGGTTAAGAATATCTATTTTGTAGATAGCTGTTTTGTATTTAAGCTAATTTATTTCTCAACCTTAATTCTCACACACTCACACTCTAATATGACAATTCAGAAAAAGATTACCAACGAAAGGGTTCAGATAAGACCTGTTTAAAAGAGCATATTTTAAAGATATTAAAAGACTAAAGTATAATGAAAATATGATCGCAATTAGAGAAAGATTATTTCAGAAAAAATACATGCAAAATAGATGCCTAAGTTGACATTAAACTTACTTGGGTATTATTTAATCAGTAGCCTAATGCCATTCAAATCTGCTGTCACTGGAGAGGAAAATGTCACAGAGTCCCATGAGCAGTCCAAAGAATCAAATTTACATTCCCAGAGACAGCTGTTAAGTGTTCAATCCCATAGACAACAGTTCCTGAGTAGCTTAGCATACAAGATCTGAAAGCACACAGCTGAGTCAAATCTGCAACTGTGGATTTTTAGAAAAATATAGACCTTAAACAATAACATAGCAAAATGCTGTACCCATTTTAAAGTAAAGAGTGTTGGGGTTTTCATTTTTTTAAAGACTATGCACCCACCATATTTTGAAGGGATGTGTTTTATGTGAGCATATACCTTGCTTTATGTAAATCCACTATAACACTGGATTAATTTATTAGAATGACAGGATATAATTTTCAATCTACTTCAGTCAGTTTAGACAATTCTTTGGAAATTCTTTTTTTTTTTTTTTTGCAAGAGATCACATAGGGTTAGAAATTGGAAGGATGTAAGTTTAAATCCTCAGGCTACCGGGCCCTAGTTATATTGACTTGTAATTGGAAGTTAACTGCTTGTTCTTCTTTTTCCAGATTTATCAAGGTATGAATCATTTTGACATGTGTATACACTGTAAAATGATTGCCATAATCAAGTTAATTAACATTCATTGCTCTCATTTTCATAATCAAAGAATAGAGAAAACTAAATAAAAGAGTAATAATAAGAGCTAAGAGATGAGTAGTGTACAATACTTGACAGGAGCCTGAAAATTTCTAGGCACTCAACACTCCCCATTTCATCACCCCCACTTCCTACAAGCCTCCTCCCCTCTCCGTTCTCTGCTTTATTTTCCACAGGTCACTTATCACCATCGAAGAAATTCTGCCAATTGACTTTTGTTTTTGCCCTGTCTTTGCACCTGCTAGAATGTTGGGTTTTTGCAGAGGGGGATGCTTGTCTGTTTAATTCACCACTGAACTTTGCACCTGCCTTTGCACTTGCTAGAATGTTGCGTTTTTGAGGAGGGGGATGCTTGTCTGTTTAATTCACCACTGAACCCCTATAGTACAGAATAAGCTCATAGTTGGTAATAAGTTGAATAAACAGACACACACAAGACTATTATAACCATCATAATGCTTTACAAGTAGTGAGAATGAGTGGAAATGAGAGACTATTATGCTGCTTCTTCATACCATGGATATGTAATGGTTTGATTCAGATTAAGAACATCTGCTAGGAAAATGAATGGAATCCGAGTCTGAATTTGGAATTCATCACTTCCTAAGTGTATGACTTATTGCTAACTACTTTACCTCTCTTAAACATGGTAGAAATATCTCCCTCACAGAATTGCTGTCAAGATTAAAAGTGATAATATGAAGGATTTAGCACAGAGCCTGACATAGTTTTTGTTTAACAAATAATTGTGGCTGGGCTTGGTGGCTCACACCTGTAATCCCAGCACTTTGGGAGGCTGAGGTGGGCGGATCACTTGAGGTCAGGAGTTCGAGAGTAGCTTGACCAACATGGTGAAACCTCCTCTCTACTAAAAATACAAAAATTAGCCAGGTGTGGTGGTGCATGCCTGTAATCCCAACTACTCAGGAGGCTGAGACAGGAAAATCGCTTGAACCTGGGAGGCGGAGGTTTGCAGTGAGCTAAGATTGTGCCACTATACTCCAGCCTGGGCAATAGAGTGAGACTCTGTCTCAAAAAACAAAAACAACAACAAATAATTGCATGGCCATCACTGGCTATCACGCACAATTTTATTTTAGAAAATGTATTAAGTATGGAGAGAAAGCAATATTGAAAATTATAGAAAAGTGTACAATGAGAGGCCTCAATCCCCAATTGTATTCCTCAGAAGTAACAAATGTTAAGTGTGTGTTAACCTTCCCCCAGTAATTTTATAATTTTCTAAAGTATATTAGCCATTTTTATTTTAAAACATTTGTAACAATATCCTTTTCACCTTTTTTTCCATAAATTGCTTTGTCCCTTTCTTAATAATTAGTAGGAAAATAGTCTTTGGACATTTGACAATTTTTTTTTAATTTGACAATTTTTACTTTTCTGTTTGTATGTGTAACTTACAGAAATGTTTACATTTTTATTCCATAAACTTTGAGTCATTTCCTTTTGAGGATTGTATCATGCTTTGAAAGCCTTTATCCACTTTGAGCATACTAAAAAAAAAATAAACTTTCTTTTAGCATTTGTATAGTTAAAAAAAATCCTTTTAACAGTACTTTTGGACAAGCTGATTCATGGAATGTAACACTTGTGAAATAAAAGAGGAAGAGTACAGTAAGTTGAGTAACAAATATTGCAACATATTTGAGAAGCAAATGACAGATGGGTAACAAGAGTTCTGGAAGAGGAATCACATGGCCCGTGTGATTCCTTTATTAGCAATAGGATTTGTGAACTAGGCAAGACGTAATAATCATTGTATTCCTGTTGTCCTTTCTTGTTAAATGGGATAACCTATAAAGTCTACCTACCTTTAAGCTGAAGATCAGATAGTAGATTTAAACTTTAAAATGTAAGGCTATATGCAGATACAAGAATATCTTATAGTAGTAGATACCATTTAAAAGAAAACTAAGCGATTTTTTTTAACAGTTCAGCAAATGAAAAGAAGCATTTTAGTATAACTTGCATTGTAATTCTAGATTGAATGGGTGAACAAAGACTTGAAGAGCAAAGAACAATGAAGATGATCATACAATAACATAGTCAACACATAGTAGGAGCTTACTACCTGCCAGGTGTGGAGCTAAGTATTTCACATGTATTACCTTGCTGAATAATCATCTCTCCTTACTAGGCTCTTTAGATGACTAGCTGAGTTCACACAGCTAGTACTTGGCAGAACAAGGGCTGGAACCCAAACTGACTGACTGAAGGGCCTATACTCTTTTCTTCAAAGAAAAAAAAAGATACATTTATCCTTGATCAAAATCTAATTTTACATATTTTTCTCAAAATCTTTGCACAAGTTGAATAATTTTAACCTGATATTACATTAAGAGCAAAATAATGTCTAGACACAATAGAAAATGAACAGTGAACATATGTAGGTGGCAATCAACAGAATTATTTTAGATTAAATAAAACATAAAATTTCATTCTATTGACCTATGAACTATCTCATAACATTAGTTACCAATGTAAAACCAGGCAACATTTATTTTATCACTTTAATCTTTAGGGAATACTAATCATGGAAATGTATACATACATACATTTAGGCATACACACACTTATGCTTATATATGTATAATAGATGAACATTTTTCAGTTGCCAGCTCGTCACTTATAGAAGTATTAAAGTATTAGTATGTTCTAACTGCTTTATAAGTTGAGGAAGGACTTCACATGCAGTAATAAAAAATATCTATGTAATTTGAATATTAAATTGCAAAAGACAAGAGCATCATGTAATGCTAGTGAAATGCTGAGACTGAAATGGAGATTTCTAATATCACCTTTAAAAGAAAATTTCCAGAAAATTATTAAAGGTGAAATTCCGAATATCAGAGTAACTTAGTTTAGACTTAAACCACATGGCCTAATGAATCAAAAGTCAGGATAAAAACAAACATACTGCATTAAAAGTAGAAAATAATCTTACCTATAGGTTTAATAGAAGTCATGCTTGTAACAGATTAAAGAGAGCACTTCTGTATATGTAGGTAGTTCTCATGTGGGCATGGCCAAATCATTATGTAAATTTTACAGGCCATCTAAAAATGTTGGCAGACCTAATTCTTACTTGAACAGCTTGCAAAAACAATTCTCTAAGTAGGAAAAAAAATTAGTCAACATTTAAATGATGGTAAGAAACATAAGGAAATGCCATGATCAGCATAGTTAGGTAAACTGTGTTCATAGAGTAGATAGGAAATTATTCGAGGAAAAAACAGAAACATTTAGGCAAAAGAATAACTAGGTCTCAAAGCATGGTGTGATGAAATAGCAGGAAAAAAATCAATAATTCATAGCCAAAACAAGCATTTAGTTGATGAGCACCTAGTTTTTTAAACGTTGAGAAAAAAATAGCAATTAATGAATTTTGAATTTTTACCGGGCAGAAAGAAAAAATTCATTGTCATTAAGGGTACCACAAATTTTAGTTCTGAGAAATATTATAATAGCCCTGGATTAAAAAGGTGGTCCCTAAAGTGGAGTCTTTAAAATAAAATAAATAATTTTGAGAAGGTTCAGAGAAATAATTTAACTTTGCATTGGCTCTAGGCTTGGCCATAATGATGTGTTTTAAAATGCTAAAATATTAGGTTTTTCTTATTTTGTTTAAACCATAAAAAATTGATCAGCATGATGAATATCTTAAAACAGAAAAATATAAAGAAATCAGATGAAGGATGACATAAAATGATTTTTTGTTCCATTTAATAAATAAACACACTAAACCACGCTGGCAAATCTATCTTTTAAAAAATTATATTGACATCTGCACCAGCTGATCATCTGTTACCTCAAGTTTAAAGATACAGAACACTTGGGCATTAGCTTCCTAAAAGACTGAAATACATATGCAGATATGCATGTGTATACACACACAAACGTTTTCCAGGAACACAGAAGCATGCCTGATTACATTTTTTTAAAGCTTGTGGGGTGAAGTTTCTAAGAAGCATACAAAAATAATTTAAAAGAAACACAGGAAATAATACATCTGTGATACCATTCTTGTTCTGTTTTTTTTTTTTTTTAAATGGAGAAGTGATCATTCTGCCCTGAGACTTCACAGAATTATTTGGCACAAACCCTGCACTTGAGTGGCACAGCAGCTTCTGCTAATAATTTCAAAGGAATATAAAACAATCTATCAAATCCTATAGTGAAATCATAACATCATTTTCCAGGTTGGTTCTCAAAAACCTTAAGGGAAGGTTTTGCTCTCGGACAAGCTTCAGTTTTCTGAAGCTCTTCCAAGAGACCAACAGGTTTAGTTTGGAGTGCTACTTCTCAAATGAATACCTTGCAATAACTTGACACATATTCTTAAGATTTCTAAGCATCTATAGAATTAACAGTGGGAACATCTTACACTAAATGCATTTTTGGTTTTAACAAAGCATTATACAATACTTTGTAAAAAACAAATACAAATATGTGTGTTTTGTACATTATTTATATCATTTATGTATATATATAAAATATATATAAAACTTCCAGAAATGTTTTTCTGGAAATGTTATGAATTATTTAAATCACTTTGTTTATATCATGTTTACATGAGTATATTCTAGAAAATATTAGAATTCAGATAATGAAAAGTGGCAGACTACTATTCTATAATACATAAGACAAATATCTTAGAACTTCAGAATCATTCTAAAACACTGAAACCCTTCAACTGTCCTGTATGTGTCTTTGTGATAGCTGGTTATCTTCTTGAAATAAAAAAAAAAAAATTGCAAACTTATCAGCAGTAGAGTAAAACCTTCACTTTGGAATTTCCACATTTAAACTTTGAATAATAGAGAAGTCTAACTTACCTATTAAACTTCATTTTAGCCCTGAAACTTAAGTAGCAGCATTTAAAATTTGCTTCACATTATGGAGCAGTTACAATGGACTTGATAAAATACTTTACCTTGTGGTTATGCAGAAAGAAATCTTTCATCCTTCTAACTCTCCTATGTAGGTTTAGTTATCATGAGCCCTGCCTTTATGAAAGTGTCTATCATCCTCATTGTTCTCCAGCAAACAACGAAGGACTCAAACATATTTACTGTGATCATCCCATTTCAGATTCTGAATGTCACTTTTCTTTTGTATTCTGGGGTTGTGAATTAAGTAAACAATAGTAGGTATGGAATCTTAATTGCTACAGAATGTCACTCTCAAAAGACACCACTAGCCCTGCTACTTTTGCACTGCTCAATTTGCACTTAGATCCTCAGAGACTTCTCGGACACGATGTTTTGTTGGTTTTTGGAGCCCAAGGTCTCTCAGCTGTGTTATGTAGGTATGCAAACTGTTCTATTCTACAGTGCCCCAGTTCATGGGTGAAGATAATAAATCTAAACTGAAATGTTTATGTTTTCTATGTTTCGGCATACTCTGCAATTCTCCTGTTGTTAACCACACTGTGCTTTCGTGTTCAGAGTGAATACTCTAAGCGTATTTATTTTCCCAAGCTGCATTTACAAGGCTTGGAGTGGCATCCTCCATGTAATGTATTCCAAGGACTAAGAACATTTTCTGGACTTGATCCAAGATCATTGCTAGGCCTGTTTTCCTCTCATTTTCAACAACCCCTCCGGGAAAATTGGGTAATCAAAATAGGCAGGAGGAAAGGAGCCTGCAGTGAACAAAAATTTGAGGTGAAATAAATCCATAAAAACATGGAAACCACACCATTTCTGGAATCCCAAATTAAAAGCATCAAGTACTTCCCATGCTATAGAGAAGCACATCCCAAAAGATTGATTTTTATAATAAGCTTTCAGTATAGACTTTTCTCTTAATTTTTTCTTCTTTGATTATCCTACATTTGTCTGTTCTGTTGATTTTTGGCTATTTGACATCTCATTTTTATCTTAATTTTCTTTCAAAATGGTACCTGGTTTTAGGTATGTAAATTTGTAACTGTCTCCAAATCAACTTCATACAATTCCACAAAGAAAAACACAAATATCTCTAAATTAGAAGAAACTGTAAGTTCATTAGCTCTTCTACTCCTTTTAAGGATGTGCTCACTTTATCCACTTAACAGATCCTTGTTTTGATGGGCATACCACCCCGATGACAGTTTGACACACAATGATGGGTCTGCAAATATCATCAAAAAATATTTCAGCCAAAACTAAACCTTATTCTGCTACTTAGTCTCTTAACCTCACATTTAGCACCCTAAGTATTAAATATTTTAATTCTTCAAACTATTAAAATTCAAAAAATGAAGATGAAACTTGTGCTATTTACTAATTTTTCCCTGGCTTATCTGCCATGTCATCTAGGTTAGGTGAAAAATAAAAGAAATATAGCAGTGGTTTTCTTTCTAAGTCTTTTGATGCAAATTAATTACCTAGAATACTTTTTTTCATGATACCAAAAAAAAAAAAAGGCTACTATTGAATTTATCAGTCTCCAGACAATCTAGGTGAATAAGATTTAAACTAAAAATAGGCAATTTTTATTTTAGAATAATCCAATACATGAGTGTTAAGGTGTATGTTGAGGGATTTGCTTCTATTTCTACACATGAAGAACAATGAATAAATCTGACAAAATTGAGCCATCTCAGTTAACTGAATTATAACCTCTAAGGGCTAATTCAATATGCTTAAGTATTTTCCAGAGGAAAGAAAGCAACATTTCAAGACTTCACAACTCCACATCTATAATTCATCTTGTGTAGTGAGGAGTACCTTGTTTTCCAGAAAGTCTTGCTTGGCTGGTTAGTTTCCAGAGATGCCCTTTAACACTAAGTTCAGAGGGAAAGATTCGAAAGTTTCTCCATATGTTGATGTGGAGCTATTAATGTGGTATTGCCTCTAAAAATGTCAAGGTACTATTTAATATTCTCATTTAATTAAATAGAGAGTGTTATAGGACATACATTTGCCCAGAACTCATGAAAATGTGCTCCTTTGTTGAACAGCAGTGGGAATGATTTTTCTATCATCATCTATTCTCTATTCCAATCCCCACTGCTTATGTATAAGGAGGAAGCCTACAGCCATGCTGCTGGAGGCCCTCTTACAACCTCAAGGAAAGCCAGCCTGTGTCAAACCTACCATCCAAATAAGGAGAGAGCAGAGAAAGTTAAGAAGAGCCAGCAATCTGATCCACCTGTGCCGGAAGAGTGCTAACACTGGAGTTTTCAATTCTGTGGGCAAACCTGTCCTCCTATTGATTCAGCTAATTTAGGTTTGTGAAGGGAGAATAAATCTTGGGACCCCAAAATCACTAAGCTAAAAGAAAAAGTCAATCTAGGAACTGCTTAGGGCAAACCTGCCTCCCATTCTATTCAAAGTCATTCCTCTGCTCGCTGAGATAAAAGCTTATCTGATTGCCTTCTTTGGAGAAGCTAGTCAGAAACTCAAAAGAGTGCAACCATTTGTATCTTATCTACCTATGACCTGGGACCCCCTGCCAACTTTGAGTTGTCCTGTGTTTGCTTTGTGTTGTCTCACCTTTCCAGACTGAATCCATGTTCATCTTACATATGTTGATTGATGTCTCAGGTCTTCCTAAAATGCATAAAACCAAACTGTGCTCTGACTACCGTGGGTAGATGGGATTAAATTAACTGGGATCTGTCTTAGGTATTTGGGGTTCACAGGTTGAAAGCACCCAAGCTGATACCTTGTGATTCTATTTAAAACATAGGCATTAGATCACAGGTATTTTTAATAAACTAAAACACTTAATCAAACTTCTAGCTCATGAGTGCAGTCAAGAAACATGGCTTAACCAGGTCTCTTAAAGGAGGAGAAAAAAAGTGTTTCTGCAATATGGTTTTCTACACTCTATGTAACAAATATAGATATTAATATAACATGAAGCACATATACCATGTGACTGTATTTTACTCATTTATATAGCTTTAGAATATTTTAGTGTTCCACTTATAGAAAGGATTCCAAAATAGCTCAATTCATCATCTGTTCATTCATAAGTAGCAAGAGAGTAGGTCACAATGAAACTCCCTATAACATATTACCAGGAATCATGCTGGTAGTGTTTAGCATTATATTCCAGAGTTTTAAATAGTGCCTGATACCTAATAGGTGCTCAAATTTTTTTTATTTGATGCTGAATAAACAGTAACTCTATGTATCACAGCATAGATTTTTAAAAGAAATGCATGTATATGTTAAATACTTTTGTAGGAGAGGAAGTACCTTTGTTTATTCCAGTATCTGATCAAGTTTAAATGCACTGATGATTTTCCAGATGTGCGTTTTTTTATGTTTAATAGACATCATGCATGTAATGGAATAAAGAACAGATGTACTCTTTTTTAAGCAAAAATCTCAAGTAGCAAACAGGTAAATAGTTTGATTATTCCACATTAGAAAATATTCTTATAAAGGGATTTAATTCTTCCCTTTCACAGGTATTTATTAACTATAATACAAGAATGAATGACATGCTTCTACACAATGAGCTTTTCCCAAATATTTTAAATGATGCAATGTACCAGTTGTGTTTATGTATCCATTGGCAGAAACAGACATATTGATTAAAATAAAGTTTTGTAAAATGTATTAAAATAATTCAGTCACACCAAAAAGCATGATTAAACACTAAATGTGTATCATGAAATAGTTGTATTGTTTTGCTTTTGCCTGTTGAAAATCCTCTCCAAGTCTTCTGAATATTTGTACTCTACCACCTAATTTTTTTTTACATGCCAATCTACTATCTCCTTAAAGGCTAACACACATGATCCCTTGATAAGAGTTTGATTCCTTTGGGTTGTTTAGTGTTCTGGACTGCTCATTTATTCTGTTAAAGAGCAGTGGGTCTGTAGTCTAAGTGAAAAAAAAAAAGCCCCTCTTTTAAGGGAGGGGGTCAATATGGTGTACTAATTGGAGGCTTAAGCAAGGACCCCTGGGAATTGGCTTTTCTGTTCCAATGAGAATTAATTCCAAGAAAATAACCTAAGTTCTCTCTTTGTACTTGTTTCCGTCTGTGAGATGAGACATATCGTCAACCACAGGGGCATAGCCTAGTTGAACTGATGTACTAGAGGATTCAAAAATAACTTCATCATTTGCAGAATTACAAGGCAATGGATAAAATATAAAGAAAAAATTTAAAATATAATCAAATGTAGCATTGTCCTGTAAAAACCTGAGTCAGACTGATTCTTTCAATCTCAAGAGAACCTTTAATATGATGAAGTCTTAAGTATCAAAACAAAATGCATAAATGCCAAAACCCAGGAGAAAAGGACAGTAAATAGAACCTTGTAATAGTCTGTCTCAGGAGAGAATGCTGGCTCTGCTTCTGCTATTGACTGTGATAAAAACAAAAAGTTGGAATCAATAGGGAGATAAGATGAATGCAATACTTACATATGAAGAGGTACAGAGAAGATTGTAGTTTATATACAGTGTAAAACAATAGAACTCGTTAGCATGTAAAACAACAGAACCTAAAAGCATGACTAAAATCAGAAAGGGCAAAATTTTTGTAAATGTACTACAGGGAACAAATACTCAAACAAAGGTTGAGAATATGTTCCCTAATGTCTTTCCCACAATTGCAAAAATGTACTTTTCAAGTAAAGTGGTTTTCTAATACATTTGTGTATCAGATTACATGGTATATTAAGACATAAGATTTTAAAAATACATAATACTGTAAAATCTTACAATTATATATGAAGTTTGTAATGTAAAACAAAATTATTAAATTATACTATACATACATAAATTTATCTATTAATTGGATAGAAGTATTAAAGCTAAATTTGCAGACCATTTTTATTGGCACATAGATAATAGACTGTACTAGTTTTGTTTTCTCATGCTTTAAATATAGTACAAATCATAAATCACATTCTGTAGATTTAAGCTAAGGCAATGGCCTGGTAACCGGCAGACAGTGTAAATTGGAAATCTAAAAATACATTCAGAATTTAAGCTTCATTTTCATGTAGTTCTCGACCATTATAAATCATAATTTATTATTTTCAAAATTTGATAAATATTTAGCTCAATAGTGTAAATAATATAAATACTAGTATGATAGAAGAACTTATCTGAATATTCTTACCAGCAAAATATGGAGATTTGCCACAATGCCAGCTAAGTTAGTTTTGCAGTCACTAATAAATTGGGTTGCCATAGCAAGCCCATAGTCGCTGAGTTTCTAAGCAACCTGAGACTCCACAGACTGCAGATAGTTAGGAGTCCACTGATCTTTCATCATCCCTTAAGGAAAAATACAAAAATTTGTGCTACCAAACTCAATGGCAGATCCCCTGATTACCCAGGAGAACAGTGATTTCTGTAAAATACCCCCCTGTATTGATACTCATTTAATTTATTGAATAATAATATTTGTCCTGGGGAATTATTGGATTATTCGCAGTGCTAAGTGGATGAAGTTAGTTACAGAAAATGGTCAGTGCCTGGTATGTATTGGGCAGACAAATATTTGTTGAATCAATGAACAAAATGCAATATATCATCCAATTCTTTAGAGACAGTCATTTACATAATACTAGCCTTCATAAATTCCTTGCCTTTTCATATAAACATATATCTGTTTAGTAGCATTACTATACAGTACATCACTTCAATTTCTTTATTTCTAATTATTGTAGCATAGGTAACGTGGGTAATTATAAATCAGTAATTCTTTGAGGTCTTCTGTTGAAATATTTAATCACAGCTTGTCTAGAATACTTGAGTCACAATACTAGCCATCCAAATGACAAATAGAATTGCACAGATCTGAAATACAAGCAAGGTTATGATTTTTTGAATGAGCATGCATTAGCATTTCATATCTATAAACACCTTCTTCAGTCCCTTATCTTCACACAATGCCCACTGCGGCAAACCATGGCCTCCTGTACTCTCTTTTAATACATCAGGCTCAGTTTCCAACTGTTTTAGATCATCACAACAAAGTTAAGGCATAGTTTGTTTCTATAGAACAATGTATCACAATACAAGTCCAAATAAAATGTAACCAATAGAAATAATCATGTGTGACCAGCAAAACAATTATACCTGTAATCTGTAAAATTTTAGCTAGTTCCAGTACCCCCCATTTTTCTATATTTCCCAGTATCATTCCGTGTAGCTAATTCTTACCATGGAAAACATGTTAGAAATGGTTTGCAAATTGAAAACTGTCTTTAATGGCTAATTTTTTAAAACACTACTTCATATATCCTATTGGCTGTTGTAACAAAGATTCACTAGCCCAAGCCAATACAATGACTAAATTATCTAACCTGAAAGTAAAATAAATGTTCAAAGTCACCTCTCAAACAAGTCACAGTAGTCACTGTGACCATGCCAGGAATGCCAGCAGCAGAGACTGCGTGTGACCTCTACTTGTCACTATTGAACATCAAAAGCAGGGGAGGATAGATTCTGCTTGCTCCAACATTGAGAAGTCAACCACTCTGTCTTACAATATTAATATAAGAGAATCTAAATTTTTATAATCATATTCATTATAATACATCTTTGGCTAAAAAATGACTATCTATAACTTAACAGTCTTCCTAGGGTATACTAGGAAGTATATCCTACTATTGTATTACTGTATTTTTGGTAGAGACAGGAGACAGGGTTTTGCTGTGTTTTCCAGGCTGGTCTTGAACTCCTGGCCTCAAAGTGCTGGGATGACCATGTCTGGCAGGATATATATATTCCTAAGAATAAAAGATGGCTACACACGAATTTGCCCTATTAAGATATTCCTCCACTGTTGCATGCATATAAGCATGTGTATATTGGAGCACTTAGATTATTTCAAATATTTTTGAATGCCTTCTTACCACTTATTAACATAACAATTACTGAGAACTCATAGTAAAAATCATTTGACTTATCCCTCTACTTTCTTTTAGATACAACTTCTTATTTAAAAGTTTGAAACAGGCTGCCTAAATGCCTACAATACTCCATAAATTCTACGCCCTGAGAGAAGAGAGAGAAATGCAAATATATATTAAACTGGACAAGAACAAAGCAAAAGTCAGATCAAAGTAGGAAATTTTAAGTATTGCAAGCAAAGTGTGAAATCTTACATATTTAGATTAGGTAACTTTACTGTGATTACACAGGCATAATTACCATTAGAAGTCCGATGAAAGAGCACAAGGCCACAAATGTTAATGCACTTTCAGAATGCTAGTTGGGAAGACCAGGGAATTAACACCGAAGACTCTGGTTGTGTTTGCCCCAAGTGCTGGGTCAAATCACTGCTGTACATCAGTCAGTCCCACCTCCTAGTGTCGAAGAATGGCTGTGGAATTTTGATTGACACTCCTGTGAGACAGTGGTATTCCTAAACCAAAGTAAATCTTGCAGCCAGTGTTTGTTAACCTCTCCAGCTTAAAAATGAGCTGCTCTTCACCCTGGTTCCTTCCTTTAAAAAAAGAAACAATTACTCTGTGATGTCTAAAAGCACACAGAAACAGTCCCCTCTCCAGGGATATCCCTACTTTCTCATAGTAATTCCCTTGATTCATTCCATCCTTTGTCTTTGTTAGAGGACTTTACAGTCCTCCTAGGAACCACATAACAACATGTATCCTGGTCTGGGAGAAGAAACAAAGCATCAGTGAATATTCCAGTTTGTGGAAAGCTGGAGATGAGGGCAACCTTGGGCAGGGCCCAGCAAGACTAACAAGTTCAGGCTTATAATAGCTGTTTATTTTGCAATATGAAAGAATTAAGCAATATTTGATGGGTACAATATTGTATATGCAACACAAATCAAATAAATTAAAACAAAAATAAATACACCCTAAAAATAAGAATTACAGTATATGCTAAATGAGACCAAAAATATGGCTTTTTCCCAGAACACTTAAGGCAGTCAAAGAATATTGATGACATACATCCTCATACACTCACATACTGAATTAATATTTATCACATGGTCACTATGTGCTCAGAACTCTGCCACAAAGTGGAAGAAAATGTGACCCCTACTGTGAGGATTTCTATAATGTACTTCAAATACTTTGATATATATTATTGTGTATATATGAGAGTTTGGTATTTTTAGTCTACTTTCATGAAGTGGACAGTCACCCTGGTCGAGAACATTCATTCTAGAGCTGGTCCCTAGCCTTTAATAGAAGTCCAAAATTTAGTTATTTTTTATCTCTTTAGAACAGAAGATTGGTATAATAAATACTAACAATGAGATCTTCAATAGAGAAATTAATGGTATCAGAGATTTATGAACCAGCTAGAATTATTACTAGATAAGTCTCTACTTTTACATAATAGAGTAAAAAAAAAAAAAAAGTCTACCAAGGACTGTTGTCTAAAGTTTAGTTCAGAGATAGCCTGTTGTCTAGCTATAGATTTTAGAGCATTCTTGGTTATTGAAGTTACCAATATTTACCAAGACAACCCAATAATGCTGTCTGTCCAAATTGGTCTAGGTACTTAAGTGTTGCTAGGTAGTTTCAAGGAGTTCATATTCTAGAGATGCAGCTTATACACAGAGGACAATTCTTTATACAAATGCATGGGTAGAAGACCACAGAATCTCCTGGACTAATAGGAAATGCACATTTGTTCGGATATAAATAGCTGTGACTCATAGTTTAAGGAACTTTCCCCTACTTCTGTGTAGAATACATTTCTTCTCTTTCCTTTCTTATTTTCTCACTGCAGACATCTAGTCCTACAAATGAGGGTTCAGAGACCCCCAGAGTTACAAACACTTGTTCTAAATCATCCTAATGATTATTTTTAAAAATGTAACTAGAATATTGCTTTGTTTTGCTCTTTTTTCTGTGTCCACTTTTTATCTCTTTTTAACACCTTTCTCCAAGTTCTGCTGTAATGTTTGAGACAGTATTGCTTTGATTTTTGGTGGATGCCATTATTCTTCTTTGTTCTCCTTCAGCAATGCTAGTAAGGTAAGATTTTTCTTCATGGTCTCTTTGCAAGCCGGGGACCCTCGGCAAGCCATGCCCCACCTGGGCCTCTCTTGGCCACACTGGCATGTCCCAGCTTATACCAGCATTCAGCGTTTCCCAAGCTCTTGTCTCGTGCCCCAGAAGAATGAGGATATGGTGAATATTGAAGGGTGAGGAAGACAGAAAATAATTTTATTGAGTGATGGAACAGCTTTCAGCAGAGAGGAGATGCAGGGGTGGTCCCCCCACCTGAAGGTGGGAAAGTCCCCCATGTGGCTGGGTATGGGGCCTTTTACGGACTCAGAATGGGGAGTGTATGCTGGTTGTAAAAAAGGTTAAAGCAAAGACACCACTCAAAGGTGGGCACGACAGTGTGAAAAACCAATTTGGAAAGGGAAGGTATATATAAAATAGGTGAAGGGTGGGGATCAATCAGAGGAAAGCACGCCAAACAGGAAGACAAGTTCTCAATGCAGTCTGAGGGTTTAACTCGTAGTGTGGCTTTCAGGCTTTAAACTGTCTTCGGCTAGAGGTGGGATTTCAGTGGGGACCTGCCACTATCTGCCTAGGCATTTGGCTGCCTCTTGCCACTCTCGCTAGTTAACTTAATATTAAGCTCTTGGATAACTAGAATAATACCTCTTTTTCATTTCCATACACTGTTACTAGTGGCCTGTTACTAGTATGAAGTTAATTTTTAAAATGATTTTGATTCTCTAGTGTTCTTTGGATTTTTTTAAAAAAATATAAATGACCTTTAAATTATTTGAATTATTAGACATAATACCTTATTTTTGTTCTAAAACATTTATTTATTTTGTCCCTCACATGTGAGACAACTTGAAAAATTCTATCAAATGATACAGAAGGGGACAAATATTTATTCACCTATTACCACGAGTCAGCTATCATGTTAAATGCTTCCATGTATTATTTGTCCCAAAGCATTCTATAAATTATTGCTAGTCACATGTTTACAGATGAGATAACACTAGAAAATGTTAAGAAAATTAGATAAATGTAAACATGCCCAGAATATAGGCATCCTCTGCAGATACTGGAAGTTTGGTTTCAGACTGCTGTAATATAGTGAATATCACAATAAACTGAGTCACACAAATTTTGTTTCCCACTGCATAGAAAAGTATGTTTACCCTATACTATAGTCTATTAAGTGTGCCATACCATTAAAAAATGTACATACTTTAAAATACCTTATTGCTAAAAAAAAGCTAACAATTATAATAATCTTTTTGCTGGTAGAGAATCTTGCCTGGATATTGATGGCTACTGACTGATCTAGGTGGTGGTTGCTGAAGGTCAGGGTTGCTGTGGCAGTTTCTTAAAATGAGACAATAAAGTTTGCCACATCACTTGGAAAAATTGTTTGCCTTTTCTATAGCATGCAATGCTGTTTGATAACATTTTACCCAAAGTAGAACTTCTTTTAAAACTGGGACAATCCTCTCAAACCCTGCCACTGCTTCATCAACCAACTTTATGTAATATTATAAATTCTTTGTTGTCACGTGTGGTGTTATGATATATATTGGTTTTTGTCCACCTTTTCTGGTTCTTATTTCCCTTAACCCTAGTTACAGACTTTTTGTTATCATGTATATCAGGCCTCAGAAAACAGAATCTCCCTCTAGCCCTCCTTTCACTTGCCCCAAGGCAGGACCCTAATCTTTCCCCTCCCTTCTGATTGTTAGTCTCAAGACTCTCCCCAGACAGGATCCCACCCTACATCCTGGGGGAAGGAATGCTGAAGTCAGGAAGCTTCCATAAAAACTCAAGAGGACTGGGTTTGGTGAGCTTCTTGATAGCTGAATGCTTGGAGGTTCCTAGAGGGTGACATGCCAGGGAAGGCATGGAAGCTCCACACACCTTCCCCCATACCTTACCTGATCCATCTCTTCATTTGTATCCTTTATAATAAACTGGTAAACATAAATAAGCATTTCCCTGACTTCTGTGAGCTGCTTCAAGCAAATTAATCAAACCCAAAGAGGGGGTAATGAGAACCCCAACTTGAAGCTTGTCGGTAGTCCTGGAGACTTGGACTTGTGACTAGTGTTGAAAGAAGGGGGCAATCTTGGGGACTAAGCTCGCAACCTGTGGGATCTAACTATTTCCATGTAGATAGTGTCGGAACTGAGTTGGATGACATCCAGCTGGTGTTTGCTGCTTGGTGTGTGTGTGGAAAACCCCCACACTTCTTGTCATCGAACTCTGCTTTTGTGATGATTGTTGTGGCATGAGGCAGAGGAAAAACATGGTTTAGAAAGTTTTTCCCTACACATCATGTCAACAGTGTTCATAGCATCTTCACCAGGAGATTTCATCTAAAAAAAAACAAAAACAAAAACACTTTCTTTGCTCAATTAGAAAAGCTACTTCTCCTTCACTGAAGTTTCATCATGAGATTGCACCAATGCAGTCACATCTTCAGGCTTCACTTCTAATTCTAGTTTTCTTGCTATTTTCACCACATCTATAGTTATTTCCTTCTCTGAAGTCTTGTAACCCTCAGTCATCCATGATGGTTGCAATCAACTTCTTCCAAACTCCTGTTGATGTTGCTATTTCAACCTTTCCTATGAATCACAAATATTATCAATGGCATCTGGAATGGTGAATTACTTTCAGTTGGTTTTCAATTTACTTTGTCCAGATCCATCACATGAATTACTATCCATGGAAATTATAGCCTTTTTTTTTTTTTTTTTCTGTTTTGAGACAGAGTCTTACTCTGTCACCCAGGCTGGAGTGCACTGGTGCAAAATAGGCTCACTGCAATCTCTGCCTCCTGGGTTCAAGCGATTCTCCTGCCTCAGCCTCTCGAGTAGCTGGGACTACAGGTATGTACCATCATGCCTGGCTAATTTTTGTGTTTTTAGTAGAGACAGAGTTTTGCAATGTTGGCCAGGCTAGTCTTAAACTCCTGACCTTAAGTGACCACCCACCTCCTATTTCTTAAGTAATAAGTCTTGAAAGTCAAAATGACTCTGATCTCTGGGCTATAAAACTGATGTTGTGTTAGCAGGCATGAAAACAACATTAATTTTATTGGACATACCCATCAAAGCTCTCAGATGACCAGCTGCATTGTTAATCATCAGTTGTATTTTGAAAGAAATCCTTTTATCCTGAGCAGCAGGTCTCAACAGTGGGCTTAAATTATTCAGTAAACTATGCTGTAAATGGATGTGCTGGCATCCAGGCTTTGTTGTTCCATTTATAGAGCTCAAGCAAAGTAGACTTTGAATCATTCTGAAGGGCCCTAGGATTTTTATAATGGTTGTAAGCATTGATTTCAATTTAAAGTCACCAGCTGCATTAGCCCTTAACTAGAGAGTCAGCCTGTCCTTTGAAGGTTTGAAACCAGGCATTGACTTCTCCTCTCCAGCTATGGAAGTCCTAAATGGCACCTTTTTCCAATGGAAGGCTGTTTTGTCTGCATTGAAAATCTATTGTTTAGTGTAGCCACCTTCACTAATGATCTTAGCTAGATCTTCCAGATAACTTGCTGCAGCTTCTTCACTTGATGTTTTATCTTGCACTTTTATTTTATGGAGACAGCTTCTTTCCTTAAACCTCATGAATCAACCTCTGTGAGCTTCACACTCTTCTTCTGCAGCTTCCTCACCTCTTTTACTTTCACAGAATCGAAGTGAGTAAAGACCTTCCTCTGGATTGGGCTCTGTCTTACAGGAATATTGTAGCTGATTTAATCTATCCAGACCACTCAAACTTTCTCTATATCAGCAATAAGGCAGTTTGACTTTCTTATCCTTTGTGTGTTCACTGGGGTAGCACTTTTAATTTCCTTCAAGAACTTCTTCTTTGCATTCACAACTTAGCTAACTGTTTGGTGTCAGAGGCCTAGGTTTCATCCTATCTTAGCTTTCAATATGCCTTCCTCACTAAGTTTAATCACTTCTAGTTTTTTTATTTAAAGAGATGTGTGACACTTCCATTCACTTGAACATTAGAGGCCATTGTAGGGTTATAAATTGACCTAGTTTCAATATAGTCATGTCTCAGGGACTACGGTGGCTCCAGGAAAGGGAACAAGAAAGGGGAACAGTGTAGCAGTCAGAACACAAACAATACACAACACTCTTTAAGTGTCACTATTTTCACAGTATTACAAATGGCAAAAATGATGCTCTGTGAGGTTAGCTAAATTGCTCAAAGTCAAACAGTGCTGAGCTAAGAGTTAAATGCTGGCTGCTGCACTCAGACCCTGAATGCAGGGTCTAAATATATATATCACACTATAATCTATTACTATCCATATGAAACAGTGTAAAAAAAACCAAAAGCATTTATGAAATTTATAAAATTTCTCCTAACAATATTCATGAAAGAACTGTACTGTGCATGACAGAAAATAGTAATCATCTTTACATAAATGGAATAAAATTCTGTCCTAAACTAAGTAATTTTTCCAATGAATTTAGGCATGACCAACTTTTGGCACTTTACTATCTTATCAGTCTGACCTTTCTCTAATGACAAACCCCTAGAAGACCGCAGCACAGATGTAATTGAAAAGAATATCATAGTCAAGTGAGAAATAGAAACTTCAGCATCCAATGTACGTTTGAAGAGCTTGTTTTTCTCACAACAATTTTTTTTTTTTTTTTTTTGGAGACACAGTCTCGCTCTGTCGTTCAGACTGGAGTGCAGTGGCACAATCTCAGCTCACTGCAAGCTTTGCCTTATGGGTTTAAGCAATTCTCTAGCTTCAGTCTCCCAAGTAGCTGGGACTACAAGCACCTGCCACCATGCCCGGCTAATTTATTTATTTTTATTAGTGATGGGGTTTTGCCATGTTGGCCAGGCTGGTTTCAAACTCCTGACCTCAGATAATCCACCCACCTCAGGCTCCCAAAGTGCTGGGATTACAGGTGTGAGCCACCGTGCCTGGCCCTTCACAGCAATTTTACTTTTTAAAAATTATTTTGAGGATACATATATTTTATTTTTTTTTTAACTTTTAAGTTCAGGGGTACACATGCAGGTTTGTTACATAGGTAAACTGTGTCATGGAGGTTTGTTCTATAGATTATTTCGTCACCCAAGTATTAAGCCTAGTACGCATTAGTGATTTTTCCTGATTCTCTCCCTCCACTGTCTACCCTCTGAAAGGCCCCCATGTGTGTTGTTCCCCTGTGTGTGAGGACACATATATTTTAATTTTCAAAAATTGAACTCATGTAAATTAGAATAGGACCTACTATGACAGAATTTACTTCCACTCTTTCCACCTCATCTCTCCTCACTGAGCTCTGATTTTGTGTTAGATATTTCATGTCTATGTGATTATAAAACCTCTCCCAAGCTACAGAGGTTGAATATTGATTAGTTTTAGCCACAATTCTCCTTGATAATGAGATGTATAGCAAGCATATAACAAAATGCTGACACTGAGGCATAAAAACAAGTCAGCTACAGAGCTGTAGTGATAGTTTTCTGTTTTAAAAGACTGAAACAAGACAGAAACTTGTTTCTTACTGTTGTTAGGCATTGTTATATAAAGACATGATCCTTACAATCGCCGTAGCCACTTTGCACTTGTAGGGTAACAGTAAGAAAAACCAACCTAGAGCCCTATGAATTAAGTAATATCAGTGAGCCTAAGGATGATTCCAAGCTGGTTAATTCAGTCTGTTGACTCCTTATTATATGAACAAAATAAAAAGTACCCAAGAAACTGCTTCTTTTGGACTTTGTTACTTGCAGGCAAAATCATCCCAACTGATAACAACTGGAGACTTAAGAAAATGTTTGAGATTTATTTTCATAGTATTTGTCAAATAATAACTTTCCTCTAGAGAAATCACTTTAAAATACTGGACTGTCATACCATCTTGATAACACAATTATCTGCTCAAATTGCGTGTGTGTGTGTGTGTGCGTGCAGGCACACACACACACACACACACACACACAGATGGTCCCCAACTTACAATGATTCAACTTACAACCCTTCAACATCACAATGGTGTAAAAGCAATATACATTCAGTAGAAACCATAGTTCAATGCTAGATTTGATTAATTACATGACATAGTCCACATTTTATTCTAAAATATGCTCTGTATTAGATGATTTTGCCCAAATGTGGGCTAATGTAAGTGTTCTGAGCACATATAAGATAAGCTAGGCTGAGCTATGATATCCAGTAGATTAGATGTATTAAATGCATTTTTACAATGATATTTTCATATTTTTAACTTACACTAGCTTTATTGGGATATAACCCTAACAAAAAGTCAAGGAATATCTATAGAATCAACTCTAAAGAACAAAGAAATACAACAAGATCTCCTATTGCCTGGAAAGATAGATTTCTTTAAAGGAAGAAAGTGTTATCTGTTAAGGCTATAAAATCAAATCAAAATTAAATCAAAATTCAAAATAAAATTAAGTCCAAGCTTCTATCCTTCCTAAAAACAGAATTATCCTGACAAATGAAAAGTGAACTATAAAATTAACCAATCTGAAACAAAGAAAGCTATCATGGAAACCAAGAAAGACTCTTCCATTTGTTTTGGTAAGACTATTAGAGAAAACTCCAAGAGTTTTCATGAAGCTTCCCGCCTTAGAATATTTTGGGAGAAATTCTGAAGAGTAAAGAAATAATACAACTTCAAGTTGTGAGTTAAGAGAAAGGAAACGTACTAAAGAACTAACTTATTCATTCAAACACTAACTGACCTTTAATCATACTCCAGGCTTTGAGCATGGCGCTGGCATGCAAAGATGAATAAAATATGGTCTTGAATAGATTGTGATTTTGTTGATAGGAGATAGATTGTAAAATAACAGAAGGGCTTCAATGGATGAATAGATATTTTCTAATCACAGAAGATGGAAAAAGGGCAATAGAAGCAGAAAGAACAACATGCATAAATTCAGAGGCAAAAAGGAAGTGATATGCTTGCAAATGTACAAAAATGGTTTTCAGGGAAGTTGCAAAAAGTGAGGAAAACAGGTGGATACCAGACCTTGAAGCCCCCTGCATGATATTCTAAGGAGATTGAACTTTATTCTGTAAGCAGAATAGAACAATTAAATAATTATAAGTTGGAGGAGTGACAGGATACGAGTTTGTACTTTTAAAAGGTCACATGAAAAGCAATAAATTGGGTTGAGAAATTCAGCTCGATGACTAATAAATGAATGCGGGAAAGACACAAGGCCCTGAACTAAAACTTGTATTCAGCCTGATGAAGGGAATGTGGTCTCATTCTAGGCAGAGTTTGGATTAACGGGAATGTGCTTGCAGTTTGTAGTGGCAGCCATGGCAAAGAGGGCTGTAAAACTGGAAAGCAAGCCCTAAGAGTCATTATCACAAGTGGGAGAAATACTTTTGGTTAGCTTTCATCTTGGTGGCATTCTGGAACATAACAGCAGGGGTAGACAGAAGAGAAGTAATGAAAACTGGATACGCCCCTATGCAAGCAGAGGGGAAAAAAACACAAAAGGTCAAAGGAACAAAGGACTTAGCATTTCTTTTATATTGGCATTCGTTGAAGCGACAAATACAGTATAAAGCTAACAAGTAGCAGAGCAAATAACAAGGGCACCCACAGTTTTCAACTGATATCAGGAAATATTTAATCCCCCAATTTCCCACTTCACATTATAAACTGGGGTATTGGAATTGGGGTCAGGAACTCAGATGTGGTTTCCAAGGAAGGGCAGAATCGGGGAAGTACTTCAGTGTCATGGTGGGGAATTTGAGGGAAAGATGGAGCCGCGAAGAAGAAGCAAAGATTAAGATACAGAGGGCACCCCTGCAAAAAAATCACAGACTAATGTACAAGAGACATTGATAATTTCATTTTTATTCTGGAGTCAGGAACTGGACTCAAGTAAAGAAGAACCTTACTAGGAAGAAGGAATGAGTAAACTAATTGTATAAACCTGCTTTTTAGTGAACATATATATAGATTCTCTTGTTGGCCAGTGGGTGTATAAAATATAAATACATTATGATGGTCTAAAAATGTAGGATAAAGAGTGAAAGAGAACCTATGTCTAAACCCAGTGGAAAACAAGGAGGCTCTCCAAGAAAGAATCTGGGTAGTTTTTGCAATTAAAAACAGTCACCATTGTTTCTCCACAATACGGATGTGCTCTGGAGAAACAAACATTCGATGTAAACAAAAAAGAGAATGATGCCCATTTTATTCTGGTATAATTTATACAAGTAGTTTAAGAATATCTGTGATGTGTTAAGAGTTTGTGGAAAAACATCAAGTACAGGAATATTTCTAGTAAGAAAGCTGATTGGCATTAATGCTCTTTTATTTTCATTTCAAATAGACAACTGCTGCTAAGCCGGGCATACAAAATATCCCTTTGACTTTCAGAAAAATAATAAATGTTTATCTGTAACAACTTTTCAGATAGTATTATTACAAAATATAGACACCCAAAAGCACATTAGCTAATTATATGCATTTGGTTCTGTATAAAATATACTCCAAAAGTACTATATTAACTTCCCAAGTAACTGGTAGATATTTTATATTTATTGATAATATTTACCTTTTATTACTGTTAACAAGGAATCAACTCAGTTATCAGGATCCTACTCTAATTTGACTTTTGAACTATTCAAATTTAAGAATCAAAACTGCTGACTAGACTTAAATAAACCCCATCTCTTAGGCCCCTGACAAGCATCTCTCATCCGTAAAAGATTCAAGCCTCTTTGTCCCATTAAAAGTTAAAATTTTTCACTGTGATTTTTACTTCTTAACTACAGTTTCCTGTTCAGTAAATTATTTCTGGCTCACATAAAACAGAGCTGCATGTTTTATTCCAAAATAGGAAAGATGAAGTAGGATCTTGTGAAAAGATAGACCTTAAGGAGAAAGAGAAGAATGAATATCTTTCTTGGTTTAGATGATATCTTCAAGAGTAACTAAAGGAAAAATCTCCATAAAGTAGAATCAAAGTAGCTTATTAACAAGATACTATGATAAATACAGCAGTGGTTAAAACACACTATTTCTCTTGTATTGCCTTTATCATATTTTAAGAGCAACCCTCACCTCCCTGCAAAAAGAAAAAATAGAGAAACTTAAGTTTACATATGGCACTGAAACTTTGAATTTATCATGCAGCTCATGTTTAAAAAGCATATATGTATAATGTAAAGAAAGTAATACAATTATGAATATTACAAATGTCTTAAATATTACATTACCATAAAGAAAAGATACTTTTTCTTTGTGTGACTCATGGAATCAAGTTTATTTATAGCCTTATCTCCCCTCCTCTCTCTACTACTACTTCCTCTACAGATTTATGAGAAGTTACAAAGTAGATTATTAGCATGGGATGTTTGTCAATATTTCTACTCATTTTGAATCCATATACTACCTAAATATATGGAATATTATTCAATCACAGACTTGAATCACTTACTAGATTTTTTATTTAAGCAAAGCTTATGATGAAAGTTTATCTGAATTCTTAAAAAATGCTTAGTGGATATAAAGTGTTCTCACCACAAAAATAATAACTATGTGATATAACACACATGTTAAATAGCTAGATTGAGCCCATTCCACAATGCTTATACATTTAAGACACAGTGAATACATACAATTATATCTGTCAATGTGGAAAATTAAAGAAATAAAAACAACAAAAGAAAGTATATGGTTGAATAATAGAAAAAGTCAGATTATCTCTTCTATTTCAGGTGGTATCTGGAATATCTAAATAGAAAGTTGAGTATATATATTTAACCACATTTATATAAGTTCCACAGAGGTGCATATTTTCAGAAATACTTTTTAAGATAATTCCCAACTGCAGGATTCTACAATCTGATTAGCATGCTGTTCATCTACATAGTAAGTAGAAAGACCCCTTAATTTCTTCATAAGAAGCTTTGAGTTATTAAAATTTCATTTCATTGTATTTTATATATGCCAAAGGCATAATTTTTTCATTTATATAACAAATTAGTTTTTATGGTATATGTGCAAAGAAAAGAATAAATGCCCCCAAACAATTTGTGCACATTATCATTTTTATACAGGGACTGATCTCCTGTGATTTTTCAGGTTGCTAGCATAACAGGAATGATATTTTATATTACAGGACTCAGTGTATTGAGCATATTATAGAACTTAAGAAGGACATTCAAAAGAATCTCATTTCAACAATCATCAAAGTAGTGGAAATTGGATTTCAGGTGTGCACGTTTAATTACTGAAGTAACAAAGAACTTTGTACTGTAAAGAGAAAACAGCCCATCACCCAGGAGCTGGGCTGATATTATTAGCTAGGTCTTGCTGTTTCTGGGCACAGGCCCAGCACTCACTGCTTGGCCTTGGTGTTTGTTCTGCTGAACACAAACAATTCATAGAGCATTTACTTTAGATAAAATCATTCTGTGATCATGATGAGTCAAGACAAAATGAGACCTTTTATGTCTGAACCCAAAACGATTATCAACACTGTCCAAGCCACAGATACTACACATTCCCTTCTCACTTACTATGAGTGACTCTGCTTCTTTATCAATTACAGCTTTAGCTTCAGTCTAGTCTTCCCTCCTCCAAGATTAAGACACCCAATCATAAAATTATCCTGCCTCCTGACAACATCTAATTCAGAGCAAATCTCTATTTCCTTCAGTATCACCTCCTCGACCCTCCCCAACCAACCAACCGAAGTCCAAATTCTAGAATAGATTTTTCCTAACATCTTCTTACCGGGTCACTGTCAGTTCCCTATGGTACACTTTCCTCTCTTTTCAATGAGTAATGAACTTGTTTCACTACAGGTGTGTTCCTGTTGGTCTTTGGTTAAAGAAAGGACATTGGCAGTAATAAAGCATCTAAGAAACTTGGCTCCTAACTCCAGTGCTATCAGGAGGCTCTCATGTATATGCTAGCACAATCTCTCAGAATTTTCAAGATGACTAAAGAGAAACTCAAAGAAGAAAAATTAGAAGATGCCACAGTGATAAGAAATAGGAGAGATTATTATGGGTGTGCAAAATGACACGGGACGACGATTTTGAGGTTAGGGCCTCTGTGTCATGTATGGGAGAAAAAAGCAGGCTGAGACAAGAAACATGGCCAGGTCACAACAGGGGGGCAGAGCATCTGCTGAAAGGCCACAAAACACTCAAGAGCTTTATTATAATTTTGTTCAAGGCAGGGCGCAGTGGCTCAGGCCTATAATCCCAGTGGTTTGTGGGGCCCAAGAGGGAGGATTGCTTGAGGCCATGAGTTTGAGACCAGCCTGGGCAACATAGAGAGACTCTGCCTCTACAGAAAGAAACAACCACAAAAATTAGCTGGGCATGGTGGTGTGTACCTGTAGTCCCAGCTTCTTGGGTGGCTGAGTGGGGAAGATTACTTAAAGCCAGGAGTTTGAGATTACAGTGAGCTATGATTGTGCCACTGCACTCCAGCCTGACTGACAGAGAGAGCAGACCCTGTCTCTAAAAAATAAAAAAATCTGGCTGGGTGCCGTGGCTCAGGCCTGTAATCCCAACACTTTGGGAGGCTGAAGCAGGCAGATCACGAGGTCAGGAGATAGAGACCAGCCTGGCTAACACAGTGAAACCAGTCTCTAGTAAAAATCCAAAAAATTAGCCAGGCGTGGTGGCGGGCGCCTGTAGTCCCAGCTACTGGGGAGGCTGAGGCAGGAGAATCGCTTGAACTCAGGAGCCAGAGGTTGCAGTGAGCCGAGATCACGCCACCGCCCTGCAGCCTGGGCGAGACAGAGCAAGACTCCGTCTCAAAAAAGATAAAAGATAAAAAATAAATAAATAAATAAAATTAAAATAACTGTTTAAAATATGTTCAAAAGAAGATAGAGGAAAATTCTGTTTCGCTAAAACTTCACTAAAGGAAAGAAGCCTCAGCGACTACACTGAAGATATTACTATTCTTGTATTTACAAAAGATGACATAAAAATACCATAATATTAGGAAGCTAAATTACCCTCTCAGTAAATGGCTACCAAAATAATTGTGGGTAGATTTTAAATAACTTCCTAGAAGGGACTAAAAATCTTAGGTAGTCTGAGGTGAGACATACAGAGCACAAATATAGATCAGGAAAACTCAAAATAAGAGTAATGATGATGATAATTACAATGACAATATAGTAACAATTTTTAAAAAGGCATTGTGAATACCAAGTTAAACATTTTTTATCATTCTCATGCCAATTTTTGAGAACTACTGTGATAAATCTAGTCTCATTTAATCAGCTGTTAAAAGTGAGCTGTGTGCTTTTGGATAATACTTCTCACTCTTCAGTTTCCAGTATTCACTTGCCAGTCCTTGTTTTCCAAGGAAGGCTTTAAACCTAGATCAGACCCACAGCTTGGCTCACCCCTCACAGCGCATGTCCTTTCCTAATCTTATCTTGTCCTCAACCCTTTGCCTACATAGCAAGCACCTGCTGGGTGATCATACTTGTAACCTGAACCAAATTCTCATCTGGCTCCCTTCACCAACAGATCACAAGCCAAAAGACAGGCAAATACTAACTCAGGCTTTTTGTAACTATTTTTTCTGACTCTAATACTGTATTATGTCTCCTATCAAGCTCTTGTTGTTGAAATCTTCAGATTACGTGTGAAATTATTCTGCTATCATAGTTTGAATCATCAACTTTGTTTTATTTATACATGCTTTTATTCCCCCCAATTACATTGGCAAATATTTTATCAATCAGTAGCCCTTGCAAGAGTAAACTTAAATACATTCCTAAAGTATTCTTAGTTTGGACTTCTGATTGGGAGAAAACGTGAGAATCAACAAAACAAAAACCTGACACCCCGCTTAGGTAGCTCCCAGCAGGTCTAGGAAGGCAGATTCATAAACAGACAATTCTAATAGGCCGTGACATCTACACTCAGGTAGGAAGAGTGAATGGTGAGGGAGAGAAGGTGTTAAAGGACAGTGGTGGAGGAAGTGGTTCCTTATGCCAGGACTGCATTGTACAGCTCCGGGTACAGAGTGGGAGAGGGTATAGTGGATCACAAGCATTTCCCCAAATACAGATACATAAAGAAACATACAAAATAATAAACATACAACTGGGGAAACATGTTTCAGTAAGGATTCGGTACAGTGTATGAGTTTTGGAAGAACAAGACACCAGAAAAGTGGCCACAAATGACCACAAACGTGAAGCCCTAATGTAACACATACTATACCAAACTTTATATTGTATGTGTGCCTTGATTACCTGGAATTCATTCTCTCGTGGGTTTATCTTGAAAGCAACATAGGACTACTCAAGGATTTTTAGAGAAGGAGCGCATGACAAAATTTGGGTTTAGGAGATGGCCTTGGCATCAGCATGAAGAATGGATTGGAGGGAAGGCCAGAGGACGCCTATCAAAATAATCTAGAAAGGAAATTATGTAGTTGAACTTAAAAACTGGCTATGGGGGTGGGGGTGGGAAATGTGGGAAAGATTTCAGAAATACTTAGTGGATATGGAAGATATTTAGAAGTTAGCATGAATAGCTACGGCTTGGTGACTAATTAGTTAGGTAGAGAGGAAAAAATCGTAAGTCTCAGGTTTTACGCTTGAGTAACAAGACAAAAGGAGGTACTATTAACCTGGAGGGGAAACATAGGACCAGTTTTAGGGGTGGTGTGAAGTTAGTCCTGTCAGGGTTTAATATTGACATTTTCACTAACTGGCTGCAAGATCCTGAGCCAATTTTTTAATCTCCCCAAGTCTGTTTACTCATTTGTAAAATGGAGATAACACTATCTACTTTAAAATTATTGTAAAACTTAAATAATATTTAACCCTTCTATGGAACTTACCATATGCAAGACACTTGTATGAGTATTTTATATGCATTAAGTTGCTTATCTTGAACAGTTACCCTATGAGGTAGGCATGTTTATTATCCATGTGTTACAGATAGGGAAGCAGAGGTACAAAGAAGTTTACTAACTTGCCAGAGGTCACAGAGCTGGAAAGTTAGAGATCTAAGTTTCAAACATATGCAGTCTAACACTAGAGAGTATGCCTCAACCAGTAATTTACTTCTCATTAAATACTAGGCACTTTGCATAATTATTTTTAGAGTGCTTTGCAGGTACCACATAGATAATAAATAGCTATTAAAATTTAACCATTTTATTTTAAAATAATTTGCAGGGGATATGTTATATGCATATATATTATTGAATGCTGGGATAAATTCAAGCCTAGTAAAAGACACTCATTTGGGGATTATAATTTAATTTTGAACATAAAAATGTACATCTTGAATCAGAACACATTAACAAGGTTATATGGCTCACGCCTGTAATCCCAGCACTTTGAGAGGCCGAGGCGGGCGGATCACGAGGTCAGGAGATGCAGACCATCCGGGCTAACACAGTGAAACCCCATGTCTACCAAAAATACAGAAAATTAGCTGGGCGAGGCAGCAGGCACCTGTAGTCCCAGCACTCGGGAGGATGAGGCAGGAGAATCGCTTGAACCTGGGAGGAGGAGGTTGCAGTGAGCCGAAATTGCACCACCGTACTCCAGCCTGGGCGACAGAGTGAGACTCAGTCTCAACAATGACAACAACAACAACAACAAAAAGAGTTTAGATACTTTCAGCTTGAGAACTTGACCTACTGGCATGGAGATACATGGGTCTGAAGTTGAGAAGAGTGATTGGAGCCCTAAGATGTAGATTGGGGTCTCCTCAACATTCAGATTACAGGTGAAGTCATGAAAATTGATAATATCACTTAGAAAGTGGGGGATGGGGAATGGGAACCTAGAAAATCTGCAGAAATGGAAACTGAGGAAAGCAATATGGCTAGACAAAGGCATAAAAGGTCACTAACTTCTACAAGCCTCCATGTCCTTATTTGTAAAAAATCAGTAGATCTTAGTTTTAGAGTGTGCTAAAAACTATCCCCACTTCTCCTATTTGTAGCTTTTGCTATGAAAAAAATGTAAACTTTGGCAGAGCAGCTGAAAGTAGACGTCCAGCCCTAAGCCTCAGAAAAAAAGAAAAGGCAAGCTTCATAGCTGTTGCTTTGCCATGGTAAATAATTAAGTGCTTTTCTTTTTCTTCTTTTTTTCAAAGGACCATTCAGATTGTTTCAGTTGCTTTTATTTATTCTACAGGATTTCAGCTTCAGAAACTCTCTTGCTGTTACTATGTACAGAAGTTTTGCATGGGAGAGTTGACAGAACAAAATGCTACCTTTAATACTCAAGAGGAATATTAATGGAGTGGAGAAGATAATGGGAGGAATTATAGTAAGCATCCTGTTTGCCTCTTAATAATAGGATTTATTTTTCACTTTGTTTAATCCTGTGTTTCCCAACTTCAGCTGGTAAACCATATAGAATTTTGTTGAATGATTATAACAGAGCTGCAGTACAAGGATAAAATACACAAAGATTGGAAGACTGAAGGGGAAGGAACATTCAAGCAGCTGTCTAGGTCAGAAAGGAACTAAGGGATGGAGAAAGAAAATGGGTGATGCCTGTACTTTTACCACCAGCTGGTAACCATCCCCCAATTTCAGAGAGGGTTTTGAGGGGATACGTGACTAGGCTAGCAAAGAACAGTACTGTGCATGCTGTGGTTGTTCATGAAGTGAAAAGTGGAGAAATCACAACCCTTTCCTGGAGGAAAGATTAGCAAATCTCCAAGATGACCCTCGGACCCAGAGTGAAATGGACTGAGCTAAATGTTTCTCTCTGGCTTCATCCAAAACTCAGTACATGCGGCAAAGACATCTAAGAGACTGAGCACAGTAGCAAGCACATCTAAGTTTTGCATGCAGACTGGGGAAAAGGACTAGGACATCATTGAGAGGCATTAGGTGAAATGAATGAGCTTCATGAATTGATTCACTGAGACATTCTCAGCATCTGTGAGTTTATATATTTAGCGTCTTGTAAATTATAGAATATTTCTCTATTAAATCCCATAATTCATTTTGTGAGTAGAGGATCTGTCCTATATTGTAAAAATAAACAAACCCAGCCAGACATGCTGGGAAGAACAGCAGTAGTAACATTCCATTAAACTACCTACCTGAGAATTTAATACAAAAAAAAAAGTTGCACAGATCTACGTATTATGTTACAGTAGAGCTCTACATCAATTTGGATATTTTTAGAAAAAGTGCTAAACATAAGAAAGAAATGTATCTAAGTTATTTACGTGATTCAAAATTCTTAAAATTTTAGTCATAGTCCTTAGTAGAAGATGAATATTTTGATTTAGGAAATATTTAGACAATATTTTAAATAAATGAATAAAATCTCTCTATTGAGTGCTTATTATGTATGAGTCAGGTACTGGGACATTGCTGTTACTAACACAAGTAGTTACAAATGGAATAGCTCCATTACCTTTATGGAGTTTATATGCCGGCAAGATGCTCCAACTCTAGGCAATAGCAAAGGTCTGTAAGGAATGCTCTTATCCCTGTATATTAAGCTTATCACAGCTCATACCTTTCTGCACTGTAATTCTTTGTCTATGCATCTGCTTAGATGTACCTATTGCCCAAACAGCTCTTAAAAGGATGGGGCTAATAGAAATTAAAGGTCTTCCCAGGAGACCAAGATAAAATCAAGACTAGTATTTATTCCCCATTTCAGATGAAATAGTTCAAGAAGAAATAATTTTAGGAAGTTATCAATCCTAAAGCTTAGAGTCCATACTACAGATATTTTATTCTGGAGAGGCTTCCTATGTTGTGTGAAGTTACTTAGCATTTTAAGAGTAAATGATGCAAAAACGAGAAGCTTAGAGCAAGCAATGGAAACAACTCTGACAGTATCTTCCTTCTAGTCCTTCTGGAAATATAACTGTCACTCATTTGGTCCATTTTTTTTCCCCCAGAGACTGATAACACTTTAAGGGAGCTGTTGTTGTGGGGTCATGGGGAAAAGTGTCCATAAAATGATGAATATGCTTTCACCATTAACTAACAGTTTTTGTTTGTTAACCTTCATCAAAAGTTTCATTCTATATGAACAAGGTTCAGAAAACCACCTGTAAAATGATCCTAGATTCTTATAAATGTTTAGCACAATGTTGCTTCTAATAGCATTTCCTAAAGCAGTGTAGGTGTTCATTAAATATTTTTGAAAGAGTATGTCAATGAATAAAGGTATGTGAAAGATAGCAACTCCATCATGTATTCAAACAAAATAGGTATTTCATGTTTGAGGGCTCAGTCTTAAAGTAGATATCCAGTTTACTTAAAATTTTGTATCTTCTCTGGAAAGACAGGATGCTTTGGGTTCTATTTTCTGAGACCATTGTATTGAACACACTAATTTTTATTACTTCACTTCTAAAACTGACCAGAATGAGATACAAGAAGTAGATCTTGCAATGGCATTTGCTACATTTTACATAAAGTTACAGTGAAGTTCCAACATGGGACCAAAGGAACCTCCAAATGAATTTCAATTAGACTGAAGTGTTCTTATTAAGTCATGGTCGTAAAACATGACATGACTAATATATATTTTTTTAATTTTCTAAAAATTTAAATGAGAAAAGTAATATTTATAAGACTTAATGAGAAGGAACAACATTAATGAAGAGATGAAACTAATAATAATTTATTTTTAAAAACTATCCTCATTTCACCTTTAAACATCACAAGCACTGAAGGGCAAACAATGGTTTTCCATTTGAGCACAGTCTGGAGTCCTTGGTGAATGAGCCAAGCTGTCTCCTATGTCCCCTCTAATGCTTGCCAATTTTCTGTCATTTCCTTCTTTGTACTATAGTGTTTGTGTGACAAAGGTCTCTGAGTATGTTTCAAAACATCTTTAGCTATTTAGCAGGGTACCAACAAGCACGTATCTAAAAGTGTTACTTCTCCACGTGGTTTGTCAGAAGATACAAATCAGAATTCACTTTACCCTTTTCCATAAAGAAATGACTTGAAAGCTTATTGTGGAACCAATGGCATACTTTGCTAAAAAAAAAAAAAAAAAAAAAAAAAAAAAAAAAAAAAAAATTCCAGTGGCTTAGCCAATTACTGTACTTCTATATACAACAGAACACTAAAACTATTTACTCAACTATATTCTTTTTATATTCATTGCACACTTATATCTGTTTGCAATCATTTACTTTTCCTGATGAGCATTTATTGTTTGTGATTGAACCACTGTGGATTAGACATGACTGAGGATTCTAGTCACATGATATGGAAACCCAACCTCATTCCCCTCCTCTAGTACCTCCTCTTGCTCCTCACAGGTGGCAATAAAGTAACCTGTTGTGAAGCGCGTTGCACACACTTCACAATTTTTATCTGAAGTGCACTTCACTCATTTTATAGCATTTCTTTATTTTTCAAAACAATTTAACCTGAAGCTTTGTTTGTAAATACTAAGAATATCAGATTAAATTCCTTAAGTAGTCATCTTAATCAGTAATTTGTGCCAAAAGCAAAATGAGCCGCAGTCACATCAAGAACTTTATATTTCTTTGCTCTGAAACATTTCCTTCCATTTAATCATCCCACTCTACAACCTTAAGCAGTCTTTTTCAATCATTTCTCAGCAGTTTAAAACTCTTTTTTTTTTTTTTTTTGCCTGACTGTAATTCTTGAGTTCCAGAGCTTATCTTTTCCCCAGGTGAAAACTGTTTTATTATCCTCAGGTGTTAGCTTTCTTGAACTCTTAGAACAGTTAATTACACAGTTATCATTATCCTTTACAAAAGTATCAGATTCCAAATAATTAGTATTTGCATAGTACATCATTTGAAAATATTTTTCCTTTCCTCTTGTCAGGATTACAGAAGTCTCATATATTGCCCCACAAATCCACTTTTATTATTTAGTCAGTTACACCTGAAAACAAGATAGGTTGCCTATTTCTCTTTGAGATAGAGATCCCATCTGAATTGTGAGTTCTCTCAAGGAGTGTCAACAAGTTTACCCCTTTGGAAGTATTAGCCTTAAATGGTTCCCCAGAATTCAGTCTAGCACCAACCAACCATTCCCCAAATAATAAAAGAAAGTGACCTTTTTTGTAAAGGCAAAGAAGCCTATCTAATTCTTTTCCAGGGCTTGTAGAATAGCAGAATAGCATGGAGAAACAGAAGGAACTGCTTTTCTTTTTTTGTATCAACCTTAATTGTGTCTCGAAATATGCATAACTTAAGTTGACTTTCTGTATAAGTAACGACTCTGTCATTCCTGGCGGTGTTGTCTGATCTTATGTAGCCATATTATGAAACACACCATATAATAAAAATTCTGCTATGTAACAAAATCTGCCCCCACCCCACAAATAAGACATGTGGCACCCACACTCAAGAAAATTTCTATGATCACTAATGATTAGTAAGTTTTATGTATAAAAAGATTTTTGTTTTCTTCTGTCTAGGAGTCAAATTGTTAAGATTGGTCTTTTAGGTTATTTCTTAAATATATTTGTCAGTTGTGACAGCAAGCCAAAAAACATTTTCAGAGTTCCATGAAAGAAGGTCATTCAAATTCTAGTCTCATTTTAAATACATATTTTTTCCAAGTTGGAAGAGGATAATCAAATTGGCCAGATTTTTAGAGCATCCTTCTGAAAAGATTAATCTTAAAAACCTATCAGAAAACATAAATAAGAAATCTGAAGGAAAAGAAGTTTCAGGTACAATTACACTTTTTGAAGTCACGAGAAGTTTGGGTTTTCTGACGTTTTCTAAGTAAAAGACATGAACTAGGCAACTAGAAATCCATAGCATCCTATGGAATTTAGAGACTTGTGGATATGTGAGGTTTAAGGGTTAAAAAGCAAATTTCTTTAACCATTTGGTTAAAACTTACAAATATGTTAAAAGAAGCATCACAGACTAAACTATTATATCAGATAATAATTACCTTTCTAGAGAGCCCAAAAATAATAGTTACTTACTAGATGAGAGTGCATCAACTACAAAGACATTTATAGCCACACTTCTAAACAAAAAGCATTCTGCTCACCAACTTCTAGAAGAGCTTGCTTTCGGAGATGTAGGACCTCAAGACTGGCTCCAGAGTCTTGCAGGAGCAGATGCAGAAAGTAAACAGGATTTCCACGGCATAGCAGCTGAGAACTCAGAAATGAGGCACAGGCTCTCAACCCTTCATCTATCCTTAAGGTTATCCTGACATCTGAAAGCCATTGACATCCTCAGCCTTCCAGCTCTTCGGACGCATGCCTAACACAAGTTAAATATAGATCCCTGACACCTGAGCCAAATGGAATGAAAGTTAACTTGAAAAATCTCACTCATTTTGGGCCTCAGTTGAGGAAAATAAAACCCTTAATCCTTTCCCTGCTAAAACCTGTTATTCCTGTTAACAGATGGTTGCTCTACTTATAAAACATAGAAATTCAAGTAATCAGTAATCAATAATCAATTTGCTTCACTTCATGATTACCATTTGCTCTGATAGTAAAGAGGAAGGCTCAGGTTTTCCTGTCTTAAGCATAAAACAACATAAAAGTGAATATTGATTACTATTGAGTCAACAAAACAGATTTTTGTTCCAGTAACTTTTGTTACTGGAAAGTCTCTGTAAACTTTCTTAGTATTTTTTCTCCTCTATGTTTTCAGTAGTCATTTGGTCATTTTTTGTTTGCCTCATTTAATGAGGCAGAAAATGTCATGCACTGCCAGAGTTCTTTGGTTTAAATTATTGTTTTTTGAATCTTTTTGAAGGGTTGTAGAATGTACTTGGTTTAAAAAATTTTTGCTTGGGACTTCTGGTAAACATGAATAAAGCTCTACTCTCAGCCCAAACAGACCCTGTGATGAAAGTTATTACTCTGAAGATATAATGACAAGATTTCTAAATTACTTTCTAGGATTTATATGTTAAGAATCTCTAATTCTATACTAAAACGAAGTGAACAGAGAAACTGGAAAAGTCATATTTCTCTCCTGATAGTTAAATATTTTCAATTAAAATTTCTTTTACAGAATCACATTAAAGGGAAATGATAGACTAGAGTTACCACTCTTTAAATGAAACTATTCTGTATCAAGTAGTAACCACTATCCACAAAAGAAGGTTGTTTTGTCAAATCACCATAACCAGTATTTTCATCATATTTTAATAATAGGTCCTATGTACTGAGCACTGCTCACGTGCCTGACCCTTTACGACGTAGATACCATCTAATTCACTCTCCTTTTCTAATCCCAAAATAAGCTTTCAAATTAATATTTTAGGCTCACTTTCCAGAGAAGAAACTGCAACTAAAAGGATAAGTTTTGACAATGGACACATGGTGAATAACTGATTCATTTGAGAGTCTAACCCACAAAATTTTGACCCACAAGCAAGTTTTCTTTTCCATCCTACAACATAGTTACAGGCTAAAAATGAGTTTCATCCACACTTTATCTGTATCAGATTAGCCACCCTTTGAGCAAGTCCAAAGCTTTTTTGCTTTTTTGTTGCTTAAACAAAGTTACAGAAAGCACAGAAATGGTCCCTAAAGAGTATTGCTATGACACCAGGACATTCCCAGAAGCATTATGTCCCTAAGACAGGAAAAAGAGAGAGGATCCATAAGCCACCACTCCAGCCACGGAGATTTCTCATTTCTTGCATTTATGCTTTTCACGTTCTCCTTGCCAGTTTGTATGAGCAGATTTTGATCTTCCAGATCCTGGAAGGCCAGCCCTGATGGCTACCTCTCAGCCAGTCAGAGGTCTGATATGTGACAGAGAAAGGGACAATCAGGTGGCAAGGAGTTGGCCCTTTAGGTCAGATGGTCTTTACGTGAAAAGTAGGGTCACATATTTCCAAATATTGTAGAATGTGAACTTTTTAATTAAGGAAAAAAATGTTGTTCCCTATGTGTAAAAGGTTTCTCTATTATTTGAACTAGGAACTTTTAAACAAATTATTTTATCAAAGAAGAAGGCATGTTAAAAATTCAGTGAACACAGCTATGCATATTTTCTAGGAACACAGTAAATATCATAGACTGCCTCTGACATTGTAAGCACTGTTATCTTCAAATATGGATTATGTCCCATAAGAACAGGAAATCCTGTATTTCCTTTCCACGAATCATATATGCATTATCATTAAATTGTTTACTCCCTGCTGGGCATGAGCTTATAGGGATAGGTGGTGAGGGAGAGGGAAAAGTTGTGGTAGATTGTGCTAAAAAGCACGATGGCTCTGTGGTAAATCACTGAGACAAGACCATTGACTCCCTCCATTTAGGGAATCCCTAGAAGTTTTCTTCACCAACTGTCTTCAAACCTGAACATTTCATCACAGAATGTCCATTGAAACTTAGGACTTTTTTTTTTTCCCCAATTGGTTGTCTGGCCTAACTTTAAGCCATTAAAGTTGAACCAACAATCCTGTTGCTAATAGTAGCTGTTTCCAGCTGTTGCCAGAATGTCCTTCACAAGACAGTATCATAGAATTTCCCATTTCTGTGTGAACATCTTTTTCTCAAAACAAGTAATTAAGCTCATCTGTACATATGCAAAGCATCATCAATATACAGGCAGTAGTAGGATTCATGTTTTCACTCCTACCCAGCACTTCCCATGTCCTGTTTCTCTGAAGTCTTCTGAGTGCTATTCCTCTTTCAGATAATTCTCTCTATTCCATTGCCATCATCCAATGTGCTTGAAGTATTATTAATGACATTTACTTCATCCTTGTGTATGTAATGCTGAGTGTGTTTAGGACTTTTAAAATTAATAGTCCATTGTGTAAAAGTTAATGGTGAACTGTTTTTGAACCCCTGGCTCTGAAACGCAACTGGGAAGGAACAGTTTGTGGCCTTCTAGAGAAATTCTGGCATAAACCCCTCTGCCCACTTGAAAACAATGAGTATTATTCAACAAGATGCTTACACATTAACCTTGCTACCTTGTGTTTAGGAAAAATATATTTGAAAAAATGCCCTTGTATCATTATTAGCTTGCCTAAACTATAAATTCAGGCTCTGAAAAATACTTGAGGGCTAATTTGTAAGTGATTCTATTAGTGCACTCTTATTACCAAGGTTTTTTGTTTACTTGCTTGTTTGTTTTCATGGAATAAACAATTTCACCCAAACACATCCTTCATTAGGAGCATTTTTCTACAGGAGAGCTATGACAAAGGTTTACTATTAATCTTCTCAGCTTAACTTGCTTTTCTCTAATCTAGCATATGTGAAATGTCCTTATTCTAAACATCAGATTAAGGTAAAGTTTTTATTGCCATTGCTGCTCACAACTGACTTTAATATATATATTTGTTTTCTCAAACAATGCTAAGAGAGAGAATTTTAAGTGTTTGTACCACATACATGATAACTATGTGAGGTAATTTATATGTTAACTAGCTAGATTTAGTCATTCTACAATCTATGTATACTTCAAAACACATCATGTTTTATACAATAAATACTCACAATTTTATCTGCCAATTTAAAAGTAAAATAACATTATACATGTTTGAAAAAGCTGACTTTAGGGAAGAATGCTTACTCTGTGTTTGGTCTTCAAAAATAATGAAGATTAATGGAAATATATGCTATTAAAATAATTTAATGGAGTAATGTTTCAAATCTTTGAAGCCTAAAATTATTGCTAAATTAGTATCCTTATTTATTTCCTCCATTCTATTGTCATCTTCATTAATTATAAAAGCCTTGACAAGAATTTGCAAGAAACAGTATAGTCCCAAAGCAGCATTCTTCCCTTTTAAGATGGTTGGGTTACCAGTTAATCATTTTTCATTCAAAAGCAAGATATATTGCAATTCTATTTACATATATGTTTTGTGCTACTCCTTTGGGGAAAAAGTGGTAAAGAGCCAAAATTTGTGCTCTCAAGTATATTATTGTTTAGTGAAGGGAAAAAAGTTGCAATGTGATAAGCTAGACTGAGAGATCAGAGAGGCTTCCCTAATAGATGCACGCATATATATATATGTGTGTGTATGTATATGGATATATAATGTATGTATGTAAATATATGGATATGTATGGATATATGTATATGGGAATGTATGTATATATATTTGTGTGTGCATATGTATGTATATACGTATGTACATATATGTATATACACACATACACACATATACACATACATACACATATACACACAAATATGTATACATACATTCCCATGTACATATACATACAAGATTTTTAGATATTAGTTTATTTAGCTAATGTAGCTTTATGTACATTGAGCTAAATAAACCAATATCTAAAAATGAGTCAGCTTTAACTGGCAAAGAATTAAGGAAAGCATTCAAAGGTAAGGGAGCAGCAACTGCAATGAGCCTGCCAGGGACAGCTAAGAGCACAGCAGGTTTAAATAACTGAAAGCAGAAAGCAGAAGGCCAATGCCCCTGGATGACAGAGAACAGGGAAAATAAGAGATGATGCAGAAGGTTTAGAGATGGGCCAGATATCACAGTAGTTTGTAAGGATTTATCCCAGGAACAACAAGAAGTCTTTGAAGTATTTTAATCTGGAAAGATTCACGATTGGATCTGAGTTACATTGAAAAGAAAAAGTCTCCAACAGCAGCATGGTTAATGGGTTGAAGAGAGATAAGAATTCAGGTGGAGAAACCAGTAAGGCAATTATGCTTGACTGTAATGGTAATATGGCCTAAAAAGGATGCAGAAAAAAGTGGAGAAAAAACGATGGATTTAAGACATATTTAGAAAGTAATATCAACAGGTTTAGTGGTGGTAGTGGTGCGTGAGGAAATGAGAGTGAGATTAATTGAAGAAGTCTTTAAATGGGAGCTATTCTAGAAATCATTCTGTATCCTACCATGAACACTCATTCTTTGGATAACATATGAGAACACATCTAGCTACATGATTGGTATACAGCAGGTGCTGAAAAGATATTTCCTGAATGAAAGAATAAATGAATGAGTGAATAGAATTGAATCCAATGTCAGCACGAACGAACAGTGATATTGAAACGTCAGTGTATCTGTTTAGTTTGGTTATCATAGGAGGCTTTCAAAAGGCTATGGCAGGGAGAGTTACAACACACCAAGTGACACCGTAGACACTATGAGTCCAGGGAGATACAAGTTAATTCTCACAGAGAAAGGACCAAAGGAAACTAAAAGAAACCCAATACTAAAAGGAATAAAGTTAAGCATGATTTACAGAACTTATGCAAGAGTCTTGCACACATCTGGCTATGTGCATAGAGCTTGTAATCTAATGGAAACTTGGGTCCCCCTGGACCAAGAACAAATAATATCCATAGGACATAAAGTCCCTCTTCCAGCACAACAAAACAACAGGCTGGTAGCCAATTATGGTAGCAGCCAAGCAGATGTCCCACTGTTTTTTAAATCAGACAGAGAGCCTTGGTTTGTTATCATTATTACTTCCATGCTGTAGCACTTATGTTTATGAAACTTTGTTTTGATGTTATCAGATAGTAATCAGTAACGATCAAACAATTCTTATTGTAATTTTTTGACAAGCATGGTACAAGGCTGTATCTAGTGAACTATAGCTCCATCCTCTTTCTTAGAGCAAAACATGGAAGGATTAAGTACTATGGTTCTGAGGTAGACTGAAAAGTTCTAGCAAAGCTCTGCAATTGAGACCTCCAGCCCTTATAATACAGTTCATATACCACTCTTTCAATTTTGCCTATTTTTAAATGTAAAGATTAGAAAGTGACCTTCTTGGCTGCTGTTTCCCTGTCTACTTCTGGGTTCCCACTGCTCTACCTGCGTTCTAAGTATAGGGATCTATCAAGGTCTAGGCTATGTTTTTTTCTTTTCTTCCTATATCTTCTCTTCCTTGATAATGCATTTTTCTCTGTGGGTCTAATTTAGCACCTCTGCACAATTAATTCCAAATTTTAATTTTTGACCCCTAAATTTTATCCTAATTATAAGATTAGTTAGCATTGTTACGACTTTTCTACATACTGGTACAGTGTTTATTATCTCAATATTTTTTAACTCTTGGGGTGATACTAATATTTGCTTTACAACTTAAATAGAGGCTTAGAAAAGTTAAGTAATTTACTGTACTGTTATGGTGCCCCACATGGCCAGACTTGGACCTAGATCTCCATGGATCTGGGCCTTGAACTCTTGGATACTCTGGTGTGATTGACTCACTGTGGTGTAACTGCATGTCAACCTTTTGTGGCTGTCTCTTCTCAGATGCCTTAAACACACATCTCCCCCTCCCTAAGTCTGTGTTCTCAATCTCCATAAATTTCATCACCATACCTACTGTCACTCAGCTTGAAATTGTCACCCATACACCCAACCATCTTCCAATTTCTAACAGTTTTAACTTCACCATATTTTTTTCTATTTGTCTCCTGTGTTTTATTTTTCACTGCATCCACTTAAGTCAGGTTTTAATCACCACCATGTTGACCACTGCCATCGTGACCTACTTGATCTTCCTGCATGAAGATTTGCTCCCTTCTCATTTATCAGATTAATCTTCCTAAGTCCCAAACTTGATTATTTGACTTATTTAAAATAAAACATTAATAATCCTCATTGCCCAGATAATGGACTTCAAACTCCTCAGTATTTAAGGCCCTCACCTATTGTTTCTATTTTGAATCATCTGTTCTTCAATGAAATTGTCCCTGCATTCTCACTTTTCATCTCTCACTGCTTCAAATAGTTCTTATATCTAGAATTTTCCATTCTCTACTAAATGTTACTCTCCAGATTCAGTGATTCTTAACAAGGTGTGTATACTTGAAGCATTGAAAAAATAATAACATGTCCAATATACAACCTGGTCAAATCAAATCTAAATTAATGGGTATTTCCATGTTTAAAAATTACTGCTTGTGCTACCACTGGCCCATAGGATAACTGTGCAAATAAAAGAAGCCATTTCTTCATGGCATTTTACTGCACCCTGCAAGAAAATTGGCATAACATGTATATACATTATATATAGGACATGTATATCATATATATCATGTATAACGTATGATGTATATATATGATGCATCATACATGATATATATTTATAAGTATGCTTGCTGTACAATATTGTATATTTCATAATATATGTATTAATATGTTAATAATAAGTTGTACCAAATTGGATACTATTTCATAATATATAATATGAATGACACCCTTTAGTACTGGGCAGTGTACAGCAAGCATTACCATATTCAGTAGCACACAGTGGTGTTACCTTAAGATTCAGTGGAGGTACCTTATCTCTGTGCTGTCTTCTTCATTTCCCCTTAGGCAGTAAAAACCCTTCCTGTATTGACCTCTCATAATATTGCATATCAGGCTTTATTTTACCTGTACATTTAAATCTTATTTTATCATACTTAGCAACGTATTTAACCTCACTGGTGTAATTGGGGGCTTATTCATTTAATTTAACAGACAGTTCCCAGATACTGAACAATTATTTAATAAATGGATTTCATGTGAATCATAGTTTTAGAAAGAAACATTCCAGACTGGCAAATGTGGTGATTTTATGGATTTTTAAAAACTGTACTTATTTCCAAAGGTATTTGAAACAGCAGTGAACAACATAAAACCAATGGTGACATAAAATAAATAACAAAGAAAATAGTCATGAAGGAGAGGAGATGAATTTTCCCCAAAACCTTAGCTAAGGACTGTTAGTTCACTGGAGCTCAAGCTTGGTGTCTCCTGGCAGCCAGGACCACGAAGGAACTGCTTTGTGTTTCAAAGCTCTCATCAGATACAGGAAAATGTAGCAGTCCTTCGGAAGACATCATATTTCTTCATGCACTAAACTCTAAGATAACTTCATTATGTTTGTCTTTATAAAAAATAAACATTAGGCCAGGGTGCGGTGGCTCATGCCTGTAATTCCAGCACTTTGGGAAGCTGAGGTGGGAGGATTTCTTGAGCTTAGGAGTTTGAGACCAGCCCCCTGGCAACATAGCAAGACCTGTCTCTACAAAAAATAAACAAAAGCAGCCAGATGCGGTGGCATGTGCCTGTAGTCCCAGCTACTTGGCAGGCTAAGATGGGAGGGTCACTTGAGCCTGGGAAATCAAGGCTGCAGAGAGCTATGATTGCGCCACTGCACTTGAGCCTGGGCAACTGAGCGTCTCAAAAAAAGGAAAGAGTAAATATTAAAATATTAAATGTCTTCAAAGCATTCTAATACAGGGTTCGGAAGTAGAGATTATCTTCAGATATTCAGAATCTATAACACTTCACATGATTTGGCCCTTGACTAGTTCTCTATCCTTATCTCTTACCATATTTCACTTCATGTACTCTACCAAAATACACAGCCCCTTCTGGAAAATGCCAAACTATATTCCGCCTCTGGACCTTGCACTGGCTGTTCAGTCTACTTAGAATCCTTTGCCCCCAGACACTTGTGTGCCTGTTCTGCTCCCTGTCTTCATTTAGCCATTATTTCAAATAACCTCTCGTCATACCCTATCATCTAACCCACTTTATTGCATTTATTTATTTATGCTACCTGATTTTATTGCACATTAGTTTGTCTGGTATTTTAAAAATCTTTAATATCTTTCACATGAAAATGTCAGCTCCTTGAGGCCAGGGAAGTTTTACTGTCCTGTTCATTGCCATATCCACACTGCTTAGAAGACTACTCAGCACATAGAAAACACACCAGAAATATCTGTTGGCCAGTTGAATAAACTATTTCTCGTATATTTACTTATCACATTAACTCACAATGAAAAATGTTCACAGTTTAATGATGAACCTTAATTCTATGAAATAATATCTGTGAAGAATGAAAAATCTATAGTCCGATACATAGCTTAAAATTGTCGGCCGGACGCGGTGGCTCAGGCCTGTAATCCCAGCACTTTGGGAGGCAGAGGCGGGCGGATCATGAGGTGAGGAGATAGAGACCGTCCTGGCTAACACGATGAAACCCCGTCTCCACTAAAAATACAAAAAATTAGCCCGGCGTGGTGGCGGGCGCCGGTAGTCCCAGCTACTCGGGAGGCTGAGGCAGGAGAATGGCGTGAACCCGGGAGGCGGAGATTGCAGTGGGCCGAGATCGCGCCACTGCACTCCAGCCTGGGTGACAGAGAGAGACTCCGTCTCAAAAAAAAAAAAAAAAAAAAAAAATTGTTTGTCATGATACACAAAATGATAGGAATGAATAGCAAAAAAAATAAAATAGCAACCCTAATGTATTCATTTTCTGTTGCTGCATAACAAATTACCACAAACTGAGTGGCTTAAAGTCATACCCATTAATTACCTCATAGTTCTGTGTGTCAGAAGTTGGGCGTGGAATGGCTGGATTCTCTTCTCAGTGTCTCACGAAACTAAAATCAAAGTTTTGGTTGAGCTGAATTCTGATTTGGCACTTAGGGTCCTCTTCTAAGCTCACAAGATTGTTGACAGAATTGAGTTCCTTAAGGTAGTAAGACTGAGGTTCTCCTTCGTTGCTGGCTATCAGCGAGATGTTGTCCTCAACTTCTAGAGGATGACCTCAGGGGCTATTTTCTCCTTCCACTTTATGTATTTACTCATCTATTGATTGATTGATATATTACGTTTCTCAGTAAGTGTAAAGCATTTATTATATTTAGTTTTTGTTATTCTTATTTTCAATTAATATTTCTAAACATTTTCTGACCTGTGGCCCATTTTTATATTTATACATAAACCCTCCAGTTCTTAAAAATATTATTAATTTTTACATTATAAGATAAAGTTAGATTTTTAATTATATTAGTAAATTGTTAAGGATTATGTATCGTTAATAATACCCCAATGAAGAGCTAAATTTGATTCTTTCATACTAATAAATAAATTTTACTCTAAAATAATCAGCTAATAAAAGGATAATGTGTTAACACATAAATTATGTTTTAATGTATTGTGTTTTAGTACCAAATATACAGTGAAAAGTAACCTGAAATTTAACTACCGTTTTGGTCATCGAATATAGATAAACACTTCTTTTATTAATTGCTATTTAAATTTTTGTATTTCACATCTTAAATTATATTATTTTGTTTTTCATATTTTGGGTATTTAATTTCTTAATTATGAGGTAAGAAAGAAGGTGCAGTCTGCTTAATAAATATAATAAATATACTTCTCCATCCATGTGAATTGTTTTTATACTAATAAAACATTAAATATGTGTATATATATGTGTGTGTATATATATGCGTGTGCGTATATATATATATATATATATATATATATATGATACATTTTCTTTCTGATAATTGGTTTTGAAATACCAGAGACAACGCTTCTTGCTTTGTTGGAATATGAATCAACTGAATGTAATTTTCAAATCCGATAAAGATGGTGTTGCAAATTTACAGATAGAGATTTCTCTACTTTCAATTGTGGTTTTCAATATACTTATATTTGTCAATACCTTTAACCAATGATATCTAAAATAACTTTATAAAAATAAAGATTTAAAATTGAATAATGTTTGAAGGTCTCCTTATATCTAGGACTGCTCAGTTTGATAAGTTGAATGTGTGCTCATTTGACAACCACTAAGAGGATCTGAAACTGCTGATTTCCTTTTCAAGCAGTTAGAGTCCAAATTGATTTTAAAATCGAAATGGAAACAGACACATTTACCATTTTTGTTATTGTTAATCCCTGAATATTGGAAACTAGTGGTTGGGAAAAACTGTAGTACAATAGTAGATAGATGATAGTTATAATAGAAAGTAGCTAATTATTAAACTGTAAGATATGCATAAATAATTTGCTTTGACATCTCAGAAGGAGATGAGGAAATGCAGAGATAATAGGATATTATGTAAAACTTTGAAAAAATTCATAGGATATGAACATGTGGAAAGGGAAAGAAATGAGCTTCTAGGCAGAGCAAACAGTTTAAAAAAAGACTTGGAGGCCCTTAAACATATGGGATATGTACATGAAGCAGAGAGGCATTAAGTTTGCCTGAAGCTCTGCCAACTCAAGAAGTAGGAAATAATTTTCAAATTTGGGAAAAAAGAAAAAGAAAACTGAGGAAATATCACAGAAAATGTTAAATGCTTGGGCAAGGTATCCATTCAGTAGGAATTGAGGAGACACTGAAAGGGTATGGAAGGTTAGTGCAAAGGTTTATTCTCTTCATGTTTGGCATATCTTGGCTTATAATTGCTCTTTGCTTCATTATTTTCAACTGTCCTTGAAAACCTAAGTGTCTCAGATTTGTAAAAAAAGAACCTTAGAATGATATTCAAGATACCTGTGGTATCTTTTGCCTTGATGTTTCTGTTATTATTATTATTTTAAACTTTGCAATTCCTTATTTTCCACGATCTCCCATTTCCTTATTCACAAATTGGCATCAAATTGCCAGATTTGTATACTTTACTTTGGAACTCTAAGTGTATAAATTGAATATGTTTTGCCATACTATTTTGGGGGTATGATCTAGGTACCTCTAAGAAATACTTTTATTTTAGCAAATATTGTATATCCTTTAGAACAATTTACAATTAGAGGAAGATACGGGGTGGTGGGCATGTCAAGTTCATGTATCTTATTACCAAATTCAGATTATAATCAGTGGTCATGTCCATGGTTCAGGAGGTGACACAACATATAGCCAGAAATCAGTCATAAATACGAGGGTATAGGAGAAGAGATTTCATCTCTATCAAAATTGAAACATTTTTAGCATAAAACCTAAGACCTAATATTATATAACAAGATATCTTTATATTTGTGTGTGAGATACATTTCAAATAGCCATTTAATAACTCATTGCTATAGTCTCTTCGATGATAAAGAAAACTTATACATTTTCTGTTCATACTTGTTTGATATATTATCAAAATTAGGGACTGTAGTCATAGATTCCTGAAAGAAGTGAGCTCAGGATAGTGACATTAACCCTTGCCTTACTGTTTGTAGATGTAATACCAAATTTTAATCTTTGATGGAATGTTTCTGACCAAAATTAGTATGTAAAGTATATGCTAATACTTGGTTTAATTCTGGTTTATTATCTTAATGTCCTAATTGATCCATAAACTTGAACATCTTTTGCATTACAGAGCACACTTGTAAGCAATTTTGGAAGCTCCTAAAATTAGGGTTGGGGACTTTCACTAATATTTTTAGTTCGCTTTTTATCTAGAAGTTATATATTTTGTTTTGTTTACATCAAAAGAAGTACAGAGAATAACATTGTCTGTGTTTTTGCTTTTCCCCTTAAATGATACATAATAGACAAATTTAATATTATAAGGAGAATATTAAGCCATGGAAATACTCAGCTGTATTTTAAAGACAATTATTAAAAGTTTACCTGAATACTAAGATACACTTACAATGCAAATTGGAATGTTTCCCCGTAAGACTTTTTTTTTTTTTTTTTTTGCATGGAGATCACAGTTAAGCAAGTTGGAGTGTGCTGTCTATTTTTTTCTTAGCTTCATCTGGTATCTCCATATACTGTGTCTGTCTCCTTCTCTTTCCCTTTCCACACTTTTCCCTTAGAGCTTCCTTCCTTGTCCCTAAAACATTATTCCAAGCTGCCAGCTCAAGGACTCTATACTGTAATGTCCTGCAAATGACCTCATGGAAGCTATTAGTAGGTATAAATTTTAAGATAAAAAAGAGAAGCAAATAAGAAGCCATAACCTAGTCTAAAGGAAACATCTGGTCCCTACCAGAAGTGATGTGCTAAAAATGAAACACAGAACTGTGGGATTTGAATTTTAAGTTAATAACAATGAACACGATATAGAAATGGGTGATTTAAGCAGCTAAGATTTCAAGGTCTAACTCTTGATTAAGGTTTATATGACATTACCCCTTCCAGGAAACTTAGAAACATAGGAGACTGATTGTCTTTCATGTAAAGGATTAAATGCAAGCAAAATTCATAAAGCAGAAAATATTTGTGATACTTGTGTTTTTTGATTGACAGCAGATACAGTTAGGCCTACTCAGTCTTTCTGTAAACTTTTCTTCCTGTACAGTTACAAGTCAACTTTATACTCATTTTGTTCATAAGGACAATATCTAAAAATATCTTTTATTATTATTTTTTGTCTTTTAACTTTATGTTGTGGACATCTTAGAGAGTAGAGATAATGGTATAACATAGAGCCCAGGTGATCATACCTCAGCTTCAATGTTTATCCACATTTTGCCATTTGGGCAGTAAATCACTTTTAGATATTCAGTCTAAAAACCTTAACATAAAGGACAGACATGATATAAACGGATATTTGAATATTGGAATTTGGAGGCTAAATCAGAGATTAGATAAGAATTGCAATGACCAAGGTCCGAAGTCACTAGGAAAAAACAGTCGCTAAATTTTATGTTTGTATTACATGCATGCTAATTCACAACACAGAACTGATTGGATTTATTTAGCTACTGTGTGCTAATTGTAGTATTAAAACATCTGCAGGATCAAAGAGATCATATACAACACTGAATCCAAAACTGTCACATCTACTTTTCTTGATGATACCTCAAATAAAAACTCTATTCCATTGCCTTAATGCTAAATAGAAGCTTTGGCCCATTACAATATAAATTCCCTTGGAGGTCTGGCAGTTATTTGCAGGTCATGACTCAGCGTTAGCCAGTTTACCCTTGTTCATCTTAGGGCCTGTTACATTGAAGGCTTTCCATGAAATTGACTGAATGAATTGTTTCAATACGGAATGCAATAAAACACATTTCTAGGTACCAGTACAGGCAATTGAGAGATAGATGTGTTCAGATTTTCGATTTCTTAATAATTCAATCTTGGTAGATTGCACATGTTCAGTAATTTATCCATTTCATCTAGGTTTTTCCAAATTGCTAGCGTATAATTGTTCATAATAATTTCTTGTGATCTGTTGTATCTTTTCCCTTAGATCTCAGCATTCTCTCCAACGTCGAGCCATTCTTTGTGACTTCTTTGGTATAGATTTTCTAGATAAGTCTGACTTTTGAGAAAATCTTTGGATGAATTGTGATTATGAAAATCAGACTGACACACACATGCATAAAGTAACTAATTCAAAACAAATGGAAATTAATAGAGCCACCTCAAGTCACACACAAAGCTAAATGCTTTGCTCAGGATTCTACGGCAATTAGAAGCCGACTCCATCAGACTCTTGGTCTTTTGACCACATTGAGCTTTTATGTCCAAAGCATAACTTAGGGCTTATGTTCCCTCATTGTGCAGTTTATACCTATTCTTGTACCACCACTACTTCTACGCCTCCCTTACAGATTATAGTTATCATTAGCCAACAAATTAGAAGCCCCTGGAGAGAAATGATTATGGCTTTGCAGTCATCATTGTGTTTAGTAGTAAGTACCCAATAATATATCTGATTAGCAGTCAGAGAGCTAACACATTAACCATTTCATTTAAGCCTCATTAAATCTCTCATGTAAAGAACACTACAGTGCAGATTATTGACTAGATGAGGAAGCTATCTTATTTATCATCCAGGTATTATTCTTTATCCTTGTTCCCAGACCAAGTGACACCAAATGTCAAAACGTTGTTTGATTATAATATCCTCCCTTATCTTGGTTATCAGCTGTTTTTACCCTTACAACTTCAGTTCTGAATGGAGAATAATTGTCTAATAGATTATCCATGAATCTGTCATACACTGTCAGATATTTTCCAAACACTGTCACTCAAATGACTTCTCAATACTCAGCTGCCTCAATTAACCTTTGAGATCAAAGGCCCCATTTTTTTTTCAGATAGGGTTCACTCTGTCACTCAGGCTAGAGTGCAGTGGTGCAATCTTGCTCACTGTAGCCTCAACCTCTTAGGTTCAAGTGATCCTCCCACCTCAGACTCCCATCACTGAAATTACAGACATGATGTGCCACCATTCTCAGCTAAGTTTTATTTTTACTTTTTTGTAAATATGGGGTCTCACTATATTGCCTAGGCTGGTCTCAAACTCCTGGGCTCAAGCAATCCTCCTGCCTCAGCCTCCTGTGTCACTGGGATTACAGGTATGACCCACCACACCCAAGTCACATTTTCTCATCTGTGAATGAAAGGTGTTAGAATCCTGGGCCCTGAAAGGTTAGATTGTAATTATATGGATTCTAAACTTGGTCTTGAACTCATCACTATATAAATTTGAACTTGACATGCACAAAAGGCCTGAAATTCGAGTCAAAGTTTTTTACTATGCTCTGCAGATATTTGCTATCATCAATATCTAGGAATAGCAGACAAAATGCAATATAGTAAAAGGTATTTGGAAAATCAGAAAAATTCTCCCCCAACCAAATAAAAAAGTGAATCCAGCAGAAGCAAAGCCTAAATGAATGAAGAGGATTAGATTGTCATGATGAATTTAGGAAGTACAACTATGTTAAATCTATGATCCCTTTAAAATTTTAATAACATTTATTATTATTATTTTTATTATTATTATTTTTAAGACTGAGTTTTGCTCTTGTTGCCCACGCTGGAGTGCAATGACGCGATCTTGGCTCACCGCAACTTCCGCCTCCTGGGTTGAAGCGGTTCTCCTGCCTCAGCCTCCTGAGTAGCTGGGATTACAAGCATGCACCACCACGCCCCACTAATTTTGTATTTTTAGTAGAGACAGGGTTTCTCCGTGTTGGTCAGGCTGGTCTCGAACTCCTGACCTCAGGTGATCTACCCGCCTCAGCCTCCCAAAATGTTGGGATTACAGACGTGAGCCACCGCGCCCGGCCCTTTTTTTTTTTCTTTTTTAATTTTTTGATGCTATGCAATAGTTGCTCTTTGCGAAGTGCCACTCTCAAGTAATAATAAGTATCTCACTGGAAAGAAAGATACAAAGGTAAATCGAGTGATTATCCTTAGATAGCAGAATAAATGATATATATATATATATATATATGTTTTCCATTTTAATTATTTGCCTAATTATCTATAAAGAGTGTGTTCAGCTTTATAGAGAAAATAACAAAAACTACTAATATGTAAAATGGAAAATCATGACTAGAAGCACAATATAAAGACAACGGTTTGAATATTGTTCCAAGGAAATATCACTTTAGATAGTTACACCTGCCAGAGTTATTATAACCTGCCAGAGTTATATTTACACTTTTAGTTTATGTAAGAGTATAGCAATAAAAATGCAAATGTTTATTTACATATGTTAGTATAAGAAACTGTCTCACAAATTGGTTTTTATAGTTATCTTATGAGTATTACTTCAGTTTAAAATTAGTATTCATTCAATTTGGGGGGAATTGGTTAAGCAATTGAAGATTCCTTACAGACTTATACAAAATAGTACTTCAAATCATTGACTTCATAGACTTGGATCAGTTTTTTTCCTTCTTGTACCTTCCTCTCCCAAATCATCTACAAAATCCAAGATTTGTACAGCTTTGATAAAAATCTAGTTTCAAAGGCCAAGAACTTGATGGAGAGAGCAAGCAGAATGGCTTACGAACAATTGTCTTTTATCTGGAAGATTCGGTAAATGAAAAGAGAATACATTTCCTTCCTAGAGAAATCAAGCTGCAAATAAACAGAATGAGCTTATATCCTAAATTCCGACATCTTTTGTACACCTCATTCCCAGAATGTCTCTTTTTGCAATACTAACACTATTTCCAAAGTCTTGGGTACAGGTAACTGATAACATTAAAGCTTCTGACAACAGAGATTATTTTTTAAAATGTCATAATGTTTAGCTCTTTGACAAGAGACAGATAAGATACCTTAGTGCTTTTCTCAACTATCCCTCAGCACAGCCATTTTCTAATGTTTGTTGTACATAAAAGTAGAGTGTACTGATCGCCCATTTTTTGCCAAATATGTAAAGATAATGGAAAGTGATTTTGGAGGTGATCAGAAGACAATGGTGTGCAAAATAGGAAAAATCCAATATGAATGGGGAGCCCCTTTCCTTTCAATTTTTTAAAAGGGACATGTCAGAGATTTTATGAAAGAACATTCTAAGACTTTCCCAATCCTCCTATAATTCTTTGGGACAAAACCTGCAATGAATTTCAGATAAAAATGAAGTACAAACAATATCAATGAGTTCACCAGACAACCCCCCCACCTCCACACACACACACACACACACACACACACACACACACACACACACACACAATTCAGGGTGCATGCTCTATGTTGCAAAATATGTACCTATTTCTTGCTTTTGATCATGGATCAAGTGGCCTAATAACTTCTGACATGATTAGATTCAGAGTGTTATTGAAACCTCTTTCTATCAGCAAACTATAACAGCATGGTTGTATCTATTGGGCTTCCAGTGCAATGTGGTAGCTGTTCTGTGAGTTCTTCTTTTCCCCTTTACTTTGCCTTGTTCCTTGGGCTTCTTCTATTCCCTTTGTCCTGTGCCACAGTATCTGATCACATGATCAAGGCACTTAGGCAATGTACTGACACACCTCCTGCCTTCCTGGCACTGTGGTCAGCATACTTAAGGTAGAGATTATCATGGGAATTTCTGACTGGGTCTATGTATTTAAAATGATTGAGCAACACATACAATATCAGCAGCAAAGTGCAAAAAGTGCTTGAAAATAGAGGAAAGGACAGAGAAAAATGGTGAAGCAGTAACAGAAGCAAAGATAAATGGATACAAGATGGAAGAAAATACGACAATGTCTTATAAAAATCATATGTCTAAGGTCTAAATTGTAGTTACTGTTCACAAAGAGCAATGAGAAATTCTGAATTCTATTTTTTATTGTATATAGTGAAGTATTTATTTTTTTAAATTTTCTATATTCATAAGGTACAACATGATGTTTTGATATATTTATACATTGGGGAATGATTAAATCTGGCCTATTAACTTATCCATCACTGCACATACTTATCCATGTTTTGTGGTGAGAACCCTCAAAATCTACTCTCTGGGCAGTTTTCAAAAATACAATACATTGTTATTAACTATCATCCACATGCTGTATAATATAAGTCCCAAACATTCCCCCTGTCTAACTGACACTTTGTATCTTTTAACCAAGAACTCCCCAAGCCCCCCTGGTAACCACCCTTCTAATCTCTCTACCTCTGAGTTCAACTTTTTAAGATTCCACATATAAGTGAGATTGTGCAGTATTGGTCTTTCTGTGTCCGGTTTATTTTACTTAACAGTTCTCTCCATGTTTATCCATGCTGTCAGAAATGACAAGTTCATTCTTGATGCAGTTCTGTCAAAACCATCCCTAAGAACCTCAGGAAAATCACTTGGGCAAGCTCCCTGGGTTCTCTTTTCTGTTAAATGGAAATAAATATATTTGGCCTGCTGATCTTGCAGCCTTGTTCACTGTGGCATGGCCAGTGCCTGTAACAACACGTGGGACTGAGCAGGAGCTCAGTACAGCTGTGAACACCCAGAATGAAAGCCTTGCAAGACTCAAACACCCAGGGCTCTTCCTAAGAAGAAATCTGAAATAAATGGAAGTCTATTTTCACTTCCTTGCCTCCCATTCTCATGAAATTTCACTGTTTTACTATCGGCCTTTCCCCCCTCCCATGACCAGGAGCTCTTGAGTCGTTTCCATTTGTTCTTCTTTTGAAAAGATACACTTACACTGTTTATTTAATTTTTATGGTAGGCAAAACTTAATCATGGGTCATAGAGATATTAGTATGTTAAGGCTCAGTTTTATTTAGAGAAAGGGCTCTCTTTATTTCATAGCTAAAGCCATGTTTTAAATTATTATAGCACTATACTGCTCAATTCAAAGGAAGACAAAGGGACTGAGATCAGGTGTTAATGGCAAAAAAAAAAAAGTGATCCAAGAGAACTGTGTGGGAAGAAGCTGGGAAGGTAAGATTTCAAGGCAGGAAAGTACAGAGCTGGAATTATAATGCAGAGAAGGAAAACAGTCACACAGAAGACACAATGTCACTCTATACTCTGCATTCAGGTTTCCTTGGGTTGTCTAATATTTAAAGCCTGATGCAGCCCAGGCCGAAATCCAGGAAACTTTTTTTAAGGTCTGTGTGAGTGGGAATGGGGACAAGGCAGGCACAGGGGTAGGAGAACTACTTTCATTAAAAATTATATATTTGCCACACAGTTCTCAATAGTATATTACAAATTACATACTCTTGATTTGAAGGGGGTAAATTAATTTTGTATAAATTTGATTTAATTACTTTGTATTAACTAAGACATTCAGTTACCTTTTGAGAGTTACATATCACTTATATTTTAATTATTTTAACCCATATTATCAAGATCCACACATTTTGGAATGTTTTCTATTTTAATGGAACCATGTGGTTTTAAGATGTTCTTCATGGGTGGCTGAAGTATTCTGCTATTTATCTGGAAGAACTTGAAAATTATTTTATTGTTACCTGTAGGTTTACTTTGTTTGGCTAAAGCCATCATAAACTTCATTATTCAATGAGGCTCTTTCACGCTCTTTGGATTGTGATGTGTTTCATCTCAATTGTTAGCTTTTAAACCGAATTTTTTAATGTGGTTAACTGAGATAAGTGAACATGATGGCAAAATACATATATTTCATTGCTTCTTCTGCTATATTCTTTTCAATGTTAAATATTCTATAATTCTAGTAAGTGTATGACTTTATATATTTATGACCAAGTTTTATTGTTAGATTGAGCCCTTAGAGACTCTCTGTTTTCCAAGCAATAATTTATATGTTTTAACAGTTTTAATTTGGAATACTTAAAACATCACTTAGCATGGTTGATTGCATGTAATTACCACCTGTGAATATCTGTTGTGTGAAGAGACTTCAGTTTAGTAATATTAATATTGAAAAAAACAATATAAATATGCTTGCTATTTTGCTGTTTTCTATAAATAATGCTTTGATGTGCAAAAGAGTCTTTAGTTTCCCAGCTGTAGTCCTACTAACCCCTCTAGACTCAAGTGTTACTTCCTAAAAGGTGTCTTCCTGGACCCCTAAAAGTGGGATCTTCCTGTCCTGAGTGCTTCCTGTGCGTATTTCTGTTCCTGCAGTTGTCGTGCTATTTTGTATTAATGCTGCTCTCTCTCTGGGCCTGTTTTTTTCCACCAGACAGTGAACTTCTTAAAGGCCAAAAATGTAGACTATAATTCTTGTACTCTCCATGCCTGGAATATAAAATGTGCTGCGTATTTCTAGAATAAATGGATAAATGAAAATATTGTCTATTTTGCTAGATGAAAATCCATGATTCCACATCTGTATAAACGAACAAATGTGGCTGCGTAAAAGTGAAAATACTCTAGAAGATGGGGTCATTACTTCCTCATTTTAATGTAGCCCTCTATACATGCCCCAATATTTCTATCAGGCAACTTTTGTGCAAGATAAATGTATTCAATGTAACTGTCTGGGAAGATAATTTGTAAGAACATATTTTTCTGAGAATTTCACATTGTGTTCACTTATCTCAGTTAACAACATTAAAAATTCAGTTAAAAAAGTTTTTAAGGACTTTATTATCAGAAGCATAGCTGCCATTGTGTATATGAGTACATGCGTGTTTCTCTTTACTGTCAAGTTTTTCTGATTAGAAGTAAAATCACATTCCTTTTGGAATCCAGATATTTTTAGTGTAAGACAAAACTATTTTTAAATTGGCATATCAACACTCTTAGGCTCCAAGAGATACTCTCCATTCTCCTCAAAATAACTGTATGTGACTAGATTGGTTCTCCAGGTTCTCACACACCGTGTGACCCTAGCATTTGTAGGTGAGAACACTTATTTCATCAGAGGCTTAGTCACTTCCAATATGCTGGACTGGGCTGGCTCACACCTCTAGGTCACAGGAGTGTCCCATGTTCTGGATCAGGGAGCAATTATGCTGCCTCTGTAATAGGCCTTGCTGTTGATGTTGCTTTTACTTTGGTACTCTGGTTTTGAGTACTGGGGTCCATAATTTTGTCTTCATAAATCCTTCTAGGTATTAGATTCTGTACCAGAAAAATCACTTTCAATGAACTAAAGTTCCTGAACTTATTTTCTCCTAACAAGGTCTTAGACAGCTGCTTTGCACATTCTCTAATACATTCTATGCCTAATATAAGAATATTGATTATCTATTTGCACCAGATATGACGGCTTTACATAGACCATCTCATTTGGAATATTTTATCTAATCCAATGAATACCATTCAAACCAAATACTCGTGAGTATTTCTTATGTGAGCTGATGGTAGGGGCTGTTGTTAGGCTCACACAAGAGAGCAAGCCTTGAGGCTGATATTTACCAGTCAGATCTTCCTTACTCTTTGGTACGTCCCATCTAGGGACTCACAACTCCATTAACACCTACATGTTTGATACCCACTGTGATATACCTGGTATCAGGGGCCTACATTGCAACCAAATGGGGTAACTTGCTTTACTGAACCCTATGAAATCAAGACACAAATGCACAGTAGGCTCCCTTCTCCTTGGGCTTTTAAAAAATTTTTCCATAATAAAAATGGAAAATGGGATTGCTGCCTTCATCAGCACTAACCTTATATCTCTGGAATTTTTTTGTTCCAACCAACTATACCATACTGTTAATATTCTGATATCTGTTTTACTTGGTTCTTCAATTCAAATTTTTCTCTTAAGAGCACTAGCTTTAATCCTTAGACTCAGACACACTATAATACTTTGACCCGTAAATCATCTTGGTTGATTTTCTAACATTTGCCCTCTGGCATCAGGCACCATGATGTAAGGACTCAGAACTCTCTGTGCTATCATCACAACTCAAAAATCCTGGCCCATTACTGGCCTGGTCCCCCACTAACTCACAGAATAGCATATTCTCTCTTTTCCTTGCCTATATGAAGCTCCAAATTTTGTAGAAACAGAATTTTCTGAGATATTAATTTTTATCTGTCCCTTCTGTATCTCCTTTTATCCCTCTTCCAAGGAGATACTAAGGCCTTTGAGTTTCCTTGTCAAAAATATTCATTTTTATGGGATAAAAACAAAAGCTGCTTGAGGCCAACTGCTCTTACTGTCTTTTGTAAAAGTTAATGCTCATTGAAAAAGTGATGCTAATGACCTGGAGAAAAATTTTAAAAGTATGGAATATTTTTAAGAGTGAGAATTGTGGGAACAATCTCCAGCTTCTAGGAAGGAGACATGAGACTAGTAAGATGACAAAGACCTGGGTTCCCGCTAATAAGGGGAGACACATTACAGAAGGAATAGAAGATAAAAGAACCACAGGAGCAGGTAGTGGTGGCTCGCACTGATGGAAACAACTTTATGATCATAGCCTCAGGCCTCTCAGTTGGACAGTTAAGTCTGAATGCCACTGAACACTTTTGGAAAGGCAGAGAGATGACACGGCTTCAGACTCCCTGAAAGCAGGCTGCCAAGATGGTGGAAACTGATTTAAAATGGAAAAGCGTAGTCCTGGGTCTTCCATCAACGTGGGGCCCTGTGATGTGCACAGATAGTGTGATGTAAAGGAAGAAACCACCAGATCTCTAATAGTCTTTTTGCACCTGAAAAAGACTATTAGGTTTTATTTCTAGTGCTCTGGCACACACAGTGTCCTGAGGTTGCACGAGAAAATCAAGCCCTGATTTTCATCCATTATGTGCGATAATTTCTTTCTTATACATCTAGAATAGTATTTCTACTACACTGTCTTTTGGAGAATTGTTTTGTGGATCAGATGAGAAACTTGGTTGAGAAAGTCTTCAGCAAGAAAGAGCACTGCCCTCTCTCAAAGAGAAAACATTCCTGATATCATGAAGATGAAAGGGGAGAAGTTGACTTTGGTGGAGGGTGGAGGGTCAGGACTCCAAAAGGCCCCAAAAGAAAACCTTCCTCTAGCTTCATTACCCTTGGGGGAAGTGGTAGGATCAAAATGGTTTCAAGCTGAGCCTTGAGAAGCATCAGAATTCCTTGTTTCAATAAAGGATTTTTGAAGCAACAGAATTCCAGAAACTCAGAGCACCAAGAAGACTTGGTCATTGAACATTTAATAACCATCAGTAAGAAGTGAAGACAAGAGCAGCTTCCAGGGGTTTAAGTGCAGATTAAACTTCAGGACTTATCCGTGACTTGGACAGGAAGGAAAAGAACCTTCATGATCACAGAGATTGAATTAACCTCCAGCCCAGGGGCATGGGTACTCAGAATATAATTAGAGTTAATATAAAGAAATGTGGCCTCCTTTGCATTCTTCGTTTTGTGGCCGTAAGGTCATATTTACTACAAACATACCCACTGACATTGAAGGCACCTTATCTGAGCCCTATTTCTGCTAACTCCTACCAGGTGGTTAGGAGGTAAGGACTTAGTAAGTAAATCTCCCAGAGAGTAATGAAATGTTCACCAATCTCTCATAACTCAAGGGCTCCTTCTTTCTTCCCCTTTTAAACTCAGGCTCCTTTCCTCGGTGAATATAAAGAGTCCCCCTCTTTCTTGATAATGGGGTCCAAGCTTCTCACTGTCATGTTTATTAAGATTTAACCAGCCTTGCCCATTCCTGAGCTTCACTATTTTCTTCAATCTTTGTGCATTTCTATCCTTTCTACAATTATTGATAGCCTGAAATTTCAGTTGCTTCCAGGATATCCATTTTCACGTCTTGCCTTATGCCTACAGAGAGCCCTACAATTCGGATCCTCAATTCCACCAGCCTTTTCTATTATTGTACTCTTGACTCAACCTGATCTCCTTGATACTGACCTGCAGTACAATGCAGCGTCTTCTCTTCTAAGCTTTGAAACTAAAACTGAATAACCACTCCTCCTAATATTCTGCTACTATTACTTGATGTGACATAGAAGCATTGTAGACTGAACAGATGACACTATAAAACCAAAACAATTTAATGACATAAAGGAAACAATAATAGTGGCATAGGTTTTTGGTTTTGTTGGTTTTACTTTTAAATATTTGCTCAATTTTGTTTGTTTTAAATTGACAGTTATATATATTATGTGCAACATGATGTTTTGAAGTATATCTATGCTTCAAAAATATATATATCAATATACTTCAAAACATGTTTTACATGATGCACATCATGTTGCATACACACACACACACACACACACACACACACTGTGGAATGGCTAAATCTAGCTAATTAACATGCAGCATATCTCACATGATTATTTTGTGGCAAGAACAGTTAATATCTGCTCTTTTGCATTTTCCAAGGATACAATATATTGTTATTAACTTTTGTTTTAATGTAAAGCGCATCTCCCTAAGCATAATATGGAACCTATCACATTTATTTCTGCCAACTAATAAGCTTCTGGTAAAACTCATACTATATATCACCAGTGTTTTGGTATTTCTAAAAAACTTAGGTTGCAACAAATATTAGTGAGCAGAACATTAATGTCTTATAAAGGAACTTCTTCATGGACACTATTAATCATATTAATTGTCCTGCCTTTGAAATTTGGGTTCTTCTACACTAAATAAAATTTGGATAACTTAATTCAGGAGAAACCACTAAAAATGGCTAGAAGAATAGAAGTATTAGAAAAGTAAACACACAGTTGGAAAAATTAATATGTATGTAGTACATAAGTGGATATGGTTGGGTGGTGACCATCACTGAAGGTATGGTTTGTTAATTTAAAATACAAATTGATTTCACTTGTATAAACATTACTGAATAATATAAGGCATTAAGCATGGTTTTAGAATTATCTTAAGAATATTCTTTAATACAAAGTAAATCATCTGCCTTAACAAATCATCATGATTCAACAGGCAATTAGAAAGATTGGAAGACCATTCTAGGCAGAGGACACTACAAGGGTTAATACCCAGGAAAAGGCTTTTGGAAACCTTTGGAAAAGCTTTGGACATTAAAGACTAAGAAGACGAGTATTATGAGGATGTAGTAAAGAAGAAGAGATTGATAGAAGATGAAATAGAAGAAAGACAAATCAAATTAGAAAAGGTTTGTAGGCCATGGTAAGAGTTGTGATTTTATCCAATGAGTGTTTGGAAGCAATTTCAAAGTAGGACAATATAAGAGAAAGAGTGGAAGCAAGGGACTCAGCTAAGATACTAGTGTAGAAGGCTATGTTATCTTTCAAATTTAGTGTACAGACATGAATACTAGTAAGGAAACAAAAGGAAAAGCAGTATGCATAGACTGTGCTTTATTGAAATTAGGCCACCATAGTTAATGAAAAAAAAGTAGAGGTTTATAAGGAAAATAATGCCCATTTTATAATGATGGAATGTTCCAGTTTGAAGGATCTTAGAAGTCATCTTGTTTGACTACTTTATTGGGGGAAATTCACCCCTGATATTTCACATAGGTTCTTTTCTATTTTCCCTAAGTGTCAGCCGGTCTGAGAAGTAAAGGGACAGAGTACAAAAGAGAGAAATTTTAAGGCTGGGCATCCGGGGGAGACATCACATGTCGGCAGGTTCCATGATGCCCCCCAAGCCGCAAAACCAGCAAGTTTTTATTAGCAATTTTCAAAAGGGGAGGGAGTGTACGAATAGGGTGTGGGTCACAGAGATCACATGCTTCACAAGGTAATAAAATATCACAAGGCAAATGGAGGCAGGGCAAGATCACAGGACCACAGGACTGGGGCGAAATTAAAATTGCTAATGAAGTTTTGGGCATGCATTGTCATTGATAACATCTTATCAGGAGACAGGGTTTGACAGCAGACAACCAGTCTGACCAAAATTTATTAGGTGGGAATTTCCTCGTCCTAATAAGCCTGGGAGCGCTACAGGAGACAGGGCTTATTTCATCCCTCCGCTACAACCCGCTACGACCCGCTACAGCCATAAAAGACAGCTGTCCCCAAAACAGCCATTTCAGAGGCCTCCCCTCAGGGACGCATTCTCTTTCTCAGGGATGTTCCTTACTGAGAAAAGGAATTCAGCAATATTTCTCACATTTGCTTTTGAAAGAAGAGAAATATGGCTGTGTTCCACCCGGCTCACCGGCCGTCAGAGTTTAAGTTTATCCCTCTTGTTCCCTGAACATTGCTGCTATCCTATTCTTTTTTCAAGGTGCCCAGATATCATATTGTTCAAATACACGTGCTTTACAAACAATTTGTGCAGTTAACAGAATCATCACAGGGTCCTGAGGTGACATACATCCTCCTTAGCTTACGAAATGACGGGATTAAGAGATTAAAGTAAAGACGGGCATAGGAAATCACAAGGGTATTGATTGGGGAAGTGATAAGTGTCCATGAAATCTTCACAATTTATGTTCAGAGATTGCAGTAAAGACAGGTGTAAGAAATTATAAAAGTATTAATTTGGGGAACTAATAAATGTCCATGAAATCTTCACAATTTATGTTCTTCTACCATGGCTTCAGTCGGTCCCTCCGTTCGGAACAAAAGGAAAAGCAGTATGCATAGACTGTGCTTTATTGAAACTGATTAGGCTACCATAGTTAATGAAAAAACTAGAGGTTGATAAGGAAAATAACGCCCATTTTATAGTGATGGAATGTTCCAGTTTGAAGGATCCTAGAAGTCATCTTGTTCAACTACTTCATTTTACATATGGAAGTTGAGCATCAAAATTACTTTAAATTACTTTTAATGTAATTTTGCACAAGTTTTTCTGTCTTTCCCTATTCACTTAAAATTACACATTGAATGGGCTTCAAGATGGCTGAAGAGAGACATCTGGCATTCATCTCCTCCACAAAGAAGAACCAAAAGAGCAAGAAGACAATTCTACTTTGAATAGAGCATTTAATAGCAGACACTGGAATTCAACAGAGAAGTGACAAGAAATATTTGAGACACGGAAGGAGATGGAAGTGAGACAGCCAGCTTACCTGTGATTGGCTGGGGGCTCAAAGAGGCTCCCTAGTTCAGGGAAAGTATAAGTGAGAGATCTGCAGCAGTCCACATTCCTATTGCAGACTTCTGCAACCCTAGACATGAGAGAGGGCCCTGACCCTCACAGGCCCTGAGACTAGCTTAGGGAGCTTCCTGGAGACCATGCAATAGGATTGCTTCATAGAGGGAGCACAGGCTGGGTCCCACACACCTCCAAAGTCCTAAGCAACTGCAACACAGCACCATTTGAAAGCCCAGACTCCACCAGGCTGCATCCTGCCCTTTGGGTAGGGGTCAACAGCCTCTGCATCTCCACACCCTTGGGGGTCAACAGCCTCTGCATCTCCACACTCCTGGAGCCCAACTAACATCTCCCCATATCCACCTACAGGGATGCAGTGGCACAATGATGTTTGGACCCAGCATAGCATCAGGGTCTCTAGTGTTCTGGCACACACAGTGTCCTACACCCCATGTAACAAACAGTGTGGTACACTGGGAGACTGACCCTGAGAGAAAGGGAACCAAAGCGCATACTCTTCCAGAGACTGTATTCTGCCTGTCCGGGACTGGGACCTCTGACAGCAACCCTATCTCCCCATCAGCAGGACTGCAGGGCACTTACATATACCATGGAAACTTGCTCTCCCTGCTGCTGCTGCAGCTGCCACCATTTCCACCACTGCTAGAGGACGAAGCACATGCTCCCTAAAACTTGAGAACTGCCTGTTGATGGTTGCTATCACTAATAACAACCCTGCCCCACTACCCCAGCAGCAGGGCCAGAGTGTACTTGCGTGTGCCCTGAGGAAAGGCTCTCCCTACCCACTGCCACCACTGCTGCCACCACCTGAGTACTCTGCTGGGGTCCTGGGTATCACCTCACCCTGCACATCACAGCCTCCACCTGTGCACACCACTGAGGGTTCTGAAGACTGGCCCTCCAAGCCTGGCACTACTTACCACAATGCCTGAGCACGCTGCCCACAGAACAGACACACAAATGAGGAAAAGAAAGGTCCAATTGTTACCACTACAGAAAACCATCAAATCACAATTATAAACAATAAAACAGAAAGAAAGGAACAAAGATATACAAAAAAAACAGAAAACAATGAATAAAATGACAGGAACAAGTCCTCACATATCAGTTATAACCACGAATGTAAATAGATTACATTTTCCACTTAAAAGTTATAGATAGGCTGAATGTGTTTTTTAAAATGGCCCAACTATATGCTGCTTACAATAAACTCACTTCAACTGTAAAGACACATATAAACAAAGTAAAGGGATTTGAAAAAATGATATTCCATGCAAACAGCAAGAAGGAGTAGCTATAATTATATCAAGTAAAACAAATTATAGGTTAAAAAGAGTCAAAAGAGACAAAGAAGATCATTATATAGTGACAAAGGGATAAACTCAGCAAGAGGATATAAAAATTCTAATTATACATGTACCCAACACTGGAGCACCTAAAACAAATATTATTAGATCTAAAGGGAGAGATCTCTCAGCAGTAGATAGATTATCTAGACAGAAAATTAATGAATAAACATTATATTTAAACTATACTTTAGACCAAATGAACATAAAATACATCTATAGAACATTTTATTCAACAGCTGCAGAATATACATTATTTTCATCAGCACATGGAACATTCTTCGGGATAGATCATAGGTTAGAACACAGAGCAAGTCTCAACAAATTTTTGAAAATCAAAATTATACCAAAATCTTCTCAGAGCATAATGAAATAGAACTAGAAATCAGTGAAAAACAGGAACTTTGGAAACTACAGATACATGGAAATTAAACAGCATGCTCCTGAATGACCACTGGGTCAATAAAGAAATAAAGAAAAAAATAAAAATAAAATCTGAAACAAATGAAAATGGAAATACAACATACCAAAACCTATAGGATACAGCAAAAGCAGCGCTGAAAGGAAACTACATGGCAATAAATGCTTACATCAAATAAATGGAGAAGTTTCAAGTAAACAACCTAATGATGCACCTCAAAGAACTAGAAAAGCCATACTCAGAAATAGAAGGAAGAAACAATAAAGATCAGAGCTAAACAAAATGAAGTCTAAAAAAATGAGAAGTTAGGATTTTGAAAAGATAAACAAAATGGATAAACCACTGACTAGACTAGCCAAGAAAAAAAAAAACAGAGATCTAAATAAATGAAATCAGAAATGAAAAAGGAGCCATTATAACTGGCATGACAGAAATACAAGCGATCATCAAAAACTACTCTGAATACCTCTATGCTCACAAATTGGAAAACCTAGGGAAATCACATAAATTCCTTGATATATACAACCTGCCAGTTTTGAATCCAGAAGAAAGATAAAATGTAAACCGATCAATAACAAGTAAAAAGATTGAATCAGTAACAAAATGTCTCCCAACAAAGGAGATCCCAGGACTAGATTACTTTCAAATTCTACCAAACTTGTAAAGAAGAACTAACACCAGTTCTCAAACTATTCCAAAAAATTGAAGAGGAGGCAATTCTTCCTAACTCATTCAGTAAGGTCTGCATTACCCTGATACCCAAACCAGACAAAGACACACACACACAAAAAGGAAACTACAGGTCAATATCTCTGATGAACATATATGCAAAATTCCTCAACAAAATCCTAGCAAACTTAATCCAACAGCCCATAAAACATAATAGTACACCATGATCAAATGGGATTTATCCCAAGAGTACAAAGATGGTTCAACATATGCAGTCAGTAAATATAATACATCACATCAACAGAATGAAGGACAAAAACCATATGATCACCTCAATAGACACAGAAGCAGCATTTCATAAAATTTGACATCCTTTCATAATAAAAACTCTCAAAGAATCGGGTGGAGTGGAACATACCTTCACATAATAAAGGCCATAAATGAAAAACCCACAGCTAACATCACACTGAATGGGCAAAAGCTGAAAGCCTTCCCCCTAAGAACTGGACCAACATAAGGATGCCCACTTCCACTACTCCTATTTAACATAGTACTGGAAGTCCTCGCCAGGGCAATCAAGAGAGAGAAAGAAGTAAAAGGCATTCAAATTAGAAAAGAGGAAGTCAGATTGTCTCTCTTTGCATATGAGATAATCTTGTATGTGGAAAAAGCTAAAGATTCCATGAAAAAGCTCTTAAATCAGATAAATAAATTTAGTAAAGTTTAAGGATACAAAGCAACATACAAAAATCAGTAGCATTCTGTACACCAATAATAATAAAACTGAAAAAGAAATAAAAAGATAATCCCATTTATAATAGCTATAAAAAATAATAAAATAACTAGGAATAAATATGACCAAGGAGGTAAAAGATCTCTGCAAGAAAAGCTACAAAACACTGATGAAAGAAATCAAAGAGGATACAAACAAGTGGAAAGGCATCTTGTGCTCATGAACCCAAATTAATATTGTTAAAATGACCACACTGCCCAAAGAGTTCTACAAATTCAATGGAGTCCATCAAAATGCCATTGAACGCTTTTCACGAAAACAGGAAAAAATATCCTAAAATTTGTAGGAACCAAAAAAGAGCTCAAAGAGCCAAAGCAAGCCTAAGCAAAATGAACAAAGCTGGAGACATCACACTACTTGACTTCAAAATACATTACAACTCCATAATAACCCAAAGAGCATGGTATTGGTATGAAAATGGACACATAGATCAATAGAATAGAACGGAGAACCCAGAAAACAATCCGCATGTTTGTGGTCAACTGATTTTCAACAAAGGCACCAGGAACATACACTGGGGAAAGGATACTCTCTTCAATACGTGTTGCTGGGGAAACTAAATACCCATTTGCTGAAAATTGGAACTAGACCCTGTCTCTCATCACATACAAAAATTAACCCAAAATGGATTAAAGCCTTAAACCTAAGACCTAAAACTATAAAACTACCAGAAGAAAGATGGAAAAAAACACTACACAACATTGATCTAGGCAAAGATCTTATGGCTAAGATTTCAAAAGCACAAGTAACAAAACAAAAATAGACAAATGGGAGTATATTAAACTAAAAGCTTCTGCACAACAAAGACAACAATCAACAGAATAAAGAGACAACCAGTTGAATGGGATAAAATATTTCCAAACTACTCATATGACAAGGGACTCACATCCAGGATAAACAAGAAACTTGCAGGGAGTGATGGCTCAGGCCTATAATCACAGCACTTTGGGAGGCCGAGGCAGGTGGATCACCTGAGTTCAGGAGTTCGAGACCAGCCTGGCCAACATGGTGAAACCCCATCTCTAGTAAAAATACAAAATTTAGCTAGACGTGGTGTTGGGCACCTGTAATCCCAGTTATTCAGGAGGCTGAGGCAGGAGAATCTCTTAAACCCAGGAGGCAGAGGTTGCAGTGAGCTGAGATTGCACCATCAGACTCCAGCCTGGGTAACAAAAGTAAAACTCCGTCTCAAAAACAAACAAACAAAAGAAACAGAATAGGCTGGGCGTGGTGGTTCACGCCTGTAATCCTAGCACTTTGGGAGGCTGAGGCGGGCAGATCACGAGGTCAGGAGATCGAGACCATCCTAGCTAACACGGTGAAACCCCGTCTCTACTAAAAATACAAAAAATTAGCCAGGCGTGGTGGCAGGCGCCTGTAGTCCCAGCTACTCCGGAGGCTGAGGCAGGAGAATGGTGTGAACCCAGGAGGCAGAGCTTGTAGTGAGCTGAGATGGCGCCACTGCACTCCAGCCTGGGCGACAGAGCGAGACTCCACCTCAAAAAATAAATAAAATAAAATAAACAATATACAAGAAACTCAAGGAAATCAACAAAATAAATAAATAATCTCTTAAAAATTGAGCAAAGAACATGAATAGACATTTATTAAAAAAACACAAGTGGACAACATGAATATGAAAAAATTCTCACCATTACTAATCATCAAGGAAACGCAGGTCAAAACCACATGAACTATTATCTTACCCCAGTTAGAATGGCTATTATTAAAAAGACAAAAAATAACATGAATAGACATTTATTAAAAAATACAATGGACAACATGAATATGAAAAAATTCTCACCATTACTAATCATCAAGGAAACACAGGTCAAAACCACATGAACTATTATCTTACCCCAGTTAGAATGGCTATTATTAAAAAGACAAAAAATAACATGCTGAAGAGGGTGCAGTGAAAAGGGAACTCTTGTACACTGTTGGCAGGAATGCAAATTAGTACACCATTATGGATAAAGGTATAGATATTTCTCACAAAACTAAAAAATAGAACTACCATATGATCTAGAAATCCCACTACTGGGTATTTATCCAAAGGAAAGGAAATTAGTAGATCAAAGAAATACTTGCATTCCCTCTGTTTATTACAGCACTATTCACAGTAGCAAAGATATGGAATCAACCTAAACGTCCATCAATAGATGAATGGATAAAGGAAATCTGGTATAGATACATAATGGAATGCTAATCAGTCATAAAAAAGAATGAAATCCTGTCATTTGCAGCAACATGGATAGAACTGGAGGTTTTTATGTTAAGTGAAATAAGCCAAGCACAGAAAGACAGATATCACATGTTTTCACTCATATGTCAAAGCTAAAAATATTGACCTCACAATAGTAGAGAGTAAAACAATAATTACCAAAAGCTGGGAGGGGCTTTGGAGGAGGTAGGATGAAGAAGGGTTGGTTAATGTGTATGAACATACAGTTAGATAGAAAAAATACGTTTTAATATTCCATGGCAGAGTAGGATGACTATAGTTAACAATGATTCAAGAAATTTTAAAACGACTAGAAGAGAGAACTTGAAATGTTCCTAACATATAGAAATGATAAATGTTCTAGGAGATGGATACCCTAAATACCCTGAGTTGATCATTACAAATTCTATGCATGTAAAAAAAATCATACAAATCCATACAAATGTGTGACTATTATATACCAATAAAAAAATTAAAGCACATCATTTACCCCTCTATCTCACCCTTGATTTCTTTAAAAAAATTTATGGCTTGTAAACTCAAGATACTGGGTAATCTTTCAATATTTCATATTATTTAAAAGCTAATAAAATGAACAAAAGAAGAACTTTCAGTTTATGGAAGGTTTCAACACACTTCTGGAAAGTGGTAAAGGGATAGGAAATTACAGAAAAATAAAGTAGAACCCGGGGAATCATGCCCTGAATATACATAGAAATAGCTGCAGGGAGCAGCCAGACAAGCTGGGTTATGTGAGTTAAATCTTCATTTATCAGTAGAAAATATTCTAAATATATAATTCAAAAAATAGTGATATAACTATAGTATTTAGAAATCTGGAGGTAATGAGACTAGCTAACACCTATTCTACATGTCAAACACTATTCTAAAATATTTTAAAGTACTAGAACTTTTAAAGTTGATACTTTCATCTCTATTTTTTATGACAAAATGGAAACACCAAAAGTTATGCTCAAAGTTGTCAAGCTAACAAATGGGTAAGCCAGGATTTGAGTCCAATAGTTTAGTTCCAGATTCCACATTATTAGCTATCACATTATTCTACCTGTACATAAATTGTGAGGGTAACTACGATAATAAACAAAACTAGAAATAGTTAAAGGAGGCTATGAGAGATGGGAGTAGGAGCAGGCAGAAATAAGACAGAGTTTGCACCTTTGTTTTAAAGGGTCTATGCTGTTTTTTTTTAATTAATTAATTTATGCTATCTTATTTTTTAAACATTTGCTAATTTTCCTTAGACTTAAACAAATATAATAAAAAACCCAGGATATTACAAGCATTGAATAATACTGAGTAATATTAATGTAGTCAGATTGGCCTAATGTAGAATACATGAAAACTTTTCTCTCTTTTTCCTAGTTTCTACTCTAGGTTCATAAAGATTAATTTCAAAAATTTTACAAAAACTTTTACAGAAATACAAAGTGATTCTCCACAAATCAACAGACTCATATTTTTAAGCTTCAAATATTTCTATGACTACCCTGGGTAATATTTTAAAGTATTCATAGGATGAAAAGCTTAGGCCTAAAAAGCCATAACTTAAAATCACAGAGTTTATACAATTCAAACCCTCAGTAACGTTTATCTCCTTTCCCCTACAGACTTAGTTTCTAAGAACAAAATACAGAAAAAAGTTCATTATGTAAAGCAATCAACACCAGGAATTGATGACCTCACTGTGTGAAGGCCACAGAGTCCCAGAGATGATAATTATGTAACACAAACAATAATCACTTAAATTGAAATTAGTATTATTTACAAAGCCCCTAAGCCATCATCTCCATGTATATTTCACATGTTTTAGTGAACCAGGAAAATATAATCAAAACAACACTTTGAAAGTGATAGTTTAAAACAAAGAGAAAATTAATAAACTCCAACAGTTTTCAACCAAGTACAGCAAAAATTAAGTATGAAGTTTTAAAATATATATACAGATGGCTGGGTCATTACTTGGAGACTCTGTTTAGTAGGCTAAGTGTGCTGCAGAGAGATTGACAAAAATAAAATAAACAATAACAAAAACACCTTGACAACTAGAATTTTAAAACATTGATCTGGTTATTGGAGTATCTAAGTTTAAAATAGATTATTTCCTCCTGAAATAATCTGGTGATCCTGCTGGAAATAATAATCTATTCTAAACATACAAAAAGTGTAATATCCAGCCAAAAAGAAAAAGTCAGGAGTTTACTTTATTTGTGCTGTTTCCATAAATTCTAGGAGAAATAAAACAACAAACAGGATAATAGAGAGTATATACATTAAAGAGTACCTTTGGGATATTTTCTGAAACAACTAAAATCAGACAATTTGTTTGTTTTAAGTTTGCCTACCAAGTTTTTGATACTTCTGCCTTCAAGAGGTAGATCTTAATTCCTTTCCTCCTGGGTGTGGGGGCTGAACATGGTGACTTATTTTTCTGAGGTGACTGTGTTTAAGGGAGAGACTGCAACGCTGCAGCAAGCATGTACAATAAAATACTCCACCAATCTTTCTCCAAGGGGACCTCAAACCATTTACCAGAATAGTTGTGCAAAAGGTAGGGAAATTACCTAGACCTTTTCAGGGCCTCAACATATAATTTGTCATTGATAACCTGGAGACATAAAAGGAAGCATGACTCCCCAGTTAGGGTATGGGTTGAAGTAGATACAGGTGATAAAAAAGACTCTAAAGCCCAAGTCCAAGACACTCTGTGGTTATTTCCTTGATCTCTAAGTGCTGAACTGGGGTGGATACATTCTGCAGCTGACAAAATTTTTATATTGGTTTCTTGGCCTGTAGAATGAGTCGTTAGCATATACTAACGACTTAGCATAGGATAAGAAAAAACAAGAGAATCGGATAGCATAGGATAAGAAAAAACAAGAGAATGCCCATAGAATTTCTCACTTCTGAGACTTCAGAAACAAAACCATATTCTGAGTAGAATTGCAAGGTTTAGTACCCTCCTCAAAAATTTACGTGTGATGGTTATCCTGACATTCCCATTTAATTCATTTGAACGGCTTTTGCAAAAACTCTATGGCTGGCAATGGTCTACCACAGACTTAACCGGGTGGCCTCCATTGCAGCTGCAATGTGGATGTGTTGTTTTTATTTGAACACATGAACACAACATATGATACTTAGTGTATATCTATTGATCTGGCATATATATATATATATATATATATATATATGTATTTATATATATATATATGTATTTATATATATATATGGCAATCCCCATCAATAAATACAATAAATAAATCATTATGCTCTTACATAGGAAGGGCAGCGGGCTATGATCATGGACCAGGCTATGTTAAATTGCTTGCTGTCTGTCTCTTTCATAATACAGTACACAGGATGCATAATCATCTTTACATTCTGCAGAATGTCACTCTGTCTACAGTGAAAGAGAATATAACATTATGCAAATTGGACCAGGTAAGTATAAAGTACAAGTATTCTAAGCCTAGTTAGACACAGTGATATTGTGATTTATAATTTAAAAAATATACATTTGGTCTTTGTCCCATTTCTGGCGCAGAGTTTCTAAAACACTTAGAATTTCCTAAGTGATAAGAGCAATAAAGGTAAAGGAGCATTTTCTATTATTCATAATAATCCCTTTTTAACCACATCTGAGTTTATGTTAATGAGGTGATTTTTTGAAAACTCACTAGACCTAAGAAAAGAGATAGACAGCAACATAATAATAGTGGGGTTGGGGAAGAGTGGCCAAGAAGGCCGACTAGAAGTAGTTAATGTGTGTGCCTCTCATGGAGAGGAACAGAAGAGGTAAGTAAATACAACACCTTCAACTGAAACATCTAGGTACTCACATTGGAACTAATCAAGGAAACAATTCAGACCAAGGAGAATGGAGAAAGGCAAGGCTGGGTGAAGGCCCACGCAGGGAGCCAAAGAGAAGCTCCCCTGCCCTGAGAAGCAGTAAAAGAATGTGCGACCCTGGAAACCCATGCTTCTCCCATGGATCTTTGCAACTCTCAGGTCAGGAGGTCCCCTCATGAACCCAGCCCACCAGGGCCTTCAGTTTGACACAAAGAGCTATCTGTCTCAGCAAAGGAGCCACTCATGCATGCATGGAGACGCGGGAGCTTTAAATACTCTGGCTTTCTGGGCATCCCAGCAAAATTAGCTGCAACTTTGTCAAAGTGGGAGGTTAGACCCCTGTACATACCCCTAGGAAAAAGGCTGAATCCAAGGGGCTGAGCAGTGATGGTTTGCAGGTTCTGCTTGGAACAGAACCTTATGTTGCAGGATAAGACACGCTGGCTTGGAATTCCAGCCAGCCATTGGTAACAGCATTGTGCTTCCCTGGGACTCAGCTCCCAGGGGCAGGGGCAGGCCGCCATCTCTGCTGTTTGGGTGGCTTAGCCATTATGGCCTTTGGGCTTTGGAGAGTCCAAACCAACTGAGAGCAAAAGGGATTCCCCCAGTGCAGCACAGCTGCTCTACCAAAACATAGTCAGACTGCTTCTTTAAGTGGGTCCCCAATCCCGTTACTCCTCAGTAGGTGGGACCTCCCAACCAGGGCCTCCAGCCACCCGCACCAGTGTTCTCTGGCCAACAGAGATTTAAAGACTCCCTGGGACAGAGCTCCCAGAGGGAGGGGCAGGCCACCATCTTTGCTGTTTGGGCAACTTAGCCTTTCCAGCCTTCAGGCTTTGGAGAGCCCAAGCTGACCAGGGTTAGAAGTGGTACCCCAGCACAGCACAGCTGCTCTACAAAAATGTGGCCAGACTGCTTTCTAAAGCAGGCCTCAATCCCATTCCTCATCGCTAGGTGGACCCTCCTAATGGGTCTCCACCTATCCCCACCAGTCTTCTCCAGCTGACAGAGGTTTCAGGCCTCCCTGGGACAGAGATCCCAGGGAGAAGGGTGGGCCTCTATCCTTGCTGTTTGGGTGACTTAGCCGTTCCAGCCTTCAGGCTTCAGAGTGTCTGAGGTGACTGGGGGCTGAAGAGGACCCTAAGCACAACACAGCTGCTTTACAAAAACATGGCCAGACTACCTTTTTATGTGGGTCCCTGACCCCATTTCTCCTGACTGGGTGAGACCTCCCAACTTGGGTCTCCAGCTACCTCCTACACGTGTGTTTGTGCTGACAACAGGCCCATACCTCCCTGGGACAGAGCTCCCAGAGGGAGGGGCAGGCTGCCATCTTTTCTGTCTCACAGCCTTCATTGATGATATCTCCAGGTACTAGAAAATCTGAGGTGACTAGGGACTGGAGTAGACCCCCAGCATAGCACAGCAGCCCTAAGGAAAAGTGGCCAGACTGTTACATGGATACCTGTTCCCCTGTCTCCTTACCAGGCAGGTCCTCCAGGTCTGGGCCTCTAGCCACTTTCTGCCAGAGTGACTGAGCCAGTAGCAACTCAGCAGCTCCCCAGACAGAGCCTTTAGAGGCAAGTGAAAGCCTCTCTGCCACTGCCTCTGCAGTGGAAACATTCTTGCTACCCTTGAATTAATAAAGGAGCGAAGACCCTAAGTACCTTGTCCACACCTCCAATAGGCTGCAGTCGAACCAAAGAGACAAGGCAAGTCCATCTCCCACAGTAGGGTCCCACATACCCACAATTCTTGTCACCAGAGAGGGAACCCCTGGCTTGGGCCCACAGCACAGAACAGGGCTGATTACACTGAGCGATTGCTAACCTGTGTCTTTCTGGGGTTGAGCCCCCAGGAGACAAGTAAAGTGATGGATCAGCAAGCCAGCTCATGTTGTGCCCAGAGGGTTTGGTGCAGGAGAGTTTGTAGTTGGGAAGTGGCCAGGGATGGCCATCCCCCTAGGCTCGACTTGCTCCATAAAAGACATTAGCCCTTGGGGAATTATCAAACCTGATCTCTGTGGGGAAGTCTTGTACATCAGATAGGGCTGGTCTGACCTGAGAACTCCTTAGTCTGCTGGCCTCTCTTGGGGCCCCAGCCTGGCCACGCCTACTTACAAGGAAGTCTTGGGTGCCCTGGGGGCCCATACCATAGATAGCTTCTGTGCTAGTGAACCATGCCTGACCAGTGAAGAGTTCCAGCAAGGCAACCCCTAAGGCCATGCACCAGCCCTCACATTTTCTCCCCAGACTGCAGCTTCCCCTGTGCCCATGGCATTTCCCCACATCACTTTGCTGGCACAAGTTTGTACAGGCGGGTTTTGCTTTAATTGCCCCACCAGTACATGGGAGTGCAATATTTCCTCTGACTCCTGTCGACCAGCATTGCAAAAGGAGCCTTGGTGAGCATACAGCCAGCAAGCCCCATCCCTGCCAGCACCCTGCTTTTGTGCTAATGGTGCACAGAGAACAGGGGATCCTCCCACGCAGGTGGTCAGCACCCCATCCCAAACCAACACCACATCCTGTGCAACAGCATACAGTCTCCATCGGGGCACCACCCGCTCCCCCTCCAACTGCCTTGCATCTGCCACTGTGGTGAATGCCCACAGGGAGGCAGGCACCCCTATACCCACTAACACTTGGTTGTGGCTGCTGCACCTTGGTCACCTTGGTCCCCCTGGCATAGTAAACTTCAAACCTCAAGGAGCCAGAAAACAAAGTCGGGGCTCAATACAAGTCCCCCAGAATTACAGCATGCAGTCCAGGAGTTGGGAGCTGAAAGTTCACTCCCTAAAATCCTCCAGAAATGAAGCCAGTTAGCTGAATCCACCTTATATCACAATCAAACCCTCAAGGTCATCAGATAAGATAAAAGAAAAAAAAACCCATCCAAAGGTCAGCAACCTCAAAGTTTGAAGGTAGATAAGCCCACAGAGATGAGAAATAATCAGCACAAGAATGCTGAAAACTAATAAAGCTAGAGTGCCTCCTTTCCTCCAAATGACTGCATCACCTCTCCAGTGAGGGTTCAAAATTTGGCTGAGGCTCAGATGGCTGAAATGACAGAAGTAGAATTCAGAACATGGATAGGAACAAAGTTCACTGAGCTACAGAAGTACACTATAATCCAGTGCAAGGAAGTGAAAGATAAAATAAAACATTGCAGGAGCTGACAGACAAATAGCCAGTATAGAGAAGAAAATAAGCAGTCTGACAGAGCTGAAAAAACACACTACAAGAATTTCATAATGCAATCACAATTATTAATAGCAGAATAGAACAAGCAGAGGAAAGAATCTCAGAGCTTGAAGACTGTCCTTCTGAAATAAGACAGGCAGACAAGAAGAGGGAAAAAGAGTGGAAAAAAAAATGAACAAAACCTCCAAGACATATGGGATCATGCAAAGAGGCTAAGCCTATGACTGATTGGTGTACCTGAAAGAGATGGGAAGAACAGAACCAACCTGGAAAACGTATTTTAGGATATCATCCATGAGAACTTCCCCAACATAGCTAGAAAGACCAACTTTCAAATTCAGGAAATGGAGAGATCCCCAGTAAGATACTCCATCAGAAGATCATCCCCAAGACACATAGTCATCAGATTCTCCAAGGTCAAAATGAAAGAAAAAATGTTAAAAGGCAGCTAGAGAGAAAGGCCAGGTCACCTACTAAGGTAAGCCTGTCAGACTAACAGCAGACCTCTCAGTTGAACCCTACAAGCCAGAAGAGATTGGGGGCTAATATTCAACATTCTTAAAGAAAAGAAATTTCAATCCAGAATTTCATGTGGCCAAACTAATCTTCATAATTGAAGAAGAAATAAGATCCTTTTCAGGCAAGCAAATGCGGAGGGAGTTCGTCACCACCAGGCCTGCCCTGCAAGAGCTCCTGAAGGAAGCACTAATTATGGAAAGGAAAGACCTTTACCAGCCACTAGAAAAACACACTGAAGTACAAAGACCAGTGACACTATAAAGCAACCACATAAACAACTCTGAAAAATAACCAGCTAACATCATTATGACAGGTTCAAATCCACACATATCAATAATAACCTTAAATATAAATGGGCTAAATGTCCTAATTAAAAGACACAAAGTGGCAAGCTGAATAAAGAACCAAGACCCATTGGTATGCTGTCTTCAAGAGACCCATCTCACATGCAATGACATACATAGGTTCAAAATAAAGGGATGGAGAAAAATCTACCAAGCAAATGAAAAACAGAAAAAAGCAGGGTTGCAATCCTAGTTTCTGACAAAACAGACTTTAAACCAAAAAAGAGTAAAAAAAAAAGACAAGGGCATTATGTAATTGTAGAGGGTTCAATTCAGCAAGAAAACCTAACTATCCTGAATATATATCCTAAATATATATGTTCTAAATATATATCCTAAATATATATCCTAAATATATATATATGTTCCCACACAGGAGCACACAGGAGCACCCAGATACATAAAGCAAGTTCTTAGAGACCATCACAGAAACTTAAACTTCCACCTAATAATAGTGGGAGAGTTTAACACCCCACTGACAATATTAGACACTTCATTGAGAGAGAAAATTAACAAAGATATTCAGGACATGAACTCAGCTCTGGATCAAATGGACCTATGGACACACAGAACTCACCACCCAAAAACAGCAGAATATACATTCTTCTCATTGCCAGTGGCACATACTTTAAAATCAATCACATTGTCAGAATAAAACACTCCTCAACATATGTAAAAGAACTGAAGTCATAACAAACAGTCTCTTGGACAGCACAATCAAATTAGAAATCAAGACTAAGACATTCACTCAAAACCATACAATTACATGAAAATCAAATGACCTGTTTTTGAATGACTTTTGTTTTTGTTTGTTTGTTTGTTTCTTTGAGACAGGGTCTCGCTCTGTTCCCCAGGCTGGAGTTCAGTAGTGCAATCTCAGCTCACTGTAACCTCCACCTCCTGGGTTCAAGCAATTCTCCTGACTCAGCCTCCTGAGCAGCTGGGATTACAGGCATGTGTCACCACACCCAGTTAATTCTGAATGACTTTTAGGTAAATAATGAAATAAAGACAGAAATCAAGAAGCTCTTTGAAACAAATGAGAACAAAGATACAACATACTAGAATCTCTGGGACACAGCTAAGGCAGTGTTAAGAGGGAAATTTATAGTACTAAATGCCCACATCAAAAAGTTAGAAAGATCTCAAGTTAACAATCTAACATCACAACTAAAACAACTAGAGAACCATGAACAAACATATCCCAAAGCTAGCAGGAGACAAAAAATAACCAAAATCAGAGTTAAACTGAAGAAGATAGAGACAAAAAAAAAACACCATTCAAAAGATCAATGAATCCAGGAGCTGTTTTTTTGGTGCAAAAATGAATAAAATAGACTGCTAACTAGACTAACAAAAGAAGAAAATAGAGAAGATTCAAATAAGCACAATCAGAAACAACATGGGGGATATTACCACTGACCCCATGGAAATACAAACAGCCATCAGAGAATATTAGGAACACTTCTATGCATATAAGCTAGAAAATTTAAAATAAATAGATAAATTCTTGGGCATATCCATCCTCCTAAGATGGAACCAGGAAGAAACTGAATCCTTGAACAGAACAATAAAGTGCTATGAATAAATAACCTACCAACCAAAAAAAGCTGAGGAACAGATGGATTCACAGCTGATACATTCAGATGTACAAAGAAGAGATGATACCATTTTTACTGAGACTATTCCAAAAAATTGAGGAGGAAGGACTTCTCCCTACCTCATTCTGTGAGGCCAGCATCATCCTGAAACCAAGAGCTGGCGGAGATACAACAAAGAAAGAAAACTTCAGGCCAATATCCTTAATAAACATCAATGCAAAAATCCTCAACAAAGTGCTTCAAACTGAATCCAGCTGCACATCAAAAAGCTTATCTAACACAATCAAGTAGGCTTTATCCCTGGGATGCAAGGTTGGTTCAACATACACAAATCAATAAATGTGATTCATCACAGAAACAGAACTGAAGACAAAAACCACCTGATTGTCTCAAAAGATGTGGAAAAGACTTTTGATAAAAGTCAACAGCTATTCATGTTAAAAACTCTCAATAAACTTGGTATTAAAGGAACATACCTCAAAATAATAACAGCAATATATGACAAGGCCACAGCCAACATTATACTGAAGGGGCAAAAACTGGAAGCATTCCCCTTGAAAATTGTCACAAGACAAGGATGTCCTCTCTCACCACTCCTATTCAAAATAGTATTGGAAGTTCTGGCCAGGGCAATCAGGCAACAGAAAAAACAAAGGCCATCCGAATAGGAAGAGAGGAAGTCAAACTATCTCTGTTTGCAGATGACATTGATCCTATATCTAGAAAAACCCATAGTCTCAGCCCAAAATCTTCTTAAGCTGATAAGCAACTTCAGCAATATCTCAGGATACAAAATCAATGTGCAAAAATCATTAGCATTTCTATACACCAAATCAGTCAAGCTGAGAGGCATATCAGGAATGAACTCCCAGTCACAACTGCCACACACAAAAAAATAAAATACCTAGAACAACTAGGGACGTGAAAGATCTCTACAACAAGAACTACAAACCACTGCTCAAAGAAATCAGGGATGACAAAAACAAATGGAAAAACATTCCATGCTCATGGATAGGAAGAATTAATATTATTAAAATGGCCATACTTCCTAAAGTGATTTATAGATTCAGTACTATGCCTATAAACTACAATTGGCATTCTTCACAGAACTAGAAAAAGCTATTTTAAAATTCATATGGAGAAATAAAGCCTGAATAACCAAAGCAATCCTAAGCAAAAAGAACAAAGTTGGTAGCATCATGCTACCCAACTTCAAACTATACTACAGGTCTACAGTAACCAAAACAGCATGGTACTGGTACAAAACAGACACATAGTCCAATGGAATAAAATAGAGAACCCAGAAATAAGATTGCACACCTACAACTGTCTGATCTTTGACAAATGTGACAAAAAACAAGCACTGGGGAAAGGATTCCCTATTCAATAAATGGTGCTGAGATAACTGGCTAGCCATATGCAGAAGATTGAAACTGGACCCCTTTTATGCACCATATATAGAAATCAACTCAAGATGGATTAAATACTTAAATGTAAAACCCACAACTATAAAAACCTTGGAAAACAGCCTAGACAATACCATTCAGAACATGGGCATGGGCAAAGATTTCATAACAAAGACACCAAAAGCAATTGCAACAAAAGCAAAAAATGACAAATGTGATCTAATTAAACTAAAGAGCTTCTGCACAGCAAAAGAAATGACCAACAGAATAAACAGACAACCTACAGACTGGGAGAAAATTTTTGCAAACTATGCATCTGACAAACGTCTAATATTAATATTCAGCATCTATAAGGAACTTAAATTTATAAGAAAAAAGAAACCACAAAATTAAAAAGTGGGCAAATGACATGAACAGGCAATTTTCAAAATAAGACATACATGTGGCCAATAATCATGAAAAAATGCAAATCAAAACCACAATGAGATATCATCTCATGCTAGTCAGAATGGCTGTTATTAAAAAGTCAAAACACAACAGATGGTGGCAAAGTTTTAGAGAAGAAGTAATGATTATACACTGTTGGTGGGAGTGTAAGTTAGTTCAACCATTGTGAATGACAGCATAGTGATGCCTCAAAGACCTAAAGACAAAAATATAATTTGACCCAGCAATCATATTACTGGGTATATACCCAAAAGAATATAAATCATTCTATTATAAAGACACATGCACGTGTATGTTCACTGAAACACTATTCGCAATAGCAAAAACATGAAATGAACTTAAGTGCTCATCAATGATAGACTGGATTAAAAAAACAGTGGTACATAATACACCATGGAATACTATGCAGTCATGAAAAAGAACAAGATCATGTCCTTTGCAGGGACATGGGTAGAGCTGGAGACCATTATCCTTAGCAAATTAAAGTGGGAACAGAAAACCAAATACCACATGTTCCCACTTATAAGTATAAGCTAAATGATGAGAAAACACAGACACACAGAAGGGAAAAACACACATAGGGCCTATCGAAGTGTGAAGGGTGGGAGGAGGGAGAGGATCAGGTAAAATAAGTTATGGATACTAGGCTTAATACCTGGCTGATGAAATAATCTGTACAACAAACCCCCATGATGCAAGTTTACCTATGTAACAAACCTGCACATATATCCCCTAAAATTAAAAGTTAAAAAAATCATGGATTTTATGTGTTAGAAAAAATAAAATTACATCTGATTATTTTATAATAAAAATGAAAAAAAAACAGAGAGACAAGAAGGATATGCATTCAGGGAAGATAGAAAAAAGGGCAAAAGGTAGCAATAAGGTAATTCACTAAGGGGGATTCTGAATAATTGATAGTTATACTCAATTGCATTTGTAACCCGATAAATAAAATTAAAGCAAAAATAAAATATACGTTTATTCCATGAAGCAGCCAAGAATGAAAAATCTTCAAAATACAAAATTGGTGAAGGTATAAGTTAAGATGAACTCTCATCAGAATGCAAATTACTGTAATTCCTTTGTAAAACACCTTAGTACTACTTTATAATTTTGAAGAAAAATATATCTTACCTACAGACATTATTTTTGACATGACTTCATGTCTGTGCATAAAGAACAAGAAGGTTCATCAAGCTATTGTGTAAGTGGAAAAGTGAGACCAACCTAAAGGAACATCATGGGATGACTGGAAAAATTAAGGTCTGTTCACAAGATGGCATACTATATAGATTAAATCCATTAACTACATCTAAATGTATCAACATGAGTAAGTCTCAAAAACACAATGTTTAATAGTAATTATCAAATGTTACATATACCATGACATAATTTAGTAAATTAAAAACATTGATTCTCTATTTTCTTTTTTGACTTATTTATCACTATGTCAAGACTCCACTATCCTAATTACTATTGTTTTCTATGAGATCTTGATTTGTGTGGGCATATCTCTCTACTTTGATATTCTTCAGTAATAGTTTGTTTATTCCTGGTCTTTCATTCTTTCAAATAAAATGTAAAAGGAATTTGTCAAATAAAAAAAAATAGTGAGGTCTTGAACACTCCACTGACATCACTAGACAGATCATCAAGGCAGAAAGTCAACAAAGCTACACTGGATTTAAACTTCACTCTAGAACAAATGGACCTAACAGTTATATACAGAACATTCTGCCCAATAACTGAAGAGTTTACATTTGTTTCATCAGCACATAGAACATTCTCCAGGACACACCATATGACAGGCCACAAAAACAAGTCTCAATACATTTTTAAAAATCAAAATCATATCAAGGGTCTTCTCAGACCACAGTGAAATAAAACTAGAGATCAATTTCAGAAAGAATCCTCAAAGCTATACAAATACATGGAAATTAAACAATCTGCTCTTAAATGATTTTTGGGTTAACAATGAAATCAAGATAGAAATTGAAAAATTATTTGAATGAATAACAGTGATACAAATTATCAAAACATCTGGGATACAGCAAAAGCAGCGCTAAGAGAGAAGTTTAGAGTGCTAAATGCCTACATCAAGAAGTCTGAAAGATCACAAATTGACAACTAATATCACACCTCAAGAACTAGAGAAACAAGAAGAAACCAAATCTAAAGCTAGCAGAAGAAATGAAATAACAAAGATCAGAGCAGAACTTCATGAAATTGAAAGAAAAAACATACAAAGGTAATGAAACAAAGAGTTGGTTCTTTGAAGATGAGGAAACAAAGTTAAAAGATCATTAACTAAATTAACCAAGAAGAGAGAAGATTCAAATAAGCTCAATTAGAAAAAAAAAGGAGACATTACAACTGACAGCACAGAAATACAAAAAATCATTTGAAAATACTATAAACACCTCTGTGCACACAAACTAGAAAATCTAGAGGAAATAAATAAATTCCTGGATACATATGGCCCTCCTAGTTTGATACAGGGAGAAATAGAAATCCTGAACAGATCAGTTACAAACAGTGAGATTCAATCAGTGATAGAACACTTACCAAAAAAAGAAGGCCTGATTCACAGCTGATTTTTAGCAGACATTCAAAGAAGAATTGATACCAATCGATTGAAACTATTCCAAAAGATTGAGAAAGAGGGAGTCCTCCCTAACTCATTCTATGAAGCCAGTATCATCATGATACCAAATCCAGGAAATGACATAACAAAAAAAAGAAAACTACAGACAAATATCTCTGATGAACATAGATGCAAAACTCCTCAACAAAATACTAGCAAACTGAATCCAACAGCACATCAAAAAGAATCACCATGATCCAAGTGGCTATCATCCCAGAGATGCAGGGATATTTCAACATACATAAATCAATATATGTGATTCATCACATAAGCAGAATTAAAAAGAAAATCTATATGACAAACTTCATGGATGTAGAAAAAGCATTTGATGAAATCCAGTATCCCTTTATGATTAAAAAACCCTCAAAAAACTAGCCATACAAATTATATACCTCAAAAATAATAAAAGCCATGTATGACAAACCTACAACCAACATCACACTGAATGGGGAAAAGTTGAAAGCATTCCCCCTAATAACTGAAACAAGACAAGGATGCCCACTTTTACCACTTCTATTCAACATGGTACTGGAAGTCCTAGGCAGAAAAATCAGGCAAGAGAAAGAAATAAAAGGCATCCAAATTGGAAAAGAGGAAGTCTTAAACTGTCTCTGTTTACTGATTATATGGTTGTATACCTAGAAAACGCTGAAGACTCCTCCAAAAAAGTCCTAGATTTGATAAATGAATTCTGTAAAGTCTATTGTTACAAAATCAGTGGACACCAGTAATGACCAAGCTGAGAATCAAATCAAGAACTCAATCATTTTAACAATAGCTGCAAAAGATACCTAGGAATATACTTAACCAAGGTTGTAATAAACCTGTATAAGGAGAGCTACTAAACACAGCTGAAAAAAATCATAGATGAAACAAACCAATAGAAATGCACCCCATGCTCATGGATTGGAAAAATCAATATCATAAAAATGATCATACCACCCAAAGCAATCTACATATTCAGTGTAATTCCTACCAAAATACTGACATCATTTTTCACACAATCAGATAAAACAATCTTAAAATCAATATGGAACCAACAAAGAGCCTGAATAACCAAAGCAATTCTAAGCACAAAGAACAAATCTGGAGGCATCACAGTACCTGACTTCAAATGATACTACAAGGCTATAATTACCAAAACAGCATAGTACTTGTGTAAAAGTGGAGACATAGATCAATGAAACAGAATAGAAAACACAGAAATAAAGCCAAATACTTACAACTAACCGATCTTCAACAAGGCATACAGAAACCTAAATGGGAGAAAGGACATCCTAGTCTATAAAAGGTACTGGGAAAACTGGATAGCCACACGTAGAAGAACAAAACTGGATTCCTATTTCTCACCAAATACAGAAATCAAATAAAGATGGAGTAAAGACTTAAATCTAATACCTGAAACCATAAAAATTCTAGAAGAAAACCTAGAAAAAATGCTTCTGGACATTAGACTAGGCAAAGAATTTATGCCTGAGACCTCAAAAGCAAATGCAACAAAACCAAAAATAAATAAATAAATGGGACCTACTCAAACTAAAAAGCCTCTGCACAACAAAATAAATGATCATCAGAGTAAACAGACAACCCACACAATGGGAGACAATATTTCTAAACTATGCATCTGACAACGGACCAATATCTAGCATTTACAAGGAACTCAAACAAATTAGCAAGAAAAAAAGCAAAAAGTCTCATTAAAAAGTGGCCAAATACATGAATAGACAGTTCTCAAAAGAAGAATTTCAAATGGTCAACAAACATGAAAAAATACTTGACATTACAAAACATCAGGGAAATGCACATTAAAACCAATATGAGATATCACCTTACTACAGCCAGAATCGCATTAAAAAGTCAAAAAACAGTAGATATTGGCCTATGTGTGGTCAAAAGGGAATGCTTATACACTGCTGTTACGAATGTAAATTAGTACAATCTCTATGGAAAACAGTATGGAGATTTCTCAAAGAACTAAAAACAGATCTACTGTATTAGTCCATTTTCACACTGCTGTAAAGAAATACCTGAGACTGGGTAATTTATAAAGGAAAGAGGTTTAGTGGACTCACAGTTCTGCATAACTGGGGAGCCCTCAGGAAACTTACAATCATTTCAGAAGGCGAAGGCGAAGCAAGGCACATCTTACACAGCAACAGGAGAGAGAGAAAGAAGGTGCCACACTTTTAAACCACCAGATCTTGCGAGAACTCACTATCAGGAGAACAGCAAGGAGTAACACGCCCTCCATGATCCAATCACCTCCACCAGGTCCCTCCCTTGACATGTGGGGATTACAATTTGAGATGAGATCTGTGTGGGGACACAGAGCCAAACCATATCATCTACCATTTGGTCCATCAATCCTAGTACTGGGTATGGAAAAGAATTCATTACATAAAAAAGACACCTGCATGCATATGTTATCACAGGACAATTCACAACTGCAAAGATATGGAACTAACCTAAGTGCCCATCAATTGATGAATGGATAAAGACAATGTGGTTTATATACATTGTGGAATACTATTTAGCCATAAAATAAAAATAAAATAATGTCTTTTGCAGCAACTTGAATGGGACTGGAGGTCATTATTCTAAGTGAAGTAACTCAGGAATGGAAAACTAAATACTGTATGTTCTCACTTATAAGTGGGAGCTAAGCTATGAGTACACAAAGGCATACAAAGTGGTATAATGGACATTGGAGACTCAGAAGAGGGGAAAGGGGGAGCGGGATGAGGGATACAAAATGATATATTGGGTACAATGTATACTATTTAGGTAAGGGATGCACTAAAATTTCAAACTTCACCACTATACAATTAACCCATGTAAACAAAACCCCTAAAGCTATTGAAATAGAAATAAAATAAAATAATGAAAAGAAAAAAAAAAGCATTAGTGAAGCTAAATAAAAACATCAGTAAACAGGCCAGGTGTGGTGACTCATGCCTGTAATCCCAGCACTTTGGGAGGCTGAGGTGGGTGGAACATGAGGTCAAGAGATCGAGACCATCCTGGCCAACATGGTGAAACCCCGTCTCTACTAAAAATACAAAAAATTAGCCGGGCATGGTGGGGGGCACCTGTAGTCCCAGCTACTCGGGAGGCTGAGGCAGGAGAATCACTTGAACCTGGGAGACGAATGTTGCAGTGAGCCGAGATTGCGCCACTGCGCTCCAGCCTGGCGACAGAGCAGGACTCCGTCTCAAAAACAAACGAACAAACAAAAAAATTAGTCAACAGCAAAAGCAAAAATATAACACTATCAGAAAATATGTTTCGACATGAGAAACAAGTGAAAAAATTGGAAAGGAAAATGAAAAATTCTTACAAATTACTGATAATTTTCTAGAGAATTGAAAAAAATTTGTCAATTAGCATTATTCCCTAGCAGATTACTTTGTTATCCAAAAAGTATCTACTGAGATTTGAATATGAGTTTTCAGCCAAGTGGAATCAACATTTATATATCCTCAAACTCCAAAGCCACATAGATCACATGTTTAAACGTGCATGTCATAGGACTCTGAGTCATATGCAGAGAATTGAAGGTCATAAAATTTGGTAAATTGAGCAAAATAAAAAGGTTTTTATTGGAGTTGTGGAAATTGACTGAACAGAAGAGACATGGATGCATAGGAAAAGTAGTGTTTAGATGAATTACTAAGCTATCTAAGAATACATTTGGTCTCATAAATAAAAGTTACCATGGGAGAAATACTTGGAAGTTGAATTAGAACTTTATTTTTGTACTTTTGTTTGCATGAAAACTATTCCTAAGTTCTACAAAATGCTTATGTCAAACTAAGTGTTCAGTCACCCTGAAGAAATAATTGACTCCTTGAATTAGTCCCAAGTTAGCCACACTGTCAGCTTGACATGATGAAATCATTCAGGGATTTGTGACCCAGAGTTGGTGACAGCAGTAAAAAACAGACCTCTTCCTATATTATGGAACCATATTGATTTCTGGATGTCTTATACATTATAACTATAAGTTATATGTCCTGATAGATTATTTAGCATATTTAAAGCATTAAACTATTGAAAGTAAGCATTTTAGAGTAGTATCTTGAGAAATGTCAATACCAGTAGCCCCCATTTCATAGCAACTCAGTCCTTATAGGAGAAATTGTTACTGAATTATTCTTGTTGGAAAAACTTATTATCAGGAAAGGTTATCTCTGGGCCAGTGGGATGAAGGCTAATTCTAAGAGAACAGGAAGATAAACAGAAGGTCTTTCTATATTCCTAATTGAAAGGCAGGAAGTAGCAGAGTGACTTTTCCTCTTGATTTTTATCCCAGTAATTACATGTTTACAGTTGTTCAGCTGTTCGTTAAAGATGCAGAAAGTTCTCTTGACCTAGATAGCAAATATTTCTATAACATCGAAGATGAAAATTAATACTCAAACGAGGTTTTACAAAAAAATCTCTCCCTGATTTGTGGGGTTTTGCCTACAAATTACACCTTTCTGCCTGGTTTTACTCTTTTTTTTTTGAGACCGAGTCTTGCTCTGTCAACCAGGCTGGAGTGCAGTGGCGCGATCTCGGCTCACTGCAAGCTCCGCCTCCCGGGTTCACGCCATTCTCCTGCCTCATCCTCCCAGGCGCCCGCCACCACGCCCGGCTAATTTTTTTTTTTTTTTTTTTTTTGTATTTTTAGTAGAGACGAGGTTTCACCGTGTTAGCCAGGATGGTCTCGATCTCCTGACCTCGTGATCCGCCCGCCTCGGCCTCCCAAAGTGCTGGGATTACAGGCTTGAGCCACCTGCTCCCGGCCCTGGTTTTACTTTTATAAAGTTTATGTGATGCATCAAGCAGTGAAATGAAATGCTTTTCTGCCAGCTGTCCTGTGGAGGAATGAGGCCTTCTTCCTCAATAGTGATCATGTGTTGCTTGATTCTGAGCACCAGATTCACTAAAAATGTTTTAGTGTCTCTTTTCTTCGATATAAATTTACACAGTAGCTTAAGAAAGCCTTAAAAAGATATAAATCTTTTAAGAGCCATTTGAGATATTCCTAACCTCTCTTAAAATTGCAAACTAAATTAAGAAGGGGTTTTGAGACTACATGAAGCAAGCACTGTGCCATGCCTATGAAGTTGTAGAGGGAAAACTTTCTGGTTTTCACTAGGAGAGACTGGATGGCTTTACTTTAAAAGAGTATCCTTCTTCCTCTAAGCTTGCAGATGAAAGACACAATGGGAAGGAGAATGGAGCAGGAGAGTCAGAAAGCAACAAACCTGAAACAGAAGTGAGACTTGAAAAGAGGAGTAGCATCCACTAACACAAAATGGAATGAAACATCCCATGTGTGGAGCATAATTCAGACAAGTGCTTCATGTGTGGAGGTGTAGTGTCTTCCTCACATTCATGTTGTGCATATGCCGGGAGAAGGTATGTGGGGTGGAGAATACTGAAGCAAAAGGAGATGCAGATTACAAACTTGGGCTTTGGAGTTAGAGAGACATGAATTCTAATTTTGGCTCCTCTACTTACTTTGTAAAATTGAGCAAATTACTTAAACTGCTTAGCTTCAATTTCCTCAATATTTAAATGTTAAGAATTACCTACCTCATAGGACAATTCTATTAAGTAATATATTGATGTATAATTTTAAGTAATATTTAATGCATAGAAATCACTATATGGTCAGTATTGTTCAAAATGCTTTATTTCACACAACAAAATAGTGAGGTAAACACCTCTATTATCCCCTTTTTACATGAGAAAACACTGAGTTGAGGATAGCGTATCCAAAGTTCTTAGCATGGTACCTTATACACAAGTGGTCTCAATAAATAAGAACAATTGCTACTTAAAATAATGTCTCTGTATTTTACATTATATAGGGAAGAAAAGTTTCTTAAATGATGCAATAATCTAATTGCTGAAATTATTTGGAAAGAGAATGTGACGACTGACAAAACATTTGGATAGAATGAAAATATCTCAACAAATAATTAAGGAAAACAATAATTATATCTGCCTTAAGACTTATTGAACTAGGAATTGATGTAAATTGATAAAGTCTTCCTTGAAAAAAAAAACAGAGACTCAAAAGACATTACTCACTAAAAGAATAGAATCATAGAAAGGTAAAACTTCCTTCTCTTAGATTTAGCATAGTTTTTCCCCTCTAAGGTTAAAGAATGAAAACATTTGTTTTTAATTTTGATGTCAATAAAATGTAGAGCCCTTAAGTGTAAACACTCTAGGGAGTAAATATCTAGGCAATACCATTTCACACAAAATCGGAATGGAACAATAGATATTTAATGATTTTTGGTTTTTTTAACAAATCAAAGAAATGAGTAAACTTTTTGAGACGTGTAGATTTTCAGAAGTCCTTTATCTCCCAGGAAGCAGGAGAAACAGCTCAGAAAAATTAGTGGATTTCTTACAATTCTCTGTTGACTTCCCTTTCCAATTTAACATGCTCATAATTGTTCAGAAAATATTCTGAAATGCAAATCCCAGTTTTTGATATCTAAACAATGCTCCACGAATTTCAGTCTTCTGTGTGTAATTAATTTTTTCTTCTGGGTTACATTGCAGGTGAAATGTCAAATAGTTCTTTGACACAGCTGTTTTACTCCAAAGTTGAATTGTGAATTCTATGATTAGCCTTAGAGAAGTATTTAGCCATTTGGCTCTAGCAGTTGTCCTGTGCTTGGTAAAAATACTTGCCAAATTGCTCATAGGAGTCAATGTGATTTAAACTTTGCCATTAAAGGCAGCTATCTGGAACCTGACTATCACTGGGGAAATGGAGGAGGATATCACTCCCATTGTACAAGGAAGACAAAAAGTGTTTATTTCCTTTCATGTTGATTAAATTTCAAAGGGAAAGGTTAAAATGGAGAATATGAAAAACAGAACTTTGGTCCCATATGTTCTCATTGCCTTGTGCTGTAAATTTGAAAACACTATGTGAACTGGCAGCCTCCAAGACCTCCAATAGCAGGAACTGATATAATCTAAAATTAGATATTAATGGGGAAAGTTTCTGGGGTTATTCAAAAATGTCCTTTTGTTTGTTTTCTTTTGTGTCACTAAGTAAATGTTATAAATTGCAAGTCAAAGGTTCTGGGATGCTTCCAAAAGACAACTCCCTCTTATACTGAGCACAGATTCTGGGATAATTATGGATAACTAATAGGAATTCATTATGAAAGAGAACAAGACTCATCACAGTAAACTAGTTGTGTTAAAGGAACAAGTGAACAGACAGAACTACCACTTAAGAAAATAAAAATGAGCTTTTGTACAATGATAAGGGGTAGATAGTTACCAACATTAATAGTTGGGAAGTTAATGAAAAAAATATTTATGACATGTACCAATTTGAGAGTAAGAATGAGAGAAAGCTAAAACTAAGAACCTTAGTGAGTAATTGCTTCTGGACAAAATCCCTAGCCTTCAGTCACAAACTCAAGCCTGACTTGTTACCAATTCAATAACACCTTTCCTAAAACTACCCCTCATTCTTGTAGAACAAATATACTCTCTGCAGTTCCTCTGCATAGAATATGTATTTCTATTTCATATTTATATTACTTGGCTTTATACTAAACAAAGTGGACAAATGCCATTCAATTATGCATATTACAAATAATTATTGGTCACATTCTACTTACCAGAAAAATGTACCAGGGTCTTGGTAAATGCCAGTGCAATGGTACTGCTACAGAGGGTTTTACTAGCTAGTGGGGGAGATGGATAATAAATAAATAATAAATTTATGAAGAAAGGGCTTATAAGTCTATTAATTTGACAAACTGGTATGGCATTTCAGATAGAATTAAGAGATTTAAGAATGCAAAAATGTATGATTGGGAGAGAAGGGGACAGAGCAGGCTGGTGAGGAGATGGTGCTGGATAGGAAAGCCAAGACCTGATACAAGGGACCTGAATGCCAGGCCAAGGAATTAGACTTGATTTTCTAGGCCAGAATCTTAATTGGTAGGGATTCAGAAATCTCTATTTTAACAAGCTCTCAGGATGATTCATATGCTAAACTACCCAGCCTAATCAAATAAAAGAACCCTTTGGCCATTATCAGACATCAATAGTATGGCTTATAGATTATTTTTCTAAAATGATATAGCATTATTATTGTCTTCACATTCTTAGAATTATTTGTTGTTAAAGTTATATCAGTGATTTTTAAGTTGAAACAAGAAACTGTCATTTTCATATCTCAAACATTAAAATATCAATAGTTAACATATATTTCAATCTAGTTACTAAAATTTTACAAGTATTTAAAGAGAATAACATCACATATTATAGGGCTTTCATAACCTGGACCTTGATTATTTAACATGTGAGCTTTATCACAAACCCTTCAAAAATTAGGTCTTAATGAATTAATGTATTTATTGCCCATTCATGTATCTCGCTAACATTAGTTGAGTGCCGAATCCAGGGGTCAGGTCTAGTTCTAGACTCTAGAGATACCACAATGAAGGTGACTACAAAATCTCTGTAGTCAGAGAGCTTATGTTAATGGCCTGAAAGATCTTTTTAAAGTGATCTTCCACTAGACTTGAAGTAGGAAAACCTGGATTCTAATTTTGTCTTGGCCCTAAATTTGATGGTTTATTTGAGAAAAATATCCAGATTTTTGATCCATGACATAAAAATGTTTATATGTACTTTTACATAATCTCTAAATATCTCCTAGGCATAAAATTTCAAGCTTCTATTTTTCCACATATTTCATAAACTTCCAGGCTTTTCTCAGATATTTATACCATTAATTTTAATACCTTACTTCACAATATCTTTATTTCCATTTTGTTCATTCTCCTTATAGTATAGTTCTTATAGTTCTATTTTGTTTATTTCTTTTATCACTTTTGTCAATTTTTACAAATTGTCAGATAAAATCGTATGTATTTATCATGTACAACATGTTTCAAGGTGTATTTACATTGTGAAATGACTAAATCTAGCTAATTAACATATGAATTCATTCACATAGTTATATATTTTGTAGTAAGAACACCTATCCACTCTCTTAGCATTTTTCAAGAGTTCTATATATTACTAATCATATTGTAATACATAATAGTATCACTATATTGTACAATAGAGCTCTTGAACTTATTCCTCCCATCTAACTGTACTTTTATATCCTTTGACCAACATCTTCCCAGACCCCTTTCCTCAACTGCCCCAGCCCTTGGTAACACCATTCTACCCTTTGCTTATATGACATCAACTTTTTCAGATTCTACATATGAGTGAGATAATGTGGTATTTGTCTTTTTGTGCCTTGCTTATTTCACTTAACATTATATCCTCCAGGTTTCATATTTTAAAATTGGTACCCCTGACAAGTGTATTTACTGTAGTAGTCCATTTTCACGGTGCTGATAAAGACATACCTGAGACTGGGAAATTTACAAAAGAAAGAGGTTTATTGGACTTACAGTTCTACGTGGCTGGGGAGGCCACACAATCATTGCCGAAGGCAAGGAGGACCAAGTCATATCTTACGTGGATGGAGGCAGGCAAAGAGAGAGACTGTTCAGAGAAACTCCCGTTTTTAAAAACATCAGATTTCATGAGACCCAATCACTATTACAAGAACAGCATGGGAAAGACCCACCCTTATGATTCAATCATCTCTCACTGGGTCCCTCCCACAACACTTGGGAATTATGGGAGCTACAAGATGAGATTTGGGTGGGGACACAGAGCCAAACCATATCATTTCATCTCTGGCCCCTCCCAAATCTCATATCTTCACGTTTCAAAGCCAATCATGCCTTCTCAACAGTCCTCCAAAGTCTCACCTCATTTCAGCGTTAACTCAAAAGTCCACAGTCCAAAGTTTCATATGAGACAAGGCAAGTCCCTTCCGCCTATGAGCCTGTAAAATCAAAAGCAACTTAGTTACTTCCTAGATAGATACAATGGGGGTACAGAAATTGAGTAAATACAGCCATTCCAGATGGGAGAAACTGGCCAAAACAAAGGGCTACAGGCCCCATGCAAGTATGAAATCCAGCAGAGCAGTCAAATCTTAAAGCTCCAAAATGATTTCCTTTGATTCCATGTCTCACATCCAGGTCACGCTAATGCAAGAGGTAGGATCTCAAAGTCTTGGACAGTTCTGGCTCTGTGGCTTTGCAGGGTACAGCCGCCCTCCCAGCTGCCTTCACAAGCTGATGTTGAGTGTCTGTGGCTTTTCCAGGCCCATGGTGCAAGCTGTCAGTGGATCTACCATTCTAGGGTCAGTAGGATAGTGGCCCTCTTCTCACAGCTCCACTAGGCAGTGCCCCAGTAGGGACTCTGTGTGGGGCCTCCCACTCCACCTTTCTCTTCTGCACTGCCTTAGCAGAGATTCTCCATGAGGACCCCACCCCTAGAGCAAACTTCTACCTGGGCATTTAGGTATTTTCTTGGTTCTTCTGAAATCTAGGCAGAGGTTCCCAAACCTCAATTCTTGACTTCTGTGCACTCGCAGGCTCAACACCATGTGGAAGCTGCCAAGGCTTGAGGCTTGCACCCTCTGAAGCCATAGCCCGAGCTCCACATTGGCCCCTTTCAGTCATGGCTGGAGCAGCTGGGATGCAGAGCACCAAGTCCCTAGGCTGTACACAATGCAGAGACATTTCCCCCATTGTCTTAAGGATTAATATTTGGCTCCTCATTACTTATGCAAATTTTTGCAGCTGGCTTGAATTTCTCCTCAGAAAATGGGATTTTCTTTTCTGTTGCACTGTCAGGCAGCAAATTCTCCAAACTTTTATGCTGTGTTTCCCTTTTGAAACTGAATGCCTTTAAGAGCACCCAAGTCACCTCTTGAATGCTGTGCTGCTTAGAAATTTTTTCCACCAGATTCTCTAAATCATCTCATTCAAGTTGAAAGTTCCACAAATCCCTAGGGCAGGCAAAAAATGTCAGCAGTCTCTTTGCTAAGACATAACAAGAGTCACCTTTGTTCCAGTTCCAAACAAGTTCATCATCTCCACCTGAGACCACCTCAGCCTGGACCTTATTGTTCATATCACTATTAACATTTTTGTCAAAGCCATTCACTAAGTCTCTAGGAAGTTCCAAATTTTCCCACATTTTCCTGAGCCCTCCAAACTGTTCCAACCACTGCCTGTTACCCAGTTCTGAAGTTGCTTCCACATTTTTGGATATCTTTTCAGCCATGCCCCACTCTACTGGTGCCAATTTACTATATTAGTCCATTTTCATGGTGCTGATAAAGACATACCTGAGACTGGGCAATTTACAAAAGAAAGAGGTTTATTGAACTTACAGTTCCATGTGGCTGGGGAGGCCTCACAATCATGGTGGAAGGCAAGGAGGACTGTCACATCTTACATGGATGGCAACAGGTGAAGAGAGAGCTTGTGCAGAGAAACTCCTGTTTTTAAAACCACCATCAGATCTCATGGGACCCAATCACCATCATAAGAGTAGCATAGGAAAGACCTGCCTCCATGATTCAATCATCTCCCACTGGGTCCCTCCCACAACAAGTGGGGATTATGAGAGCTACAAGATGAGATTTGATTGGGGACACAGAGCCAAACCATATCAATTACCTATGATTTAATTCCTTCTTATTATAACTGAATCTGTAGACCTTCTATGAGACAGAAAGCAAAATAAAGCATTGCTCAATTGTTTAAGGCTTACAATTTCTGGATGTTCCTTCTTGAAAGCCTTATAGGAGCAGATGAAGAATCATAAGAAACTGTACTCTACTCTCTATGAAAACTACTTCCTCGACTTAAATAAATTGTGTTTTCTTTCAGCATAATATTTCCAAAGCACAAAGGAAAGGAGAAAAAAGAGAGAAAAAGAAAACAATGTTGGTTTCAAATATTTATGAGAGCACACTAGGTTTTGAAACTAGACCAACTGTTCCATAGAACTGATGTTTATAATTTCTTGGAGTAAACATAGAAATTAATCCTCCCAGTCTTACAACTTGAGAGTTACATTTGTCTTACCTGAGTTACCTTCTCAGGAAACCAGCTATCAGGCCTCCCAGATTATACCATGGAGCTGAAACTTACCAGATCACTGCACCTAGACAAAGAGACGCCAGACTCCTCACCCAACATGACTGCACCACCCTGCTGCCTGTTGACCAATTTCTCTGCCTTGTCCATCTCTAATTTCCATTTTCCCACACATGGTTTCATGTCTTCCCTGCTATATAAACCTCTAATTTTAGTCAGTGAGGGAGATGGATTTGAGACTGACCTCCCATCTCCTCAGCCACAGCACCCAATTAAAGCCTTCTTCCCTGACAATACTCATTGTCTCAGTGACTGGTTTTCTGTGTGGTGAGCAGCAGGACCTAGACAAAATCCCCAGTGTTTTGGTAACTTTTTTTTTTACCTAGTTGTCAATTTAAGGCATTTAAATTAACAAGTATTATTAAGTTATAAATTAAAATACTGTTAAGAATTTTTTTTAATTTAAAATACAGTGAAGAATAAGCAAATAGCTAATTACTGTGACTGTTTTCTTAAAATAACTGGAAATAATATAAGAGAGGGCAAGGTAGAAAATTATCTGTAGCAATAAATATGTTCATGTATTCATTTATTTTCTCACTGATATGGACCTTTAATTAGGAATGCAGTCAGATAGCCAATAAATATGTTTTAAGGATCTCCTATTCCTTAGGGACTCTAGAGGAGATAAAGGTTTAAAAAATATTTTAAATCTTTTTTAAGACCATGTCAGGATGGGCATGGCAGCTCATTGTTTTAGTTCCAGCACTTTGGGAGGCCGAGGCAGATGGATCACTTGAGCCCAGGAGTTCGTGACCATCCTGGGCAACATGGCTGGGTAATCCTGTCTCTACAAAAAATATAAAAATTAGCTGGTTGTGGTGGTGTAACCCTGTAGTCCCAGCTACTAGGGAGGCTGAGGTGGGAAGATCACTTGAGCCCAGGAGATCAAGGCTGCAGTGAGCTGTGAGTGTGCCACTGCACTCCAGCCTAGGTGACAGAGCAAGACCCAGTATCAAAAAAAAAAAAGTTAAAATTAAAATTAAACATGTTTTCTGTTCAGAAGGATCTTCCAGGTAAGTGGCCTGACTTCCATAGTTTGTTTTTTGAGAAGTAGGAAAGAAAGAAGACTCTTGGAATCCAGTGGGAGGGAGAAGGAAGTACAGAAAGGATAGGTTCTAACAGAAATTACAGCCTTAGGAAGATGTAATGGGTTTCAAAAAATTTATAACCCCAAACCCCCAAATTTCCCATTCCATACATTTTTCTATGGATTTTAGCTGGGATTTTTAGCTAAATGAAATCAAGAATAACTTTGTACCGAGAAAGGCTTTCCCAAGAGTGTAGAAAAAGCTGACTGTGACTCTTCACTTTGTGTTTGTCTTGAAATTCCTTTTGGCTGGTTGTCAAAGATGAGTCAATAGGCAAAAGCCTTAAGGAAATCAGGCTATAGGCAAATTGCAGATTTCATCAAGGAAAGAAAATGTTTTACAGATTCTTATCAGTCCAATAATGCCCAAGTATTGTGCTCTGCATGCCCATTGCCTAATAAGAAAATAAAATGCAAGAAAATTTATGGTAAGGAGTATTCAAAAGGACATAAATGAACAACTTGGGATTTCTCTGCAAAAATTTCAAGCAAATTTAGCAAAAATAGAATCATTTTTATTCTCATCTGTCTACAACTATTTATATAAGAATGACTAAATCACTGATTGAGGGTGAATTAGCTTAAGGTTTTGGAATCCTTTGGTGTCCTAAACAAAACTGAAATTTTAATTAAATATTATCTTTCACGTGATTCCTTTGCGTTTTTGTCTTAGAGATCTAGTACTAGTCTGCACCGTAAGGGTTTTTAATGCCTTTGAAGAAAGGCGAAAGAACATGTTCATAAATATTTTTTGCATTTGTTTACAAAGATAATTTCAACCGTGTTTAAGGGCCCCAGAGTTGATGAATTGAGGACAGTTAAGACTAGATATAGTCATGTTAAAGAAGTAACTGGACAGAGGAATAAAAGCAAAACTCATTAGTCATATAACTGTGAAGCTACTGTGATGTCCCTTCAGAAAAGACGACCTCAAATTAACCTTTATACACAAAAGCCTCCCATAAAGTGTGATTAATCTCCCCACGTGAGATTTTTGGTGCCCCCATTATGGCCTACTTTGACTGATGTGGATGTGATTTGCTTGATGGAATTGGTCAGCAGATTATCTGTCCTTTATAGTTGGTATATCATGGCTTGTTTGTTGAGAAGATCTTGGAAAACATTTTTTTAAAGTGTAGTTCATTTATTGAGCATCTAGTGTCTTTCACAGAGAAATACTTTGTTAACCTATATTAAAACATTTATTACTTAAAAATTATTTATTTCTGTTGCTTATTGTTCATTTTTATTAATTGTTACCTTTTTGATTACTCACAACAGTCCTGTGAATTTATCTGAGTATTTTGAACCATCCATTTATTGGGAAATCAATTTTAAATCTTTAAAACCACTCAAAAGAATAGATTTTCTATGACTTTCAGAAATCTCTTTAACAATTATGTAATGTTTTAAAGTATTCTCATCAATTCATATGTCCATTCGTTACTCTAATAAGACTTATTGAAGGCCTTGATGTGCCAGGTACTATGAAAGCTTTTTAAAAAATAGAATCACTCTACTCAGGAAGTCCTCAGTTCAATTCTGGAGACATATAATCTTGCTCAAGCAGTGTGGCAATAATTTTAATGGAATAGAGTGACTTCTACCATCTTTTACTTTTTATCAATTAGAAAGATGAATTATTGGAAGATGCTAAAATAAGTGAATGAAATGAGGAGTAAGAATGAGGGATACATATATATATATATATATATAAAATAAAATAGATACGATAGAATTCTGAAAAAAAAAATACATATATATACACACACACCACATCCCTTTCATCATAGGAAAGAAGATGTATTTCCAAGTCGTGGGAAGAAAAATAGCTTTCCTTGACCCTTTCTGAAGGTCCCTTGAGTAGTAATTCCTATGGAACAAGAAAGACAGTGATTGATTTCAGCTGTGCTAATAGTTTTTGGCCTGGGACTGAAGTCTCTCTCTTCCTTTCCTTTCTATTTACAGTTTTAAAATAGCTCAACAATGTGACACTGTTCTTTAAAATTCTGAGAAATGAATAGTAAAAACAGGGGAACAACACAGAGAAACCAATAACATAGCGAAACCAAATAAACAAATTTATTTAATGAGTTAACTTTATAAAAGTACCAAAATAGTTAATTTTTAAAAGTATAGCTAATGTAGGAATGTGAGACACTGGGACGAGTCTGAGGAGAAATTTGAAATCACTTAAATTCTATCAGATATGCATCAATCTGCCTATTCTACTCATTAGCAGAATTGGTCCTGCCTTGAGAATATTGCTTACAGAAGAAGAAAGTCAATGGCTAAACTAGAAAGAAGTTGAGCAATAGTCGGAGATAATTTATATTGTCATTTAACACAATGCCATAATCTGCATTCTCAGTAGTTAAAAGCATTAACAATAAAGTTCTCAAAGTAAGACTTTATCTGTATTTGTGAGAAATAATCTAGAGAATACTAGCACATCAGTTAGGAAGACAAAAATTCCACAAATATCTGGAAAAAACTGGTAATAACGAGATATTTCAAAAAAATAAATAAGGTCTTAGAATTTTACTAGGACTAATCTAAAACATGAAACCTGAAATAAATGTAGTAACTTGCAAGCAATTTACAAACTGTCATCAAAGCCTCCTGTGAGAAAGATTTCCATTTTCACTAATGCATATACATAAAAAGACTATATCCTTTTATACGGGTTTATTCTAGAGGATCACTGGAAATTTAAATAAATAATCACTTCTTTTGAGAAAATAGTTAAATAATGCAAAAGATAAATTACTTAGTTTTATAGAAGAATTTCATTAATGGCAATAGCTTGGATATCTAAATATTCTGAAACACCCAATTATTTACTTTTGTTCATGTAACGGTATATATAAATGCATTTCTGTGGACGAGAAACTGATATAAATGATTATCATGTAATTACACTTAAATACAGATAATTTTTATTTACTTTTTAAATATTCCCCCAAAACTCTATCATCAGCATTCTGTCCTATTCTATGAATACTCTCCGTGTAATTGTATTCACATATAATGTGTCTTAATCCATTCTGGTTGTTATAAAAAACACCAAAAACTGGTAGATTTATAAACAACAAATATTTAATCCTCACAGTTCTGGAAGCTGGTGACCCCAAGATCAAGGCACGAGTGGATTTGGTGTCTGATAAGGCCACTTCCTTGTAAAAGAAGCCTTCTTTTTTTTTTTTTTTTTTTTGAGACGGAGTCTCGCTCTGTCGCCCAGGCTGGAGTGCAGTGGCGGGATCTCGGCTCACTGCAAGCTCCGCCTCCCGGGTTCACGCCATTGTCCTGCCTCAGCCTCCCAAGTAGCTGGGACTACAGGCGCCCCCCACTACGCCCGGCTAATTTTTTGTATTTTTTTTAGTAGAGATGGGGTTTCACCGTTTTATCCGGGATGGTCTCGATCTCCTGACCTCGTGATCCGCCCGCCTCGGCCTCCCAAAGTGCTGGGATTACAGGCGTGAGCCACCGCGCCCGGCCAAAAGAAGCCTTCTTGCTGTGTCTTCACCTAGTAATAGGGGCAAAGAATCACCTTGGAGGCTCTTTTGTAGGGACACTAAGGCCATTCATGAAGGCTCCGCCCTCGTGACCTAAATACCTCCCGAGGCTCCAACTCCAAATACTCTTGCTTTGGGGATTAAGTTTCAACATATACAATTTGGGGTACATAAATATTTAGACTATAGCAGTGAGCAAGAAATAAATCATTATTTCAAGTCACTGAGTTTTGGCATTGTTTGTTAATGCAAGTATGACTGGTTCTATTTTGACAGATGCAGAGCCATACAATTCTATTAAATCAATAATTTCAAGAGAAAAACATTCCAAAAAATTAATGTTCATATCTTAGAACTATGTTTAACCACATTCAAAGCAACAATTTTATTTTTTCAAGAGAGCAAAAAGAATACTCATTTCAATACAGAAACCACTCATTCTTTCAAAAAATTTTGAATGTCTCTGATATGTCAGGCATTATGTCAAGATCCACCACTACAATGGTGAATAACATTTCTAGTCCTTTTGGAGCCTAAGTTTGAAGAGTTAAAAACGAAATTACTCAATTATATGTATTAATGAATGTTATTAGCATGGTAAGCCAAGAGTTTTAGGGGAAAACATAACAGAATATTTGATCTAGTCTAGGGTAGTAGAGAGGGTTTTAAAATTTTTGTTTTAAGAGGATAAGACGTCAAAGTTGCCACTTGAAAGATTAGAAAGAGCTGTCCAAATTGGGGGAGTTTAAGGCAGTGAGGAAGTACAAGGCATAGGGAACAGTTTGTGCAGTATCCTAGAGGGCAGAGAAAAAATGTATATCTGTGAGGTTAAGATGCTTAGTGTGACTAGAGAGGGAGTGTGGTGTTAGAACTTCCTGTTAGTGTCACAACAGGATACGTATGGAGAATTCTAACAAGGTCTCAGCCAACTCTACAAGAAGCTCTGGGATGGTGACCTGAAAAGAGACTGGAAGTTAGGCAAGAGGTGGATAATGCAATAAGTAATAAGGCAAACTGCTGCTGATTAAATTGAGTAGCCAAGTCAAGCAAGCTTTCGATATTGCAGCCTGCATGAATGACTGTGTGTGTGTGTGTGTGTGTGTGTGTGTGTGTGTGTGTCTTCCCCAAGGTATGTGTCTGAACATGTCCAGTTAACTTATGATATTCTTCACTTGTGAGTTACTTGGAAAACTGTTAATGCAAGCAAAACCATAGATGTATTTTTCTCCAAGGACACTTAAGGAGTGTCATAGTGAAGGAAGATGATGAGAAGAGTGTAACAATAAATAAGATCAATTAGTTTCAGAAGAAAATGAGTGGTAGGAAGGCCACTTCTCAATAAACTGGACATTTACTGTTGTCAGTTATGACACCAGTTTATTTTTCTGCCCAATTGCTCCCATTTGGTGTCCTCCTTTCCATATCCTTTACATGCTTCTAAGTCCTCATGGCCTTCTGCTCTAATTTTTAGCAAGACTTGCTTTTAGAAAGTGATCTTTAACCCATTCACTGCCGAGTGGAAAGAATAATAACAACACAAATGACTTTGGTTTCTGGGAATACAACATCATTGGGGAATTTATCTAAGGTTATTTAAAAGTTTATATTTCTCAATACCTTAATTTTTGTGTGTGTGGAGGAAATGGTGATCCTTTGAACAGACAATCTAATAATCTGTCCTCAAAATTATTGTAAATCACAAGTGTGTCCATGTGGCTTTGGTGAAATCACTGTGTGTTAAATACTCCATGTGAATCGATAATAATATATTTTAAACATACTGAACAGGAAGTATAAGAAAATATGAAACCAGTTAATATGTTACTAGAGTAAGTCAGGGATGAACTGTCTGAACAAAAGCAGGAGAAATATGAATGGAAATGAGCCTTAGGCTGGAGAGAAATTATAGAGTTAAAAATGGAAAGACTGTTTCCTTGAATGTGGGAACAAAGTGAAAATGAATAGGATACATTGGGCAATTGAGTCAAAGACAGTACAATTTAACTCATAAAATGCGGTGTGAACAGGTTTGCTGGAGGTGGTAGTGGTGGTGGTGGTGGTTGTCTGCTTTGGACATACTTGGCTTAAAGTATGTTTCTGATGTGGTTCTGTGGGAAGCTGACTCTAAAACAAGCTAACATGAAGGAAGCTTAGGGTCAACACCTGTTGGGGAAGTGACAGTGGCAGAATTACACAGAGAAGGGCTGCAAATGGGCTTCAGTGCAGTAGTAACAAAGTCTCAGCCAACTCCACACTGAGCTCTGAAGCTGGGATGAGCCTTCAGATTTATCCCAATTTGAGGCACCGGTCATTAGACATAGGCTATCCCTCATAGAAGTGTGTGACCATGGGTAAGGTAGACATTTTTGGCCGAGAGAAATTTCTAGAGAGAAATGACAACTCTCTGCTGTTAGCATTCTAGCAACTAGGGAGGGTAAGTCCAGTCTTGTCTGGCTGGGCACAGCATCCATAACAGGATACTGATGGGAAAGTCTAACAAACCTGTCATTAGGCTACGCAATATAAAAGAACTGTGTTGGAGATATAATCATCATTAATTATGTAGGCAGGTGCTATCGGGACAACTCTTTTTGTCACAGGACAAGGAAGAATAAAATTTTGAACAACTGCCATGTGCCAGTTCACTCACTTGTGACAATAGATTTTGATATCATCATGTGTAGTTAAGAAAACTTAAGCCCAGAAAGTTCTGTCTATCACCCCATTATGCTTACTAAGAAAGCTTTGATAACTTCCTTCTTCAGATATAGAATAGGTCTGAGTTATGGTGCTTTGTCTAGTGGAAGAGTTTCGATGAAGTGTATTTTGAAAATGGGAAGTTCTGGGAGGCCTCTGAGTTTTAAGAAGGAATGTGCCGAGAGAGAAGAAATGAACTCTTAAAAGTAAGGTAGAATGATGCAAATAATGATTTTGCTCACTTCACATTAAGGTAACTCTCTCTTTAAAGGGATTGGTTTTAGGTAAAATAAAAGCCAATTGTTGTGCAGTAATGTCAGTTGCCCATACTAAGCAAACTCCATGGAAGATAACAAAGACTTTCTCTACATTCTCCCAATGGTTCATTGTTGCCCATTATAGGAAAAGGTTGGGTTTGCACTACTTCTTGAAGCTAAAACAAAGGAAGGTCAATCTGATTCTTACATATTTTGCATCTGACTCAAATTGTTTGATTCAACAAATAACAAGATATAAATTTAATTGACTGCTAGATCCATGCACACCTAGAAGGAATGTTCTATTTTACATCGCACAAATTTTCAATTTTAAAATAAATACACTCTGATATCCTGAAAATGCATGAGATTTATGATGACATTTCACATTTTAGGACAAAGAGTATGTTTTGATAAATAATTCAAAAGTCCTGGGAGATTTTGCCTGGAACAGCAAAGAACATAACAGAAATGTGATAAGATATAGGACGAGGAGGGTGTATTAGAGTCATATAGCAGAGAGATGAGAATGTCAACCTCCAAAACTATGGAGGTTTTTAAAGGGGGCATAGGAAAATATACTTAGCCATATTATGGAGACTGAATAGGAAAAGTGAGAGCAGCTAGCTAGAAAAACTATTACCATGATCTAAATAGAGTTCATCTTGGTTTGAACTTAAAGATGAAGAATTCCATATTTATATACCTTGAACTTTGGTGTCATCTGAGCCTTAATTCTCTCCCCATACTTAAAACATACTTCATTTTTAAAATAAAATAATGATCTCTCCCTTGAGTATTAGTCATGAATTTTCAAATGCCTATTATATGCTTTCTTATGGAGATCCTGCCATCATATCAAATCAAACAAATAAGTGTTAGTCTTATTATTTTGTATTTCAAATGTGTTTCCCTTTACCCCCAATCTTGTTCATTTACGTTAACATTATCCCAATTTAGAACAAAAGAGAGGCCTTACTATTTTATTATATTACAAGACCATAGCAAACTCACTGGCATGATTACTTTTGTTTTACAGATGAGCTGAGTATATGATTAAAGGCACAAAACTAGGGAAGACACAATTTGAGCCCAAGACTCTCTGACTCCAAAAATAGTGTTCCTTTCACAGCACCAAATTTTCATTCCATGTTCTTTTCCCATCAAGCATCTATTATTATCTTTTTCTTGATATTATTTCTAGTATTTGGACATTTTAAAATTACTTCCCCATATTCAGTTCAGTACCCTAATTCTCATCCTTATTTTCTAATGTTTTAAATATTGTAATAGGACTCTTACTTGATTCTTTATTTTTATTTTCTTTTCTGTCAACCTATATAGTATGGCACAGGTATATTTTTTTCTTAAAATGCTGCTTCTACTTGGCCATTTCCTTACTCAAAAATATCTATTAGCTCCTTCCAACCTGTACCATAATCCCTTACCTTGGAATTTGATGCCAGCCACAATCCTATTTGAATCAGTTTTTAAATATGTATTTGTCTTTTATTGCTCTTCTACACACACAATTCTCAAATCAAACTGACCTGTTCATGGTAATTCACCACACTGTCTCTCAATCTCACCTATGTCTGTGGAAATTCCTGCCTCCAGATCTCAGGATATGTATCTTTCTTCAACTGGAAAAATCATAAATGCTGCTCTATATTGGTCTTCCAGGAACCATGCTAAGAGTTTCTAATATTCAAAAGAGCTTTGTAAGTCTCTAATTTTATAAGGAAGGAAAGTAAAAATTTTCACAAGATTACATAATAACCAAGAAAATAGTATATCCAGGGATGGGTACAGAGGAAAGACCATGTGAGGACACAGCAAGAAAGCAGCTATCTGCAAGCCATGGATGGAAGTCTCAGAAGAAATCCAAACTCCCAACACCTTGAACTTGGATGTCCAGGCTCCAGAACTGTAAGAAAATAAATCCCCATTGTTTCAGCTACCCAGTCTGTAGTATTTTGTTATGGAAGTTCTAGCAAACTAATATATGCCAGTATTTTGTTTCTTTTTTTTTTTTTTTGAGACGGAGACTCACTCTGTTGCCCAGGCTAGACTGGAGTGCAGTGGCACAATCTCAGCTCACTGCAAGCTCTGCCTCCCAGGGTCATGCCATTCTCCTGCCTCAGCCTCCCAAGTAGCTGGGACTACGCACCCGCCACCATGCCCGACTAATTTTTTGTATTTTTAGTAGAGACGGGGTTTCACCGTGTTAGCCACGATGGTCTCAATCTCCTGACCTCGTGATCCACCCGCCTCGGCCTCCCAAAGTGCTGGGATTACAGGCTTGAACCACTGTACCCGGCCGTATTTTTGTTTCTTTATGTTAAAATCAATATTAATTGAAGTTGACAGAGTCAATTTACCTAAAACAATTTAGATTTCCACCAAATATTTTAAGAGCATTCATTTCTCCATATCATAACCAGTAACTGAATTTCTTAATACTACTTTTTGGCAAATATGGTTGTCCTGCAATTCAAACATCCTCAGTATTGCTGGCAGAAGTATGAACTATGTCTCCTGACAATATTCTCTCCATCTTATTGCCTACAGAAATTCATGAAAGGATCAAATGTAAATGGACTGACTTACTCCATTTGTGCTGCTATAGCAAAATACCACACACCAGGGAATTATAAATAACAGAAATGTATTTTCTCACAACTCTGAAGCCTGGCAAGACCAAGATCAAGGTGCCAGTAGGTTTGGTTGTTTGGTGAGGGCTGCGTCCTTTAGAGAGGAGGACCATTGTGTCCTCACTTGGCAGAAGGTGGAAGGAAAAGTGAAAGGTGCATGAAGCCTCTTTTTTAAGGGCCTTAATCCCATTTACCAGAGAGGAGACCTCATTGCCTAATCACCTCTGTATTGTTGGGGAAAAGCTGAGTGTTGGGGAAAAATACTGAGGCAGGGCTTGCCTGTCTGACATAATGTCCTCTGGAATGTGTCTGGACTTGCTGGCTCCTTGCTTCTAGCCCTCCTAGGCTCTGAGATCGATTGTATTCCCATTATCTCAAGTAGCAGAACATGTTCCATATAAATGCTAAACCATCACAGCTGTAGATCATGCACCTGCCCTTTTGACCTCCACATTCTTACAACCTGTTTCTTTGTTGGATTACCAGTAAATAGTGTGGGCTCCCAGAGCTAAGGGCCTTCGCAGCCTCCACAATCGCGATGGCCCCCGGTCCCACTTTACTTCTCAAACTGTCTTTTTCTCAATCCTTTGACTCTGCTGGACTTCATCGCCCCCACGACCTGGTGTTGGGTCTCATCACCCCAACACTGTATTATTCTATTTTCATGCTACTGATAAAGACATACCCAAGACTGGCAATTTACAAAAGAAAGAGGTTTCTTGGACTCACCGTTCCACATGACTGGGGAGGACAAGGGGGAACAAGTCACATTTTATGTGGATGGCACTAGGCAAAAAGAGAGCTTGTGCAAGGAGACTCCTGTTTTTAAAACCATAAGATCTCATGAGACTCATTCACTGTCATGAGACTAGCATGGGAAAGACCCACCCCCATGATTCAATTGTCTGCCATTGGCTCCCTCCCAAAACACATGGGAATTATGGGAGCTACAAGATGAGATTTGGGTGGGGACACAGAGCCAAACCATATCATTCCACCCTGGCCCCTCCCAAATCTCATATCTTCACATTTCAAAACCAATCACGCCTTCCTAGCAGTTGCCCAAAGTCTCAACTCATTTCAGCATTAACTCAAAAGTCCACAGTCCAAAATCTTATCTGAGACAAGGCAAGTCCTTCCGCCTATGAGCCTGTACAATCAAAAGTAAGTTAGTTATTTCCTAGATACAGTGGGGGTACAGGTATTGGGTAAAGACACACATTCCAAATGGGAGAAATTGGCCAAAGCAAAGGGGATACAGGCCCCCTGCCAGTCCAAAATCCAGCGGGGCAGTCACATCTTAAAGCTCCAAAGTGATCTCGTTTGACTCCATGTCTCACATCCAGGTCACACTGATGCAAGAGATAGGTTCCCATGCTCTTGGGCAGCTCTGCCCCTGTGGCTTTCAGGGTACAGCCTTCCTCCCAGCTGCTTTCATAGGCTGGCATTGAGTGTCTGCAGCTCTTCCTCCAGGCACATGGTGCAAGCTGCCAGTGAATCTACCACTCTGGGGACTGGAGGACGGTGGTCCTCTTCTCACAGCTCCACTAGGCAGTGCCCCAGTAGGGACTCCATGTGGGGTCTCTGACCCCACATTTCCCTTTTGCACTGTCCTAGCAGAGGTTCTCCATTAGGGCCCTGCCCCTGCAGAAAACTTCTCCCTGGGCATCCAGGCATCTTCATACATCTTCTGAAATATGAGTGGAGGTTCCCAAACCTCAATTCTTGACTTCTGTGCACTGGCAGGCTCAACACCACATGGAAGCTGCCAAGGTTTGGGGCTTGCAACCTCTGAAGCCGTGGCCCGAGCTCTATGTTGGCCCCTTTCAGCCACAGCTAGAACAGTTGGGATGCAGGGCACCAAGTCCCTAGGCTGCCCACAGTATGGAGACCCTACCCTGGGTCCGGCCCCCAAAACCACATATTTTTTCCTAGGCCTCTGGGTCTATGATAGAAGGGGCTGCTGTGAAGACCTCTAACATTCCCTGGAGACCTTTTCCTCATTGTCTTGGGGATTAACATTCGGCTCCTTGTTACTTATGCAGATTTCTGTAGCCAGCTTGGATTTCTCCTCAGAAAATGGAATTTTCTTTTCTATTGCATTGTCAGGCTACACATTTTCCAAACTTTTATGCTCTGCTTCCCTTATAAAACTGAATGCCTTTAAGAGCACCGAAGTCACTCCTTGAATGCATTGCTGCTTAGAAATTTCTTCCACCAGATACTCTAAATCATCCCTCTCAAGTTCAAAGTTCCACAAATCTCTAGGGCCAGGGCAAAATGCCACCAGTCTCTTTGCTAAGACATAACAAGAGTCACCTTTGCTCCAGTTCCCAACAAGTTTCTCATCTCCATCTGAGACTCCCTCAGCCTGCACTTTATTGTCCATATCACTATCAACATTTTGGGCAAAGTCATTCAACAAGTCTCTAGGAAATTCCAAACTTTCCTACATTTTCCTGTCTTTTTCTGAGCACCCCAAACCCTTCCAACCTCTGCCTGTTACCCAGTTCCAAAGACACTTCCACATTTTTGGGTGTCTTTTTTTCAGCAACACCCCACTCTACTGGTACCAACTTACTGTATTAGTCTATTTTCACACTGCTGATAAAGACATACCTGAGACCTCGTAATTTACAAAAGAAAGAAGTTTAATTGGACTCACAGTTCCACATGGCTGGGAAGGCCTCACAGTCATAGTGGAAGGCAAGGAGAAACAAGTCACATCTTACGTGGATGGCAGCAAGCAAAGGGAGAGTTTGTACAGGGAGACTCCGGTTTTTAAAACCATCGGATCTCATGAGACCCATCAACAATTACGAGAACGGCATGGGGAAGACCCAACCCCATGATTCAATCATCTCCCACTGGGTCCCTCCTACAACACGTGGGAATTATGGGAGCTACAAAATGAGATTTGGGTGGGGACACTAAGCCAAACCATATCAACCTCATAAAGGACCTGCCTCTTAATACTATCCCATTGGCCAAACCTGAATTCAGGTGGTGGCACATTTGAAGCATAGCATGGTGCTAGTATTCACTAAGCCACTTATAACTAATGATGTAACCAGGAGTATAATTCAGATTTTTCTGGTTCCAAACTCTACAGTTTATTAATTAGTATGGGTGATAAATGTATATATACATAATTTAAATACATTGACATAAGTTCTTAGATGTATTGTTGAGTATTGAGTCACTCAATTCTGGAGACTAAGAAGCCCTACAATCTGTTGCCTGCAAGGAGGAGACCCAGAAAAACTGTTGACGTAGTCTGTAGGCATGAGAACCAGAAAGCCAATGATGTAGATTCTTGACAGAGTCTGAAGGTCTAAGAACTAGGATTACTGAGAGCAGGAAAAGACTGATGTTCCAGCTCAAACAGTAGGCCAAGAGCCCCTTTCTCCTCCTATCAATTCTGTGCTTTGCCATGATGGAACTCTTATACAAGCAAGTTTGCTAATCTCCTGCAAACAGCTGCTGTTAGCAATTCCTATGGGGGAAGAATGGGCCAGGATTTTTGCAGTTCCACACTTCAGCATAGAGCTCTAAAAGTCAAAGAGTGCTAAATTTCAGCATGGCTCTTTACAGCATTATGAAGTTACTTTTTCTAAGTAAGAGGAAAAAATATATTTCATTAATAGTCTGTTAGCTTGATTAATAACAAATATTTTGAAATGTAGTACATGTCCCTCAAGTGATACTCCAGCTGAAAATGTTATAGGTCTGGCTGGTTTCAAGAATTAATTTTCAATATATTTTTTAATTGACCATTCACCAGTATTTGACAGACTGAATCACTCCCTTCTCTTAAAACCTTTTCATTACTTGGCTTCTAGGAAAAGAGTACATTCTCCTGACTTTTTAATATTCATATTAGCTGCAACTTCTTAAGCTCCTTTAAGTTATCTTGGACACAGTCTTTGGAATTCTTTTCTTTTCTAGTTTTACATAATCTCTTGATTATCTCAGCTCCTTTTGTAGTTTTAAAGTCCATCAATTGCTGATGACTCCAAAATTACATTCTAGCCATGATTCCGAACTCTAGTCTCATATGTGAGATGGCCTGCTTGAACACTTAATTTGGCTAGTAATTATTTCAAACATATTATATTCAAAATTGAGGTCTTGATTTTCTGCCTTAGTCCACTGTCTGTTGCTATAACTGAATACCACAAACCAAGTAATTTAAAAAGAAAATATGTTTATTTAGCTCGTGATTCTCAAACCAGAAATTCCAAGAGCATGGCATCAACGTCTGGTGAGAGCCTTCTTGCTGCATGATAACATGGCAGATAGCATCACATGTGAGAGAATAAGAGCAAGGGAGCCAGAGAGAGCTTGTTTTGGAAGCAGAGGGATTGTTTCCAATACATAGACTTTTGGGGGACACGTTCAAACTATAGCAGTTTTTCTCCTCCAAATCTGCTCGCTACAGTCTTTCCCATCTCAATTGTTTTGAATTTCTTTAAGGCGGTAGACATAGACATAAATATCTATGTCTTTAGGGTTAGTTACTGGTGATTTCTTTTGTTCGTTTGTGCCATGTTTCCCTGATTTTTCTCGATCCTTGTGTCTGTGCATTGGTGTCTGCATATTTGAAGAAGTAGGAACATTTTTAGTCTTTGCAGACTGGCTTTGTCTGGGAAAATCCTTCACCAGTGATCCTATCCAGAGATTCTGGGGAAGTCATGTAGTATGTAGTCTGTGGTCAGGCTTACTGCTGGAATCTTAGTTGATTGGTTCAGCAGGTGAGTGGGCCTGCCAGGTTCTACGGAGATTGGCCTGAAGCCTGGGTTTACAGGGGCTGACCTGGCACCAGGGTAAGACATGAGCCTGAATCCACAGGGGCTGGCTTGGAGGCTGGCTCTGTAAGGGTGGTCATGGAAGTTCAGTCCATGGGGGCTGGCCTGACCCTAGAGTCTAGTGGGGTGGACCAGATCCTTGGTCTACTGGAGCAGGTCTGGACATTGGATCCACTGGAACCTGAGGCCAGCCTGGTGCTGGGGCGGGTATACAGTCTGAGTTGATAGAGGCCAGTTGGAGGCCTGAGACCATGAGTGCCAGCCTGGAGTCTGGGGCCTTTGAGACCTGTCTGGAGCTAGACCTGTGAGGGCCAGATTGGAAGGTGGCTGTGTGGGTACTGGCCTGGAGGCTAGGTTTGTGATGGCTTGCCTGGGTCTGGGGTTGTGAGAGTGGCCTGAAATCTGGGACTACAGGGGTAGTCTTAGAGCCTGACTTCCTGGGAGCCAGCTCAGTGCTAATACCTACTGGAACAGGCCTAAACCTTAGGTTTGCTTGAACGTGGGGCCACAGGGGCTAGCCTGGAGGGTGGGGCTACAGGAGCTGGCCTGGCACTGGGCAGGCCTGGAGCCTATGAGTGCTGGCCTGGTGACTGAGACCAACCGGGGGTGTCAAGTCAACCTGGCCCTGAAGTGGGCCTGAAACCTGGAGCTATGTGAGCTGACTTTGTTCTGGGTTGGTATGGAGGCTGAGGTGGGCCTGGAGCTTGAGGCTACAGGGCGAGACCTGATGCTAGGGAGGCCTGGAGACTGTATAGCAGGTTACAACTAGGACTGCAGGTACTGGCCTGGTGCTGGGGCTGATGGGATCAGCCTGGTGATTGAATGGACCTGGAGGCTTGGTCTGAGGGTACCAGCCTGGATGGCGGTGGGGGACTGGCCAGTGCTAAATTTTACTGACATGAGCCTAATTTGGGGGTCCAAAGCAAAGCCTTTTGCTTGCTTTTCTCTTCTCCCATGCGGAGGGTATCTCTCTCCACTCTATGCAGCCTGGGGTTAGGAGAGAGGTAGTAATGAGTAATGTAAAACTGTTTCCTAATCTCTTTGATGTGCCTTTTCTTATTTCTGTGCTATACCCAGGTGCTGTAACCTTTCTACCTGGTTTCTCTAGCTGTTGCGAAGGCATGTTCATTCATGGATAGTTATTCAAATTGATGATTCTGCAGAGGGGTAAGCACTGGAAGTCCTACTCCACCATCTTGCTGCTATCTAGCCTCCTTCCACCCCAATATATAGCACATTCTTCCTTACCATTACTCAGGCTCCTTTCTTTTGCTCAAACCCCACATCACATCTTTTAGCAAATCCTGCCAGTTCTACCTGTCAAATGTACCAAAAATCTCACCATTTCTTAACATCGTGATCATCTAGCCTACATCATGTTGCCTTCACCTGGATTATTGCAAATTTTTTCTAATTTTTCTATTTCTGCCCTAGATCACTTCAGTATATCTTCAACATGTTCATATCAGTTTACTCCACTCCTCAAAACCCTGCAATGGTTTTCAGTCTCTCACAGAGAAAAGCCATAGTCCTGACCTAATCTAAGAGTCCCTCAGTGATCTGGACAGCCCACACCTGTGCCCACTAATGCTCCCTCCCTCCCTCCCTTCCTCCCTTCCTTCCTTCCTTCCTCCCTTCCTCCCTTCCTTCCTCTCACCCTCCCTCCCTTCCCTCCTTCTTTTCTCTTTTCTTTTCTTTCATGCAGTCTTGCTCTGTTGCCCATGATGGAGTGCAGTGGCATGATCTCAGCTCACTGCAGCCTCCACCTCCCGGGTTCCAGAGATTCTCCAGCTTCAGCCTCCCAAATAGCTGGGATTACAGGCGCCCACCTCTATGCCTGGCTAAATTTTTTTTCTTTTTTTGTACTTTTAGTAGAAATTAGGTTTCACCACGTTGGCCAGGCTGGTCTAAACTCCTGACCAAGTGATCCATCCGCATCGCCTTCCCAAAGTGCTGGGATTATAGGCGTGAGCCACTGCACCCAGCCTCCACCTTCCTCGTGTACTACTCTTCCCATACCCACTCTACCCCAGACACCCAGATTCCCTTGCAGTTCTCCAAATACACTAGGCAAGTGCCTGCCTCACAGACTTTGCAATTATTATTTTCTTGGCTCAGATTTGTCTTTCTCCTGATGTCTGTGTTTTTCATTTCCTAATTTCTTTAATGTCTTTGCCCAAATGTTACTGGAGTTAATATTCTGCTATACCACCTAAAACCCCTTTCATGACTAAGACACTCATTCTTACAGCTACTGGAAGTATTAACAGCTGAGTTTCCTTCCAGAAATTGTCCTTAACCGAAAGGACTTCCCTGGCCAAGGTTATAACTGAGGGCAGCCACATCCAATGACTCGGATAATGGGAGCATGAGGGTTCACGCTCCTTTCAGTTTTAGCTCTGAAGAGTTTTCCCAGCTATAGACTCCCTTTAGAATCAGCAGAGGACTCTCTTGTACCTCCACTGTAGTTCAACTGTTTCTGCTGCCTGCCTTTTTCATTCTATACAGGTATATCTGCCGATGGCGTATCTTATCACTCTCCCACTTTATGCAAATATCTGCCCTAGACTCTGTTTCCAGGAAGCCTAATCAAAGAGAGTTGGTGCCAGGAGTGGTCCTAGGATGCAGACTCTAGAAAGGGATATTGAAACCAGATTATCCAGCCCGAACCCCACCTCTCAACCAGCTGGGCAATTAGGACCCCATTACTACTTGTAGGTGTGTTACTTGTAGTTCCTGATTTGCAGTAGCAGAACAATTTTTTAAACTTTCATTGATAGTGACCTAAAATGTGATCTGAGTAAGAGGCAATGATGGGTCAAATTTCACAGTTTGAGAGGTGTAGGGAAAGTGGAAATTTTAAGAACTATAGCACTGCATAGTATTCCATGGTGGGGAGGGATAGCATTAGGAGATATACCTAATGTAACTGACGAGTTAACGGGTGCAGCACACCAACATGGCACATGTATACATATGTAACAAACCTGCACGTTGTGCACATGTACCCTAGAACTTAAAGTATAATAAAAAAAATAAAAATATATATAAAGAAAAATCAATAGACAAAAAAAAAAAGAACTATAGCACTGATGGCTATTTGCTGAGAACTACCAATCCACTAGAGAAAGACAACGGAAGGCCAATGGTGGTTAGTCACTAATTTAATGTAAAGTGTAAAAGCCAGAGGGACTTTTTGGCTGCATAAAAACAAGCATTTATCTCCTGGAGTGGAGAAATGGCTTGAAAACACAATGATTAGGTGCAGGACTTAATGAGAAAGATAGCAAGTTCCAGAGAGGACTGAATTTTCAAGCTTTTTAAATCTACTACAACAAGATCAAGGTCTTCACTGGGAAGGAGTGGGACCTTGAGATTTAGAATAAGGATGCCTGGGCTGATGCATCAAAAGATCTTGAATTCTTAAATTCCCCTGGACCCTTTGGGCTGGAAGATGTGGCATACTTCCTTTTTAAAGGCTAGCAATCCCTCTTGCATGAAGCCAATGCCCAGGCTCTTGTCTCATAAGATAACATGCACCTTAAACCTTAGTGGGGATCTATGTTTTCTTCTCCTTCTGGAGAACAAGTTAATAACTGTAATCTACTTACACCATACCTAGTCAGGCAAGTTCTGGACCTGCTAACAGAAGAAAGAGACCATGGACCACCATATACCAAAAGAGCTGCAGAAGCTAGCCAGTGTGAAATTTCAGGAAAGATACTGTGTTCTAAGAGTGCTGAATTAAAGGAAGATAACACATAAAGTTGGATAAAGAAGACATATCAGAGAGAAACCCTTTTTTTGTATCAGATTCAACACCCTGAGAGATAGCATTAATGTTTTCTACGAAGACTCTTGGAAGCCTGAATATAGTGTTGTCCTATGACAAACGGCAGAGGAAGGTGGCAAAAGACTCAGAGTTGACATATTAGAAAGAATAATATTAATACATAAGGCTGGAAAATAAATCAGACTTCAAGAAGTTGCCAGAAAGCTTTATGTGTACTGAAATTTAAAAGGAATTCACTAGTGAGAGGGATTTCAGCCAGGGTTGATAATAGAAAAAACAGTAACAGACCTCTTCTTGTAGCTGAAGGCAGGTTCCACCGCTTGCCGCTTGCCGCTTGCCAAGCCAGTGAACAAGAAGGAAGTGCAGTGGAAGGAAAGTGATTTTATTCTTGAGCTAGCAGTGGGAAAATGGTCAAGTCTCTTGTCTTAAAGAAATCGTTTCAGGCCGGGCGCGGTGGCTCTCACCTGTAATCCTAGCACTTTGGGAGGCTGAGGCGTACGGATCAGAGGTTGAGACCATCCTGGCCAACCTGGTGAAACCCCATTTCTACTAAAAATACAAAAATTAGCTGGGTTTGGTGGCACGTGCCTGTAATCTCAGCTACTTGGGAGGCCAAGGCACAAAAATTGCTTGAACCCAGGAGGAGGAGGTTGCAATGAGAGAAGATTGAGCCACGGCACTCCAGCCTGGTGACAGAGCGAGACTCCATCTCAAAAAAAAAAAAAAAAAAAAAGATAACAAAAAAATCATTTCAAAAGTTTGGGCTGAGGACAGGGATTAAAAAAGGAGAAGCTTGACATGGGAGGCATGCAGAAGTTGTGTAGAGTATAGGGGCTGTCTGTTTTGCTCCAATGCCTATTTTGAGTTATTGCCCACCTGGAGTGCGGCCTGGCATCATCCTGACAGCTACCGAGCTGTAGATTATCCAACTTGAGCCAATCTTTACATGGAGGAGAATTCCGCAGCTGGGCCTTCATGCCTGGTTTGTTTTAAGTTAGCCCCTGGAATTTCTTAAACGTATAGTTAGATGTGTGCATTGTGTAAGTTTAACAAACACACAGTTCGATAAATGTGCATGGGATAAAGGAGTGTATGTGGGAAAGTGACAGGAGTGCAGTTTCACAGTACATTTCAAGGCTATATTTTAAGACTAAGGAAAAATATTTTTAAAGTTTGTTTCAAGGTTACATCTTGAGACTGGGGGAAAGGAGGAAAGAAAAAATAATTTTAAAAATGTGCTTGAAACTACACTACTTGATGAAAGTGTTTCTCGACAGCTAAGCATCCTTTCAAAGCATGGGGATAATAAGATCCCCAAACAATAGAGGCCAGGTGCTAGCATTTAATTATGATAACTGAAGTAAATACAATGTGGTAATGAAAGTCAAAGTCAGAGCAGCAGCCAGGAGATCCGGACTTGCAGAGACCTATGGACATGATCAGTAGAAATGATCAGTGTTCTTGGAGCAAAATAAATGAGCTTCTTACATGAGTATTGCTCAATATAAACAATCAGAAGCATCAAGAGTAATCATTAGGAGGCCAAGGGTAGCCAGTCTATAAAATGGAAGCCATCTACAGGTCAGGAAGAGGTTTCACCAAAAATCAACCCACCGCTACCTTTGTCTCTTACTTTTAGTTTCCAGACCTGTGAGAAAAAGAAATTTCTGCTGTTTAAGTCACCCAGTGTGTGGTATTTTTTTACGGCAACTTCAGCAGACTAATACACCATCCAGTAAAATAAATGAAACCTATGTTGCACCATAGAGGAAATGGCACACATTGTTGTCAGCATAAATATATGAAGGACTCAGGAATAGTGGACCCCATCATATCTTATTTAATTTAGGAGACTAGCTGTACAAGCCAAACAGATCCTGGCAGTTGACAAAGTACTGCTACAAGTGGAGTTAAGTAGTAACATTAATTGCAGTTGCTTTGCCCATTGTGGTATCTTTGCTAGAGCAAATTAACAAAACCTCAAGTACATAGTGTGTGGCCACTGATTTCGTGAAAATCTTTTTTTCCATTCCTATCTGGAAGGAGAAACAGAAATAGTTGTATTCATGTGAGATAAATGGCTGTAAGCATTTATGGACTTGTCCTGATTTGTATTAACATTCTCATACTCTGTCATAAATATTCCAAAGAGTCCTGAACTGTCTTAACATTTCTCAGCACATTGTATAGATCCACTGTATTGATAACATTATGTTAATAAGAAAAGATGAGCAAGAAGTGACAAATATATTTGGAAACCTTGTTAAGACACATTAACTCTAGAAGATGGTCAAAAGCCCTAAAGAGATTCAAGGCCTTGCCAGATCAGCAGAGTTTCTAGGAGTCCAGTAGTATGAAACACGCCAGGGCCTTTGTCTGAAATAAAGAACAAATTATTGACTCTTGTACCTAATGAAACACCACTTGTAAATTTCCTTGGGTTATAAAGACGGCATATTCCAGCTCCACCTTATTGATAAAGTGACGCAAAAGGCTTCCAGAACAACAAAGGGATTTCAGCAAGTTTAGGAAGTCATATGAGAAGTTCTGCTATATGAGCGACTATGTCCCAATAGATTTACAGTACTAGAGCTGGGTTTCTTAACCTCAGTACTATTGACATTTCAGGTCAGATAATTCTTTGTTGTATGTGGCACAGGGGTGAGGGGGTGGGGTGGAGTGTCCTGTGCTTTGTAGAATATTTAGCAGATGACACTAGATGCTGATAGCAACCCCTTTTTCCCACTTGTGCCAACCAAAAATGTCTCTAGACATTCATAAATGAGCTCTGGAGGGCAAAATCACCTGCAGTTGAAAACAATTATATTATAGTTGTCTACAGTGAGAAAAGGTGCCTTGTAGAATTAATGGAAAGCTCAATTGGAGAAACATAAGACAGAACCATAGGGAACAAAGTAATGCCATCTATAGCAGAAATATATACCATTTGGAAGCACTATTTTCACGCTACTGAGCTTTGGTGGAATTGGACTGTTGGAAAATAGGACATCAGGTGACCATGTGATCAGAGCTACTCATCAAGAGATAGGTTTCATAAGACCTACCAAATCATAAACTTGGGTGTGCTTAACAGAAATCCATTGTTCAGTCAGAGTATTATACCCGGCATTTGGCCCAAGCACGGCCAGCAGGCACAAGTAATCTGAATAATCAAGTGGCATAGTCACCAATGCTCCTCCCTTAGCTGACATTTATAGCCAGGTAATGAAGGAGGAAAAAAGCCAAGCTAAGCTCACAGGTGGCTCAGCTTGATAGACAAGTATAAACAATAATGATACAGCTGCTCTGTCATTTGCCTTCTTTGGGTGTAACTGAAAGTCACCTGTGAAAAAGAAAGCCTTCCAATGAGTGGAGCTGTGGTAAATAAACCTGGTTATCCACTTTGTGTGAAAAGATAAATTACTCTTAAAACAAAATGGGCCTGGGTGGTGGCTCATGCCTGTAGTTCCATCACTTTGGGAAGCCAAGGCAGGAGGATCACTTGAGACCTGGAATTCAAGACCAGCCTGATTAACATAGCAAGACCCCATCTCTAACAAAAAATTTAAAAATTAGCCAAGTGTGGTGATGCACACCTGCAGTCCTAACTACTCGGGAGGCCAAGCGTGGGGGGTGGGGGGCGGGGGGGTGGTAGCTTGAGCCCAGGAGCTTGAGGCTGCAACAGTTGTGATTGTGCCACTGCACTCCAGGCCGGGCCACAGAGCAAGACCCTGTCTTAAAAAAAAGAATTTAAAAAAGAATACAATGTAAAAATATATGTATGGATAGCTGTGAATGAATTGGCTGGATGCTCTGGGTCCTGGAAATGAAATGACTAGAAGATGAGGGACAAAGAGGTCTGAGGAAGAGAGTGAATGAACCTGCTGAAGGTTTGTATGGCATGTTAACACCCAGTAATGAGCATTCAGCATGGAAGAGGCTTGGAGTAACCAATAGGCAGACACAAAGATCCCCAGTGCTACACTAATGGGCTTAGGAATGAAGTAGCCGTGGAGACAGGGATGGAGGCTATGCATGAGCCTGACAGCATGACCTCCCACTTACCAAGGCTGACATAATTACTGCCTCTGCCAAATGTTCTACCTTCCAGCAACAAAAATTAACTGACTCCCCTATGGAGCACAATCCCATAAGAATACCAATCATTTGTCTCTACTCTGGAATAGACGGACATCCATTTTGACTGGTTTTATCACTCTCCTGGGGTTTATAGACTATTTGATCTACTGACCCAGAATGCCATAACATTGCATTGGACCAATGGACTCAATTTATAGAAAAGGAGACATAACAGTGGACCTATAACCAGGGAATCTACTTGTCCTATTTCATGTGGCACCACCCAGAATCTGTCAGCTTGCAAATGAAAGCCATCCTCAGGATACAATATACATTCTAGATGCATTTTAAAAAATGATACAGTGCTTGTGTCCCTAAGGTCACAAGGGACACACCTGAGAATTATGGGATGGAAGTAGAGATGGCCTCACTTACCATCTTTCCCAATGTCCCATGTGGGGAATCTGTGCTTCCTATGTCTACAAAATTCGACTTTGTGGGGTCTAGTTCTGGTTTCCAGAAGAGCAATCCTTCCACCAGGTGCACAATAAGGGTCCTATTAAACTGTAAATTACAGCTGTCTTTTTATCACTTCAGGCTTCTTAAGGAGTCACCAACTAGGTGTGAACAATTGACTCTAGTCATTAGGAGCAGGACTGACTGCTGTTACACAATCACATCAGGCCAGCATACACTCAGCACCCAGGTGACCAGATGAGATGTTTATTGATTTATTCCCTGCTCAACCTTAATAGTAAACAGCAAGGGCAGAAGCCACAGACTGTTAACGGTATGATGCTCGGGGGCCTGCAATTCATCATGAAAGAATCTGCATCATCTCAACAGATAAGCCACATACACAAGTACAAGTGTTAGTAAGATGACCACCTTTTCTCAGTTTGCCATGGCTTTCCTAGATTTAGCACTAAAAATCTCACATCCTGAGAAATTCTGTAGTCCCAGTCCCAGTGCTGATTTGCCCAGCACTGTCCCCATTTTAAAAGTAAAAGTCCCAAGTCTCAGGGATTCTTTCAGTCCTGGAAAAACTTGGAGAGATGATCACCCTAGGTGTTAATCTAGCAGAAGGAAACCTCGCATGGGTCGAAGAATAGGGAGATGATGAGTAACAGTTGCAGTTTTGAGACCAGCAAGCATTGACAAGGGCTGTAGTTTGATTCACTGAACACCTTCTTGTAAGTTTCCTTAGGAAAAAGAGTAATTGCAACCCTTGGACATGCCCAGATGTAGTGAGTGTACTAAACTTACCTGCATCCAAGTAATACGGGAGGTGAAAGCCCAAGTACTTTGCCCAGAGTTCCGCTTCAAGATTAAGAAATCACTCCCTTGGCTGACAGGTCACAGCTTAGGCCTTGCTCAGAAATGACCCTCAGAGAAAAGGATCAGTTTTATCCTCTTCCAGGGCAAACATACATTAAATTTCTGTTTCTTGAAAGAGATACAACAGTCCAGTCTTCTTGTCTTTCTTTCATATAAATCTGTACAACTATCTCAGCTTCAGAGCTCCCCACAAGATTGGCTGAGTTCTCTGTTGCAACTGCTGTGTATCCAATTCCTCTCTCTTCTGATATTGCTTCCCTCACTCACCTATAAGGGTGGCTTCCAAGAACACTTTCTAATAAAATTCCTGTATGTGTTTTTCATCTTAAAGTCAGTTTTCAGAGAACGTACTCTAACACAATTTTTTTTTAGTGAGCTTTTTTTCTGGACACGTTATGTGAAATTCTAATCTTTCATCTTCATCTCCATCCCCCTGCTCCTTACCTCTGTTCTCTGTTTGGTTTTTCTTAGCAACTGTCACCATCTATAATTCTATATACTTTACAGATGTATCTTATTGTCTGTGTAAATTTTAACCTTACAGATACATACATACACAGGTACAAATACTAGAAATTAAGCTCTATGAGGGCATGTCTCTAACTATTTTGTTTACTGCTGAAACTCTCATTCCTGACATATAACAGGAGAACATTGTTAGGTAAACAGATTCCTAAAATTCCAGAACTAAAATTTCATATTTGAAATCATTTGGGAAGGAGAATTATGCAATTTTAATACAGAGTAAAGAGCTCTTTAATACTATACATCTATTGATCTTCCACCATTCACCAATGATTTCAACAAACAAAATTTTATTTTATGTACTACCAGCTTAGAACCCACAAATCGAAGAGAAGAACTAGAGAGAATGGCCACTGGAAAGTGTACTGTCTGGGTGATGAGGAAGGACAAACCAATTGCAGCAGATTCCTCTAGAGAGATCTCAGAAGTGAAGAATCGCCCAGGCTGGGCCTGGTGGCTCACACCTATAATAACAGCAGCTTGGGAGGCCAAGGCAGGAGGATCCCAGGAGTTTGAGAGAAGCCTGGGCAATACAGTGAGACATTCTCTCTACAAAAAATTAAAAAATTAGGCAGAGTGCAGTGGCTCACGCCAATAATCCCAGCACTTTAGGAGGCTGAGGTGGGTAGATTGCTTGAGCTCAGGTGTTTGAGAACAGACTGGGCAATATGGCAAAACCCCATCTCTACCAAACATACAAAAAAATTAGCCAGGCATGGTGGTGCACACCTGTGGTTCCACCTACTTGGGAGGCTGAGGTGGGAGGGTCACTGGAGCCTGGGAAGTCAAGGCTGTAGCGAGTTATGATTGTGTCACTGAGCCTGGGTAACAGAGCAATACCTTTTCTCACACACACACACAAAACCTAAAAAATTAAAAATTAGCCAAGTGTAGTGGCATGTGCCTATAGTCCAAGCTACTTGGGAGGCTGGGGTGGGAGGATCACTTGAACCCAGGAGGCTGAGGCTGTAAGTGAGCTGTGATTGTGCCAGCACTATGGCCTGGGTGACAGTGCAAGGCCCTGTCTCAAAAAAAAAAAAAAAAAAAAGAAAAGAAAAGAAAAGAAAATATAAAAGATCAGCCAATGGATGTTAGTAGATGTGAAGTGTAATGGTAGGTTCTTTCTTAATGAATGAGTACTATGCAAAAAAAGTCATCTGTGGAAGAGCAAGATATCCCTAGTGAGGAAAAGAAGAATGAGTAAAAACTAAAATGGGACTCCTAGTTCGGAAAGAGTAAAAGCCCACCTATAATAGAGACTGTTATGAGAAGTACAGGCATAACTCATTTTATTGTGCTTCACTTATTGTGCTTTGCAAATATGGGAGTTTTTTTTTTTTAACAAATTAAAGGTTTTTGTCATCCCTGCTTTGAGCAAGTCTATCAGCATCATTTTTTCAACAGCATGTACTCACTTTGTGTCTGTGTATCATATTTTGGTAACTTTCTCAACATTTCATACTTACAATTATTGTTATATCTATTATAGTGGTATGTGATCTTTGGTATTACTATAGTAATAGCTTTGGGGTACCATGAACAGTGTCCATATAAGACAACAAACGTAATGCACGTGTGTGTTCTGACTGCTCCACCAACTGGCCGTTCCCCTCTCTCTCCCTCTCCTTCGGCATTCCTAGTCCTTGACACAAAACAATACTAAAATTAGGTCAATTAATAACCCTACAATGGCCTGTAGGTATTCAAGTGAAAGGAAGAGTCACATGCCTCTCACTTTAAATCAAAATCTGGAAATGATTAAGCTTAGTGAAGAAGGCAGGTCAAAAGATGAGATGACAAGCTGAAAGCTAGGCCTCTTGGAACAGTTAGCCAAGTTGTGAATATAAAGGAAAAGTTTTGAAATAAATTGAAAGTGCCACTCCAGTGAACACACAACTGATAAGGAAGTGAAACAGGCTTATTGCTGATATGGAGAAAGTTTGAGTGGCCATGGATAGAAGATCAAAACAAACACAACATTCCTTTAAGACAAAGCCTAATCTAGAGTAAGGCTCTAACTCTCTTCAATTCTATGAAGGCTGAAAAAGGTGAGGGAGCTGCAGAAGAAAACTTGGAAGCTAGCAGAGGTTGGTTCATGAGATTTAAGAAATAAGCCGTTTCCAGAAGATAAAAGTGCAAAGCAAAACAGCAAGTGCTGATACAGAAATTGTGGCAAATTATCCAGAAGATCTAGCTAAGATCATTGATGAAGATGGCTACACTAAATGCAGATTTTCAATGTCATTAAGTAGTCATATTACAAGAAGCTGCTACTTAGGACTTTCAAAGCTAGAGAGGGAAGTTAATGTCCAGCTTCAGAGCTTTGAAGGACAGGCTGACACTCTTTTTAAGGGCTAATGCAGCTGGTGACTTTAAGTTGAAGCCAATGCTCATTTAACATTCCAAAAATCCTAGGGTCCTTAAAACTGATACTGCTATGCCTGTGCTCTATAAAAGGAAAAACAAAGCCTGGATGACAGCACATTTGTTTGTAGCCTGGTTTACTAAATATGTTAAGCCCTCTATTGAGACTTACTGCTCAAAATAAAAGATTCCTTTTGAAATATTGAAATTGACAATGCACATGGTAATTCAGAGCTCTGATGATATACAAAAAGATTACTATTTATATACTACTATATAAATACTCCTAAGAAGTTATATAACAAGGACAACAAAAAGTAGTAACTATTTTCTTGTTAGGCTTTATGTAAAAATCAAGTTTGTGTTGTTTTCCAAGTTATCGATATTCCTATACTTTAATTTTAAAAAGTATTGAAACCATGTTCAATGGCCAATGAAACTGCACCTCTTGATGTTTAATATATGGTGTTTATCTGTAAACATTTATTTTGTTAATATTTACACAGTGATTTATAAAAGATTATAAACTGCTGAAGGCTCAGAGGATTGTTAGCATTTTTAGCAATTTTTTTTTGTTAAGGTATGCACATTGCTTTTTTAGACATAGTGCTATTGCACACTTAATAGACTACAGTATAGTATAAACATAATTTTCATATGGCCTGGGAAACTAAAACATTTGTGTGATCACTTTACCGTGATATTCACTTTATTGCGGTGGTCTGGAACAGAATCTGCAGTATCCTTGAGGTCTGCCTGTGATTGGGAAATATATTTGGATAGTTAGATAGTGCTAACTATATTATTGAGTACATGGTATGCTCATGTACTCAGTAATAACATATGTTACAGGAGTAACACAGGAGGAAGTAGTAAATATAGAATCATTTGTTTTTTCCAGCCAGAAAGGAGTAATAATTAAACTTGCCTTTGAGGGAATTTAGCCTGGCACAATCAGACCGATTGGACTGGGATAGAGTGGAGCCTAGAGTAAGGAAACCTAAGTGAGAAGCTGTTGCAACAATCAGGGCTGAAATTGCTGAGAAATATGATTATGGGAGTTAGTAATAGAAATGTGTTAAAGAGCAATATTTTAAAAATCTTAAAAGAGACAGAATTTGAGATAGGAAAAGGCACCCTGGGAAACAGTTGTGACTCTTATCCAATAATCATATATAAAATTCTATCCTAATTCATAAAAAAAATGTAGAAAGGTAGAAATCAACTCCAATGAAAAAAATACATATTTGTGTTACCTATTAGTACATAAGAGCTGTTTAATGTTGGCAATGTAAACTTGTTGCACCATCTGAATGTACTAACTTGAAAGAGTAAGGTTTGCTTTATTCCCTCAAGATCAAAAGATTGCTCTTAGGAAGCCCCAAAAGGCATGAACTCTCTGGAAGAAATACCAGGCTTGGAGCTCCCTGAAGTGTACATTTGAGCACCATTAGCAAAGGAGAGATGGTTTGCCTCAAGTTTCATGGGAATATACAAGGATAAAGGTCATTGCTAAGGCAGCCACAACTCAAACCACCTAGGGATAGAATGCCTGAAATCAAAACCTCCTATAAGATTGGAAACAAAATAAAGAGTAACACTGATCACAGCCTGTTTTGGCAATTTCCAGCATTAGCTGAGCCATTGAGACATCCCTAAGACGTAGCAACCTCAAGTCATTGAAGTCAGCCACAGGTAACATCCCCACGAGCAATTCAGCTTGATGACCGTAGAAACGCAGGTGATACTGGCAAAAGAGACATCTCCAAAAACATAGATTGAAATCTGGTTATTAAAAGCAGGTAGCAAATAATTGCATGTCACCTCTAGCTATATGTTTAATCATCGATGTAAAATAGTGATTACTCACACTTTTTAAAGGCTAATGTTGCTTTCTGAAGATTCCACAGAGATCCTAACCAAAAATAGCAACAGAAAATTTATTTTCATCCTCCATACTTGTGGTATTTCAGTGACTATTGGAGGTTAAGTGTGGTTCAATCTCTGTATTTGTCCTCAAATCAATTTTACTGTGATGCAATAAAGAAACAATATTCTTAAACGTCATTCTCAATGATTATTCTAAAAGACCACTGCACTCCAACACAATCTCTTGCTTTTTGTGTGTGTGCATGGGCTTGTGCATTCACGTTTTTGTGCGTGTCTGTGTGTGCAAGTGTGTGTACACAGGGCAACCATCTCTCCTAGCTGGAACATACATTAAGTTGGTGCAAAAGTAATTGCGGTTTTTGTAATTACTTTTAAAATGACCAAAAGCACAATTACTTTTGCACTGACCTTACATACATGTGTGTATGTCTGTGTGTGTGTATGTATGCATGTATAAAACTCTAACATGATGTTGGTGTTTTGGCTAGCTTCACATTTCTTGTTTTCAAGAACAAACAAAATTTACGGTCACGGCATCTAATTTAGCTTTTTTTTTTTCTGTTGTCATCTTCTATCAGTTTTCCCTTACTGTAGAACAAACAGGGCTTAACAATTGAAAAGGAGGATGCTGCTATTACTTTTAAGACTGAGGAAACAAATGTGTGACTATTGGACTAATAGCTACAATCGTATATACTGACACTATTTAAAACTAAAATTTGGCTTTTTGTTGATTTTTTTGAGTCACTCCAAAATTTTAGAAAAGAAATCCTAAGTATACTGTCACTAAGCACAGGAAAGAAAGGGCCTCCAGCCTCTATCAGTTTGTCAGCAAGAAGTAATTTTGAACATTTACTATAACTAGTACTGTGCCATATACCATGTAGACCATTCAAGCTAGTAAGATATTATCACCACGCTAGCGGAGTTTACTATTTTGATTTTCCTCATTTCTTTACGTACAGAAAGCTATATGACTAAGTGAAGCAATATGAACTAATAGCTGTATTAAGCCCAGCTCATTAATGATGCTGTGTCCGAGGCACCCAGGGGAGAAGGCTGAGAAATGAGTCTTGCTTTCCTCTCTAGCTCTCCCGCTCTCCCTCTCTGTAACACAGACATACCTAGAGTTTTATGTCAAGAATATTTTAATCACTGATGAAAAAATCACCTGATAATCTCATCAAGTTGATGAACATTACTGGTTACAACAGAAAAGTGGAAGTTCATCGTTTTATACAGTGCAGAAAATGTATACTCCTACTCCTGAAAGAGTTGGTCAGTTTTAGTTAGTAATCCCATTAGGAAGCCTTAGTAAAACATGTATGTTCCTAAAAGCAGGGTACGTCTCTGCCAAAAAGCTATGAGGTATATTTATGCTTGTATGCAAATTATATGATGTAGCCTGTCAGTTCGTTTCTGCCATAGAACATGCAAGAATTCTGTTTATTCAGGGTGCTATTATATTCAATTTCTATAAAAAAGCACTAGGCAAAAAGAGATTAAATGTGCTAAGTGTTGCTTTCAGAGTGGACTTTGTGTTCACAGGTGAGCATTAGGCCGTGCAAATCTCCTTCCTTTGGGACAGGCCCTTTGCATTGTAAAAGCAATACCACATGATTTGCACAAATCCTTGCCTATCCACCACTGCACATCTTTATACTATCATAATATGGCTTTGGAAGAACGGAACCCAGGAAGTTTTGACTATGTTTATGTATCTTCAGCCTAATATTTTTGATGTGGAAAAAGTAAACAAAGCAGGACTATGTATTTAATCTGGCAGCCTATTTTCTTGTTGCATGAATATGTAAAAACTCACCTGTTCAAACTTTGCACATGATCCCACAAGAAGAGCACCACTGACAGGTTGGTGGATTGACTGTATTCTGGCATTTTCTGGTTAAGCACATTCACAAATCCCAAAATGCACACTGAAAGATGTGCCACAGGCAACCGACTCTGTTCATAAGGAAAATATTGATTGACTATCTACCAAGCACTTTATGCTTCATATAAATAAAAAATTGTGCAACATAATCTCTGCCCTCAATCCTGAAGATTTTCAAGAAGTACATGGTATCTGTTGGGGTAGTTGAAAGCTATGGAACTTATTTAGGTGTAATTACTGTTTTTAGTTTGTAGGAAAAACCAAATTACCTGCTGTTTCAAAGAACATTGGTTTTTATTCCCTTGGTACCAAATCAGTAAGAGTCCCTCCAGCACAGCAGCTGTTGCTTAATGGCCCTAAAGAGTTAATGCGCTGCCTAAATTGAACATAGTTCAGTGTCTACACCAAGTGGGCCCTCAATTAGTGTTGATGGATTGACTTTCTCACAGGCGGCAAAAGCTCAATTTATAGAGATGGATCCTATGACACTAAAATCAATAATTTAAGAAAACTGTGTTGAATTTTATATTTGTAGCAATACAATATGTACAAATATAAAAACTATATGTATTTGTATCCATTGTTAAAAAAAAGATTTTTTTTGTTCCCTGACAGATGCTAATAGATGCTCAATAGCTTTAAGTAATAATCTAAGCATAGGTAGACCATAAAAGTTGGATAACTTACATGTATATATTCTGATTGTGATATAGGAGTGATTATAAAGAAATTGAAGGGCCAAATATCTGAAGATAAGATGTAAGCATCGCTGATTAGTAATAATAACTTTTAATCACAGTAATAAAAATTGCCCAGTAGTGAGAAACATTCTATTTGAATTGCTTATTGTAGATCATCTCTAGTGTATAGATTTTGACAACTTTCTACATTATTTTATACTATAAAGCAGATAAGCCTGTTTTCGAAGATGTGCCCGAAGCAGTCATTTAATTTGAAAGCATAATGAACTTCCTCTCTAGCCTCCATCAGGGGGGTATGGTTTTACCACCTGATCAGGTGACAGATGAGAAAGCATCTCCTTAGTCAAAGCAGAATCTTAGAGCATTAGGGAATGGACTGCTAGGTACTTCAGCAGAGCATTACTCTTGCCTCCTATGTCCAAACCACAGCTGTGCTCAACATTTGAAAAATCTGAACATATAAACTGACAAGTATCTACCACCACAAGATGGGAAGTGGAATTAGTTCAGAGAGCAAGGAGTCAGCCAAAAGATCAAAAGAACTGGAGAAAAAGCTTCAGGAGGATGCTGAGCGAGATGCAAGAACCGTAAAGCTGCTACTATTAGGTAATTTCTTTTCCCTTTTGCTTTCAAAAACCTGACTTTTTTTTCAATTGTGATATATTTACTTTTCTCAGACTTTAATTTCGAGTGTATTATCATATGGGAAATTTATTATAAAAATGTGTTTGGAAACTTAAGGAAAATTTATTTGTACTCTATCAATATTTAATAATTTTTCTGTTTAGTATTTTATTACCTTTTTGTTAAGCAAGGAGGCAAATATTTATCAGCTAATTTCTCTGTCAGTAATATGGTTTACTATTATTAAAATAAAAATCAGATACATTTATTATTTTATTGCACCCTAATCATTTTCTGAATGTCAGCTTTTTAATACTGAAAGAAATCCTTTAGCTACAAGTTATAAAGAGTTATATTATTTTGTTTAAACAGAAATAGGTTGAATTGTTTGACGTTGAAGTTAATGTTTGTTATTTACTTGTATAGTTAAAAATCAATTAGTCAAGTTAGAGAACAATGATAAGGTACTTTAAATTATATTAACAATATTACTTAGGCTCCTGAATACTGCCTGCAATATTGCCTGTACACTTGAAAAATACTCTACCTAAATCCTTTTAGAGCATTTATATATTCATTCAGGTCAGGATTTATGTCTCTTTTATTTTTTTTTCCTTCTTTCAAAACTCAGCACTGTTTTACCTTGACTATAAATTCAATAAATGTTCAATTAATTGAAAGAATAAAAATAATCCATATGCAGATTTTTTCTATAAAGCATAAAACATTTTACATGCAGTTTCACTGAAACAGAAATATGTTTTTGAAATAAAAATGATGACCTATATAAAGAATACAAAGCAAGCACTTACTTCTGATTCAATTATGAGTTGTACTTTCTCCCTGATTTTGGTTATACACAAAAGGACTTCATCTTATTTCAGAATCGTGCATATTTCACATAACAAATTTCCTCATATTTTAAGTATTTAAACACTTAAATACTTAATATTAAATGAATTAAATACTTAAACTTATTTAAGTATTCCTTCGTTGTGTCTAATTTGCTCCCAGTGGCAAGAGTGTTTCAGAAGCCAACTGTGGGATTCCCAGCACTTGCTCCTTAAAGGAAAGGAAACATCCTTGCCCCTTACACACAGGTTCTGTGCCTGCACACAGGCCCACAGCACTTGTCAGTAACTACCCAGAGGTTGGTGACTTTGAAAGATGTGGGTTAAGTACTAATGACACCAGGAAATATATGCTTCCTAACACACCATAGAATTCTGTTAGTTTCTGAGCAAGAGTGAAAGTAATATGGACACAGGAAAAGCAAATGAAAGGTAAAAGGGAAAGACAAGCATTCTTACAAATTCATTTTTATATTCCTTTTGTACTAAGATCAATGACATAAGAATGGTGATAAAACGTATTAAAAATTTCCGTGTTTAAATAACATTTCAATAGATGTGTGTTTTCAATATACCAATTATCTATTTTTTTACATATTCTCTTATTTTGTAAAAATACAAATGGAAAGCCAAAACAATGAAAGAGCTAATACCACAATTTAGACTAAGACAAAAACTATTAAACATGCCAAAAGCAATGACTCTTGAGATAAGCATATCAGAGCTGCCAGTCAACTAGAGATTCAGTTGTGACGGAAAAGAACAAGGTAGAAAGGTGGTTTCTAGGGGCTAGGGTGGTTGGGGGGAACAAGGGGAAAGGGAGTTGTTGGTCAAAGGACACAAAATTACAGTTAAATAGGAAGAATAAATTTCAAGAGATCTACTGTTCAGCACGGTGACTATAGTTAATGATGATCTATTGTATTCTTGAAAAATGTAAAGAGAGTAGGTGTTATGTGCACTTACCACAAAAATGATAACTGTGAAGTAATACATTTGTTAATTAGCTAGATTTAACCATTCTACACTGTATTTTTACTTCAACATATCGTGTTGGACACAACACAAGCATGGAATGTTATTTGTCAATTTAAAAAAATAAATTAAAAATGTTCAAAAAGAGTATATATAGATGAATGAAAACACATCACTGAAAATTGGGTCAAAAAGGTTCAATGTAATGATGGACAAAAGAAAGATTTTTTTTAAATTTGGAACTGAAAATCAATGGACTACTGATACATACAGGGTTCCAGAATTAGTAAATTTTACCACTCCACAGAGCCATTGACTGGGACCCAACTTATTGTATGCAATGCTATCAAATGAAAAATAAGTCAGATGAATTATTTTTAGACTTAAGTGTTGGTTAGATCAAGAAGAAAGAGCAATATTTGTACCAGAAGTATAAAAGAATCATTAGTGGGACTATTACATGTTTTACTTTCCCAAGGTGTTTACAATTTTATACATACAATTTCATCATTAGTAAGTAAAATACTTGGATTTATTTGGTTCCAACACTATGTGCACTAAACTCCTTTGTCACATTTTATTTATACAAAATAAATGAAATTCTCTTAAGTTGTTCCTATTTCAATTATATTACAAACATCTGGCTAAGTTTCCCTTTTGGAGTCCATCTGAATTCTACATATGATGATACAATTATCAAATTCATAACAGTCTTATAACAGCTCTACTTCATTCTCATGTTTGGATTGAATTCAAATTCTCGAAACTGTAATTTTTATATTCAATTTGACCTCATTAAGACATTATAAAAGTGCTTAGTTGAACTAAACCAAAACTTTCCACTCTCCTACCCTCAAATCTCCTCACCAATGAAATCTATTTAATTTTTCCCATCATTGAAACGATGTTCTCATTCATCAGTGTCGTCTGAATGACACTTTTAAGTTTATCAGTGAGTACATGTCACATGGAACTAACCAGTTTAACCTTAGTAGTGATCAGCTCCTGAGTCAATACCTACATTTACAAAAATAAGAAATCTAAAAAACACTTTTGACAGATTTTTTTTCAGTATGTTGATCTTCATCTAATGAATTTCTAGAAGCTTAAACTCATAACACCAACTTTCCACATTTAACATGTACTGCAAAGCGGATGTAACCATTTGGTATTATCGAACACAAGATTTCACTGAATCTGAAGAGCGGTCAAAGTGCGACTTTACAATTAAAGGATCATCTTGCAGACAGATGCCTTTTTTTATTACACCTTTCAGACCTTCAGTAAAATTACAGAACAGATGCCAAATCTGTGTTTTATTTTAGCAAAAAGTAGGCTTTTAGGAAACACTGGAGATGACTCATACATTGCTGAGCACATTTGATAACTGCAATCAAGAAAATAATGCCACATGCTTTAAAAAATTTACTTGCAAAGATATTCCAGAAAGAGCACATTTTAATAAGAAAAACAAATTCTAACGGATAAAATATTCTCATTTGTATCTAAGTACGTTTTAAAGTTTTATAAACGTTTCATTCAATGGTACTTTTATTCAAAATAATACCTATTATTTAATTGTAAACTCAATATGGATCATGTTTCCATTTTTCCTTTCTCCTCTCTTTATGCTTATTACATCAAATTTCAGTTTGAGTTTATTTTGCTGCATCAGTTTCGTTTGTTTTTTTTGCAAATTTCCATCACATGGGCTGCTTAGATTTGAAGCCCCATGGAAAGCATAGGAAAAAAATTAGCTTTCTTTTTTCTTCATATTCAAAACACCCTCTGCCACATTTATATATATAATTAACATTTATTCTACAATTTTTCACTTTTAGCTAGTGATTTCCAGCATTATCATGGGAAGTTCATCATAGATGTTCTTTTCTTTTAGTTCTAAAACCCTTTATTTTTATTTTTTCTTTGTGCTATATTGTAAGAGTCACACTATTATTATTTTAATGATGTAATCTGAGTTTTACTGTTTTAAACTATTATTCCACTTATCTGGCTTTTAGAAACATGAATAGGGATGGAGTCTAGAGATCAAAAACTACTTCGAAGGTAATATATTTATTGTATTTAACATTTTCAAACTTTTCAAATGGTTTCACTTATTCAACAAATGGATATTCTGGAAGGTATGTAGTAGGAGAATTATGATTTTTGATGCTATCTAAAGGCTTGTCACAAAATAATTAGTAAAATAAAACTCACACAGCAGAATTAGATAAATAGGTTTAACCATGCAGCAGAATGAGGAGAATACAATTTAATACTAGAACAGAATGCATTTTTAAATCACCTGAGGTGGAAATTGATTTATTAATACCTTCATCAACTGTAATGCGTTTTGTACTTCCCAGAGTGACCTTAGGCTAGCCACATAAACTCAGAGAAATAATGGATGTCAAAGTATTTTGTAACTTGTAAAGATCTAGACAAACGTGGTTTATTCTTTGGCATAAGAGATTCCCAAATATGAAATAAATCAAATGTCAATAAATGTGTATCATTATTCTTCCTTTGTCTTTCTTTTACATGTAACTAAGAGAAGTGAGGACTCAAGACTCAGGTTAAATTTAAATGATTATTTTTATTCTATGTGTGCTTTTTAATGTCTTTATTTTTTTTTAATTATCCCTAGATATGAGTGGGAGAGATTCCAGGAAACTAGAGTTGTTTCTGACTTACTGGTTAGATTACAAGTTCATCAACTCTAAGAAACACTATTTTGAAATTTTATTACACCAACATAGTCCATGCCTGTCCATGGATAAGATCAGATAAACACATTCTTTGGAATAATTATATATTAGGATTAACCAATAAGTCCCCTTCTGATCACTGGTAAAAAAGAAGAATCTTCTTAACAACATGTAAAACAAATTCCCAATAATGTTTCCAACTTTTTGTTTTGCCTTATTTATCCAAATTAAAACCATTCTTTCCTTCCTCCAACTATAGTACCTTTTTATTTTAAACATATTTATAAATATTACAAAATATTTTTATATAGCATAATGGCTACAGTTAATGACATCGTATTGCATTCTTGAAAACTGTTGAGAGTGGATAAGTGTTCTCACCACAAAAATAACTACGCAAGGTAATGCATGTTAATTAGCTAGATTTAACAATTTCACAATGTATATATATTTCAAAATGCCATGTTGTACACAACAAATACATACCATTTTCTCTGTCAATTTAAATAAACAAATTATTTATTTTATGTTTCTAGAGGTATCCAATCTTTGGGATGCATGAATATTCTTAATGCGAATGTTTAAAACTGCTTCTCAGTGAAGTGGAAAGAAAACTTTAGGCAGAAAAGACCTACTTGGAGAGTTTAAATTTTTCTCCAAAATGCAAAGGGCTACAACAACTTGAAAGTTCCCGATATTTACAGTTTTCAGAAAAGTTGCCAAATATTTACAATGTTGCATTTATCCATCAGAATGGCCCATGGCAGCATCAAATAGTTTCCAATAATTTCCCTCTTTTCCAACAAGCAAAAGCACATAGACAAATAATTTGTGTATATTTGACTGATTGTTTTAGATGCATTTATCTCAATTGATCAGCACATCTTAAAAGCAGGCTCGTAAGGCACTCGCGTAAAAGATGCAAACCATTTAGTAAAACATTCCACACTTAGCCAAATGATAGTATTTGCTAAGGAGGTTGAAAATTCTGGCTTGCTGACAATGACTCTTGCTAACTACAGTTTAACAAGCTCTCTAGTAATATTACAGAACATATTTATATTCGCATATTTTCATTCGAGCATGAATTATTGACTCAAGACAAATATTTTATCTTTAAAAATATTTATATAAGCAACATGAGCAGTTAACAAGTTATTTACCTCTCCATACTGTTAGAAAGGAAAGGTAGCAAAACACATTTCATAGTGTAAGGATTCCATGATCTGTTTTATATAAAATAAAATATACTTCCGTTTAAGGTATTAGACCCAAGTTCAGAATCCATTCCCTACTTATTAGGTTCGTGCAAAAGTAATTGCAGTTTTTGCCATTGCTTTCAATAATTTTTCTCCAAATACTGGTGTGCAAATATATCAATGTAGAATTTGAACCTAAAGTAGGATTAAAGGTAAAACTGAGTTTAAGAATCCATAAGATATGAAAAATATCCATTCTGTTTATTACAAGATGCAGTGCTAATAAAAAAGGGGGAAGTCATGGGTTTGATTCCTGTCTCAGTATATTTCAATAGAATAAATTTACTACTTAAAATTGTTTTTTAAAGATATCTAGAAATATCGCTCTCTGCCAGGCGCAGTGGCTCACGCCTGTAATCCCAGCACTTTGGGAGGCCAAGGTGGGCAGATCACAAGGTCAGGAGATCGAGACCATCCTGGCTAACACGGTGAAACCCCGTCTATAATAAAAATATAAAAAGTTAGCCGGGCGTGTTGGCGGGCGCCTGTAGTCCCAGCTACTCGGGAGGCTGAGGCAGGAGAATGGCGTGAACCCGGGAGGCGGAGCTTGCAGTGAGCCGAGATTGTGCCACTGCACTCCAGCCTGGGCACAGAGTGAGACTCTGTCTCAAAAAATAAAGAAAAATAAATTTAAAAAATCACTCTCTAACCAGAATTTTATATTCTATTATCTCTCATACTTTTCCATATTTAGTGAATTAGTTGTCTGATTTAATCTACTTCCTTTTAAACAGGGCCAGTCATTTCAGCTGTGTTCCTCCTAAAATTCAGGAGTATTTCACCTCCGTAATCTTCTACCTTAATTGACATTCAAACCCTCAACCCTGGATAATCCCTCAGAGTTCTCCATTTACCATTTTCCTGATACACTTCTCCCAACTGATTTTCTTGAATGTAATGCTGTTTAACAGCTTTTTCAGCTCTTAGTGCTGATCTAACCCTGATCCCTCTGTAAATTCTTACTTTCCTTCATTCCCAGATGTTGTAGAATAAAACAGTGTATCATTTTCAGTCTCCTGGCTGACACATATCACGTTTTAAATTTAGCTGGGCCAATAATTATTTTACTTATTCATTTTCTTCTAAAATGTTCCAAAGGCAGCTCGTCGCACATTTCCAACATCACTTTCATCTTGAATCTCCCCCCAACCTCACCCTAGATGATCACTAATATGCAACAAAACAATTATAAATGATCATCTCCAAATCTCACTAAACATTCACGTATTCTTATATTTTCACTAGTTTTAAAGAAGCAGTATTCCATTTTCATTTCAGATTAGTTTCAGCCTTTGTGCTATAAATTCTATCACCTTTCATATCTTAAAATTTTTGTTCCACTAATTATTTTTCATTTTGTCATCTTCAAAATTATCTATTGGCTTTTTCTTCATGGCAAATACAGATGTTTCTCTTCTTTAGCCCAAGAAAATTTATTTGACTTCAACACACCCTTGAATTCACCTTATATAGATATCTTTTAAAATGTTTTTATATTGAAATACTTCTCAAAGGATGCTATGCTCACTGCTTCTATTTTCTTATCCTGTTTAGTCTCTTTCATTAATTGCAATGTAAGTTGTATATATGCTCTTCTCTAGTAAAAAGTTATCCCTCACAGAGTGCAGATAATGGCCAATTCACAAAATTCACATCTCAATAATTTTCTCTCTCTTTTTTTTTAAAGACAGGGTCTTTTCACCCAGGCTGGAGTGCAGTGGTGCAATTACGTCTCACTGCAGCCCCAACTTCCTGGGCTCAAGTGATCCTCCCACCTCAGCATCCACAGTAGTTGGGACTACAGGCGTGTGCCACCACACCTGGCTAATTTTCCTATTTTTTGTAGAGACAGAGTTTCAGCATGTTGCCCAGGCTGATCTCAAACTTCTGGGCTCAAGCGATCTGCCTGTCTCGGCCTCCCAAAGTGCTGGAATTACAGGCATGAGCCTCCACCCTGAGCGATAACTTTTAAACTAAGTCTGAACTAAACAGTCCTCAATTTTATATCCCTGTATTCCTCTCTTCATTGAAGCTTGCTTCTTCTTTCCATCTATAAGTGGATTCATCTACCACGGTCTGTTCTTAAACCTTGGTGGGTTTTAGTCTGTACTCTCTTATACTCTCTTTTGAGGACCTCATAACAGAACTTAACTGATATGACTCTAAAATTCTTTCTTTTGCTCAATTTGTTGACCCATATTCATAAATTCCTTGTATCTGTCAGTGACCTGATCACACTTTGGGAGATCTCAAAATAATTTCCCAACTTTACTTTGCTGCCCATGTATCTTTATGTTTTCCATGAGGTGCCTTGTTATGTCCTTTCCCATTATATCCACTTGATATTTCAATCCTCCTTAGCTTTATGACTATTCCCTCTCCATTGTCCAAAAGTCAATGTTGTCACAAGATTTAGTTTTAGCTCTATCTCTATTGGCATAAATCTCATATTTTTCTCTTTACTGCTTCTGTTATTGCTTTAATCTATGAGAAAATCTTATGAAATAGATATTACTTTCATGATATAGATAAGAAGAAAATGACAACTTAAGAATATAGTTTGGTTTCCAAATATCAAATGTTTATTTACAGCCAAGCAAAGCCTTTTATTTGTATGTGTCAGTTTTAAGTTAATGTCTGCATTCTAATTTCTATGAGAACAAAGAACATATCTGCTTTTGTTCTTTATTGAATTATGGCACAGGAAAGAATGCATGTATGGTGAATGGAAGAATGACAGAATCAGAATCTAAAATATTCTTGTGATTTGTTCATGGTGGCTAGAACACAGGTATACCTTTGCATGTAGAAATGAGCTAGAAGAAAGTCATTTATATGTTATTGCATAGGAATTTTATTTTGTATCTGTAGTCAATAAGATGATATTGATAGGTTTTTTAACTATGTAACTAAAATGATAGTACTTGGCTTTTTTTAAAAAAAATAAAGACTACCCTGGCTATACTATGGCTCAAAGATTTAATGAGGAGGATAAAGGTAGGTAGGACAATTAGGAAACTGTTACTATTGTGCAAATTCTTGATGCAATTCTGAATTAATGCAGAAATTTTAAGTTTGAAAATAAGATTTGAGGAATGTTAGGAGACAAAGTGACAGAACTTGGTGGCAGACTGCATGTGGACGGTAAATGAGAGGAGTGATTGGGGTGGAATTGGTTATGGTTGATTATGTTATTCACTGGTATGTGAAATGCAGGATAAATATGAGGCTGGGGAAAAGGGAAAGGGATGATAATTTAGGATATTCAAACCTATGTTTTTTTTTTTTAGCAGGACCAAATGGATATCTATTAGATCAACATATGGGTCTGAAAATTAGGAGGGATAACTCTAGTAAGAACTACATGCTTGATAAATTCAATCCTCCATTTTCCTTATTTTATATTTTCCTTTGTCCAGATATCAGTATAGGCAAACCATGTGATTAACCAAGGCCTTTTTAAAAATCGTTGTTGCAATATGTATTTATACTAAAAAATAGTATACATGACTATTCCCACAATTAATGAACACTTAGACAAATATCTGCAACAGACCTGTGTGGGAAAAATCATGTAATTTTGTATTTTAGTGTTGTCATTTTTTAGCCTAAAAGGTATGTTAATAAGAAAAGAAAAATGAAATATCTGTTAAAATGCTTCTCACAATCCAAGAAAGCTCATATAACATTTTTAAACCACTTTATTGAGATATGCTTGATATGCAAAAGCTATACATATTTAATGTATGCCACTTGATGAGCTTGGAGATAAGTATACACCTGTGAAATCGTCACCACAATCCACACAGTAGACTTCTCCGTCACCTATAAAAGTTGTTTCCTGTCCTCTTATTTATTGTCACTATTATTATAAGAACACTTAACATAAGATCTACCCTCTTAGTGAATTTTTAAGTATCCAGTACATTATTGGTAACTATAGGCACTATAAATATTATCAGATATTTTAAAAATAAGTATAAAATGGAAAGTTGGAATATCTAAATAAAAGATCATTAAAAAGGAAAGATAGTATATAGCTACAATATTCTTTCTCATGAATGAAACATACTTAGTTTGGCTGATGAGGAATTTTACAGATTCATGATGCTTATTTTTTCTGTATCACAGAAATAGGTACTTGTAGTCATATAAGTATATCTGACACCATATGTTTACTGATATGACAAACTGAAAATCCACATTATTTATACAATATTCATCTAAAATATTTACATTGAATCTAATCAGAGAATACAGATAATTGAATATATTTAGAAAATTGTCTTAGACTTTAGAAAAATGCCAATGTCAACAAAACAAAATAACAAAAATATTACAAGGAAAATGTTATAAATTAAAAGAGCTTAAAAAGCATAACGACAAAAGAAAGTGTGAAACTTGATTGGATCATGAATACAAGAAACAAAAAAGGTATGGGAAACATTTTTTTGAAACAATCAGATAAATTTGAATATGGAGTATATAGTATTAGATAACATTTAGAATTAATATAAATTTTCTTAAGCATGCAAATAGTATTTTGGTTTTGTAGAAAAATTGTCTTATTCTTAGAAGATGCATTTCAAAATATTTATGGGTAAAATGTCTAATAAAGATTCAGCAAAACAAAACATAAAACTATGTTCATATATGTATATGTAAATGTATACATACATATGAGAAAGAAAGCAAACAGGACAAATAATTCAGAAAGGGGAAGGGTATAAAATGCGGGCTTCCATAACACTATATTCTTGAACTTCTGTAAGTTTTTAAATTAATTATCAAAATAAAAAGTTTGGGAAAAATAAACAATGTGTTTTTTTGGCAAAAGAAAATGTACAAATTTATCTGCAAATTTATTCATATTGCTTTATAAGGGAATTCTATCAAACAGTCCATGGGCAGAGCATTTCAAAATTACATAAACATTTTTAGAAAATTCTTTTCAATTTATTATTTGACAACTTTGACAACAAAATTTGACAAAGACAATGGCAGGTCAATCATCCTCACAGACATAAATATAAAAACCAAAGCCAAATATTAGCCAACCAATGCCAGCAATACATAAAATGCAAAAAGAGAAAAGGTTGGGGGGACTTTTGGGGGAAGATGGATTATCCCAACAATGCATGTTTAAAATACTACTAGAAAATCATTAACATTATTTACTACATTATCAAATTAAAAGAGAAAAATCAAAAGAATGTCAGGAGGTGCCAAAAAATAATTAAATAAAATTCCTTATCAATTCCTGATTGAAAAAACACCAATTAAAGTAGAAATAGAAGAGAATTTCCTTAGTCAGATAAACTGTAGGTACAAAAACCTTCAGTAACTATCATACCTAATGGCCAACATTTAGCATTGTTCACTAGAGATAGTGAACAAGGACTTATGATTAATAGGTTTCCTGTTAACAGAATAGACCCTAGAGTATGACATAGTTTCCTGCCCTTGACCTTCTCTTCAATACTCCTATCAGGGATTTTGGTGAAGGGGGATAAAGCAGGCATTTCAAACTTGAGATTCAGTTTGGAAGGATATAGTGACAAAACCAAGTCAGACTTCCAAATAACCTCTACTAGCAGAAATGCTTGCCGCAAATAAGCAAAATGGAATTTAATAAATATCTTTATTGAGGTTCAAAATCAATTAGATACACGTGGTTTGTGGGAGGATCTGTTTGGTAAGAGATGTGAAAAAAAGTAGAAAAACTTTAATTACCACAAGCTGAGTGTAGGCCAAAAAAAAAAAAGGAGGCAAACTAATCATGGTCTTTATTAAGAAAATTACTTATTTATAAACAAGCCCACCAGGAGTGAGGCAGGTCTAGGTGGCAGAATGTCAGTGCTGTTCATAAATCTGGTATCTACAGCATAATTTTCAGTACTGCATTTCGGAAAGACATTGGCTCTTACATGGGGTATGGTTCAGAGGACAAATAATCTAAAAATCATGTTCCACAAGAAAGGAGTAAAGGAGTGGATCATATTATACTTGAAATATTTCTTTAAAAGGATATGAGCACATTCTTCAAATAATAGAAAATACTTAAAGCTCACTATATATTAGTGTATGTTCTAGGTAATTTATATTTGTGATCTAATCCTCCCAAGTTTTAGCCCAATTTTATAATAGAGGAAACTGACTTTCAGTGAGACCAAATTTGATCAAGACACTTAGTCACAGTCAGAGATGAGTGCAAGCTCATATCTATTTAGTTCCAAAACATGATGAATCCAGCTATGTGATGGGCTGTCATGTGCAAAGGACAGAGAATTTTGATGTCACTCCATAAAAAGGAGAAATAATACATGGAACAAAATTAAGTTGGCTCAAAAGAGACTACCCTAAAAATCTTTTATACCAACAGTCTACCTGTGAATGATAAGCTGACACAGCAATACCAGTATGCCTCTGAAAGTACACTGCTTTCAAGGCCAGGTGTAGGGGCTCATGCTTGTAATTCCAGCAGTTTGTGAGACAGGCAGGAGGATTGCTTGAGGCCAGGAGGCCAAGGCTGCAGTGAGTCATGATCATGCTACTGCACTCAAGCCTGGCAACAGAGCTAGATTCTGTCTCAAAACAAACCAACAAAAAAAGTACACCGCTCTCATACTAATTTATAAAAAATGCATTTAAAATAATTTCTAAAGTGTTGAAACCATTTTGGTATTTATCAGTGCCTACTTAAAAAAGAAAGCGATATGACACAGCTTTAGTAAGAGTCAGAATACATAGTTTCTTTGTTTGAAGACAGATCTGAAACTTTGGATGATTATCATAATCTCTATTGGATTCATTTTTCTCACGCATAGACTGAAGAGATGTGCATAGCTGGTTGATTTCTAAGGTTTCTTTCTACTATACAATTATGTGATTTTTAAGACCACCTACAAAAAAAAATCTTATGTGTGATTACAAGTCACAATGTTGTAATCTCATTTTGCCTGTTTGAACAAGTCATCCAAAATGAGCAATCAAGCCTTGTGTGTGTTCAATTGAAGTTCAGTTACATGTATAAATATTGGGTAGATTTAAAATTCTTTTTAATATTTTCAGATTTAAAAATGTAGAACAGGATTCCTTACTTATTCTTATTAAAAATAAAATAATTTATGAGTATCTAAGTATGAATTAAGTATAAATTTAAATATTTAATTATTTGTAACATTATCTATTTCAAAGAAACAGATGCATATCTTGTTAAAATTCTCTTGGTACCCCTTGACCCAGAAACTAATATTAGCGATGACCACAATTTGGAAGGAAGAGATTATTTCAGGACACCATCAGCGGATGTGAACATGCTGTTATAATGTCTATATTTGGCTCTGTAACATGATCTAATCTCACAAGACTGAAATGACTATTGTGAACTATGACCTAGAATTATTGTGAGAATGGGGCTCAATAATTTATTTTTGAAATAACTTTGCAATAGAGTTCCAAATAATAAATGAGATTTTAAGTAGATAGGCTTTTCTTTAGGAATTTTCCTCTTAATGCTGTAATTGACTATACTGGACCTTTACATAGAAGACTGAAGTCACTACATAAAGCAAGGATGGTACAGACACCTTTTTAAAGGCTTTCAAGGGAAAATATTAACTTTTAATATGTAGTTTCATTTAAAAGTACATGCCATTTTTAAAAAAGTGATTGATTATTCTGCTTACCTTAAACACAGCATGAATTACCAGCTAAGTTACAAATAATTGTTATACAATAACATACCCTGTAGCCTTAGAAATACTTTTGGAAATGCCACAACTTAGTGTTATCTGTATGATTACCAAATGGCCATATTTATGAAGTACAGAAGACCATTCTGAATGTACATTAACTGACACAGTCTAAAAGTCACTTTTTTCACAAATTTATAAATTTTCAACTAGTCAATAACATATAGTGAATAAAATAAAATTCGGTTGTGATTTTTTAATCTGCCTAAAAGTGGTTCTTAATCAATAAAATATTTCTCTATAATACATATGCTGATACAATTCTAGAAAATCATTGACACACTTTTTCTCATTAGGCTCAATATCTCAAGATAGACAATTCATTTAAAAGAAAGTGGTCTAAATTATTTTCACTTTATTGTAGAAATTATATCATCTTTTAAATAAATTTAACTGACATTCAGAAATGAGACTTTTTTCTCATTTCTAGTTGAATACTTTGGTTGAACAAAATACAACATTAAACATACCTGCATGAGCAAGTACTGCAGTTCCTACTGAGCCCATTGACTTTTCTTCCACATCCCCACTGCTCTGTAATTTAAGACAGTGTGTGTGTATATATGTATGTATATACGTATATGTATATACGTATATGTATATACGTATATGTATATACGTATATGTATATACGTATATGTATATACGTATATGTATATACGTATATGTATATACGTATATGTATATACGTATATGTGTATATATATAGAGAGAGAAACAAGATATTCTGATATTCTGTCATTTGTACAGGATGATGCTAGAATTTCGAATATTCAGTTCCATTGTTAGAGATTTTAAAATAAAACCTATCAAGGACAGTTTTATAATATTATTGTATGACTTTTCCCAAAGTGATGCACTTCCTACAGCAAAATAGTGAGTTATTTAAAGCCAGCAAACCAGACTATTGTGCAAAGCTCATTCATTTTTGAATGAGTTGCCACTCTCACAAACAATTCTCAGCCATGCAAAATGATAGGGTCAGTTGTCTTCGGAAAATGGGCAAGATGATTTTATTTTATTCTCAACTGTTTCATTCTTGGGCATTGCAGCCTCTAGTAAATGAGATGGTTATACCCAATCTGTCAGTTTGTGTTTGATTATGTAAAGAAATTTTAGCAAGTTACTTTGATTTTTGCATCTATCAACTTTGTTGTCATATTTCACTATCAGTGATGGAGAGCCAACTAGCATAAAATCATGGAGAGGTGTGTTCTTGAAGTTTTCCCAAGGGAAAGAATCTATATATCACCACCAGAAAATGAAACATAATTTCCCATAGCTTTACCACTCTTATTTCCTCACTATCACATAAGGTGGACAGCTGTTTCAGACAACTGCAGAAACTAGATATATTTACATATGGCTATGACCAAAAAAAAAAAAAGAAAAGTTGTCCTGAATAGAACTAAATTTAGGTGTAGCTATATCTGTTCATCGAGGCTTAAGAAAACATTGTAAATCATGCAGAAACATTTCAGTGAGGAAAAAATGATGCGCAGTACAAAGGACAAAATCTCATTTCTGAAGTATGAGTCAAAGAATTCATTTGTTTTATTGAGATTCTACTGAGTTAGGCACTGTTCTAGGTGCTTTGGCTAAATCAGTGAACAAAGCAGATAGAGATTCTTTGCAACGTGAAATTTACTTTGCAGTGATGAAAGGAACATTTTTAAATAATATATGAATTATTCCTAAGCATGTAGAAGAAGAAAAGTGTTAGGAGAAAAGTGTTAGGAAAGAAGTGAAGGTAGAATAGGGAAATGAAGACTGAGTGGGTGAGAGTCGAATTAGAAATTTAAATAGGGTGGGTTGGGTGCAGTGGCTCATGCCTACAATCCCAGCACTTTGGGAGGCCGAGGCAGGCAGATCACTTGAGGCCAAGAGTTTGAGACTAGCCTAACCAAAATGGTGAAACCCTGTCTCTACTAAAAATACAAAAATTAACTGGGCATGATGGCGCACACCTGTAATCCCAGCTACTCAGGAGGCTGAGGCAGGAGAATCGCTTGAACCCAGGAGGCAAAGGTTGCAGTGAGCAGAGATCTTGCCACTGCACTCCAGCCTGGGTGACAGAGCGAGATTCCATCTCAAAAAGAAAGACTCTTCTGGATATTGGCCTAGGCAAAGAATTTGTGACTAAGACTTCAAAAGCAAGTGTAACAAAAACAAAAATAGGCCAATGGGACAAACGAAAAGCTCTGCACAGAAAAAGAAATAATCAACAGAGTAAACAGACGTCTAAAGAATGGGAGAAAACATTTGCAAGCTATGCATCAAACAAAGGACTAATACCCAGAATCTACAAGGAATTCAAACAACTCAACGAGAAAAAAGCAAATAGCTCCATCAAAAAGTGGGCAAAGGACATGAACAGATATTTTTCAAAGAAGACATACAAATGGCTAACAATCATGTAAGAAAATGTTCACTACAACTAATTGTCAGAGAAATGTAAATTAAAACTACAGTGAAGGCCAGGTGCAGTGGCTCACACCTGTAATCCTGCACTTTGGGAGGCTAAGGCAGGCAGATCACGAGATCAGCAGATCCAGACCATCCTAGCCAACGTAGTAAAACCCGTCTCTACTAAACTACAAAAAATTAGCCAGGCATGGTGGCATGCGCCTGTAATCCCAGGTACTCGGGAGGCTAAGGCATGAGAATCACTTGAACCCAGGAGGTGGAGGTCGCAGTGAGCTGAGATCACGCCACTGCACTCCAGCCTGGTGACAGAGTGGGACTCGATCTCAAAAAAAACAAAAACAAACAAACCAAAAAAAAAAACTACAGTGAGAGACCACCTTACACCAGGTCAAAATGGCTATTATTAAAAAGTCAAAAAACAACAGATACTGGCAGCGATGTAGAGAAAAGGGAACACTTACACAATGTTGGTGGCATGTAAATCAGTACAACCTCTATGAAAAAATAGTATGGATATTTCTCCGAGTTAAAAATAGGACTACCATTTGGTCCAGCCATCCCACTACAGCATATGTACCCAAAGAAAAACATTATTTTTAAAAGGCACTTGCACTTGTATGTTTATTGCAGCACTATTTATAATAGCAAAGTCATGGAATCAACCTAAGTGTCCATCAATGGAAAATTGGACAGAGAAAATCTGATATATATAATTGAATACTACTCAGCCATTAAAAAAAAAATCATGTCTTTGATGTCTTTGCCAGCAAATGGATGGAACTGGAGACCACTATCTTAAGTTAAACAATTCAGAAACAGAAAGTCAAATACCGTATGTTCTCACTTATAAGTGGGAGCTAAACAGTGCACACACATGGACATAAAGAGTAGAATAATAGACACTGGAGACTTGGAAAAGTGAGAGCATGAGAGGGAGGTGAGGAATGAAAAAAATTACCTGTTGGGTACAATGCACACTATTCAGATATTGGGTAAACTAAAAGACCAGACTTCACCACTATGCAGTTTATCCATGTAACAAAACTGCACTTGTACCCCCTAAACCTATTAAAAAAAATTAAAGATTATCCATGAAAAGTGATAGTTTTTAATATCTATTCAAATTTGGTATATCAGTTAATAATATTCCTCTTTTTATGTTGCAGGAGCAGGAGAATCTGGGAAAAGTACTATTGTTAAACAAATGAAGTAGGTATACATCTGTCTCAAGTGTTTAATATTTGATGTCTGTCCATGTATTTGACCATTCTTAAAATACATGCTTTTGTAAATGCTGATTGACAATCTTTTCTAAATCATGGATCATAGAGTGGTCATAGTTCCTGTGCAAATATACCTTGTATCCTTTAGCAGAAAGTGTAGCAGATGAATAATATTATAATTTCCATTTTTTAAAATGTGCCTCTCAATAAGACAAATGCTTAAAGCATTATATTTTAGTCATATTAATCTGGGGATATCAAGGACTTTATAATCTGATCATTAACGGTAAATATTTTAAAATGTCAATCAATCATATATTTGATTTTTTGAGGAAACAGTATTTTTAACCTCATTAGCATTTTGCCTACCTGGGAATAAAATGCTTAATTACTATCATGAATTGTGATGTATTTTTGCATTTGTTTCTCTACTTTTTCCTTTTTATAATGAAATAACTAGACCTGAATTCCTTAATAAGGAAATAATGACAAAAGAATGCAGTGTCTACCTGAATAAAAAGGTAATTGATAAGTAAAGGTAAATGGGTGAAACCTCATGGCTTTGTTACTGCTAGAGAATTTTAAAGGATAATTGTGGCTAAAAAGAAGTAAAAGAAGAAGCAGAAGAAACAGAAGCAGCAGCAACAACAGCAGGAAGAGAAGGAGGAGGAGGAAAGGAGGAGGAGGTGCAGAGAGGAGGAGGAAAGAGGAGGAGGAGGAAAGAGGAGGAGGAGGAAAGAGGAGGAGGAGGAAAGAGGAGGAGGAGGAAAGAGGAGGAGGAGGAAAGAGGAGGAGGAGGAAAGAGGTGGAGGAGGAAAGAGGTGGAGGAGGAAAGAGGTGGAGGAGGAAAGAGGAGGAGGAGGAGGAAAGAGAAGGAGGAGGAACAAAGAGGAGGAGGAGGAAAGAGGAGGAGGAGGAAAGAGGAGGAGGAGGAAAGAGGAGGAGGAGGAGGAAAGAGGAGGAGGAAGAGGAAAGAGGAGGAGGAGGAAAGAGGAGGATGAAGAGGAGGAGGACCATTTTTGAGCATATTTTTAAATTATATGTTAAAGGATCTTGTTCTTTGGGCCATATTTTATAAGGGAGTGATGCCTGCCAGTCAATAATGAAATTGGTTTCAATCTAAGACACTGTTTTCCTTTTATGTGATAATCTCATGTAAGTTTTATATCAACCAATATTTAAGCTTCACTTATCTGCAACCAAACACCTGATCTTTCCTACTGTCTCTGAAGAACAGAGCTCCTTTATTCTGTTCCCTGGGATTGCACCATTTTTGAGTTTTTAGGACCATCCTTGCAACTAAGTCATCTGGCATTCATTTATAACATTTCCACAGTATCTGCCTGCTCTTGTCTCCCAGGCTGTGATCATGCTTGAACCTCTCTTTTTTCATTTCTCCATTCTCTATGAGCTTAAATAAAGAAAAAAAAAGACCAATTATTTGGCTGCGTAAAAAATAAAACTTTTAAATATAGTAAACCGTAAATAAAATTAAGCCAAAATTAGAGAACAAGAAAAAATTTATAATAAATATGATAAATAACTGGTGACTAGTATATAAAGGCCCATAGATTGCTAAGTAAAACAATAAGCTTCCCAATATACATAAATGGGGATAGGCTATGAATAGAGAGTATAGAAATGACAAAATTCAATAGATAATGTATTTTAGTGTAACCTTATTATAAAAGTTAAAAATCAGATCACTAATGAGGTAATTTTTCATTGTAGTAAATTGACAAACAATAATTTTAAAAAATTACCCAATAATAATGAGATTTTGAGAAATGGATATTTTTAATTGCTATTTGTAAAATTATATATTACAGAGAATTTATAAAAATAATATCTTTAATATACATAGTAAGCTGGGAAAATTATTGATCTAAATATGTTTCTGAGAATTGTCAAAAGTAATAAAATATGCATAGGCATGAAAATAAAATAATTCAATAATATAAAAGCCTGTATAAAAGGCTTATATCACTATTTAAGATAATGAAATATGGGATAGAATAAAGTGCCACAAATTAAAATAAAACATAAGCAATTAGGTTGCAAAGTTACAGGACTATTCATTCTTCAATTGCAATATTATATAACTATTACAAATCATGTATTAATCTCATGTATATGAGAAGGTTTTAATATGAGAAAATGCTATGTTTACTAAAAAAACAGGTTACAAAATTGCATTAACATTTTATTTTTTATTTTATTTTATTTATTTATTTAATTTATTTATTTGAGAAAGGGTCTCGCTCTGTCGCCTAGGCTGGAGTGCAGTGGCACAATCTTGGCTCACTGCAACCTCCACCTCTCAGGTTCAAGCAATTCTCCTGCCTCAGCCTTCTGAGCAGCTGGGATTACAGGTGCCTGCCACCATGCCCAGCTAATTTTTTTTTTTTTTTTTTGGTATTTTTAGTAGAGTTGGGGTTTCACCACATTGGCCAGGCTGGTCTCGAACTCCTGACCTCAAGTGATCCACCTGCTTCAGCCTTCCAAAGTGCTGGGATTACAGGCATGAGCCACTGTGCCCGGTGCATGAACATTTTAATCTCAAGTATGATCAAATAGATACTTTTTTAAAATGAGAGAGCATTTACCAGTATTCAAATAAATTTTCTCTCAATAGTGGAATTTAAAGTTCAAAGCACCTTTGCTTTTTAATATTGTTAGGCTTTTCACATTTTCTACAATGAGCACTTCTTTTATTATTTAAAAAGAGCAAGTTTCCTGTTCTGCTTTGTCTTTCCTTTTCTCAGTAGAATTTCTGTAGAAAATAATCAAAATTAGCTCTCTTTACTTTCCACTTTCAGCCATTTTCATCACACTTTTGCCTCTGGTAAGTTGCAGAAGTTGCCCTTACGAAGATTATTTATTATGTCATCTTCGAATAGCCATTTTATTTGAAGTCTCCTTAAGTCCTTATGTTAATTCCAGATGACATCACTTTTCTCACTTAAAACTTTTCTTCAGCTTCTAGAACTCTTTCCCGGTTCGTCTAACTATCTCCTTTATTCTTCTAACTCTATCTCTGACTACATTTAAAATGTTAGTGTCTCTACTGTACCAGGAGATGCTGGCACTTCTCTACTTACTCTGCACCTTCATCAAAATGAAAACTGCTAGAGTTCTATGATTTTCACCAGAATCTTCAAGCTGACTGTTTCAGAATATTTCTTTCAAACTCACACACTTTGTCTAAACTAGAGAGGCAGATACATCTACTGCTATATTCTCTGGCTAGGTCCAAATCAGAATAAACATTAAACTTATCTCCCATCTGGCCTCTATCGCCCTAAAATTAATTACAACAACGCCAGCCTACAACGCAATAAATCTCAGCATAGTTATGCTAAGCCTTCACCCTTTTACCAAGTCATGCCACATCTACACAATTTGTCTCCAAACATGTCATTGATCTCCATTGGTCATCATTTCTGACCTAGATTAATTCAGTATCTTCCTAAGGAGCTTCTACCTCCCTTCTCTTCCCTTCATTGCATTATCCACACTGCCATGAACTGATCCATTTAAAGCTGATTTTATCTCCTGAATTCAACTCTTCACCCTTGCTGTCAAGATCAATCTCCTTGCCATGGCACACAAGACACTGGAGCCCAGTTCTTGCCGATGTCTTCATCCTCCTGTCCTGTAATTTCTCCCCTACTTCCTGCTTCACTAATGCTGACCTTTTATAAGTCTGTAGACTAACACACTATAGAAGGCTGAGCATCATGGCTAAGATCATGGACTGTACATCAGATTGTGTTTGTGGCCCAGGTGTATCACAAACTAACTGAATAAGTTGGGGGTATTTGCTTAATTTATCTATGCTGACATTTCTTACTTATAAAATGTAGATCATAATTGTATCTACTTTAAAGGGCTTATTGTAAGAAATAAGACAGATGAAGTGCTTACAATAGTGCTTGGCACATATTGAACACTTGAAAATTGTGAGCATCTATTTGCTCATACTGATCTTTCTTCCTACAATGATTCTCTCTCCTTTTGACCATCTAGGAATAACTATCCTTGAACAATCAGCTGATTATCACTGCTTCCGGGATGTCTTCTTTGATACCTTACACCTAGTAGAGTTTATCACTTTTTCTTTTCTATAGCATCTTACTATATGCAGAGTTTGTTCCTATGCATTATCATAATGTTTAAAAATCTCTTTATATGCTCTGCCTTCTTATAACTCAGTCCTCTTCAACAGAACTTTGTGGGATGATAGGAAAGTTCTCTATTTTGCCTTGAAATATGGCAGCTGCTAGCCACATGTGGCTTTAGTAGCCACTTGAAATGTTGATAGTGTGATTGAGAAACTAAATTTTTAATTTTACTTAATTTTAATTAATCATCTAGTGACTAATGTATTATACAGAGGAGCTCTAGTCTATGGTTTTGGGAAGGAGAGACTTGTATAATGTATTTCTTTAACACATAACACAGTATGTCACAGAAAATGCACAGTAAAAGCTTATTAATTTCAACAGACCTCAGAACCAACTTTGCAGTTGGAGTGCTCTATCTCACTGAAATTTATATATGCATCTCCTGGAAAAACGATGTTGTTTAAAGTCCCACTTCAACTGGACATTTTAACTTCTGTTTTTATCATTTTTCTTTGTGATAAATGTTTCTTCATCTTCTCATAGTAATCAGAACTTGTTTCATGAAGATAACCTAAGTGCCTCATGTTTATTCACAGTTGCCATTTTAATAATAATTTTCCAAGTTCAATTTGACAGAAAACTGGGATTTCTTTAATAAACTTATTCTTGATCTATCCATAAAGACATTTTACTGCATTTTTTTCTACAGCCTTTGTCTATTTTATTTACTTATGTAAGTTATTTAATGGTTTAATGCAGCAAGACAAACATGACCATGTTTAAAGTAGAAGTTCAGCAATGATTTGTAATCAAATATAAAAAACAACAAATAACAAATATAGGCTGTGCCTTTACTCCTTTCAGTTCAGATTTCTTGTATAGGAAGCTTCTAATATCTTCAAAGACATTAAAGAGGTGTTTATGCTCTTTTCCCCCCATGCTAAAGCCTTTATACGTGTAGACACAATATAAATCTTTAGTAATATGACATCCAAAAAGATGCCTAATGAATACAAAGGACTTCAAGACAATAAGAGAAAATAGAAAGGAACAAAAAAAATTATACAATAAAGATGCAAAAATACGTAACTGGCATATCTAACGATTTTAGCTTTTGATAGGTAAATCTATTTTAAGCTATTATTCGAAAACTACTAGTAAAATCTTGAGTTTGGCTGAATGAGTGGAAGGTAGAGAAGAGTTCAGCCAAATAAAATGTCAGGCATTTCAACTTTTATAACTCAGTGGCACGTACACAGATGGAGAACTGACAAGAAATTTAACAGGGCAATTACGTGTACTAAAAAAGATGCCTTTGTTAATGCTGTAAATAGAAAGCAGGCACTCCTATTTTTCAGCATGATAGGAAAAGTCATGAATGTTCTAAATGACTTCGCTTCCTCTAGACATCAGGTTGTAAACACAAGGTCAAGTTTCAAACTCTGTATATATCTTTGTCCTGGGAATCTAGAAATTTTTCTCTTAAAAAAATAGACTTTCTAAGTATAATGCTTATGATTTACCCATTTTAAAAAAGTATTTTTAAATAACAAATCCTAAGTCTTTTCATATTTATCATGGGTAGCCCAGAAAGAAAATACTGTATAAATGACAATGATAATAAAAGTCCAAAGGCATAAAATTGTTTAGAGTTAGCATATATGTATGGTCAAAATTCCTTTTTAATGAATATATACTGTAATTTTATTCAAGCAACTTAGTTGGATGTGCTTTAGTGTTACAATCAATTATTCAACTCACAGAAACTTTTCATGTTTAAATTATAGGATCATCCATAAGAATGGTTACAGTGAGCAAGAATGCATGGAGTTCAAAGCAGTAATTTACAGTAATACATTGCAATCCATCCTAGCTATTGTGAAAGCCATGACTACCCTTGGAATTGATTATGTAAATCCCAGAAGTGCAGTAAGTATGCAAATAATGACAGCTGTATGTCCTGCAATAGAGTTTGAGCCATAAAATAAGAGGACTTAATAAGTTCATAGTATTAATCTATATCCAAAATTTAAAAATATGAAACATGAATTTTGAAACATTAATTCTGTTTTGTGTAAGATTTCTTATTTTCCTTGAAGTGAAACTTTTTTACTATATACTGTAATATTATTCAACATTAGTTGTTTTCCTGAGGATTAAACTTAATATCAAATAATACACCATAACAAATAAAAATATTGCTTGTGATTGCTAAATACAAAAGAATTTATGGCATAAACACAATTTGCAATATCTCTACATTAATTTTTTTAGTTATGCCATTTCAAAGAGACTAAAAAATGTTTAATAACATAACAATTATAATTAATGTTTGACGATGATTACAAGGTCTGTGTGGCAACAGGGAAATGATTACTTGATAAGTTTTTTTTTAAAAAAGAATTCAAATTGTAGGAGTAAGCAAATGTCTGTATATCAAGTATATTCAAGTAGTCATAGTTCCGTTTGTAAGGTAGCAACAAAATTATTTTCTCCCTACTTTATATTTTGCTATCTAATTATTTTACATTAAATTATATTTGAAATCCACTTACTTTAAAAGTTTATAGGCAGACATATAAAATTATTTGGCAAATGAAACTTACAGTATTATCCAAAGAACCACAGTTGACCCCACCCAAAAAAAAGAGTAACGGAGTAGAATCCACAAGAAGAACTCACCCACTTCCATATGTCCCCTCCAGGAGCAGCTGGGCATCTGGTTACCTCCAGAGGATGCCAGTTGAATGCCTACCAACGTAATTCTTGGAAACCTTGCTATAGAAACAATAAAAATAGAGAGCAAAAGCATAGTAAGGATAAAGAAAGAGGAGTCATTTGAACTCCCTCCCCCAGCTTAGTGGACCTTTTAAATGACCACTGGATCTTGTAAATGACCACCAGAAATCATTACAATTAAAACAAAAACAAAACAAAACAAAGCCTTTTCTGTGCTCTTAATGTAAAGAAAGGGGAAATCCCCCTTTTTCCTGTCACTTTTCTTCAAAGAACAAGGAAATGCTAAGTATGGCCTTCAGGCAGATAGTTTATAAAGCAAGGAGTCAGGTATTTTACTGATTCCCATTTCTAGCTTTCTCCACAGTTTGCTCCAATCTATCTCTCTGGCTACAGTTTCCCTCTCATGTGTAAAAGGGGAACTTGGAGGAGTCGAACTCCAAGATCCTTTTATTCTTTATCTCTCTCTGACTTAGTGATCATGTTCTTATTTAAGTGTAGTTCAGTTATGGATCTGACCTTGGCTTTTCCTAAGAACGTAGGATTTTAAATTGGCTCTTAAGAAACAACATAGTATACCCACCTTAATTTAAAAAAAACAAGGCTCAAAGATTAGTTGGTTTACATTAAGTAGCTCAAGTTTATGGAAAAATCCACTTCTCCTGGATTCCATTATAGTGCTTTTTGCTATTCAAGGATTTAATGATTAGAAATATTTATTTTTTCCTCTTAGGCAATAATAGTTACAAAAATAGACGTACCCTCTGAATTCCTTTGAGAATGATTTAATGATGTTTAAATTTGTAGATGCAATACGGTATTCCATGCATTTGTGTCAGAGAAGTTGGAAATCACAATCTTGCCTATTGCTACTTATTTAAATAGACTGTGTCTTTCATAGAACCCAGAGTTTGTGAAACAGTGACGCTCTGATCACTAAATACTTGATATTTGACCAGATATGGTGTCTCATGCCTATAATCTCAACATCTTGGGAGGCTGAGGCAAGAGGATCGCTTGAGCCCGGGAGTTCCAGACCAGTCTGAACAATATAACCAGACACTGTATCTATAAAAAAAAAAAAAAAAAAAAAAAGGAAAAGAAAAAGAAAAAAAAATAGCTAGGCATGGTGGTGTGTACCTGTAGTCCCAGCTACTTGGGAGGCTGAGGTGGGAGATTCACTTGAGCTTGGGAGGTTGAGGTTGCAGCAGCTGTGATGGCGCCACTGCACTCCAGCCTGGGCAACAGAGCAAGACCCTGTCTTGAAAAAAAAAAAAGTGAGATGAGAGATTTATTAGTAAAAGTCTTAATGAGTTGACATATAGGGGAAGTGAAAATAATAAACTCTACACATTGCTGCCATCATGCTAATTAAAAAATAAAAGTACAGTTCATTCAAACTGTACATTGAATGGCATAAACAGATCAACTTAAGCAGCACTTAGCCATTGTCATAACTTCTCAAGAGTACCTATATTCTCAACTATCAGAACATCACAGTTGTCAGGCACGACATAGTTCATATTTTGATTTCCACTTATGTGAACTCTATCAGTTTCAGCTGCATTCTAGTACTTGGTTTTGAGATTAATATACTCTTGACCTGTTTAAAATTGTTTATTTAACAGATTGATTGCTAAACACTACCTACATGTGACTTTCAGAGTTCTGGTTAGCTCTCAATTATTTATTTATACAAGTGCATATACTTTTATATAGCCATTTGCACATCATCACACAGATTGCCAAAGAGAGAAGTTCTGATAGAAAATTTATGTGAGCTTTATTAGTCACTGGGTCTATAAGTTTGGACAAGTTAACCTCTCTAAATTTCAGTGTCTGCTTCCACAGAATGTTATGGCTTTCCTCCTTGAGTTACAATGACTATTAAAGAAGGAAGCAAAAACATAAGAAATCCACTATATACAGAGTATTATAGAATGTACATTTTCAGTAAATATTAGGTATTATTTTTCAATATTTATTTTGAATATAGGATCATTAAAATTTAGGTAGTGAAATCTATACATCCAACATCATTTGAAAAAATTATTTTTTATTAAACTATTATTTATGTGGTAGACATTTAGTTGGACACCGGGGATGTAGTGAGGGCTCAGCAGTAACTGAGATGGAAATAATATTTGTCATCAGGAGAGGAGAGCTTGATGTTTAACAAGTAACTACAAATATGCTATTTCAAAAAGGCTGTGCAGCTATATGTGGAGCTCAATCCTTGCTTAAAGAAGGAATTACTAAGAAGGGGAACACTAACATTAAATGAGGATGGAAAAGAACTAATTAGTTTGGTTTTGGAATGAGTTTGTAAGTTCTATTTGATATCTACATATGTAAGCAATTACAAATGTGCATTTGAAGCCCAAAATGGACACTTTGTCTAGAGATCTAAATCTAGGTGTTATTGGCATGCCATTATACTATGGCATATAATTCATACTAAGAAAGTAGGATGGAATAGGTGAAGGAAGCACTTAGATTAAGAAGGGAAGGGTATTAGGGATAACAGAGTCTAGGGAAGAGTGTTAAAAAAAAAAAACACACAATATTTTCTGCTCATTTGTTAGGAAAAGAACCTTCAAGGGAGAGGACAGAAGAGTAAAAGGAAATCAGAAGTATGCGAAATCACAGAATTCAAGAGAAGTGTTCCAAAGGGAATTATCCACATTGAAAGGTCTTGAGAGGTCAAGAAAGGAAACTATTAAATAGAATCTATTGGATTTAGAAATATGGAGCCATTGGGAATATAGTGAGAGAGGTTCCAGAAGAATGGTGGACTCCTACTCCTGTGGAATATGTGGAGAAATGAGAATAGGCTATTGGAACAGTTAAGGACAATATTTCAGGACCTATAGCCAAGGAGTAGGAGAGAGATGGGATATGTAGTTAGAGGGGAAGCAGCTAAATCGGGATTGTTCTTATTGGTTGTGGTTTAGTATTTGATAGGCTTAGAATTTCCTAAGCATAGAACTTGAAAAGAGGGTTAACAAACCCTCTTTTTTTGTTACCTATGTAACAAACCTTCATATCCTGAAGAAATAGGAAAGGAGAAATAATGAAGATATTTAGTAAATATCTACTTATCCTTTTGAATATTATTATATCCTATTTTGGAGCATATAGAATCCACTCAACTGACATAAAAGAATGCTGAAAATTGTAACACTTTTACTACATAATTTGAGCACTGTTGTAATCATCTTGGACATAGAACCCTACAAAGTAAACTCTACAATATGAACCAAAAAGCACTGATTCCTCAAGATGTTCTACAATTGAAGTTCTGTGATTAGATTTGTTTGGTATATATGCGTCCAATAACTTGGAAATTTTCAACCAATATTACTACTCAAAGATTCTGAAAACCGAGTAGCCACAAAACATGGTATTTTTAACTCAGCATTTCTCACAATTACTAGGTAAACTATATAGTCTTCCTTTCTTTTGATATTTTTTTCATGATATTTGGAAATATGACTCTAGGGTTCAGAATAAGTTCCACAAAGTTCTAAGACCACCTGGGATCCCTAATATTAACGATGAAGTTCTGAGTAATCTGTAGGGAAAACACATATTTTATTTTCTATACAATGTAGTCCCAAAGTTACACAATCTTAAGAGAATGAAGATGAGTTGATAGGTGCAGGAAACCACCATAGCACATGTATACCTATGTAACAAACCTTCATGTTCTGCACATGTATCCCAGAACTTAAAGTAAAATAAAAATGATGAGTAAATAAAATAAATATTCTTTAAAGAGAGAGAGAGAGAGAATGAGCCATTCCAGGCCCACTGTAATTCCCAAGCTTTTCCAAATACCTCATAGGGAAATAAAACTTCTTTGGGATGCCACTCAAATCCACAGGGTGTTATTTGAAAAATGTGGCAGAAAGGATGATTAGAGAAGGCTTCATTGAGGAGGTGGTATTGGGAAGAGACTTGAGTGAAAAAGGAAGTGAACCACCGAAGGACATGGAGGCAACAACCACTGAAATGCGCTGAAATGAGGGCTTGGTGAGTTCAAGGAGCAACAAATTGTTCAGTGCATCTTGAGTCTTGGTGGCAGGGAGAGAAAGGGAGAAAGGAGGGAAAGAGGGGATCAAAACATGTAGAACCTTGTGAGTCACAGTAAGGGATAAGGGATTTGGGTTTTATGTTGAGTTTTGAGTTTGGTGAGAAATTACTAGAGTTTTTAAAATATAACAATAAAATAGGAGTTAAGTGTTCGATCAGTTTGGCCGTTATGAGGAAGCTAAGTTTTCATAATACCTATACATTTTGGTGTTATATATTTTAAAAATTCACATTTGATGGGTAGGCTCAATCCTTTAAAAGCTTTAAGGAATTTTAAATTTAAAGAATTGTAATTCTTTAAATTATACCAGCTTTTCAATAAGCACAGAAGAACATCAAGAATGGAAATACACTATGTTCAATAAAGTGTTATTTATGGTTAAAAAAATAACAACTGTATATTGCCAGAAATTCTTAATGCAGTCAGAACAGTTGCGTCACCTTGAAGCTTTTAAAAACTACCTTTGCAGGGCCTGACATGCAAGGATGCTGATTCATTTTGTTTGGGTTGCAGTTCTGCTATCAGTACTTTTAAGGGTACACCATATGCTTGTAATGTGCAGCCTGGATTGAAAATCATTACCGTAGGCTCCAACTATGCACGCACAAATTTAAAAAGTAAAAGGTCTGGAGACACAAAAACCAACCTGATAGGATAACTTGCCTTTGTAGGAGGTAGTAGGATTGAAGTGGTCAAGGGAGACTTTGTAACATTGAAGTGTTTAAACTAGAACTATATTCATGATACCTCTACAAATAAAGTATATTGAAATTAAAAATAGAATATTTTTTTAAAAAGGAAGGACAGGTATGGTGGTTCACGCCTGTAATCCTAGCACTTTGGGAGCCCGAGGTGGGCAGATCATGAGGTCAAGAGATCGAGACCATCCTGGCCAACATGGTGAAACCTCGACCCTACTAAAAAAAAAAAAAAAAAAAAAAATTACAAAAATTAGCTGGGTGTGGTGGTGTGCACCTGTAGTCTCAGCTACTTGGGAGGCTGAGGCAGGAGAATCGCTTGAAAGTGGGAGGTGGAGGTTGAAGTGAGCCTAGGTTGTGCCACTGCACTCCAGCCTGCATGACAGAGCAAGACTCCGTCTCAAAAAACAAACAAACAAACAAACAAAAAAACAAAAAAGAAAAAGAAAGAAAAAAGAAAAAGAAAATAAGAAAGAAAAACAGAAAGAAATGAAACAGTATATTTGTTTGGTTTGTAAAGCTATGCTGACAAGATATATAATTTTTTCTCCTTAGGGATAAAACTGTGTAGTGGTTGTTTTATGGCATCATTCCTCCTAAACAGCACTTTAATAGTGGAAGGAGCCAATAGCATGATGCTAGTGAAAGTGACCAGAGCATATTTCACTGAACTTGCAGTTCTCTTTCATATCCATTTAACAGAGAAATGGGGTTTTAAAAATCTATCCTGTGTTGATGCAGGAAAATCAGGTTGAGACTTGATATGGCCATTTGTTGACAAAAAAGCCAAACTCCGTAAAATACTTGAAGAGATTTATTTTGAGCCAAATGTGAGGGCCATGACCCATGGCACAGCCTCAGGAGGTCCTGAGAACATATGCCCAAGGTAGTTAAGTTATTGCCTGATTTTATACATTCTATGGGGATTAAAGTTACAGGCAGATATCAGTCAATACATGCAAGGTCCAGAAAGGCAGGACAATTTGAAGCGGGACCTTCCAGTCATAGGTGGATTCAAACATTTTCTGATTGGTTGAAAAGAATTAAGTTATTTTCTGATTGGTTGAAAGAATTAAGTTATTGTCTAAAGGCCTAGAATCAGTAGAAAGGAGTCTCTAGGTTAAGAGTCTGTGGAGACCAAGGTTCTTATTATGTAGATGAAGCCTCATAGGTGGCACCCTTAGAGGCAATAGATGGCAAATATTTCCTATGTAGACCTTTAAAAAGTGCTAGACTTTCAGCTAATCTCACCAGGATCAGAAAAGGCCTTGAAAAGGGAAGGGGCTTCTCTACACAATGTAAACTTCCCCCACAAAAGACAGCTTTTATTTTCTTGTTATTTTCTTTTATTCTTTTATATATGCCAAAAAAATATATTTGGGGGTAAAATAATTTCTTTCAGGGCCTGCTCTATACTGGAGTCAGTTTGGAATTTGGAATCTTATTGCTATAAAGATTCTGTTTTATCAGTCCTAAGATCTCTGTTTCAATGTTAATGCGGGTGAGTTATGCCTGAATTCCAAAGGGAGGAGGGCCTAATGAGGCATGTCTGACCCCACCCTTCCTATCACAGCCTGACCTAGTTTTTCAGGTTTACTTTGGAATTCTGTTGGCCAAGAGGGATTTCTGTTGGTTGCGGGGCTTAGAATTCTGTTGCTTGGGGGACTTAGAATTTTGTTTTTGGTTTACACATTGAATATGTGGACCAATGACCATCTGATCAGTTTACTTTTAACAATAAAAGCTGATTGTGAAGAAAGATAGAATAAGTTATTTTCTTTTTTTACCCTTACCAGTGTCTCTTTAACAATAAGTGACATATCCTTATTTTTTATACAAAGAACAGATTTTTGATAAAATGGTAGAAAAAAACTGTAGTCAATTCAAAATAATAATAAGCTGAGTTGTATCAGAAAAGCAGCAAGTTCTTATTGAACATACTTCACTGGTAGTGTCAGAGGCATTTGAACCAGAGCAACTTCATCTTAAATAGGAGCTGAGGAAAATGAGAATGAGACCCACTAGGCTTCATTCCCAGACAGTTAAGGCATTCTAAGTTACAGGGTGAGATAAGGAGGTCGGCACAAGATGCAGGTCATAACGACCTTGCTGATAAACAGGCTGCAGTAAGAAGCTGGCCCAAACCCACCCAAACCAAGATGGCCATGAGAGTGACCTCTGCTTGTCCTCACCGCTATACTCCCACCAGCACCATGACAGTTTACAAATGCCATGGCAATGTCAGGAAGTTACCCTATATGCTCTAACAAGGGGAGGCATGAATAATCCACCCCTTGTTTAGCATATCATCAAGAAACCACAAAAATGAACAACCAGCAGCCCTCGGGGCTGCTCTGTATATGGAGTAGCCATTCTTTTATTCCTTCACTTTCTGAATAAACTTGCTTTCATTTTGCCCTATGGACTCGTCCTGAATTCTTTCTTGTGTGAGATCCAAGAACCCTCTCTTGGGATCTGGATTGGGACCCCTTTCCTGTAACAGTAACAGCCTGACATGGCACAAAATGCGCTTGTATTTGACTCTTATTCTGATACTTATTGTATTTACTGGTTTACTCGTTTCTAAAACTCTGAGTTTTAGATTCCTCACATGTAAAATGGAGAAAATATAGTGTCTATCTCATGGTTGTGAGGATTATGTGTGATATTGCATGTGCAGTTTTGTAAATTGTAATAATATGCACTAGGAGGGTTATGAGCTAAAAAAGATATCAGTTTTAGAGGCTGACAACAAGGTTGAGTTCAGACTTCTCCATTTGCCTGGGCTATTACCACAGTCAATTTAGTTATTCTGAAACTCAACATCTTAATTTTTTAAAAAATGATTTGTCATAAAGCTATTTTGATTATTTGTTTAAATAAATTGCAGACTATAGTATTTACTCAGTAAACTTCTATTTCCTTCTTTGCTGGTAACCTCCAAATGTTATCCCAACAGGACTAAGACAATAATTCCTTGCTTTGCATAAAAAACTCTCACCTCTGTCCTACTGATTTGTTCCAAAGGCATATGCAATCAACAATGCCTACAGGGATGTTCAAAAATATTATGTGGATCCAAATGTTTACCATTCTTTATATGATTACGAGGCAGTAACCCGATGACAAAAAAACATTATATATTAATTTTTTGAAACAATACAATTTTAGAATAATGAATTTATTTCCATTTTTACTCTAATTTTTTTTTTTTTTTTTTTTTGAGACAGGGTCTGGCTCTGTCACCTAGGCTGAAATGTAGTGGTGCAATCTCTGCCCACTGCAACCTCTGCCTCCCAAGCTCAAGCAATTCTCCCACCTCAGCCTCCCAAGTAGCTGGGACTACAGACATGTACTACATCCCTGACTAATTTTTTTGTAGAGAAAAATTTTGCCATGTTGCCCAGGCTGGTCTCAGACTCCTGGGCTCAAGTGATCTACCCACCTCGGCCTCCCTAAGTGCTGGGATTATAGGCGTTAGCCACCATGCCCGGTCTACTCTAATTTTTACTTGGCTTTTTTTTTCTAGAAAAATTCATGGCGATGATTAAAAAAAGAAGAAGATACCAGATTAAATCAGCTTAATTTTTATTTTACCTTGGTATAATATGTAGACCTTTTGCAAACTTAGTATGACTACAGCAAAGTATTATTATCCTCCTTGATATCATATTCAGAAGTCAGTGACATATTTCAAAATATGCTAATTTCTTCACATAATATTTTATAGTTTTTGCAAAGGAGAACTCTTCTGGGCATCATCCAGCCATGAAAAACTTTAGTTCTATTTACCTCAATATAGTTCAAAAAGATGTTTGGTGGAATTATTAGCTAAAAGAATAAGATTAAAATTATCCCAGTAAATTACTCTATTAGAAAATAGAATATGTGATTCCAAATAATACATACTTATTCTCACCAAAATATTGTTCTAGGAGGACCAACGACAACTTTATGCAATGGCAAATACCCTGGAAGATGGTGGCATGACACCTCAACTGGCTGAGGTAATAAAACGGCTGTGGAGAGATCCAGGAATTCAGGCCTGCTTTGAAAGGGCATCTGAATATCAGCTCAATGACTCAGCAGCTTAGTAAGTGAATTCACTTTAAGGGGAATTGGAGGTAAAACATTTAAAATTAAGAATTATAATTCTGCATACTTTGCATTTGTAAATTCAAATGAGGAAAATAAATGGTGTTACATTTTATTAGAGTAAAATAAAAAGCAATTAAAGAGAAATGAAAATGAACAAGGTGACATAATGAGATTTAAGAAAATATAACCAGGGGAGCATTTTAAATAACTAAGTTTGAAACTGCCTGAGAAGATTCTATGGTGCAAATATCTTCTCTTGATTAAAAAGTGTTAACCTTTATGCATAGCCTTTCACACTAACACAGACTGGTGACATGCACACTGAGGTTTTGGGCTATTCATTTCATCTCTATCCATATTAGTGAAATCATCTCCTAGATTAATTTCATTAATGACACATGCCTTGGCTCATTGGGTTGATGACCATGATACAAAATTCTAGAAGAAATTAATGAAATGATTTCCAAAATACTTGTATACTAGGAGATTCTTTTGGAGTCTCAAAAAATTCTATAAATTTCACTGCTTGTATCATCCATTTAGCATTAATTAACCATAAGGAAATTAGGGGCTTGTGACACTATTTATAATTTCATTATCAAAGTGATTTAAAATTTTCCTTTAGTGCTGGGCACAGTGGCTCACGCCTGTAATCCCAGCACTTTGGGAGGCCATGGCAGGCAGACAGCTTGAAGTAAGGAATTTGAGACCAGCCTGGGTTACATGGCAAAGCCAAGTTGCTACAAAAAAATACAAAATTAGCCAGGTGTGGTGGCATGTGCCTGTAGTCCCAGCTACTTGGGAAGCTGAGACAGAAGGATTGCTTGAGCGCAGGAGGTCAAGGCTGCAGTAGGCAGAGACTGCACCACTGTACTCCAGTTGGGGCAAAAGAGCAAGACCCTGTCACCAAATTAACCCCAAAAAACAATTATTTTAGCAAGTGGTTCCTAACATAGCCCCTTACTATATGCCTGCAAGATGTGTGCATATGTAAATACAATCTAATTACTCATTTTCTATTTCTGTTCATGCATATGTGTGAAAAAGTGTAAATATAGTTCTTTTGATGAACTCCCCCTCTCCCCGCCAACAGAAGCTGCTAGCATCGTTTAATTAAACAAAAGCAAAACAGTAATGTAAAAGTGAAACAAATGAAAAAGATCGGTTAAGGACAGAACAATGAAGCTTGCATGACACTTCAGATTTTTAATCATTGATGGACAGAATGATTAGGGAGAGAAAATAAGCTATATAAACTCTAGAGAAAAAATTTTCTGTAATTATTCATTCATCTTTATTTTAGACCCCAATTTCAAAGGGCACATTGCTTTTGGAGGAGTTTTTCCTAGCTCTCTGATGGAGAGAATGAGTCTCATTTTGTGATTATATCAACTTGAATAACTTTTCATAAGTGTCTCAGCACCTACCACATTTTAATAGTACAAGGGATCTCTGCAGTGGAGTAAAACATTGCTTTTCTAAACTATTCATTGGTAAAGGTAGTCACAATGAGTAAGAAGCTGAATTGTGGAATATTTCCATAAAATCTTGCTTAGTAAAGCTCTGGGTAGAGAGCTAGAGAGAAAGATAGATTAAAGTGGGCTCTCATTAATATATTTAGTCTTGTACAAACCACATAGTTAAAATGGGCAAATAAATGGCATTTTATTGTATTTTCTAGTATTTAATTTTAGCTTTTTCCTTTATTTAAATACTTAAAGTATGTTTTACACTGGGACTATCTACTCCATTATAGATTCATAGTAAAATTTTAAATCTGTTCATCAAGTTAAAAACAATTAAACAATATCAATTTGCATTCATTTTGTAAATGTTGCCCATATTGTAATAGTTTTCAACTACCCAGATTACTGCAGGTGCAATAGAACAACAACAGAAAAGCTCATTTTCCCTGGGTCTTAGAGAAATTTCATACATAAACAAAAAGTAATAATAATAATAAAGTGGTTTTTTTTTTCTGCTCTTAGGTGTCCTTAAAAGGAAAGCTTGCTGAGAAAGGTAGTTGAATGGTCATTGCTTTCTTCCAGAAATTAAGAGCAGATTTTTTTTTCCAAACACTGAATTACATTAGAAAACTAGATATAAAATGAGATTGGTACTATAATGTGTGTCTATTTCATATACATTATATAGAGCAAGGTCTCTAACACTTTTTTCTTTTTCTGGTAAAAGTAAGATACTTCTTGTTTTCTCAAATCTAGAGATCCTTCAAGTTAAGGCTAACAAAAAAGTGAATATAATCAGAATAAGGGAAAGGAATGCCATAGTTGGCAACATAACCTCATCAGTTCTAGCAAATTGAAAGAAGAGGGGTATGGCAGGGATAATCAGAGGAAACATTTTAGTTGACTGCATGGTTTGCTAATTGCAGCCATCTAGTGTGCCTTTAAAATTCCATGTGCTTTAAGAATTACCATAGACTTCACCAGGAAAAATACTAGTTTAAATAATTGGAAAAGAATTTAGTACTTTTAAATGATTAGATTCATATATGTTAAGGGCCTCTATTTGGTCTAAGCTTTAGATTATAGACTTGAACTCCCACATTCCATATTTGTTTATTTAAACAAGCATTTTAAATGCAAATTTGTCAGTCTGCTAATGCTTCTGCTTTGCTTGAAATCATTCATACATGCAAATAAATGTGTCCTTACCAAGGTTTTCATTTAGGTATCATGAAATGAATTTAATCTTTATTTTGGTAGGTATATTTTTGGGTTTTTTTTGTTTTCTTTTTACTCTTGCGTGAACTAACTGACCAACAACACACCTACCACACATGCAGACTTAATTAATAGAAAATTCACAAAGGGATTTGCTTGCCAAAATAGAAAATAAATACACTAGCAAATCCTGCCAGTACTTTTTCCAATACATTTACATCTTAATGTTTCACTCTTTTTTCAAAAGAAAACTTAAGCTTTTTTAGAATAAAACAATGGTGACAAATTTTCATATTATATATGTTATGTGTTTCTGAGGTGTGATTTTTACTCTCGGCCGAAATCCCTTTGGGACACTTGTCCAACCTTAATTTGTTTCAGCTTAAAAGGAAAAAGATCCTCCAAGAATAAATTACCTATATTAATAATGAATTTTTTTAACTAATAAAATAATTTTGTTTTTTCAATCTTTGTGCTAGGTGCTAAGGCGTAACAGCTTCTCAGCTTAATCACTGAACAAACAATTTTTAACACTGACTAACATTCAGCTGGATTCTACCTCACAAATTCTGTCTCGATGGAAGCACTTGAATCTTATCTTTCTATAAATGTGGTTCAGTGTAATGGCGAAATTTGTCATAAAGGCATTACCATGCTATTACTATTTGTATCTGAAAGTTTTACAGAAATAGTGATATTGCTAAGCCACTAAAAGCTTAGTATCAAAAGTCTAGACCAGTGGTTTTCAAATTATTTTTAAAGCAATAAAACACTTTTTTTTTTTTTTTTTAGTATGAAGACATTATCTCGTTTCAAGAGTTAGGAAGCTGAGAGCAGGTTTTTTTTCCTCTAATTTAGCAGACTGTTATAGCATACACAATTTAATTAGACTTATTCCTGTTCATCACCACACCTAGATCCTGTGAGGGGAAAAAAACACCATATTCAGCCTGTTAATACTAACAATTTTTAATATAGCTTCCTGGAAGGGGTAAAGACACAGTGATGCATTGATGGAAGAGGAGGTGGGAGTGGGGACAGTGGGTACGTTCACCCTTCTGTCCCCAGGAGAGCCAGGTCAGGGTGGGTTTGCAAATTCATGAGTCACTTCCAGCATAGACCAGGAAGAGAGACAAATGGTACTTCTTTTATTGCGCTAACTAGATATTGCAATGGCATTTAATGGAAATGGCTGAGTCTTGATGAGGCAAATTCATGCAAAAATAACAAACAACCTTCAAATTAGTACATTCGAACCAATCACTCTCATAAAACCGAAAATGCCTAAATTCAAACTACAGAATTTCGAGGATAATCTAGCCACTACCACTATAAGGCAACTTTTAGTTTTGTAATGATCCAGGCACTATAAAGAGAAATTTTCTTTCATACTCCTATCCATATACAAGCAAATTTATCACACAAACCACATAAAATACAGGTTAAGGCAATGTTGATTTAGGTGCCTTTAGAAGAGGACGCTGGGGGTCAGCTGTGTGCCACATTCAGCACTCTGCATTCTGCAACATTCCAGCTACCAAACTTTTAATTCGATGAGCATAGTTTGGAAAGCGCCTGTCTAGAATTTATCATTTTTCATAGAACCTACGCTAAAAATTCATTTCTACTGAATCCTGGTTTCTTCAAACGCAAAGTTAAAAATATATATATATACACACACATATATATGTATGTATGTGTGTATATATACATATATGTATGTATTTATGTATTATATATACACATATATAATTTTGTTTTGTCTTTATTAGCTACCTTAATGATTTAGATAGAATAACAGCATCTGGGTATGTGCCAAATGAACAAGATGTTCTCCATTCTCGAGTGAAAACGACTGGAATCATTGAAACTCAATTCTCCTTTAAAGACTTGCACTTCAGGTATGATCAAATATCTTTTCTAACTGTAGACAGAAGTATGCATCAGGCTTAATATTTCCTCATGGAGAAAAGCTCTAGCCCATGTTCAGGTTCAATAATCCTTGGATGTACTCACTAGCTCTAGTTTACCTTCAGTACCGCTGTCCTTTACTGTCCTTCTATAGCCTCTCACCCCAGCCTCTCATCCTGAGCCTCATCCCTCCTTCCAGGCTAAAATGCTTCTGGCTTGAGCAGGTGGGGACTAGATTTTACTTTCCTCATGCTTAAAACTGGCACTGTACTTTGGGGAAAAAAAAGAAAATGTATTTAAATAACATACAAGAAATGGGTGCCAGGAATCCTATTTCCTTTGCCTTTCTATTTTCCTATTTGCTTGAAATATTCCTATAACATCTGTTTCCTTAATTTTAAAAAATGCAAATTACCAAGATGAGAATTATTTGAATATGATACTATTTACTGCAATAACAAGGCATATTTTATAACCATGTTTTGAGTATGAAAATGAATCATTATTTTCATTGCGGTTATATTATCGAGAGCTTCCTAGAAATTCTACTGCAAAATCACTCATTTACTATACCAAGAAATGGAAACCCATACTATAATGTTAGAAAATATCCCTTAATATTTAAATACCTTTTTGTATGGATTGTGGACAATATGGAATATTAAACATTAATAGCAGGTTCTAGCTGCATTGTTTAGTAATGACAAAAATCAATAAAAATATAACTAATAAAATTACTCTTGTATCAAACAATGAGAATAATCTTAAAGAGTAAAAAACTGGAGATAGAGTGGCATGAATTATTCATATCCATTCGTGAGGAAAAAGAAAATGGTAATTAATCAACATCATAAATTTATTTTAGTAAGATAAAAGCTTCAAATATTTTAAAGTATGTGTTATATATAATATCTAAGTAGAATACCTATTATGTAGATAGTATATTTTCAACTAATACGGAAAAACTCTTCAAAATTCGTATCTAAATTTTAGGCCCACAAATAGTTAATTTTCTGAAAGATGAGCCAAAGATTAAACCAGGGTAAAGGGACTGCACCGATTGGGATCAACATCCTCTCTTGGCAAATGTAGGAAAAGTTTGTCGTCAGTCTTGGCTTCACTATTGTATAGTTCTTTTTGGCAACTACTTTCTTCAGACTCCTCACCTTTGATCCAGTTTCTGGGTTTTCCTTTGAGGCCCTGAGTCCAGTTGTTTCTCCCCCTCTGCCCCTCCCACGCCAGTGAAAACATTTTTGACACTGTCCCTTTTCTGTCTTACTCTTTCTTTTCTCCAGATGTCTCACTGAAACAGACTAGAACTGAGTGTGGGCCTTGAGGCTGCCCAGACCAAAGTTCCAATTCCAGGTTACCTAATAATTAGCAGTAGGAGTTAAGAAACACAGTTAACCTTTTCTTTATTTGCTTGCCTAATGAGTTTGTTGTAAAGATTAGATGAAGTAAAGTCCTAGTAGAGAGTTATAACTTGATGTAGCTTACCTTTCATAAGCCAGTAGAACTCTCTGTGTCCTAGATTGTCTGGACCATAAACGGGTTTGGACAAGTGATGTTACCTGTTGAATACCTAAAAGCTCACTACCCAAGTCACTCCCTACAACACCAACCAATTTGGTATTGTCTCAAAAATGATCACTCTCAAAAATTATCTTGTTTATGTATCTGTTCTTTAACATTTCAAGCCTTTGTACTTGCTAGTCTCTTTGCCTAAAGTGCTCTGCCCCTGAATCTGCAAGAAACATCTCCTTCTTATGATTAAGTTCCAAAATCAAATGCATATCCTCATGGAGGCATAACCATCTTATCTATGTACCATCCATGCTTATCCCTGTCACTATACACCCTGCAGCATGCTCATAAATGTTTAACAGCAGGGTTTCTGGGGCAGTAAGGCGATGGAGGGCTGGCTGATTGTAGCTCTTGATTTTTCTGGTGCAAATAACCCCACCATGGTCAATTTCAGTCAACCAAGGTGATGTCACTAAATGCAGAGTTGAGGAGAAATGCAAATAAACAGCTCTCACTAGCTAAGCCAGGGTGAGCCATAGCCACTGCAATATTGATACATCACATTGCTTTCCTTTTAAAAAAAATTATCAATATATGAGATTGCCTTGCTTCTTTATTAGTTTTCTCTTTTTGTTTCTGTTTCTATCTCATATGCCCCCGAGCTCCTGGAGGCTAGGGGCCATGTCTATTTATAGCTCTACTTCCAGTGCTTATTATAGTGGCTAGCATAGAGTAAGAATGAAGGTAATTTTTGCTGAATGAGTAAATGCACTATGCCAAACACTCTACATACACAATCTTTATACTTGCACAGTAACACCATGAGCTGAGTGTTGCTATCGATACTCAGGATAAGCAATCTTGGTTATCCTGAGGCTAACTGGATAGCCTCAAAAACTGGAGGCTATACTGAGATAAAAGATTTCCCCCAAGGTCTTTCACGGAAGTGCTAGAGATGGAATTAAAATGCATATCTTTCTGTCTTCAAAGACCACACTCCTTACACTGTATGGCACTGAGTTGTTAGATAAATTGGGTGAAAACCATTTTTCTGTAGAGTGTTGTTTTCAGTGTTGTTGGTCATTTATAATCTCTTTCAGAGAGAAGGCGGGAGGGAGGATAAAATGACAGCCTTTTGGGGAACTATCTTTAAGTTGGAGGGTCATGTGGTCCTTTATAAGTCAGTGCTTCTAAAACCAGGGTACGAGACAACTGCCAATAAACACGTAAATCCTCAGAAAATCATGGTCATTTTCTGAGACATCTATTTCACTCTGAACAAAGTAATATAAACAATCATAAAATTTTGAAAATTATGAGTATGTGGTGGTTAATACTGAGTGTCAACTTAATTGGATCGAAGGATAAAAAGTATTGATCTTGGGTGTGTCTCTGAGGGTGTTACCAAAGGAGATTAACATTTGAATCAGTGGGCTGGGAAAGGCAGACCCATCCTTAATCTGGGTGGGCACAATCTAATCAGCTGCCAACACAGCTAGAATATAGGCAAGCAGAAAAATGTGAAAAGACAGACTGGCCTAGCCTCCCAGCCTACATCTTTCTTCCGCCTCAGTTCCCCTCAGCTGGTACTGCCACCACATCAGCCGCCCTCCCAGAGATAGAAAGATGTAGGCTGGGAGGCTAGGCCAGCCTCCCTTTTCACATTTTTCTGCTTGCTTATATTCTAGCTGTGCTGGCAGCCGATTAGCTTGTGCCCACCCAGATTAAGGGTGGGTCTGCCTTTCCCAGCCCACTGACTCAAATGTTCATCTCCTTTGGCAACACCCTCACAGACACACCCAGAATCAGTACTTTGTATTCTTCAATCCAGTCAAGTTGACACCCAGTATTAACCATCACAGAGTAGAATATAACATTTGCATTAATGTTTAAAATAAAATATTAATTTTAAAATACATTTTATTCTTACAATAGGACTCTTCAGTTTAGACCTCCAGACCCCCTTTGGTACATAGTCATTTTCCTCTGTCCTTTTGTAGTTTTGTGATTTTGTGAAGCACTATCTTAAATCATATAGGAAGGTGAGCTATTTTGCTTTTGCATATTATTGATCCTTATGAAGCAATGAGGAGGGTTTTGCTAATTCTCTATTACAGTATGAATGCTAAAGTGTAAGGTGTTTGTGAATTGGATTGTGAAGCCCAGCTAGAAATTATTTTGATACGATATTCTCTTGGCTGGGCGTGGTGGCTCACACCTGTAATCCCAGCACTTTGAGAGGCCGAGGCTGGTGGATTACTTGAGGTCAGGAGTTCAGACCAGCCTGGCCAACATGGTGAAACCCCGTCTCTACTAAAAATACAAAAATTAGCGGGGCATGGTGGCACACCCCAGTAATCCCAGCTATGCAGGAGGCTGAGGCTGGTGAATCACTTGAACTCAAAAGGCGGAGGTTGCAGTGAGCCAAGATCGCGCCACTGCGCTCTAGCCTGGGTGACAGAGCAAGACTCTGTCTCAAAAAAAGAAAAAAAAAAAAGAACATTCTCTTTACTGTGCAACTACCACCTCTTCGCTATATACTAAAACAGGTATCAAGCTTGTTTTTTTAAGAGCCTTTGCTTTTCCTCTGACTCAAGACAATGTTATTAAAGGCATTTTCAGTGAGGAAGAGGATGGAAGATACAGTACCTCCTTACTCCAATGCAAGGAATTTTTCTAAAAACAAGTCTTTATTTAAACAATAAAATTTGGAAATATTTAAATTTTGTTACAAAATATTTTAAAATATCTTTTTCTTGAGGAGCTATTTAAAATTATTTAAATACAGTTTTAAGTTTAGTTAGAGCAATTAAGATATATTAATCCTTTAATAAATTCTCACCATTAAATAGCTTTTATTTCAAGTGCTAAATAGGATAGTCCAAAAGTGCACAGGGTTTTAGAGTGTACAATTCTGTAGTATTTCAAAATAGGAAGTATAAAAATAATGTACCTTCCAACTTTTTTTCAGCAAGTGCCCAGGTGTTAAAATATATTACATTAGCATTGATTTGTATTCACATAGCATAAGATGTCTTATGACTATTTAAAACCAAAGGCTCAATTTACATACTAAATTAGATAACTCTAAAATTTTACATAGGAACACCAAAATGAAAAATTATCTCTGCCAATGTACTGTATCATAATTGTGTATCATCTAATTCAGTGGAAATTACTGTAGAGTTCTTATCAAACCAGAACTGCAACTGTCAAACTGATAAAATAAATTATCTTTATAGACATTAATGTACTATGTAAGTGGAAAATGCAGAGCAAATGTGAGCCCTCCTATTGTTACAGAATAATTCCTCAGAACAAATAACTTAGACATGTATTTACAGGGATTTAGCAGACAATTATAGAGAAGAAACTTTCTCCCTAATTTTTCCATGATGGAAAAACAGAATTGAAAGGACTTAAAACTATATGGGAGCTAAGGAAAAAAGGTTAACAATTATTACAACACAGAGCTTTAGATTTCATAAATTACCATAACTGTTTATAAGAATGTTTGAGCAGATCTATGATATAAAAGAAACTACGGTTTTCCTGAGATATGACGTTGAATTGTGTATATCGTGGTCATTTGTGTGGCATATGAATCATCTCAGATAGGAGTGAATCTGGCTGTCCATCCAGCAGCTACATTTCAATTTGGCTTTCCTAGTCTTTATAAGATCTCATAGAGCAATAACTCATATATACTATATATTTGTTTCAGGCATGTTTATGGTTAGTATTACCAAAATAATAAGTTATAAAATATGATGTTTAATTGATTCTAGTGACAGAATTTATTGTGATGGCTTTATGAATTACATTATTAAATAATCGGAGAATTATCTAGTGGGCATTTGAAGTTTCAAATGCACACACACATTTAGTAGAAAGTATATAATGGTATTAATGATTCTGATGATTTGGAGAGCTTGGCTCCCTTACAGTTATAAATTCTTTTGATTCTGTTTTTTAATTGTGAGGATTTAAGAGACTTAGTAAGACATCTGTGCACATCCTTCCTGTCTGCAAGTATCTACCATTCTCTGTTTTCAAGACCAGAAACAAGGGAAAGATTGGTTAGACCATTTGCTATGGGTGTGTAGTGAAGACACAGATCCACCTGGTCTCATATGTAACCATGATGAGAAATTATAACAACTGCGATAGAGACTAACATCTTGAATAAATCCCATTCAATAGAATACCTTAAAATAAATTCCTACTCAGATTGAGTTTTATTTTTATGTAATCATATACATAGTAGAGAATGTCAGAAAGTGATTTTTCAAAGATAAGTACATGCTTATAGGATAAGCAAAGACATCTAACAAATAAATTACCTGCAGTAGCATTGTTGATTTTTAGCTACTCTAGATTATATAATAATTTTACAAGAATTATAAGCAGATTATATTATAATAATCTATTCTGATATGAAATGTGAATAATCTCATGTGATCCAATATTTAGCCAACTGTTTAACATAAACCGTAAAGCTCAAAGCTTTGCCGACTGCTTACTAGAACTGTAAAACTCAACTGTTGAGTCAACTGTTTAATATAAAGCCGTAAAACTCTGATGGTTTGCCCTGTATTAATGCCTTGGTCAATTTAACAAATAATCAGTGTTCGACTGTCACTTAAAAGCCTGGCCTGTCAATTTTTAGCTACATCATAAATTTTAGTTATTTAAATTTTTTAACTTTAAGAAGTCCATCAAGTGTCAGACTTAATAACAAAATACATATTATCCCTCCTTAAAAAAAAAACTTAAATAAATAAGACCAAAAAACCCCACACAAAATCCCAAATGAGGACTGTAAGTTCCATGTAACATCGTGGAAGTTAAGATTTATTATTTTATTCAGGGAGTTAAGAGTATTCAAGCATGTCCATTTCCCTCATTAATAATCTATTATATTTGACCAATCCAAAACTCCGGGCAGCAAATATACATGTTTTCTCTGATTTTAATTTTGTCTCTCACAGAATGGTCACAATAAAGCTTTTTGTTTTGATTTCATTTTTATGCATAAGGGAGAATATTCCTTCGGCCAAAAATATAAGCAATTACTTCACTTTGGGGATCTCCAAATTGTTTTCATAGGTAGTAATACTTTACAATTCCATAAAATAAGGACTAAATTAAAATTTGGGGAAAAGCTAAAACTGAAAAGTATGAAAAATAAATGACTACAATATTAGCAAAACAAAATGTAACTAGTCTTAGAGCTAACATAGTGTCCAAGAGAATCAATACAAAAACAAAACTCTGGCTATTGATCTGATTTGCTAATGAGCATTTCAGTTCAATAATAGCAGATGGCATTAGAGAAATGTGCAGTGCTCCCTGGACCTATGTCTCCTACGTCAATCTGCACACACAAAAATATTGTTTATCAAATGAGTCATAAAATGAGACGATTATAAGCATTCAACCTAAGAGAGACTTTCAGAATCCATTTTATCTATATGAACAAAATGCTAAGACTGAGCAATCTTTGTCCTCTCTTCCTTGGGAGAAAGCCAAGCCACTTAAAACATGTTTATTAGAAGCTGCATGATATGCTGAAAGAGCACTGGGCTAAAGGTCATAGTACGTGAGTTCTATCCTTTACTAATTGTGAGTTTAGGAACAAACCACCTTAGCCTCTCAAAGGCCAGTTTCTTCATTTTGGTAAAGAAATGGGTAAATACTGTTTTCCCTTCAAAGAATTGTTATGAGGAACATAAGGCCATGGATTAGAATTTATTTTTCAGGGAGAGCACACAATTCCAATATGACTTTTATTCAACCGTAAGGTATTATTCCTGCAATTGTTACTTATCACAGTTGTACATATTTATCAGAAGAGGAGAATAGCTACCTCTTACACCTGTTAACACATCATTAGTAGGCTGCAAAGAAGCTGACTCATCAGAGCAAATTAAGACATAGCCATTGAGTTTGCTGTTACTCTGATTTTCATCTCAGAGATGCTTCAGATGTTTCAGATTTGGAGAAAAGCCATTTGAAAACATTATGTTGTAGAAAATAAAATATGTAGGAAGTATATGAGGCTCCCTTTTTTTCCTCCTCCTGGGGAGTTTATGTCCCCCATAGAACCCACAAATTAGAGTTCCCATATCTTAATTCCTACTATTATTTTTATCATTAACCCCCCACACACCAAAAAACAAAACTATTAGCATGAGAGAAATAAGATGATTTTTCTCTGAGGTAAAATATTTGGTCACTCTGCAGGAAATCTGAGCAATTACAAAGTCACCTTAAAGAGAGGAGTTTCTCAGACTTTTAAGATGTGAATAGAATCTAACAATATATAATCTAATTGAAAATGTGACTAAAAGAATACAAATATCAATCGGAATGAAAGAAAATGGCATAATTGGGCATAAAAGCAGGGAAAAGGAGACTACAAAGGTTGACAAGACTAATGCAAGTTCTGCTTAGTGGAGAAAACTTACCTGAGGCATCCTAGAATTCGATTCCTACAGCCCTGCCATCACTGCTGTGGAAATGGCACATCGGGCTCCCTTAGCACAAACATTCCATTACTCTTTGTCTTGGCTCCATGACTGGTTTGTCATTAAGCAATGGAAAGGGGTTTTTTATTTTCCCCCCCTGAGGTGGGGATTAGAGTGAAAGAGATTAGGACTATGGAAATCCTTATGGGTTAAAAACCCCGTGGGTGGGGTTAGAAAGGGTGGTTTCAGTTTGAAAAGCCCACCAGGAGTTTAAACCTAGTAATGTATACTCTACCCTCAGGTCCCCCAAATCCATAAGTTAATCATCATTGTTCAATCACAGCATCACAATTCTTTGCCAAAAAGTGATCCACAATATATTCATATATGACCAAATGGAGCCTATATGTACTACATCTGAAATGCATTAGGTGATTATCTTCATTAAAAGAAAAGAACGAAACCTCCCAGAAGAAGGGAGTTTAATTTTTTTGCCCAGTGACCTGTTTGACAACATAGAACTACTGCCTGGCCTGGGAGAAGGATAGACTCCACAGTGAAGATAATTTCTGTCCACTAGTGAAGGTTTGAGAGCCAACTGCAGGCACTAGTACTAGTTGTGCACCTCTGTTCTAAGTAAATAGACTTAGCAAGTTAACAACTTTCACAGCATAGCTATCATAGCCACGGAATCTATCGAACCTATCGTGGTGCCAGCCAGGTACATAGCAGCCTCAACAAATATCAGCTGAAATAATAATTCTTAGGCAATTTGCTTAAGGGTCCCTCTGAAAAAATAAGAATGCTAAACTTACCTACCTTGCAAGTTCCTGAAGAGGTTTAAATGAGTTAATTGCTGTAAGGTGCTTATATACCCGACAAATAGTAAACTCTTATTAGGTGTGTTAAATTAAGATTAATCCATTACAACTGGTGATGTGGAACATGAAAGTCATGATCTCAACTATTTCTATTTCCACCACATTTTATAGTTTAAATGTAATTTATACTTTAAAAGTAATTTCAACAAAGAAAGAAATAAAACTCCAGTTTACGAAGTCTGAAAAACACTAAGGTTGTTTTTATGGACTAACAAAACAGTTCATGAACAATTTAAATTTCTGAATGCATATTTATCATCCTTGTTTCTGTAAGAATGTTGTTTAATTTTTAAAAATTAAATGTATTGGTTAATTTTCACATAATATAACCGTAAAGTCAAACTTTGGTCCCCTTCCTCCATTTATTTTGCAAGCCTGAAACTGCAATTTGGTAATTAGTAGCACATATAATATTCTTTATACACACCAAATTTAAATTTCCACACTATTAACTATTGAACTCTTAACCATTATCTTCAATATTGTGAGCATCTTCTCTTTTAGTCTACTGCTTAATGGAGTGATTTTGCATTAGTACATTATTTGGGGAATATTAGTTATATATATCTTTACTTGGTTCATATGTGAAATACGAAGTATAATATATTGTACTTTTGATTATTTTCAATAATCAGATCGGTAGACATTTATTACTCCAAATATAACTATTACCCGTGAAGTCTGTACAACTTGGATGCTTTTTGGTACTTAATACCTTGGTTGTAAACTATTATGATAGCCCCATACTTTATTTCTTTGCTTCTAATCTCTTCCTCATTAAGCCCAACTTCTGGACTCAGATCAAAGTGATCTAACACAACAACAAACAAACAAAAAATGTCAATTCCCTATCTAAAAATCACCCATAGTCTTCTATAGTCTGCAATATGAAATCTACATTTCTCATGTAACATGAAAGGACCAGTAAATCCACTGCTGGCTGATCACATGAGGCTCACTCCTGAAGTACTTTGCTCTTGCTGTTTCCTCTGTCACCTTTGCTTATAACATTGTTTGCTCCAGATATCCATTTGGCTCAACCCCTCATCTCCTTAGGTTTTTACACTTCTGCTATCTTCTACAACTCCTGATCACTCCATTTCAAATGACAACCCACCCCCTACACTTCCTATATGGATATCTGAAGTCTATTTTCATATGGATATTTCCTATTAAGTCTATTTTCAGATATCCATATAGGATATCTGAATCCATTTTGGATATCCTATAGGATATCTAAAGTCTATTTTGAAACACACACACCAATCACTACCACCATCACCACCAGTTTAAAAGCTTCTTAAGGCTGAATCCTTGGTGCCTGGCATATAATAAGTGCTTAGTAAATATTTATTGAATAAAGGATGAATGAGTGGATAAATTGATAATTATTAGGCCATATAGCTCAGTGTTTTTACCTTATTCTTTATGTTCCCAAAACTATAAATTGCTTGCTTACCCCAAACATGCTATGTTCTCTCATGCCTTGATAACTTACACATATTTATAGAAAACATGTGTAAGTTATCAAGGCATGAGAGAACATAGCATGTTTGCTGTGTTTCCTGCCTCTCTATTCAGTTAACATGGAATCTATTCGTTTACTTAGCAAATATTTTTTGCATGCCTGTTATGTGTTGGGCATGGTGCCAGGAACTAGGAATACAGCAGTTACTAATACAGATAACGTTCCTGACCTCATGAGGCTGCTATTGTATTAGGGAGATGATAGATATTGATGATTACCATAAAGGAAAGAAAGTGATGCTATAGAAGGTAAATGGAGGGTGGAGAGAGGTGTAATTTAAATGGACGCTCCAGGAGGCTTCTTTATGGAGGAGATATTGATGCTAAGACTTCATAGTTGAGAAAAAAAGCAACCTTGGAAGGAAGAAGGAAATCTTTGTCACAGGAAAAGGAAAGAGACTGTGTGTGAAAGCCCTGAGGCAGCAAACATTAAACAGCTCCTTTGATATCAACCTAACTTTTTACTGCCTAGCTCCTAGTTTTTAAAATTGAGTCCTCGATCCACAATGATCTCTTACCAAAATATAAAAGTAGAGGAAAGGCTGAGTTTTCAAACACCTTCTCTAAGTGTCATGATCCCTCAGGCTAACTTAAGTCTTTCTGTATGCTCACATTTTACCTTGTATATTAGAATATTTTTTACATAATATTATAGTAACTTATTTGTTTTTTTCTCTACAAGACAGAACGTTCTTCGAAGATAGGGACCATATCTTTTCATCTTTGTGCTAGTAGACCTAGCACAGTGTCTAGTACATAGAATGCAAACAATAATTGTTTGAGTAAATGAATGTAGAAAGACTTAAGAAAATAGGCAAGAATCATAACATCAGAACTACAGTAACTTCCAATCTTCTTGCAGTTTCTTTTCATTCAAGAGAATATGTCTAAACTTTTATCAAAATCTTCTGTGGCTAATGAATGTTTTACCAAAACTCTAAACTCTTTTAAACTTCCCAGTTTCTCAAAGTCAGTGTGTAAATTATTTTATTCTAGTTTGCACGGAGACAATTTTAAAAGACTGTTTTTTCTCTGTAGTCCTTGAGCAGCCATTTGACCAAATAAATTTAATTTTATAATCAATAAAAGTCAAAAGAATACCTTTTGAAGATAGGGGATCACCCATTTATACCTCTAAATGTTAACCTCAATGCACATTTTGGAGGATATTTGCAAGATTTATTATTCATTTGATGTTTTCTTAAAGGATGTTTGATGTAGGTGGACAGAGATCTGAGAGAAAGAAGTGGATTCACTGCTTTGAAGGAGTTACATGCATTATATTTTGTGCTGCACTTAGTGCCTATGACATGGTCCTCGTGGAAGACGAAGAAGTGGTAAGTCTAAAGGAAAAACAAAGCCAGGGTTAAAAGTAATCTTTGTGCTTTTCAGTAGTACTACCACATTGCCCAACTCATGAAGGTTTGCCAAAGATTTATGTTAGTTCTAGATCCTTGTTCATGATGCTCAACATTCACATTTTGCAAATAATAATCCTACCCATTCTCATTTCTGATACCTAACAGAATAGAATGCATGAAAGCCTTCACCTGTTCAACAGTATCTGTAATCACAAGTATTTTTCAACAACCTCCATTGTCCTGTTCCTCAACAAAAAAGATATCTTTCAAGAAAAGGTAACCAAGGTGCATCTTAGTATCTGCTTTCCAGAATACACTGGTAAGATTTTTTTCTTTTAGTTCCATAGAAATAAATTTTTGTATAAATATATATTTCCTATCTGGATCTTGACATTTAATACTTATGAGGATGAGGCTTATGATCATTTTTGAGTTATCTTTATGATCCAAACTGGAAAAAAAATCTTACAAATAAAGAAGAACCCTCTCTACATTGTGTACATTAAAGCAAAACCCTAATAAAATAAACTGGAAGGGGTTAGATGGACCAGGGTTGCTACTCTATAGACTTTATCAAATGACATTGGAACCTGAATTGTCTTCAAAATTATAACAGGAATGCAAATCTTATTCGAAATTGGCATTTTTAATGTATCTCCTACTGAAACCTTGTAATGCTGTAGTAGATCTCAGAGGCTCTTCAATCTCTGAGTTGTTTCTAGAGATATAGCATGAATGAATTTGAGAATGAATAATGACATCTTCATTTTCCGGTTTTCGTGGATCCTGGAATTTTAGTGCTAATCCTGTTAGTCAGCGATTGTAAGTGTGAAATCCCACAGAAGGGCTGTTTCTCCTTCAGAAAGAATTTTATTTATTTATTTATTTATTTTTGTAAATAGTTGGATATTCCATTGGTAATAAAATTACATAAGAAAAATATTTATTTTTCTTTTTTGAGATGGAGTCTCGCTCTGTCGCTCAGGCTGTAGCCTTTGCCTCGTGGGTTCAAATGATTCCCCTGCTTCAGCCTCCCGAGTGGCTGGGACGACTGGTGCACGCCACAACACCCAGTTAATTTTCGTATTTTCAGTAGTAATGGGGTTTCACCATGTTTGCCAAGGCTGGTCTTGAACTCTTGACCTCAGGTGATCTGTCCACCTTGGCGTCCCAAAGTGCTGGGATTACAGGTGTGAGCCATTGCACCCAGCCATATTTATGATTTAAACAAAAATACAAATCCAGTTTTACCACTTAGGTGCGTAAGGTTGCCCAGATGTTACTAGGACCATGGCATTTTATCAAAACAAATACTTACATTGGTCAACCTACAATTAGGGCTTATATCTTTTTTCTATAATTATAAATATTTATAATATATTCATACATTTATCATGTGATTAAGTATAATAATATATTTTGCATATTACAAATAATATTCAAATATATTGATTACTAATTAAATATAAACTCATAATTAAAGGTTTTATATTATATATATAACAGGACTTATTTCTTAGAGCAGTTTCTAGTGTACAGAGAAATGAAATGTTTCAACAGAAAGTACAAAGAGTTCCCATGTACTTTCTTTCCCATCCCCTCCTACAGTTTCTCTATTATTAGAGAACTGCTTTGGTGTGGTACATATGTTACAATTGATGAATTATATTGATGAATTGATATTAACACATTTTACATTATTAACTAAAGTCCATCTTTTTTTTTTTCTTGAGATGGAGTCTCACCCTGTTGCCCAGGCTGGAGTGCAGTGGCACGATCTCAGCTCCCTGCTACATCTGCCTCCTGGGCTCAAGCTATTCTTCTGCCTTGGCCTCCCGAGTAGCTGGGATTACAGGTGCACGCCACCACGCCCGGCTAATTATTGTACTTTTAGTAGAGACGGGATTTCACCATGTTGGCCAGGCTGGTCTTGAACTCCTGACCTCAGATGATCCATCCGCCCTCCCAAAGTGTTAGGATTACAGGCATGAGCCACCGTCCCCGGCCAAGTCCATCATTTAATTAGGGTTCACTCTTTATGTTGCACAGTTCTATGTGTTTTGCCACATGCAGGTCATGTATCCAGCATTACAGTGTTATACAGAACAGCTTCGCTGCCTTAAAAATCCCCTGTGTTCCCCCATTCATGCCTCCTCCCTCCTCACACTCCTGGCAACCACTGATCTTTTTATTGTTTCTATCCTTTTGCCTTTTCCAGAATGTAATATAACTGGAATCATATGACATGTAGCATTTTCTTACTGTCTTCTTTCATTTGCAATATGCATTTAAGTTTCCTCCATGTCTTTTTATGGATTGATAGCTAATTTTTTTATTCCTAAATTAATATTCTGTTCCTTAAACGAACCACAGTTTATCCTTTCAGCTACAGAAGGACATCTTGGTTCCTCTCAATTTTTGGCAATTATGGAAAAAGATGCTATAAACATCCATGTGCAAGCTTCTGTGTAGACATAAGTTTCTAGGTAAATGCCTAGAAGTGTGATTGCTGGATTGTATGGTAAGACTATCTTTAGCTTTGTAAGAAACTGCCAAATTGCCTTTCAAAGTGACTGCACTATTTTGCATTTCCACAAGCAATTAACTCCTATAACTCCATGCACTTACCAGAATTTGGTATTGCCAGTGTTTTGGATTTTAGCCATGTTATATGGCTTTAAAGCTTGTCCTTCAAGGAATTTTGTTTCTAGTTACAATAAAGTAGGAAACAAAGACTTATTTTTTAGAAAGTCTTTATGCTACTGCTCTATTCTGTGTCAAGTCCCCTTAAAGCATATTCTGTTATAAAGCCCATCAACAGGTCATTTTTAGTAGTCCTGTATTTTTTAGCCTACTTGTTTTATTTCTGCCTTTTCTCAACTGATTCATTGCACATCCTGCTATTGGACTAAAGTTTCTCAAGCAGAGCCTTCATTGTATTACTGCTATATAACACATCAGTGAAGAGTACCTCTCTATAGCCTTTTATATCGCATCCTAACTCCTTTGTTTTGTTAGTAACATAGTCTATAATCTAGCCCATAACATCTATTCTACTTGATTTCCTACAATTCCTCTACAAAAATCTTTCATTTCTATCGAAGTAGATTCTTCAAAGCTCAGTCTGTTTCCCGACCCTACCCTCAAGTCTAGTGCTACAATTCTCACTTTCACTTTTTTGTTTTCACTTACTTTTCTCTGTTGTAGCTACCTCTCAAAGTCCAGCTCAAATACCATCTCCTTCTGTGCCTTAGTCATCTACCTTTTCCATTCTTTTTCTCTTTTAATTTGTATAAAAACACCCATACCCATACCCACAAACACACACACAGTGTTTGATGTATACGTAAGTTTGTATCACTCACTTTGTTTTATAAATATTTTGGGATTTCTACTGTATTTTGAGCTTTTTGATGCAAAGTTTACCTTTTAGCCACCGGGAGCTCCCAAAGGGGTGAGCATAGTTCCCAGCACCCTGATAATTGACCGTTGCCTTTATGATTTTGCAATACTTTGTATATCAAAGTAAAATCCTAAAATTTGCTGATATTATTTATAGCCTATTCTTTGTAACATATGATTAATCTTTACTTCTTCAAATATTTTGTTTAACAAGGGCCAAATACATTTGAAGATGCAGGAAACTACATCAAGAACCAGTTTCTAGACCTGAATTTAAAAAAAGAAGATAAGGAAATTTATTCCCACATGACCTGTGCTACTGACACCCAAAATGTCAAGTTTGTGTTTGACGCAGTTACAGATATAATAATCAAAGAGAATCTAAAAGACTGTGGGCTTTTCTAATCAACTATTTTCTCTTCCACTCTTGCTCATGTATGCTTTTCAAAATATAAAAGAAAAGGTGCTGTATGACGTGTTTAGTTTGAATAGACATTAACTTATCTAGACATATAACTAGCATTGTAAAGCAAAAAGTTTTCCCACAAAAATATTTATGTGTTATCATCTATATCTGGATAAGTTTAAATTTCTTTGGAACATGGGGAATGGGAGTGTCTTTGATGTCCTTATATCTAAAAACTGATATATTTTGGTAACTGTAACAGTACATATCAATGACACTGGATTTTCTTGGAAATAAACCTCTACATGCAGACTATTTGTAATCATAGAATAATGAAGAAATATGGAATAATATTATTTCCATTGGCCAGATTTTGAGAGGCATTCATTTTTGTTGATAATGTAGCCATGCCAGTACTGTAGAGACTTTTTTTTTTTTAAGAGACAGGGTCTCACTGTGTTGCCCAGACTGGAGTACAGTGGCACAACCATAGCTCACTATGGCTTCTAACTCCTCAGCTCAAGCGATCCTCTCACCACAACCTCCTGAGTAGCTAGGTCTACACATGCATGCCACCATGCCCAGCTAAGTTTTTTGTTTTTTGTGAGTTTTTTTTATAGTAACAGTGTCTCACTATGTTGCCCAGCCTGGCTTGAACTCCTGGCCTCAGGTGATCCTCTCTTCTCGGCCTCTCAAAGCCCTGGAATTACAGGCATGAGCCACGGCTCTTGGCCTGGAAAGTCTATTTTAAAAGGGCATGAGGCATTTATTAGTCAATTACCCCTCTGTTAGGCAGCTGCAAATGAAATGTTCTCTATACATTTCTTTGTTAATATGAAATTACATTTGCAAAATAAATATATTCAATTTTATCTCCTACATTATTTTCTTTAAAAAAATCATTAATGCTGAATTTACTCTTGGAGTTGAAAATTTCAATAATTTATTAATTTTTTTTTTTTGCACTACCCTGGTTGAAGAGAGGGGGAAGTATATGGTCACATACACAATGTAAGGCTTTATAAGTGAATAATAGTTTTTAATGGAACGCCCATTCCCCACATTTTATTCCAGATTGGCATGGAACATTATGACAACTGACGACCACATGGGCTTTGGGATGACAACTCTGGACTTCAAGAGAGAAAAATAATTTAATGTTTTAGCACTCATATGTTTTTTGTTTTGTGAATAAGAAGTGGGAAGGAAGAACAAGCAGATTTTTAGAAGGTAAATGTTGAGCTCCTCCCTTGGTTCTGCATGGTCCATTCTGACTATCATATTTTATTCTAATGGTCAAAGTCTTCCTTTTTAAAAAACCAAGTTGGTGCTTTACAAACTAAATCAAGTTATCTATGAAGATTACAGGTGATTTTTTTCTTTTTATAAATTGTCTACCATTTGCAATACTTTTTTTTTTTTTTTTTTTTTTTTTTTTGAGACAGGTTCTCACTCTTGCTCAGAGTGGAGACCAGTGGCCCAATCTCAGCTCACTGAAACCTCTGCCTCCCAGGCTCAAGTGATTCTCCCACCTCAGCCTCCGGAGTAGCTGGGATTATAGGTGCACACCACTACTGCCCGGCTTATTTTTGTATTTTTAGTGGAGACAAGGTTTCACTATGTTGATTAGGCTGGTCTCAAACTCCTGACCTCAAATGATCCACCCACCTTGGCCTTCCAAAGTGCTGGGATTACGGGCGTGAGCCACCATGTCTGGCCCTGCAAAACATACTTTTAAAGCATGTCTGGGCCAGGAGCAGTGGCTCATGCCTATCCCAGCACTTTGGGAGGCCAAGGCCGGTGGATCATGAGGTCAAGAGATCAAGACCACCCTGACCAACATGGTGAAACCCCATCTCTACTAAAAATACAAAAATTAGCTGGGTGTGGTGGCATGCACCTGTAGTCCCAGCTACTCGGGAGGCTGAGGTAGGAGAATTGCTTGAACCCAGGAGGTAGAGGTTGCGGTGAACTGAGATCACGCCACTGCACTCCAGCTTGGGCAACAGAGTGAGACTCCATCTAAAAAAAAAAAGCATGTCTCACTATCATTTATCCTTCTATACTTCTGGAAAATGATATATAGTCAGAATATTAGGTCAGCTAGGACTCTTAAAAATATTTAATTAAATTCTTATAAGCTAGGTGAGTTGCAGGGAAGATAAGTTAAACAATTTGCCAAACTGCGGTTTAGGTGGATTTAGATAATTCTGTCTCTCAGTGTTGCTACTTCATTTTTCTATGATGTATTTTCCTTCTAAACACATAAAGATAATCATAACTCAATGAATAATCTTCACTTAAGTGCCTGTGGCTTTTTTTCCCAAAAACAAAGAGCAATTATCAACAAATACAGTCAAATTTTAAAAATTATATTAAAAAATTAATTTGAAATTCCAAGATATCAAGCACACATGAACAAAAGCATGAGCAATCATTTAGTTCAGGCATTCCATGAAGTTTTCTAGCTAAGAATCACTATCTGTATGACAACCATCCAACGTTTTGCTAGAAGACGTTCAATATTATGAGATTTTAAATAAATATTACAAATACTATATTTCATTCATCGCTTTGTCTTTCCTCCCTTCCCACTCTACATCAACCTGTTTTCTTCCATAAGTGTGAAGAGACTCTTCCATAAAGGAAAATATATCATTTGAAATGTTACTGACTTAAGTTTAGGATTCATTTTTTAGACAATGTAGGTGGAAAGGGTGGGGTCAGAAATGGTTCAGTTTGCTTTTCAGAAGTACATAACTCTTGACCTCATGATCTGCCCGCCTCAGCCTCCCAAAGTGCTGGGATTACAGATGTGAACCACCAAGTATCTACTAAAAATACAAAAATTAGCTGGGTGTGGTGGTGCATGCCTGTAGTCCCAGCTGCTTGGGAGGCTGAGGCAGGAGAATCACTTGAACTTGGAAGGTGGGGAGGTTGCAGTGAGCTGAGATCATGCCACTGCACTCCAGCCTGGTGACAGAGCGAGACTCCATCTCAAACAAACAAAGTACATAACTCATTTTGCCCTGTGCACAAAAGTGACAGGCATAAATATTTACTTCTGAAATATTGTTCTCTGAGAACATTAAACAGTACGTTAAATGACCAAAATGAAAATGGAAGTTATCTTGAATTATTTTTAAAAAGAAAACCGTTAAATTCCTCCCAATATTATGATTTCACTTAAAGAAGTTTTCTTCATCATCACAAATATTGCCATGCTAAATAATGAATTCTAATTAAGAAAAGAGAATTTTTAGTAAAGAAAAAAATTAAATAGATGTTTGTATTAATTCTTTAATGATTGCAACCTTTAAAATTTAATTATTTCAGATTTCACTTTTAAAAGTTTAATACAAAAAGTTAGAGTAGAAGCACAGCATTTGGGGCTAGTTTTTAAATATAACAAAATAAAATATGGAAAAGTTTGCTTCTACCCTGAAGAAACTTCCACTGAGAACAGTAATGTTGGTTAAAATGAAAACATGCATTTCAAGCTGAGGCTCAGGCTTCTATCTGTGCCGTCGGTGCCCTTGCTTTTTGCGGTTGCTGCTCAGTCACATGCTCAAACAAACAAACAAAAATGAATGCCATTCAAACTCGCTCAAACATGATTATAATGCCAACACACTGCACTACCTCAGAAACAAGATGTGGGCTTATATACAGTGGGGTCATTAACAACCAACCCTCACAGCAATTTTCCAGAAGCATCAACTGGCCAATAAGTTAGACTTTGCATCCTGGGATTAGTGACTAGTGAGTTAAATAAAGATATACTTTTGTGTCAAAATATGGAAGTGGCCGGGAGTGGTGGCTCACGCCTGCAATCCCAGCACTTTGGAAGGCCGAGGTGGGCAGATCACCTGAGGTCAGGAGTTTCAGACCAGCCTGGCCAATATGGCAAAACCCCGTCTCTACTAAAAATACAAAAAAATTAGTTGGGCATGGTGACGCACACCTGTAATTCCAGCTACTTGGGAGGCTGAGGCAGGAAAATCGCTTGAACTCTGGAGGTGGAGGTCACAGTGAGCCAAGATTGCGCCACTGCACTCCAGCCTGGGTGACAGAGTGAGACTCTGTCTCAAAAAAAAAAAAAAATATATATATATAAAATACACACACACACACACACACACACACACACACACACACACACACACATATATATTATGGAAGCAATCAACTCCACAAAGATGCTGTATGGAAAAGGGGTTTCAAATTCTGTGGAATCGCCAACATTGACTATGAATATCCAATATCCTATTGGTTAAAAAAAATTATGAACAAATATACTCTTAATAATAGACTTAATAATAGTCTTATTAAAATATCACATAAATAGCAAACTATTTTCTCAGGCCATAGGCCTGTCCTAATACCAATTTCCTACCAGATACGTCTTCCTATTTACTTATAAAATGTATTTTTAAACACTTGGAGAGAATGACTTAGGCTTGACTTAACCAAATACTTTAGACATGAGGAAACATACGTCTTTTGTGTTGATTTATGTGTCTTTACTATGTTATACACTTCAGAATTAGAAGCAGACCTATTGGTTAAAATGTATGACTACTAAAAATAATATGATTGTAAGAATTATGGAAGAAACTGAGAATCCTGTATCTTAGAAAAACTTTAAAAACAGGAGAAACAACTCTGTGCTTGGGATGGAGTAAATATTAACAAGATAATATTAATATAACCAATTGAAGCCCCCTTTCCATTAATGCTTCAGACATTCTTACAAACCAATCTATAGCCACATGGGGGCACACTTACATCACAGGTTTTTCCCTCCAAATATTAAAAACAATACATCTAGATGACCAATAACTTTAGTGAAACAAATAATAAAATCTTGTTAAGAATCATAGTATATTTTTTGACTTTAACTCAGTAGTATATTATAACATTCTGAAAACATAATATGTAATATTTTAGTCAAGTTTAGTTTATGATTAAGGAAGCTACTGAAGCTGCTCCAAATTTGTAGTGTTACACAGATACATCGTTCTTTTAGGATCTTCTTACTTTTTTGGTCATTTTGTTTTAGTCTAAGTAATTATTAATTTTGTAAAGTGTGTCTTTCAGTTATCTGTATTGTGTTTAAAATCTTGATTTGCTCACAGAGACTAGTAGGAGAAATATAATTTGATGCCTGACAACTGTGTTTTGTGAGTTGTAATCAATTGACTGCTTATTAATGTATATCTTTTCAGCAAATCAAAGTAAAATCCCATTCTGCTAAAACATTAACCATTCCATTATTCTGTTTATTACAACTTTTTCCCAGCGACCACTCCACCAAATCAAGAGGAAAATGAGTGCTCTGTCACATTTTTCTTTATCACCACTGCTGCGACCAGCACATTTTTCATTAATAATAGCAACGTTTTTATTTTAAGCCACATTTGTCACACTAGTTAAGTAATAAATAGAGTCAAATGAAAGAAAAAGGAAATAAAAAGACCCTAATTTAATTCATGGGGGACAGTAATGGTCTTCTAATTATTACACCTTTCAGATAAGGAATAACATATGAGACACAGGCAAAGCCAGTATTTTATGTGAAAGACATTTATATTTTCTAAAGTGGTCAGTTTGGGACAAAACCAAGCACACATATGTAATTGAAAATTGTTTTTTCAAAGTATACTGCTGTAAGTTTTCTCCTCTGAAAAATAAAAATGATCAAGTATTAATTGCATTACAATATCAAAATTAATGGAGAATATTTATGTTTAATACATTAAAAGCCTTACCTGGGAGAAAAGAACTAGATGATTGCGCTTAGAGTTAGCATAAGAAAGTTTATCATATAAAGCACCCTATCCTGAATGCCAAAGAACAAGATAATCTGGGCTACAATCATCTTATTCATTAAAAGTCTGAATATTTTATTACACTTAAAATATTGGTATACAAGTGTACATTTATATAAAGCACAAGGTAGGTGAGATAATTTACCAGCAAAAGAAACAATTTAATTTCCCTAGGAGTTAGAGGTCCGTGAGTCTGTCAGTCCACCTGAATCCACAAATGCTTAGCCTCTATTCAAGAAATAATCACTTAGCATTTTTATTCCCACATATGGTGTGCACTACAATGATACATGTGGCAGAATAGCATAATCACCTACACTTTTGGAAACAAAAGGCAGAGAATTGTATAATAAAAATGTACATAGGCCAGGTGCAATGGCACACACCTGTAATCCCAGAACTTTGGGAGGCCAAGGCGGGAGGATTGCTTGGGCCCAGGAGTTCAAGACCAGCCTGGGCAACATAGTAAGACACTGTCTCTATTAAAAATACAAAAACTTAGCAAAGCATGTTGGAACGTGCCTGTTGTCTTCAGCTACTTGGGAGGCTGAGGTGGGAGGATAGCTTGAGCCCAGGAGTTTGAGGTGGTAGTAAGCTATGATGGTGCCACCACACTTCAGCCTGGGAGACAAAGTGAGACCCTGTCTTAAAAATAAATAAATAAATGTATAAAAAACAGACACAAATGCTTATTTCATCTTCACAATTGTGTTCCTTTTCATATTTAAAAAAGAACAAATAATACTGTGACAGGGTTCAGGACATGTACCACAAAATATAGCACTTTGGCATTTGAGAAGACAGCTTAAAGAAGAAGATCTCTCTGACTTTCTCTCACCATTCTTCCCTGAAGCAAGCCATAAAAGAATTCTCTGACCTTCCTTTAAAGTAGGTCAGAAAGCCCTCATTCTAGAGGGATACTTCCTATACCAAAAGGAAAGAAATAAAGACACCGAGAAACCGAGAATAATTTGAACAGGCCTTGCTAACGTCCCCATAGCTTATTACCATTAGATCATATCCTCTTTCATTCAATCATACTTCCACAAGACTGTTGTACTAGTCCATTTTTCATACTGCTATGAAGAAATGCCCAAGACTGGGTAATTTATAAAGAAAAAGACGTTTAATGGACTCACAGTTCCACATAGCTGGGGAGCACTCACAGTCATGGCAGAAGGTTAAGGAGGAGCAAAGGCACATCTCACATGGCAGCAGGCAGGAGAGCATGTGCAGGGGAACTGCTCTTTATAAAACCATCTCGTGAGACTTATTTACTACCAGGAGAACAGCATGGGAAAAACCCACCCCCATGATTCAATTACCTCCCACGAGGTCCTTCCCACGACACCGTAGGAATTATGGGAGCTACAATTCAAGATGTGATTTGGGTGGGGACACAGCCAAACCATATCAACTGTCCAGCCTTCATTCAATGTAAGCATTAAAACACATAGTTTTCCCTGCTTCTTTGGGTCTTAATTTCTGAAGACTCCTGTGTCACATAAATCTTCTACTAAATTTGCATGCCTTTCTCTTGCTACCCTGTCTTTTGTTATAGGGGTTTCAGCCTTGAACCTAGCTACAGATGAGGAAAAGATATTGCTTTTCTCCCCTACAACTGCTTGATGATCTAAAGCCACAGCCATGCTGCTTTGCTGTTTTTCCTAGGATGTTCTTTACCTTAAAATAGTAGTGGAAGCACATATGCAGTTATACTTTGGACTCTGCACTCCTAGAAGGCTTCAATAAACTTAGACTCCAACAGCAAATCACTAAGCCGGTATTTCATTGTAAATCTGTGGCAAAAAGTTCCCCTGAACTATATTTTCCCTCCTAGGATGGGTGACACAGTCACTGTAGGGAAGCGTGGGCTATGTTTGAGGACTTAATTTTAAATCCCAGTTTGAGCACCAATCCGCTGTGAGACATTGAACAGTCGTTTATTTTAGGTGGTAGTTTTTCTTACCTATGAACGAACAGAGTAGATTAAACAACCACCACAGACCAACATAACCTCAGCTTGTGACTCGGCAATTTCTTTTGAAAACTGATACCAGAGTAAGCTTGTCTTAACTCTTACTAAAATGAGGAAGAGGAATGGTATGCAAAAGATTTTTAATGAACATTTAAAATATGACTTTTATGTTTAAAAATTGTGATTTCCTTTTCATTTTAGGTTTAAATTGAAGGCTTAAAAGTGTTATTTATTCCTGGGGAAAAGAACCAGATATCTAATGTTGCCCCTAGGAAAGATTTCACAAGGGCAACATTTCATTGTTAAGCCTGGTAGAACATCTCGTGTCATCCAAGGGAGGGAAAATGAATTAATGTATAAACATTTTATTAAAGAATAATGTAAAAACTTGGTAAGTTACCAAACATCACTGAATTGAACACATAAAATGGGCCAATATATGTTAGCTCCCAAAAATCATAACAAAAATAATAAAGGTGATTTTGAAAGGAATAAAGTGGCATTCATTCATACCCATAGTATCTCACCTACGTAAGAGAATTAAAAAGTATTTCATAAATTAATAAATGATGAGTCCATATTTTCCATAGTGACCTCCACTGGGACGTGGAAATGTCCCAAACTTCAATATCCTTGTCAATATAGGTCTACATTCCCTGCATAGCTGGTTGCCTAAAAGTAATAGTTAAATTTTATTTTTTAAAACTCCTAGAAGCTGAGATAATTTCTGGGTTAAAATAAAGTTTCAGGAGTGCAGTTACTCAGGGAAAGTGGCCCTGATTTCACATGTTCTGTCCTTTGCAGGATCAAAGTCCACTTGCAGGATTATGTGCCAGGACTGCCCTCTCCCCTACAAGCCCTGTTGGCGCCTACTCATTCTTCAAATCTTAGGTTAGAGTTCACTTCTTAAGACAAGGTTCTCAAACTTCACGGAATAGAAGTTCATTCGCCTGTATGTACTTCTACGGGTCTTCATAATTTTACTCTTGTTTTTTTTTGTTTTGTTTTGTTTTGTTTTTAAGAAGAGTCTTGCTCTGTTACCCAGGCTGCAGTGAAGTGTTCTGATCTTGGCTTTACTGCAACCTCTACCTCCTGGATTAAAGTGATTTTTGTGCCTCAGCCTCCTGAGTAGCTGGAACCACAGGCACACACCACCATGTCCAGCTAATTTTAGTGTTTTTAGTAGAGAGGGGGTTTTAACATATTGGCCAGGCTGGTCTCGAACTCTTGGCCTCAAGTGATCTGTCCCTCTCGGCCTCCCAAAATGCTAGGATTACAGACATGAGCCACCACATCTAGCCCATAATTTTACTCTTTACAACTTATTAAAGTTTACAAAGAAATATTTATGTGTGTAATTTTTCAACTTATTTTTATTTCTTCATATTACTATGCACTCCCTGAGAGCAGAGACCAGATATGGGTTTTTCCCCACCTGCTCTTTACACAAAATAGAAACTTAATGAATGAATGTGAATTAATAAAAAAATTAGCCAATGATTGTTTACCGAGGTCTCCTGGAGAGCGTCCTTATTACTCTTGACTTCCAGAATGCCATAATTCCCTGGTTTTTCTGCTGAATCTCATGTTTCTTCTCCTCAAGCTTCCCTGATCATTGTGTAAATGTTAGTATTACTAATATTCACTAGGCCATCTTCTCTTCTCATTCTATACATTCTGAGAAATCTTAAGTCTTTCATGGCTTCATTTTTTTTTAGACAAGGTTAGTCTCTTGATCCCTGCATGCATATCTTCCTGTCTCTTCAAACATATACAGACAAATAAAACTCAACATTTCAAAAAAAAAAAAAAAAACAAACCACTATTTATTACCTCCAAGTCTATCCCTCCTCTTAGTTATTTAAGCTGGATTAGTTTTTATCCTTCTTCTTCTTCTTTTTTTTTTTTTTTTAACTGACACAGTTTCACTCCTATTGCCCAGGCTGGAGTTCAGTTGGGCAATCACTGCTCACTTCAGTCTCGACTTCTCGGGTTCAGGTGATCCACCTTAGCCTCCCAAGTACCTGGGACTATGGGTGTGCACCACCATGCCTGGCTAATTTTTTTTTGTATTTTTAGTAGAGACTGTGTTTCACGCTGGTCTTGAACTCCTGGGCTCAAGGGATCCACCCACCTTTGCCTCCCGAAGTGCTGGGATTAGGGGCATGAGTCACTGTGCCTGGCGTATTCTTTTCTTTCACATTTCAAATTATTCAACATGTTTTGTTTATTCTACATTCTCATTCTAAATTTTTTTTTAATGATCTGCTTTTCTGCATCATCACTGCCCCTTGTCTTGTTCATCTCTCTTGCAGAGATTCCTGAAACACCTTCTTAAACTGTGGTGGCCTCCACTCTTGCCACTTCCAGTGTTTTCACCCAACTGCCAGATGCTCTTTCTAAAATGCAGTGCAACTACATGACACAACTTCAAATGCTTCCATGGTACTCTAATGCCTATAACAATGTCCAGCTGCCATACTGTTTAAATGTTCTTAACTACCTGGCATCTTTTTACCTTGCTAGCTCAATCTTTTACCTTTATAAATACAATTGCAAACATCCTCTCTCCCAGAACATTCTTCTTCTCCCTGTTGGTTGACTAACTAACTCAACTTTTAGGTTTTTACTTTTTTAAGAAGTGCTTCCTTTACCAGCCAGTTCTTGGCTGACTATCTGTCCTATGTGATCTCTGAACAACTTGTACTTCCTTCTTCATAGGCCTTATCACTATAACAACGTCAGGTAAATCTCTGTGACTAGTACGCAAAACAGACAATCCACATTTAAATAATATTACACATGTGTAACAGAGCATGTGTATGTATGTGTATGTATGTAGGTGTTAAGGTTCCCAGTTCTGTATTAATGCTTTTGGTGGGAAAGGGAGGAATAATAAAAATGTCTAAAGAAAGTGATGTACTATGAGTAAAAGGCCATCATTTTTTTTCTACCCAATTCAAGGTTTTAAAAAATCTTGAGTACATTTGGTAAAATTTCCAATTGGTAAGCTTTACACATTTATTTTATATTCCAAATAATGCTACATAAATGTCAGCAATCTCTGTTCTCCCAAAGCCATTTACCCAATTTCATTGGTGTCAACAAAAGTTATACATGCTTGTAGAGAGGAAATCAGACCCTTCACTATTCAAAGAAATAATGGTAGAATCCTAAAGCCATGTTAAAGAAAGCAACACAACCCTTGCCTTTGCCACCTGATAGATGTTTCTGTAAACAGAGATCCACCTCAGTGTCTCAAAGCGTTGAGGTAAGACTGCTGAACTGAGGGCTGACACACAAGTCAAGTGGATTTTTAGTCTTTTGATAACAAAAGTGCAGCACATCAAAAAGGTCTGTAACTATTTATCTGTCCATTATATAAGAAACACAAGACCGGGCGCGGTGGCTCACGCCTGTAATCCCAACGCTTTGGGAGGCTGAGGCGGGCGGATCACGAGGTCAGGAGATGGAGACCATCCTGGCCAATATGGTGAAACCCGTCTCTACTAAAATACAAAAAAATTAGCCTGGCGCAGTGGCGTGCACCTGTAGTCCCAGCTACTCGGGAGGCTGAGGCAGGGGAATCGCTTGAACCTGGGAGGCAGAGATTGCAGTGAGCCGAGATCACGCCACTGCACAGCCTGGCGACAGAGCGAGACTCTGTCTCAAAAAAAAAAAAAAAAAAGAAAAAGAAAAAAAGCACGAATCTTGAAATGTGTTTAGGAGCATTATTTTCAGTCTAACTGCTTGCAAAAGCAGATTTATGACATATGAAGCACTGTCCTTGGAGCAACAAAATACAATAGTAAAGGAACCAACCTTCAAAATCCATAAACATTTTGTTTTACAACTTTTAAATTATATTTTTACAATAACTACAGTGTAACCTATTTAAATATACAACTCTATTTTTAATAGTCTTTTTCCCTTACTATCTTTGAGCCTTCCAAGGATAGTCTTTGTCTCTTTAATGTCAGGACAGATTGTGAACTGTTTACTCAACCACTTTACAAACCTAAAACATATTTTCACCAAAATATCAGTACTAAATTAAAGCTAGTAACAACCTCTACTATAAATGACCACTGTCTGTAACATTCCAAGAGATAACAAGGCATATATACCTGATTAAAGTTTTATCACAGAGCTTTGGAAAATGCTTACACTTCAAACCTTGCAATATAACTTTGGTAACTAATAAACAGGTTAATGACTTTCTAATGTCTACAATTATAAGTAGATAATAGGGGAACTCTTATTTGTAGTTTTTTGTAATATGAATGTATTTTTTCCTTTGAATTTCTCACATTTATATTACATATTTTATATATATATATATATATATATATATATATATATACATTTTTTTTTTTTTTTTAAGATAGAGCCTCACTCTGTCGCCCAGGCTGGAGTGCAGTGGTGCGATCTAGGCTCACTGCAACCTCCGCCTAGCATGTGTGTGTAACTTAGGGAACTCATCATAAAATTTTCAAGTTTCTTCTATCATTGTTCCTTAAACTTATAAATTCATCAAGCCTAGCTACTTCAAGGGTTTTGTCTTCTAGCTGTAAAGCATCAAGTTGCTGAATATAGTCAACTACGTCAGCTCATGCTTCATGAAAATCTAAAACGTTTTTGCCAAATATATAAGTGTTTTCTAAAAAATTAACTAGTGAAGACTAGCATTTACTTAGTCCTCTTCAAGCTCACAAATTTAAGTCCAATTGATTGAGGGTTGTACCTTTTTTTGTACACAATTCATGGAGTTTCATTACTGAAAAATTGAATTAAAAACTTCTCACAGATTCAATAAATTTCTACTGTTCCTATACTCAGTCTATGCTATCTCTTAGTTGTATTTAAATTCCAAAAATGTGGTTAGTGTCACTTTCTATTTTAAAAGAGGTTTGAAGAGGCAAATTTTTCCCCATGTGTAATAACCAGACCAAATTGCAACCAGCTTGGAATTTATTGAACTCAGAACATGAATGGTGAATGTACACAATTTGACTTTCTTATGATCATGTAATAGTCTACAAAATGCATTGTGATATTTACCTGCTGAAACAATGTTTCCACTTTGAAAGCCTTTTTTTTTTTGTTTTTTTAAGCCTAAATAAAATCTTACTCCATGAGAGGACTATCTTCAAACTCTGTCTCGGCAGAGGCCCAGCAGATGTCTGTTTATATTACCTTTGTGATCTATGATAACAAAATGCCCAGCTGAGCTCATAGCATTTTATGAGTGTTCCAAACCCAGGAGGTTGGCATATTAAATACCCACATACTAATTGTGACATTAATCTCTAACCATCAACTGACGGAGGATGTTAGGGTTGCATGGGAAACATGTTTTAGTTTAAATCACTTCATCGAGTAGCTCATGTAGGGCCATATTTTATTAAAATTCCAATAAGAGACGTCATGAAGCGAGGAAGTATAACTGAGTATAAATTTTGACAGTAAAAACTCTGTGTAGATATGCAAGTTGTGTAAGTAGAATATAATAAAACTGGGATCCAGAACTCAAAGGACATTATTTATTTTTAACACCTGACTACACATGGGATTTTTTTTTTTTTACTAAATAGGGTGTTTTTAGACTATAAGGGGATTTGTTTCTTTTAAACCCTGGTATCTTAAAGCATAATGAATAGTTTAACTGTGTTATAGACTATTCTGTCTTCTGAGGCAGAATATTTTCAACATTGTTTATCCCTTTCTTAGTGTCTTGTAATCATTATGATGAACAATAGTTACTATGTAATGCAATAATAGTCGGAGTTTCAATGTAGGCATGTGGGTTTCATTTTATTCATTGTTATAGGAACTTATGTATATGAGAAGCTAATGTTAGTCAACAGGAGCAAAAAAGCCCTTGCTTTTAAAGACAAAAAGAATAAGAGGAACATCCTCTCCAGTGTGGAGAGATTATAAATAGAGAAGAGTAGTGACAATTAAGGGTTCTTCAGTTAGACATCTGGGCTGATATCTCAGCTTTCTCACTTATTAGCTACACAGCTTAGAGTGAGGCCCTTAACTCTTCAGTACCTGCATCTATAAAATGAGGAAAATAATAGCAGCTACTGCTCAGAATACAGAAATGAATGAGATAATATGTGTGGAATGCTCAGAAGAGTGCCTGGTGCCTGGTACGTGGTAGAGATTAATAATTATTAATGCAGGGGGCAGTTAACATGTAATTATTATGTTGTATGATAAAAATATAAAGAGGTTTGTGGGGGGTTTTTGTTCATTTTTTTTTTTGCTTGTTTGTTTTGAGATGGAGTCTTGCTGGGTTGCCCAGGCTGGAGTGCAGTGGTGTGATCTTGGCTCACTGCAACCTCTGCCTCCCGGGTTCAAGCAATTCTTGTGCCTCAGCCTCCTGAGTGGCTGGGATTACAGGTGCACACCACCACACCCAGCTAATTTTTTGTATTTTTAGTAAAGATGGGGTTTTGCCATTTTGGCCAGGCTGGTCTCAAACTCCTGACCTCAGGTATCTGCCGATCTCGGCCTCCCAAAGTGCTGGGATTACAGGCATGGGCCACCACTCCCAGCCAAAATATAAAGAGGTTTTGTAGTATAGCAGATGACGTGGTTGGGGAAGGGGAAGGGATTTGAAGAAAATAGAGGTAAAATGGAAAAAGATTCAGAAGAAGCATCCTCTAAGAGGTTAACATATTGATTAAAAGAATGATCTGACAGAATTTTTGTATCTATTGCAAATATTGGTTAATCTTACCAGTAACATCTGACTTTAGGAACTCTTATTCCATCTTTACCATAATTATATTTGATAATTATATTCATTGTGTTGGGCCTATGGATTATTTTTATTCATTAATTTATTTGTTCATCTATCCTCTATCCATCCACTAATCCATTCATTTATTCATTCAATTTTTAGTAAATAACTATATGAATGGGCACCCTAAAAGTTACTGTGTAATGATTAAGGTTCAATATGAGGTGTCTTTCCTCATATTGAGACAACAAACATTCAACCTAACATGCTGTAGACTGAGTGATTGTGTTCCCCAGAAATTCATATGCTGAAGCCTAATCCCCACTGAGATAGTATTTGGAGGTGAGGTCTTTGGAAGGTGATGAGGTCATGAGGGTGGAGGCTTCATGAATGGGATTAATGCCATTATAAAAGAGGCCCCAGAGAGATTCCTCACCCCTTCCACCATGTGAGGACACAGAGAGCAGGCAGCCCTAGTATGAACCAGGAATTGGGCGTTACCAAATCCGCCAGTACCTTGATCTTGGATTTCCCAGCCTCCAAAGCTGTGAGAAATCAACCTCTGCTACTTATAAACCGCCCAGTCTGTGGTAATCTGCAAGGGATTAGTTTCCTCAAATAAGATTTTGACATACAAGGTTAAATAAAGTTCAACATATTTCTTTACTGCTATGCATCTTCAAAAAAGGAACACAGTATAAGAACTCCTTCTTTTTTGAACTTGTACTTATGCAACTCTTATTTTAGAAAATTTAGTTTGGGAAATATTACATAAGTTAACATCAATAACATTATTGCATGGACTTTGTGAGTGGTTTTGGAAAAGACCTTTTCTACTTCCTCATTTTCAATTCTGTTCAGCATAAAGTGGTCCCAAACTAAATTTCAATGAAATGGGGGACCACTTGTGTCCCTTTAGATAAATCACATACGTGGGAAACAGACTTTCTCACAGTTAAGGGCAGCTTTGATGACTGACAAAGGCCAGTTCGCAGGGAGGGAGTATTGTCCTGAACCTGGTAAGGCCACCTTCTGGATAATGGGCTTCTGCCAGCAGCCAGCACTCTTCTTTTCTGAATAGAGCTTAGATAATATAGGAAGAGATTTTGTACTGCAATTTTCTTTATGGAAAAAAAGCACTGGGTAAGGAGAAGTCCTTAGTGTTCTTCAGGGACTTGACTTTTATCCTAACTCTACGTGGTGAATTGAGCATGAAATAAAGACGGCTATCTTTAAGTTACAAAAGATAAAGATGGCTATCTTTAAAATATGAAATTGTAATGTTTAAACCCAAATCCCACACAGGCAGAAATCTTGATTGTTCCAAAATTGGAACCATTAGAATGTTATTAATCTGATTTATCATCATTTTAACATGCCAAACAAAAGACAAGATTCTCTCTCCCTTTCTCTTGGAAACCACTTGTCCCTTTGTAAAAAATCAATATGAGGTTATTCGTCTGAGCATGTTTCTTCCTTGACACTCTAATTTTTCACTAAAATGCTGTTGTAATAATCTTAACCTGGCTTCCTCAGCCTAGCTATTTTCCAGACCATTTAGCCCACACAGTTGAACCTAGAAAAATGGTAGTACTTAGGTTAAGATTTCCCAAAAGAATATGCAGTAAAATGTATGGGACACAATTGCACCATTGTGGATTAGGATAAATCATATATTATCAGGTACAACCACACTATCAGCATTCAACCTTAACTAGTGTCTCTCCTACCTCAAGACATGAGTAATAATTTCCTTATCACAGAGGAGGACAAACATATCTCTGCCCTTAGCAAAAAATTGGTCAGATAAAATACAAAATGTACATATGAATCAGGAAAAAAGAAGAGAACATTTGTAGGTCTGTCATAAATAAACTTTATTTTTGGACTGTATCAATATAAACTAATGGATAGAAGAAAGAAAGGAAGGTAAGAAGAAAAGAAGAACATAGCTTCCCTTAAGACATGTGTGAACGATGTCAGTTTTTTCTAATCACTATGTCTATTATTAATATAAATATATAGCACTATTAAACCGCTGTTTCTCAGATTTACAGATTCAGATTCACTGGTTTTCTACCCTGATTCTGTTGCTCTGAAGAACACCCAAGAATTTGTGATTCTTATGATTAGGCAGTAGGGGAGACATTGCTTTTAACATTAAATATCTAAACAAAACACTGGTTTGTGTTGTTTTATTTCCACTTATATTATTTCAGTTTACCTGTGAACAAAGCACTTACTGTACTCAAACTTAGACAGTTGCAGGAAATATGAGTGGATAAAACTAGTGTCTGTTCTTAAAATAGTTACTGTAGTAAGGGGTATACACTATGTATCTCAAGTGGAATTGTAGGATAAAGGTTACCTTTCTAACTTTGACTATGTTAAGTCATTCAATTATTCATTCATAGACTTAATATGCATTACGTGCTATACAGAATAGGCACCGTGCCAAATTAGAGGGCTGCAATGATGAGCAAAAACAAGTATGAGTTCAACTTCATGGAGCTTCTAGTCTAAGAGGAAGAAAGCCATTGCATAAATTAGCAACATAATACATATAAAATGCACTATCTGCTATGAAAGCAATAGATATTATCCTATATGTACATAATACATAAGTGATGATCTAGTCAGAGGGGTTAGGAAGTTTTCTTTGAGTAAGTAAATTTGAATTGGGAATGAGGCTTCAGTTATGATATCAAAGAAGAGAACTATTCAAGGCTATAAGAAGTGCATGTGCAAAGGCCCTGAGGTGAGAAAAATCACAGAGCGTGTAAAAATCTGCAGTGGCTGGAGCTCAAAGAGGAAGGGAGAGAATAGAGTGAAGTGAAGTTGGAAAGATTAGACTATGCAGGGCCTTTTAAGATACATTAGAAATTTTGTCTTTAGTTTAAAAACAAGTGCTCAGTGGATAGTATAATGAGATTTGAAATTTGAGAAGATAACTTTGTCCTGTGGGAAAATGACTAAAGGGAGAAAGAGTATGGTTGTACATATGACTGGGCAACTATTCAAAATGCTTCTAAAGGGTGTAATAATAACTTGAATGAGGGCACTAAGGGAGGAGAATAAGAAAAGCAGACAGAAGTATGATGTATTCTGGAGGCCAAATTAACATATCTTGTTGATAATTCATTACCATAAGATGTGGTAGGGGATGGTGGGTCGTTTTGGAGATGGTTGTGACTTGCTGAGGTAGGGAACAGTAGAAGAGGATCGAGTTTGAGGAAGGGAGGAAGAGCAGATGAGAATGGTTTTGAACATGATTAATTTGGAGGCTTTCAATATATCCCAGTAGAGTTGAGCAGGCAGTTGGAAATTCTGGTTTGGAGCTCAGAGGAGAAATCTGGACTGGAGACAGACATCTGTGACTCATCAAGGGTAGATAGTAATAAAAACTGGTGCAAATGAGACTGTCTAAGGACATAGAATAGGAAGCAAAAAGAGCATGGGATATAACCTTAGAACTGTAATAGTTACTTGGCAAAGAGGAGGATATTGCAAAGGAAACTGAAAAGGAAAGAGCAATAAAAGAAGTAAGATTCAGACTAGGGGATGTGAAGTGATGCAACACAGGAAAGAATTTTTCGAAATCAGAGAAGAGCAATTAATTGTAGTAAGTATGGAAAAAGCTCAATTCAGTTGAGGTCTGGAAAATATCCATTGGAATTAAAGATGCAGATATCACTGACAAAGCTTTGGCAAAGCAATGCAGCTGACAGTAATGGCAAAATAATAGTCATGAGTTAATTAAGTTAAGGACTAAGAGGCTGATGGCAGCAGTGAGTGGCACCTTTTCCTTTTTAGATGAGAGAGATAAAGGAAGTGTTGAATTCAAATGACATTCAACGCTTCAACTATTATATGTCCCAAATTTAAAATAACAATCATCTCTACTTTCTTACTTGTCCTTTTAAACTTCTTTTACGTTTATTTATTTTCTGTTAAATACACCCTGAGCCTCTCCATCAATGAAGCTAGTGTTCCTGCTCTAACACCACTCTCTACCAAGGTTTCATAAGTCCTGTCCCTCCCCACAGCATGTTGAAAGTTGTCTCTCCTTCCCCCTCTATTCAGTAAGTGTGTGATTTAATTTCACCAGATGATTCACCCTAGTTCTCCCATTTAGTTAAAAATTTAACCACCAATAAAAAATTTAACTTTTTTTAAACCGAATTTGCTCAACTAAAATGGAAGACTATACCTTCCTTCATGGATTTCTATGAAAGCTGAATGAAATAGTGAATCCAAAGTGCTCATTAGAGTTCCCGAACATCACAATTCTCAATGATTATCAAATAAATTTGAATGAGACTTATCTGAGCATAATGGCTTTCCACTCCATATCTACATGTAAAAATCAATGAGAATGACATAAAATGCAGGAGAAAGAATTAAAATTTGAATAGAAATTCAGATTAGTTCAAAATCATGAAGATATAGTGCTCTAAACTTTATAATCATCCCCATCCGATTACTTTAAACGTGGTGTGCTATTTTAACCCAAGTAAAGGTACACTAGTTCAAGTAACATGCAATAACATTCTTATCATTATTTACTGAAAGGTGGAGTGTACTGGCTTTAAAATAATCTCTGTGTTAAATTAGTTAATAACATTTTTCATTTAAGAAGGGTTTAAAAATAATTTTTCAAGCAGAGATGCAAAACAATCAAAGCATGTAATTTGCCTTTATCACTTTTACTTTTTATATTAAGGATGGACAAAAATATTCTACTCATAGGAAAGGAGATAAAATTGTGACTCACTCCTTTGAGTCTGCAAATTAAAAGAGAAAAACAAGCATGTAGCTGGAGGATAGATGAATGGCAGAAGATAAAATCCAAGGGCCATTATACCAAAGGAGGGTGAAGACTTATTAATGAATTTCAAAACCCAGTGTATACCTTTTGCATTGCTGTGAATAAATGCCTTTGATATCTCAAACAGAATTAAACAAGAAGGAGGTGACCTGTCAAAATGAATAGAATGAAAGGAACCTCTCTTTACACTCTCATTTATTTGTTTATTATTATTATTATTATTTTGAGATGGAGTCTCGCTCTGTCACCCAAGCTGGTGTACAGCGGCGCGATCTTGGCTCACTGCAAGCTCCGCCTCCCGAGTTCACACCATTCTCCTGCCTCAGCCTCACGAGTAGCTGGGACTACAGGTGCCCACCACTGCACCCAGCTAATTTTTTGTTTTTTAGTACAGAAGGGGTTTCACCTTGTTAGCCAGCATGGTCTCGATCTCCTGACCTCGTGATCCACCCGCCTCGGCCTCCCAAAGTGCTGGGATTACAGGCTTGAGCCACCGACTCTCATTTATTTTTTGCTATAAATTTGTAAGTTTTCTAAGATGGCAGCAATGATTTCAGAAAAAAAATTTGAGGCAGGAGTAATAAATGACAGTGATTTTAATATTCTACAGATTAGTACAACATGATATAAATAAGAATAAGGAGAAAAATTATGAAATTCTGCTTATGATGAATAAACTGCAATAAGAGAGGTGCCTTTATTCAGTGAAACCCTTAGAGGAATCATAGACACTATTAAGTGAGAGAAATCCTGTTATTAACTCCTTCCTTCTCCCACCTGCTACCTTTGAAAGAAGTAATATTGTGTGATATGAATCAACTCAGCCTATTGCTCAGGAATGTAAGATCTGAAGCCAGACTCCTTGGGTTCAAACCCAGGCTCTACTACAAGTTCAAACCTAAGCTTTACTACTTGCTAACTCTGTAACTCTGTGACTTAAATGCTGAGCTTCAGTTTCTTTATTGTTTGTTTGTTTGTTTGTTTGTTTGTTTGAGACAGGATCTCATTCTTTCACTCATGCTATAGTGCAGTGGTGCAAACATGGCTCACTGCAGCCTTGACCTTCTAGACTCAAGCAATCCTCCCGCCTTAGCCTCCTGAGTAGCTGGGGCCACAAGCACACACCACTATGCACAGCTAATGTTTCAATTTTTTGTAAAGAGGAGGTCTCATCATGTTGTCCAGGCTGGTCTCAAACTCCTGGGCTTAAGTAATCCTCCTGCCTTGGCCTCCCAATGCAGCTGGAATTTCAGGTGTGAGCCACCATGCCTGACCCAGTTTCCTCATTGTTAATATGACCCTAATAATGGTTTCCTAATCCATTGATTTGTTATAAGAGGTATACTAATGTATATAAAGTACATAACACAATACCTGGTACATATTAAACATCAAACTAGCTGTTATTTTTGTGACTGCAGCCTTTTTACAAACACAGAAGTGACAAAAAGTACACTGAAAAGCCTCTGAAAGATTCCCAGTTTCCAGTCTGACATTGAAGGAGCTTGGATGAGGTCACTCTATCCTAAGAAGTAAAGTTTCAGTTGGCTATTCTGATACTTTTTCCTCTCCATATACATTTTAGAATCTGTTGTTATCTACAAAATAACTCGCTAGGGTTTTTACTGGAATTGTGTTTAATCTATAAAGCAAGCTAGGAAGAACTGACATATTGATGAGTACTCCTATCCATGAACATGGAATGTCTCATTATTTATTTAGTTATTTGGTTTTTTCATCAGAGTTCTTATGTGTGGACATAACTATCTATACACAAATGTACTTTTACATGTGGGCGTAAGTAACTATACACAAGTGTTTTTGTATTTTGTTTGTTTGTTTGTTTTGTTGTTTTAGAGACAGAGTCTCACTCTGTTGCCCAGGCTGGAGTGCAATGGCACAATCTCAGCTCACTGCAACCTCTGCCTTCCGGGTTCAAGTGATTCTCCTGCCTCAGCCTCCCAAGTAGCTGGGATTACAAGTGCCCGCCACCATGCCCAGCTAATTTTTGTATTTTTGGTAGAGACAGGGTTTCACCATGTTGGCCAGGATGGTCTCAACCTTGTGATCTGCCTACCTTGGCTTCCCAAAGTGCTTGGATTACAGGCATGCATCACTGCTCCCAGCCCCATACACAAGTGTTTATAGCAGCTTTATTCATAAGTGCCAAAACTTGAAAGCAACCAAGACGTCCTTCAGTAGATGAATGAATAAGCAAACTGAGGTACAATGGAATATTATTCAGCTCTTAAAAATAAAGCCATAAAGCTATGATAAGTCATGCATAAAACTTAAATCCATATTACTAAGTGAAACAAGCCAATCTAAGAAGATTATGTTCAGTATGATTCCAAGTATATGGCATTCTGGAAAAGGCAAAATTCTGGAGCCAGTAAAAAAATCCATGGTTGCCAGGTTGAGGGAGGGAAGGATGAACAGGCAAAACACAGAAGATTTTTAGGGCCGTAGAACTAGTTTGTATATTATAATCATGGGTAGAAGTCATTCATTTTGTCAAAACTCATAGAATATACAACACCAAGAGTTCAGCCAGCCCTGCATGAATTAAACATTTTCTCTATTGCAATTTTCCTGTCTTAATGAATCAGATCTATCTGGGCAGTGGGCAAAATTAACCCATTGGGTGTTTATGCTACCTTTTCTCCCTCTCTGTCTCTTTCTCTTTCTTTTTTCTCCACTTCCTCCTCCCTCTCTTGTTTTGTGTTCCTTCTTTTAGAAGACACTTCTTTTATTTATTTTTTTCTCTCATGCTTCATGAAATACCTACCCTTCTTGTAATATCTGAAAACTAGCAATCGCCTCAGTATCACCTGAACTAGTCTTTGTATCTGTTAATGCTCCAAAGTCCTGCAACTAGTGCTGCTAAATTCTCGGAACTATCACCTTGAGCCTGTTATACATTTTCAAGGGTAACTCTCAGATAACTGAAAATATCTTAAGTGGTTCCTGCATTGCTATAAAGAAGTACCTGAGACTAGGTAATTTATAAAGAAAAGAGGTTTAATTGGCTCATGGTTCTGCAAGCTTTAAGGAAGCAGCATGGTGCTGGCATCTGCTCAGCTTCTAGGGAGACCTCAGGAAACTTACAATCATGGTGGAAGGCAAAGCAGGAGGGAGCAGACATATCACATGGCAAAAGCAGGAACAAGAAAGAGAGAAGGTGGGGGGTGGGGGATGCCACACACTTTTAAACAACCAGATCTCATGTGAACTCAGAGCAAGATCTCACTTATCACCAAAGGGATGTCCCAAGCCATTCATGAGGGATCTGCCTGAATGACCGGAACACCTCCCACCCAGCCCTATCTCCAACACTGGAGATCACATCTCAACATGAGATTTGGTGGGGGACAAATATCCAAACTATGTCACAAACTCTATAAACTTCCTTAATTTTCTGAACTTAGTCACCTTTATAGATACATTGAGGATAGTCCAACTGCTTTTTGTTGAGAGACAATTCTCCATTAAACTCTTACGTTATTCCACATTCAGGCATAACAGCCAATTTGCTCTACGACTATCTTTTTAGGAAGGCTTTTATAAACAGAGAGCCAGGGAAAGATGGAGACAGACTTCCTCTGTAGAAAATTTATACTCTTTAATTTACTTCCATGGATAGAGAAATCTTTCTTCCAAGAAACATTCCAGAACAATAATTTAGAGACATTTCTCTCCCCTTCTGGGAGGGGATTTGCACTGTTATGCATTTGATTGCATAAGAATACTCTCACAATGAATTTTTGTTGCTGCTTTACCTTGTTTATATTTTCCAATTTACTTTATTTTTTCTGAGCTTCAGTCTCCTATGTGTAGATTTCTAATAATACTAGAACCTATATTTTTGGATTGTGTGAAAGATTGAGTCATTATGCCTATTAATAGTAATTAATTTATTACTATAATTGATATATATTAATTCATACACTAAAATCACTCTTTTGCATTAATTGGATTTGATTACAGATATTTAAAAACTTAATTTTTAAATCTAAATTACAAATTTCTGATAGTATGTTTTACAGAAATAAATACTTCAATGAGATTAAAATGCTTCCCACATTAAAAAAAAATGCAAAATATAATTATCTTCCTGTTTGTTGCAAAGTTTATGAAGCTGTTTGTTTTCCCTCTACTTTTCATCAAATTTCTGCAATTACTAACATGTCTTTCAGTTTGTGATAGGTGTATGCTGATCATGACTTTCCCAAAAATCTGCCTTCTTCAAGTCTGGAGGAAGATACTGGTCCTATTATTATCTAAGAGGTTTTGCTTGTCATATGTTGGTCTAGCTGATCTAAGCAGACGATTGCTTTTAATTACTATTATGGGGGGGGGTCTTCTTTTGTAAGAGAGACAATGGAAGCAATTATAAAACATCTGGAGAAAACAAAAATATAGGAACAAGACATAGGGAATGCATGCAAATGTGGAAGGTCAGTTTGAGGGACAGGGGCCCTTGTCTAGGTCATACATAGAGCTATGGGATTCACTGAATATGTGCCATATTATCAACTTGAAAAATAAGAAGAGCAGATTTGTTTATTGGACAATGAAAGATGAAATTGAAATGGGAAAAGGAAAAGAGTAAAGAAAAACATAGGTTTAATGGCTCTAATTACAAACCTGAGATGAGTGGGGGATTGCTTTTCGGGAGAACAAATAAAGGTCACAGTAGTCATGAGCCGGTTGGAAGCATCTAGACAAACATACCACACTGAAATCCATAATCAAGAACCTTCCATAATAACAAGAACAGCAATCATTTCACTCAGAATGAATTGCAAAAAGAAAACTTATGACTGAATATATAGTAAGAGGACAACTGAAATTGGAAGAGCTTTATGAAAGGATTGATGCAGGATTTTTCTTGGTCCCTTTGCTGGACTCATGGCAGGGGCACCTCCTCTACTTGGCCCTCTGCACTCAACCCCTTGTGGGAGGGAGCATCAGAGTGAGTCAGTCCAGGACCTGGCTGGCTGTGCAGGGTGCCGACACAGGAACAAGCTCTATGCAGGGCCCATAGCCAGACTAGGCATGTCGCCTCAAGGGGAATGTGGCAGCGACCATGCGAGGGTGACTGTGACCCTGAAGCCCCAGAAAGGGGTGTTACGGTGTTCCTTTAGTTCTGCTGTCCATGGATGGTGGTGTGTTAGCAGCTCTGTTGGCTCTTTGCCTCAGCACATGGGGCAGCTGCCCTCCACCAATGAGGGCAAAGGGCTGGTGTGGCAGCCTTTCTGGGTACCCACACTCGGTGGGTCCTGAGCTCTTGTCCAGCATCCAAGAAGATTGAAGTCACATGGACTGTTGAAAGATGGTGAAGGTAGAGAATTTTATTGACCAATGAAGATGGCTCTCAGAGGAGAGGGAGCTAGAGAAGGGACAGGAAAGGTATACTGGTAATCTTCCCAAAAATCAGGTTGTCTTTTCCCAAAGTCAGTTCATTTCCACCTCCACTGACTGAGTCTGGGGTCTTTATAGGCACAGGATGGGGAGTGTATGCTGATTGGTTTGTGAGTATGTAACAAAGGTTAAAGTAAAAACACCAGTCAAAGGTGGGCACAAAAGCATAGAAAACCAATTAGGAAAGGGTAGGTATATGTAAAATAGGTGAAGGGTGGGGATTAATCAGAGGAAAGCACACCAAACAGGAGGACAAGTTCTCAATCTAGTCCCAGGATTTAGCTTGTAGCTTGGATTTCAGGTTTAAACTGTCTTCAGCTTGGAGGTGAGGTTTCACCGGGTACCTGCCCCTATCTGCCTAGGCATTTGGCTGCCTCCTGTCACTATCAGGATGACCAATTATAAAGAAATTATGCTATAGGGAAGTAAAAGTCTTAATAAAAAGACTAGAATGATTTTGTTATCCCTTAGATAGCTCAAAGTTGCATTAACTCATGATGTTTCTTCTTTTTTCTTTTGGGTAATATTACTTCCTAGAACAACTACAAAGTAATATTACTTAAAAGAAAATGGACTGTGGCTCTCAGGTTTGCTTGGTCTATGTGGGCCTGGAAATTCTAGTAAATCTATTTGCTCAATAGGGTTTCCTATCTATTATTCATCATGGGTCTCTCCTATTTTGGAGAAATACTTAAAAATCATGGATATTTTCATGCTGTCAATATCTAGGATTCATTTGGCCTAAGAAAAGCTGAAAGCTGTGTAGTTTGACAAAAGACTTGCCAAGAAAGTTAAATATATCTAGTTCTCCTTTTCCCATGTTTGACATTTCCATGGAGGAAGGGAGACAAGGAAAGAAGTTGCAAATATATTAGCATTCTTTCTGTTTTTCTCTGCCTGATATACTCCATGGAATCAATCTTGTGTGTACATTTAGGGAAAAAGTCTTTACATGATTACAATAAGCCAGATCTCCCTTCTTCCTTTTTTGCCTCTTCACTCTCCCTCACTGAAAACCTCTGATTTAAAGGCAGGAAAGCTTTAAAAATGTACACACTTTGGGATTCAGCCCTGTTGCTGGCATGTGTCAATAGTTCATTCTTTTTATTACTGTGCAATATTCCATTGTATTGATATGCCATAATTTATTTATCCATGCACATACTGATTGACATTTGAGTTGTTTCAAGTTTGGGGCTATTACAAATAAAGCTGCTATGAATATCCATGTAAAAGTATTGGCGTGACATGTTTTCACTTATCTTGAGTAAATGCTCTGGAGTGGAGTGACTGGGTCATATGACAGGTGTATCTAACTTTTGAAGAAATGGTCAAACTGTTTCCCAAAGCGGCTGTACCATTTTACATTCCCACACCCATGTATGAAAATTTCAGTTGCTTCACCCTGCCAACACATGGTTTGGTCATCAACCTTTTACATTTTATTAATTCAAATAAGCATATATTACTCTCATTGTAGTTTTAGTTTTCATTTCCCTGATGACTACAAACATTGAAATTTTCATCTGCTTATTCACCATTCTTATACCTTCTACAAATTGTGTGAGTCCACTTACAAATTCTTGTGAAGAAAGTGGTAATGACTGAAAGCAAGTTAGTGATTGCCTTGGGACAAGGCAGAAGAAGGGATGAGTTGCAAGGGGCACAAGGAAACTTTTCAGAGTTATGGAAATTCTTGTTATCCTTATTAAGGTGAGGGTTACACAGACATATACAGATGTCACAGCAAATTAAATTATATACTTTAAATATATGCAGCTTATTGTATTTCAATTCAATTACACCTCAACTAAATTATAAAAAATCCAAAAACTTTATTAGAAGTAAACCAAAAGCAAAATTCTAAGCCTCCCAACCAACTGAACAGACTCCTCCTCACAGCCAAAGGCATTCTAAAGTTAATTTGAAAAACTAGTTCAGGCCATGATGGGAAATGAGGGTCTGACATGCCTCATTATACCCTTCTCCCTTTGGAATTCAAGCACAGTTGACCAACATTAACATGAAAACAGAGGCCTTAAGACTGATAGAACAGACTCTTTAAGACTGGTAAGAAATATTCCCTTCCACGGATTCTATCTGCATAATGGGAACCTCGCTGTCCATAAACTCTTATCTCAACCCAGACATTCCTTCCTATTGATTTTAGTCAATAACTTAACTCTTTAAACCAATTGCCAATTAGAAAATTCTTGAATCCACCTATGACCTGGAAGCCCTTGCTTCGAGTTGTCCTGCCTTTCTGGACTCAACCAATATACATCTTACATGTATTAATTGATGTCTCATATCTCCCTAAAATGTATAAAACCAAGCGGTAGCCCAATCACCCTGAGCACGTGTCAGGACCTCCTGAGGCTGTGTCACTGGTTCCAGGTGAGGTGTCAGAGCCTCAGCAACAGAAAATGGTTAATCACAGGTAGTAAGAAGAATTTACCAACGATGTTATTGGCAGTGAATCCATACAGGTCTGCAGCAACCTCAATTCTTGCTCCTCAGAAGAAAGAATTTGACTGAGGGGCATAAGGTAGAAGGAGAGACTGAGGCAAGTTTTAGAGTAGGAGTGAAAGTTTATTAAAAAGTTTAGAACAGGAACGAAAGTATACTTGAAAGAGGGCTGAGCAGGTGAGTTGAGAGAGTCAAGGGCCCTGTATGACCTTTGACTTGGGGTTTTATATGTTGGCATTCATCTGGGGTCATGTGTCCCTTCTCCCCTGATTCTTCCCTTTGGGTGGGCTGTCCACATGCACAGTGTCCTGCCAGCACTTGGGAGAGGAGCATGCACAGTGTTTTTAGTGAAACTATATGCATGCTCATTTGAGGCGTTCTTCCCTTACCAGCTGAATATCACTAGAAGGCCATACACCAGTTAAACTCTACCATTTTGCCTCTTAATGTGTGTGCTTGAGCCCACTTGCCTAACTCCTAAGATCTTATCAGGAAGCTGCTGATCCCTAGTTTCAGGTTTTTTGTGTTAATTGGGAGACTGCCTTTTCCTGGTGTTGGCTGTGGCCAATTATCTTAGAGAGACAGGTAACAACCACTTCACCATCACTTGATGGTCACCTGACATTTCTGGTGGGGGGTAGGGGGGCTCCCTCTCCTGCGGTGCTCATGTCTGACTAGCTACCTACTCTAACAATAAAATATATAAAACTCATGTTTGGTTGCTAAACTGAAGGAAGTCACAATTTATTACCGCAGAATATATTTCTTGGATGTATTTTGAAATGGCTGCCACAGGGCCAGCAGACTGAAGTGGCCCTGCAAAGCAGTCTTTTGTGGCAGAAATTTGCATCTGTAGAGAATCTCCATTAATGCAGCTAATGTTTCCTAGATCCGTTTCTAGGCCCTTTCCTGGATCTAGGATAGATTAGCCGAGAGTCTGACACCTTTAATGTTCCAAAAAGAGACACCACCTAATCTCTCTGAGGGCTTCTACCTCTGAGGTTTTGTCAGAAGCATGTGAACCCGAGCAACTCCATCTTGAATAGGAGCTGGGTAAAATGAGGCTGAAACCTACTGGGCTGCATTCCCAGATAGTTAAGGCATTCTAAGTCACAGGATGAGATAGGAGGACAGCACTATATACAGGCCACAAAGATCTTGATGATAAAACAGTTTGCAGTAAAGAAGCCGGCCAAAACCCACCAAAACCCACATGGTCATGAGTGACCTCTGGTCATCCTCACTGCTACACTCCCACCAGCACCATGACAGTTTACAAATGCCATGGCAACATCAGGAAGTTACTCTAAATGGTCTAAAATGGGGAGGCATGAATAATCCACCCCTTGTTTAGCATATCATCAAGAAATAACCATAAAAATGGGCAACCAGTAGCCTTCGGGCCTGCTTTGTCTATGGAGTAGCCATTCTTTTATTCCTTTACTTCCTTAATAAACTTCCTTTCACTTTACTGTAAAGACTTGCCCTAATTTCTTTCTTATGTGAGATCCAAGAACCCTCTCTTGGAGTCTGGATCGGGACCCCTTTCCCATAACAGTTTTCGTCTACACAGCAAGACCACCTTTGCTAGGCAAGCCTCCTATTCTGCCCCTCCCATCACCTATCTTGCCACAAAAACCTGATTTAACAGCATAACCTGTTTCTTCCCATGCTCTGAACCAACTGTCTTTCTACAACCTCAAGGTGGTATATAAGCTTCAGTATCTTACTGGGGGTTGAGTCTTCATGCTGAAGGCTCCTCTGTATACATGTCAAATACATGTGTATGCCTTTTCTCCTATTAATCTGCCTCATGTCAGGAATTTTTGAACCTCCAGAGGGCCAAAGGCCTTGACCCCTACACAACAAAGCTTATTTCTTACGGTTAATTTTGAACATTCTAAAGCCAGAACTAGTGTATTTAATTTTAAAATGTTGTGCTCATTGAGTAAAAAAATGTAAGATTGTCCAGAAACATAATATTTATCTTAAACCAAAAAGCTTAGTCACTAGATGATTTGAATTTCTCTTCCATTTTTACATTTCTGGTCTGTGTCTTCAGCAACAACCATGATTTTTCTTCCATTTGGTAGTAATTGTACCTTCAACACCCCAAAATAATTTTTGAAACAAAGTGTTCAATGTAATAGCAATGTTATGAACCAAATTCATAAAATCACAAACATAGGATGTATCATATTTATAACAAAAACTTGGCATGGCCCAGTGGCCTTCTAACCAAAAAAAAAAAAAAAAAAAGAAAAAAAAAACGCAAAACAAACAAAAAATAAAACCTTCATTTTATAGCATTATTGTGTCTTTTTTTATTTAATCATTGACAAATAGTACTTTCTTATACTTCAAAGTTTTAAATGCTGAAATATCTTTTATGCATCAATGTCCAAGCATTGACTTTACAGTATTTTTCTCATTACTCTGAATTTTAAGAATTATGTTTGATATTAAGTTAAAATTTATTTGCTCTTTACATCAATCTATAATCAAGAGCATTTCTAAGAAGCTCTCTTACGATTCTCAAATAGGATTGACAAAATAGCTCTTTTAACTAATGCATATATAATGCAATAAAGGGCAAAACTATAATCTACGTATTTCATTAAATGCTTTCTGAAGGCAGGACCCAATTATCAGAGGTTCAGTTTCTTCACTACTTACGGTCGAATCTTCAAAAGGTTTTCTTTGTCTTGTATTGTTTGCGGTAGAGTAAATGGTTGCATAGGTGGTTGTGTGCTGCTCCCTACTGGAGAATAGCAAAGTCATGAATTCATGGGTAAGGCAACAACGAGTCTTCTTATCATTGTTTTCCCAGCTCTGTTCAAGATAGAAATTTAGGGCTCAGGTATATTTAAGCTTTCATATTTTATGTCCACCCTAGACTATGTTTCTAAGTAATAAAATAGGTTACAAATCTAGTCCACAAACATATGCCACACTCACTCTAAATGTCAGCAAATGATGTCCTCTTTTATTGTATTTATTTATTTTTTTTGAGATGGGATCTCACTGTCACCCAGGCTGGAGTGCAGTGGCATGATCTTAGCTCGCTGCAGCCTCAACCCCCTGGGCTCAAGCAATTCTTCCATCTTAGCCTCCCTCATAGTTGAACTACAGGCACATGCCATTACGCCTGGCTAATTTTTGTAGAGACAAGTTTTTGCCATGTTGACCAGGCTGGTCTCAAACTCTTAAGCGCAAGTGATCCTCCCACCTCAGCCTCCCAAAATGCTGGGAGCCCCCGCACCCGGCTGATGTTCTCTTTTAATTTATGAAAAAGATTAAGGCCAACATAACAGAAGGACATGGATAATGGTTAAAAGCAGAGTTAGACAGGTCTGGCTTTACATCATACCTTGATTGTCCTGTGATATTAGGTAAGTTGCCTAAACATTAAGCCTTACATTTTATCATCTATATAATGTGAGTTATCCCACGAAATGTTAGTTATCTCATAAGATCATTGTGAGAATTAAATTCCATGCAGAAAGCACTTATCATGGTTCCTGGAATATAATACATGCTTAACAGGTGTCAAAGTAACAATGATAATTCAATTAGCTACTCGATATTTTCTGCAACCAAAACCAAAATTTCTCCAAAAGCAACTTCCCTCCCTACCTCAGTATGTCCCTATAAGAATTGTGTCAGGTTCTCTTGAAGGCTCCGCCCACACTTGTGTTCTTTGTCTTAAGCTCTATCGCATCACCTGCTACTTTTCTCTATTAATGAATCCCTCTTTTAAACTTCTTTTCCTATGTACTGATTTTTCCTCCCTGAGCACAAACAAACACGCTTTTCTGTTTTGAGATTTAGCCCTATCATGACCTTTTTTTGCAAAACCAAAGTTTCTAAATATGAGTCTGCATTGGCCACTTTCCGGTCTCTTACTCCTTGTTACGTAGTACTACTTTTCTCACCCTACTCAAACTCTTTTTTTCAGGGTCACCTATGTTTGGTCTCCTTTTGGCCACATTTAATATCCATGTCTCTATTCTTGCTCTCTGTGAGCTATTTGCAGCCTCGACTTGGTTTTCTTCAGTTTCAGAACACAGCTCTCTTTTCCTCCCTTCTTAAATTTCCCCTTCATATTGACTGCTTAAATATGGACATAGCCTTGAATTATCATTTTGCCTCTTTCCATTTTGTTCTGTACTGTTTCTGATCTTATCTTTATTTTTGTCTTATCACTCATTGCCCCCTCTGTGAATGAGTCTCATGTCCACCATTATCAGCCACATTTCAGTATGTGTTCTAAAGCCCGATGGCTGTCTTTATTTCGAGAGCTCAATGATATCTTTTCCCCAAACCGTCTCCTGCTTAGTTTCCATATTTTTTATGTTTTATACCTTACTCAGGCTCATGTTCCTAGATTGATCTTGATTTATTTCACCTTCCTATTCCCTATCATCAAGTCTGTCAAAAGTCTTAAGTCTCCAGAAACTTTTTCTTTTCAAAATCAACTATTCTTTTGTTTCTATTCCCAGAGCTTCAGTTCTAGTTAGGGTTCTTATCTCATGATACCAAACAATAATTGTCTCCTACCTGAACCCCCTGAAGCTACATCCTTTACATTCAAAGTGGTTCAAACACTTTCGTAAGTCCTGCCTTTCTAATCCAGTGCTTTCTGTATTCCTTCTTTGCTGAAAACTTTCATATTGATGTCATTTCAGAGTTTTATAGAGTCAAAAGGAAATAAAGTTTGGAAAGTAAGTTAGGAATCACATATTCCAACCTACTCAGTTTATTAATGAGAAAATTTAAACCTAGGCAATTTACATGGTTTACCAGAGGTTGCAAAGTTAGTAGCAAACTAGAATTTAGGCTTCAGATGGCATCAGTTGATTTTTCTGTACAATCGTATAATTTGCTGTCAAAAGATTAATACTAATTCCTCAAACAAGTACATAAGACCTTTTGTAATCTGGGTTCTGTCAAATGCTCCACACATGGTGTTCAGACAATCCGGTTTATTCACTGTCTCTTAAACACACCTGTGCAAGGCTGTCTCTGTGTCTTTGCTCAGGATATATATATACACACACACATATATATACATATGTACATATATATACACACATATATACATATATATACACATATACATATATACATATATATACACATATACATATATACATATATACATATATACGTATATATACATATATACATATATATATCTGAAATTCTCTCTTTTCTAACTCTTACCTTTACTGTAACAGTTTCACATACATCTTCCATTAAGACTTCCCATTAATTCTAAATCTGTTCATTATTTTCTCAGAGTTATTGTAGTAATAATTATGTTTCCTTTCTTAAATTTGGCACACATGATTTGTGTTTTTATATTTATTAAGAAAATTGATGCTTTTTCCATAGTAATTCATTCTCCCTTTTTATTGTATAGCAACCTTGTGGTTTCAGAGACTGTTTTTAGTTTCAATGACAGGTACTATCCAAGACTCTGACATGGAAGGCTAAAACTTAGAATTATCGGGTTCTCCTTCTTCTAAAAATCCTAAACCTTGGATATGAGGTCCACACCACTGCACATAAGAACAAGCAAAGTGAAGAGAGTCAAGGGAAGCAGAGGCAGGACTTGCCAATTAAGTTATCTTTATCCTCCCTACCTTAGGATGTGACATTGTGATATATTTATTTTTTATTTAACTCAAAGTGATTTGGATGTGTGGCTACTTGCAAAGTAAAGCAGACTGATTGAAACAATGCTTCTGTTGTCTGTTCCAACAAGAATTTTACATCTGTGGGAGATGTCATCAGTCTCATGTACCTTTTTAACCTAAGTGCCAAACCCAAAGTGTTGCCCATAAGGGGAATTTAATAAAATTTACTGTAATTTGCATAGGTTTATATACTATGCTTTATTATTCCTATATTTCCGTATTTCTTGGTATCTTCTAGAAACACTTCTGAACATGTCCACCTAGCACTTGCCAGATCCCATAAGACTCAGACCAAATGTGTGTATATGTTTATGTGTACATATGTATATTGATACTTAGTAGACGAGCTCCTAGTTATTTTTAGATAATAATTATTGCAATGTCTAATAAATTCACATACTGGGATTCATTGGGAATCTGTACAACTATAAAATAAATGGAAACCTTTGTGAGATTGGTATTAGAGAAGTATTTGACTGCTCCTTGTAGCTACTTCTCTCTGTATGCCTATTTTTACTTGCACCCCAGACTTCCCACTCTGGACAACATCTACGAAGTGCTTATACCCAAACTCGTAGATCTGACATACACCATAATCATTTTATACATTAAAACACATTGGTTCTATGCTGTCCAATGACTGTGTTTCTTCAAAAATGTCCAAGATGGAAAATAAGTAATAGATGCTAATAATATCTTAATAGAGCAGAGAAAGAAAACATAATATATTCATCATAGCTCTCCTCCAACTTTTAAAAGATACTTGTGTTGGCCGGGCATGGGGACTCACACCTGTAATCCAGCACTTTGGGAGGCTGAGGTGGGCAGATCACCTGAGGTCAGGAGTTCGAGACCAACCTGACCAACATGGTGAAAGTCCGTCTCTACTAAAAATACAAAAATTAGCTGGGTGTGGTGGCAGGTGCCTGTAATTCCAGCTACTAGGGAGGCTGAGGCAGGAAAATCACTTGAACACTGGAGGCGGAGGTTGCAGTGAGCCAAAATCACACCACTGCACTCCAGCCTGGGTGACAGAGTGAGACCCTATCTCAAAAAAATAAAATACTTGTGTTATTATTGTGTGTATTAATATCGAAAGTGACATTGCAAGCGAACTTTTCAGAGCAAGTTGGATATTAGATTAAAACATTAGAAGATTTTTAGTAGTATCCACTTTGATTTTATCATCCAACATGTATTTTGTACCTCTTGTCCTTTTTACCAGAACCTTGATGTCTTGTGTGAAACCACATCTCCCTCAATCTTAAATCATGTGGTATATTAGACAGGACTCTTCAGAGAAACAGGTCAGGAGGATGGATATATATCCAGAGATATTTATTTTAAGAAATTGGTTTATATGAGTGTGGGGCCTGGCAAGTCGAAAATCAGCGAGGAGGCTGGTAGGCTGAAAAGTCTGAGAGTCAGTGTTGCAGTCTTGAGTGCAAAGCCTGGAAACTCACGCAGAATTCCTTCTATCTGGGCAACCTCGGTCTTTGCTCTTAAAGCCCTCAACTGATTACATGAGACCCATTCATAGTATGAAGGGCAATCTGCTTTACTCAAAGTCAACTGATTAAAATGCTAATCACATCTAACAAGTACAATATAGAAACATTTAGGCTGTTTGCCCATAGCCTAGCCAGGTTGACACATAAAATTAACCATCATGTGAGCTTGGTATAGAAAGGACTCTCCACTTGATTCCAAGAGTCAATTTGTGTCTTGAACCCATAACAGTAAGGTCACTACATTCTTACTGGGAATTAAACATAGAGTTACTATATGATGCAGCAATTCCACTCCTATTTACGTACTCAAGAGAATAGAAAACACAAAAGCTTGTGCATAAATGTTTACAGCAGCATCACAATCTAATATTAAAACATTTTCTTTCTTGCTTAAAGAAACCCTGCACTGATCAGCAGTCAATCAGCATTATTACCCACTCCCATCTTCCAGCAGGATCAATTGTAAATCTGCATTCTATCTCCATAGATTTGCCTATTGTGGATATAGGCAGCTGTTTACAACAGCATTATTCCCAAGAGCCAAAAAGTAGAAGCAATGCAAATGTCTATCAACTGATGAATGGATCAGTAAAATGTGGCATATCCATACAATGAAGTATTATTTAACAATGAAAAGAAATGGCATATTGGTACATGGAATGACTTTTATTTTCAATGTATGAACCTTGAAAAACATTACGGTAAATAAAGAAGCCAGTGACAAAAGGCCACATATTGTGTGATTCATATACATAAAATATCCACAATAGGCAAATCTATAGAGACAGAATGCAGATTAACAATGGATCCTGCTGGACAATGGGAGTGTGTGATAATGCTGATTGACTGCTAATCCATGCAGGGTTTCTTTTAGCAGGAAAGAAAATGTTCTAAAATTAGATTGTGATGATGGTTGTGAAAGCATGAATATATGAAAAAATACTGAATTGTACACCTTTTAAATTTTTTTTTTTTTTTTTTTGAGACAGGGTCTCACTCTGTCGCCCAGGCTGGAGTGCAGTGGCATGAACTTGGCTCACAGCAGCGTCAACCTCCAGGGCTCAAGCTATCCTCCCACCTCAGCTTTCTGAGTATCTGGGAATATAGGTACACAACACCACACCTGACTTATTTTTAAATTTTTTGTAGGGTCTCACTATGTTGCCCAGGCTGGTCTTGAACTCCTGGCCTCAGATGATTCTCCTACCTCATCCTCCCTAAGTGTTGGGATTACAGGCATGAGCCACCAGGCTTGGCCTGATATGGTGCACTTTAAATGGGTGAATTACATGGTATGTGAATTATATCTCAACACTAATATCAAAATAAAATTCAACAAATAAATCCACTAAGCAGTCAAATAACCTTTTAGAAAATTGTTTTTTCTTAAAATAAAGCATTCTCATTTTGAAAGAATAACTAGTCTAGTTTAACTCCATTTTCATTTCTACATTATCAGTTTAGACTTTCACATCTTCCTGTTTTTTTTTTTTTCCAAAAACTATTCTAGGCACAGATACTTGTTTTACAGAAGTCCCATATGATGTTGCATTTTACTGAAAAGGTTAAATAATACATCACACTCAGGAAATTTGTATTGTAGTAGAAACATTCTATTTTTTAAATTATACTTAAAGTTCTGGGATACATATGCAGAACGTGCAGCTTTGTTACATAGGTATACAAGTGCCATGGTGGTTTGTTGCACCCATCAACCTGTCATCTACATTAAGTATTTCTCCTAATGCTATCCCTCCCCTAGGCCCCACCCCTCAACAGGCCCTGGTGTGTGATGTTCCCTTCCCCGGGTCCATGTGTTCTCATTGTTCAACTCCCGCTTATGAGTGAGAACATGCAGTGTTTGGTTTTCTGTCCCTGTGATAGTTTGCTGAGAATGATGGCTTCCAGCTTCATCCATGTCCCTGCAAAGGACCTGAACTCATCTTTTTTATGGCTGCATAGTATTCCATGGTGTATATGTGCCACATTTTCTTCATCCAGTCTATCATTGATGGGCATTTAGGTTGGCTCCAAGTCTTTGCTATTGTGTAATTTATAGATTCAATGTTATCCCCAACAAGCTACCCTTGACTTTCTTCACAGAATCAGAAAAAAACTACTTTAAATTTTATATGGAACCTGTGTTTTATATATATACTTCTTATCTAATTAATCTGGAACTCTCAGTTAATCTGGAATGTAGAGAACCTAGAGAGAGAATTCTGCCCTTATTTGCTTTTTTCTAAAAGAAGCATAGACTAAAGAAATTTCATAGAATATCAGATCGACTTTATACTTTAATGTGAAACAGTGCATACTTTTTTTTAAATCTGCAGGCCAGGTGCAGTGGCTCACACCCGTAATCCCAGCACTTTGGCAGGCTGAGTCGGGGGGATCACTTGAGGTCAGGAGTTTGAGATGAGCCTGGCCAACATGGTGAAACACCGTTTCTACTAAAAATACAAAAATTAACTGGGTGTGGTGGTGTGCACCTGTAATCCCAGTTTTTTGGGAGGCTGAGGCATGAGAATCACTTGAACCTTGGAGGCAGAGGTTGCAGTGAGCCAAGATCACACCACTGCACTCCAGCCTGGGTGACAGAGCGAGACTCCATCTCAGACAAGAAACAAACAAATAAACAAATGGCAGTGACAACTCAAAGCCTGTAACATTAAAATTTTCTTTATTGGAAATTTTTCTATCCTAATCCGCAAATGGAAAATATGAAGTGTTAGGTGTTTGTGATCATGTACGTATGACGGAGTATCCATATATCTTCTAACAAGGTGATGTATTTATTTGTTGAGTAAAAGATGACACCAAGAACAGACCTATTTTTAGCTGTGGTTGCCAGTTATTCCATAGAAAACTTGTCCTCTAAGATAGCAATGTCAGATATTTTTTAAATTTAATACTATATATGACCTCGGTTTCACCAAGGTTTTTACTCCCACAATGCAATGAAGGCAAGTGACAGGAAAATGGGACTACTTTTTTCAAAGTGAAAGATCTGTCAAATACATAGTGAAGCCACTCAAAGTCAAACTTAGCTTGTTTTTGATATCTCACTGCAGGCACTGCTAAAGTTAATTGACCATCAATCAACACAGCAGACAGAAATGAGTCATTTGTTTGTTTTTAATAGCACATATTATTTTTCATAGGAAAACTCCGAGTATTGTTCTTGGTCAATAAGTCTTACTGAACTATTGAAAGAATGAGGAAACACAGACCTTGAATTAGTCTAGTCTGGTCAGAGCTAAGGATGTTAACTCTCTCAATTTTCTGAAATACACATTCAAAGACAGAAATGCAGAGAAATTGGAAAGAAGAAAAAAAGATAAGCTTAGCAGAGAGAGAATATCAGAATAATGCTTTTTTTCTCAAATAAAAAAAGATAAGAACCTTATCATTGGAAATATGTGACATCTCAGAATAATAGGCTAGTTCTCTTTGTTTCCAGACGTGGTTAAAAATGTTAACAGTTTCAATTTCCACTCCTTTTCATATGGATGAATAACATTTTTAAAAGCATCTTTGTGTATTGCTAGCTAGTTCTTAAAATTCTCATGTCTAGAAGTTTTTTTCTCTTATTCAGAAATATGTTTCCTTTAGAAATTTAATGACTAACTTATTTACAATAAGTTACGAAAAGTACTTTCATAGTTTTTAAAATTTTTCTTATGTTTTATCTCTCACAAAATTTCCCCACAAAATTTGCAGACCTTGGCTATGGCAAATATTGTTATATATAACATACAGATGAAGGGATTGAGGTTTATGCAACTTGAGTATCTTCCCTATATAGTTTTTAAGCAAAACAATCAAGAAAAATATCAGTCATTTGACTCTAAACTTAAGTGTTCTTTCTAAGATTTTATTCTTATTTCTTAAATAAATGTATTTTTTTCTTTTTTAAATCAGAAGGGTATTACATGCATATTAAAAATATTACTATAATACACAAATTTATAGTGTAAAATGTGAAGAGCCCTAAATTCTTAAATTCTAGTGCTAACCATTGTTAGAAGATTGGTGTCTATTCCTCCTTTTGTTTTCTTAGTATACACACATTAGGATATTTAACAAAATAGGGTTGTATAAGTGTCTTAGCTCAGGTTGCTGTAGTCAAATATCATAGATAACGGAAATGTATTTCTCACAGTTTTGGAGCCTGTAAAGTCAAAAATCAAGGTGCCAACAAGGTGGGCTTCATTCTAAGGCCTCTTCTCTTGATTTGTAGGCAGCTTCTATCTTACTGCGTGCTCACGCGACTTCCTTGTGAATGTATATATAGAGAGAAAGAAAGACAGCAAGCTCTCTGATGTCTCTTCTTGTAAAGGCTCATCGGTCATGAGGGCCCTACCCTCATGAGTTTATCTAAATCTAATTACCTACCAAAGACCACATCTCCACACTCCACATACAACTGTTTTGGAGGTTAAGACTTCAACATATAAATTGGAGTTGGGGGAACAAACATTCAGTCCATAACAATAACATATACTTTACTGCAAGCTATTTTTATAAACTATATTTGCAAAATACTGTCTGTTTAGTACAAAAGCAGTGAATCATTAATTGAATATCCGCACACTAGCTCACCATATAGACTCAGTAAAACAGGTCATTTATTGAAATATTGATGGGCCAGGCGCACAGTGGCCCACGCCTGTAATCCCAGCACTTTGGGAGGCCGAGGCTGGCAGATTGCCTGAGCTCAGGAGTTCGAGACCACCCTGGGCAACATGGTGAAACCTCGTCTCCACTAAAGTACAAAAAATTAGCCAGGCATGGTGGCGGGCACCAGTAGTCCCAGCTACTTGGAAGGCTGAGGCAGGAGAATCGCTTGAACCCAGAAGGTGGAGGTTGCAGTGAGCCAAGATTGTGCCACTGCACTCCAGCCTGGTTGACAGAGGGAGACCCTGTCTCCAAAAAAGAAAAAAAAAAGAATTATTGATAAAACAACAACAACAAAAATATTCTTACTTATATCATTATTCACTGGACTTGGCAGTTCTGGCAGTTCTTATAGATATAAACACATTAGTGGGTGTAAAAATTTAACAATATAAATAGTAATGCTATGAATGTTTCTTCAGAGAAATTCTATGAAGGAATGTCAATCTTGGACTTAAATAAGTTAATCATATAAATAACTTTTATATCTATCATCTTATTTGATTCTTCCAAAGACTATGTAAATTAATCAGAGTAAACATATTTAAACCTATTTTTACATATTAGAAAATTAAAGCACAGAGAGTTAAAAATACTTGTCTAAAGTCACATTCAAGTAAGAAAAACAGTTAAAATTCAGGCCCAGTCATGGGTAATATACTTTACTTTCTTTGATGCACTTACAAAAGCAGGAAACAGGTAGGCTTGTAAAGTAGAAACTGGGCATCATTCACTTGCAACCTAGAGCTTTTGCTTCCAGAATTCTCTTCAGGCTGCTTCTATACCTGTTTGCCCAGTGTCACCTTTTCTCTCCAGGGCATCTTTCTCATTGCACTTTAAATTCACATATAGTAACTTTCCAATTTTGTGTTCATTTCTTTGGATTTGACACTCTAGACAGTGTCTTTATTTCTAGGAAAAGATTAACTTGGAGAACAAGAGGTATCAGCATGAAACATCTCACCTCTGCTGTGTACTAGAGTTTCTTCATAATTTAGTGGGGGATGTTCAAAGATTAGAGATAAATATGTGTATCAAATATATGCATATTATAACCTTCAGTCAATAGAAGTTATACAAGCATATATCTTTCTTACAAGGGGGATAGTTCTGTTGATGGCTTTGTTTTTGTTTCATCTAAAGAGGTCGTTTAACCCTTGTTTATAGCTGTGCATTTAACAAAATAGAACTTGTTCTACCAAAAAGTAAAAAACAACCAATTGCTCTAGTGAGCAAGAATTCAATTCTTATGACTTAAAAAGAAATTGGAGCAGGACAAGGATTATACTCATAATTTGTGTTGTCAAAAAGCACTAAAACTTTCATCAAGGAAGTAACCAAGATGGATCTGGTACCTAAAACATTACACTAATTAATACACAGAAAGGTGGAAAAATCACAGACTATATCTGACCAGGCACTAAAAAGTATATCCCAGGATTCAAGAACAGAATTTGGAAATAAAGTATATAAACACTTAGAAGTCATTAAATATGTTCCTTCTGCCCAAAAATTTTTTCACAATCCCTGACTTTTTTTAATCTTTATCTTACTTTCTCATATTGACTGAACTATTAATTGAATATTTATTAGGATTAACATGTCTTATTTTACAATGCAAATTTTTCTCAAAGTGATTGGAAGTGGGTGGGGTTATCAGTTATTCACACTTCTCATATGAATTAGTATAATTTAATTGCTTTTCTTTTCAATCCAGCTGACATCAGATTCAGTTTAAGACTGGGAATCTGAGCAGAGATCAAAGATTTAGCACATGGTGCTTTGAAGGGAGCGGAGAAGGTGGTTGTGTGTGTGGGTTCTTGGTGCATCAGGAGGCTGTGGACAGTAAAAAGACATGCAGCACCAAGGCAGGGGAGAGGAGAGTGCTATAAACAGACCTTGGCTACCGAAAAGCAGGATAAAGCCAAAGCCAGTCTGTCCCCTCCTGATGTCTCCCTAGGGGACAAGTCCTTGAGGGGACAACTGAAGCGCAAAATAGGCATTTTCATCTACAACTCTTCATCTTCTATAGAACAACATTGAAGTTTCCTGATTACCAGTTCCCGGATCCGCACATCTCATCCTTCAGACATCGGTTCATTCTGTGTCCCCAGCTGTACCCCAGAACCTCTTCACCTATGACTCAACCTACTGTTCCTTCTGCTGTCTCTTTAGGTTTGACTCTTGTATGGACAAAATAATGTAGGTATTAATAGCACACACAGACTCATCCTCCTACCTTCTCAAGGCTGTTTGCCATATCATTTTCCTCTGCTGAACTAAAAACAAAAGGAAGGCTAAATTTGGTATTCAGAAATTACTGAGCTGACCTATTTATTCTTTATCCAGAAAAGGACATCACACCAGTATCAGGACCAAACAGACTAAAAGGTCATATCATAATAAAAATGTTCATTTGTTTGACTCACAGAGTTCATTATTTTAGTTCTTGAAGACTATTCTTGGTTTCTAAAACAGAATCATAAAAAAAAATCCAAACTGAGATAGTTTATCTTGACGTGCATAATCATGCGTTTATACTTCACTTTATACTAAAATGGAAATAATGTTTTTCTTTCCACTCCACTGCAAGAGTTTATAAAGATTTTTTTTCTAAGTAGTTCCAAATGTTAACCTTTAAAATATAGACAGATAAGTGTATTCAGATAGGTGTAAACTAGTTTCTTCTTTTATGGAATTAGTAATTTCTACTATAAAGAATTATTTTGATCACCATACTAAGGTCATGCCATTGACTTTGCTGATCCACATATCTCAGTATCCAAATGTATCCAATATCCAAATTTATATCCAAATTTACACCCAAATTTATATCTTGATATGTTTTCTAAAAGTTTTAAAAATTATCTTGATTTATGACATCTTAATTTTTATAGTTTTTTTTTTTTTTTTTTTTTTGAGACAGAGTCTAGCTCTGTCACCCAGGATGAGTGCATCTTGGCACATGATCTTGGCATGATCTTGGCGATCTTGGCTCACTGCAACCTCTGCCTCCTGGGTTCAAACCATTCTCCTGCCTCAGCCTCCCAAGTAGCTGGGACTACAGGCGCATGTTACCATGTCTGGCTAATTTTTTTGTATTTTTAGTAGAGATGGGGTTTCACCATGTTGGCAAGGCTGGTCTTGAACTCCTGACCTCAAATGATCTGCCCACCTCGGTAGCCCAAAGTGCTGGGATTACAGGCGTGAGCCACCGCGCCCGGCCCTATGACTTTTTAATTTTACTAACTAGTTGTCTAATAATTATTACTTTTGTTTTTGTGTTTGTTTTTCTTGGTCTCATTTATTTCCATAGTTTTGTATTATAATCTGTACTCAATATTTTCAATCCTTAATTCTTATTCTCATTGTACAATCTATGTGCTTTTATGATTGCAGAATGTATGAGATGTATTTTATGCAGGTTTTTACATGTTATAAACTTTTTACTTGTAGCATTTTATCTTTTATTTTGTATGTAATTTTATCACTATTTTTTACTCCTAAATTTTTATTTTTCTGTTTTCTAATTCTTTCACTTTTTTTAAAAAAAGGCACTTCTTTTAAAATACACTAATTTATTTTGAACTATTTTATTTTTTTCTCATTTTAATCCTTTCTTAACTGCTTTCCATTTATTAATTTGTATCAATTTTTCATATTTTTGCCTATTGTAGTGTATTTCATAAATTGTTTTATGATGTTCACAATAATTATGGCCATATGTGAAGCATATGGACAAAATCCACACCACAAATCAGTCATGGGAAGCCTTCTCTGATTCAGCTGTCTCTGTAGCAACTTGTTTGACAATCTAGATAGATTTCCTATCCTTTCAAGGAATGCTTAACCACACAAGTCCCTAACTAACGCTTAAGAACAAGAGGTTATTTCTTAGAGAGAAAATTATTCCCTCAATGCACATTTTGGTAATATTTGGCATGGTATCAAACAGCAATATTTTAAATATATTGAATATGTGATATCAAATAGCAATATTTTAAAATATATTCATTTCATTACATGATGAGCTTGTGTTTGTTGGTGTTTGTTTGATGCCTCTTCTGTGACATAATAAACACTGGCTTTGGGGAAAATGTGATAACAATCTGCTTTGGCTAGGAAACTCATATCTAGATGATGAGGGACCAGGCGGTACTGATCCTCCCAACAGACATTCACAGCAGGAAGCACAGGAAAGTACATGCATTTGCTGCTTACTGATTATCTATTAGCAATTTCACTCTCCTCCCTTTTCCACAGGTCCATGGGAGAATTCTCCGGGTGTATATCTGACCCCCTCCTCTCCCTTTCATTTTAATGGTCTAGGAGAAGCGGGAGAGATAGGACATTATCCTGAAAAGGATCATTGGTTCACTTATTTGGTGGCTCTCAAAAATTTTGAGAAACTTTTATTGGGCCTGGACCCAATAAAAAGATATAATCTAAAAGAATCTACAAAAGATAGAATCTAAGAGAAGTGGAGAGAGTTGATTTGCTCTGGAAATGTACTGGGCTCCAAAGAGAGCTCTCCATCCTCTCTTTTACTTTTTCTCCATAAGTAGGAATATAAATAATACATTTCAAAAATTGAAAATTATGATTACACTCAGAGAAGAAATTAGAAAGGCTCAATATGTAAGGAATAAGTTTAGCCCTTTTTAAGAGATGTCGTAAGTGTTTGGTAATACCTCATATTCATTCAAACTAATCCTGAGTATAAGCTTGAAGATGCAAAACTGTAAAGTGATGGTAAATGAGGAAGCTCTTATGTAGGTAATTTTTTTTCTCTGTCTAAAGTAAAAAATGTGTTCATGAGAAAAAAAAAATGGTCTAAACACCATCAGCAAAAAGGGAGACAACAGTGGAAACACTGGCAACTTATCTCCAGAGTTATCTAGGGCAGCCTTGTCCCATGGATACCAGGCTATGATGCATGTTGCAGACGTATCTCCATGGCCAAGGTGCAGCACTGGGCGCTGTGGTTTATTGAGACATTAAGACTATTTGATGAAATCCTTGTGTTCCCATATCTGTGGTCAATTTCATCATCTGTGAAATGGGAAAAATACAGTATCTACTTCATAGTGTTGAGTTTAAAACATATCATGTAATTATGTCTCTTAGAACATAGTAAGTTCTCAATAAATATGATGTATCTTTGTTATTACTATACAATTATTGAACTTAAGGATTTGTAACTACTGTTACAAATATTTCAAGATTCTTACAGACATACATATAATAACCATAGTATTTTAGAACTTTTGTTAAATACAGGAGTGACATTATAAAAGATTTTTTTTATCCTATAATTATAAGGAAAAGTGTTGTTTTTCTCTGTAGCAGTTGTCTAATTCATTATAATTTATAATTAATCAGTTAGTTTTTAAATAAGTAAGGCATCTTGTTCAATGTGACAACAGACCTTCTATGAAAGTACCCTAATTTTGAACCGTTGTACTAGCCAGCTCAGGCTGCTATACGAAATATCATACGTGGGGCAGCTCAACAAAGAATAATTTTATCACTTTTCCAGAAGCTGGGAAGTCCAAATCAAGGTTCAGCAGGGTTCTTTTTCTAGTCAGGGCCCTCTTCCTGGCTTGCAGATGGCCAGCTTATGGCTGTGTCCAACATGGCAGAAAGAGAGACAGGGACACACACATTGAGAGAGAGAGAGAGAGAAAGCGAGAGACAGAGAGAGAGAGAGAGAGAGAGAGAGAATCTCTCCTTATAAGGGATCAGTCCTATCAGATTAGGGCCCGACCCTTGACCTCATTTAAACTTAATTACTCCCTAAAGATGTTGTGTCCAGATATAGACACATTGTGGGGTAAGGCTTAGACATATGAGTTTTGTGGTGACACAATTCAGTCCATAGTCACTGACAATCCAAATTAGAATTGTCAGTGTCTTTTGATGAATAGGCAGCATGCTTTCAGAGTACTCAACTGAGCAGAAGTACAGGAATAATAATACATTCAGCATGCTCTTTTCTTTAATGAGATCAGTGAGATCCTTATATTAGCATGAGAAAACATTCTCCTGCATAGACTAAGATAACTCGTTTTCAAGCTATAAGAAGAAACAGACAGAAGGAGGGGGCTACCTGTTATGTTGTAATGTTTAACATTAAGGATCTATTTAATATTTAAAACTTTATATAGAAAGTTTTTCAACCCCAGGCCACATTTGTTTACAAATACTATCCACCAAAATGAATTAAATATATCTCATTATAGAAGGATGATGCTAACTAACCCCTTCTAAAACAATCTCATCTCCATTTTAGTTGGGGTCTTTATGCTTAAATGCAACATGTTAATTGAAATGAAGTTTCCAGTTGGTGACTAAATTTGCAAAAGGCATGCTAAATTTCATAATTCTTTTGTTGATCAATGTTAGTCACCACAGATATCCACTTATGTGGTAATCCTCATGTATCAACAAAGAAGCCAATATGAAAGTTGACTCACCTATAATCTAGTCATTTCACATGCATGAAACAATCTATCAACTCATAAAATCCAATATGTAGTCAGTTGCACATACTATGTATGAACATGCGCATGAACATATATAAAATTCATGAATTCTCTAGAAAAATGTAAGCAGAAATCTCTTTATAGGAAATCCAGAACTTTCCAGTAATAATGTCTATGTAAGAGATTTTATGTTAACATACAATGGAGAGATTTAATGATAATATAGAACTTAGATAGAATTAGAGGAAAATTATATTCACGTTATCTCTAAACCCTGGGGTTTCTGAGAAGAAGGGTTAATGTCCCAAATAGTGAGGCTCTGCACTTTATATGATGAAAGATGCACTGTAAAATGATGGCTCCAGATCAGCTAAATACATTATCAAAAGGAAGCACTAATCAAATAGGAAACACCTTCCCCTTAGGCACTGGAAAACGTTGCTGGGTTTTGTTCTTTGAAATCACCTTCTCTAAAGTGTTATAAAGATTAATTCAAAGACCAATTGATTTTATTTCTAGTTTTACACATACAGATACTTAAAAATATACCTTGTAAGGGAACAATCATATTCCTTCTGAGAGTGGTTTATATTATTACTATATGGTTTGCTTTTCTTTTACAAATTCTGACTTCAATCATACTGTATTTGTTGTACTTAGCTCTCCTTTTCCAAATGTTTGGGAATAATTTATAAAATAATAATTTCTGTTAAACAACTTACTTAAATAATGACCCAAGTAATAATTATTTGTGCAATTTTATAGACAGGTCCACAGCTTATTTCCACTACATGCATCAAAACATGGCTGACCATGAGAATAATAAAATAATTTTGTGCTAGGTGTGCCTTTTGGCTACATAGAACATAGTCATTTTAAAAAACCTTTAACACTCAATCCTTTTAGTAACACTGTACTTTTCTATTTTACAAGTGGAAAATAAGCAAAACTGACATACTGCTTGGTTCTTTTTTTGAAGCAGTTTTGATGACTTAAAAATAATTCCCCCAACTACAGAAGTCTAGTACAATTGGATCTTTATATATTAAAAACAGATAAAGCTATACCCCACCAGTTTTTCAGGAAGTGAGTGGAACACTACTGAGTCAGTCTTATGGCACAGCTTGAACTAATAATAGACACTTAGGATTATCCAAGAAGCTCATCTGGGACTGAGACAAGCACTTCCTAATGCTAGTCTCCTGGGCCGTCATTCAAATGTATTATTATTCAAGTAGCTAATGAGACAAGAAAAGCTTGAACCATAATTGACTTGTATTCTCTTGGGAGGTCAGCTCTGAGAGTAGATTTAAGTAGATTCCCCAAGTGTACGGTAGATGGAAAGTATTGTAATTAATTTATCAGTCAAAACCAAGCTTGTGAGTGAAAGAATTGCCCAATTCCTTCTTTACCAAGTCCCAGACTCCAACCTCTCTAGGAAAAAGGAAAAAATAAACAAAAAAACTACTTCCACATATTCTGAAATATAAATACATATGTAACTTGAAACATACAATGTGGTATATGTTTACATATATAAAGTGTATGTCTGTGTGTGTGTGTGTATACATACTTTTCCAAATAATATAATGCAAAAAAGTTCCCATATATAGTGTAATTTTAGATGTCATAGAAGTTCAGTTATATTAAATATTGTGATATCATTACTTATACTAATGTAAACAATCATATTATTCGACTATGTTGCATGTGTCATATCCTAAAAACTGATGTTCAGCCATTTTATGGAAATCCTGTCATATACAACAACATAGATAATCCTAGAAGGCACTGTGTTAAGTGAAAGAAGCCAGACACAGCAAGACAAATACCTCATGATCTCATGCAGGTAGCAGCTAAGAAAGTTGATCTCATAGAAATATACAAAAGAATGGTGGTTACCAGAGGCTAGGTCAGTTGAGGGGTGGCCGGGGTGTTGGAAGATGTTAATCAAAGGATACAAAGTTACAGTTAGATAGGAGGAAAAATGTCAAGGGATCTATTATAGGGCAGGGTGACTATAGCTAATGATAATATATCATATTCTTAAAAATATTAAGATTGTGAATAAGTGCTGTCACCACACAAATAATAACTATATGGGGTAATGCATATGTTAATTAGACAGATTCAACCATGTTAATTAGACAGATGTAACAATGTGTACATACTTCAAACATCATGCTGTATAGAAGAAATACACACAATTTTTTCAGTCAATTTAAACAAATAAATTTGAAAAAATAAATAAGTGAAACAAAGATATTCCGTCATAAAAACTGATGATTTATTTGCAGTTTTTTAAATTAATTGCAAAATGTTAGTTCAACATGGCTAAAACTATTTTTCCCAAACTCCACTAAAATAACAGAAAAGAGTTTTAAAAGAAAGTATAAAACTATAATCACAAAGCAGAAAGAAAAAGAGATAAGAGCGGATAAAACATTACAACATGTTTTTAGAAGACTGAAAACATACAGATGAGTGATGCCTGACCTTTAGGAGCAAAGAAAATTATAATCAGAGTACTATTCTGATGAAAAAAAAAAAGCATAATTTCTTAAGAAAGCCTGGCAGTTCAAAGTCTTGAAGAAGGCAACTTCAAATATAGAGCAGATACTTGGAGGATTATTGAAGGTCTACATTAATTGTAGTCAGCCTCCAGATCTGCTCCCTGAATCATTACATTCCTCCTGACCCCTAAAGAGCCTAAGGTTTCATTGTTTGGAATAAGTGAATCAGACTGGTCCCAGACTAGTACAGGAGAAGCAGCAGAGTAGCAGGAGGCAAGAGACTAAGACTGGGGAATTAAATGAATGTTGAAACTCTAAGGGCCTGCCCCCATTCTAGTGCTAGTATGAACTACAGCCAAGTGGATATTACCTGAATTGCTTCCACAGGCAGGAGATCATAGATTCTTCCCTAGGAAAATGAAATGGCCTCACAAAATGTAACTTTAAAACATTGGGATTCGGTAGTACACAAATAAAAACATTATTTAATGTGAAGCCTGGAAGTCAGCAAATACTTATCATGCACATGTAGCTACAAATTTACTCAAATGTGAACAGATAGCCGAGGATCACCAGGCATTTAAGGAATGGCTTCAAGATAGAAAAAACTAAAGTAAAGTAAGCAACAGAAGAAAAGTAACTAGAGGAGCCAGAGAAAATATAACACAAAACTCCAAAATTAATATCTTCAGGGAAGGAGCTTATGATATTGTATGCATGTCAAAAAAAGTAAGATATAATAAAAAGTAGCAGACCACAAGAATAAAAATTATTGTAAATTAATACTATGATAAAAATTTTAAAATTCAACAAAATAATTTGAAAAAATTAAGGAAAATCTTTCTCCTACACACACACACACACACACAGATACATACAGACACAAAAAAACACTACAAAAAGACAAGGTAACACGTCACGGGAGAACAAAAGGTAAGACCATTAGAGGAACATTCTAGGTGGACCAACATCCAACTAAAAGGAGTTTCAGAAAAACAGACCAGGGGAAGGAAGTTATTATTGTCCAAAATTGAAAGACTGGTGCTGTGGTCACTATTGCCAAGTAACAAGATACTCCAAAATCTAGCTCTTTAAACACTCATTTTATCATGCTCATGGTTAAATGAGTTGAGAATTTGGACAGGGCCCAGGAAGAATGGTTTGTTTCTGCTACACAGTTTCAGGACCCTCAGCTGGAAACACTCAATGGCTATAGATTACTCAGTGATAGGGTACTGAAATCATCTAGAGTCATCCTCACTCATCTACCTGGAAATTGATGCTGAGATTTTTTTGTTTTGTTTTTTGAGACAGGGTCTTACTGTATCACCCAGGCTGGAGTGCAGTGGTGTGATCACGGCTCACTGCAACCTTACTTCCCAGGCTCAAGTGATCCTCCCACTTCAGCCTTCCACGAAAGGTGTGCACCACTATGCCTGGCTAATTTTTTTGTACAGACTGGGTTGTGCCATGTTGCCCAGTCTGGTCTCGAGCTCCTGGGCTCAAGTGATCTGTCTGCCTCAGCCTACTAAAGTGCTGGGATTACAGATGTGAGCCACTGTGCCTGGCCAATGCTGACTTTCATCTATGACCTTAGCTAAAGCCATGTGGACTGTGTCTGAACTCTTCATGTGACCTGGCCTTCCACACAAAATGGAGATTACAAGGTAGGCAAATTTCTTACACGGTAGCTCAAGCAGCCAGTGTGAGTGTCCCAGCCATGCAACATGGAAGCTTCATTATATTTAATGACCTAGGCTTGGAAGGTCACATAATATTCTCACCAATTAATCCTCTTAGTTATAAAGAAGTTGTTATATTCAGCTTAGATTTAAGCGGTTGGAACAGAGACCCCACCTGTTGAGTGGAGGAGTGTCAAAGATTTGTAGACATGTTTCAAAACTGCTGCAGTTTCAATGTCAGAATAAAGGTCTAGCACAGAGAATTTGAAAATTTCCTACATCAATGAATTGATAGTAAAATATCAAAATATTTGGAATTCATAGACATTTCTAAAAGTTTCTAGAAAGGGAAAAATAACCAAATATAAAAGATAGAGAATAAAAGTGATATGGGCTTTCTGAAGTTTTTTACTAGAATCTAAGATACTACATCAGTGCCTTCAATTTTATACATAATTAATTAATTTTTGACAATGGGGCCAAGAAAATTAAATGGAGGAAAATAGTCTTTTAAGCAAATGGTGCTAGGAGGACTAGTTATGCATGAGCAAAAGTATAAAGTTGTAGCCCTGTCTCATACCATGTATAAAAATTAACTCAAAATGGATCAAATGCTTTAATGTAAGAGCTAAAACTATTAAACTCTTAGCAAAAATAAGTGTAAATGTTTATTAGCTTGAATTAAACAATAGTTTCTCAAATATGGCACCTAACACATGCAATAAAATAAAAAAATAAATAAATTACGCTTCATCAAAATCAAAAAATTTCGTGCATCAAAGAACACTATCAAGAAAGATAAAAGAACTGGCTAGCCATATGCAGAAAACAGAAACTGGGCCCCTTCCTGACATGTTATACAAAAATTAACTTAATATGGGTTAAATGTTTAAATGTAAAACCCAAAACCAAAAAGTCCTAGAAGAAAACCTAGGCAATACCATTCAGGACATAGGCATGGGCAAAGACTTCATGACTAAAACACCAAAAGCAATTGCAACAAAAGCCAAAATTGACAAATGTGATCTAATTAAAGAGCTTCTGCACAGCAAAAGAAACTATCGTCAGAGTGAACAGGCAACCTACAGAATGGGAAAAAATTTTTGCAATCTATCCATCTGACAAACGTCTAATATCCAGAATCTAAAGGAACTTAAACAAATTTACAAGAAAAAACCAACCCCATCCAAAAGTGGGTGAAGGATATGAACAGACACTTCTCAAAAGAGAAGATTTATGCCGCCAACAAACATATGAAAAAATGCTCATCATCACTGATCATCAGAGAAATGCAAATGAAAACCACAATGAGATGCCATCTCACGCCAGTTAGAATAGTGATCATTAAGAAGTCAGGAAACAACGGATGCTGGAGAGGATGTGGAAAAATAGGAACGCTTTTACACTGTTGGTAGGAGTGTAAATTAGTTCAACCATTGTGGAAGACAGTGTGGCAATTCCTCAAGGATCTAGAACCAGAAATACCATTTGACCCTGCAATCCTATTACTGGGTATATACCCAAAGGATTATGAATCATTCTACTCTAAAGACACATGCACACATATGTTTATTGCAGCACTATTTTACAATAGCAAAGACTTGGAACCAACCCAAGTGCCCATCAATGATAGACTGGATAAAGAAAATGTGGAATACTGTGGAATACTATGCAGCCATTAAAAAGAATGAGATCACGGCCTTTGCAGGACATGGATGAAGCTGGAAACCATTATTCTCAGAAAACCAGCACAGAAACAGAAAACCAAACACCTTATGTTCTCACTCATAAGTGGGAGTTAAACAATGAGACACATGGACACAAGGAGGGGATCATCACACATGAGGGCCTGTCATGGGGGGTGTTGGGGGCAAGGAGGAGGGAGAGCATTTGGGCAAATACCTAATGCATGTGGGGCTTAAAACCTAGATGATGGGTTGATAGGTGCAGCAAACTACCATGGCATATGTATACCTATGTAACAAACCTGCACATTCTGTACATGTATCCCAGAATTTAAGGTAATATTTTTTTTAAAAAAAAGATAAAAGACAACCCATAAGATGGGTGAAATATTTATATATCCTATATCTGATAAGGGTCTAGCATCCAGAATATATAAAGAGTGTTCACAACTCAAGAAGACAAATAATTAATTTTATTTTAATGGGCAAAGAAACAGAGTAGACAGTTCTCCAAAGAAGGTATGCAAATGACCTACAGGTATATGAAAATTTTTCTCAACATTATTAGTCATTATGGAAACACAAATCAAAATCACAACAAAACAACCCAAACAAATTATATGAACTGATGAATGGATAAATAAAATATGTTATATGCATACAATGGAATATTATTGAGCTATGAAAAGGAACGAACTATTGATATGTGCTAAAACATGGATGAACCTTGAAAACATTTTGGTAAGTTAAAGAAGCCAGATGCAAAAGGCCACATATGTGTTATTCCATTTGTATATGAAATGTCCAGAAAGGGCAAATTCGTAGAGACAGGTAGGGTAGAAAGAGATGACTGCTTAATGAGTATGTGAGTTTTTTAGTGGGTGGGGTAGGTGATGAAAATGTTCTGAAATTAGATAATGGTGATTGTTGAACTCTGTGATAGACTTATGAATAGACTAAAAATCCCAAATTGTACACTTTAAATCGGTTAGTTTTGTGGTATGTGGATTCTATCTACTTCATTTAAAAAGAATATGCCTATATGTGTTTTAGAATAAAAATCTTAATGTGCATCTGTATTAGCTTGTTAATTGTTAATTGCGCAAAGGAATTATATTGGAAGATGGGGAACAAAGCAACACTATTTTTTATTATATACTTTTAAGCATTATGAAATGTAAAACTACGTAAGTATTTGTTATTTTAAACTTCATTAAACATTTTATTATAATTGCTTTAGTACTATGATTTTAAAATTATATAGTTGTTTGATTTTTTTAGAATAATACTTATATATAGTTCAAAGTATTATTCATTTTGCAAAATACTTTATTTTACTTAATACACACAATTAGAAAATAATCTTGTCTGTGTTAATTATAGCATTTCAAAAAGTGTAAAATTTAATTATAAAGTATATCTAAGCCACATATTTTATTTTGTGTACCAATTATATATCCCAAGTACATATTGATTTACCATGCAGAGAATCGAACCATTAATTGTTGACACCCAAGGTGCCTAAATGTACTCTCTACTGTCCATTCAAATCGGTAATAATTCACTTTTTCTGAGACTATAATGAAAGCATTATCCTAATCCAAGGATTTCCCACAGATGCTAGGAAGAAATAGATCCTCTAAAATATAGAACAATCCTGATTTTTATTACTGTGCTTCGTTCCATTTGATTTGATGGAATTATTAGAGATAACATCTGTAGCATGTAAATGTTTACAAGGAATGGTTGGTCTACTAGGAAAGCATGTAAGTGAGATAATCACCAAAACTCAGCTGTGAAAACCAAAGTAGCTGCTTTCTAGGGAACAGGATTGATCTATAAGAATCTCATAGCTGGAATATTCCTAGAGTAGAGATATTTGTTGGCTGCCTCATTTGTATTTAGTTTTAAACAGTCACATATATCACATTGTTTATGGAATATTAAAGATTTTATATTCAACTTCACCTCATCCTCTACATGTTGGGGTGTATTTTGTTTTTGTTTGTTTTTCAGGCTGAATGAAATTTGGTTTAAGGCTTAGATGACATGGATCTGGCTTCCTTATTTCTGCTTTCTCCCTCTGAATTTTTTCACAAAGCACCTCACAGAATATTTTTGTTTAGCTATAGAGGTTAGACCTTGAGCTTAGTGCCTAGCCTGTGACCAAGTACATGTGTTTCTATTCAGAATGTTTGACAACATAAAAATTGATGAAAATTAATGAAAATGGTTACAATCACAGCAATACAAACAGCAGGAAAGGGCACCTTAGCAGGTGCAAATTTACAACAAAGATGCGAATACAGAAAGCAGAGGGAAGGGTGTCAGCTGATAAAGGGTGGAGCAAACTTCACCTAAAGTATTCTAAATGGGTGCTACAACTGGAGAAACCATAAAGCAAAGGGGAATTCCAGAAAAACTAAGAACTCAGGGAGCGGAGTGTAAATTGAAGAAAGGCTGGAGTGAGGGTTGGTGCATCGAAAAGTTGAACTAACTGGAAGTCTATAAGGAAGATCCTTTCCTCCAATACCTCAATACTTGACCTACAGTCACACGTTAAGTTTAACAAAAATAGTCAGGAATCTTTCTTTTTATAAAAGTGTCTTAGGAGAACCAGGAAAAATTGTGTGAAAGCACCACAGAGCAGAAACTCCTTCCTTTTGGCATTTGGGATGCACCATCAGAACTGCTGGCTCTGTAACATTCACTCCAAACTGAAGAAGTTGTCTGTTAGGAAGTCCCAACTGCTTTTCACTGCCCCTAGTCACACTTTTTATTGTTAAATATGGACAGATAATAATGGATCATGTGACATTTGAAAAAAGCTTTATTGTAAAAGCATAGCCAAACAGGTATCAACCTAAAGAAAGAAACTGAGGCAACATTATTATAAGTAGAGGGTTTCTTTGGGCCAAATTTGAGTCCTTCAACTTGAGAGACAGATTCAAATTGCCTTGATTATATGCTTTGATTAGCAACGTTACAAGTGTGCTTTTAAAGGAAAAATGAAGGGGCAGCTTCTAAGTTGAACATAAGCTATTGATTAAGTATACATTGTTCTTTGCATTGCAAATTCCAGGAGCATGAAGATAATGGGTGAGGGTCACATTGTGCAACTTGTGATAGCATTTTAGGTAACTTATCAGTGAGTGTGGAAACTACAGGGAAGGAAAGAAAGAACAATTTGCCTTTAAACACTTCCCCACAATGAGGCATGTGTGGGTGGGTGTCCCCCAGCCTTATGAAGGCTTATTCTCATTTCTCTCTGAGTTTGGTAAGTTGTGCATACTTTACATTCTTTGCACAGCTCTGAGCTCCTTTTTTTTTTCTTTATAGGAAAAAATAACCTTAGGGAAAACAGATAATTTAAAAAATAATAAAAAGTGAATATTACCCTCAGATATGTATGAAGATATTCCATTCACAGAACAAAACATAAAGCTATGACAAATAGAATAATAATGAGGTTTTAGAACTTAAATATATATTTGCATAAGTTAATAATATTAGAAAGAAGGGAACAATAGCCGAGGAAATCTTACAGAATATAGAACAAAAGTCAAGAAAAAATGCAGAAAATATAAGAGAAGGCAGAATATTAATCCAATAAATCTGGGACCTAATTAATAGAAATTTTTTAAAATGAGAATAGAAAACAGAGAAGGAAAGAAATTATCAAAAAAATAATAAAGGAAAAATTTCCAGGACTGAAGGGAAGAGACATGAGTCTTCAAAAGGAAAGGGCATACAAGTGTGAAAGAATGAATTTTAAAATGACCCATCTAGGTATATAATTTAGGAATTTCATAATATAAAGAACCAAGTTCTTATCTATAGGAAAACGGCCTGCTGCATGGCAAGAGTGACGCCATCTTAAAGCGAAACTGCCATGATAACCGATATTTTACTCCTGCATGATATGCTGTTCTGCAGCAAGGTCTCTAAACAATGCCTGGAGCATAGATAACCCCACATAAGGATGCTTATCCAACTGCCCCCCTTGCCCAGCTGCACATGTCTTTACCATAAAAGCTTGCTACGTAAAGGGCACTTAATGGAGAGTGGGTGCAGGGATCCACTATCTCATGGCTGGCCTGGATATTGCTCTGTTCCTAAGTCCCTATTAAATATTTCTTTCTGAGAAACTGGATTTCTCAGCCTCTTTCTTTGGCTTCTCAGCTCCCTCCACCTTTGGGGACAGGTTTGTACATACCTGCTCAACACAGAACATTATCCTATTTCTCTACTTTGTTTTCTACTCCCTTGCAATTTACACATTTTCAAAAAATCTTTCTGCATCCTGAATCAAAGTTTATCTTATAAGCTTTTATACCTGATGCTGACCTCTTTCACGTGAGGACTTTTGCCTAGAATCTGTCCCTGGACTGCCCTGGCGTCATGTTTAAACATGTCACATGTCAGGTAGTCACTCTAGCTGACATCCTGGCTAAGTGGTCATGGGCATCTGCATATTGCCTGTAACTTATTCTCCAATTTTCCTATCACCTCTTTCCAAAATTGCCCTAGATCATCTATTATGGAGAAAGAGGAAATGCTTTTGTGTTTCTGGGGGTGGGGCCATCTAAATAAATTTTTCTGAAAGTTGGGATCTTCAAATGAGAGCAAGACTTGGGAAGTTTATTTACAACTGTACAGATAGTAAAAGAACTCCAGAGATTGACCTAATTCTATATGTATGAATTTATATTTCAAGGGAAAAAAAGGTCTAAAACTATGTACACATCTTTCTGTCACAGAATCCAGTGGCCTTGGAGAGATGTATTTACATTCCAAAATATTACAGTGAGAACATGGGTTCTTTTTCATCCTTGTCTGAGAAGGAAAGATTTTTCTTCTTTATTTTGGGAGGGTAGGAGGAGGCAGCTATGTCTTTCTCCAGTACATAAGCAGAGAAAATCAATTTTTCTCCTTTTTTCTCTTATTAGAAGTTTGCCTTTCTAGGGCATTGTAATTAGGTTTCATCACATTGGCCAGGGGTAACAATCAGAGTAAAGAGAATTACAGAATCATTATTTGCTTCTTAAGTCAATAGCAATAATCTGTATTCTATCCAGAACACCTCATGCACACATTTAAGATAAAATTAATAAAGATTAACATTTAAAGTTCAAAGCCTATCCTCACCCTCTTGACTGAACTTCAGTCCTCACAACAGCTTCCGAGGTCAAAAATCCAAACTCTCAAATGCTATTTATTTATTTACTTATTTTGAGACAGTGTCACATTCTGTCACCCAGGCTGGAGGGCAGTGGCATGAACATGACTCAGTGTAGCCTCAACTTCCTGAGCTCAAGTGATCCTTTAACTTCAGCCTCCAGAGCAGCTGGGACTACAGGCATGTACCACCATGCCTGGCTAATTTTAAAACTTTTTTTATAGAGACAAGGTCTCACTATGTTGCTCAGGCTGGTCTCGTAATCTTGGGCTCAAGCCATCCTCCTCTCCTGGCCTCCCAAAGTGCTGGGATTATAGGCATAAGCCATTGTGCCCAGCAAATGTTAGCTTTTTAAGGAGAGCAAAAGACAAGTTTTTCTATTTGCAATCTATGATAATAACATAATACATTTCAGAATAAATCTGAGATAACCAAGAAGTAAATTAACTAGTAATTTTTCTCAATGAGATATGTATAATATTGACCTATTTGGATAAATATATTTATAAGTATCATGGATTAAACATAAAGGAATGGCTAAAGCTAGAAAATACATTTCTAGCTGGCTTTAAGCCACATTTCAGGGTGAAATGAGCTGAATATATTAAATAGTCATCTTATCTCATCACTTCTTCTCTGCCTCCCTGAGTAGAAAGAAATCTACTGCGAACAAACAAAATACATCAAATATAGTTTTGTATTTTTAACCAACAGTGACCTTGGCTCTTGTCATTTCGGGGAGTAATTAGGATTTAAGCTATTCTTTCTAATATAGTTTCATTGTAATTTCATTAAGCTTTACAACTGCATGGTGAATATTTATATAATGAGGTTGCTTCCTGCATCATTACTTTATATCAACCACATGTATAGACTGGCAAAAATTTTGAACTACTGGATGCCATTTTGTGCTTGATATTTTTCCATTCCCTTTGGCCTGTGTTTATAGAAAATAAATAATTAGAGTTGAAGTAATTGTAGTCAAATCATTCAAGTTCTGATACAAATTTTGACAAAAATTTAGAGATAAACCTATATAGAAAATAAACTGGAAGCAACACCCTAAGCCCCAAAGGTTTCCTGAACCCACCTTTAGTTTGGCATCCCAATACTTGTAGTTTCATTCAGATTGTCCAAAGAGCCTTCATTGTTCAGTTCAATTATCTCTTTGGTCTAATTGTCTTTCTACCACAACTATCCTAATAATCCCATTTCTAAAAAAATCTATCTCCTTCCTCTACTCCAAATCTTTGGTTGCCAAGCACTGCTAGGGAGAATCAGAAAGCCTTCCATCTCCTCATGATTACTAAGATACATTTTTCTTTTGAATGAGCCCATACTCTGTTTAGAACTCTAGTTATTTACTCTAATCAGCCCCTAAAACTGATCTCTAAGTAGTTGTTTAAAATCTTGAGCACTATCTGCAAATCTTTGTTTTATGCTCACGACAATTACCTTATCCGGTAGTTAGAATCTGTGTTTTCTCTCTAGTAGGTATACTCTCTATTTTCCAAGATCACCTCTCTCACTTGTGACCTTGATTTCACCCTCCTCCACCTCCCCAGGACTTGCTCCATCAAGTATCTTCTCTGCCTTTTGTGCCTTTATAAAACTCTTCCCTCTTAAGACTACAAATAGTTTCTGTTCTTATGACCTAAATCTACCCTAGATCACCACCAAACAAACATCTGCCAGTCAAATTTCTCTTAAGACTGGGCACCTTCTGATATCTCATGTAGTGCTAAGTGCAGGTCAATCTGTCTTTATTTGTCAAAGACAATGTCAATAGTAACATCCTAATTGCCTAAATAACAGCTAACCTTCAGTTTAATCTCATTTGGTTCCTCTTTGACATTTTATATTTTATATTTTAGGCCAATTTATTCTCTTTTTTAATTTTTTTTTATTTTTTTTTGAGACAGAGTCTTGCTCTGTCGCCCAGGCTGGAGTGCAGTGGCGTGGTCTATACTCACGGTAACCTATGTCCCCCAGGTCCAAGTGATTCTTCTGTCTCAGCCTCCTGAGTAGCTGGGACGACAGGCACCCACCACCATGCCCAGCTAATTTTTGTATTTTTAGTAGACATGGGTTTTCACTATGTTGGCCAGGCTAGTCTTGAACTCCTGACCTCAAGTAATCCACCTGCCTCAGCTTCCCAAAGTCCTGAGATTACAGGCATAAGACACTGCACTTAGCCTCCAAATTATTATTGAAATATTTTCATCCTTGACTACCAAAGCACTATTTTTTTCTGATGTTCAGGTTGCCTATATGACTTCTGGCTTCTAAGTACACTTCATGTAGCACTTTTCTGGGATTTTTTCAGGCTTTCTGTGAACAATCCCATCAACTCTGTTCCAACAGCACCTGTGAATCAATGAGTGTCAGTTCTTTATCTTTATCTCACTTCTCTACGTGGCTCACCTCGTAGGATAAATGGAGTGACCTTTATTTAGAAACTTAGCCTTGTTAGGGATTTAATTTCCATAAGAAGTTGTATTAGTCCGTTCTTGCACTGCTATAAAGAAATACCTGAGACGGGGAAATTTACAAAGAAAAGAGGTTTAATTGGCTCGAGGTTCCATAGGCTGTACAGAAAGCAGGGCTAGGGAGGCCGCAGGAGATTTACGATCATGGCCGAAGGCAAAGGGGAAGCAGGCACACCTTCACCTGGCCAGAGCAGGAATAAGAGAAGAGGGAGCTACACACTTTTAGAGAACCAGATCTAGCAATAACTCACTAACAATCACAAAAACAGCACCGAAGGGCAAATCTGCCCTTATGATCCAATCACCTCCCACCAGGCCCCACTGCCAGCATCGGGGATTACAATTTGACATGAGACTTGGGTGGGAACATAGACCCAAACCATATCAGAAGTCAATCCTGCATTACACAATTGTTTTCTATAGCCAGCAATCTATGACATGACTGCACTGAAATAACTGGCAGCTGGCAAATTAGTCATGTATGTACCAGTAAGGAAGAAAAAATAAAATACACCACTGTTCAATATTTTTCAATGCTCAGATGAACAAAACAGTAACTATGGAGCATTACCCAGGGGATATGCAGTATTCTTACAGATTCTCAAAAATTTACCTGTGGATTAAGTCAGGCCATAATGATTCTGATAGTTTCCTGAATTGCTTATTATTTCCCCCTTTTCTCAGATTGCTTTTAGTGAACCATTCTTTTGCATAATAGGTTGGTCTGTATTGAAACATAGTATAAGAAATAGTTCCAGCATACCTATTACAGTTTTAAATTTAAGGATGCTGCAGGTGAGAAACAGTTTTAAAAAGTGAGACAGACTATAACATTAGATAGACTCTTCAAATTATTCAGAAGAAAAATATATTATTTATTTTCAAAAGCTATACATACCTATTTTACATAATAGCTACCAACTTTCCTTTTTATAAAAATCTTCCCATGAAACACATTGTTCATTTGATGTCTCCCATTAATGGCCTTAAACTGATACCTATTTAAGAATTATGTATATAGTTTTATATATTTTATCACATAAGCACCTTAAATAACTTATGTTAATATCACAGATAAACTTTGTAAATTCACTCTTCATTGCAGTACAAAATAGAGACTGTAAAAACATTATACTCCCTCAAAATGACCCAAAGCAATACAGGATTCATTAGGATTTCTTTTTCATTTAACAAACACATTTGCATTTAGATTTGTAATGTCTTTATTAGAAGACTGAAAAATAAATTATTAAAATATTTTCAAACAAATATGTAAAACATTAGGATAATTGGATGCAATATTACAGAATGAAATGAATTTGACATGCAAGTTGTTAAATATGAATGAATCTCATCTTAATTTTGTTACTAATTAGCCAGAATAACTGTTTCACAGAAGACTTAGGGCTATAATTTATTTATCTGTAAAAATGAGAGTTTTGAATAAAGTTAAATTATATTATCTCTAAGGTGCAACTAGCATTCCATAAGTTGGTATAGTGTTATCACTCTCAATCATTGATTGGTGGTTAATATATACCTAGGTTAACTTTGCAGTTAGCTCTTCCAAATGTAGCTGCTTATTTAGATATTAAACCCAGTATGTTAGAAAAATGGTATCACTTCTAAAGGATACTACCAAGAACAATGGGCATGTTTTCTTCACAAAATGTACATTGAAAGTAGAATCTCATTATATCATTTACTAGACAACTATAGGAAATGCAGTGGTTACAATTTTAGCTATCACACGAATGAATGAATGAATGAATGAATGCGATGTCTTTCATCTATCTTCACCTATTATCTGAATAGAAGCAATTAACACTCATGTTGATTTCAAGACTAATATAGGTGAGAAAGAAAAATTTTCAGTTAGTCTAGTTGATAAATTCAGTACTAACTCCTTTGTCATATTTTTCTTTATCCAAAAAAATGACGTATATTATAGTAGAACTGTTAATACATGTTAATTACAAAGAGTTGAGCCAATATATGAAGTAAAAAGAAGAAGTTAAAAGCAACTATAATTGCACATTAGGAGAGTATGATCACTAACATTTTAGTAACTTGCTAGGGAGGCAGTGTTGGATAGTGGCTAAGAACACCACCCTGGAACCAACCTGTCAGCTGAGTTCCAACTCTATAAAACACTAGTTCAGGCTACTTCTTTTGTGATTTGGTGTCTGCGACAACAACAAAAAAAGTAATTTTTTTTCTTTTTCTTTTTTTTTTTTTTTTTTTTTGAGACAGAGTCTTGCTCTGTCGCCCAAGCTGGAGTACAGTGGCATGATATCAGCTCACTGCAATCTCCACCTCCTGGGTTCAAGCAATTCTCCTGCCTCAGCCTCCCAAGTAGTTGGGATTACAGGTATCCACCACCACACCTGGCTAATTTTTGTATTTTTACTAGAGACGGAGCTTCACCATGTTGGCCAGGCTGGTCTTGAACTCCTGACCTAAAGTAATATGCCTGCCTCAGCCTCCCTAAGTGCTGAGATTACAGGCATGAGCCACCACACCCAGCCAAAAAAGTAATTTTTAAAAATAAATTTTAAAACTGTTTTGTTTAGTTTTCATACTTAATATTTAACCCCGACAATTTTCCCAAAAGTTGTTGTTAAAAATCAGCATTTAGTAGCTGCATAGTATTTCCAACTTATGGATATGCCTTAATTGATCTAGTAATTCCACTACTATTGAATATTTAGGGTAGTTTTAGTATTTTACTATTATAAATAATTCTTTAATAATAAAATAGACTTTTCTAGTCCTGTGTGCAATCAGATTTATAAGTATTTGGTAGTCACTCTATTCATCTACAAAATCTTTATTCATCATAGTCTTCATATTTACCTAAATAAAATCTGAAAAAATACACTTCAAAATTATTGAAATATTAAAACAGTCTCATGTTTTGATGTAAAAATATCAAAGTTAATTTTATAACATGGTAGCACATCTTGAGGAGGGAATATAAGATTTATAAATTCTCATATGTTTCCTTAGCATTCAAACACATTCTTGTATATGCATATACCATGTATAATTTACTGACATCTTAAAATATTAGATCAGAAAAATAAGTAAAATGGCTAAAGATTAAGGTTTACAGTAACTCCATTCTTTGTGTAGCTATTACTCCAATGAGGGAATTTTAAAAATACCTAATGGGTCGTTAGATGTATAATGTCATGTTAATACTTTTCTATTCTTTTGGAATCTATTATTTAAATATTAGTTTATGTAATATATAGTTCTTATATATGTTACCCTATGTATTCAGAATGCCAATTCTTCATCTCCACTCACCATATTTACCTGGTGAATAAAATATATATGCTCTTCATCATTAAAGTCTCAGTTTCTTTTTTATCTATTCTATGCAGGCATTATCTTTTTTTCTATTCTGTGCAGGCTTCTTCATTCTTATTCTCCAGAATAATTTGTCATTCGTTCTGATTTTATCTTTCCCTTTGAGTATCTGCCATATTACTCTTATTATGCTGCATAGTAAACTATCTCCCTTACATTCTCTTGAAATTATGAGCTTCTTGAAGGCAGGGTCCATGTTGAATATTTACACATATCATCCAAGCACGTAGCAACTTAGGCATCTTTGCGCTTACCACTTACTTCATTTTGTATATTTAGTACCCCGCACAATTCTTGGCTTAGCTCTAGCAATAAATGAATGAACAGATATTCTGATGATATTTAATGAAGAATCACATATGTAATTTCTATGCCCTTCTAATGCCAAAGTCTAAGAGGATTTTACTACATTGAGAATATCATTTGAGGTGTAATTGTTTCCTTTTTATTTTATCTATTTCAGAGACCTAGTTCTCAAAAATATATTGAGAAAGGAATATAAAATGATAATTGGCAAACTTGCAAGACTGGTATTTTTTAAAATTTATCCTTGGCACACAGAAAATTGTGATCACAACCTGTCACCATACTAAACACCATTTTTATGATTGTGAACACAATATATTTGGTGGGGAATAATTTTAGGAAGACAAAAATTATCACCCTGATTTCTTAAATGAGAATAGAAAATGTTCTGTGCAATCACCAACATATCAAGCTTATCTACAAAAATGTTTTTGGATATATTGCATGTGCTAGGGATATTTTTATTTCTAAGGTTACCACAGTGATAATTACACACAGTACAAATTCAAAACTATATTTTTAAAAAACAAACTTAAACTCAGAGAAAGTTTAAAAAGTATTGAAGGAAAACAAACCTAAGTATTTATATCTCTGGTAAAGAGTTATTTTAACTATATTCTAGTGAACCCATGTAATTTTTTGGAAAAAAAAATCTCGGAAATAGGGCTTGGTCTTGGGAAAATTTATTAAGAAGTTGAAGGTGTAGGAAAAACATCTCCTCTCCTTTTCTTACCAACACACATTGCTTGGCCTCTGACCCATAGAATCCAGTGTGTATTTCTGTCAAGATGCTTTTGATAACTAATAATTCTGGACCCCTACAAATTGTTCTCACTGTGGTAGAGATGTTTTGAAGAGGAGGTGTCATGAAAATGTAAAAAGGGTACATCATTAATTGCATGTTTTCACTTGAGTTTGGCAGCTATAGATGGTGTTGCCATTTGGAAAGGGAGTAATCGTTATTCTTTTTTATTTTTTTTATTTTATTTATTTATTTATTTTTTTGAGACAGAGTCTCGCTCTGTTGCCCAGGCTGGAGTGCGGTTACGTGATCTCTGCTCACTGCAAGCTCCCCCTCCTGGGTTCATGCCATTCTCCTGCCTCAGCCTCCCGAGTAGCTGGGACTACAGGCACCCGCCACCAGGCCTGGCTAATTTTTTTTGGTATTTTTAGTAGAGACAGCGTTTCACCATGTAAGCCAGGATGGTCTCGATCTCCTGACCTTGTGATCCACCCGCCTTGGCCTCCCAAAGTGCTGGGATTACAGGCGTGAGCCACTGCGCCTGGCCTGTTATTCTTAAAGCACATTCTGTAGCTCTTCGTATACTTGGGCTACATCGTAAATTGGCCTTTGTGGAAAATTTTTCTCTTTCAAACAATATTCTCTTTGTCTATTAAATATTATTCCTTCCTTTGTTTTGAACTGGCTGGAGCCAGTGACAGAAAAAAGCAAGTAGAATAGAACAAATGTTGACATGGAATATTGTTTACATTTTTTAACAATCTAATTTTAAAAATCTTTAAGAAACAGGGTATTTATGGATCATCAAAAAATGTCTGATGCAGGTAGGGTGTGTGTTACCATTATTCCCATTTTACAGATAAATTTACTGAGATTCAAATTATTCAATGAAATCAGTTAAGAGAAGGAACTAGGCTTAGAATCTAGGTAGTTCGCCTCCAAATTCCATGTTCTTCCCCACCCTTCCAAAAAATAAAATAAATAAAGAAGAAAGATCTAGAGACCTCAAAGGAAACAGCAAATAAACCTTCAGTCAATATTGAACATGTTTTTGTCTAGGCTGAACCACTCCTCTTGCACATGCAGGTGCAAAGGTTTAAACAAAGAAATAAGCCACACAGGACTAATATCATTCTAAGAGGAGGAGCTTTCCACAGCGTTGAAAAGTCCTCTTGGTAGCCACAGAACAGTAGGGGTTCCCAATAACCTAGTAAAGAAAAGAAATATATATATATATATATATATGTATATATATATATGTGTGTATATATATATGTGTATGTATATATATATGTGTGTATGTATATATATATATGTGTGTATATATATATGTATATATATATATATATTTTTTTTTTTTTTTTTTTTTGAGATGGAGTTTTGCTGTTGTTGCCCAGGCTGGAGTGCAATGGCACGATCTCGGCTCACCGCAACCTCCGCCTCCTGGGTTCAAGCGATTCTCCTGCTTCAGCCTAAGAGAAATATATTTTAAGGGGAGTCATGAGTGCAGTCAGGTTCTTAGAAGAGGTAAGCAATTAGGTTTGACCCTGAAACTGTGGAGAAGAGACCCTTGACTATATAGCCTGAGCTCTCTGAAGTTTATTTCTACTACAATGACTTTAATGTCTATAGTCTCTCACTCCCCACGTTGCCACTTCATGTACTCTTGCTGCATTACCTACTTTGTATAATTAGGAAGGCATACAATAAACTGGACTTTGCAGAACTGAAGGAAGTACGAAATGCTCAAAAGCGATCTTCCAGCTATTTGTCTTTTACTCCACTGATAACTACACTTTGCTTTTACATCTTGCATTCAATATTACTTGCCCCTTCTTGAATAGATATTAACCAAAATTAATAATTTATCCTAAAGCTACTTAAAAATGTCTTGGTGTTCTGAAAATGCACTGAGTAGAAGAATGTGGAGAAAAATATATCTAGAACAGGGGTCCCAAACCCTGGGCCATGGACTGGTACCAGTCCGTGGCCTGTTAGAAACTGGGCTGCACAGCAGGAGATGAGTGGCAGGCTAGGGAGAATTACTGCCTGAACTCTGCCTCCTGTCAGATCAGCGGTGGCATCAGATTCTCATAGGAGTGTGAACCCTACTGTGAACTGTGCATGTGAGGTTGTACACTCCTTGTTAAATTCTAACTAATGCCTGATGATCTGCAGTGGAACAGTTTCATCCTGAAACCATCCTCCTCATCCCCACCCCAATCCGTGGAAAAAATTGTCTTCCACGAAACCAGTCCCTGGTGCCAAAAAAGTTGGGGACCACTGCCTTAGAGCATGTTGAATTATTTTTTAAGCTGTAGCCCCCCCAAAAAAAAACTTATTTATAGGACTTAATACAATAAAACATAATTGTGTGCAAATAATTTAATAAATAGGTCATCATACATTTTGATTGAAAAATTCAGAGACAGAAAATATATTCCATTTTTCCCTGTGCAATATACTAAAATGCATGCCAATTTCAGTTAAGACAAATTATTCCTTGGGGAAGCAATGTATATTAATACATGTGTATGTAGAATTAATATAGCTTCACAGACTGCAAGAACATCAATATTTTCTACCACCAGATGGCAGAAATAAAGCTACAGTATTTTAGAATCTAAGGATTCAAATTATACACAGAAGAAACTAACTGCAGTCTTCATCCTGATTTTATTTTTAGTTGAACAGACAGAAAAATACATTGCAGCAAAATTTTGCTATGTGTTAAATAAGAAAAAAATTTTTTGATTAACAAAATTTTTTCATTTGAATGGGCTGCCAACTCACTATTTTTCCATCAGTTAGATTATGTTGCTTTCTAAAAGAATCATTTTAAAAAACAAGCTACCACCAGATTTGGACATTAAAATAATTTCCTTTCTAATCAACATAATCAACATCTCCTTTTGGAAGGCATTCTAAATCAATCCCACCTGTTCTCAATCGTGCACACTCTCCTTGCTTTATTTTCCAACGTTTTATCCTTCTTCATTTTTCAAAAACTGATCAGTTGTCCATGCTTCCCTGAACTGCTCTAGATGGTGGGGTTTGCTTACATCATCCTGTTACATATGCTAATATGGCTTCTTGTGATCTTGAATACTGGCGATATAGGTTTAAATTCGGTTTGTTACACTAATTTTTATGTATTAGGTAGTAATAAAATAACCATAAAAATAATAATGATAACAATAAAAAGTAAACGTCCACATAACATATATTAACAACTTTGATTCTAGGAATCTGGAATTATTCGCTGCTATGTTTTGGCTGTGTCCCCAGCCAAATCTCACCTTGAATTGTAATAAACCCCAAATGTCAAGGGTGGGGCTAGGTGGAAATAATTGAATCATGGGGGCAGTTTCCCCCATACTGTTCTCATGGTAGGGAATAAGTCTCATGAGATCTAATGGTTTTATAAATAGGCATTCCCCTGCACAAGCTCTCTCTTGCCTGCCACCATGTAAGATGTGCCTTTTTTTCTCCTTTGTTTTCTGCCATGATTGTGAGGCCACAATTGTGAGGTCAACCATGTGGAACTGTCAGTCCATTAAACTTCTCTCCTTTATAAATTACCCAGGCTCAGGTATGTCTTTATTACCAGTGTGAGTACAGACTAATATATTCTCATTCCAGTTATCAAAGGATTTTGATATTTCAGTGGTTTCTTCTTACCTTCGATAAGAGATGTTGTGAAAGAGATTCCTAGTTAATAAAAATAAATGACTTTCATAAGATAGAATATTTGATCATCCATTTGATTAGCTGGAATTTTAAATATCTTTAACGTAACGTTATCTAATTTATGTAAATTTTTAAATTATTGCTTAATAATCATGTAAATACTAAGCAGAATAACGTTGAATGTTTACTTGGTGCCAGAAAATGTTCCTAGCATTATGGAAAAGGTTAATTTTTCAAAAAACTTTTAACAACCTATGAGATAAGTGCAACGAATGTCCCCATTTTACATATTTGAAAGCTGAGTCATGTTTAGGTTATATAACTTTCTCCAAATCCCACAGGTAATATGAAGTTGGGCCCTGATTTGTACCAGGCAGTCAGATTCTTCAGCTGCTTCCCTTAAACATTACACCATGCACCTGAACTACCCTATTTTTTTAAAATTATGCATTCAGCTTTCATTTCGTACCTTTATTCCACAAATATTTATTGAGTGCCCACTTGGTATTAACTATTGAATATTCATAGAAAATTTTAGAAATGAACCTCCCTCGGGCAGGTGTACAATCTGGTGTAGAATATAGACATGAGATTTATAAGGACAATAAAGATTTACGGGTGCCATGACACTTATGTATTAGTTATAAAAGCAAAAAGAGAGAGTGGATACATTGCCCACAAATGTTCCAGGTCAAAGGAGAAAAGACATTGGTACTTTGTGCAGAAGTACCAAAGAGTCATACATATTTGAGGAAATGCAAATAGTTCCTTATTCTACAAGCCTAAGTTTTAAAATGTATACCATGGGTGTACATATTTATCAAAACACATTGAATGACACTTAACAATTGTGCATTTCCTTTTTTTTTTTTTTTTTTTGAGACGGAGTCTAGCTCTTTCGCCCAGGCTGGAGTTCAGTGGCGCTATCTCGGCTCACTGCAAGCTCCGCCTTCCGGGTTCATGCCATTCTCCTGCCTCAGCCTCCCGAGTAGCTGGGACTACAGGAGCCCATGGCCCGGCTAATTTTTTGTATTTTTAGTAGAGACAGGGTTTCATCATGTTAGCCAGGATGATCTCGATCTCCTGACCTCGTGATCCTCCCACCTCGGCACCCTACAACTGTGCATTTCCATATATATAAATATCATCTCACTTTTAAAAACTGGGATGCCAGTTTTAAAAGAAACAAGGTAGGAGAGAGAGGAAGAGGCCATATCACAGGTGACTTTGTGTAAGGAGTAGGCATTTTACCATACATACATTGGGGAGTTTCCAAAAGATTTAGACAAGGGAGTTACATGACCCAAAATGTGTTCAAGGACAGTATTTTGGTGGCAGTACAAGAATGAATTGGAGTGGCATGAAGCATGAGATAAGCAGACCACTTACAAGACTGTTGCAGTTGTAAAGCATAGGATGACAGGACTGGATTAAGGTAATTGCATAGGAAATGAAGAGTGAGAAATGGACTGCAAACTACTGATGTATGTAATTTACTGACCTGTTGAAGGGATATGGTCTAGAGCACAAAAGGTAGGATTATCATGCCTCAAGCTTGTCTACTAGGACTAGAGGCAAGGTGGTGAGGGTGGTAACAGAGAGGTTATAATTTATAACTGTGGCTGATCACCTTGATTTTCTACATAGGTTTAGATGTTAAGTTAGAAGTCTCTAGACAGAAGGATTGTAGCCATATAATGAGACAGTGTGAGGAAAAGGCGAGGCTTCGTAACAATAGCTATGGAGAACAGAAAAGTAAATTAAGCAGTGATATGTGACTTCCACATATAACAAAGAGTTTGTGGATAGTTACATAGTGATAGTTAAACAGAAAACTAAAGATTCACAGAGAGAGAAATAACAATTAACTACTGGAGGGAGAAATATCATGCAGAAAAGCATACAAGGAAAGAAATGTAAGTGTAGAACACTACATGACTCAGCTGTGAATATAATCTCATGATCGTAATAACATAAACAATCTTAATCTAAATATTAAATAACATATAAATAATTGTACCTATATTTGGCGGATTGTAGGTGATAAAGGACAACGGGGTAGATGGGGTAAGTTAATGTAATAAATGTAAGGTCTCCCTCTTCCTCTGTAGGAAGTCAATAGCTAATATAAAAAATGGAAGGAAAAGAAAAAAATTATATAGAGATGCTAGTTAGCCAACTGGTAGCAAATTCCAAAAAGAAAAAGTTAAGAAATGAAAGTGTTATCTCTGGACTGGGGATGTGGGTTGGTATTTTGGAGACTACTGTTTTTTTTTTAAATTATAATAAATAATAAGCTTTGTAAAACTATTTAAAAATTTAAAGTATATTCATGTTTCATTTTGATAAAAATAATTAGATTTAAAATTATTTTTTAAAGAAAGCAAGCATAGTGGTTTGGAAGCCACCTTAGTGGCTGTCTTATTATATTTTGTGCTGCCGTAACAGAATATGTGAGACCGTGCAATTTATACCAAACAAAAATTTATTTGGTTCATGGTTCTGGGGGCTGAACCAAGATCCAAGTCCAAGATCGAAAGACCAGAATCTTATGAGGACCTTCTTGCTTCATCTTAACAAGGCAGGAGACATCACCTGGGAGAGAGAGAGGAGCTAGCCAATCTTTATGAAAAGGACCCCAGTCTTGTGCTAACAAACCCACTCCTGAAATAATGACATTAATCCATTTATAAGGGTAGAGTCCTCCTGATGTAATCACCTCTTAAAGGTCCCACCTCTCAACACTGTTGCATTAGGGATTACACTTCTAAGACATGGACTTTGAAGAACACATTCAAATCATAGCACCACCCTTGTTTTGAGATCCTGTGGCACATCGAAGGTGAGAGAAGGAGCATTCTCCACAAGCTGGGCTTCTGAGGGGCAGGTGGAATCATGAAGAGGATGAGTGTCAGTTAACTAGAGAAGGTGTAAGGAGCTTGAAGATGGCGAGAAGTTTGCCCAAAGAAATTCAAGAGTGACATGAAGAAAAGTCTGGAAGAATCACACAATTGTATGGGGATTAAAAATCAGTTTTAAAAAATAGCATGTTGGTAAAAATTAACAGACAAATTCAATTTTTAGAAATGAGTGATGGGTAAAACCATTTTTAATACACTTCAGGGATTATATTTGATGTTCACATCTAAGATAAATTTAATCCCCAAAGCTTTAATAAGATCTAAATGGTCTTATAACCCTGGTGACTTCCTTGCCCTGATTAGAAAGATGAATACTTACTAAAGACAAAGGAAGAAGAGAAAAAAAATATTAAAAAACAAAGCAAAACCCTGTGTCTGTTTTCTCCTTAGAAGGTGACAGTGTTAGCAGAACAGATCAGCAGGCTGCTGAATGATACCGAATAGTTCCTAGACCTTTCTGTCTTAACATGCACATACAAGTTGACAATTTAAGTAACAGAAGTTATGCCTTGAAGCCAGAATGATATTATTTCCAAACATATGCTTAGGATCACATATTTCTAACTCAAAAAACCTCATAGCAGGCAAAGCAGGGCTGAGAGCAGAGGGTCAGGAGTGAAAGGGAATTGCTTTGCCTCAGGGCAATCACGAATTTGCTCAGTGAAGCAAAGCAGCACACTCTGGTTGAAATGCGCACGTTCATCTGTTAGTAGCATTTTGGGGGTTTTGTTTGTTTTAAATTCTGACCTTCACATAATTCAATCAGGAAAAGAATACCTTAAAAGTAGGTTAGTTCTAATCCACCCAGTTTGGAATACATATTTAAATATTTCTTAGTGACCAGGAGATAGGAATAGTAAATTACTGAGTTTAAAGAATTTACACCTATGTTAATTGTTGAGATGTAGACTTCACCTTTTTCTTTATCTTACTTTAATTAGGAATTTAATTTAAAAATCCTAAGACCTTGAGAATAGCAATTCCCCACGCCATCTTGAGTTTTCTATCACTGCTTTTGAATGACGTGGTCCCACTATTGAACCATTAGATGCTGGAAAATTCTTAATTATATGCTAAACCACAAAGTGACTTTTTGATTTTTTAAAACCGACTCTGCAGCCTAGAAACTTACAGAAATATTTTCAACTAAATACATTGAAGTTCTCTCTTGTCCTCTGTTCTGTGAATTCTAAAGAACTCCCAACTCCCTAAATGTGATGTGGAGACCTAACTCTCGTTCCCACCTTGTTTTCCTGGAAATACTTCCTAATTTTTCCAGACTAAATGTTTCTGTTCTGCATTGCCTCTCAGCTTAAGGACAAGTTACCAGCTCAAAAGTAGTGTCTATCTCACATTTTCGTCAAGCAAAGAAGATATCATCACTCCCTCCTTCCTCCTACAATTGCATCCCAGTGTTGTTTCTCACCTTTTGGTATTTTTAATGCAATTGCTCCCAGAAAGCAGCAGCATCAGAATCCCGTGGAGGACTAGTTAACACACAGAGTGGTTGGTTCCAACCACAGGGTTTGTGATTCAGTAGGTCTGGTATGGGGCCCAAGATTTGGTACTTCTAACAAGGCCCCAGATGATGCGGATGGTGCAGTTGAAGCACCACACTTGAGAACCTCTGGTCTCATGTTTTCTAACTCTGACTATTCCAAATGTTATTATTCCACATGTCTGATGCATCTTCTAAGTGAAGTGTGGCTACATAGTATAAGAAATAATTTTTAAATGGTGAAATCTTCTGCTTATTAAAATTCATTTAATGGTAAAAATGTCAATTTGTACATGATTTCTTAAAAGTGAATTCCTTATACAAAACAGAATATATATGTTTGGGTCAAACAAAAATCTTTCATACTTCAGAGGTTTACAGTCCTTCCATGGAAAATGTGAAGTAATCATAATTCTTTGTCTCTTCAAAGAATCAACAGAAATTGAGTATTTCTAAAACTGAGATTATGTGCATGTTTAATGGCCTGGACTTTTAATTTATTAAGCAAATAGTAACAGTTGGTACTTAAGGAATGTTTGTTCAAGGTTTCTCCAACAATGCTAAGTGCTCTATAGTCATTATTTAAGGTACTTTGTGTACAAAACAAAAATGTATAATACTCACTTTACACATGAGCGTACAGAGGTTGAGAGAGATTAAGTAATATAACCAAGGTTACAGAAATAGGAAAGCTGTAATCCACATTCAAACTAAATTTGAAATGATCCCAGGTAAATATGTATAGTTTGATAGGTCCACCATTAAGTATCAAGGCACTTCTGTTTCAAAAAATAAAATTATTGATTAGATGAGAAAACATTACTTAATTTTTTTTCTTGACACCTCTCATCCTTACTCCTCACACTGAGCTAGAGATAACAAGCATGGCCTCTCAAAGTAAGAAAAATGTATCAGCTTAAAAATATTACTAAGAAATAATTGTTCAGAGATTTCTGGAAATATGAAAATATTATTTTTTCATAAAAAGTGCTTCTTGCTGGGCAGTAAATTGCTTGGAGAAAGAGTGAAAGTAAGTAAGAGTTAGTATATAATTTCAGCTAAAGATAGTTCCCACTACTCTGTGTAATTAAGCCAACAAGGATTTTAAATCAAGGTTATCCACAATGAATATAATTCACCTGTTGATAGTCAAGAATTAAACATTTTATGATTACTGTTTTACAGGAAAGCAAACAAGAACAGGCAGACTTGCACAAGAGAGTACAATAGGTCAGCAGCAGGTTAAAAAAACAGTTTTCTGATTTCCCTTACTGGGATTAGTGTGTTAAACATTGTGAGCAGATTAACATATTACTGTAGAACATTTAAAAGGGTGATATCCTCTCTGTTTTCTGAAAAACATTACTTGTATGAGGTAAAAATCCATTTTAAATTCCACTTTACTATCAAATCATACTGTGAATGTAATAAATATATCTTCAGAAATTTAAGAGGGCAATGCTGATAAATGTTGAAAAAATAAACATTGACATTATTTTGAAGAGGCCTTTGAACATCAGGTTCAGAACTTTAAGGCAACACATTTAAGATGTTTTAGTAAGATAGAAATATTACTAGAGCTGCAATTTTTGAAAAAAGTCTTATTCTCCAATATGTAAATGACCGTCAGGATGCCTGTTTAGGGAGCAGAAATTGAATTAAGGCAGGTTTCAATCTTAGTAGAGATGACAGGAGTTAAAAAGAGAAAATGAAATAATGGAAAGTGTATTGTGGATACACAGTAGGCAGGAGAGGTGACAGTTGCACAAAAACAAAGGTGTATACTTCCTAGCTCTGTCACAAAATTCAACTGTCGTTGTGTTTTAGGTAACTTAACCAGAGCTTGATGCTAATAAGGGTGAATTTTGGAAAAAAAATTAATCGCTGCAAAATAATATAATCTACCGCATTTGGTTTAAAAAATCTGTTTTCCCAAATTTGCTTTTGCAAGGTTCTTGAGGATACAATCAACCAAGGTACACTTTAAATTAAAGCAGATATATGGATAAAACAGGAAAAATACAAGGATATTCAATATCAACATTTCCATTAAGAATTGTACTGGGGCATCTGGCCAACAGAGTAAGGAAATAAAAAGAAAGAAGTATCAAAATGCAAGAACCAAAATGAATACTATTTGCAGAGGGTGTTATTGTCTATATTAAGAAACATAAAAAAGAAATATTAATGAGAGAGTTCAGCAATTTTTCTGGTTATAAAAAATAAATATACTAATTTCTGTTCACTAGCAAAAAATGATAATAATGCAATTTAGAAAATGTAATTTTGGGCTGGGCACTGTGACTCACACCTGTAACCTCAGCACTTTGGGAGGCTTGAGCCCAGGAATTCGAGACCAGCCTGGGCAACATGGAGAGACCCCATATCTACAAAAACTTTAAAATGTTAACTGGGTGTGGTGCCACATGCCTATGGTGCAAGCTACTTGGGAGGCTGGGGCAGGAGGATTGGTTGAGCCTGGGAAGTCAAGGCTACAGTGATCCACGATTGCATGACTGCACTCAGCCAGGCTTTCCTCCCCTGTCTCAAAGAAAGGAAAATGTAATTTTGGAGGTAGCATAACTCTCCATCCTGAAGTGTGGGTTACGTATAGTGACTTCCTTCTAAAAGTACAAAATGAGGGTTCTGGGGAAGAAAGAATAATTTTACAATGGAGAAAAAGGACAAGCACTACTTCAGACAGATGATCTAGGTTATACCAACAGTTATAAATCATGTAGAGATAAGCACCCTTAATATGATATGATGAAAGTGACACTTTACCCCTGTGTTCTTCCTCCCCCAGATTCAGAGCCCCAGCCTGTTCATAAAAAAAATCAGATGAATTTTGTCTGCGGAACATTCTGCAAAAATATCTGACCAGTAAGTAATCCTCTAAATAGCCACAGCCATCAACAGCAAGGAAAGTCTGAGAAAGTGTCACAGCCAAGAGGACCCTATAAAGACATGATGACTAAATGTAACATGGTGTCTTCCATGGGATCCTGAAACAGAAAAAGGACATTAGGTAAAATCAAATGAAATCTGAATAAAGGGTGAACCTTCATTAACACTGCTATATCAATATTGGTTCATTAATGGGAGCAAGTGTACCACACTAATGTAAGATGTTAATAACTGGGGAAACTGTGTGGAGTAGGATTGAGGTAGATGGAAATTTTCTTGTATCTGCTCAATTTCTCTGTAAATCTAAAACTGTTCTAAAAAATGTAGTCTATTAACTTAAAATGTAATTTTCATTTATAATATCATTAAAAATGTAAAATACATAGTAAAAGTTTAACAAAAGTTACAAAATCTTTATAGATGTACATAATCATCTGAAAAAATTTAAAAAACCAAGATAAAGTCATGCACCACTTAACAACAGGGATATATTCTGAGAAATGTGTAGTTAGGCGATTTTAGCATTAGGCAAACATCATGGAGTGAACTTACACAAACCTAGATGGTATAGCCTACTGTACACCTAGGCTTTATGTAGTAGGCTATTGCTCCTAGGCTAGAAATCTGTACAGCATGTTACTGTATGGAATACTAAAGGCAATTGCAATACAATGCTAAGTATTTGTTTATCTTAGTGTATCTAAACATGAAAAAGGTACAGTAAAAATACATTATTATAAACTTATTGGACCATCATGATATATGCAGTCCATTGCTGATTGAAATGCCACTATGTGGCACATCACTGTATAAAAAATATACCATGAATAATGAATTCAGAGTCTTAATGTTGTAGAGATAGAAATTCTTCTCAAATTGATCAATAGTTTGAAACCAATGTCAGTCGACCTTCCAAAAGATGATTCTTTTGGAATTTGAAAGGCTGAATCAAAAATATATGTAGAAGTACAAAGACCCAAGAATAGGTAAAATACTGTTAAAGAAGATAAAAATGTAGGAAAAATTTCTTTATATCAAGTATTGAGAGTAATATAAAGTTTGCAGTAATTAAGATAATCTAGTATTGGTGCAGGTATAAACCAACTGAACAGTACAGACATTGCTTTTTCCCCTCCAGAAAAAGAGCCCCACTCATATTCAGAAACTTGGTTTATAACAGAACTGGCATTATAGGTTAGTGGAAAAAGAGTTTTCAATAAATGGTACTGGGACGACTGTTTATTGTTATGAAAGCAAAAAAATTAAATTCTTACATATAAAACTATTAGCTGTATAAGACTTAAATGTGTAATTTAAGCTATAAAACTTTTAAAAGATGAGGCCGAACATCGTGGCTCACGCCTGTAATCCCAGCACTTTGGGAGGCCAAGGCGGGTCGATCACCTGGGGTCAGGAGTTCAAGACCAGCCTGGCCAACATGGCGAAACGCCGTCTCTACTAAAAATACAAAAATTAGCTGGGCACGGTAGCAGGTGCCTGTAATCCCAGCTACTCAGGAGGCTGATGCAGGAGAATCGCTTGAACATGGGAGGTGGAGGTTGCAGTGAGCTGAGATTGTGCCGCTGCACTCCAGCCTGGGTGACAGAGCAAGACGCCATCTCAAAATATATATATATTATTGTATATATTGTATATATTGTATATATTATTGTATATATATTATATACATATAATATATATATACAATATTATATATATTGTATATATTATATTATATATATTCATATTATATATAATCTATGAATACATTATATATTCATATTATATATGAATACATTATATATTCATATTATATATGAATACATTATATATTCATATTATATGTGAATACATTATATATTCATAATTATATTCATATTCATATTATATAATATGAATATATAATATATTCATATATAATATGAATATATATATGATATGAAATGTATCTTTATGTTGTCAGGGAAAGATAAATAAGATGCAAAAAGTCACACACACAGGAAATGATTAATACAATTTTATGGCATCAAAAGATACCATCGATAAAGTAAAACACAAGTCACGAACTAGGGGAAAGAAGATGAGGTAACATCCAAAATACATGAAGAAATCTTGTAAGTCTATTAAAAGACTATACGACCTAACAGAAAGAAGCAGCAAAAGCCATGAAAAGGTATGTCACAGAAGAGGAATCATGAAAAACAAATATACATACACAATTATATTCTACCTAAACATTAATTGGGGAAATGAAAGTTAAAATAACCATGAAATACATTTCCATACTCACAAAATTGACAACTATGAAAGTCTGACAATATTAAGGGTTAGTGAGATGTGATGTGAATTAAACTTTTCTAGAACGATGATGTGAATGTCAATTGCTTCAAGCATTTTGGAAAACAAATTTATATTATTTAACGAAGCTGAACTTGTAACTTAGTAATTCAACAGGTGAGTATTTACCCTAGAGAACTTTGAAAACATGTCCATTTGAACAAAAATATTCATAATAGAATTGAATAGTTACAGAAGTAGACTGTGTACATTAACAAGTAAATAAATTTTGCTACATTCACATTGTGTTGGCACTGGATGACTGTGAGAATAAATGTACTGTATCCTCAAACAACAATATGAATGAATTTCAGGAACATAATGTGTAATAAAATTAAAAAGCAAATAATAGACAATTGTGTGCAATGTAATTTCTATGTAGAACTATGCAAAAGTAAAACAATACGCTGTTTTGGCATAGATATATGGTAAAAGTCAAAAAGCAAAGCAAAGGAATGTTAAACACAAAATTTATGATTTAATTTCCTCTGAGCTGAGAGGAAAGGGAATGAAATTCAGAATGACATAGGATAGTTCAAAGATAGAAATGATAACCATTTCTAAAGCCAAATGTTGGACACAGTGTGCATTTGAATCATCATTCCTTATATCTTACACATATTTTATGTTTAAAATGTACTCCATATTTAGAAACATGGTTTTATTTTGTCTTATTTATTTATTTATTGAGATGGAGTCTTGTTCTGTTGACCAGACTGGAGTGCAGTGGCACAATCTCAGCTCACTGCAACCTCTGTCTCCCAGATTCAAGCAATTCTCATGTCTCAGCCTCCGAGGTAGCTGGGACTGCAGGTGTGCACCACCATGCCCAGCTAATTTTTGTATTTTTAGTAGAGACGGGTTTCACCATGTTGGCCAGGCTGGTCTCGAACTCCTGACCTCAAGTGATCTGCCCACCTCAGCCTTCCAAAGTGCTGGGATTATAGGCATGAGCCACCATGCCTGGCAAAAGCATGGTTTTAAAACACAACCAATAATAGCATAGGATATCCTCAAAGCATTTGTAACAAAGTGATTCTACAAAATATCTATAAAACATCTCAGAACAAACTTAAATAGATTAGGTTATTTATCTAATTATTTTTGCCCATTTTTCTGACTACATATTAGGAAAAGAAGGACAAAACTATCTGAAGCCCTGTAAAAAGTCTGAGTCATTTCTGCTCTATTTCTTTCCCTACGAATGGTAAGAGCTGGGGATTGTGGTATGTGCCTTTAGTCCTAGCTACTCCGGAGGCTGAGGCAGGAGGATCACCTGAGCCCAGGACTTTGAGGCCGCTGTAAGCTATGATCATGCCACTGCACTCCAGCTCAGGCAACAGTGAGACCCGGTCTCAACAAACAAAAGAAAATAAAAGAATGGTAGACAAGGTAAGAGAACATGAACAGGTATGAGAGGAGCATAGAACAAGAATGAGTTTTATCAGGCATTTCTTTTCATGTTTGTTGCACAGATAGTGTTCACGTTACTTGATCAGTTGGCATGCTCAACGAATCAGTGTTCTGATTAATTATTCTTTTTACTAGTTAATTAAGATTAAACCTCAGTTAATTAGAATATCCTCTCTACTTCTAATAGAAATCTAAAGATGACAGAAGAGGTTGATGCTAGAAATTTAAGATGATCGACAAGAGTCAGTACAGATGTCCAACCTCTCATTTACAAAATCATATAGTCCTTTGGAGCTAAAAATTCCTTGGAGATGTTCTATTTCTGCCCCTCATTTTGCAGTGGTTGCATTGAACCTGAATCTGCTATTTCAAAACAGAGCTAGTACTCTGTTCTTCAAAGGCTTTACTTCTCTGGCATATACCATGATTATTGATCCTCATAAAAAGCTTCAAAGCACACTGATGACAGAATGGCCAGAGAGACATTCCCCTGCTTTTCATTTAAGAGCAGGAAAGTGCACTGGCTGGTATATTTTAGAAGACACTTTACAATGGCAAAATAAAAGGATTGCCTACTTTATCAAAGTTTAATGTACTCGCTAGAACCAATAAATAATGGAATAGCGATGGTTTCCCATGGAGAGAACTGCAATTTCAATTCAGCATGAGAATAAATAATTACTATTGTAAACAAATCATTTTTTAAAGACCTAGAATGCTGTTCAACCAAATGCACTTAGAGCTGAATTCTGAACCATACAAATGTTTCAGAGTGCTTATTATCAACAGTGGGTTCTAAGGTAAAACTGAAGGGTGTCAACAGGTAGAAATTAATGAAGATTACATAGATTTTAGCTGCTTTATTAATGCAAGGTTCTTCAGAGATAAAAAAAAAAACGCAATGAATTATAGGGGTCCTTTTCCATGATTTATGATTCATGTAATGGCTGCTGTAGTTGAACCTATTGACTTGGCTAGAATTTAGTATGATTGTAGCTTTGCAGCAGCATAAAAAGTAATTGCTCATGTCTCAGGAATGTTGTATTATAAAACAAGTGAATATATTTTTAGAACATAATGCTTCATTTCAATGTCACTTGAAAATCCAGCTTATAAAAACCACAAGGCTGGAAGTTGAAGGAAAATATCACATTGAGTTTCTTAGAAAATTACAGGAAAGTAAAATACTATTATAATATGAATATTTTATTGACATTAATATGCTTGCTCTTGTCACAAGTAACGTTTGTTGGCATGGCCTCAATCCCTGCCAGCAAATTTCAAGCAAACACATAATTTACTCAGAATGTGGACCAATAGCACCTAAGAAAGAAGCAAACAACTTTATATCTATTAGACACTCATTATATGAAATCACAGAAACTACACATTGTCCACTGTTTTGGGTAATTCTTTTAGCTAATTCACGTCTTTCAGATAACTTAGAAAATTCTGTATTTTTTTCATAGAAATTCCACAGGTTTAGAAGTTGAGAGGCTTAGAATCTTGTGTCAGATCTGCTGTTATTTGGGGAAGTCACTTTACCTCCTTTGGTCTGCCTCAATCTTCTACAAACTGGAAATAATAAATTTATTCTTAGTTTCCTAAACTAGCCATTCATCAGCATTGTCATATTTAAGGAATTTCTTAAGAACCCTAATTCTCAAATTATAGTCAGCTTTGGGTAAGTCCTAGAGATCTATCTTTTTTAAAAAAACAAAAATCCTCCCCAGGTGAGGATCCATAAACAGATTTGTAAATCAATAAGCTACATAATTTCAAAGGTACTTTTTAGCTCTGTGATTCAGAAAATATATACTTGTTGACGAAGGTTACAATTCAAAGAATACTCGTTTTAGAATTGTAAAAGACTCCGGTTGCATTCTTATACACTAACAACAGTCAAGCCGAGATCCAAATCATGAACAAACTCCCATTCACAAATGCCACAAAAAGAATAAAATACCTAGGAATACAGCTAGCAGGGGAAGCGAAAGAGCTCTACAGGGAGAACTAGAAACCACTACGCAAAAAAATCAGAGATGACACAAACAAATGGAAAAACATTGTATGCTCATGGATAGGAAGAATCAATATCATGAAAGCAGCCATACTGCCCAAAGCAATTTATAGATTCAATGCTGTTCCCATTAAACTACCACTGACATTCTTTGCAGACCTAGAAAAATCTATTTTAAAATTCATATGGAGCCAAATGAGCCTGAATAGCCAGGGCAGTCTAAAGTCAAGGCAGTCTTATGCAAAAAGAGCAAAGCCATTGGGAACCCTAGGTGTTAGGCTCAAATGTCAGTTTTCTAGGAGGTGCTGAGAGGGTGGAATTGTCCACCTATCTCAGAACTTGGTGGACAGCTTTATAGTTTCTTGATATCTTTCCAAGACAGACACTTGAGTTACATTCTTGGGGCTTTTCTCTTGAAGGTGTGATGGGCCTACCTCCTGGTGTCAGGCCTCCTATGGTCCCCCAGTGGGGATCTCCCCTGGGAGACAGACTCCAGTGGGCATATCCCCTCTGGGAATGCAGCCTCCTCCCCATGGGATGCGAGGCCGTCTTTGACCCTTGGCCACAGAGTATGGAAGTAGCTCCACAGAGACATGGGCTCAACTCCTCAGGGCCACATTACCACAGACCTATTTGTTTGTTATGCTGCTGTTCACGGAGTCTCTCCAGATTGTCTGGTTTTCCTTACAGAGCCCCATCCCCTGAGAATGTGCCCATCAAGACCCTAGACTCATCTTGGCCCTCCTAGCTCCCTGCCTCTTTCCTGAAAGGCTGTACATAGTCCTTTTATTTCCTTGTGGCCCATGAAACTGGTTTATAATAAACTCTTAAGAGAATATTAAAAAAAAAAAAAAGCTGAAGGCATCACACTACCCAACTTCAAACTGTACTACCAGGGCTACAGTAACCAAAACAGACACATAGAACAATGGAATAGAATAGAGAGCCCAGAAATAAGACCATTTACCTAGAACTATCTGATCTTTGACAAAAATGACAAAAATGCAATAGAGAAAAGGATACGCTACTTAATAAATGGTGCTAGGATAACTGGCTAGCCATATGCAGAAAATTGAAACTGGACCTCTTCCTTACACAATATACAAAAATTAACCATGATGGATTAAAGACTTATATGTAAAACCCCAAACTGTAAAAACCCTGGAAGATAACCTACGCAATTACCATTCAGGACACAGGCATGGGCAAAGATTTCATGACAAACACACCAAAAGCAATTGCAACAAAAGCAAAAATTGACAAATGGAGTCTAAATAAACTAAAGAGCTTCTGCACAGCAAAAGAATCAATCAACAGAGTAAACAGACAACCTACAGACTGGGAGAAAATTTTTGCAAAGTATGCATCTGACAAAGGGCTAATATCTAGCATCTATAAAGAACTTAAATTGATGAGAAAAAAACAATGCCATTAAAAAGTGGGCAAATGACATGAACAGACACTTCTTGAAAGAAGACATACGTGCAACCAACAATCATATGAAAAAAAAGTTCAACATCATGCAAATCAAAACCACAATGAGAAAGCATCTCACACCAATCAGGATGGCTATAATTAAAAAGTCAAAAAATAATATGCTGGCAAGGTTGTGGAGAAAAACGAATGCATATACACTGTTGGTGGGAGTGTAAATTAGTTCAACCATTGTGGAAAACAGTGTGACAATTCCTCAAAGACCTAAAGACAGAACTACCATTTGACTCAGCAATCCCATTACTGGGTATATACCCAAAGGAATATAAATTGTTCTATTATGAAAACACATGCACGTGTGTGTTCACTGCAGCACTATTCGCAATAGCAAAGATATGGAATAAACCCAAATGCCCATCAATGATAGAATGGGTAAAGAAAATGTGATACATATATACCATGGAATACTATGCAGCCATGAAAAAGAATGAGACCACATCCTTTGCAGGGACATGGATGGAGCTGGAGGCCATTATCCTTAGCAAACTAATGCAGGAACAGAAAACCAAATACCGCATGTTCTCACTTATAAGTGGGAGCTAAATGATGAGAATACAGAGACCCATAAAGGGAAACAACACACACTGGAGACTTTTGGAGGGTGGAGGGTGGGAGGAGAGAAAGGATCACGAAAAATAACTAATGGGTACTAGTTACCTGGGTGAAGAAATAATCTGTACAACAAACCCCCATGACACACATTTACCTATGTAACATCTTGCACAAGTACCCTTTAACCTAAAAGTTAAAAAAAAAGACTCTGGTTGAGGGCTGGGTGCTGTGGCTCATGCCTGTAATCCCAGCACCTTGGGAGGCCAATGCAGGCAGATCACTTGAGGTCAGGAGTTCAAGACCAGCCTGGTCAACATGGTAAAACCAAGTCTCTACCAAAAATACAAAAAAGAAAAAAAAAATTCACTGGGCATGGTAGCACATGCCTGTAGTCGCAGCTACTCGGGAGGCTGAGGCAGGGGAATCGCTTGAACCTGGGAGGCAGAGGTAGCAGTGAGCCAAGATCCAAGATCACACCACTGCACTCCAGCCTGAGTGACAGAGCAAGATTTCGTTTCAAAATAAAATAAAATAAAATACTCTGGTTGCAATTAAATTAATTTTAACCTTAAATTAATCTTAACATTGAAACTATACAAAACAATGTCTTAAAAAATATAAGGATTTTCTATGAAAAGTTTCAAGATCATTATTATGAACATAAACATCACTATAGGTTCACACATAGGCCAATGCAGATATGCTCGTGACATGAAAGATTTAATCCACATGTGAACTAAAGAAATTAAATAATGTTTCACATACTTCTTATGGGACAGTCTCATTTTATAAGGAAAAATTTTAATTTAATGAGGCATTATAATTTTTATATATATATATTTTTGAGAGACAAGTTCTCACTGTTGCCCATGCTGGAGTACAGTGGAGTGATCCTAGCTCACTGCAGCCTCAACTTCCCAGGCTTAAGCGATCCTCTCACCTCAGCCTCCTGAGTAGCTAGGACTATAAATGCAAGCCACCAGAGCCAGGTAATTCTTTTTGTTTTTTGTGAATTGGGGTCTGGCTACGTTGCCCAGACCGGTCTCAAACTCCCAGGCTCAAGTGAGGCTCTCACCTCATCTTCCCAAAGTGCTGGGATTATAGGCCTGAGCCACTGTGCCCAGCCTAAGACATAAGATAATTAATGACCATGTGACCATGTAGTTTTTATTAAAGTGGCATTCTCATGTCTCCTGGTTCCCCTTTACCCAAACCCATACAAATTAACTGCAAAACCTGTCTTCGGGTTTTTAAGCTGATTGATTTTCTGTGTGGAGTTCTCTGCCACGACCTGATAGAATATTGGAAATTATTTAAGATAGTAATTTGAGAATAACTAATAATAAACCCTTCTCACTGATGGCATTGACAGTAATTAGGCCACTGAGCCAATTGTGTCTTGAGACTAGTCCTAGTTGCATTATCAAGAGCAACTTTCTATTCACAACAGCCACGAAATATTCATTGAATTCTTCTAAAAGCAGCGTCATATCATGCACATGTATTTTATAGGAAAGTTAAAAAACAACTTTCACATCGTCAAAATAATTGCCAATCTGCCAGGCTCGTGCCTGCCAACTCTGGTTCTTATTGGATTTTTAAATGTGAATCATGTATCCATAACTGTGAGTCCACATTAATGTTCTGCCAGAGCCTGGCATCAGCCTCTGCATAGACAATCACAAGCCAATAGAGAGGGAATGGAAACAGCACTCTATTGATCTTGGCTTATTTATTCATAAACTAGGAAAGCAGTTGAACAGCTATGCGAGAAGCCTACTTTCTCTTCATGTAACACGTTGGCCTAAGAGATCTATAGAGCTTTTTAAAAACAAAGAAGGCAGCAAGATTTAAAATAATAAAACCAGTAAGTGTTACTTTTGTGATTTCCCTTGCTGATTTTCTTACAGTCCTCCCTAAAATTTTAATTATATATTTTATAACATTTAGTTATAATTATATTTATACTTGGTCCTTCTCTGAGTATTGTGTAAAGAGATTAGGTATTGTCTGAAACCAAAATTTATCAGAGAAGTGGCATCTTCAGAACCTAGCATGTTGGCGGTGGCAGTGTGACTGTGACAGACCCTCAAGGGAAGGTGAAACTCAAGGAAAAGTGTCATATTTGGATGCTTTTCAGGAGATTCTCAATGTAGTGCTAAAACCTTGAAAATTCTGTGTTTGCTTTCTCTTAAAAAGAAAAAATTATTTATTTAGGCAATAGGTATTTTTAAAAGTGAGAGAAACTATCAGAGAGCTGTAGCAGAAAAGCAAGTTAAAAATAAAGGAAACAGAAAAGGAACTGATACAGCTGATTTGATACTGGAAAAATCACCCAGGAGGCAGCGTGGACAATGGATTGGAGAAGGGCGAACATTCAGTCAGAGACTTTGTGAGTAAGTTACATTTGCATGAAGTCAATGATAGTGGGGGTGGAAAGGATGGATTGGATTAGAGGGACTTTAAGGAGGTATCAATCATTGCTACCTGGGACAGGAGGAGGAAATTTTGGTGAGATGACCAGTTCATGTTAAAGAAAAGTTTGAATTGCCTACGGCAAATCCTTGTGAAAATATTTACTTAATGGGCAATTGTAGATGTGCTCAGATATCTCTGTCTCATATATACATAAGACAGATTGTGGTGTCATTAACATAGGTAAACGGAGTGATCAACATATTTCCCAAGAAAAAGATAAACTATAAATGGTCTGCTAGAATTGACAAGATTAATTGTTGATGACAATAACTGGAGACCTTGGTAAATGATACAGCAATTTCATGCTTAGAGGAAAAATTCAATTTCAGAGTTGAAGAGTAAATTATAAGTGAGGAATTGGAGACAACAAATTGAAGCCATGTTTTTAGAAAATTTGGTGGAAAAGGGAGACTGACAGAAAAGTAGGATCAACAGGGGGTTGGTTGATTCAGAAACCTTACATGTATTTATAGACTGAAGGGAAAAATCATAGAGAAGGTATGTTTGAAGAGAGAAGAGAAAAAGAATAAAATATCAGGTGATATTTGAGATAAAAAGAAACGGCATTCAAGCTCACGAGCGTACATGAAGCTTGGACAGGAGGGTAGATGCCTCCCTTAGTGTGGGAGAGCTAAAAGACAAAAATGGGAAGGGATGCCAGGAAGAGTTTTCAGAGATGAGAAAAGGGGCAGAAAGTCAATGCTATTACACAAAGGTCAAGATTCTTTAAAATAAATTTTTAACTTGTATTATTGAAATTATACATATTTATAGTAAAAATATTTTAATACAGAACATTTTAAAAGAAAAATACAACATTCTGGATACAAATAGAATTGCCCCTTCCCCTTGCCTCCTCTTGCAAGTGGGCCCACATTGGAATGTTTTATAATCTTTCATGCACTGGGAAGGTCACAAATATCACTAATATGCTTTAGGTTTCAGCTCAGTCATTTCTATCTTCCTTTTATCCTGAACTGTTTACGCTAACTCCCCAATGTTTGTCAAATAGTCATCATCCACATCACTGAATTTTTCATATTTTCCAAACATTTCCCCTAAGTATTTTCTTTCACAGACTTGAGTTACATTGAAAGCAAGAGCCACATTCCACTCATCTTCAGAATTCCACAACACAAATTCAGAGCTTTAGACATTGTAGACCAGCATTGTAAAACAGAATCTTCTGTGATGATCGAAATGCTTCTCTATGCTATCTAGTACAGCAGCTACTAGCTACTGTGGTTATCACCCATTTGAAAGGTGAAACTCAAGAACTGAACTCTTAATTAAAATTAAAATGTGGACTGGACCTACTGAATCGAACAGCACATTTGTACACAATTAGTATAGTGGTTCAAAGAATTACTTTTTAGTTGGCTTTTTGGATGGTTGTATTTTTATTCCTTTTTAAAATATATATCTGTTTTTCAAGGCTTACTGTAAATTAGAGGGAGCAAATTGGAGGAGAAATGACAAAAGAAACAGAAAAAATGTTTAATCAGACAAAGGAACTAAAAAACCTCAGTCTTAATTAGAAGATGGTCAAACAAATCTCTTAACTGATGTTCACAATGATGGTTTCAAGTCATCTAAGGAATGGGTGAGTACCAGGGAACTTGTGTAATTTCAATCAAATTTAATTTTTACAACAATCCCAAGAAATATATCATTATCCCTACATCACAGACTAAAACAAAATAAACAAAAACAAATAAAACCTTTGAGACTCAGAACTATTTTAGCAACTTTCCCAAAAGCTGCTAAAAGGTAAAACTAGAATCCTGATCCATCAATGCCAAGCCCTATTTTTGCTCTCAGCATGATGCTCGAATTATATTCATCACACCATACTCTAAAAACACACACACATTCATACACAATATTTTAGAAAAAACTTCTATAAAATATTTAAAATATAAGCAAATCCTTATAGTGAGTAAAGGTATAAATTCTTAACTCATTAGAAAATATTTATCTTCCAAATGACTTATGGCCTAATGATTCTGGACAGACAAGATACCTTTTTTATTTTCATAAGTCAACACAGCTATACTAATTTTAAAACCCTAAAAATTTTCTTATATGGCATGCATTACATTGTTTAAATATATTATTTCCCCAAATAAATTTGCTACATTTTCTTTTCTAGGAGAAAATACAACTGGTGAATTGCAAAGATATTAAGAAATTTTTTTCATGACCTCCAAAGAATAAAATTATAAAACTTATTCTTACCTTTTTGTTTCCTGTAAACGTGTGGTATATTCCCCTTGTCCCTCACGACAAACTTCTCTATGATTTCCTCAATGGTTAAGGCCCCAAATGATACATTAAAAAATATACATTTGTTTTATATTTTCAAAGTATTCTTAATCTTTAATTAGGAACTACACTGAAACTCTGTTGTCAATGCCCCTACGAAGACTGAAAGAGATGTGATGGTTTTAAGACTGGTGCCTATGGTCAAAAGAATATACTGACTGCTTCCAAATGTCTATAAATAAATTATGGTTTCTTAAAGGCCCATGAAATGAAACTTTATTTCTTGTCATTAGTTATCTAATTTCTTAAAGGTTATCTTTGTTAGGAATGGAATCAATTTAATGATTTAAATATTTTTCAAACATTTTATAACACATTTTTATACTAGAATTCTTGTTTGCTTTCAATTGCCTTTCTCATTCTTTTTACTTTCATTCCATGTTTTCCTTCTGAATTATAATTGTGTATTCTATTCTGGATGAAATACTCATATTTCTCTAAAATGTGGCTAGTAAACAAAACCATGTAAGAGTGTACATAAGAGGGAACCTCAGATCTCTTTCATCTGTGATTTTTAAAGTTATCCTTGGCTTTACTAAACCATGGGTTGCTATGGCTGTTGTCATTGCAGTTAAATATAGACTCTAATTTAGATAATCATAGGATAAAACCCAAAGTGACGTACTGTTTCAAATAAAACACTGATACCCCTTCATATACACAATGGTGGGAGAGACATACTGTATTTAACATTCAACCAGTTGTCTGGGTATTGAACTCTGTTATTTCAGTAGTCAGTATAAACACAACCAGAGAGAAGCAAATCAGAAGGAAAACAACAAAGAGAAGCAAATCAGAAGGAAAACAACAAAAATTTCTGCATTTTGTTTCCTCAAGCAAAAAGGCCTTATTAGGAAAAAACAAAACACTTTTACTAAATGCACCATATTACTAAATCCAACATATTCAGGAATGTGTATTGTGGCATTTATCTGAGAGAATCACGTGGTTGGATTTTACATCTTTTATCCCAGCCCAACAGGTTTGATTCAATTCACACTTATTGAATGTTGTTTTTAGATAAAAGATGTGTGTAAATGATTCATTTTAATAAGGTGTTCTATATACTACTATAGGCCTCATTCTTTCTTCAGTGATAAAGAATAAAAAAAAAAATAGTGAGAGAGTCCAAAACACCATGATCTTAAAGCAATCTTTTTCAGATGGAAAAACCTCTAGGTGACTGCCCACACCACCTGGTAACTCCATATTGACAGACAACACCATAATTAGGAGTAAACAACTCATATAAAACTACAGTTTACATAGGCTTTATCATTGCAATTATATTAGGCAGCATTTTTATAGTAGGTGTTAACTAAAGGATTGGAAAAGTAAGGTGTTGGGTATAATTCCAAATAACTGACCAAAGGCAAAATCTAACCTTTATCTTTTCACAAAACAGCTTTCTGGCCCACTAGGTATTCAGCCTCTAGGTAATCTTATACTGAGTCATTACCACCTCCCATTCACCACGTGCTCTTAATTAAGCCTGGGGAATACACGAGTGTGAATTCAAAGCAACTCAACTGATGGTATTCGGTACCCAACTATAGACTGTAGGTGCACTAAAATATAAACGCATAGTGGATGGTGTAGGTCCCCTAACCAGAACCCCCTTACCTGCTTGTGCATTTCTCTCCCAGCTCCTTTGAGATTTGACTGTTAGTGTCCAGCAGCTAGCTCCGACTTCCTTGAAAAAACTGCCCTTTAATGAATATTGACTGGCACAGGGGTACCAAAGGCTGCCTCCTTGCTTTTGGATGGACTAACCCCGTGATGGACTAACCCCGTGGTGCAATTTGTGCTCCTGAGTGTCTCCATGCAATCAGAGTTAAGAGCGTCTCCAGCTGAGACCACACTCTCAATCAGCACTTTTTCTTTCTCCTTTCCTGTTTTTCTCACCTCTGTGGATCTGAGATCACGTTCCAAATAAATCACGTTTACTAAATCCTGTTTTCCGTGTATTTGAGTCAGTTTCCTTATCTTTAAAGTGGAAATAATATCCCATACTCCAATGTATAGTGGCAGTGTTTTATTTAGAAAATGGAAGAGTTGAAAAAATGTTATTTCTCTTGTCCACTCTTTAACTCTGAGCTTTCTAACAGAAAAAAGAAAAACATTTCTAAACAAATCTATCAATGAGTCAGAATTCTTTTTCCTTTCCTTTTCTTCTTTTCTTTTTCATTTCCAGATTGAAATCAACGAAGAGTTTTTTGTTTGTTTGTTTGTTTGTTTACTGTGAATGAATCTTTTCTTTCTTTTTTTTTTTTGAAACGGAGTCTCGCTCTGCCATCCAGGCTGGTGTGCAGTGGCGCGATCTCGGCTCACTGCAAGCTCCGCCTCCCAGGTTCACGCCATTCTCCTGCCTCAGACTCCCGAGTAGCTGGGACAACAGGTGCCCGCCACCATGCCCGGCTAATTTTTTGTATTTTTAGTAGAGACGGGGTTTCACCGTGTTAGCCAGGATGGTCTCCATCTCCTGACCTCGTGATCCACTCCCCTCGGCCTCCCAAAGTGCTGGGATTACAGGCGTGAACCACCGCGCCCGGCCGTGAATGAATCCTGATAATGTGATTACCAGTGTTTTAAATAGTTTTACTCAAAATATTTTTCTTTTAATTGGAGCATTCCATGGCTGTCATTTGTGTCTAGACTGAACAATCCCTAGACAGGTACCATGTCTGTTGGAATCACCTTTGCATCCTTAGTGTCCTTTTCAGTATCTGGGATAGAGTCAGCATAATATGAATATGTGTTGACTCAATGGTAGTTCCACTTAAGGCATCAGAACCATTTGGGAGTGGCCGGGTGCAGTGGCTCACACCTGTAATCCCAGCACATTGGGAGGCTGAGGCAGGAGGATCACCTGAGGTCAGGAGTTTAATACCAACCTGGCCAACATGGTGAAAACTTGTCTGTACTAAAATACAAAAATTACCCAGGCATGGTGGCTGGCACCTGTAATCCCAGCTACCAGGGAGACTGAAGTAGGAGAATCGCTTGAATCTGGGAAGCAGAGGATGCAGTGAGCCGAGATCACACCATTGCACTCCAGTCTGGGGTAACACAGTGAGACTCCGTCTCCAAAAAAAAAAAAAAAAAAGAACCATATGGGAGTGGCAGTGTGGGCTCCAAAATCCAACAGAAACATAAGTCTCTCCATCTTTTAGGAGTTATGTAAATTTGTTGCTTACTTTCTTCAAACTTCATTTTCCTAATCTTTAAAATTGATGTAATAGTATTCATCTCATAGACTATATGGGAATCTAATGGAATAATGTACTTAGCATAGTAAGTACTAGATAAATATCAGCTATTGCACTGAAATAGTGTTATTATAATCTGAAATTTAGACTCCCTATATAAATAGTTGATCATCTGAAGATAGTTCTCAGAGTTACATAGAAGAAAGTTTTATAAGACTTACCAAAGTACAATCCATAGCAAATTAATGGTAAGTTAAAGGATAGCCTAAAACCAGGATTTATACCACATTGTCTGATTATCAAAGAGACATAATAAGATTCAATAATAAGAAAAGAATCAACTTCTTAGCAGAGGAGTTTATTAAAGGACAGATTAAAATTTGACCAATACAGAAATAAATGTCAGTTTTAGCCATCGTTCTGTGTACAATTGTTTAACTGAAATAGTAACATTTTCTCGGTGGAAATTTACCTCATGCTTTTAATGACAATTTCTTTCTCTCTCTTCCTCTTTTTTTTTTTTTTTTTTGAGACCGAGTTTTGCTCTTGTCGCCCAGGCCAGAGTGCAACAGCCCGATCTCAGTTCATTGCAACCTCTGCCTCCCGAGTTCAAGAGATTCTCCAGCCTCAGCCTCCTGAATAGCTGGGATTACAGGTGTGGGCCACCACGGCCGGCTAATTTTTGTATTTTTAGGAGAGAAGGGGTTTCACCACATTGGCCAGGCTGGTCTCAAACTCCTGACCTCAGGTGATCCACCTGCCTAGGCCTCCCAAAGTGCTGGTATTACAGGCATGAGCCACAGTGCCTGGCCTTCTTTTTTTTTTTTTCCTTTGTTTGTTTGTTTGTTTTTAAGATGGGATCTCACTCTGTCACCCAGGCTGGAGTGCAGTGGTACAATCACGGCTTACTGCAGCCATGACTTCCTGGGTTCCAGTGATCCTCCCACTTTGGCCTCTTGAAGTGCCCAGATTATAGACATGATCCATTGTGCCTGGCTAACAATTTCTTAAATAAATCTAAAGAGAACTTACACAAGATATTTGAATTTAGTACTTGGATATTAACCATATTTTAAGGTATAAGTGCATAACTGAAGTTAACTTTTGACAATGGCAAAAAAAAAAACAAATAAAACATAAAAACTATATTGAACTAATGAAATAGAGTAACCAGGAGAAAAGAAAAAACACCAACCAATCAACAAACAAACAAAAACATTACCTGGAAAGCTGCTGCGGATCATAGAAGCTATTATTGATATTGTGGAATAATCAGATATAATGTTAGGCATTCTTCATAAAATTTCTGGCTATTTTTATGTATTTATATTTTTAAAACTTATGGTTTTTTAAAAATAATTTCAACTTTAATTTTAAATTCAGGGTGTACATGTGCAGGTTTCTTACCTGAGTATATTGCGTGATGCTGAGTTTTGAGGTGTGAGTGATACTATCATCACAGTACTGAGCAGAGTACTTAATAGTTTTTCAGTCCTTGGCTCCCTCACTCTCTCCCTGCTCTAGTAATCTACGGTTTCTGTTGTTGCCGTCTTTATGTCCATGAGTACCCAATGTTTATCTCCCACTTATAAACGAGAACATGTAGTCCTTGGTTTTCTGTTCCTATGTTAATTTGTTTAGGATAATGGCCTCTAGCTGCATCCATGTTGCTACAGAGGATATGATTTCATTCTTTTTTATGGCTGCATAGTATTCCATAGTGTGTATATATCACATTTATCCAATCCACCATTGATGGGCACCAAGGTTGATTCCATGTCTTTGCTACTGTGAATAGTACTGCATTTAATGTGTGCATGCATATTTTTGGTAGAAAAATTTATTTTCTTTTGGATATATACCCAGTAATGGGATTGCTGGCTCAAATACTAGATCTGTTTTGAGTTATTTGAAAAATCTCCAAACTGCTTTCCACAGTGGCTAAACTAATTTACATTCCCTCCAACAGTTGTTCTCTTTTCTTCACAATCTCACCAGTATCTATTTTTTTGACTTTTCAGTAATAGCCATTCTGACTGGTATGACATGGTATCTCATTGTGGCTTTGATTCACATTTCTCTGATAATGTTGAGCATTTTTTCAAATGTTTGTTGGCTGCTTGTATGTCTTTTGAGAAATGTCTGTTCATGTTTTTTGTCCATTTTTAAATGGGGTTATTTGTTTTTTGCTTGTGCAATTGTTTAAGTTCTTTACTGATTCTGGATATTAGACTTTTGTAAGATTTGTATTTGCTAATATTTTATTCCATTCTGTAAGTTGTCCATTTACTCTGTTGACAGTTTCTTTTGCTGTGCAGAAGCTCTTTAGTTTAATTAGGTCCCACTTGTCAATTTTTTTGTTGTTGATGTCATTGTTTTTGAGGACTTAGTCATAAATTCTTTCCCAAGGCCAATGTCCAGAATGGTGTTTCCTAGCTTTTCTTCTAGGATTCTTATAGTTTGAGATCTTATATTGAAATCTTCAATCCATCCAGTTGATTTTTATACCTAGTGAAAAATAGGGATCTAGTTTCATTCTTCTGCATATGGCTAGCCCGCTATCCCAGCACCATTTATTGATCAGGAAATATTTTCCCAATTGCTTGTTTTTGTCAACTTTCTTGAAGATCACATGGCTGCAGGTGTGCAGCATTACTTCTGAGTGCTCTATTCAGTTCCATTGGTCTCTGTGTCTGTTTTTGTACCAGTACCTTGCTGTTTTGGTTACTATAGCTTTATAGTATAGTTTGAAATCTGGTAATGTAATGCATCTGGCTTTGTTCTTTTTGTTTAGGAATGCTTTGGCTATTTGGGTTCTTTTTTGGTTCCATATGAATTTTAGAATAGTTTTTTCTAGATCCATGAAAAATGAAATTGGTAGCTTGACAGGAATAGCATTGAATCTGTAGATTGCTTTGGGCAGTATATCTTGGCATTTTTTAATGGACATTACAAATATATCCCTTTGGGTCTCCTAGATCTGTCTTATATAGACTTATCTAACCCAAAAGCTATATTTGTACTTCTCATCTGCTTAGTATAAAGATCTTCATTTAGACATGTATTAATGTCACAATGTATTAAAGTTGAAATTTTAAGAAATGAATAAATTTTCTGTATCTTATATCAAACCATTGTTGAATACTCTTTAATCATTATTCAATATTCTCCATAAAAGCATAATTTCCTCTCAGATACTATTATCCAGAAAATACTATATTCTCCTAATGAACTAATATGTTCCCTTTTATCAAAAAATATACTATATAACCCATCATACCCCAAAAGCAGTAAGGTAAAGGAAAAAAATATATTGACTTTATAGTGAGACTCATATTTCTATTCCTATAGCAATGTGACCTCCCTGAGTCTCAGTTCCCTCAAAATCCAACTGGGTAAACTCCATTAGGTTTCAAGGTCTGTGAATAATCCTCTATGGCTCCTGGCTCCACCCTCTGGGCCTGAGGTTCTGAAAGGGACAAAGAGAGGATGGATACAAAATGAAAGAAGGCTGTTGAAGTCTCCAAATTTTACGGGTAGAAAATAGGCTGATACAACCACATGGTAATGTAAATTCCTTCAGCTACTGTGGAAAGCGATTTGGCGATTTCTCGCAGAACTGTAAACAGAGCTATCACTTGACCTAGCAGTTCCATTACTGGGTGTATATCCAAAAGAAAATAAATTGTTCTACCAAAAAGACTCATGCACCCAGATGTTCGTTACAGCATTGTTCACTCAAAGACATGGAATCAACCTAAGTGCCTATCAGCAATGGATTGGATAAAGAAAATGTGGTACATATACACCAGAGAAGAAAAAGGAAGAATGTCTCAAAGACTGGTGTCTTAGGTCCAGAATGCACACAACAGATACTTAACAAAAAAAATATAAGAATGACAAGCACATGAAAGATATTCCATATTATTTGTCACTAGGGAAATGCAAATTAAAACCACAGTGCTATATGTCTAGATAACCACCAAAAAGGCTATAAACAAAAAGTCATATAACAAGAGTTGATAAAAATACTAAGAAATTTGAACTCTCACACAATGTTTGTGTGAACGTAAAATGAAACTTTGAAAATAGTTTGTAAGTTTCTAATAAATTTAAACTTACATTTATCATACAACCACAGTTCCACTCCTAGATATTTACCCAAGAGATACGAAAACCTATGTTCTCCTAGAGAGATTTGTACTCAATAATATTCAAAGTAGTTGTATTCATAATAGCCAAAAACTGGACAATAACATAATGGCCAAAAAGATGTCTATCAACTGAAATGTAAAAACAAAGTTGGTATATCCATTAAAAATATTACTCAGCAACACAAAAGAATGAAATACTAATAAAACAACATGGGTGAATCTCTAAATTATTATATAAGAAGCCATACATAAAGAAATATGTGCTCTAGGAATCAATTTTATGAATTCTAGAAAAGGTAAACCTATTATAAGATACAGAAATCTGTGTTTGTCAGGGGAAAGGGTTTGAGGCCAGGAAATGAAAGGCAAAGGACTTTTTGGAGTGAGAGAAATGTTTCATAATTCAGGAGTGTCCAATCTTTTGGTTTCCCTGGGCCACATTGGAAGAAGAAAAATTGTCTTGGGCTACACATAAAATATATAACACTAATAACAGTTGATGAACTAAAAAAAAAATCACAAAAAAAATCTCATGTTATGAATTTGTGTAGGGCCTCATTCAAAGCCATCCTGGGCTGTGGGTTAGACAAGCTTGTTTTGTATCATGATTGTCATGGTGTTTATTTGACTGTATGTTTGTCCTAACTCATGAAATTGTAATTCTTAAAACTGGTGAATATTGTTGCATATAAATCATACTTCCATGATTAAAAAATCAAATTGACAGCAAAAAAATTAGTGCAATTATTGGGATAGTAACACTCTCACTAGATTGCATTCTGATTTTCTTTCTTAGAGGGAGGAAAGAAATGAGTTGTAGCTAGAACACTCAGAATTGCCCCCCCAAAATCTAGATAGGCCCATAGTAGTATCTACCTCACTTGACTATTATTGGTTTAGTGTTTCCTCTATTGAAAGTGAGGTGGTGGAAAAGGTGAATGTACAATTGAGGAAGAGAGACCAATCAGAGTTATTGTGATAGTTAAGTGAGAGATTATGAGGATCTTATTCAGGATAATAATAGTTTGAATGGGAATATGCGTTTTGATTAAAAAAATATATTAATGATTTTCATGATTATGAGCTTGCTTTCCTATGCAGGCATTCACCCTTGGCATATATCCTGCAAAGTCATTCTTTTCTGAGTCATATGGCCCAAATGACATATTTTAAGACACTTATAATAGTTACATTAAATTTTAAAATGGGCTTTGAGTCAGAGTGACACAAAAAGCCAATATCACCAGCAGTCAGTGAAAATTAACATATTGCTGACACTTGGTCCTGTATTATTCTATTTCTGTTCCACTCGCTTTGTAAAAAAAAAAAAAAATTAAGAATAAGATTTTTTTTTAGAGTAGTAGAACTCACTTTTTTCAGGGCAAAATGACATATAATCAACTTTAACATTTCATTCTCTTCACCAGAGCAAGTAACAGTGATCCAAATTGGGAAATTGGAATGAAAGGAAACTTTAAGAAGGGTTTTAATAAAAGACTTCCAGGAAAAAATCCAAGCAGTTAAACAGAAGTATCCAAAAAATATGGTCTCTTTAACGCCATTACAGGGGTGGCTTTACAGATTTCCAATGCCCAAAAGTCTACCAAGATTTACTCTGTTCCAATTCAAATAACACTCATTCTTCATCAAAGAAAAGCAAAGAGAAACACAAAATGCTTAGTAAATTTGTGGGCAATCTGTTTGCTATTCTGAAAGAAAAGTAAATATTTGTAGCATTTATAAAGCATGCTATAGAATCCTGTAACTGAAAAAAAAAAAAGACTCTGAATGGCATCTTTTTCTAACTGCATAAACAGCTGGCTCTTGGATGGATGTTTGGCTGAAACATTTTACCATCCTGGACACCATGCTTACTTTAAATGATTCCAGGAATTTGCAGAATGTGGAGATAACATCTGTTACCAAGGTATGTGGAACACATCTACTCCAATTGCTCTTCCAATAAGGGAATCATGCAAGTTTTTTAGATCAGCAGAAAAACACAGTTTTGAAAATTGGATGACATGATCTGGGACTACAGGTGTGCACCACCATACCCAGCTAATATTTTAGTTTTTTTTCAAGACTGGGTCTCACTTTCTTGCCCAGGCTAGTCACTGATTTCTTAATTTCAGTCATTTTGTATTTTTTTAAATCTAGAATTTCCATTTGGTTCTTTTTTAATGGTATCAAATTCTTTGCCAGAAAGCTCACTGTTGACTTCAATTACTTGAACAAAAAATTATTTTGTAAATTCATTTATTATATTTCTAATATTTGCACTAACTGAATCATTGACTATTCTGCGTCTACCCACTATTTTTTCAAGTATCTTTTGATACAATTATTTTATCTTTTCTTTAGACATGTTATTTATTTTTGACTGAGAATAAGGAATTGTATTCCACACATGGAAACCATGTAAGAGCAGGGAAATAGTAAATATTTTTAAACACATAAAAGGAAAAATATACAGCAAATTTGGATTTATCCTATTACACTTAGTCACTATTTTACAACATTTACACAGGTCAAGTTTTTAGATGGCTTCCGTGAGTTCACAGGCTCACTAGAAAGCCCACAAAGACTTCTGAAACTCAGGGCCAGCAGGAAGGTAAGGTGAGTAGAGACCAAGAAGAGACTCCCTCACAGGTGAAAAGTATTGGACAGTTGCAGTCCAGGATCAAAGAAGCTGCAAGTTTGTTGTTAGAGAGGGCAATCAAAAAGTTCAAGTCTAAAAGTAGACTACTGTTATCACTAGAAAAAATTGGGAAGCATTTGTAGGTAGAGGTTAAAGAGATTGAAAAATTGCTGATGACAAGGGCAACTAGAAAGTTCAAGTCTCAATAGCTTCACAAATCACCCCCATGGAGTTAGGTCCGGCAATCAAGGAACAGAATCAAGAATTCCAAGGTATTATCCCTTTCATATGTGTATTTCAATTCTGATCATTTATCATGCACTAATTGAGCCATCAGTATTTATCACCTTGACCATAGCAATCGCATTTTAATTTACTGGTCTCTGTGCATCCACTTTTGTCCTGCTGCAGCTTATTGTTCTTAAAGCAGAAAGGCCTTTTAAAATGTAGGAATGATCATGTCATATCCTGGCTCAAAAACCATTCAATGACTTCCCATAACAATTATAATAAAATGTAAACTCTTCATCATAGCCTGCAAGGATCCTACAGAACCTGGCCCTTGCCTACCTCACCCATTCTGCCTGTCATCCAACATTCTCTAGCCACACTGGCCTCCTCAGTTCATGAGGGTTTATTATTTTATTTTTCTTAATAATACTTACGTGTTAGACCGTTCTTGCAATGCTGTAAGGAATTACCTGATACTGGGTAATTTATAAGAAAAGAGGTTTAATTGGCTCACTGTTCTGCAGACTGTACAGAAGTATAGTGGTATCCACTTCTGGGGAGGCCTGAGGAAGCTTCTAATCATGGCAGAAGTTGAAGCTGGTATGTAAAATGCAAAAGCAGGAGCAAGAGAGAGAGAGAGAGAAAGGTGAGGGGAGATGCCACACACCTATCTCTTGAGAACTCACTCACTATCCTGAAAACAGCACCAAGACATGAAGGATCCACCCCCATAATCTAAACACCTCCCACCAGGCCCCGCCTCCAGCATTAGGTATTACATTTCAACATCAATTTGGGTGGGGACAAATATCTAAATTAGGTCAACTTATGTCCACCAGAACTTGTGTAATAGATTTATTTGTTTCTTTCTCTTCCACTAAGATCTGTAAGAGCAGGCAATTTGTTGAGTCTATTGTTCTCTCCAAGAAAATAAAAGATTGACTGGAAAAAAGGAAGTGCTCAGCACGTCTTCGTAAAATTAATTACTGAATTAGAAGATGAGAGGTACATGAATACAAGGAGGAAAAGCTGAAGGATGCTGGTCAGATACTAAACACCTTCATATCAGTTAAGTTCAGAGAACTGGAGGGAAATAGAAGTGAAAGAGAGTCCAGTAGCTGTTACTGAGCTAGGGAATCAGGATTTCATTCCAATTCTAAGCTAGGGGATAGACCCAAGAATATAGATACACTTCCTTTATTGGCCTTAGTTCCTAAGGACTAGAGGAAGACTTGGGTCCCCAGGTTGTCAGGGTGAGCTTGGGGTTAGGGTAGGGGGAAATATCAATAAATTTAGCTGTGAGGTCTACTGAAGACAGAAGCAGGTGAGAAAGAACTGTTAGCAGAAGCCTAATAGTTGTGAAAGAAGCCAATTCTTCCTGATTTTCCCAGCATTCTCCTCTCTCATAAGAATCATAGAGGTTTATTCATGACAAAGAACTTTATTCATGACAAAGAGGCACTTCCAATAGTTTGTTCACGCCCAGAAAATAAAAATAGGCCCAAGGGAGAATAGACATATTATGTTCTGGAAATGGTTGTGCTACACAATGAATAGTTGAAACCACAGGCTGGGGCTGCATAGTGAATCCAATCAGTTGAACAGGAACGTGGTCTCTTTCTTCACAGTAACAGGAGAAATGGTTGAAAAAATGTATTACTACTCAAAACATACACATAATTAATATTTCAGCCTAGCTTTGCCTCCAGGTTTTTTAGCTATTCTCAAGGAGTAAGAGTGGTTACTAGTTATAAAAGGGTTATGATTTCTGTGTTTAAAAAAGTAGTACCTGGTGTGTGACCATTGGAAATGATCTAGGCGTTAAGAGTCACTCATATGCAAAGCCAAATTTTAAAAAAAAGGTTAGAAACCTGCTTACAATCTTTTCTGACTTCAAACTGCATCATAAAACTAGTCAAGCTTAACTCACTGACGTGCATGCCCATTTATGAAGGCAGTGGGGCTTGGGATCATTTTTCTTTACCCTATCAAAATCATGATTTATAATCTGACTCTTTGTTAAAAATGTTAACAGTAAAAATATACTTCACTCATTGCTTTATATATTATTTCTATAGAGCTTAAGATACGAGAAATACAGTGTCCCATGATAACAAGCAAGTTGTCCACCATAAATAATAAAAATTAAATCATAAATACAGGTGACTTTTAAGAAGAAAGAATGAAAGGAGGGAGAGAGGGAGGGAAGGAAGCAGGGGAAACAGATATAATTATGGGCTAAATAAATAAATACTATGGGTTCTGCTATTTTTCCTTTCTATGAACATTTTTCAGAAGTCTAACCTTATTCAAAATTTCTCATAGTTTAGAAGCACAGGTACAGAAGAAAGATATGAGGAAACGGCAGGAAAAGTAAAACTAGGAAACACTGGAGTATTTAATGAAGATTAGGGGAGAACATAGAGACGGTGTTTTACTTTCCTCCAATCTCCCCAGTATTACCTCATAATCCTTTTCAAAGACTAATGTTTGGTTTTGTTTCAGTTCTCTGTTTTTGTTGCTTTTCTATATTTTATTTATCTTTTCAGTTTTTATTATATAATTTATTATTGTTGTTGTTTATGTTATTTATTTCTTATTTTTATGTTCATTTTCCAGCTTCTTATGTAGAATTCTTGGTTTATTTGTTCTTTCCTTTACTTGTTTAGAAAAAAATATAAATTTATTTAAAAATGTATAAAACAGTAAATTTCTCTCTAAGTAGTACTTTAGCTTTGTCTTTCAAATTTTGACAAGTAGTGCCTTAAGTATTACAAATAGTGTAAATTAAATTAAATGATTTAAATGAATTATAATATTTATTGATCCCCTTTATTATTTTAAGCACAGTGGTTATTTAAAATTATGCTATTTAGTTTCCAAATAGATTGAATGTTTGGCTACTTTTTTTTTTTTTTGAGATGGAGTCTCGCTGTGTCACCCAGGCTTGAGTGCAGTGGTGCCATCTCCACTCACTGCAACCTCCAACTCCCGGGTTCAAGCGATTCTCCTGTGTCAGCCTCCCGAGTAGCTGGGACTACAGGCACGCACCACAACACCCGGCTAATTTTTGTATTTTTAGTAGAGAGGGGGTTTCACTATGTTGGCCAAGCTGGTCTTGAACTCCTGACCTGGTGACCCGCCCATCACATTCAGACTCCCAAAGTGCTGGGATTACAGGCATGAGCCACCGTGCCCGCCCAACGTCTAGGTTTTTAATTTATAAGTTTACTACACTAAATTAAAGAACATAAAGTCAAAATTTCTATTCCATGGAATTAATTGAAATTTTTATTGTAATACTTTTTCTCTTCTCTTTCTAGGGTTTTTTTTTTAAATGAGATGAAACTCAAATAGCATACTATTAAGCATTTTGAAATGTATAATTCAGTGGCATTTAGCCCATTCACAGTGTTGTGCAAGACCATGGCTCTCCAGTTTCAAAACCTTTCTTCATCCCAGAACAATACTCTGTATCCATTAAAAACCCTCAACTCTCCTCCCATCCCCTGGCAACTACTAATCTGCTTGCTGTCTCTATGAATTTATCTGTTCTGGGTATTTCATATAAAAGGAATGGCTTTCATGCATGGCTTCTTTTCCTTAGCATGTTTTTGTGGTTCATCCAAGTTTTAGCAGCCATCGGTGCTTCATTACCTTTTATGAATGAATAATATTCTATAGCATGTATGGACCACAATTTATCCATTCACCTCTCAGTGGACATCTCAATCATTTTTCTACCTTTTGGCTATTATGAATAATGTATGAAAGTTTCTGTGTGGACATATCATTTTATTCCTCCTAGGCATACACTTAAAACGAAATTGCAGGGTCATATGGTAATTATATATGTTAACTTTTTGAGGCACCACCAAATCGTTTTCCCCAGTGGCTGCATCATTTTACATCCCCACCCATGTACAAGAGTTCTACATTCTCCACAACACTTGCCATATTTGGCTGTTTAATTATAGCCATCACAGTGGGTATGAAGTGATATCTCACTGTAGTATTGATTTGCATATCCTTAATTACCATTTACGTTGAACATCATTTCCTGTGCTCATTGCCCATTTGTACATTTTCTTTGAAAAAAATGTATATTTATGTCCTTTACCCATTTTTTTATTGGATTGTTCATCTTTTTCTTCTTGACTTGTTTTCTTTAGGTTGGTACAAAAGTAGTTGCAGTTTTGCCATTACTTTTAGTGGCAAAAACTGGAATAACTTTTGCACCAACCTAATATATATTCTCCATACTAAATTCTTATCAGATATATGATTTACAAATATTTTCTCTGATTCTGTGAGTTGTCTTTTCACTTTCTTGATGAGGTCCTTTGGTGCACAAACATTTTTAATTTTTATGAGGTCAAATTCATCTATTTATTCTTTATTGCTTGTGATTTTGGTGTCAAACCTAAAAACCCATTGCCAAATCCGAGGTCATCAAGATTTACCCTTGTGTTTTCTTCTAATGATTTTATAGTTTTAACTCTTATATTTAGGTTGATCCATTTTGAGTTAATTTTTATATATGGAGTAAAGGAAGAGTTCAAATGTATTATTTTGCATGTGGTTATCCAGTTGTTCCAGCACCATTTGTTAAAGAGACTATTTTTTTCTCACTGAAGAGCTTGGCACCATTGTCAAAAGTTACTTGGCCATAGATGTTTGGGTTTATTTCAGGACTCTTAATTCTGTTCTGTTCATCTATACGTCTATCTTTTTGCCAGTACCACACCGTTATGGTTACTGTAGCTTTGCAGTTAGTTTTGACATTAGAAAGTATGAGTCCTCCAAAGTTCTTTTCCTTTCTCAATAGTTTTTGGCTATTTAGAGGCCCTTGTAATTCCATATGAATTTTAAGGTTAGCTTTTCCATTTTTGGAAAAAAGGAGGCCACTGGAATTTTAATAGGTATTGTATTATGTCTGTAGATGACTTTGAAAAGAATTGCATCTCAACATTATTAAGACTTTCAATCCATGAACATGGGGCATCTTTCCCTGACATTATTTCCTAATGAACTATTTTAGTAAATATTCAGTGTATGCTTAAAGTATATTCTGTTTTAGTATGGAATATATAATATACATAATAACTCAAACCTTTAATTGAACAGATTTTTAGTATCTCCACTTTATTTTTTGTCTATTTTATTCTATCTCTTCCTGAGAAGCATATGTTGATATCTTCAACCTTAATTGTTGGTTTATCTCTTGACATTCTCATCAGTTGCTTTATATAATTTGAGGCCATATTGTTGAGTGAACATATGTTCACATTGATTATATATCTTTGTTCATTATTTTTTATCTTTATTATTATATATAAAACACCCCTTTTTAGTAAAGTAATGTAGAATAGTACATAAATGAAATCACAGTCTTTAAAGCCAGACACCCAGAGTCCAAATTGCCATTCTTTCACTTTCTTTTGAAATTAACCTCATTTTTATGAGTAACTTGTTTTTTCTGCCTACGGTTAATCCACCTTAACTTTTCATGTATCAAGTTGTTTTTCATATATCAAGTGTGATCTTGGCAGCTTATTTAACTTCTGAATTTCTTCCTTTTTTAAAAAAAAGAGATAAGTTCTTACTCTGTCGCCAAGCTCACTGTAACCTCAAACCCCTGGGCTCAAGTGATCCTCCCACATCAACCTCCCAAGTACCTAAGACTACAGGCATGCACCACTACATCTGGCTAATTAAAAAAAAATTGTAGAATCAGGGTCTCACTATGTTGCCAAGCTAGTCTTAAATGCCTGGCCTCAAACCATCCTCCTGCCTCGACCCTCCAAAGCACTGAGATTACAGGTGTGAGCCACCACACCAGGCCTGAAATATCAATACTGCCATCTCAAAATTATTGCAAGAATTAAATAAGGCATCATAGATACAAGGTTTATTATGGTAGTTATGGAGTACTACTATCTCTACTAACCTAATCTCTTCACCTGAAATACTCTTACTTACTCATGGTGTTACTATAACTCATGTTCTCAACTCATTTTCAGGATAGCTCCTCTCCTCCAGAATAACTGAGGAGCCTGAATAATTGACTCTATCATTTGAAACCTATATCCTGAACATGTTTCAGTAATAATTCTGTGACCATAATTCTGTGTCTCGTTCTCCTTTCAAGACTGAATGATAGGTAAGGAAAAGTCTGTATCTTCTATATATATGTGGCAATTAGCCTCATTTTTATGAGTAACTTGTTTTTTCTGCTTACAGTTAACCTACCTTTACTTTTCATATATCAGGTTTTTTTCATATATCAAGTGTGATCTTGGCAGCTTCTTTATCTTCTGAATTTCTTGCCTTTTTTTTCAAGATATATACATTTATATGTATCAAATATATATATTCAATATATATTGAGATATATATAGAAAGCTTAATATGATATCTAGCAATTTTTATGGGCATGCATTTCTGTAGAATTAATAAATAAATGATATGATTGGTCTACAATAGCACCGTCCATAAAATTTCTGCAATAATGAATGTATTTTATGTCTGTGCTGCCCAATATTATAGTAAATAGCCACATTTGGCTATTAACCACTTGAAATGTGGTTAGTGTGAATGAAGAACTGAATGTTAATATTTTTCATTTTTGATTAATTTTAATTTTAATCACCACATCTGGCCTAAGGTTACTATTTCATATAACACATATCTTCCATATTTATGTTGTAAGTCATGTAGTTCAGTAAACTCTCCATTAGCTTCGCATCTCATTCAGAGTAAAAGCCAGAGTCCTCATAGTGACATAAAAGGACCTACACATTAGGGTTCTGTCATCTACACTTTCTCTCTGACCTCTCCCCTGCTGCTCCATCACAGCCACAATGGCTTCCTTGCTGTCACACTCTCACCTCCAGATCTCTCCTCAGTTCTTCCCTTGCTCAAAAATTCTTCCTCTAGGTATCTCTAGGATTCCCTCCCTCAGTTTCTTCAGGTCTTTACTTAAGTGATAGCTTCTGAATAAAGTCTTGAGATCATGTCATCAAAAAATTTTACCTCCTTCCTCATATACTACCCCTCTTCCCTTTTCATTTTTCTCCATAGAAACTGTCTGGTAAACTCTACTTATTTACCTTGTTTATTGTCTATGACCACCTACTAGAATTCTGCTCAGAAGAGTGGGGACTATTTTTTTCTGTTTATTCATTACTATATCCTCAGCTGCTAGAATAATGCTTTACATAGTAAGTGTTCAGCTAATATTTGTTGAATGAATGAATGAATAGGCATACTGACAAATTTATGAACAATTTAAAAAATCAGACAAAGAGTTGTACCTTAACACTGCTTGCTCCTTGAGTCTATTCCAAATTTTATGTCCAAATTCAATGAGTTGAGCTTATACGAATTTCAGAATTCCAACACCACAAGAAATCCTGCAAAAAGGCATGAACAAATTAAAACCATAGGGAGGCTAATTTATATCACCCTAACCTATCATATTTCAATACCTTGCTCCTTCAGAAATTTTTCTATAGCCATCTGGAAATGTAGAAGAAGAATTGAAATAAATTTTGGTTTTGTAGATACTTCTTACAAGCAAATAGTGATTTCAGATTTATGTTCTCTTCAATTTTACAGTTACTACTTATGTGTCTTTAAATGTGTTATGATTGTGCTATTGCAGATACATTCTGAGTTTCATGGCACACTGTGTTCAGTTTTTGGGTTTTATTTGTTTGTTTTGGTTTCGTTTATTTCTGTGTTCCATTTTTAGGATATAAAGTTTTATACTACAGCTGGGATAGTACTTTCCACTTCATCTCATTCTTCCTTCTAAAACCAACTCCAAATGTAAGCTCATCAAACATGCAAAAGATATTAAGTACAGTAGATATATCCGCTTCCCCTACTATTATTCTTATCCAAGTGTTTAGGAAAAGCTCAAATACCCAGATGGTTCAAAAGCTGTGTTATCCACTGTTTTGGCTGATTCAGGCCTGAGCAAATATGGCTTCTGTTATTGTCCTGGAATGCCAACATCCAGGTTCATTAAAACAGTACACCTGGGTTAGAGAGTGTATAGACCCCTTCAAGTATATGCATGGAAGAAGAGAAAAAACAAAACAGACATCTCAAACATTATCCAAATTTTAGACATTCAACCAAAATAAGTACATAATATAAATATAAAAAGAAATCTCTGAGAGTAATTGTGATTGTGTATCCTATCCATTACCTATAGTCTAGGAATATGTTTTGCAAAGTAATTATTTTCTGTCTCAAAATGGACCTATGGAAAAGTTAAGAAGTGGCTGAATCCCAAGGATGTGTGTGATGGTTAATACTGTGTGTCAACCTGATTGGATTGAAGGATACAAAGTATTGATCCTGGGTGTGTCTGTGAGGGTGTTGCCAAAGGAGATTAACATTTGAGTCAGTGAACAAGGAGAGGCAGACCCACCCTCAATCTGGGTGGGCACCACCTAATCAGCTGCTAGCATGGCTAGAATAAAGCAGGCAGAAGATGGAAGAGCAGACTTGCTGAGTCTTCCAGATTTCATCTTTCTCCCAGGCTGGATGCTTTCTGCCCTCAAATATCAGACTTCAAGTTCTCCAGAAGGCTGTGTATGCCCCAAATCACCGCTCAGTATATGGTATTGTTTCTCCCATAGCCAGAATTTAGGGGTCCAGGAATCAAGGGGTAGAAGTAGAAATGGCATCACTCACCATCACCCCTAGTGACCCACCAGCGAAATTTTTGCTTCCTGTTCCCACAACATTAGACATCTGCTGGCCTAGAGGTCTTAGTTCCAGAAGGAGGAATGCTGCCACCAGGAGACACAACAATAATTCCATTAAACTGGAAGTTGAGATTGCCACCTGGACACCTTGGGCTCCTCCTACCTCTAAGTCAACAGGCTAAGAAGGGAGTTACAGTGTTGGCTGGGTTGATTGTCCCAGACTATCAAGATGAAATTAGTCTACTACTCCACAATGGAGGTAAGGAAGTGTATATGTGGAATACAGGCGAACCCTTAGGGCATCTTTTAGTATTACCATGCCATATGATTAAGGTCAAAGGGAAACTATAACAACCCAATCCAGACAGGACTACAAATGACCTAGACCCTTAAGAAATGAAGGTTTTGGTCACTCCACTAAGTAAAAATCCACGACCTGCTGAGGTGTTGCTGAAGGCAAAGGGAATATAGAATAGGTAGCAGAAGGACATTTGTTTGCAGAACATGTATATTCTTTCTTTTTTTTTTTTTGAGTCTCACTCTGTTGCCAGGCTGGAGTGCAGGGGTGTGATCTCGGCTCAACCTCCGCCTCCCGGATTCAAGCAATTCTCCTGCCTCAGCCCCCTGAGCAGCTGGGACTACAGGCACGTGCCACCACACCCAGCTAATTTTGTATTTTTAGTAGAGATGAGGTTTCACCATGTTGGCCAGGATGGTCTCGATCTCCTAACCTCATGATCCACCTGCCTTGGCCTCCCAAAGTGCTGGGATTACAGGCATGAAGCACCACACCCGGCTAGAACATGTATCTTCTAAAGCTGAATTCAACTGTATGTAATTTTAAAACCTTTTAATGACTGGTAGTTTTGGTAAAGCAGTGTGGAGAGAAGAGGAAGAAAAGGTATCCAAATAGGAATGAAAAGGAGAAATAATGAGTAGAGAAACTATTAGGAAAGGGAGTGAGGGAGACAGAAGAAACAAAGAGAGATAAGGGGGACAATTGTGGAAATACTGTTTACCTAGAGGAGAAAAGGAGACAAAGAGAGATAAGAGAAATCTCTACTGAAAAAGCTCAACCAAAGAAGAAAGTAAATATACCATCTCAGTTCTAAGCAAATTCACTTGGACACCCAGGACTGGATATATTGGATTCCAATGAATTTTTAACAATGAAAAATAATTTTACCTTTTTTCTTTCTTTCTTTTTTTTTTTTTTTTTGAGACAGGGTCTCACTCTGTTACCCATGCTGGAGTTCAGTGTCATGATCATTGCTCACTGCAGCCTCGACTTCCTGGGCTAAAGCAATCCTCCCATTTCAGCCTCCAGAATAGCTGGGACTAAAGGCACAGGCCACTGTTCCTGGCTAATTTTTATATTTTTTGTAGAGAAAGTGTCCAACTATGTTGCCCAGGTTGGTCTGGACTCCTGGGCTCAGGCTATCCTCCCACCTTGGGCTCCCAAAGTGCTAGGATTATAGGTGTGAGGCATTGTGCCCAGACACTTTGTTGTCTCTTTCTTTTTTCTTTACATAGTCTTATTCTACTCTTCCCATAGGAATGATTATATTTTAACATTTTATAATATCTATGGGAAGCAACTTCAGCTAGTTTGAGCTCTTCACAGAGTTCTCCTACTGCCATGACTGAATTGTTTACTCTGGCTCCCTGCTGCCCTTAGACCAAATGGCTGATTTCATGAGAGTAGGGACAGTGGTTTACTCACCACTATAAATCAGTAGCTAACCTAATTCCTGGCACATTGCAAACACTTTTATCAATTAATATTTATCAAAATATTAATATTTATTAATATTTATCAAAATATTAATATTTATTAATATTTATCGAAATATTAATAAATAAAATTTAAAAATTAATCAGGTGTCTTCATCAAATTTTCTAGCCTCCTAGCTAAACTTCCAAATATGGATAACAAATGAAATAACAGCACAACTCCATTTAGAACAGAAAAAATGGGAGGGAGGAGATAAAGATGATGTAAGGCATGATACCTCCTATTTTGCACTATATTTAAGATTCATTTTATTTTACCTCACAATTTACCACAAGAAAGCTAGAAGTTTTTGTTTTGCCTTTCTACATATTTCAGCTTGGAAATGTTATTTTTAGCTACATATTTATTTTTACAAAATCACACCACAGCAAAATGACTTGGGCACCCTGTAAAATTTATAATGAAGGGACCTTATGTGTCAATCAATGGTATACAGACATGTTGCTCAGAATACTGCTCCCTTATTTTTCTACATAATGATCACATTTGGGAGAACTGGCCTTTTTCCAGGTCCAATGCGCTTTGCTGTTGGGATCTTACATCCCACTTGATGAGGTCTTCTTAGCAAGGTTACCCTACAGCAAAGCCATGACATAGAGAGTAAGGGCTCCTTGACTTTTGTCCTCCGTTTCTGCTCCTTGCTGTCAGCCCCCCAAGCCCTCATGCTATCCCAGAGGGCATTGCTCTTGGGTGGTTACTCCCTCTTCTGCCATTGCTGATAGACTGTATTCCCAGTCGGCTTCCCATGTAAGTACGTGCATGCACACACACACGCACACACACACACAAACACACACCGGCACCCCTTCCAGCATGGTATTCTGAGGTTAATCTTAATGTCCAACTCTTCACCAGAGTTAATTTACACTTAAAAAAAACCCAAAGCATATATGCAGATGGTTAAAAATCAAGTAATTTAGAGGAACTTATAATGAAAATCATCAGTTGCCTGTTTGAATTCCAGTTTCTCATTTTAGAAACAGATGGAAATTTTATGGCTTTTGGCTGCTTATACTCTTATTTCTTTATCTTTTAAATAATCATTTCTACACATAATTTACTTCATGCTTTAATCTCTAAGAATTTATCTTACACTACTTCTCACCTCTCTCTTTCTTCCTCCAATATATTTCTATCCTGTCCTTACTTCCCCTATAATTCAAATTACATTCATCACAGAATTGGAAGGCTCAAATATTCTACAGCTATCATCATTATTATACAGCCATGTAAACTCATATTTGTGAAGACAAGTTAATAACACGGTAAAATGTTGACCACTTAAAATAAAGTGCAAGTTTAAAAATGCATATTTATCAATATGGTGTGATTCAAATTCTATAAAATATATAGATTTTATGCAATAAAATTATAGAAAAGAAATATATGAGTTGTAATGTTCAACTCAGCAGAATAAGATTATAGATAATTTTAATTTTCCTGTTTATATTTTTCTACATATTTCTAAAACAAATACATGTCACTTAGAATTTTAAAAATTAAGGGAGAAAATAACCCCTTGAGAAGTACGAGGAATTAATACCTATAATGAATTTTAAGCCCATGGTAAGGCTAATTTTAGGCCATGTTCCTCCCGTTATATAAACTTTGGAATGCTTATTTCACCCAAACCCTACTTTTCCACCCAAAATATGCAAACTGATGACAGGCCAGAGATCCAAATCACTATAAAAATTCAGGACATCATCAGAACTTTTAAAAATGAAAATCCAACAGTTTTAATTAAGTGCATAATACATATGTATGAGTGCATTGTCTTTTGTAATAGAAGACACAGCTGTTTGGTATGGGTTTGAAATCCAATTTAAAATTTTGTAATCCTATGCTAATGATCTAAAGAAAAAAGGAAATGGTAGACAACAACATTTTGCATTAATATTAAATGTTCTCAATGCCAGAGGAGTCCTCACTATGTCAGTATTAATTAAGAGCATTTTCTTTTATAGTAGCATATTTTCTTATGGCTGTGTCTCCCATCTCTAAAAGCATACCAAATTTCTTTTAATGAAGAATTCGTTGTGCATTGCTGAATTTAAGAAATTGTATCTTATTCTCAATATTCAAGATTATATAATCTAATGAACACAGCTGGAAATATTTTGCATAAAGTAGGAAGAGAGTAGGCCTGGCTGAATTATGTTCTCTCCAGTCCCCAAGAAATTACAGCTCACCCGTCCACACCCTGTTCTGCCCACAAGAGCTTCCTCCCTCCATCTGGGAATGGACAACTGAGACAGGATTTTTCAGATCTGCTTCCATCAGCCCACATCCTTCCATTTAACTGCTGACAGTCTGTCCAACTGCCTTAGGGTCAATCTGGCTCTTTCCTGCTCAGAGAAAGTAGATCAATGGTAAAGCTCTTTGCATGTGTCTCCTTGAGACCCTAATTGACTAGCCACATGGACCTGCCTAGGAGTTGGCATCTTCTCCTTGGAATGAGGAATTTGTGACTTGTTCCTTATTTGGCCTTCTAGCATTGTCCCCTTGGCTTTCTGCTCCCCTTGTTTTTTAGCCAGAGAAGACAGAAGGAATTGCCTGTCTCTCTTTTGTTTCACTACCCTGTCGCTTTAGGTCCCTGTGAAAGCTAGAGACTGTCTTCCTCCCAGTCCCTAATTAGAGGTCCCCATTCTCAGGGTTTCCTCTATTCCTGTGCCCTGATTCCTCCACCAAAGTCAGGAGTATCATCAACGAATCTGCAATTACAGTAGAAATTAGGATCTCTACTGCCTGGGATTGAATAGAATCTTGGCCTCTCTTTTTTAGCTTTATGGCCTTGATCAAGGCACTTAACATTTCTATGCCTCAGTCTCCCTACCTGTAAAACAAATAATACTACCACCTACATCATTGTTATAGTAAGAATTCAATGAGATCATGTGTATATATACACACACTTACATATACATATAATACTAAAACAATGCCTTGTACACGGTAAGTTCTATATAAATGTAGCTATTATTATTATAGAAGACACATAAGAGTTTCACACACACACAGACACACACAGACACACACAGATATACTTTCAAAAATCCCTGTCCAAATCAGACAGGCATGGGAAGGCTATTTAGCAGGAAAAGTAGTCCTAGCAAGAGGGAACTACTCCCTAGCTAACAGTCCCCAAGGCACAGCAGATCATAGTGGCAAGCAACTTGTTAATGACAGCAATGATAAGATGCATTTTCTGGGTCATTCTGAGTCTAAGACCAATGACTCTCAGGCTGGCTTAGTGCTATAAATATTTGGCTGGAGAATCAAACCAGCAGCCAAGGAGGAGTCCAAGATAAGATTCCTTAGCTCTGTCTTTTTTTTTTTTTTTTTTTGAGACAGAGTCTGGCTCTGCCACTTATGCTGAAGTACAGTGACATGATCACAGCTCACTGCACCCTCTACCTCCTGGGCTTAAGCAATCCTCCCACCGCAAGCCATCAGACCCAGCTAACTTTTAAATTTTTTGTAGAGACGGGGTCTGGCTTTGTTGCCCAGGAAGGTCTTGAACTCTTGGGCTCAAGCAATCCTGCCAACTCAGCCACCCAAAGTGTTAGGATTACAGGCATGAGCCACCACACTCAGCCAGGACTCGTCTTCATGTATGAAGATTTCCAGGAGAACTGAGACCCAGACAAAATTTTGGGACTAACTCAGAACAAAAACTGTTAAGCAATTTGTGTTAAGCAATTCATTTGGCAGAAAAGCATTTAAGACTTCAGGTCAGCTCATAGGCAAGAGTCTGACTCAAACAAGTCTCATTTGAAAAGGAATAGGTAGATTACGTGTTTTAGGTGAAGACTTGATGACTCATTAGACTTCATGCATCCCTCTGACTCAAATCTGAATAAGTATACTAGCAGGTGGTGATACAGCTACTGGAAATGGCTAGGCTCTTGACTCTATTCCAATAGCAGTACTACGATTTCATGCCTACAGCAAACCTTTCTCCAAATTACACCCACACTATAATCAGCTGCAAAGGCCTTTTGTGACTATTTATAAAGGGCACTCTTTAATTCACCCTTATAATTTAGCTGGTAGCATTTGCTGGAAAAGTTTTAACAGCTATGCAATGCAAAGCCACTTCTATTAAGTGCACTGTCTCCGTTCTAAGTGTAGAGTACACCACACAGCCATGAAATGGTAACCAATACAACTTTCACCAAATTCTGATATGAGAGTCTAATATTCCTCTCTTCTCAGCAATAGCAAACATTTTGGAGGCGCCACAAAAAGAGTCTGGATTGCGTTGGTCTGTGCCTGCCCCAAACCAAAAAGCATAATGAAATTTGTAACCTTAAAGTCATACTCAGAGAATCCCCATTAACCAGTCTAACTTCTTATCAAAGAGGCACATGGGGTCCATCAAAGTTGCTCTAGAGCGACTACTGCTCACTATTATCTGGAGATCTTGTTAAAATGCAGATTCTGAATCAGTACGTTTGGGATAGGATGTGAGATTGTGCTTTCTAACAAGCTCCTAGGTTACCCCAGTGCAGACCGCACTTTGAGTAGCAACAGAATTGGTGGGAAGGATGGGAAGATTTAGGGAGCACTGTGGGTCTAATTGACACATATGTGAAAATTGTGTCATTGAATCTTTTTAGTGGTTATGCAATCCTAATGGAAATTGAGATCTATTGAAATCAGTAAAGCTGATCCTTACACTGTCAGTCTTTATGGTCTCATTATTTTTACCATCATCATCATCACCATAAAAACAGAGAAATAATACCCATAAATAGATTTAAAAAACAGGCCCATGAATAAGAAGAGGGTTTGCAATTGCACAGATGACATAAATGTGTATATTTTTGTAGCTCATCACTATATTAGGAACCAAAACTACTCTTCATTCAGATTTAAAATACAGGAAATCAGCTGTTGGTCTTTCAGAAAGTCACTCTTTTATTCCCCAATGTTCTCATTAATAAAGTGAAAGAACTTAATTAAACTATCTATTACTTTCTATGTGTAAAATACTGTGATTCAATAAATTTGATTTTTTAAATATCAATAGTTTTTGAGGAACAAGTGGCTTTTGATTACATAGATGAATATTATAGCAGGGAAGTCTGAGATTTGAGTGCCCCCTTCACCAAAGTAGTGTACATTATACCCAATATGTAGCTTTTTATCCCACACCCACCTCCCACCCTCCACCTTCTGAGTCTCCATAGTCCATTATACCACTCTGTAATCCTTTATATGCCCATAGCTTAGCTCCCACTTGTAAGTGAGAACATATGATATTTGGTTTTCCATTCCTGAGTTTCTTCACTTGGAATAAGGGCCTCCAGCTCCATCCAAGTTGCTGCATAAGACATTATTTCATTTTTTTAATGAGTAGCTTTCTATGGTATATGTATACCACATTTTCTTTATCGACTCTTTGGTCGATGGGAACTTAGGTGGGTTCCATATCTTTGCAATTGTGTTGCAATACACATTCATGTGTAGGTGTTTTTTTTTTTTTTTTATATAATGACGTCTTTTCCTTTGGGTAGATACCCAGTAGTGGGAAATCTGTTTTTTTAAATTCACATGTGACATCTGTCACATCTGAACTTGAATAACACGTTATACCACATACAACAAAGTTCCTTTTCACATGCCTCAAAATTGAGATGAATAATGACAAAAATAATTTCTTATCACTCTTACTAGTACATTATTCCAATCATAGTAACCATGTTATGAAATGAACAACCTCAAATACTTGAAGAGGAAAACTGCTTGGAACTGAAAACATTACTTGTCTACTAATAGGCTTTCTGGTTTATTTTGTGATATTACTTAAAATTTTTTATAGAAGCTCAATTCTGAAAATATATTTATTGCTATGAAAAATATTATATAGCTGAAATGAGCTTTGACTTTTGAAGAAATTCAATGCTATTTTCACGAAAACTTCACTAACTGTTTCAGCAGAAGTAATTCAGGATATTTATGGTAAAACACTAATTTAGCAACTATAGCTCCCCAAAACTTATACCAACTACAAGTCCTTTTTCAGACAACTTGTCTATATATTTTTTTCTAATAATTTTCTTTGACTTGCTTGCCTCTGGCTTGTGGGAAGCGGTTTGAAAAAATGCAGATAAATCAATTATTATGAAAGATCCCATGTAGTCAACTTTCAATTATGTAAATACTATCTAATGTTTAGTTTCAAGGATTCTACCTTCATTCCTTCTGCCTAACTACTTATTTACTTGCAAAGTAGGAAAAGACAAGAAGAAAGGCGAAAACTTCATTCAAAATAACCGTTCTTTTATTTCTATAATGTATGGGAGCATGTTAGGATATTAAACATAACAATTAAGTATTATTGTATTTACTTGCACAAATATTGCTTATTTTGATTTTTTCCTACTAATATTTTCATCTGGCAAAAGAGAATATTTATAATAATAATGATGATGATGGAGAAAGAGTATAAAAATGACCAATTGTAAGACACTTTAATCCTCCAAAATATCATTGTTTTATAGAAGAAAAAAAACAAATCTCCAAGTGGTTCAGTAACTTGCCTATGGTCAGGCAGCTAATAAGTGACAAAACTGATACAAACTCTGGTTTTTCTGACTCCTAAGCCCATAGTTTTTAATGTTTCATGTGCATTCCTCAAATTTGTGCCCAAAAATATTTGAATGGCTTCTTACAACATAGAATAAAAAGAGAAAAGCCCTATTTAATAGAAACTAAGAGATACAGAATGCTTAAAACTTTGGTCTATTCTGTGAAAGAAAATTTAAAAATACAACAAAAATACCCCCTTTTCTTTTTAGTTATTTGTTTATTTTTATTTTTAAGAGAAAATATTTACTTTAGAAGGGAAAGCGAAAGGAAGAATGTTAAATTACTAGATTTTCTTTCTATAAAAATTGCGGAGCTTGCAGTGAGCCGAGATCGCGCCACTTGCACTCCAGCCTGGGCGACAGAGCAAGACTCCGTCTCAAAAAAAAAAAAAAATTGCCTGACATTTCTCAAGATATTTACAAGGTAATCTCTCCAAGAGATTAATTTCAGGTTCATGTGAAAATACAAAGTGAAGAAAGTGTTTCTGCATCTGCCCCCCATGCCCTCACTCCCTCTCTCCCTCTCTCCCAGACACAATGTTGCATTCTAGGACCTGGAAAGATACTCAGCATATACTAGGGCCCTAAGAATTATATATTTCCCATGGTGTGTGCACACCCAAATAAGCCTACCCTCACCTTTAATTGCAAGGAAAACTTTTGGGTCACCAAGTGTAATGTATTCCTGTCAAGCATTTCATCATCAATGCAATTCAACAATGTCCATGGTGTGTGCATACCCAAATAAGCCTACCCTCACCTTCAATTGCAAGGAAAACTTTTGGGTCACCAAGTGTAATGTATTCCTGTCAAGCATTTCATCATCAATGCAATTCAACAATGTCCACCTCACCATCTCTTTAATGTCAATAAAATGCCTTCAGTTCAAACTTTTTCCTTCCTCTTCTTTTGAGAAATTCCAATTGTTGTATCCTCCTTTATTCTTCACTGTAAATGAACTTCATCATATTTATTGACACTCAGAGGGACAGCAAGGTAACATCTTAACTATGCAAGCTCCTATTACACTTGCTAAAGTTTTTGCAGCATCTGATGTTCCTTTCGCTATAAGAACTTTATTCTGATCCTTTCTTAGACCACAACATATGCTATATGTGATTTGGTTAATGAAGCTATACTGCCAACATCCTAAGCAATGTCTACATTGGCCCCTGGATATTGTTACTCTGTTCTCTTAACACTTAAGCCACAGCTGACTTCCGCAGTGTCTTATTGTAATCATACAAACATATTATCCTAAATAATTAAAATTTTACATAAAGACTAAATAACTCCCATGATATTCCCCAAGGACAGAAACCTAAAAAATATATACAGTTAAGCTCAGAAAGGATATATACACTGAATTTACATAATACAATTACATGTATATTTTTCACAAATTGTACTCATTTGAAATTTTTCACCAAAGGCAGTGACCATTAATCGTTAGCAGTGTGCAGAAACACCTGCTTAGTTCATATTTAACAGTTTGCCTTAGGACTTGGTTTCTAAAAACACAGTGGATTTCAGTAGAGGGAACTATTGGGTGTTTTTTACATTAAAATGGCTCTAACTTTTGATACCATTAAACTTTGACTTTTAACTGACAAATAATAATTGTATATATTTATGGAATACAATATTGGGATACATTATGGGATACCGTTATGGGATACAGTGTTTCAATTGTGAAATGATCAAATCAGGCTAATTATCATAATGATTACTTCATATATTTATCATTTATTTGTGGTAAGAACATTTAAAATCCTGTCTGTTCGCTGTTTTATTACATTTTTACCATCTCAGAATCTTCTTTCTAGTTTTGATGGAGAAATTTTTCAGCAAATTTCACATCTTTCTCTCTGTGACACACTCACACACACACACAGACACATACACACGAGCTATAATGAGATAGCTTTCCAAAAAATGATATTAAATGGGAGAACATCACCAATGAAATCATCACCACATAAATCTACCTAAGAGTCAATAGTTTTGGTTTTTACCTGCCATAATATTCTTATGGAAAGCCAATGACTGATACAGTATTTTGGGCATAGAAGTTATATAACTGAAAGGACATGATATTGAGAAAATGAGTTTAATGTATCCCTCAAGGATGACAAAAAGCATATTCATCTAGTTGAATTGAAATAAAAAATAAAACAATATATGAAAATATAGATAATCTCATAACTATTATCTCCATGTAGGCTGTAACCTACAATTTATATGGAATTATATATTTATATACAAATTAGCCCCATTGATGTGAATACCTCAATGTATTGTAATGAGTGGTGAAGCCCAGATAAGTCAATGATTGAATTAGGCAAGGGGTGTATCCACAATACCTTTACTATATATTGAGCCAGGAGAATTAAATGTACTATTTTCATTTTCTAACTATAACCATTACTTTTTCTTTCCAAATGCTCATAAAGAATCTATTAAGGGAGCTGAGTTACCATTGAAAATTATGGCAACATCCATCTCTCAGATTCACTTCTCACTTTGATATTATATTTGGATATTTTTCCTTTAGGATTTCCAGAACCTTGTCAAATACTCTGCTCTTAAACTTGCCATTTCTACAAAGTAGTTCTTAGTGGAGTTTTGAAGTGTTGTGTTTTCTCACCACTGTGTTCCTTAAAGAGAGCTGTAACTGACATTTTGAAAGCAAAATGAAACACATATATCAGTTTTATTTTAAAATTTGACAAAGCATATTTCTTTTCTTCATATAATTAATTGAGTTAGATTTTAAATGCATACATCATTTGTGCACCTGCAATAATTTTTTGTTGTACATGAAAACTCCACTCATCTCAAGATGATGTATACGGGTCAATTGCGACAATGTTAATTTATAACTTTTTCTTTCTAATCAATGGCGTTTAAAAGCTAAGAGTGCAATTTAACTGCAATAAACACCATTCCCTGATTTTTGGCTAAATATGTTTTGAGATAATGAATCTCCCAGATTTTCTTATCAGGAAGTGCTAGATTATAGTATAAGAAATTTGATACTCTGGAAAGAATATTTGTCACTGTTGACTCCTTCCAGTATTTTACCTCATATGCACTCCATCACTGTCTTAGTCTGCTTTGCATTGCTTTAACAGAAAATCACTGACTGGGTAATTTATAACAAACAGAAATGTACTTGGCTCATGATTCTGGAGGCTAGAAAGTCCAAGAGCATGGTTCCAGCATCTGGTGAGAGCCTTCATGCCCTATCATCTAATGGCAGAAGGTGGAATGCCAAAAGAGGGTGAGAAGAAGAGCAAGAGGGGCCAAACTAGATTTTGTAACAAACCTACTCTCAAGATAACCAACTCATTTCTGTGATAATGGCATTAATCCATTCATGAGTGCTCTGCCATCACAACCTAATCACCACTAATTGGCTTCTACCTCCCAACATTGTTACAGTGGGGATTAAGTTTTCAACACACAAACTTTGGGGGACACATTCAAACCACAGCAGTCACCAAATTTTTCAAAATATCTTGTGAGTACATTTGCTTTTCTCCATCACTGCTATCACCACTTTAATCCAGGCCACCAATGCCCTAAACTAAAATGCCATAAATGGTTTCCTTGCATGTCATGTGATTTACTTCCAAACCATTTCTCCATACTACAGCACAGGGAGCACTTTTAAAATGCATTTCAGATATAATGTTAGTGACTCTTTGTTGTCCTCAGTATAGAATACAGGAAACTAAGCATTAAGCCTACCTCTTAAGTTTTAATATTGGCCACATATTTACTCTCTAATAATAAAATTCAGCTGTGGCTCCCGCATACATCATAGTCTCCATGTCTTTTTTTATGCCATTGTTTGCGTCTAGAATGCTTTGTGCATGTACGGGCACACACACATGCACGCAAACACACACACCCCTCTTCAGGACATACTGTAGATGTTGTCAATACCAGAAATCTATCTTTGATTTCTTCTTCAATTCCGTTTTGGTTACACATCAAAATCACCAGGAAGTTTTTAAAGATCACATTGCCCAGGCTACAATATGATTAAATCAGGGTAGGATCCAGGCATTGGTATTCCACTGTATTCCAGGTGATTCCCCTGTATGACCAAGGGTGAGACTCACTACATAAGAGTTCCAGCTAACTATTTTTCCTAACAACAATCCAATCTATTGAATTCATCCCCTATATTTCACTGCCCAATAATTAATTCGAATCTCTGTTTCGTCTAACCTAAGCCATATTTCTCCATCTTGGCTCTAGGTTATTACAAGGGGCAATGTCAGTGCTTTGTGGAAATCCAAGGCTTTAGTTATTTGATCAGTGTTTTATTAATGTGCTGAATTCTTTCAAAATACCTATTAATCTTAAATTATATGAGATTTTTCTACATTCAGTAAAACATCTCTACAAATCAAATATTTTTTCTTTCATATTAATATTAATATAGGTATAAAATAACCTATCCAAACCATTAAGGACCTGAAAAGAAGCCTTTAAAAGTCAATGAATTTTATGTGTAAAATATATTCTTTCATGAATATGTAAATGTATGCTAATAAATTTTCCACTTCTCATCCAAAATCTCAGAAAATGACAAAATACAAAAGGACCTCCACAATATTCACATCACTTTTTAAAATTTGTTTTTTTTAATTGGCAAATAAAATTGTATATACTTATCATGTACAACATGTTCTAAAATATGTATACTTGTGAAACGGCTCAGTTAAATTAGTTAACATATGTATTACTTCATCACTTTCTAAATTATTCAGTTCACTTACAGACTCACTGTTTCCAAAATAGATAGTTTCTTTCTTATTGATTTTTTTTTTTGCATAATAATGAACATACCACACAATAGCAAAGCATTTTTCCAGATACTATTGTGCATGGGGAGATGGCTATACAAGAAGTGAAGACCCCTAAGTCCTGATTCTTATCCCTGGCTCAAGATATATTTAGTCTGTGATATTGGGCAATGTTTTAATCTTCCCAAGCCTCAATTTTACCTTAATTTTTAAACATAATATAAAATGAGAATAAGTTAAGTCTACAGGCTGGAATTTCTAACAGTATTGTAAAAATTCAATGAAATAGGTGTGTGTTCTTTCTACAGAGACAGATGCAGACTCAAGGGGTAATTGAAAAGAACTTATTGAAGGGTCTATTTACAAAAGTGTGGGCAGCATAAAGAAACTAACAAAAGATGGTAAAATACCCAAGGACTAGTCACAACAGGAAGAATTTACCACCCCTAGACCCCAGAGGACAGAGGAAGGAGCTGTTTCTAGAACCAGGTACGAGCCGAACCTGTGGAAGAGGGGCTTGCTGTAGCTATGGGTAAAGGAACACAGTCATTGCCAAAACCCCAAATAGTTCTTTGTAGATTCTGGATATTAGCCCTTTGTCAGATGGGTAGATTGAAGAAATTTTCTCCCATTCTGTGGGTTGCCTGTTCACTCTAATGGTAGTTTCTTTTGCTGTGCAGAAGCTCTTAAATTTACAAGAAAAAAACAAACAACCCCATCAAAAAGTGGGCAAAGGATATGAACAGACACTTCTCAAAAGAAGACATTTATGCAGCCAACAGACACATGAAAAAATGCTCATCATCACTGGTCATCAGAGAAATGCAAATCAAAACCACAATGAGATATCATCTCACACCAGTTAGAATGGCAATCATTAAAAAGTCAAGAAACAACAGATGCTGGAGAGGATGTGGAGAAATAGGAACACTTTTACATGGTTGGTGGGCATGTAAATTAGTTCAACCATGTAGAAGACAGTATGGCGATTCCTCAAGGATCTAGAACCAGAAATACCATTTGACCAAGCGATCCTATTACTGGGTATATACCCAAAGGATTATAAATCATGCTACTATAAAGACATGCACATACGTTATGCTTATTGTGGCACTATTCACAATAGCAAAGACTTTGAACCAACCCAAATGCTCATCAATGATAGACTGGATTAAGAAAATGTAGCACATATACACCATGGAATACTATGTAGCCACAAAAAAAGGATGAGTTCATGTCATTTGCAGGGACATAGATGTAGCTGGAAACCATCATTCTGAGCAAACTATCACAAGGAGAGAAAACCAAACACCGCATGTTCTCACTCATAGGTGGGAGTTGAACAGTGAGAATACTTTGACACAGGGTGGGGAACATCACACCCCGGGGCCTGCCACGAGGGTGGGGGACTGGGGGAGGGGTAGCATTAGGAGAAATACCTAATGTAAATGATGAGTTAATGGGTGCAGCACACCAACAAGGCACAAGTATACCTATGTAACAAACCTGCACGTTGTGCACATGTACCCTAGAACTTAAAGTACAGTAAAAAAAGAAAGAAAGAAAGAACCCAAATAGACAGGGAAGGAGCAGGGAGTAAACACCCTGACCTCCCTCTCCTCCCCTCCTCTGATCACCTGCTGATAATTTTCACTGAGTAAACTACCCAAATTCGGCAGAGTCCCAGTAATGCATTCTGTAGAGGTCACCACCAGGGGTACAGAGCAGGATGAAAGGAGATAAATGAATAATCTGGAAGAACAATTGGAGAACTTTCAGCACAACATGAAAGCTGGTTTAACCCAAAATGTGTTCAGTAAATTGTTTAAAAAATATTAAATGAAAATGCAATATAACAGTGAAAGCTATCATTCTGTATGATACTATAATGATGGATACAGGTCATTTTACATGTGTTAAAACCCATAGAATGTACAACACAAACAGTAAACTCTAGGCACATTTTGGCTTTAGTGAAAGATAACATATCAATATTAGCTCATCAACTGTAACAGATGTACCACACTAATGAAAGGTGTTAAGAACAGGGGAACTCGGTGGCAGTGCAAGGGGTGTACGGCGCTCTCTGCACTTTTTGCTCATTTTTTCCCTACAGACCTAAAACTGCTTTTGAAATCTATTAATTTTTTTAAAAGTTATTTTCATGACTAATACTCATTGAAAAATATCTAATCATACCCAAATTTCCACCAAGTTATTGCATCTATGAAGATGAGGTGATGATGTAACCACCATATAACACTGACTTACAAGAGGTTGACTCTCAGGCCTGGGAAATACATTTCCCAGATGTATTTCTGGGAAACCTCCAATTGCAGAGAATTAGTGTGACTTTCTCTTCTAAAATCTCCATTTTTATCCCTTGGTTCACTAATTTAGAAAGACAAAATCCTTCTTTGCCTCTCTCTCCATTTCTGTCCCTTGATTCACTAAGTTAGAAAGACAAAATCCTTCTTTGTCTCTCAGTGAAAAGTTCTTCTTAACATACTCTGTATGATCATTGCTCTTGAAGTGGTTAAGTTTTCACTTAAAGCTAAGCAACTTTGTTTTCATCATATTTTAAATGTGAATGTTCTTTGCCCCTTAAAGAGATTGGCAAAATAAATTTGGAAATGTTTTCATGGTTGTTATAATAACAGTAGATATATTTTGCTGATAATTTTTCACTATGGTGACAAAGGAAATAAAACATTTTAGGCAAAAAAAATACAATATGATTGAAATACACTTAGCTTAAAATCATATGTCAATTTCTCTTAAAAATCATTTATTTCAACATGATTTATCATATTCTTATGGTAGGTGCTCTAAAATGTACATTACATACCAAAATAATGAGAGTCTACATACTGATATCTAATATAAAGGTCTTAGTATTTTATATTATTTTGATATAAGACAGAACAACAAGTGTTTGTGAAATCCTGTTACTGTTCTCTTTATGTGATAATTTACACTTTAAGCGCAAAATTATAGATGTTATTTAACATCAGATTAGAAAAGAAATCAAACTATGTAAACAAGCAAACAAAAAATTAGACTCCATGTCTCAAAGCAGATACTAGATACGCAGCAATAGATTTTAGAGATTGTTCCTGATTGCACTACCAGTAGGAACAAGTGTGGTTGGAAAGAATATGTAGCCAGCTGTCTCTTCTCTAGAGCATAGGGTAGACTTATCCTTTCTCTCCTTCTCCTCCATCTCCACAGCAGTCCCCTGAAGTCCAAACACCCTGCATCCCTGTGTCAAAGGAGGGCTCTGATAAATGGCTTTCTCCAATAGGCCTGTTTTGTCCTCAAGGGTTGTCACCAGAGAGCACGGAATCCCCAATCTTTAAGGTGCTGAGGTCTAGCAGCAACAGCTGAGCTGCTTGGTGCTTCTGAGAGATTTAGCATAAATTAGGGCAGTTCACACAGTTTATTACTTTAATGATAAGACTAAGTTCTTAGTCACAGAGCAATGTTTCAAATATGTTTCTATGTCACCTTTTGTACCCTCGTGCACATAAATGCAAACATTGTAAGGATATAAACGACTCTTTCTCGTGTTATCTGTGTTGTTTGCGTGCACACCCTAATCCTAGGAAGGCTGAGGAGCAAACTGTCACACAGGGATATGAATGCTTTCCGGTTTGCAGCTGCAGCTGTTGTTTGCAGTGCCTGATGCCTTTCACAAGCTTTTTTCCTCATCCACATCTATTCAGTGACTTTGTTTGAAAAAGCTTACCCCAAATTCCGAGTTTACTTAGCCCTGTGACCTCCCAGAAATCCATAGCAGGTTAAATCTTCTACGGGATTTTATCACAGAAGAGCAATAGCTCAACAGCTGTTAAAAAAAAAAAAAAAAAAAAACTTATAGGCCCTCTTTAATTTGTTATGCAATAAATAATTTTTAAAAAGATATTTCAAAAACTCAATCCAGGATTTGCCCCTCTGGCCAAAGGGAGTCTATACAGTTGAGCCTTCTAAGAATTACTTACACAATCTCTTGTTATTTAAGGAAGAGAATGTTTTGGCCAAGAATGGACATTTTGTAAAATTAAGATGAACAATAAAATCTTAGTAGGTAATGGGTTCAGAAGCTACTTCACAATTTGTTCTTGGCAAAATTACCAAGGGTTCTGTGGCTCTGCAACACCCTGGAAAAACATTTAAGGGAAAGGATGCAACAGGAAAACAGATTACAGCTCCCTCAAGTGAGGAGTGGAATATTTCTTCTCCTGTAGCCAATGTTTGCATTTGTTCCTGCAGATCTTGGGAGAAAATGAACAAGGACATCCAGTGGAAGTTTTGGAAATATGTCAATAACTTTATTTTCCCCTGCCCAGGAAAGAGAAAAAGAAGGAGGAGAAAAATTAATTTATTCATAAAAATATATGCAAAACAAAGCAGGGAAGAAAATATGCATACCTACCATAAAATCCCTCTTTGATATTTTACAACTAAATTAGAAGGATCACCACCAGCAACAGCACACATTATATATGCAATGGTAAGGTAAGAGAGAGGAAAAAATGTCATTTGGTTAATATGCATAAATTCAGACACATACACAAGGAAAACAGGTTAGCCCCAAAATCGTAGTGAGGGTTTAAGCTTTAATAATTTCAGAAGTGGAAATGCTACAAACTTTAAAAACAACATTGTTTGAAGGCTTAATTATTTAGTTTCTTTTAGACTTATTCAGTTTTATGCAAGTCAAATAATATCTTTTTAATCTTAACTTTTTGTTTCAGTCCACATTTGCCATCATGTACATATGTAAACAAAGCAGAGTTGAAAATACACATAGCAACAAGCCATGAGGTTGGAGTTGGGTTTTACAACTTCCTTCTTCCAGTATCTAGTTCTTGCCCCTTGTCTCTCAGCTGGCATTTCTGGTCTGGTTGCAGTTCTTTACCTGGTTGGGTGACTAAATATTATTCCTAAAGTGTTCCCAGTAGTATTAGCAGCAGCAGTAGCAACAGCAGCAATAGGCATTAGTAGTAATGGCTAAGAGTGCGTAAAAGCAACCCTAGCAACCCTATTTTCCCCTAATAATCAGAATCAATCATCTCAGACCTTTAACTCTTCCCTTGTCCATTGAGTCAGTGGTATAAGGAGCTCAAGGTGGTTCCATGGAATTCTCAGTTTCCAGTTGAATAGAACCATTTTTGTGTGTGTGTGTGTGAGAATTAAACTCAATAATCCAGCAGAGTTCAAAGTTACAGAAAGAGAAAACAAAATTTTTACTGGGTGCATTGTTGAGGTAACAGGGCAGGGAATATTCCCACTCCAGCCCCTTCGTTCTCAAAGCCATGTGTCCTGACTATTGTAGAAACAGCATCATGTATTTATTAGTCATTATTGCTATCAATTGCTATTGGAATATATTGTACATCTTGTCAGAAGATACCTTGGACTTGCAAGCTTTTATGTGTATGTGTTGGCTCTTCTTGTCCTCCCAGCAGGTGACGTACTGTTTCTTCAATAGACCATCGGGCTATTTCATTAAGACAGCATCTTCAGACAATGTGGTACATGGTAGCACCAGTAAGTCTCACTGATATGAGTGACTACTTTCACTGTAAAATGAGCTCTTTGGTCCGAAGCCATATTATGTGGGATACCAAGTGAGAGAATAAGGTATTATACGCAGGTGGTGATGCTGGTGAAAGCAATGTGGGGGAAGAAATACAAATTTATATCCAAATTATCTTTTCTAAAGGCAATGTTTTCTTCCCTTCCAGAATGGCGGGGGTCCAAAGTAATTATTCTGCCACTGACTGGCTCACTTGTCACACTAGGAAATGGTTCTATATCAGGGCCTCGGTTTGGTCTACACTATTGGTTGTTTCATTCTTTGGCTGTCATGATTGCCACATGAGCTTTCTCAGAATAAAAATCTTTGTTTAGACTTCATCTTCATAATGGCCATTTTATTCATGAATCCAGTGATGAAATGACTAAGAAAAGAGGCAAACTGACTTGCACAGAATGGGTTGTGTACAACTATTATTGAAAGCCTTCTCTGGAATGTTTTTGTGAGCTTTCACATACACTTTCACTAGATATCTCTGTTACTAAGCCTCCTACTTTATATCCTGTGTGATGGTTTCCTGTAGAAACTATTGTGAGAGAGAAAGAGTTTATATAGTCCTTAGGTAAGATGATGAAGACATACTACTGTCTCTGCCAAATGAAAGCAAATTGTTTTCTGTTGTTTTTCACAAATTATATTAAAAAGTTCCAGATAAATACCCGAATATTAACTATATACTGGATAATAGGAGCTAAATTGATTTACTCCATTAAAGATACCACATCTGGAACAGCAACCAAAATTAGAGTCACCACCTGATTAATTTCATGACAATCAACAGAGATTCTGCAAGATCTGTATGTCTTCTTCACAAAACAAATAGTTGAGTTAAATAGGAATGTGATATTTAAAAATTTACTCTGCATTTTCACATATTTGATAGTGGCAGTAGTCTGCAACTGCCCTTGATTTGGCCTTAATTTTCATTTATTGCTTTGCTAGAGAGAAGCACTCCCTCGGCTTCTATTTTTCCCTTCCTATTATAGTGGCTGTCTTCTAAAGGGCAGAAACCCAATGTGGGGACTCTGTCAGTTGCTGAGTATGACTATTACAACTTAATAGACATTAGTACACATTCCAACATGATAGACATTATTGGCAGCCAAAATCTCACGTATTGCCTGATCACAATAAGACCAGTCTCGCCGTAGCAGTTTGAAGCTCCATGTTTTAGGGTCAGTTTGGGACTTACGTCCAAAAATGCCTTAGAAATCTGGCCATTTGCATTATTCAATGCATGGTGTCCCCTGGGAAATTGCCATAGTTTAGTTGATGGAAGGCTAAAAGGATTATTCGTAGTACCTACTCATGGTAATTTTGTTGGGGTTCTCCCAAAGGGAATCTGCTTGTTCTTCATTCAAAAAGTTCTGGATCTACGTACTAGATTAAATATGGCATTTCAGTGAGAGGCTGTGACTCTGCTTTGTAGTGACTCAATTCAGATCTCTAATCACTAAACCTATAGTTTTATTTTTCAATCAAATATCCAGATCAAGTATATATTATACAAAATGTTAGTAGGCTGCTTAACTATCAAGTCCTAGACCCAGCCAAGCCACTCTGCTGTACCCTTCTTCCCTTTATGGTAATTGAACCTCCTTGTGTCTGGCAGTTGGTAGTGCTACTATTCGGCTTCTGTCATTCTGAGATCTTTTATTTCTTTAAAATCAATGAGTCCATGTAAGAGGCTTAATCTGTCACAGTCTTTCCTTGCCTGCAAAGAACAGCCACCACTACCTTTGCAACAATGCTGGATCTGCCTTCCCTGGTATCTCTTAAAGCTTTGGTGAAGGAAGTGTTCTCTAAATCCTCCTCAGGGACACAATAATGGAAAATATGTGAGTTTCCCATGAAAACACCCTCCATCATTCCTATTTCCTTAAGCTTTTAGATTCATTAGTCTACATTAAACTAAGGACATTCTGGCACCTCAACCTTATTTAATTTAGGTCACTTCTATGTTCAGATTTAAATCAACAGACTGAATAAACTACGAGAACCACTCCCACCTGCTTGAGGTCACAGTCACACCAGAATCTCCGGTAAAGGTACCCATATCAGTAATCTAATGTGGTACCTGGTATGGTATTTTTGTGTGTGTGTGCTGCTTCAAAACGTTTACAGTCATTCCTCCCTACATTCCTCCCCTGGTTTGTGTGAAGGTAAATTTGAAAGATAATGTTTCTGTTTTCGTGTATGTGCTATCCCTCGGATTAGACTTTGTAGTTATTCCCAACTTGTCTTGTTTTCATCCTCTAATTATAGATCTGGAAGCAATGAGTGGTAGTAGGTATTGAATAAAATTGTCATTGCCTTACAAGAGGACACATCATTGAGGTCATTTAGAATCTTCAGGTGAAGGAAGACTGATGTTCTCAAACAGAAAAGATGGGCTGTTTCTGATGGAAATTAAGGATCAATGAGGTAGGCAGTTTGAAGTCCTCAGACTTTTTGGAATTCATCAAAAAGTTTTCATCCCAATTCCTGGAATTCTACTCTTTCTTAATCAATACCCCAACTTTTACATTGAAGCCCTGGCATAATTAAGAATTTAATTTTCCTTTTACGTTTGCAAACCACATGATCAAATCCTATTTCTGGTTTAGTATTTCGTACCTCTGTAAACACAAGTTGTTTGCCATTGTTTTCTTTCAACTACTAGTATCCTACTTTCCACTGATGATGGGGTCACTATGGCCTTCCAAGGGCAAATCACAGATTCCCATCTGCGAGAATCTGTTTTCTGAACCACATCCTTACATTATCTATCATATCAGCCAGAGTTTGGTCAGAAAAGTGAAAGACACACTAAATATAATAAGCCAGAAAAAATTAATAAAGCAAACTATAACCTTACAAAACAATTTGAAAACCTGGTTTGGAAGAGACAGCAAAGATCTGTTAGATTCAAGAAATTGGGAAGTAAGGAATTGCAAGAAACCACTACTTATTTCCTCAGCTGCCTTCAGCATCAAAGTGGGTGATTCAGCTGGATAATATTGGGAAAATGCAGGCAAAAATTTCAATCTGCTTTATTATAATCCTACAAATCTACAAATCAGCTGCTTACTCACTAATTGTGCTTCCTTCTCTTTTTTTCTGCTAGGAGACTGTTTTCCATGGGTCTCTCACATTTCTGGACATCTTGCAAATGAAGGCACTCACTGACTTTATTTCAAATTATCTTTTGAAGGATGTTTATATAGCAAATGACAGAGAAAATGTCTCTCTCTAGGGTGAAGACCAGATAGAATTACTGCTCATTTTAAAAGATTCAGGTACCCTATGTTTAGAATTCCTCTCTTGTACCCCACCCCATTATGTGTGCAGGTATTACCCAGACTTCTTTGTATTATCCTGTAGATTTGTGTCTTCCAGAACCAATGCAAATGCTGATACTCTGGTTTTTGCTGTTCTGAATAATAAAGTCATTAATATCTAGCCTAAGAGTCTCATGTCTTCTGGCAGCTTCCATGAAGCAGTGGCAGACTAACATGATAGCTTGCAAGAAGGGTAAAACTTCAGATGTTTCCAGTTCTTGATATTGAATTTCATTAGTCGTAGAAGGACCTTTGTTTTCTGCAATATAGAAAAATATCACAGAAACAGGCAAACATAAATAAATATTGGCTGCCAAGCCCGTTCTTTAAAAATCATCTAACAGCTCTTTTTATTCACGTTAACTTTACAAATGCTATTGGTTTTGTTTTTTAGATCATTCATACCTCATTCATTTTATCTTTTATATTTATTAAATCCTTACTTATAAATTCTCATTTATATATATATGGAACAATTAAATTGTTACTCTCTACTTGGCTTTAATTTAAATTAGAAGCAAAAACATACGTTGTCTCTAACTGATAGCAATTTTCTTTTATTGTTTTTTCCTAACTCCTTAAGTTGAATGGTTTGTATATTTGAAAACTAACTATAACTTTAGTCGCATTTCATAGCTTTTTCTTTGAAGTATCCTTATTTTAATAAGTTTCCAAGTAATTTGTCCTGTATAATCTTATTTCTTCTTTTTATTTTATTTTATTTTTTAAGTTCCAGGGTACATGTGCAGGATGTGCAGGTTTGTACATGTGTCATGGTGGTTTGCTGCACCTATCATCCCATCACCTAGGTATTAAGTCCAGAATGCATTAGCTCTTTTTCCTGATGCTCTCCCTGCCCCCCTGCCCTCCTACAACAGGTTCCATTGTGTGTTGTTCCCCTCCCTGTGTCCATGTGTTTTCATTGTTCAGCTCCCACTTATAAGTGAGAACGTGCGGTGTTTGGTTTTCTGTTCTTGCATTAATTTGCTGAGGTTAATGGCTTCCAGATTCATCCATGTTCCTGCAAGGGACATGATCTTGTTCCTTTTTTTTTTTTTTTTTTTTTTTTTTGAGACGGAGTCTCGCTCTGTGGCCCAGGCGGGAGTGCAGTGGCGCAATCTCGGCTCACTGCAAGCTCCGCCTCCCGGGTTCACGCCATTCTCCTGCCTCAGCCTCCCGAGTAGCTGGGACTACAGGCGCCCACCATCACGCCCGGCTAATTTTTTTTGTATTTTTAGTAGAGACGGGGTTTCACCGTGTTAGCCAGGATGGTCTCGATCTCCTGACCTCGTGATCCGCCCGCCTCGGCCTCCCAAAGTGCTGGGATTACAAGCGTGAGCCACCGCGCCCGGCCGATCTTGTTCCTTTTTATGGCTGCATAGTATTCCATGGTGTGTATGTACCACATCTTCTTTATCCAGTCTATCATTGATGGGCATTCAGGTTGATTCTATGTCATTTTTATTGGGAATAGTGCTGCAATGAACATACACATGCATGTATCTTTATAATAGAAGATTTATATTCCTTTGGGTATATACCCAGTAATGGGATTGCTGGGTCAAATGGTATTTTGGTTCTAAAATATTGAGGAATCACCACACCGTCTTCCACAATAGTTGAACTAATTTATATTCCCACCAACACTGTAAAAGTGTTCCTATTTCTCCTCAACCTTTCCAGCATCTGTTGTTTCTTTACTTTTTAATAATTGGCATTCTGACTGGAGTGAAATGGTATCTTACTGTGGTTTTGATTAGCATTTCTCTAATGACCAGTGATGTTAAAATTTTTTTCATGTGTTTGTTGGCCACATTTATGTCTTCCTTTGAAAAGTGTCTGTTCATGTCCTTTGCCCACTTTTTAATGAGGTTGTTTATTTTTTTCTTGTAAATTTGCTTAAGCTCCTTGTAGATTCTGGATATTAGACCTTTGTCTGATGGACAAATTACAAAAATATTCTCTCATTCTGTAGATTATCTGTTCGTTCTGTTGATAGTTTCTTTTGCTTTGCAGAAGCTCTTTAGTTTACTTAGATTCCATTTGTCAATTTTTGCTTTTGTTGCAATTGCTTTTGGTGATTTCATAATAAAATCTTTCCCCATGTCTATGTCCTGAGTGGTATTGCCTAGATTTTTTTCTAGGGTTTTTATAGTTTTGGGTTTTACATTTAAGTCTTTGATCCACCTTGAGTTCATTTTTGTATAAGGTATAAGGAAGGAGTCCAGTTTCAATTTTCTGCAGATGGCTAGCCACTTTTCCCAGCACCATTTGTTAAATAGGGATTCCTTTTCCCACTGCTTGTTTTTGTCAGGTTTGTAGAAGATCAGATGGTTGTAGATGTGTGGTTTTATTTTTGAGTTCTCTATTCTGTTCCATTGGTCTATGTGCCTGTTTTTGTACCAGCACCATGCTGTTTTGGTTACTTTAGCACTGTAGTATAGTTTGAAGTTGGGTAGTGTGATGTCTCCAGCTTTGTTCTTTTTTCTTAGGATTGTCCTGGCTATATGAATCTTTTTTTGGTTCCATATGAATTAGTAAATAGTTTTTTTCTAATTCTGTGGAGAATGTCAGTGTTAATTTAATGGGAATAGCATTGAATCTATAAATTGCTTTGGGAAGTATGGCCATTTTCAAAGTATTAATTCTTCCTATCCATGAGCATGGAATGTTTTTCCATCTGCTGTGTTTTATCTGATTTCCTTGAGCAGCACCTTGTAGTTCTCCTTGGAAAGGCCTTCACTTCCCTTGTTAGCTGTATTCCTCTGTATTTTATTGTCTTTGAGGCAATTGTAAATTGGAGTTTATTCATGATTTGGCTCTCTGCTTGTCTGTTGTCGTGTAAAGGAATGCTTGTGATTTCTGCACATTGATTTTATATCCTGAGAATTTGCTGAAGTTGCTTATCAGCTTAAGAAGCTTTTGCGCTGAGACAATGGGGTTCTTTAGATATAGGATCATGTCGTCTGTAAACAAAGACAATTTGACTTCCTCTCTTCCTATTTGAATACCCTTTATTTCTTTCTCTTGCCTGATTGCCCTAGCCAGAACTTCCAATAATATGTTGAATAAGAGTAGTGAGAGAGGGCATCCTTGTCTTGTGCCAGTTTTCAAGGGGAATGCTTTTGGCTTTTGCCCATTCGATATGATATTGGCTGTGGGTTTGTCATAAATAGCTTTCATTATTTTGAAGTATGTTCCTTCAATACCTGGTTTATTGAGAGTTTTAAACATGAAGAGATGTTGAATTTTATTGAAGGCCTTTCTGTGACTATTGAGATAATCACATGGTTTTTGTCTTTAGTTCTATGTATGTGATGATTTATATTTATCGATTGGCTTATGTTGAACCAGCCTGGCAGCCCGGGTTGAAGCCAACTTGATCGTGGTAGATGAGCTTTTGATGTGCTGGTGGATTCTGTTTGCCAGTATTTTATTGAGGATTTTCACATCAATGATCATTAGGGATATTGGCCTGAAGTTTCATTGTATCCCTGCCAGGTTTTGGTATTAGGATAATGCTGGCCTCAAAATGTTAGGGAGGAGTCCACCCTTTTTAATTGTTTAGAGTAGTTTCAAAAGAAATGATACCAGCTCCTCTTTGTACCTCTGGTAGAATTCAGCTGTAAATCCATCTGGTCCTGGGCTTCTTTTGGTTGGTAGGCTATTTAGTACTGCCTCAATTTCAGAACTTGTTATTGGTCTATTCAGGGATTCGACTTCTTCCTGGTTCAGTCTTGGAAGGGTGTATGTGTCCAGGAATTTATCCATTTCTTCTAGATTTTCCAGTTTATTTGCATAGAGGTGTTTATAGTATTCTCTTATGATTGTATTTCTGTGGGGTTGATTTCTTCTTCGAAGTAATGGTTTTTAGAAAGCATATTTGTGATTCTTCCCTTTCATTCAAAATTTGAAGAGTATTTGCACAAAGTACTTGTTATGCCAAATGTTGAAGAGGAGAGAGCAGTTTATCTGAAAGAACTGTAAATTTTTGCATGTTTGAATTAAAAAAAGTTGATTTAATGTACAGTACACATCAAAATGCATAATGTTTTGCAAAGAGATAGTTCTTTTAGATCTTCGTACTTGCCCTAGATCTGTAAGATGTTTTATGTCGTTTCCCCCAACATTCTTTAGAATTGAAGTCGGTACAAAATTTCTAAAAGGTAATTTCATAGCATAAACAAAAAAACGTTTAAAATTTGATCAAAAAATTCTACTTCTAGTACTATATCATAAGGAAATAATTGCACATGTTGGCAAGGATATATTCAAGAGAATAGTCATTGTAGAGTTCTTTCATTAGTGAAAAATTAAGAACAACTCTAATATTCATTAATAGATGCTTAAGTGAAAAAAGTAATAAATCCACTATTTGAATTCTGTGTATTACTGAGAATGAAGACTTACATATCAAAAAGGAATGGAAATGTGTTCATGATAAAGGATTGAGTTATATGAAAGCAGATTTTGTTCCAACTTACAATTAAAATATGTGCATATTTTGTAGTTATGTATGTATGAGAAGTATGAAGACTCCACATCAAAAAGGTATTAGTTACTTGTCTCAGTGTTTTGATTATAGATGAGTTTTCTTCTTTTGCTTTATTTTCTAATTTTTTCTAATGAATGTATATTATTTGTGCAATATATATAACGTTAACAACAAAAGTTTTCCCTTTCTTTCTTTCTTTCTTTCTTTCTTTCTTTTCTTTTTCAATGCAGGATCTCACTCTATCACCCAGATTGGAGTGCAGTGGCACAATAATGATGCACTACCTTGATCTCCCAGGCTCAAGTGATCCTCCAGCCTCAGCCTCTCAAGTAGGTGCCACCATGCCCAGCTAATTTTTTTTTTTTTTGAGACAGGATCTCACTCTATTGTCCAGAATGGAGTGCAGTGGCATGATCATGGCTCACTGAAGCCTTGACCTTCCAGGCCCAGGTGACCCTCTCACTTCAGCCTCTCTGGTAGCTGGGACTACAGGCATGCACCACCACACCTGGCTTATTATTATTTATTTATTTATTTGGTAAAGATGGGGTTTGGCTGTATTGCCCAGACTGGTCTTGAACTCCTGTGTTCAAGTGATCTGCTCACCTCAGCCTCCCAAAATGCTGGCATTACAGGCATGAGCCACCATGCCCGGCCCTGATTTTTTAAAAAATTTTTGTAGAGACAGGGGTCTCACTATATTGCCCAGGTTGGTTTCAAACCCCTGGGCTCAAGCAATCCAAAGTGCTGGGATTACAGGCACGAGCCACTGCACCCAGCCCCTTTTCTGTGTTTTCAGTGTGTAAAAAGTTGCCAGCTGCTACAGATGTTTACAGAAGGTAGTTAAAAGAGACAAACTGTATGAATTAGAAATGTTCATTAAAACCTGCCGAGGCCTCACAAGATGAAGATTAAAAAAAAAAAATTTGTCCAAGCAAACTGCAAGATCACAAGCAAGATCCATGTCTTACCATTAGTATTACAAGCAAGATCTATGTCTTACCGTTAGTGTTAAGTAATCTGAAATGCCTTAAGGGTACTAAGGCAATCATATTAAAGAATGCTTTACTTTTTACTTAATTAGAGCCAGATTTTAATTATGGGGAAAAAGTAGGGTCATGGCTTTTCTCAGTACCAAGCTTCAGGAGGAGGGTTACATAATTTGGAAAACAGAATCTAAATGTTCTCTGTTTTCATTTATATAAGAAATTATAAAAATAAATAAATCAATAACCCAAAGAGGCCTCCATTGCTAAATAGATGCTGCTAACCTAAGATATACAACATAAAATCCTCATGGATGTTGCCCTTCTTGAAAAGTAGCTTTCCTGTTTTCCTGCAAATTTAGGAAATATCTGAAAGTCCCCATTGTGAATGAGGGTGCCTAATTGTCTGGGGCTTTTACCTTTGCAATTTCATCCTCCTAAGACATCATTTCCTTGAATCGTAGTCTTGGTTCCTACTGGGCCAAATTCCACTGGCATCAATCCAAATGCCACGAACATTAGAAACATTCACATGGATCCAACATTGTCTACATACTTTCTTAATTGGATAATTGTCATTCTGTACCTGGACTTTGATGTTGGCAAATTGCCATTGAATTTTTCTATAAGTATGTGTCCTCTGCTACCCATCTGTAAACTAGCTTCTGTGTTTCCATTGCGGTTATATTAATCACAGAACTCTATCACCAAGATCTAGCTCAATGCCATTACCATCTCACCATCTTACTAATATATTGGCTCAATGACCATTTTTCAGTGCCTCAAAAAACATTTAATCCATTTACATTGTTTCTCCTGCACAGAGACAATAGTTGAATCAATTTTAACAAATAAATTCAGAAGCAAAAAATTACATGGCATATCTTATTTCTAGTTTAAAACAACCAATACCAAAGTTATCAACCAAATACAAGACAGCAGACTACCTAATAGAAAATATATATTCTAAAGTCAGAAATTTTTTTTTCTAAAACAGAAACACAAGATTTCCCACTCTTCACCCCACTTTACTTTTACATAACAAAATTATTTCTTCCAAAGAGTCCTAAAGAATCTCTCTCCTTAGACTCTCTGTACAGCTGGTTCCCTTTGTCAAAGAAAAATGAGACCCTAACAATAGTTAAGGTGGTAAAAACAGGATTTACTTGGAAACTACTTCAACAGGGGAAAAGATATCTCAGTATAGAATTGGGCAAAATTATGAATACAAGGAAAAGTGGGAATTTATGGTTAAAGAGCGTGTAGTTGGTAGATGGAAAATTATTAAGAGGAACACATCAGAGGTAAAGATAGATTTTGGCTGAACCCACCTATTATGATTCTTGCTGAAGGCAGGCCAGGGGATCAGACATCAACTCAGGGATGGTATGGACGAAGAGTTTGGTCAGATTAGAGGGTAACTAGATATCAAGGGTGGGGGGTTCTGGTGAACTTACTTAGCAGAATTCTTGCTAAAATTAGGCTCTTGGAGGATATTCCCAAGGACAAGGCCTAGTGGGGCTCACAGCAGCCGACTAAAATTTGGTCCAGGGAAAAATCAATGTCAGTTCTTCCTCTTGTTAAAGGGAAGAAGATACATTCTTCTTTCCTTGGAACAATGTAAGTGCATTTCTTTTTTGGTTGCCTTTTATTCATTAAGGATTAGCTGAACCATCTCTTGGAAGCTGCTAGTAGAGGATATTTGCTGAATAGTGCTAACAGTCAGGAATACAATGAAAGGAATTTCTATGAAAATTAAAGTAAAACAAGGATAAGTAGTTGGAAACTTCGTTTGAGTCCAGGGACCAGCCAATTGAGAAAATTTCTAAATGTTTTTCTCAAGGACGAAAGTGGCAGTCCCACAGATGTCCTTGTCTGTGTTTTGAATGTCTTTGGTGATGGCATCAGGAGTTCTGATGAACTTTCTGAGTGGCTCACACAGAAGCAGGCACAAGGTTTGCCCGTACATGATCTATTGCAGTGATTTCTTCAAAGTTTATATTAAATCACCCAGCTTCAGAAAAGAGCAGTTTTATTTCTTAGTAACTCCAAGTCAGGAGGCTGGGAGAAAAATTGGAAACTTTAGTTTTCAGAATTGTAGCCACGTCAGAGGAAACCAGAAGAATTGAGAACCCACAAGGGTACACTATAGGTTTTTATCAATACATAAAATTTATCTCTACAGTTACTTCCATTTTGATTCTTGTTGACAAAATATGCCTAGTCTCATTAGATTTGGCCTGATTAATTACATATGTGCAGCAAAAATGGTACCTGATCACACATGCCTTTTTGAGTTTGTTTTGCTGAAAGTTTCATCAGGAATCTCAGATTAGACTTTTAGAAGTCTCTTGAGGCTAAGAAGCCAAGCCAAGAACTCACCAACAGACTTAACTTTGGACCTATAGATTTGGGTGAATTCCTCTCTTCTTGAGGTCCCCAAGATATTTCAATATTCCTGGTGCTGCCAGTAAATGACTTTCCTTATTCACCTCTGATGCTGGGAATCTTGTAACCCAGGTACCAGGGTAGCTTTTCAAAGAGACCATTGTAAATCTTGGCTTCATAAAGTCAACTTTAGTTCCTTAAACCAGATTCCATGCACATAATTCTCAAATATGGCATTCCAGTTAAAACCTTGGTAACATAACCAATGTTCCCAATTATGTCCTATTACAAGAAGAACAGATTCTTATTAAACTTATGCCAATAACGAATGGCCATGAAAATAAGAAAATTCAATGAGTTTCCAAATTCTGGAGGCATCAGTAGGGAGAAAGATAACTGTTCCATTTCTATTTACAAAAGTGTAGCAAGAGAAAAGGGTTCCTTAAATATGGAAAATAAAACATTTAAAAACAGCTATGTTCCAAAACAAAAACCATTCTGCTTGATCTTAGGTTTGCAGTTTCATTAAAACCTATCAATTTCTCCACTAATGTTTGGCAAATCCTTACTCAGTCCAGTGAAATGGTCTCAAAGTTGTTTAAGCAATGACATCAGGAATCATTCTGGGCAATAGCTGGTTACAAATGCTTTCAGAGAAGAATCAGAGTGAAACAAAAACTATACGGATGAGAAATATTTTATATGACCATGATTAAAGATTTTATAGGAATTAATTTGACAACTGGGTGCAGTGGCTCAGGCCTGTAATCCCAGCACTTTGGGAGACTGAGGAGGTGGGTATTGCTTGAGCTCAGGAATTGGAGACCAGCTTGGCCAACATGGCAAAACCCCATCTCTACAAAAAATACAAAAATTAGCCAGGCATGGTGGTGGACGCCTGTAATCCCAGCTACTCGGGAGGCTGAGTGGGAGGATTGCTTGAGCATGGGTGGTAAATGCTGCAGTGAGCTGAGATCACGCCACTGCACTCCAGCCTTGGCAACAAAGCGAGACTTCATCTCACAAAAAAAAAAAAAAGAAAAGAAAAGAAAAAAAGGAATTAATTTGAGAAGGAAATTTGGTTATTTCTGTTACATACAACATTTTTAAAAATAACGAATTATGACTGATGATAACATTATACCAGGAAATATGAATGGCAAAGGTAGTGACAAATTTCTATGAACTTTATAGAATTTCTGAAATATGTATATTAATAGTATTTACCCATATACATATAACATAGGAAAAGTGAAACATCGCTTCTTGTTTTACAATGTTCCCCATGCAATTTAACATATTAAATAAACCTAATTATTTTTAACATTTCTCTTTACAAGGGACCCACAAGTAAATCTCAGTCAGTTCTACAACAAGATTTCGTTTAGGATTTGATTTTGGGAAGGCAAAATTGTAAAAATGTAAAAAACCTTAACTCTTTTAAAACTGAGACATGTCAGTTCTCTTAATTAAAAGGCATGAGGGGCTTAACACCTGGGTGATGGGTTGATAAGTGCAGCAAACCACCATGGTACACGTTTACCTATGTAACAAACCTGCATGTCCTGCAAGTGTATTCCAGAACTTAGAATTAAATTAAATTAAAAAACAAAGAAAACATGATAATGGCCAAGCAAAGCGGCTCACATCTGTAATTCCAGCACTTAGGGAGGCAGAGGCGAGCAGATCACATGAGGCCAGGAGCTTGACACCAGCCTGACCAACATAGGGAAATCCCGTCTCTAATAAAAATACAAAAATTAGTCAGGCATGATGGTGCACGTCCTAGCTACTCGGCTACCTGGGAGGCTGAGGCACGAGAATTGTTTGAACCTGGGAGGCGGAGGTTGCAGTGAGCCGAGATCCAGCCACTGCACTCAAGCCTGGGCAACAGAGCAAGACTGTCTCAAAAAAAAAAAAAAAAAAAAAAAAAGACGTCATAAGACATAAAGCACAGCAATTCCGCACCACCCCCCAAAAAAAGCCTTTAACAATCTGTTACTAAGAACAGACCAATAATCCAAGAAAACTTTGTCATTTTAATTTTTCATCAATATGCTTTTGGTATTAAAGTTTTTTTAAAAAAACAAACTTATAAATAAATCCATTCAAATCTTTAGCCAATTTGACCACACATAAAATTCCTTTTTAAAAATTCCTTTACCACAAAACTTCTACAATTTTTATATCCATTAAAGATTTGCTTTCTCCTACATTTTCTTCTTTCTCATTCTGGAACAACGAGCCATTCTATTTTAGAATAAAAAACTTGTGTTTCATTTAACAAAAACACATTCTGCTTACTTCATACCTTTTTTAATCAAAAACACATCCCATTTTTCTTGCATATTTTGCATACCAAATTGTTTCTCTTCACCTTTATTGTTTCTGGTAGCTTTATTTCCAAATATTGATTATAATTTTTAACCATTAGTAACCTCCTTTTACAGAGAAAACTAGGAAGGATACATTGTGAATTGTCTGTCACATACAAGTATTCTGTAGCAGGCTAGCAAATTTATTAACATATTATTTCACTATTTTTGAAGGCATATGCTTTCTGATAGTATAATTTTTCATTAACAGACTCAGATGTATTTGATCTCTCTATATCATATAAAGATAAAAAGCTAAAAGCATATGGACTCAAACTTATGCTTAGTAGTGTGTGTTTCAGTACTTTATCCTACTTAGAAATTCTCAATGAATATCTATTGCATAACTCTAAGGCTGCAAGCCACCAAAAGGATTTTGGCAACTGTTTTTAGGCCGTCATACTATAAGAATAAACATAACTAGCCATCATTTCGAGTTGTTTCTCTGTTATTTTTACATTATTTGACTACTAAACCTAAGTAGAATAAAAATGTTTACTCACATATAATACTGAAAACTCAAAAGACTGTTCTTATTAAATCAACATATTAAACTAATCTTATTTACCAAAGATTTACTCAAGTCATGTGAATTTGAATTAGTTTCTATATTTCTAGGAGTTTAATGAGTATTCAATTTATACAAGTGCTCATTCATCTCTATGCCAAATTGAATAGAACTCCTTTAACAGATTTTATAAATTAATTTGGTAATACCATCCAGAGGTAAGAAAATGTTATGTGTATATAACATACATGTTTAGACATACATAAACATACAGACAGACAGACACAAAACAAAAATCTTATAGCTTTCATTCTAAAATTTTAGCCATGAGTTAAAGATACCAAGACAAAACTCACTGGTTTAAATGAATACTTTGCCCCTCTTTACTCCACTTTGTATTTTTATCTGAAATGTGTTTCTGACAGATGGAGCAATTTAACTTCACCTACTCAACATGAGGCCTAATGCTTTTTACCAATATCTGTAGGGGAGACATTTAAGATTTTTCATTTGCCCTAATATATAATCTGATGGAGGCTGTGGACTCAATTTTCTTTTTCCAATTATTAATAGCCCTTTTTCTGTCTTTCTCTTTCCAACCTCAGAAATTTGCTTTTGGAGGTCCAGAGACCCTTCAAAGTTCCCACTGAGGGCAGAGGGACTGAAGTTCAAGTGACTGGGGGGCTGAAGTGGGAAGTCAAAAGTCTGGCAGCGTGGACAGCGGGGATAGGGAAGGCAAAGATTTGAAGTGGACACACTGAAGGATTCAAGGGAGCTGATGGGATGGTCAAGGGTGGTACAAGGATAAAGGAGTTGTGAATGCAATGGGAGGGGTAGAGGGCTTAGAGAAGCCACCAGTGTCAGGAGAACTTAAGTTTCCCAAAGAGGCCACTGAAGCTCCATATTATCCTTAGTACAATCATGCTAACAAGAAAGAAAGCAGAGAGAGTTGGTGGAGCACAATTCAGCAGGGGTTCTAGAAGGGAGTTTCCAGTCAACTGAGAAGCTCCCATGTTCTTAAGTAATGGTACCTCTACACTTATGAATAGAGAAGACTGCAACTCTGATCTGGCTTCTGTTCTTGATCACAGGAGTTTTAACCAGTTCCATTTCTGAACTTGGCCAGTTCACCTCTCCTTAGGCAACCTGGTAGTCCCTGGCTCCTGAGAGGTCACCATATTGATGCCAAACTTAGTGCGGCACCCGATGAGCACAGCTCACTACAGCCCAGAACTCCTGGGCTCAAGCCCTCCTCCCACTTTAGCCTCCTGAATAGCTGGGATTCCAGGCATGCCCCACCACACACAGCCCAGGTTCTGTTTCTTGCAGAGACAAGTCTAGGATTCTAATTCAACTTCACTTTGCCCAGGACTCTAATACAGCTTCTTACAAACAGAAAAATCAAGGGCTCTACCCACAGCTTCTGAAGTATACTCACGATGTTAAGAATAGAAATCTGTCCTAACTGTGTGCTTCAAGGGACATCTGGAGCACTGGTTCAGAAGTCAGACTCATCAATGGATCCCTGGTTGGTCAGTCAGGAGTGAAAACAAAGACTTCAAATGTGCACATTTGGGTCCCAAGTGAGAAGTTCAGGAGTCCAAAGATGAATCTGATACTATCCAAGTTGTTTTACCATAAATGTTAAAGAAAAAACCAGAGACTGGTGGGAGTTAAAGCAGATAAAACAGATTTTACTCAAACACTATTGCAATAAGGAAAAAGACACCTCAGTATAGAAGTAGACTCAATTCAAAATACAAGGAAAAGTGAGAATTTATAGCCAAGGAGCAGGATGGAGCTCAGTGGATGGAAAACTATTAAGAGAAAACATCAGGGACAGGAGGACATTCTGGATATAGTGACCTAACAGGATTCTTGCTGAAGATAGGCCAGTGTGATCAGATATCACCTGCGGGATGATGGGGGATGAGGAATTTGGTCAGATATCAAGGGGAATTAGACATCAAGGATGGGGTATTTTGACTAAACCTACTTAGAGAGATTCTTGCTAAATTTGAGCTCTGGGAGGTTCCACACAAGGAGAGGCCCCACTGGGCTCAGAGGACCCGGTTTAAAAGTTGGTCAGGAATCTCTGTCACTTTCTTATCATTGGGCAAGTTTCCTAACTGAATTTGCCTCTCTGCTTATCAAAGATTCTCTTTGGGATCTCTTAAATGTTGATAAATGTGGGGAATGTGGCATGGTAAAGAATAACAGTGTTTATTGGGATTAATTTCAGGACCCTGATCTGATATATATCAAATATGGGAACTGGGTTCATCAAGTCCTCCAGAAAATAAGAGACAAAAGCCATTTTGAGATTAGTTTTATCTCTGTTTTGCTTTTTGGGTCTTTTCCTTTGGTATATGCTGCTTTACTTCTTTCTGTAGTCTAGCTTTCTCTTCTTCCTAATAAATCTCTGCTTGATCCAAAGTAGCAGCCTCAGTCTCTTTGTTAACTTACTTCAAAGTCTTTATCTCAACTCACATTATTGGGAGAGTTTATGACTAGTCTGGCCAAACAATGAATTAGTCAGTTATTTTTCCAATCACCTGTGGCTGACTGAGTGTTCCTAAGATCAGGAAATACAATGCATTTTATCTTAAGGGAGCTTTGCATACAGATCACAGCATTATGTGTCTCCTAAAAAGAAAATACGCATAATTTTCAATGAATGGACAATTATTCTAATTAGACATAAATACTGTATTCACTGATTTGGTCCCAGGACTGTGAACTTGCACGTGATACCCTTTTATTTTTACTTAAAAATTATTTATTTTTATAACATGATACATACACACAAAGGCAAATAGTATTATTATATAGGATGGTTCCCTGTCCTATGACTCCCAACTTCTCCTACTTTGCCTCCCCTGAGCCAACCAAATTTGACCTTCTAAATGTTTCTTTTGCATTTGTGTCTCTCAAGTGAAATGTGTGCAGACTGCTATTAATTTTACATATTAGCCACCGAGTACCTTTTATGACAAACAAGGATTTAATTTTCTTACATCAACAACATCTCCATTTCTCCTCTTTCTTGTACCCAGTGTGTATGTCTAATTAATTATCTCATAATTTTGGGTAAAATCAGTATTTGACGTTTCCATTATTATGCCTGTGAAAGTGTTCTTCAAAGCCGAGAATTGTAGTGCACTATGATTATATTTCCCTTCCTGGTTTTTCCTTTTCCTTGAGTAAATAATGACTTTGATTCTGTTTTCTATTGCTTCAGTTTCTTTTTATCCACTCCAAATTCTTGCCACAGTTTCCAATAATCTCTATAAGCAAATTTTCAAAAAGTCAACCTCATCAGGCTCTCTCATGATACTATTTTTTTTTCTTGGAGATATCCCTTCTGGAGACCACCATTTTAATGCTTTTAGACTGACCATTCTCTAGACCAAAGACACACGTGTCATATGGAAATAATTTTGCTGATATCCTTGGAATTTTCTTCACATTTCTCCTGGATTGGATTTCTGTTTCCTTAACCTCATAACATTGTTTTTCATAGATTTACTTTCAGTGATACATATGCTACAGTTACTATATCAGGTTAAAAAGGAGAGCACATTGAAAGAATGAAAAATAGTAGAACCACTTTAAGAAACAAGTTTGGCAGATTCCTATAAAGATATAATATATATATATATTTACCATACAACCTAGCAATTCTACTCCAAAATATTTACCCAAAAGAAATATATCCACAGAAAGACCAGCGTGTAAATGTTTTTAACAATTTTGTTCCTAACAACCAAAAACATGAAACCACCCAAATGTCCATCTCCAAGTGAATGAATAAACAAATTGTGAGGTGCCCATACAATGGAATACGGCTCAGCAAAAAGTAGAAATGAACTACTAACACCTGCAATAAAACCGATGAATTTCAAAAGCATTATACTAAGTGAAAGAAGCCAAACACAAAAGGCTATGTACTGTATGCTTCCATTTATATGACATTCTGATAAAAGCAAAACTACAGGGACAGAAATCCGAGTAGCTGTTGCCAAGGGGCTTAAGGTGGGCAAAAAAGACTGACTACTAAATGGCTTGAGAGAAGATTTTTGGATGATGGAAATGTTTTACATTATGATTGGGTGGTAGTTATATAATTGCCCAAACTCGTCTCACTGCACACCTTAAAAGGATGAATTTTACTGTATGTAAATTATACCTCAATAAACCTGACTATAACAAATAATAATAATAATGGTACAGGGCATATTCCAGGGACATGGCAACAATAGCAGCATAGCTTTTTAAATTGTTTTGAATTCCTACATAAAAACAAACAAATCAAAACCCTATGGGAAAGATTTACTACAAAATTCAGGGACAATGTGCCCCTTGAATCCCCAAACAGAAGCAGGTGGGGACAAATTTCTAACAATGTCAAGATCGGCATGGGACTGGTGTTTCCACGGAAACAAGAAGAGGGGAACAGCCTCTGACTTACCTGAAAAGAATACCCCACAAAATAGCCAACACCTACTCATTATAAAGCTTAGCAGGCAAGTTCGAGAACAGGAAGGGCTATGCCCTCCACAATTTTGGGGAGAGTGGAAAGGAGAAATTGAAGGGGCTTGAGCAGTCTCGCCTTATGCACTCTAAAAATTGACCTGGCAGAACGTCCTCCTAGAACAGAGTTCTGCACTCAGAGGAACTGCTCTGAAGAGGAATAAAAACTGATCAGGACTGAGTCAAAAGAGATGAAAGAAGGAGACAGCCTAAAATCTGAGTGGAAACATTGAGTTTGAGTGTTGGGGTTTTGAACACTGCAGAAAGATGGCTGGTGGATGAACCATATGGGTTAGTGTCTTTAGTTTTTTTCCCTTAAGTTGGTCAGATTTCCTAGAATGTTCTCCGCCAGTCTTCTGCCAGGTGGCTAAAGGTTTGGCTGTAAGTATTCTCAGAGTTCAGTGGAGAAAGAAGCCTGGAGATTTCAGCCCAACCTATAATGTACATCTGGTCACTGTATCCCCTATTTTCTGTGGGATAGCAGCACTATCATCAGTGTTGATTGATCCCCATGCCAAAGACCCTCAGTCATACTTTCTCCAGGAAATAAATCCCTTGTCCTCTGACCAGTGGGATAGTGGAGAAGTGGAACTAGAGATCAAACTGCTTTGCAAACAGTTTCTCTCAGTTTTCCATTTTAGCTTCTTGCCCTTGTCTCCTAGCTCACAGACACATGGTGTTGCCTATTGCTGACTATTTCGATGGTTCTCTGCTTTAAATCTAGGGGATTCTCAAATCTCTCCACTGCTGCCTGAGTAGTCTTCTTTCTCAGCTCTGTTCAGCAAGTTACCACAGGTTCATCTGTTTTCCAGCTTCCGTTGACTTTGTATATGTATATTGCCAGGACAATCAATCTCAGTTCCTTTATCCCAATTACAGTGCTTAATATTTACATCTTTCCCTGGGATTCTCTCTTGGTTATTTGAGTTGACACTCGTAGAAGTGTATTCCTGATCTACCCAATTTGTATGCAGCACATAGTGATCTGCTATAAGAGGGTTCAAGATGTGACACACTACACAAATCACTTAAATCCTCAGGGTGGGGTCTGGAATAGTCTCTAGAGCCTCAAGTCTTTCTTCCTCAGTGCGTCAGACAGTGGCACTTTTGAGTGCCACTTGACAGTGTGTCCAAAGTCTCTGCAAGCAGTGAACTGGAGAAACATCCAGCACTTACTGCTCTACTATAAGGAAAGAAATACTCTTATCAACTGGACATCCATATAGTAGCCACTGTGGATGTTCCATGTGCCCAAAGAGTATGGTGTGCAGATCAAAGTCAAGGGCAAAACTGTCTGCACGTATATCTGAGGGTTCTGTCCATTTTACAATTCAGGTGCATTTTAGAGTCATCCAAGCTAGTAGCTGCGTCATAGCCCTAGCAATGTTATGTGTGTTCTACAAATGAAAGATTTACCATTATTTGAAATTCTTCATTTCAAAAAGTTTAAATGGATTTGAAATCTATTATAACTATCACAAGAAATGCTATCATTAGATTATTAATGAAAGAAAGATCTGTAGGATTCTTTCTATGTATATAACTTCAATAGTCCCTGCAGGGAGCCGAAGGCCCGTAGGATGTGACCAACTCAGTAGTCCACTGGAGGATATGATTAAACAGCAAACTGTTTATCATGAATGCAGGATGTGGGCAAACTCACACTGCCCTGCCACCAAAAGGTTTGCTGAGGGACATCACTCCCTGGCACCCGGCTCCTTGAAGTTATCTACTGAGAAATCTAGCACCTATTATCCAAAGGATGCAGTCTTGCCTGCTGTGAACCAAATTGCTGACTGACAATTACCCAACAATCACACCCCCCACCCCGATCTCTTTTGCCTAATAAATATGGAGGGCTGTGTAAATCTCAGGGCCCTTGTGCACTAGAGGCAAGGTGCCCCCCGACCCCTTCTTACAAATATACTCTTGTCTCTTGCCTTTGATTCCTGTGTTCGCCCCCCTTTGTTCAGTCCACCAGGTCTGTACAGGTTACAAGTCCCAAATTTTTGAATGGTTGTAAAATGTGTTTAAATGATTTGTCCATGTCTGTATAAGCAGATTTTTATTGATGGTGACTATTAAGAATTTGAAAATGTAATTAAAAAGTCTTGATAAGGAGCTGTGTGTAGCCCTTTCAAGCATAAAATCCAATTTTTAAACAGATATAAGCTCAAGTTTCTCATTAAAGGTTTTCAACAATTCTTTTTTGCAAATTTTACATGTATTTAGTATCTAAATTTCCTTCTAAACTTTGTGCTGTATTACCTTGCATATGAAAACTGTTTCAAATTTTCCCCAGGCTCCATATGAAAGCACTTGAATCCCTCCAGTTTATCTCAGTGCCTTAGACTGGATCTTCTAGAAACAGAGAATTCCAGGTAGAAGGTTTATTGGAGAATGCCCTCAGGAAATATACCTAAAGGAAGTGAAGATGGAGGCAAGACTGGACAGAGGGAGAAGCTGACTCACATTGCAGTTACAAGTGAGGCCTCAGCTTATCCTACTTGGAGCCCTAGAGCTGAATGAACTTCTAGAGTTGTTTTAAATTGAGGTGAGGGACTGAGCCTGTGTATTTATTCCCCATCAGCCATTCATTATGCTTGCTGGCAGAGGGCATAACCTTGAGTGAGGCACACTATGAAATGTCAGAAGCCTATTTCCGCAACAGCTTGGAGATGGGTAAGTCAGCCCTGGGCAGAACACCACAGAATCTGCAGCACGGACTGCTCAGGAAGTGCTGCCGAGTTACCATAGGAATTGAATCAACATTCACGGGGATTGTTTACATTGGCCTGCTTTTTCTGAAATACTCTGTACCTCCTGAGTATTGTTTGACGTTGTGGGTAACAACACTATATATTTTCATAGCACCTATTATTCCATAATATTATAACTTAATTTGTATGCTGTCACATGTTTTGTGACTGTTATGATGTAAAAATGTGAGGGGATGTTGACAGTGTAATTAATTATTTTATCACCAGCACCTAGATCACACTGACTGGCATATAGTAGCACTCAATAAGTGTCTACTAAGTGAGTGATAAAATGAATGAATGAATGCACTATTTTTCTTTTTTCTTATTTTTTTTCTTTAAGCTGTGCTTCTCAGCATCTTATTCTGCAATAAAATGTGTTTGAATGGAAATGCCACAAAGCCAATCTCAATAACTCCCTTGGACCTCAAAGGAGTTCACAGATTCGTGAAAGATCATCTGATGAGGTGTCCTGTCCAGGAATTTACTGTTCACATTTTATGGAAAATTATTTCCTTAATTTTAACCTAAAATTGCCTTAAATTTTTTAAAGTGCTTTTTAAAATTACTAGTCATCTTTTAGAATAGAGTTGTCAGTTCTACAGAAAATGAAGTTCCCCATATATGTACATTTTTCAATGTACTGTACTCTTTTCAACAGTAATTGTTACCTACTAGAGTAAATTTAGAACTAAGGAACATAGACTCGTATATATTTTCCACCTCTTATCTCTTTCAGGATGTTGTCTTACTCTGATAATTATCTGATTCTCTTAGTAGAGTTATAAATTTCCCTTCTGAGTCTTGATAACTTATCTGAAAACTCTGTAGCACAATATATATCTTCTGAGTGGACTTTTTGCTAACAATCTGTTCAGAAATTATTCCATCTACTTCTGCCGTGTCACTAGGGATAAATGGCCACAGCAGTGTTTTTCTTCTGGGTTTTAATCAGATTATCAGAGCTAGCTTCTTTCTTGGGTTTTAAAATATGTTTTAATTTTTCCACTTATCTCTCCTAATCATCTGATTGGTTATTACTTTCAGATCTTTTTGTTTCTTTCATAGTCCATAATACATGCTGAGCTATGGGACTTGTGACACATTTTTTGAATAATTTTTAAATAATGTAGCTTTTAGACATTCCCAGTGTGGAAAACATATTTCTTCAAATTAACTGAAGATATTTTTGTTGGCAGTTGAATTACTTTTTCTTCTTAATTTTTCTTTAAGCCTTAATCTTCTTGGCTGTACATCTAAAATCATCACTTATGTATAATTCTCCTTGGCTTCCTTCAATACAATTAATGATCTTTCATATGTACTCCTTTGGTTGCTATTATTTTCAGGGCCTTTTGTTTCAAAAATAATCAGCCACATTGCCACTGTTGAAACAGTTTAATTTAGTCAAAGGTCCAGATAGTGGAGGACCATTTATAAGACTCCTTTACAGGACTCTTGGTGTTTTAATGGTGGTCTGTCTATAAGTATATGAATAGAGTTCTTAGAAGGAGCAGCTAGGTTTGTCTCTGTCCTGATTATAGTTATATCTTCCCTTTAGTGTCTGGGAGCTCTTCTGTAATTTTTACATTGGACAATGGTAGTTTGCTTACTTCCAAGTGTTAGGGAGAGTTTTCATTCTTAAAACTTGCCCAGTAATCATACTACATAATAATTATTAACATTTATTACTACTACATTTTAAGCATCATTCCTACTTTGTAAATCATTCCATTATTTCCTTTAGTCTTTTTTACATTCCTTACAAAACATTATTACTATCAATTTTACAAATGAGAAAACCAAAATTAGCTTGATTAAGCAATTGTCCATCATGAAACCACCAGTACATAAGGGAACTGGGCTTTCAAATCTTAGCTTATCTGTGATATTTCACTATCTCATATACAGGTCCTTTCTTGAAATGACAACTTCCTTCCTCCATTTAATCTCTTAAACCATAATTACATTGGTCTTGTAATTCTTATAACTCTGTTTAAATCTGTGAATAAGAAAATGAAGCACAGTAGTTACTGGAATTTGCTAGTAACTTTAACCAGCGCAAATCTTTTCTACGATGTGAGTGTGATTTCGTGGGGGCGGGGTAGGAAGTGGTTTGGCAGAGAACATTCTAGGGTAGAATGCTTTTTGAGAAATGTTCCTACATTACTTTTTCATATTCAAAGCAAATTTCCCAAGGTAAATAAATTGTTTATTCTTGAGGCTGAGATTACTGCAGTTTACTAATGTAAATTAACTTTTCAGTTAAACATCTTATGTTGTCTCTGCATGAGTTATCGATTCTTTATTGCTACCACTATCACCACCCTGCTTTAAAAAAATTCTGTATTCAATGTCCAAACTTGCATCTATTCAAGAGTGACTTCCCCAGTGTCTTCCAAATAAAGAGATTAAGTTAACTTTTATTCATTCACAGTGCCCTGTGCGAAAAAAAAAAAAAAATCTGTAAGTTCTGCTCTCAATACTCAATATTTTTGATAAAACAATGACTTCTTTGAAGCTTAAGATAAACATTAACTACAAGACTGATACAGTTTGTATATTTGTCCCACCCAGATCTCATGTTTTCACCCCAATGTTGGAGGTGAGGCCTGGTAGGAGGTGACTGAATCATAGGAACAGATTTCTCATGAAATAGTTTAACACCTTCTTCTTGGTACTGTCCTAGTGAGAGTGAGTGAGTTCTCACAAGATGTGGTCGCTTAAAAGTGTGTGGTACATTCCCCCTCTCTTTTTTGCTCTGTTCTCATCCTACATGTGCTTGACCCCGCTTCACCTTCTGCCATGAGTAAAAGCTCCCTGAGGCCACCCCAGAAGCAGATGCCGCTATGCTTCCTGTACAGCCTGCAGAACTGTGAACCAATTAAACCTCTTTTCTTATAAGTTACCCAGTCTCAGGTATTTCTTTATAAAAATACAAGAATGGCCTAAGACAAAGGCAGAGTAAATAAATCAAATGAAATGAAACAGAAAAGAAAGAGCGTTGAGAATTTTGATTGGGAGTAAGGACTTATTAGATTTACCTGGAAAATTAAACAAATGAGAATTGCAAATCATGTTCAAAAGTGAATTATGTTATCAGATAATCAACATTTATTTTAACATTATAAAATTAACACAATGTGGTGGTGGCTTAAGAATCTAGGGAAAGATAAGGGATAGCTCTGGAACCAATGTTAGAATCTTAATATAAGATTTAAAATATCATAAATCCATAGGAAAGGATGTATTATTTCTAACGTTGTGTTTGGAAAATTATTTATTTTGAAAAAAGCCCAATTATCAGTTTGTGTTACATTCAAAATATATAGAAACTTGATGGAAAGTTTAAAGTAACAACTGAAACTATGAAATGCATATGAATATGTACTGTATGCAGTTGGGAGACTTTCTAAGCATAAGATCATTGTAATACATCATGAAGATGATAGATTTGCCTACTACATAAAAATTTAAAATTTTCATATATCAAACCCATTAATACTTTCTACACTATTTAAAAGTTTATTTCCTTTTACATATAAGTAATATAAATCATTAAGCAAAATGACCAAATTTATGAATAAATATTTTATGGAAGTTATATAAATAACTAATGAGCATATGGAAAAAATCCCACTTGTGATTAATTAGTTAAATTCAAATAAAGGAATACCAGCAGGTCATAATAACCTATAAATTGGCAGCAAGAAAAATATATAGACTGTTGCCATTTCAAATATATAGTCCTCACAAGGTGGTAAGTAAGATATCTGGCAAAAAAATTAGGTTTTATGTATTTGCCAAAGAATAGTGAAAACAGGAGGAAGTAAGTACTTCTGGTTTATATAATTATTGAATCTAAATCTCCACTATTTCTTTGGATGGAACAAGGGCAATTTCAAGACAGTTGAGTCCCATTTGGGACACAGAGACCCTGTATTCAAAATATGAAATATGAAACTTTGGAATATAGGTGGCAACTATTTACAGATACTATGTACATTTTATATATATATATATACATACACATATATGTATATATACACACATATATACATATTATATATTTATATATACACGTATAAAATAGATAATTGATAAATCTAAAAGTAATGACTGCTTTTTTAAGATTCATTAATGCCTATGAGTGCTAATATTTCACAAAATAATGCAAAGGTTAAATGTATAGTGTTGGTCAAAACTGACATAGTAAATATCTTTATTATTAGAATAAAATTATTATACTTGAACTCATGCATTATTTTTCTTTGCAATTATCATATAAACATAATCCTACCTCATGAATTTAGTTTTTCTTTTTTAGCTTCTTTTCACATTTTGTTTGAGCCACAGAAATACGAAATGAACACTATGCATATATGTTTTAATTTATTATTTTCCCAGGTCATATTTTCACTAGAATCTTTTGTTCCAAGTCATTTAATGAATTTCATAAGGATGAGTCTGTTCAAAATGAGATGTCTTGGATTATAAACATAGTGTGCTTGTGCTTGGGGAAAAAAAGAAAAAGAAGAAAGAGAGAAATATTTTTCAAAAAAACAGATGAGTAAGTTAGCATAGCCAAAGGGCAGCAACATCTGATGTGGTGACAGGCTTTGCAAGCTTCATGTATTAATGCAGTTTCCATAGCAGCCACTACCTCACATGATAGTTCAAAATAATTTGTAATTGCCAAGAACTTTTAAAGGGAAACACACCCAACTCTGATATATTTTCAAAAATCAACTAAATGTTTCTGAATCTAGATCCTTGACACAGGTTGAACAATGAAATTTTATAGAGGACACAACCTCTAAATCTGTACTTCCTCATTTATAAAATAGGGGTAAAAACACATGCCATGCCTGCCTCACAGGATCAGTGAGTGATGTATGTCAGCATGCTTTGGAAAGTGAAAAATGCCGTACAAATGCAGAGTATGATTAACTTACAGAATCATCCACTATTATAACCAGAAGAAATGTTAGAGACCGCCAGGTCTCAGCCTGTCATTTCACAAATGAAGCAAAATTCATTAAACTTGTCCACAGGACCACGTCAGGAGAGTGGCAAGGTCATTATGAGAGCTTGGGTCATGTACCTGTATGTCTAGTCCCCTTTGTCCCCTTTCTATTTTTTTTTTTTTTTTTTTTTTTAAGACACAGTCTCGCTCTGTCACCCAGGCTGGAGTGCAGTGGTGTGATCTTGGCTCACTGCAACCTCCGCCTCCCAGGTTCAAGAGATTCTCCTGCTTCAGCCTCCTGAGTAGCTGAGACTACAGTCGGGTGCCACCATGCCCGGCTAATTTTTTGTATTTTTTTAGTAGAGACGGGGTTTCACCGTGTTAGCCAGGATGGTCTTGATCTCCTGACCTTGTGATCTGCCCGCCTCGGCCTCCCAAAGTGCTGGGATTACAGGTGTGAGCCACTGTGCCCAGCCCCTTTGTCTCCTTTCTATGCCTGCAGTCAGTTACTGTTCTGTGAGATCCACCACACCCTTTCCTCTGATCCACCACAATAGTACCCTGATTGCTCCAGTCTTCAGAGGTCACAGAAATGCACCGATCAGACTCTCTACCAGTGGGCCACATAGAACTTCAAGTTCATCTTTTTCACAGCTGTGAGTCTTACTATTAATCCCACATTGAGTCCCAAGCATACTCTTCTTCTAAGCTCTCTCAGGCTTTTCAGTGTTTGAGAAAAATCTCTGATATAACTAGAATTTTTAATAGGAATCTCAAGAGTCTAAAAGTGTCTAGGCATTATGTAAATCAAATATGGGAGAAAATCTGTCTTCTGAAAGAATTATTATCTGAGTACTCTTAATTGAAATAATGTCACATTAATAGTCAATTTTAAATGTATATGGTATATTTGGGGAGGCTCTTTACTGTACAGATCTAACTTAATCATCAAATAAAGGTCTCTTCAAGGAGGTGGTGTTATCCCCATTTTGCTGATGAAAAGAACTGATTTTCAGAGATACTAATTAACCTTTCTATTGTGACATTAATATTGGAGCCACAATTTGGAGTTAGGTTTTGTTTTTGCTCTTTTTAATTAGCTGTTTTTTCCGTTATTCAATGATGTCTACACGTCAGAAAGTGACTTTGATCAGTCCTGATTACAGGTCTAGTGTCATGTGTGTACGTGGACTAGAATGGAAGAATCCTGACACAGAGATTGAATTCTTAGAGATACTCCTGAGACCCATTGGAACTTGGCTTCTCTGCCCATTTCAGCTGACTTGAGTTGCTAACTTCAGTTCCTGTCTTCATCTTCTCTCCTAAATTTGACTCAGTTGCTTAACTCTTGGCTGTAACACTGATTCCTGGTGGCCATCTTGTTTTGATTCTACCAGCCCCATGGACAGACCTCACCTAGTCTGTCCAGATCTGGTTGAATAAATGCCACTAAATCCCTGCCTCCAACAGCTCACCCTTGATCAAGCATTGTCTAATCCTAGTTAATAAATTCACCAAGAATAGAAGAGCCACTATAGATTTTCTGTTATTTTTTTGTTTTTCTGGAGCCACCACGACTTTTGAGGGAGAGACACCTATTACGTCTCTTTTTCTAGGGTTCTTTACTCATAGGATGATTTAACAATAGGGTAAACTCAGAAAGCTATCTGGATCACCTGGAGCAAGCCCTTTGCTGACTGTGAAGCAGCCTAGGGGATGATTAGGAGGGACACAGAAATGCAAAAGTGAAGAGCTGAATGCAGAGGCTAGTTGATTTACATGTCGTATGTATCAGTTAAAAGACCACTATCTTTTTACTTGTTCACGTTTGTTCTTCCCTCTAGTATGTAAACTCCAGAAAGAAGTGATCTATTTCATCACTAAGGTATACCTATTACCTAGCACTGCCTAGCTTTGAGGCAATGTTCGATGATATATATTCTGAATGAATAAACAAATAAATACTGCAAGAAAATATATGAAAGATAATTAAAAGTAGACTTGCTGGTTTAGAAATACAACTTTAGTTAATTACATTCAGTTTCTGCTTCTTTATATGATGCCACCTGTCTCTTCTTATCCCTGCCCATTTGGAATTAATTTTACTTGTTTGTTGAAAAGAAAATAAAAGAGAATTGGGATTTCTGATTTAAGGAAGAGAGCCTGCTAAAGATAGGGTTCAAATGAAATAAGAACACCAGACATCTCAAATTATTGGCTTGTCCATGGCACAAAACTAGCAAATGAATCTATTTAACAGTAATAGTTTCAATTTAGGCAGAACATTTGAAAACCAATAAATGTCTACAGTTCCAGGCAGTAATATGGCTTTACAATAATTTATTTTAATTTCTAATTTGTTTAAATTAGAAATTGAGAGAAATTATTTCAATGTCTTTTTGTTCTTGGTAAAGTGAACTAAAATTAAAATGAGTACATCAACACTACTAGGTATGACAAAGTTTAGAAATTTAATAAAGTTAGTGGTTCACAACTGTAATCCCAGCACCGTGGGAGGCCCAGGTGGGTGGATCACATGAGGTCAGGAGTTCGAGACCAGGGTGACCAATATGGTGAAACCCCATCTATACTAAAAATACAAAAATTAGCCAGGTGTGGTGGTGTGCACCTGTAGTCCCAGCTACTCGGGAGACTGAGACAGGAGAATTGCTTGAACCCAGGAGGCAGAGGTTGCGGTGGGCCAAGATCAGGCCACTGTACTCCAGCCTGGGAGACAGAGCGAGACTCCATCTCAAAAAAAAAAAAAAAATGTAATAAAGTTGAAAATAACTTAAACAGCAGCAAAGGACATCTGAAGACATTCACCCACCTCCTGATATGAATGCTGCTAAGTCAGACTTTGTAAGATCTTTGGATGGGAGATGCTGCAAGATTTCTAGGTTATTAACTCTAGATTATTAATTACAGTATCTGGAGCCTGTCTAGAAGATAGATAGATAGAAAGATAGATAGATATTAATCCATTCCTGTTGCAAAATAAGAACGGTTTGCTCTGTTTTATACTTAAAAAGCAAACAAAGAATTGGATACCACTCTATGTAACTATTCATATGCTAATGTTTTACGCATGGTAGAAATCAATAGTGATTTATCCTCACAAGCATTTTAATTTCTTGCAATTTATGAAACTTCTAATAGTAGGTAATACTCTGATATTTATAGAATATAGTACAAATATTGGCATCACTAAACTATAAAATATTATGATGACCTTGTCTACTTTGTAAATTACTTTTTCATTATATGTCTGCATCCACAAACTACTACCACCTCCCCACCTTACCTCCCCCATAATCTATCCATTCTTTTACCACTGTTACCAACCCTTGTCAGGAAGATCTTGAACTAGACTACCTCTTATAAGAAGTATTAGTACTTAAATTTTAGAAATGGAAACATCTTCTCGAGATCATCAACCTCATCATTTTATATGTAATGTTTCTGGGTCCTAGAAGACATCAGATCACCCAGCTGGTTTTGTGGAAAAGTTGTGACAACTAGTTCTCAATCTAATTCTTTTTTATTCTAATTTTTAAATTAATTACACTCATACGAATCAGTTTTTAATTTGTTCACTCTTGTTGTTAGCATTTTCTCTTTCTACGAAGAATATATCAAGAATACCAATGTTGAACAAAGTTCACAAGTAAATCATACTGTGTCTAGTTAGCCTGATGCCATCTTGCCCAAAAGTATAATCACTGAAAGAAATCACATCAACCCTGTCAATCAATAAAGACAGGAATAGTTATTTAAATAAGCTTGGCATGTCTTGGCAAATCACTCAAATGTTATGAATACATCCAAGAATGCTTTGGCACAGAGAGCAGGATTTAAATCCTCAGCCATTTCAGAGTACATTGCAAACAGTAATCATCTGATATTCAAATTTCTTGAACTTTAAATAGTCTTATCTAATGCTGTTGCCTGGACTCCATTCTTCACGCTATCAAACTACATTCTTCAGACAATAACATATCCCAAGGGTGAAATAGATGCTTGTCAGTCTCTGAACCTCATAAGTGTTCATTAAATGTTGATAATTGACTAAACCATTAAACAGGAAGAGTAGTGGTAAAGGGGTATGAGCCCTGGAGTTGACCTGAATCCTGTCTCCCTTTTACTAGCTCTATAAATTGGACAAGTAATTTTTTGATCTTTAGTTTCTTTATCTTTAAAACAGAGCTAATTATACCACAGAGGACTGTTGCAAGGATTAAATGAGATACTGCAGGCAAAGTGCTTCGCTAACACCTGGCACAGAGGGAGTGCTCAATAGATGTTAGCTATTGTACTTAATTTATTTATTTTTTTCATAGATGTGAAATGAACTGCAGATTCTGAGCGCAGTTTTACAAGCACAACTTGAGTCTGAGTTCTAGCTACTGCCCAGTTGTGTGACCTTGGCCAAGTAAGTTAACATTCCTGTTTCTGTTTCCCCATATTGAAAATAATCTTGTATACCTTATGGTGTGTTGTGAGGTTTAGATGAGTCAGTATGTATAAAGCGCTAAGAACAGTAATTGACCTAAACATAGCATATTGTAAACATTTGTTATTATTCTGGATCCTATGTATAAAAGAAGTAGTCAGAAATATTCCATTCCACAGACTTACTTGAATGAGAAATAAGAAGTTTTGACAGCCATTTGTAGTATTCTTTGAATCAAAATATTTTATAATCTTCCTGTACCCATTAGCTATGATTCTCTTTGACAGGAAATGTTATGATATGAGAATATCTATAAATCACACATTTTTTTCAAAGTGGACAGTTGAATTACTGTTTTGGCTTTTCCAGCACTGTGTTAGATTAATGGAATCCTCACCGAAGTCCTCCGTCGATTTGTGAGTTTGTAAGTAGAAGAGAATTAATTAAATAACGAAAGAGTACAGATGTCAAAATTTGTATTGTATAAGCAACAGTTCTGCTAGGTAGAATGTATCAGGCATCTTGCTTAACAAATCCTTACAACAAAGGTTAAGATACTCCGGGCCACTAAAAGCAACAGGGAGCTGTTGATGCAATGCAGATTGGAATAAGAATGAGAAAAGAAAACAACATCCCTCAGAAGTCTAGTTTTCACCTTTCCCTTAACCTTCTCTGCCAGGATACCTTGATTTTTTTTTGTTTTTTAGGCTGTATCAGATAAAATGTACATGTGTGTATAGGTGTGTGTACAAGGAACAAATTATTTTAAAAATATCTAAAAGGAAAGTTTAAAAGGAAAAGATATAGCCCTGCTCTTTTTGTTGACAAAAAGATTTTTTTTCTTCTCTTTGTTTTCCCATTTGCCTACGTGCAGTTTGTTATAATATTAAAATTAAAGTGTATATACAACGATGTATCACGGTTTTTATTCTTAAAATATCAAATTTTTATATAATGTAATTTGACAAATACCAATAATGCCATCCCTTGCCTTTGTGTAAAGCATGGCTCTTTTCGGTTATTTTATGAATTTTCTGATGTAACTATTTCTGAAAGGGAGGGGAGGTACTTATTTAAATATATTGAGTCCCTAACACCTTGGAGATTATTCAAACTTTTTCTTCAGGAATGACAGGGAAGCTGAGACCTTATGTTCACACTGTATTACAGGCAGGCAAGAGAGAAAAAAATTGAAAGAAAGAAAACAAGACCAGTAATAAGGGAATAGGAATTATAAATATTTTCTACTGTCATTGCTGCCCAGTCTGTCTTACCCAAAATATTTTCCTCCTAGTCCAAAGTAATAGGAACTTTACTTTGTCTTTCAAAGTAGAGGTAAAACATGCTCATTGTTTAGAGTAACTAGTAATTAGTTACACAGTCTATACCCATCCTGCTCCACTGCCTGTGTGTTTCTCTGCCACATAGTGACTTAACATTAGGGTTGCCTCTATTCATAACATTTTTTTTTCTAGAGCAGTGTAGTAAAAGAATCATTACATCTATGGTGAATCAAGAAACTATAACTATCTATAACTCTATCTATCTATCTATATTATTTCTACAAGCTACTATTCTAAGAAAAGAGAATCTGTCATGAAATACTAAGCCCCATTTGGCGACACAGTGTTACCTGTGGACAATGATGAATTAGTGCTAATGGGAATGTGGGCATGAGTTTAATTCTCTTGAGGATTCCTTTTATTCCGTAGTTGTTCTAACCTTGCCTGGGTGGTCAGCTTTCTAAAAGAAAATAAGCATCACAGGTTCTTTCATACTTCCATAATAAGTGGATAGTTACTAGACCTAGGCTCTCAAAGATCTCAGGATGAATGGGACTCAAGGCATCCTTTTGGGATATCCAGAGCTGCCCAGCCCAGAAACAGGGAAAGCTTCTCAGAAGTAAGAACATCTCAGCTGCCATCTGAAAGACACCCTCCAGGTCAGCTTATCATTGGATCTGGAGTGTGACTACCTTCGGGAACACACAGGTCTGTTGCTTCTTCTCAACAGGGAAGTCATAGTAGAATTTGTGCAGGCTCTGTGGAAACAGCAACTTCTGCTACTTTCTTTGAGTCAAAGGGTCCACAGCACTTTGATCTTCTCCAAGGACTTTTCAAGGCATCTTTTCCCTTTCTCTTTCTTGACATAAGTTTTAGAAGTTTTTGTAGTATACAGATAGTTCTTCTTCTCCTTGCAAGGTAAGACCCATGGGCTCTTTCCAGCAGGAAGAAGAGATCAGAGGCTCTACTGGAGGAGATCATCAAATATCAAGATATTCTGAGAATGACCAGGTAGTGACTTTCTCCTGCAGATAGCATTTACTCTCCAACAGCTTGGAATATTGACGTACCTTCTGGGAGTCAGTGTAGTGCAGGAAGCACAAAAGCCCTCTTTCTTCATCACTGTATAGAGCTCTACATCTTTAACGCCCAATTTTCCTACATCATGGTATAATAATCTCCCCTGTTCTTTATTGGGAGATGTGAGGAAACTTACATTTTGCTGGATGAAGAATTTAAAATTGATAATGAAAGTAAAAGTATACATGAGGTCAAATACTAACAGTAATAAATTACATCAAAGGAAATAGTTATTATTTACAGACAGGCATATTCTGTAAGGAGTTTTCTCTATGGAGAAATAATTTTACCAAACTTGTATATCCATTCTTTTATGAGTAAAGGGAGTAGCGATTAAAATTGAGAGAAGCCTCAAAGAATGCAAAACTATAGCCACAGGTTGTCAAGTAATTATCATTGAATATTTTATGCTGTGTGATCCAGATGCAGCCAAATATTCCAGTATAGGTATGTGTGCGTGCACACATGCTCATGAATAGAACGAGACATGCACACACTCTGATCAGCTCCTTGAGACAACCTGTGACAGAGCCTGACCCAAGATAAACTGAGTGAAGTTAGTAATTATCTCCTACTACATATGTTTCCAGGGCAGTCTTTAAACCATTTGTAGATTAGATACTATTTACTGTGGCTATCCCACTCTTAAAGACATAGAACAAGTGATATGCTAACCTGGAATATGTGCCCATAGACTCCAAATTGTCTATCATTTAACTCTGTTTATTATAGCTAAAATGATTTGGAGAAATAACTGAGATCTCTAAACTTTCACTCCCCAAGTTGGCCGTGGCCTTAGATGAAAAGGAAAATGGCTATGTATTGAAAGATAAGACCGTGACACGAAAGGTTTAAAATGTCCATCTGACCTATTTATACTATTCTGTATTAGTTAGAGTTCTTCAGAGAAACTGAACATAATATGTATATACAAAGGGAGAGAGAGAGAGGTTTATATAGATACTTATTAGAAGGATTGTCTTATGCAATTATGGAGGCTGAGAAGTCCCATGGTCTACTCCCTACAAGCTGGAAAACTAGGGAAACTGGTGGCATAATTCAGTCCTAGTCAAAAGACTAGGACTACCCTACCTGAGAACTAGGGTAGCTAATGCTAATGGTGTAAGTCCTGGTTGAGTCCTAAAGCCCTAAAACCAGGAGCACCAATGCCCAAGGGCAGGAGAACATGAATGTCCTAGCTCAAATAGAGAAAATGAATTAACCTATCCTATACCATTTTGTTCTATTTTAGTTCTCAATAGATTGGATGATGCCCACCCACGTTGGTAGGGACAATCTTCCATATTCAGTCTACTGATATAAATGCTAATCTCTTTTGGAAGCATCCTCACAGATATATCCCAAAATGATGTTTTGTCAGCTATCTAGGAATCCCTTAGCCCAATCAAGTTGAGACATTATCACCGCACTTTGCAAATCATACAAAGTAGGTACAGCAGAAGATCCCAGCCCCAGGATATATTCAAACAAAATCGACGAGAAATAAATAAACAGTTTAATTAAGTGGTTTAAAAAAAGTAATCTTGAACACAGGGTGTGGTGGGTAGACACATAATGGAAACTTGTCAAAAATTTTATTTCTGCAAGAAAAAAGTTAAATTAATAATTTAGAGTTAAAAAATTTAAAAGACAAATTGATAAATAGACTTTTAAATTAAATGTATTTTAATTTCAGAACTGAATATGACAGTTCCAGTCTCTTCAGATAATTTACATCAGCCAATGTCCAAAGAAGTGAAATAACTTATTCAAGATAACACTGCAGGTATAGCTAAATCTTAAACTCATCCTTTTGGACTTCTTGTCAGTGTCCTTTCCATTACCTTCTAGTAACAATAAAAAAACAGCAGTGTATTATGACTTGTGGAAAGTATCTTATGAAGTCTTGGGTGCAGTAAACCTGTAATACATTTTCATATTTGTCTATCTTGGGGACTGGATCCAATTACTAACCAGTATGTGCTTTCCTATGCCTCCAAAATGTCTTGTTAGAAGACAATACACTTTCAAACATGATATTATCACCAGACAATAACAAAGGCCTAAGTAGCTTTTTCTCACCAAGATTTTGCAACAGATGTGACTAAGTGACTAATGTAAACATGCATAAAACTCTCCAGCAGAAAATGGTAATATGTAATTTTCTAGTGAATGTTTCATGAAGAGGGAATATGAAAAATTAAAAAGATAATTAGGATAGACATTGAAGAAAGATGGTTTGATATAAACATTGTATTTATATCTTTGTGATGTACTGTTTTCATATTTCTGTATAATATGATTGATAACAGTAAAGTAACATCGCAGTCCATAGTGAATACAGAATACCCCCTAATGAAAATTTGTTCTGTTTAAACTAGATTGGTTTCAGTCATATATCTAATTTATTCTGTTTTATGGCATGGGGAAAGGGCTAGAGCTGTGCTACTAGTGTTTGGTTCTATAACTGGGCAGCAATTTTTTCAAATAACTAAAGATTTTTATTTCTTATTAAAGAATTAAATGAGAGCTATATTTAAAACATGTAGTTTTATGTTTTATTTTTTAGAATAGGTTTATGTTACATTTATACTACATATTTCCCATATTTTTTTTTCCTGAATGTTCTTCCCTAAACAAAGAAACTATTCATTTTACTTCTATAGGGAGTCATTCTGCAGACGAGGAGATGTGAAAATCCAAGGACCTTGGGGTCAATTTCACTCAGGCAACAGCCTGGAGAATATGAGCCATAATTTATGGAGATTTAAGAATTAATAACAAAAACATATCAAATGCTAATGACAAATTCAGAGCTGAAATGAAACACAAAACCAAGAATCGGTGCTTAGCAGAATTTGGTATGAAGCAGAAAGAGAAAAGTAAAATTAGCAGATCAAGGCTTCCAGAAAGGTGGATGCGTATGAGGTCCCTAGCCCCAGTACCCTCACAGAAACACAGTTTAGCAACTATTCATAGAAAAGAATGCCTTTGTGAGAATTCCAAAAGTTGAGCACCCTGGTAGAGTGAAAAAAATTGCATTAAAAAAGATAAAAATAACCCTTCTTTGTCAGAAGCAATCCTGCCCAATCCAGCACAACACAGAGCCAAGAAAGATCCTGTTGACCCGTGATTTCTTCAGTGGAGTAAAGAGAGATCATGGTGGATGTTGAACTTCCCCAGCATTTCAGGGCATTGCTCTAGAGACCCACTTATGCCTCACCTCATATCACACACTGGGGAAATTGGCATGGCTAGACCACCTGGGAACAATCAGGAATAACAGAAAGAGGCAGGGGCTCTCAGCAGCCAGTGCATACAGATCTCAGAGGCAGTCCCACAGCCCCTGTGAGCAGCCTTGCCTGACTGTGGCCCTAACCAACAACTCCATCAAACCAAAGAGTCAAGTCGGCTGGCTCCACCCAACTATAGAGCTCAGAGAGCAGGCTCACATAACCTTAGAGCCCAGGCAACCAGCCCCACCCACCTGTGAAGCCCTACCAGACAACCATGCTCAAAAGTAAAACTTTGGTAACAGGCTCCATTTAACCAAGAATTCAACAGGCCCTGTTTCAACTTTGAACCCAATGGACCTCACTCACAGGCCTCACTTGCCCACAGATAACTGCCATCTGGCCCACCCAGAGTCCTAAGCTAGGCTGACTAGTGAAAGTCTTTCCCTGCTAAGAACAGACTATAAAGACTGGAAGAGAGAACCACTTCTTCAAATGTGCAGACATAAATGTAAGAATATAAGGATCATGAGAAATTAAGGAAACTTGATAACACCATAGGAAACTAAAAAAGTTTCAATAATTGACCCCAAATAAATGATGATCTACGAAGTGCCTTACAAAGAAAAATAATAATCGTCTTAAAGAAGCTTAGTGAACTATTAGGCAGACAACTAAACAAAATTAGAGAGGCAATACATAAACAAAATGAGAAGTTCAAAAAGAAATGAAAACCATAAAACCAAAGAAACAGAAATCCTGGATTTGAAGAATACAATAACTAAACTGAAAAAAAATTAATAGAGGGCTTCAACAAATGACCCAATTAAGCAGAAGAAAGAAGTAGTTACCTTGAAGACAGGTCATTTAAATTATGTAGTCAGAGAAGCTAAAAGGATAAAGAATGAAAAACACCGAAGAACCCCTACAGGACATATGAGACACCATCAAGTAGTTCAATATACACATTATGAGAGTCTCTGAAGGAGAAAAGAAAGAGAAGGGGAGAAAAAAGTGTTTTCAAGGTTATGAAGAAATTGGAATTCTTGTACACTGTTGGTGAGAATGTAAAATGGTATAGCCACTAAGAAAAACCAGTATGTAGGTCCCTCAAAGAAATAAAAATAAAACTTCCGTATGATCCAGTAATCCCACTTCTAGGTGTATATCTGAAAGAATTGAAATCAGGAACTTGAAATGATATCTGTACTCCCATGTTCCTTCCAGCATTATTCACAATAGTTAAGGTATGGAGTTGTTACTATTATAAATGGATATAAAGTTACAGTTATACAGTATGAGTAAGTTCCAGAATTCTGCTGTACAACATAATGCCTGTAGTTAACAATAAGGTATTGTGCACTTTAAAAGGTAGTACAAGGATAGAGCTCATGTTAAGTGTTCTCATCACAAATTTTAAAAAAAGAAACAAAAAATAAAGTGGCACATGGAAACTTTTGGATGTGATGAATATATTGATTACCTTGATTGTGGCAAGGTAACACTGGTATATGCATATGTTTGAACTCACCAAATTGTACACACTATGTGCAGTTTTGTGCACCAAATATACCTCAATAACTTTGGGGAAAATTAAATTTATTTTTTAAAAAAGTTTAGATCAGGTCATGTACAATTGCCCTAACTGGGAGATGATTTGTCCATAAGCCATTTTTAATATCTCATGACTCAACATACAGCAACAGCTAAGATTGGCTTAATGGTTCACCACACACTCCTTTAGATGGTCACAGAATTGGAAGGAACCAGAATGAACTATGAATATGAAAATCCATCAATAATTTACAAAATAGCCTTTAAATTCTTTATTGCTGATTTTATAACTATTTTACTTTTTATTTTATTTATAAGAGAAAATTGTGTTGATACATGAGGAACGTTCCTCACTATTTGACTATGGCTTCATCATAGCATATGTTAGTCTGCTAGTATCAGAAAATTTGTGTGACACCTGCAAACTAATCAGAGTTTCTAGGTTAAAGGGTGTGTCAGACACTCTGGATAAAGTTCTTTCTCTGGATTAAACTAGAAATCTCAGGACCTGTATATTCTAACATCTTGTTCAGTAGGGAAAAATGGTATGGGTGGTGGGAAGAGGCCATTGAGTACAACTAGTCTCATACAACTAGAGCCAGGTTTCCTAATGAAAATTGCAATGTTAGGATGTTCTCCACTTTACTAAAAGTCATAAGTTTTAGAAAGTTATTTCTTTTTCGGAGTCATATCTTCCTCCCTGAGAGTTCCATTCCATTATCCTAAAGTTTCTCTGGAACCACTCAAAGTAGCTTCACTCTCTCTGAGAGAAAACTCTTTAATATTTGACAGTTTTTATCATTGCCTTCAGTGTCTTCTGTTCTCCAAAGAAGACACATATAACAATGAGGCTAAACTAACCAGCTTCAACAGAAAGGTCTTAGAAATGATGCCAGTATATTTATTGGCTTAATATAGACACAATTATCCATTCTGAGCAGAGATGACAAAATTACATCTTTGACAGAGCAAAGTTCTTCATAAGGGGACCACTTGTGGGCAAATTTTGGGATGTATGTACCCTTGTTTATTTTTACTTCACTTTTATCATATTTTCAGATGGACTTTATTACTCAAAAAGACTAAGAATAATTGACTTGTTGAAGACTTTATTATAAACATATTGCACAGTTCTCCTTGGTCACATTATAAGAACATTTGGGTATGTCTGTGACTCATCAGTGATTATCAGTGGGCAAATGTGAACAACTACTGTGGTATCTTCAGCAAAGTCCTGCAGCCTCACATAAATAAATGAAAGGAAAAACTGGGGAAGGAAAGAAGAGAAAGCAAAGGAAAAAAGGAAGGAAGGAAGGAGGGAAGGAAGGAAGGAAAGAAAGAAGGAAGGGAGGAAGGAAGGAAGGAAAGAGGGAGTGGGGAGGGAGGAAGGAAGGAAGGGGAAACATGTAGGAAAATAGAAAGAGAAAGAAAAAATGATTAAAGACTTTCACCAGGCTGGGCACAGTGACTCAAGCCTGTAATCTCAGCATTTTAGGAGGCCAGGGCAGGTGGGTTGCTCGAGCCCAGGAGCTGGAGACCAGCCTGGGTAACATGGTGAAACCCTGTATCTAACAACAACAACAACAACAACAGCAACAAAAATCCACACGCACACATGCACACAAAAAATTTCCCAGGCATAGTGACATGCACCTGTAGTTCCAGCTACTGGAGAGGCTGCAGTGGGAGGATCACTTGGGCCCGGGAAGAAAAGGTTGCAGTGAGTCGAGATTGTGTCACCACTGACATAGTTTGGCTGTGTCCCCACCCAAATCTCATCTTGAATTATAACTCCCACAATTCCCACATGTTGTGGCAGGAACCAGTGGCAGGTGATTGAATTATGGGGACAGGTCTTTCCTGCACTGTTCTTGTGATAGTAAATGAGTCTCAAGAGATCTGATGGTTTTAAAAATGAGAGTTTCCCTGAACAAGCTCTCTCTTTGCCTGCTGCCATCATGTAAGATGTGACTCGCTCCCACTTGTCTTCCACCATGATTGTGAGGCCTCCCCAGACATGTGGAACTGTAAGTCCAATAAACCTCTTTCTTTTGTAAATTGCCCAGTCTCAGGTATGTCTTTATCAGCAGCATGAAAATTGACTCATACAGTAAATTGGTACCAGTAGAGTGGGTCACTGCTGTAGATACCAGAAAATGTGGCAGTGACTTTGGACCTGGGTAACAGGCAGGGATTGGAACAGTTTGGAGGGCTCAGAAGAAGACAGAAAAGTGTGGGAAAGTTTGGAACTTCCTAGAGACTTGTTGAATGGCTTTGCCCAAAATGCTGATAGCAATACGGACAATAAAGTCCAGACTGAGGTGGCCTCAGATGGAAATGAGGAACTTGTTGGGAACTGGAGCAAAGATGAATCTTCTTATGTTTTAGCAAAGAGACTGGCAGCATTTTGCCCCTGCTCTAGAGACTTGTGGAACTTTGAGGTTGAGAGAGATGATTTAGGGTTTCTGGCAGAAGAAATTTCTAAGGAGCAAAGCATTTGAGAGGATGCTGACCTCTCAAAGCATTTGAGAGACATGACCTGGATGTGAGAGGTGCCTTGGGTGCTGTTAAAGGCATTTAGTTTTATAAGGGAAGCAGAGCACAAAAGTTTGGAAAATTTGCAGCCTGACAATGTGATAGAAAAGAAAATCCCATTTTCTGAGGAGAAAGTCAAGCAGAAATTTGCATAAGTAAGGGGGAGACAAAAGTTAATCCCCAAGACAATGGGGAAAATGTCTCCAGAGCATGTCAGTGGTCTTCACGGCAGCCCCTCTCATCACAAGCCTGGAGGCCTAGGAGGAAGAAGTGGTTTTATGGGTCGGGCCCAGGGTCCCCATGCTGTGTGCAGCCTAGGTTCTTGGTGCCCTTTGTCCCAGCCACTCCAGCCATGGCTGAAAGGGGCCAATGTAGAGCTTGGGCTGTGGCTTCAGAGGGTGCAAACCCCAAGTCTTGGCAGCTTCCACATGGTGTTGAGTCTGCCAGTGCCCAGAAGTCAAGAATTGGGGTTTGGGAACCTCTGCCTAGATTTCAGAGGATGTATGGAAAGGCCCAGATGTCCGTGCAGAAGTTTGCTTTGGGGCAGCAAACTCATGAAGAACCTCTGCTAGGGCAGTGTGGAAGGAAAATGTGGAGTTAGGGCCCTCAGACACAGTCCCTACTAGGGCGCTACCAAGTAGAGCTGTGAGAAGAGGGCCACCATCCTTCAGACCCCAGAATGGTAGGTCCACTAAAGCTTGCACCATGCACCTGGAAAAGCTGCAGACACTTAACACCAGCCCATGAAAGCAGCCAGGAGGGATGCTGTACCCTGCAAAGCCACAGGGGCAGAGCTGCCCAAGACCATGGGAACCTACCTCTTGCATCAGCATGACCTGGATGTGAGACATGGAGTCAAAGGAGATGATTTTGATGCTTTAAGATTTGACTACCTCACTGGATTTCAGACTTGCATGGGGCCTGTAGCCCCTTTGTTTTTGCCAATTTCTCCCATTTGGAATGGCTGTATTTACCCAATGCCGATAACTCTGCTGTATCTAGTAAGTAACTAACTTGCTTTTAATTTTACAGACTCATAAGTGGAATGGACTTGCCTTGTCTCAGATGAGATGTTGGTCTGTGGACTTTTGAGTTAATGCTGAAATGAGTTAAGACTTTGGGGAACTGTTGGGAAGACATGACTGGTTTTGAAATGTGAGGACATGAGATTTGGGAGGGGCCAGGGGCAGAATGATATAGTTTGGCTGTGTCCCCACCCAAATCTCATCTGGAATCGTAACTCCCACAATTCCCATGTGTCGTGGGAGGAACCTGGTGGGAGGTGATTGAATTATGGGAGTGGGTCTTTCCTACACTGTTCTCACGATAGTGAATGAGTCTCATGAGATCTGATGGTTTTAAAAATACGAGTTTCCCAGCATAAGCTTTCTCTTTGCCTGCTGCCACCATGTAAGATGTGACTTGCTCCCTCTTGCCTTCCACCATGATTGTGAGGCCTCCCCAGCCATGTGGAATTTTGTAAGTCCAATAAACCTCTTTCTTCTGTAAATTGCTCAGTCTCAGATATGTCTTTATTAGCAGTGTAAAAATAGACTAATACAACCACACTCCAGCCTGAATGACAGCAAGATCCTAATTAAAAACAAACAAACAAAGAAAAACACCCACCTGCCACAGGTGAAAAGGGCATTATTCCACATCTCTTCACTTCACATAAATAAGAAGTGTGAGAAAAACTGAGTTTGTTTGTTATTTATCTTGGCTTTTTGATTGTTTGTATAATTTGAAGGGCACAAATCCAGGTGTCCCAACACCAATCTTTTAAACTGACAAATATAGTAGGCAATATGCATAAAAAGAAAACATTTTAACCATCATCTACTCCTGAGGTAGCCCACTTGGTTCATTATAGATGAACCTAACCAGCAGGAGTTAGGCCCCAGGAAAAGCTTCTGAATCCCAAACTCACTCAATCCTGACTTATGACTGAAAACTAACATAATCATTTAAATTATAAACCCATCATTTTGAAGACAAAATTAAGCACAATTTCTCATGATTCAATTCCTTATAAGCAGTGAGAGGTCCAAATTTCTTCACTAGATTTGCCTTTCTTATTTGTATCAGGAATAAAACCCCAATTATGTGCTAATCTCTCTTGTAAATATCTATTAGGTCCATTTGTTCTGTAGTGAAAATTAAGTCTGATGTTTCTTTGTTGATTTTCTATTTGGATGATCTGTTCAATGCTGAAAGTAGGGTGTTGAAGTCTCCAGTAATTTTTGTATTGCAGCCTATCTCTCTCTGTCGCACTAATATTTGCTTTCTATATCTGGGTGCTCCAGTGTTGGGTGCATGTATACTTAAAATTGTTATATTCTTGTTGAATGGACCTTTATTTAATGACCTTCTTTGTCTTTTTTTATAGTTTTTGTCTTAAAATCTATTTTGTCTGATTTCCACTCCTGCTATTTTTTGCTTTCCATTGGCATGGAATATCTTTTTTTCATCCCTTTATTTTCATTCCATGTGTTTCTTTATAGGCAATGTGTGTTTCTTGTGGGCAACAGATCATTGAGTCTTGCTTTTTATCCATTCAACCATTTTGTGTCTTTTGATTGGAGAGTTTAGCCCACTTACATTCAATGTTATTATTGATAAGTAAGGACTAACTTCTGCCATTTTGTTATTTGTTTTCTGGTTGTTTTTTTCTGGTTTTCTCTTCCTTTTTTCCTTTGTTCTGGTCTTCATTTTAGTGAAGGTGATTTTCTCTGGTGGTCTGTTTTAATTTCTTGCTTTTTATTTTTTGTGTATCTGTTAAAAGATTTCTTTTATTCAAAATTACCATGAAGCTTGCAAATAATATCTATAACCCTTTATTTTAAATTGATGACAACTGAACAGTAATTGCATAAAAACCGAACTCACTAAGAAGAAAAGAGAAAAACAAAAAACTCTACACTTTGATGTCATCTAACTGCTTTTTAATTCTACTTATGTGTTTTATTTCTCTTTATGTCTTATTCTACTGCCTATGTCTTGAAAAGTTGTTGTAGTTATTCTTTTTGATCAATTTATCTTTTAATCTTTCTACTCAAGATATGAGTAGTTTACACACCACAGTTACAGTGTTATGATATTCATGTATTTATTATTACCAGTGAATTTTGTACCTTCAGATGATTTCTTCTTGCTCATTAACATTTTCTTCTTTCAGATTGAAGAACTCCCTTTAGCATTTCTTGTAGGACAGGTGTGTAGTGTTGATGAAATCTCTCAGCTTTTTTTTTGTCTGGGAATGCCTTTATTTCTCCTTCATGTTTGGAGGTTATTTTCACTGGATATACTATTCTAGGATAAAAGGTCTTTTCTTTCAGTTCTTTAAATATGTTATACTACTCTCTCCTGGCCTGTAAGGTTCCCACTGAGAAGTCTGCTGTCAGGCATATGGGAAGTCCATTATATATTTACATATATATTTTTTTCTCTTGCTGCTTTTAGAATCCTTTCTTTATTCTTGACCTTTAGGAGTTTGATTATTAAATGCCTTGAGGTAGTCTTCTTCAGGTTAAGTTTGCTTGGTGTTCCATAACTTTCTTATATTCAGATATTACTATCTTTCTCTAGGTATGGGAAGTCCTCTGTTATTGTCCCTTTGAATAAACTTTCTACCCCATCCTTCTCTCTACCTCCTCTTTAAGGCCAATAACTATTAGATTTGCCCCTTTGAGGCTATTTTCTAGACCTTGTTAGGCATGCTTCATTTTTTTTTTATTCTTTTTTTGTCTCCTCTGTGTATTTTCAAATAGCTATTTTTCAGCTAATTCTTTCTTCTCCTTGATCAATTCTGATATTAAAAGAATTCTCATGCATTTAGTATGTTCATTGCAGTTTTCAACTCCAGAATTTCTATTTGATTCTTTTTAATTATTTCAATCTATTTTTTAAATTTATCTGATAGGATTCTGAATTCCTGCTGTGTGTTATCTTTAATTTCATTGAGTTTCCTATTTTGAATTTTCTGTCTGAAAGTGATTTGTCCCTGGTGCCTTTTTTAGTTCATTTGGTGAAGTCATGTTTTCCTGGAAGGTCTTGATGCTTGTGGATGTTCATCAGTTTTCTGGGAATTGAAGGGTTCGGTATTTATTGTAGACTTTGCAGTCTGGGCTTGTTTGTACCCATTCTTCTTGGTAAGGCTTTCCAGGTATTTGAAGGGACTTGGGTGTTGTGATCTAAGTTTTTGGTCACTGTAGCCATATCTGCATTAGGGGGCACCCCAAGCCCAGTAATGCTGTGGCCCTTGCAGACTCATAGAGGTACCACCTTGGTGGTCTTGTGTAAAAATCCAGAAGAATTCTCTGGATAACCAGACAGATTTGTTATTGTATCTTTCCTTACTTTCTCCAAAGTACACAGAATTTCTCTCTGTGTGTGCTGGGCTGCTTGGAGCTGGAGGAGGGATGACACAAGCACCCCTGTGACCACCACCTCTGGGAATGTGCTGCGTCAGACCTGAGGCCAGAACAGAACGGGGTCTCACCTAAGGCCCACTGTAACCAATGCCTGGCTACTGCCTATGTTTACTCAAGGCCACAGGGCTCTACAATCAGCAGGGGGTAGACTCAGCCAGTTATGTGTCATCTCCTTCAGAGCAGTGAGTTTTCCACAGTCTCAGGTGGTCTAAAGATGCTATTTGGGAGCCAGGGCCTATAGTCAGAAACCTGAGGAACCTATCTGGTGCTCTATTCTACTGCAGCTGAGCTGGCACTCAAACCACAAGACAAAGTCCTTCCCACTCTTCCTTCCCCTTTCCACAAGCAGAGCAGTCTCTCCCCATGGCTACCACTGCCTGATGTCCACAATGAGTACTGCCAGGCTGCCAATGTTCACTCAAGGACCAAGGGCTCTTCATTCAGCTTGTGGTGAATGCTCCCAGGCCTGGGACTTTCCCTTTAAGGGAGTGGGCTCCTCTCTGGCCGAGAGCAGTTTCAAAAATGCTGTCCAAGTGCCAAGGCCTGGAATTAGGGACCTCAAGATCCCACATGATACTCTACCCCACTGTAGCCAAGCTGGTGCTCAAGTTGCAAGACATCATCCCCTTACTCTTCTCTCTCCTTTCCTCAAGCAGAAGGAGTTCCTCCCTCTCTGTAGCCACCAAGCTGAGAATGTGCTGGGTCACACCTGAAGCCAGCACATTTCTGAGTGTTACCCAAGTCCCATGGCATGTACTGCCTGGGTACTGCTGCTGATTATTCAGGGCCCAAGGGCTCTTAATCAGCAGGTGATGAATCCTGCCAGAACTGGGTCCTTCACTTCAAGGCAGTGGGTTCCATTCTGGCTCAGGGTGTGTATAGAAAGGTCAACTGGGATCTAGGGCCTGGAACGGGAGCTCCAGGACTCTGCCTGGTGCCCTATCCTATGTGGCTGAGCTGATATCCAAGTTGAAATATAAAGTCCTCTTCATTCTTTCTTCTCCTCCCTTTAAGTGGAAGGAAGGCGTCTCTGCTGGAGCTGCAAGCTGGGCTGCCTGGGGTTGGCAGAAGGGTGGCCCAACCACTTCCTTGGCTGCCCTAGCTGGTGTCTCTCCAGGTCATGTGCCCCCCTGCCCCAAGTCCACTGGCCCCAAGCCCAGCACAATGCTAGGACTTGCCCAGGAATTGCAGTCCTTGTGGCTTATACTGCCTTTCAAGTTTATTTAGGATGTAAGAGCACTTTAGCCCACAGTGGCAAGGCTTGCTGGAACTCAATTTCTGTCTGCTGGCATGGATGATTTCCCTCTGGCTAGAGTTGGTCTAAATGCTCCCTCTGTGGCACCAGCTGAATTCTTATCCTGTTGCTTTCCACTGTGACAGGACAGCACTAAGTTCCAATGCAAAGTCCTACAATCACTGTTCTCTCCACCCGTGAAATGCACAGATTCTCCCTTCATGCCATGCAGCCACTGCCAGGGGAAGGCATTATCAATTCAAGGCTGTCATTCCTACCCTCTTCTGTGCCTCTTTCAGTGATATGAAGTTAAAACCAGGTACTGTGATTAGTGTCATGACTTTTGGTCCTTTTGAGGGTGATTTTTGTGTAGAGATCAGTGGAGGCTTCTATTCAGCCATCTTGCTCCATCTCCTCTCTCCCCTAACTTTTACTAGTATAAAATCATAGGTCAGATATTACAGTTTGATTTAATGATTGAATGTCTTTATATAGGCTTATTAAATTGTTAACAAATATTTAATGAACATTTGTTACATGCAAGAAACATGGCTGCAATTTATGTTTTCTCACTACCAATAAGAAAAGAGAAAGTTCATATAATTCTAATATTAATCCTAAGTATCATAGTTAATAAGATAAATATAATTAAAAATAATCCTCGAATCAATTTTTATTGCTGACTGGTCAAGTTCCTACTACCATTACTCTTGATTTTTCCCAATGATCAAGTTGCTAGTATTAGAGTCCTTTTTCTATTCTTTTATCTTGGTTCAAAATATATTCCATGATGTTTATTGTAATTATAAAATTTTAAGCTGGGAAAATCTAGAATCTTGATATCTGAAGGACTTTTGCTTTTGAGCGTGTATTAGCTCATTCTTGCACTGTTATAAATAAATACCTAAAACTGGGTAATTTATAAAGAAAAGAGATTTAATTGGCTCATAGTTCTACAGGCTGCATAGAAAGCATGACGCTGGCACCTGCTTGGGGATGCCTCAAGAAACTTACCATAATGGCAGAAAGTGAAGGAAAAGAAGGTGCATCTTACACGACCGAAGCAGGAGGAAGAGAGTAAGGGGGGAGTACCAAACACTTTTAAACAACCAGATATCATGAGAACTCTATCATGAGAACAGCACCAAAAGAGGAAATCCACCCCCATGATTCAATGACCTCCCACAAGGCCCCACCTCCAACACTGGGAACTACAACTGAACATAAAATTTGGGTGGGGACACAGATCCAAACCATATTAAGCATTTCAAAAAAGTATCAATCTTATGTTTTAAAACAATTTTAATAAATATTGTATTATGATTCTTCAAATAGTATATGCTTATGGAAAAACAAAAATGAAAAGAATTAATACAGAGAAAATTAAAAGGCTTCACCTAACCAATTCCTTTCTCTCCAATTGTATTTACTGCTAAATCTTCCATATGTACCTTCAAGAAAAATTCAATTCCTTTCTCTCCAATTATATCTACTGCTAACTCTTCCATATGTACCCTTCAAGAAAATTTCAATTCTTTTCTTTCCCGTTATATCTACTGCTAACTCTTCCATATGCACCCTTCAAGAAAGTTTCTGTGAACATACAAGCACATACATATGAGTACATATGCATACTTTATTTTCATCATGGTCACCACATAAATATCTATTTCATTAGCTGGCTTTTACAAAAAGTAGTTTACTTAACCATTCTCCTACAAATGAACATTTCTTTTCATTGTTTTGTTAAAACCAACAATACTGCAGTAAATATCCTTGTATCTTTTAATACTTGTGTAAATTCATCCATGAGATAAATTCCTAGTGGTGGATTTTCTGGGCCAAATTTTATGTGCATGTTGAAATTTGGTAGATATTGCTAAATTAGTATCTAAAAAGGTTGAAAAATTTACATTTCTGCCATGACTGTATTAAAATGTCAGTTTATCCACACTCTCATCAGTATTGTATAAAAAAGGATTCTGCACTGGTTTGACATTCTTTTTCCTCCATATATGCCTCTACATTTCTTCAGCAAAGGTTAAATAACTAAAATCAATGTTCACATGTTTGATAAGTAAATGAAAGTAACCCCGATGCTTTCCTTTAATGTTAATCTTTTAGAGAGAAAAAGTAAGGGGAGGCAGGAAAAACACCCTATTGCATTTACTATGCATAGGTCAGAAAATATTCATGGCACACAGAATGTGAAAACAAAATCTAAAAACATAAGCTTGTCTTTTGTTCCATAAATGTACTGTAATATGCACTAGTTAAAATAAAATCTGTCTTGCAGAGCACTGAATTTTTCAGCAGCAATAATTATCTCTGTTTATTTCATTTTCTACTTTGGGAAAAGCTTATGATGCATGCAGAGTATACATATGAGTTTCACAGATGTGGTCTAAATTACTCATATGCTAAGCCCTTTTATCTGGCTACTGCTGGGTCAATTGCCTAACATAGAACAGAACAGGGTGACATGAGTTTGCAAAGAATTTGAAGTTGAATTTCAGCTTACAGCCTGGTTTTGCCATCAAATACACTATTTAATGTAGTGAAGCTCTACTTAAAGTACAAGGGTTATTGTTTTCTACTTTTTATTCTGTGTTCTAGCCAAAGAAAATAAACTGAAAAAATGTTCTAGTAGACATTAAGTCCAATTAATCAAGGTAATTTACTCAACCTCACTATCTAAATAATGAAAGAATGCACACACGCACACACACACACACACACACAGTTGTTCCTACATAAAAAGAGAGGAGCAACAATAAAAGAAGCTTTAAAGTTCTTTATAAAAATGCAGTTATTGGTGTGTGGGTATTCTACACAAGAATGTTTAAGATACAAGGAAGCTTCAGAATTCAAGTAATAATTTTGTTCAAAAATTTTTCAGTGTAGTTGACATATCAATAACTAATTCTATTATTTTGGTTCTATAACTATCACATTAACTTAACTACTAAATAGCTGTACATTTCCTTATTTTATATGTGTGTGTGTGTATATATATATATATATATATATATATATATATATATATATATATATATATGTATATTACTCTGTCCCCGTGGAGCTGCATGGTACAGTCCCCTAGCTGCTTTCACAGGCTGATGTTAAGTGTCTGCAGTTTTTCCAGGCCCACGGTGTAAGCTGTTGGTGGATCTACCACTCTGGGGCCTGTAGGACAGTGGCCCTCTTCTCTTAGGTCCACTAGGCAGTGCTCCAGTGGGGACTCTGTGTGGGGGCTCCAACCCCACATTTACCTTCCACGTTGTCCTAGCAGAGGTTCTCTACAAGGGCTCTGCCCCTGCAGCAGACATCTGCCTGGACATACAGGTGTTTCCATACATCCTCTGAAATCTAGGCAGAGTTTCCCAAACCTCCATTATTGCCTTCTGCATAGCTGCAGGCCAAATACCACATGGAAGTTGCCAAGGCTTGGCGCTTGCACCCACTAAAGCAATGGCCTGAACTGTACCTTAGCCCCCTTTTAGCCATGGCTGGAGCTGGAGCTGCTGGGACTCAGGGTGCCATGTCCCCAGGCAGCACAGAGCAGTAGGGCCCTGGGCCTCGCCCATGAAACCATTTTTCCATCCTAGGCCTCCATGTCTGTAATGGGAGGGGCTGCTACGAAGATCTCTGACATGCCCTGGAGACATTTTCCCCATTGTCTTGGCTATTAACATTTGGCTCCTCATTACTTATGCAAATTTCTGTAGCCAGCTTGAATTTCTCCATAGAAAATTGATTTTTCTTTTCTACTGCATGGTCAGGCTACAAATTTTCCAAATTTTTATGCTCTGCTTCCCTTTTAAACGAAAGTTCCAATCCCGAATCATCTCTTTGAACATAAATGGCTGTACACTTTCATAAAAATCCAGGTCACATTTTGAATGCTTTGCTGCTTAGCGCTTTATTCTGCCAGATACCCTAAATCATCTGCCAGTCTCTTTGCCAAAGCATAGCAAGCGTGACCTTTGTTCCAGTTGCCAATATGTTCCTCATCTCAGCCTTAGACCACCTCACCCTGGGCTTCATTGTCCATATCAATATCAGCATTTTGATCAAACCATTCAATATATCTCTAGGAAGTTCCAAACTTTTCCACAACTTCCTGTCTTCTCCCAATGCCTCCAAACTGTTCTGACCTCTGCCTGTTAGCCAGTTCCAAAGTGGCTTCCAAATTTTCAGGTTATCTTTATAGCAGTGCCCCACTCTTGCTACCAGTCTTCTGTATTAGCCAGTTTTCATGCTGCTATTAAGATATTACCTGAAACTGGGTAATATATAAACAAGAGGTTTGATTGACTCACAGCTCCACATGGCTGGAGAGACCTCAGGAAACTTTCAATCATGGCAGAAGGTGAAGGGGATGCAAGGCATGTCGTACATGGTGATGGGAGAGAGAGAGAGACAGAGACAGAGAGAGACGGGAAGTGTCACACGTTAAAACCATCAGCCCTCATGAGAAGTCACTCACTATAAGGAGAACAGCAGGGGGAAACTGCCCCCAAGATCCAATCACTTCCCACTAGATCCCTCCCTCAACACGTGGGGATTACAATTCAAGATGAGATTTGGGTGGGGACACAGAGCCAAGCCATATCATCATGGTTATACATGCTATATATAGAACAGGAAGAAAAATAGCAAAAAACATAGTGCTCCTACTCTTTATATCCTAGTGCCTTTAAGAATGTAATGCAATGAATGGCTAGATGCATATTACACCATGAGATATGTTTGAGGATAGAAAGCATGTGTGCAGAACAGAAAAAGAAAAGAAATCATGATCTCTGATGATTTCATGGAACATTAATTTAAGCCATAATTCCAACCAGATTCTATCACAGCTTCTAAACTTTTTTCACTTGAGAACATAAACTCTTTTTGTGTTTAAGCTTGTGTATTTGAGTCTCCAAAAGTAGTAAACAAACCTCAAATTTCCTGATATCTATTTTTCAAAGTGCGTCTCAGATTTAATTTCGTCCAGATGATACTCCTGTGGTCTCCCGGTGATCCCTGACTACTTTGTTCTTATGTGATCTCTAGGTGCTCTGAATAACTAATGGATCTATCCATTACATTCATTAGCAGTTTTCACATGCTCTCTTGCATTGTTAGTTGTCTTTTAATGTGTAGGTTTTAGCTATACTATATATAGCTTTAACTATACTGTAAATAAGGACAGGTGAAATGTCTATTTATTCTTGGTATTCCTTAGGGAAAAATTCAGTACCCTATGGTAAATATTTGATAAACAAGTAAATGAATAACTATTTCCTTATTACTTGATTTAGTACCATATAGTAGGTGGATATTGATCTAAGAAGAATTCTCTCTGGGGTTTCTGGTCATAATTTATCCAAGATAGTCTGGGTAAGATTGGTCTAATCTAATCAGTATCCTTTCAATTCATTCAAATAAAGTATTAGCATTTACTTCACAGTAAGCAGAGAATACAGTACTAGCATGTATTTCACAGCAAACAAGGATCCCCCTCAGAGATCTTGCAAATCAAAAGGGGAGGCTCATATGTAATGAATATTCACAATAAAGGATAAAAATATTATGTTAGATGGAGTCAGAAAGCAGTGGGAAAGGAGAGCTGGGAACCACATTGAGTGTAAGGTGAGAAAAGACCTCCTTGAAGATGTGATATTTAAGCTGAAATTCAATAGTGCGTGTTTTTATTATTTTGATTCTGATCTGTTGTCGCACAACACAAGATGCAACACAGTTCATATGGCTGCAGAAATCCAAGAACCACAGGCATGTCCATAGGCAATGCTTATTATGCTGAGCATAAATGCAGAAAAGAATGGAAAAGAAAAAGACCCTAATGGGATGTAAGAGAAACTAAGTTGGAAGTTTTTTAGATTAAGAAGGAAAAGAGCAGGAACAGGAGATAAAGGAGGCAAGGGAGGAGAAAAGACGAGTCAGAGAAAGCGAAGAACAGGAGAAGATAAAAAAGAAAGAAAAGAAAGAGGAGGAGTTTAGGAAGATACCTCTAAAATAGTCTTGATACAAATTGAACTGAGGATAAAGTTCAAACATGGCAGCCTCTGATCTCTTACAGATTCTTTATTGTCTAGATGTGTTTATTAATAAATTACTAAACAAAGAAGGTCACATAAAAGCTTCATTGAGATATAATTGACATACAATAACTTGGGCACATGTAAATATACAATTTGATTAGTTTTGACACACTACATATCTATATGTATGTACCCATAAAAATATCATAACAATGAAGTTAATGAGCATGTATATTATTCTCAAAAGTTTCTTAGTATTCCTTTGAAGTCGCTCATCCATGTCACCAGGCAATTAATAATCTTTCTGTAGATATGTTTGTATTTTCTAGAATTTTATGTAAACAGAATCATACTGTAACACTATTGTCTCTGGGAAAACACTGTCATATTTTTCACTTGGAATAATTATTCTGAAATTAATCCAAGTTGTTGCAGTATCAGTAGTTCTTTTTTTATTGCTGAGTAATATTCAATTCTATAGATATCGTATAATTTGTTTATCCATTCACTTATTGATGGACCTTTGGGTTGTTTCCAATTTGAGACAATTACAAATCAAGCTGCTTTGAACATTCATATACAAGTATTTGTATAGACATAAGCTTTCACTTCTCTTGGACTGAATACCGAAGAGTGGAATTATTAAATCTTACAGTAGGTGTAGGTATAATATTTTGAAGAAACCGACAAACTGTTTTGCAAAGTGGTTGTACTATTTTACATTCCCTCCCAGCAATATACATGTGTTCCACTTCCTTCACACTCTCTCCAATACTTGGTTGGTCAAACTTTTCAGTTGTAAACATTCTAATAAATACCTAGTGTATCTCATTGTGGTTTTAACCTACACTTCCCAAATGGCTAATGAAATTGGGCATATTTTCATGTGTATATTTACCTTCTTTGGTGAAGTGTCCTTTCAAATCTTTTGACTGTTTTTACGGAGTTGTTTTTCTTACTATTGAGTTTTGAGAGCTCTCTATATATTCTGAATACAAGATGTTTATCAGATATGTGATTCTTAACAGAGTACATTTCAACAAATATTTGCTTCAAATGTAAAAAGGAATATGTAAGCTGTTTTATGGTTATTTAAAGTAATATAAAACACAAGGAAACAACACAATAAATTTAGAAGTATTTATTAGAAATAAACATTTCTATTTAACTATAAATATATAAGCACATATATAAATATATAAATAAATAAATAAAGAGAAAAGTAAATGAGCCAGTGAATTATGTTTATCATTGGAATAACAAATATATTAGGCAGGAAGTGAGAAGTTGCTGCAGTAAAAGCTGCCACCCTCCCTTTCCTTGATCTGGCCTTTGTCTCCTCTTACTCCTATGACTGACGGTGGATAGTTGCCTACAGTTCACATCATTAGCTATTAATGACTTGGTTAAAATTTCCTGTTGTTCAATCCACAGGGCCCTCTACAAATCCATTTTAAGCTCCTATTAAAGACTACACAGGAAAAAGATTTACTATTTATGGAGCAACCTTGAACATAGTTTCTGGCAGGCATCTTCACAGGCAAGCGCTGCGTCAGCTGTGGTTCCACAATTTCAGTCCTTAAGCTCACTAGCTAGTCTAGACGATAACTCCTCAACAAGCATTTGATAAACACACATAGGTCAAGGCTATTCGAATCATTTTAATAGAAAAACAAAGAAAAAAATGACTGGAGAGGAGTTTGTTTCCTCACTAAAGGACAAAACAATTATTTAAGAGGCATCAATAATATGGTTCCAAAGGGCAATGTATTAATTTAGATAGTTTTACAATCATTTCCTTCCTAAGATAAAAATTAAAAGGGCAAGGAAAGCTTTTATTAGAAAACAAAGTCAACTTGGCACTGTGATGTACATCACAATAATGAGGTCTATAAAATTACATATCTGTGTAAGGGAATTGAAAATTCCATAAAGTTATATGTGAAAAATGTGGATAAAGAGACCTAACATTGACTAATTAGTCCGAGGTTCTCATTATTAAAATTAAGAGATTCCAGATCTGAATTTTATGGTTTTATGACTCTAGTTTACATTCCACTTTGCATGTTTATGCAAAATAATGGGCACATATCAAAGAAACAAATGAAAGGCACATAAGACAATTTTACAGTGCCATTCACTCCTTCAGTGTTACAGTTATCACTAGTGCTCGGCATGTTCAGTTCTGTCTGGCATTTCTCTAGCCAAGATTCTGCTTGCAGTCCTCTCTTTTTAGTTTTGACCATGTAAATAAATAAATAAATAAATAAATTTTTCTAACTCCTGAATTATCTGTATTTCATTTTTATTAAAATCCTGATAACAAAAAAATTTGCAGTGTCATTCTGATATTATCATCTGGCCAAGCAGACGAGTAAATAAACTGAATGCACATTTCTAAAAAATAATATTCATTTTTTAGAATACCCTGAAATCGCATTCTTAGAGCAGTCTCAACAACAGCAATAAATCATGACTAAAAGAGCACATTCTGTCACACAATCCAAATACAGTTCACTCTTCAGAAAAGGGTGACAGTTAATTTCAGAGAAATACATTTAACCTGCTTTGTGGTTTGTTGTTGTTGTTGTTTGAACTAAGAAAATGTGCTTTCATTTTTGACATCAGAATTTTCAAACATAAAACCTGGAACCAAAGTTGGAGTTGTTTAATCTAACAATTGAATCATAAAAGCCAGAATACAGAGTTTAAGTAAGAAATGAAGACACATAGAAACTAAAGAGTATTGTTCAATATTATGAAATCATATTTCTTTAGTTGGAGAAACCGAAGTGAACATAAATCAATTTTGGAAGATACTGTATTAGATTTTGGGCCCAAGCTCTGACCCCCATCTTTATAAATGAGAGCTCTATGTAATACATACCTTTGTTTACTCTAATAATTAAGCTCTTTTGTAATATGGTCCAAGAACAGCCAATCTCATACTGCAAGTTATTTCACAGGAATCAGTGTGTTCTAGAAAAAGAGAGTGTGCTGCTCCTTTTCAATAAAACCACCTTTTTATCTAGCAATAATTTCTATGAAGTTAAAAACTGTTACACATACCAATCTGTGGTATTTACATACACACACCAATCTGTGGTATGTATACACACATTTATAGTCTTACCCGAAGATAAAAGTTTTATAAGTGTGTTTTGTTAAGGGAAGAGCAAGTTTGCTGTTTATAGTAACACCCTGTACACAGTTCATAAATATTAGTTGAAAGGATGACTCATTAAGAAACAAATTCAAGTGAAACGATGAAAATCTAAATTAACCTTTAAGGTATTTGTGCCAGGATCAAACAAGCACATAAACTGAAGTTTAAATGGCCTCTGAAGGCTTAGTCATTAAATAATAGAGTGGCTTGAGTGAGTGAATAAATAGGATAAAACACATGTCAGCTCTGAAATATGAGAGTGTGAAGACTGTTTTATCACAACGGGAGACTGAGTTTCTGGCAGAGTAGTTGGGAAAGTTTGCTCCTGAATGATCAAGTCTTGGCATGCAATGGTTACCCCAAACTTGTCCATCTTTCTTATGCCTTCTATCTTTTGCTCTTTCTACTCCAGTACAATATATTTATACAGCAATTTTATTGTGCCCAATTTTGTTGTTCTCCTGACTATACATGCATAAAAATAGATAACTTATTACATTAAAATGTTTTTAAAATTCACTCTTTAACCTTTGGCTATATAAGTAAGAGCTATTTATTGCTACTTTTTAAGTGAGAAAGAATGTTAATTTACGTCAAGGATAGTCACGTGGACCCCACCTCTTTTGTTTCTTAAGGAAATGATTTTCCCTGTGTCTGGTGAACATTAACAAGGAACTTCCTGGGTTCTGCCTGCGGTATTACTCTGTATCCAGCTTTTCTTTCTCTCCCACTACTACTCAGAGTCAGATTTCCAAAACTATCTGAGTTCAGACAGCTTTCTCATGGTATTAAATGCTTTATCTGTAAAAGCATCCAATATTTTTTCCCAAAAATCTTCATTTCCAGCCTCACTAGTCTCCTTAGTTGACCTGCATCTCACATGCATTTGCCATTATTTCTAGACTGATAGAAATGTAAATGTTTTTGTACTCTATCTAAAAAAAAAGTTTGAATATTACTTCCAACCTAACCAGAAATAGTTTACTCCAGGAACTCACACAAGTTGAGAAAGAGCTTTTTTAAAAAAAAAAAAAAAAAAAAACAAATTGTACCTTTCTGAAGTTCAAACTCTGTAGCTTAACACAACAGTTCTCCAGCTGCAGTTTGGGGATCTTGGCTGTCTCTGAGACCCTTTTAGGGTGTCTGCCAGTCAAAGTCAAAGATCCAATCAAAGTTTACATGCTTTGGATAGATCAATTGATTTTATGTTGCAAAGTATGAAATGTTCATTGAAATGGATTCAGATTCTCCATTGCAACTAACCTTTAAGAAGGTTTTTTGACAGATTTATTCACAGATATAATTAATAAACAATATAATCCAAACATTCAAAGTTCACAATTCGATAATTTTTAATATATTCACAGACATGTACAACCATGTCCACAGTCAATTTGAGAACATTTTCATCACCACAAAGAAATCCTATAAACTTCAGCTATTATTCCTCATTGGTCCATCCTCTCAGCCATATCATTCCCTCAGCCATAAATAACCAGTAATCTATAAAACTTTATATCTCAGTAGATTTGCCTGTTCTGAACATGTCATATAAGTGGAACTAAACAATATGTGACCTTTTGTGTCTGGCTTTTTTCACTTTACATAATGTTTTCAAGATTGATCCATGTAGCATGCATCACTGCTTCATTCCCTCTAATGACCAAGTAATATTCCATTGTATGGGTTTACCATAATGTGTTTATCTGCGAGTTTAAATAAAGTTAAACTAGCTTAACTAAACAAATTATTTTCTAAAGTATGAAATTATAAGTAGTAGCTTAATTAATTTAATGCTACTGAATTGTTTGCTTAGCATATGGGAATATAGTCATTGCCTTTTTTTTTTTTGAGACCGAGTCTCACTCTGTCACCCAGACTGTAGTGCAATGGCACGATCTCAGCTCACTGCATGCTCCGCCTCTCAGATCCAAGCAATTCTCCTACCTCTGCCTCCCAAGTAGCTAGGATTACAGGCGCGTGCCACTACGCCTGGCTATTTTTTTGCATTTTTAATAGAGATGAGGTTTCACCATGTTGGCCAAGCTGGTCTTGAACTCCTGACCTCAGGTTATCCCCCTGCCTTGGTCTCCCAAAGTGCTGGGATTACAGGCATGAGCCACCACGCCTGGCCCATTGCCTTCCTAGCTGCAGCTTCACTTTCCAGTTTCAGCCTGAAGATAAGCGATTACAGTACAATAAGATATTTTGAGAGACAAAGACCACATTTACATACTTTTTATGACAGTATGTTGTGTTAGTTCCCCTATTTTATTATTAATTGTTGTTGTTAATCTCTTACTGTGCCTAATTTATAAACTAAACTTTATTATAGGTGTGTATAAGAAAGAACATAGCATATATAGGGTTCTGTACTACCTGCAGTTTCAGGCATCCACTGGAGGTCTTGGAACACATCCCTCCTGGATAAGACTGGACTACTGTAGAGTGGACTGATAGCAACCTCTCCTTTAACAAAACATATATTTTGCTATACTTATTTTTCAGGGAAATTATACCTCTTTATAGCCATAAAACTTTCTTTATACATATAACTTTTAAATTTCCTAATATTCTGTTAAAATAAAACAAAATTCACTGTTTAGCTACATTGTATTTTGTCACTAAGTTCAGTGAACCAAAATAAATACTAAAGATTCCATTACAGTATGGCTTGTAATTATAGATTCAGATGTCTTATTTTGAATTTATGATTGCAAAAACATATGCAGTAATGTATACTCATCTATATATAGACTACCATGTGGTTTTTATATCTCTCTTTGGCATGATAATTAGATTTGATGTGTTTCCTCTTTTATAAATTCCTAAGAGGTCATTAGGTGGAATACAGTTGGCCTTTTGCTAGAAAGGAAGTAGCTTCAGCAAATAAGTTTTGGAGACTCAGTCTTCTAAAATTCTTATCAGATTAGGGGGAAACAAGGAGGAATAAAGCATTTTGATTTATTAATTACCAAATTAAGATTGTGATTAAAAATTAACATTGTGTTTCCAGAAAATAGCAGAAAATGCACGTATGATTATGACCACTAGAAAAGGGAAGATAAGTCTTAATAAAATCAATTTCAGCAGAACTTAACATTAAAAAGGGAGGGAAAGGGGTCAGGTGCTGTGACTCAGGCCTGGAATCTCAGCACTTTGGGAAGCCGAGGGGCAACGACTGCTTGAGCCCAGGAGTTCAAGACCAGCCTGGGTAACATAGCGAGACCCTGTCTCTAATTTTTAAAAGGGGGGAGGGGAAAGAATGAATAGCAAATGAAACTAGCAAAATAAAAAAAAAAGAGGAAAAAGAAGACACCTCAAAATATAATAAACAGTGTGACATAAGATATAGAAATAAAACAACTACACAAATTTCGTACTAAAATAAGAAAGGGCTGAATTATCCCCTTAAAATATAAGATTGTCATTTTGGATTATCAAAAAACAAACACACTTTAAGCAAATGATATAGAAAGGTTGAAAATACTGGAATGGGTCAAAACATGCTCTGCAAATTCAAGCAAAATGAAAGTAGGAGTGGTAATGTTCATATCAGATAACAAGATGGAAGATGAAAAGCAGCAGCAAGGTTAGATTACAGTATATAATTTAAAAATATAGTTTGAGGCAACTCTCATAAACACATTCACCAAACAACATAGAAGGTAAATATAAGTTATTAAAATTTATCCAAGCAGTTGAAGAGCTGAAATTCATAAAGGAGACTGAAAAGGTGATTAAAGATGTACCATTAGAAAAAAAACAGCTGGACCAACCGGTGCAAAATAACTTCTAACAAAAATGTAATCATAACATCTTTTAAATTAACCAGGCCATTTAATGAATGCAAATATCCCAATTTAACTTTAATATAATACCCTGCTCTAGATAAAAGGAGTATGAACAAAAAAGGCTATGGAGTAAATTTTGCTATTGACTAGAGATGCAAACAGTCTAAATTAAACTTTAGTAAATTTAGGAGAAAAATATTCAGCTCACAGTGATGACAAAAAGTATTATTGTTCATTTCATCTAGGATGCCACTGATGGTAAAACACATCCTGATTTCAGAGATATTAAAGTGTCTCTTTTCTCGAGTTCACAGTGTCTCGGCATCAAGCACACACAATCAATTAGCACGCAGGACCTCGGAAAGGAAAGCTGGTTGGACTCCTTCTTGTCCATAATTTTGTATGTACAACCTCACTAGAGGCAGTTGGAGGTGAGGCATTTTATCACTGGCTTTCAAGAGGGTTAAGGCCAGGAAAGGAGAGCAATATGTGCTCTTCACCTAGTGACAGCAATATGGAAGAGACTTACTGGCCGAGATTTAGGAGATATATTTTAAAACAATGTTTTTCAACATTTTGTTTTTCCCCTTTATTACCTTTTTAGACATGATTAGACGTCTTTTTAGACATGATTAGACTTGATTAGACGTCTAATCACGTCCCATGAAATTGTATTACCATAAGTATGTTATGTATTTTTGATATACTGTATATATATCAGTGATTTATACATAAAAAAAGTAGAGTTTTTTCCTCCCCCAAGAACCAGTTTTTGCCCCCTTGCGGAGATATCATTCTCATTGAGAATGCATGTTTTAAAGTTATATCACTGAATATTAGTATTGTGTGATGCAACTTACATTCCTTTTACCCTAATTTGTGTAATTTCAGTGGGTCACCACAATTTGTTTTAATCCTTAGGAAAAAAAGACTCAAAGCCATATTTGTGAAGCTACTGTGGAGAAATAATTTAGATTAAGCAATTAAGTAGAATGAGTCAGTTGGAGTTTTTCTGGCGTGAAGTCAATTGCTGGGTGTTTTCCCATCTTTCCCATTACTGGAACCTGAAAAAAAAGTCTCGTGCCTTCAGAAATAATCTGCATATAATTTGTAAGTCATTAGTATTGCAAACATTCCATGCTCTTATCATATATCTTGCTTAGAATAAAGAGTTGGTATATCACATAATCATAGTCAATCAAAGAGGAAATTCTATCATAAAGCTGGGATCACAGGACATTAGCATGTTTAAACACATTAATTTAAATGTTTTTCATAGTTATATTTATCTTACTAAATGTTTTAAAAATAAAATTAAGAAAAATACTTTATAAAACTTCTCACATATGCACACATGTACACAGAGAAAAATGTTTCCTCCTCCCTTACTAAATCATTCTATTCTTCTTTGAAGTAACTCTTGATCTCAGTTCTCTATGGACTATGTGCTTTACTCGGCAGAGGAGAGAGTTCTTTGCCACGGTTTTGGCTGAGCAGGGAAGAAGCAGGAGGCATGCGTCTCTGTCCAGCCCTGCTCACCTTGTTCATAATAGTGTCTCTTGCCCAGGTCAGAAGTTCAAGACCAACCTGAGCAGAGACCAGTCTCAGAAACAAAAAATAAAATAGCATCTCTTTCCTGCCTACCCAAGGTGAAAATGCACAGCTTTATGCCTCCATGATGTATTTCCTCAGGCGTTTTAAAGAAACTAGAAATAAGCTGGGTATGCTTATTTTATTTACTTGGGCTTATTATGTCTCTATTCATGCCTATTATATTTGACACATTGCTTATTTATTTTCACCCTTAGCAGTAGAAAAAAAAATGCTCACATTCCATTGCCCTAAACTTTAAACAGAGGAAATCAGAAATGCAAATAAATGATTTCATTAGTTTTTCAAACTGCCATCTGATAGAATCAAAGCAAGTAGTCAACCATGTGTGGTAGAACTAGGGATTCAGGCAAATATGGTTGTAATCTCACACTTACTCACTGTAAGACCTTGACAAATTTTGCTTAATCTTTCTGAGCCTTTGATTCCACTTCTATACAATGAGGGTAATAACAGTACCAGCCTCACAGGGTAGCTGTGAGGATTGCAGAGCCAGAAGAGTGCCCAGAAGAAATGTCCAGCACATTGAAAGCACTCAAAAGTGCTTGTTATTGGAAACAATAATATTATTCTATTTCTTTTTTTTATTATCCCCGACAGTACCTAGCACAGTGCCTTGTACACAAGTATACAATAAATTGAATGTATTAATGAATTAATGAAAATAATTATGATATGACTATATACAACTTCTTAAAATGTGTACAACTATATTAAATACTTTTTCTTTCCTTCTTCCTCTAATTTCTTCTTTAAAGACAAAGACTCAGGATTTTCACAATCCCTGGAAATAAAGAGATGAGATTTCACAATTTTTCCTCCAACTGTAGATTGACTGTATGGTGCTGAGAATCTCAGTTTAATGGTGATTATCAATAATGTAAGTTATCAGGAACTCAGATGCCTATTCATTTGTTCAACTATTTAAAATAAAAATCTTGAGGTGAGGATGGAGAAAATTAGGCAACAATATAGATTTCTGTTACATCGTTCTACAATTTAAATTTTTAGAAACCTCATAATCCAGGAAACTAATTAATTGGTTAGTTTTATGTCTCCTTGAAAATAGTCTATAGGGTCTAAAATGACACTTCTCAAAATATAATGTTAAATGAATGACTAGAAAACCTTGTAAAATGTAGATTCTAATTTAGCAGTTCTGGTATGGGGCCTGAGATTTGTGTAAGCATGTATGTGATGCTGATGTTGCTGTCTGCAGACCAGCTTGAAAAGCAGGAATCTAAGATCTTAAAATATTCTACATTGTGGCCATGCTCGGTGGCTCACGCCTATAATCCCAGCATTTTGGTAGGCCGAGGTGGGTGGATCACAAGGTCAGGAGTTCAAGACCAGCCTGGCCTTCATAGTGAAACCCTGTCTCTACTAAAAATACAAAAAAAAAATTAGCCGGGTGTGGTGGCATGCACCTGTAGTCCCAGCTACTCAGAAGGCTGAGACAGGAGAATTGCTTGAACCCAGGAAGTGGAGGTTGCAGTGAGCCGAGACCATGCCATTGCACTCCAGCCAGGGTAACAGAGTGAGATTCTGTCCCAAAAACAAAAACAAAAACAAAAATCTACATTGCTTGAGATGAGGGATAAATATAAATTTTTGAGCCAAAACAAAGGAGATAAGTTAGAATTTTTAAAAATGTTATTTTATCAGCCATTTGATCTTCCAGACAAATTTTAAGTTCTTTTCAATAACCATCATTAACTATCAAAAAATAACACATAATGCCTTACAAATGGAGATTGTAACAGAGAAGTAGAGACAAGTCAACATAAATTAAGTGACAACAAAGTATGACTGACAAGGTCTTTTTTTTTAGCTTTCTATGAAGAGCTTGGGGTTGGGGGGAAGCCATACTTGAAAAAAAACTACCAAAGTGTCAGCTTTTAACCAAAAATGCAGAAACAAGGGGGTTAATATTTAAAGTCACATTATACAAGGCAAACTTAAAAAGTGGGAAAATATTTACAATGTACATGAGAGACAGATTAAACTTTTAAATATATAACAAGGTCTTAGATATAAAAAGATTCAGTTTAAAAATGGGAAAATGATTTGAACTGTTGAACAGGCAAACCAGAGGTGAATAAGCACACATAAGTTTTAAAAATATAACTATACTAGTAATTAAATAATTACACATTTAAAATATAATGCCACTCTTCAACTACCAAATTCTGAGACTAAAATTTTCCTTCCCAATGCTGTCAAAGATACTATGAAATTGACACTCTTACACAGTTTACTTTACTTAGGTAATTTGAAAAAAGCAATTTCATAATCTGTATTAAGGACCTTAAAGTACTCACATACCATGTGTCTATTCAAGAGCTTAAAAGAATTGCTATTTAAAATTAGAGGCTTTCCTTCCTTAGTCCTGCCTAGTTGTAAAGCGACTAATTTCTAGCCTTGAGATCTGGTGTATTCTTTTACATCCATGATCTATTTGATTTTACTAAAAGCAAAATAACATTCTCAAAGACTTCTTTCTTAAAGAGATGTAATATCAGATGGCTCAATATGTTCTGCATCACATCCTCTCAATCCATTTTTGCTTTGGCCATTGGTGCATTAACCAGCTGCATACAGATGTCCCTTGACAACATCTTGCCTCCACTCCACTCTGTATGCCTTCCTTTCTGACCTCGGAGCTTCTGTGCCATCACTATGTGGGACACGTATATGAATCAATTCAGTTTTTTAATGCTTGTGCAAACCAGAATATGTGAAGGGCAGCCCTAGGTCAATGGGACACAGAAGCAAAAATATTGCACTAAAGTTGCTGATCTACCACTGCAACTGTGGAATTCCCAATCTGCCAGCAACAGAAACCAATGCCAAGTCTTACATATAGAAACATAGCTTATGGAGCCCAGCCATTCATTTTATGTCAGGTTGATCAGTTTGGGCTATATTCATGCTGCAGGTGACAGCAATTTTCTCTTGCCAGAATTGAAATCACCTCTGGATATCAAGTTGCCTTTCCTGTTCACAGTGTTTCTTGACACAACACAACTCAAATGCTTATAGAGTACATGGGACCCTCTATAATATAAACTCAGATCAAATGATTCATTCTAAGGAAGAAGGTAGGACACTAAATACCTGACCAGGGATTCACTGGTCCTCTCATACAGTGTGTCATCTTGGAAGAAGCTGGTTAATAGAATATTCAAACACCAATTAAAGCATCTAAAGCAGCATCTTGGGGCATCTTCTAGGTTGAGATGTATGCACTGAACTAATGCACTGTGTCCCCAGTAGCTAGACTACTTGAGTGCAAGAAACAAATTATGGAAGCAGGATTGGCCCCTGCGCCTTTGCTCCCAGTAACCCTTTTGCAGAATTTCTACTTCCTCACCCTATAAATTGAGTTTCTGTTGGATTAGAAGACCCAGCTCCTGAGTGGGACTGGGGAAGGGAAGCAACAAGGGGAAACATTTAACTGTGTACACAGCAAGGGTTCCATTAAAGTAGAGACTGGTCAGGATTCTCTTATACCAGTGGAACAGCAGGTAAAGAAAGGAGTTACAATATTGTTGGACATGATCTGGAATACCATAAGGAGGGGTTGTTGTAACACAATGTGGGCAGAGAGGAATATGTCGAGATCCAAGTTCACTGGAGCATCTTGGTGTTTTCATGCCTATTGATAAATGTTATAGGCAACTGCAGAAAATCCAAACTGGCAACATTAAAGCAACTGAGGGCTCCAAACCCTCAGGAAGCAAGCCACTAGACCAAAGTTCTGGCCAATGATGAGAAAAGTAAAGAATCAGTGAAGAGGAAGAAGGAAATAAATTATTTGTTTTATGGGATTAGCAATCATTTACTTTAGGACTAGTTGCAGTAGTGGAGAAAGTATATTATTACATTAACCTTTGCATATTATTAATAAGTCATTGTCCCTGAAAATTTCAAAAAATAAACATAATAAAGGGTGGTCAGCCAACATGATTATACATGTATATAGTTACAGTGAGGGAGACTGAGAGTCATTAAGTAGTTACACATATTTAAAATAAGTTAGACAATGACAGGCAAGGCATATTTATACAGATTAATGAATTGACAAGAGATTCCAGAAATAAATTTAAAGTTATGTCAGTTTACTGTATGATAGAAGCATTTCATGTAATTGGGGAAAAGACACATTTTTCAACAAGTGATGTTAAGGTAACCACATAGGATCCTTCCTTCCTGCATTTGTTATTTTTTAAGTGCTAAAGGAATCAAAGGTGTAAATATAAGGTAAATGATAAAAATATTAGAAGAAAATATGAAATAATTTAACAACTCAACTACACATGAATAAAACATAACTACAGGGTACAAGCATCACAAATGCAGTCAGGCTTAAAGACAAAATTGTGAGACAAAACTTGTAAAACAGATGATTATAAGAATAATTAAAATTAATAGGAAAGAAGTCAATGACCCAATTAAAATAAGCAAAGGATATTAACCAATTATTCGTCAACAAAAGAAATATGAATTTTTTAAAGATGTTCAGCCTACTTTTTAAAAAAAGTAATACATAAATTTTAATTTATTTTGGCAGAGATCAAAGAGTTTGAAAATGCACTATACTGGCAAGGGTGTGGGGAAGGAGCTGTTCTCATACTCTCTCGGTGAGTTATAAACTGACATAACCTTTACAGAAGGCAATTTGGCAATGTCTACCAAAATTTAAATTGTAACTACTCTGCCCCTTTATGGTATTATTTACAAAAAACGAAATACTTAAAGAACCTAAATGCCCATCAACAAATTGTAGTTCATTTATACAATGGCAGCTCTACATAAACAGATTTCAAACCATTTCCAAGATATATTGTTAAATTTAAAAAGAAAACAATTTTAAGAACCAAATATTTATAATCTGGGAATAAAAATGGATATATATGTATTGTAATATATGTGTGTACATGCTTGTACATGCACCTATTATCTACAGAGAAATATATGTGACCTATCATCATGTTTGCCTCTGGGTGGGGAATGAAATGAGGACCAGGGAGAAATGAGCACTTTTCACTATCAACCCTTTTGTATTTTCTGAATTTTGTACCATCTGCATTTATTAATTATGCAAAGATTGGTTATGTAAAAGCTAATTATTTTCATCATTACTATGATTTTTAAATACTAATTTAAATCATAGTTCAATAGTTAACTTTCTATCCTATAAATACATAATAATTTAATAATTTTTCTATTGTTGAATGTGAGTTTTTTCTAATTTTTATTATAGATTTTGCATGCCTATATGTAGTTGTTTTTTCCTATGCCTGTTCTAGCCAAGCTGATCTGCTCACTGTTATGATCTACATATTCATACCCCTCATCTTCTCGTTTACATTAACCCATGTGACATGCCTTCCCAGCTTCTCAATGGCTTTAAGCCCAGTCCATCTTTTACAGCCTTTTTTCTTTTCTCTAACTACCCTTGACAATAATATTTCCTTTCATTTTTAATATATGTATTAACTTTATGTGCCTATTTTGTTTCCATTTATAAAATAGAAATATCAATATCAACCTCAGAGTATTTGTGAACATTAAATGAAATTAATATCAAGAAAAATGTTGTATCCTTGAGAAACACTACAAAAATATAACTAACATTATATATATCGCACTAATATTTTATTTTAATTATTTCTTATGTTATTTTTTGTTGTGCTCATGCCACTGTTATACTAGTCATCATTTTATGTACTTTCTGTCTGCATGTATATTGCCCATTTACTAGATGATTACTGCTTTAAAGGAGTATTCATTGTTCATCTGTGTGTCTTCCACTACCACATATTGCTGGCACCTTTCACGTAAAGATCCTCAATAATGCTGATAGGCAATCAATGCTGTTACATGGCTGATTCTAATATTTGGATTTGGAGTTACAAACTACTCTATAAAGAATTTTAAAATTAAGAGATCAGAGTGCAAATGATAGTCAATGACTTATTTATATTCTTCCTTGAGAGAAATGCTCAACCAAAGGACACTTTCCTCTTCCCTTGTGCTCCCCAACCCACCACCAATTTATATAAATACACATCTTGAAGGAAGCTGGTAAGCCTACTCTAAAACACAATTTAGGTTGCATCTCCTCTATGAGACCAATAAGCCTCTCACACAGTTAATCACAGTCTCTCTAACTTATTTCTATGCCACCTATTTCACCCGTAGACTTCACTTCACCTATTGTCCTGTGCATAATTATCTACCTGGCTTTTTTGTCTATTTTATGGTGGCTCTTTAAGGCAATGACCATGATTTTTCATCCTCATATCCTCAGTCCCTATCACAGTTCCTGACACATGGTACATGTGTCTATTAATGGCCTCTAAATTGTAATTAATTAATTAAAATTAATTTGAGGAAATTACTTATATATATGCTTCCTATTTGCAAAAACAAAATGCCTTGGGATGCAAATTTGATTGGAGGAAAATATGTATGCATATAAGTTTTATGTAATTTTCTTACAATAATATTTTGGTATACTTAGCAATAACAAGGATACCCAAAGATACTATTTTACCATCAAGTATAGAGCTGAAGAGAAAAAGAATTGCATAGAATATTCTAAATATAGTTCAGTGACTACCTGCTTGTCATGCCATTACTACCTACTGGCTGCTGTTTGACCATGATCAGCAAATCAGTAGATGTATTCCTGATGATACTTTTATTTTCTGTGTAATGGTGTATTAATTTAGCTGGTATTGGCTGTCTTAATTAGAATCAGTTAGAACATCAGAACATTGTTTATCAAGCATGGCAAATATTTGCCTTAACTGCTTTGCTGTCTTCTCTTTAAAAAAAAAAAAAGAAAAAAAGAAAAGAAATGATGTGCTAAGAAGGCCTAGAGGGAGAGGGCAGTCGGTTGAGTTATTACTGAGTTGAGTTATTCGGGAGTATCCCAAGCCCCAATCTCTTGATTTTTAGATCACTGGTGGACTTTAACATATATCAAGCTTCTTAGTAAAGACACTAAGATACCGACAAAATAATTGTGTTTTTGTATATATTTTATTAACATATATTAATAAAATATATGTGCATATTTTATGTATTTATATATAAATATATAATCTAGATTATGTATGTTGACTGTAAATTAGTAAATTTTTTTTACCTAGAAATAAAAACATAATCAGAGGGTTAGATTATGCTGACAGGAACATTAATTTTGGCAAATACTAGATGTTAGCCCTCAATTATAAGTTCACAATCAAACACTGCATTGAATGCTTAAAGGCAGGTGTGGGCCAAGTAAAAAAAGAAAAAGTACTTTGATGTGCTGATTTTTCCCTCTCTGTTCTTCTAGACTCTGCTTTAAAATTCTCAATGGATTATATCTCCTGGGCTTACCAGTTCTCTTGCTTATTATTGGTTCTAGTCAAAAAAGAAAAAGAAAAGAGAAAGAAAAGAAAAAGCACCAGCAGGAGATGAGAGGAAGAGAAGAAATAGACATCAGAGCATTTATTCCCTTAATCTCCTTCATTCAGGCGTACTGCTTGGCTCTGGATGCACTTTTTGCTATGGTCTAATTTATGTCAGGAAGTTTTATTTCCATAGCTACATGTCCTACCAGGACTGACAATATCATGGGACTTTTAGCTTGAAGTTAGTCGACTGAATATTCATACCAAAATTTCTGGCTCCTATTCAAAACCGACATTATAGATTATCAGTTTAAAACTGACATTGTAAAAAGTTTATAAAATAGATGTTAATACATAGCTGTATTAAGAGGGTAAAGAGGACAAAAGATCCTCACATTCAAGGCTTTAAAGCAGCGACCAAAGCCTCCCACAAGTGCTAGACCTAAACTAACGGCATCACCAACAAGTATATGCACTAAAAGGCCATGGTGTCAGCACGTGGCCATAATCAAAGGCACATGGTGAACACATGACTGAGAATCAGCCACCATCTGAGAAAGGCCAGAAAAGGAAGCAACAAATTCAAGAAACAAAGAATTTATACTCAATAACATACAGATAATATATAAATACAAAAAGAATTTGGAATAAATATAGTTACTATCTTCAAAGAGATAAGAGAAATGCACTCATTATGCAAAAGTATATAATTATGGAACAAAAATTGACTGTTGTGGACACAGAACTTAGAGATCATAAAACTACCAACTTGTTGGAAATTAAGAATTATGAAAACTCACCACAGTTAAGTCAAATAACAAATTGAACCTAACTGAAGAACAAAATAGTGATCTGCAAGATTAAGGAATTCTACCTGGTGGCGGTACACAGTTGATTCTCATTATTCACAGATTCCATATTTGGGAATACATCTACTCACTAAAATTTATTTGTAATTCTAAAATCAATACTCACAGCACATTTGCTGTCATTCACGGGCATGCACAGTGTGGTGAAAAATTTGAGTTGCCAGATGTACATGTTCCAAGCTAGGTCAAACTAAGGTGATGCTGTCCTTCTTATTTCAGCTCTCATACAAAGGCAAGGACAGAATGGAGGAGTACAGGGCAGTACACTGCAGTGCAAGAAGCTCTGGCTCTAGGATAAGTTGGAAGGAGTTTGGGTCCCAACTTTGGCACTTGTTGGTGGGGTGACCTTAGACAAGTCATTTAAAACTTCTGAATCTCATTTTCTCTTTTGTAAAATAAAGAAAACAGAATCTTCCAGGATAAATTGTTTTTTAGGGTTTAAGTTTATAATCTAAGTGAGATTGCACCCTAGGAACAATGGCTCAGTATTCCCTAATTCAGTGTCACCAAAGACTTTCTAGAACACAACTACTGTGCATAACGCGAACCAACTCTGGAAATTATCAAAGAGAAGTTAAGAAGCATGAGGCATAAATCTAGAAGTTTAAAAATGTAAATGGAATGCCAGATGAGATCATAGAAAAATACTTAGAAATAATAGAAAATACTACTATAATGTGTAGCAATTTCTCAAAACTTTAGAAATATGATTCCACATATTGTAAAAACTCATATAATGCCAAGCAAAGTGAAAACAATTAAACAAGCAACAAATAAAACCTCACACCTGAACACACTGTAGCTTTCACACATTAAGGATACAGAGAAATTTCTGAAGTCATTAAGAGAAAAAGGATAACACAATAAAGTGTAAATGACTCACATATTTTGAACCACATAATGTGATTGCAAATCAAAATTTATCTGGGAAATGAAAAGATGCCTCCAGTTTCTGTATGGAAAATAGATGCGAGTGAGAAGGGACAGAAACTGAAGTGACTTCATGAGTTTTTCTCTTTTTGGCAGTCTAGGAAATGATGATTTCAGGGTTGCTAAATTCAGTGTGGGAGGAGACCAAGAGAGATTCCTGCCCTTCACAAATTCAAAGGAGGCGCCTGCAGATCTGCAGTCAGTCACACATTTCTGGATCTTTCTCCAACATCTCCAGCCCACATTCACCACTCTCTCCGCCAAATTCCTGAATCTATTCTGTATTTCTTCTTCTCATTTATCCCCCACAGTGTCGTCTTGTTGAACTCACATTAAAAACTCTGTAAAATAGATGTCTATTAAAAAGAAAGGGGAACAGTGAAAACGGAAGATGGCATCTGTGAAAGAGAAAGAAGAAAAAAAGAAAAAAAAATAAAGAAATCAGTTCGGGTCAACATGTAAGTTATCCTACTTGTTATACAGTTGTGAAGACCTACCCCTTTTATTTTTTCACTAAGTAATAAAATTCCAATAGTTTATGCAGTAAAGAGGAAATATATGTCTTGCAAAGGAGTTCAAACAGATATTAAAATTTATATTCATCAAAGCAAAGGCAATTCTCTTCTTGGCAAGCATGGAAACACTAATCGTGCTTCTTAAGAAACATTTTTCTTCTTTTTGCTCCCCTTTGGAATTCACTCAATATATAACCGACAGATTACTCTTTACAAATACTGCTAATTTGGGGCCACTTCCCTGTACAAGAAATTAAATTTATTCCCAAGTATTTCCAGTATGGACTTTATGCTTTTATTCCTGGATTATTGTTTAGTCTTATCATACCTTAACAATAATCTAACCTTACTTCCAAGTAACTTTACTTCTTATAGCTCCCCTAAACTATATCCACTTTAGTCAGAATCTTAACTTCATCCCTTAATTTATTTACGTGTACAGGCATAGGATAATGTTGCATTATCTCCTCAGAATGATTTTTTCCTTCCTGCCGCCAAAGTCTGAACCATTGCAAGAAACCTTCCTTCTTAGTGATTATAGACTCTTGGTGTCATACAGTAAATGAAAAAAAAAAAAAAAAAAAAAAAAAAAAGACAATGATAGACCTGGCTTCTAGAATTTCAGTAATTTAATTGATCTCATGACTATTGATGTTACCATCAGTAGAGAAAACAATGAAATGACCCAACTGCTTTTCAAGTTCACAATTATAAGGAATATAAGATTAATTTTTTCCCATTGTCATCAAAATTGAGCCCTCTGTAATTGCCTCTATAATGCTTCATCTATAACAGAGTCAGCACTGGCCATTCAAAACATTTACCCTTAGAGTTTCTGTATGCCAAGTGATCATCAAGGCACTGGAGATTCGTTGGTTATCAAGACATACACCATCCCTGCCCTTCTGGAGCTAACATATTTAGTGGAAAGACAGTGAATTATTACATAACCAAGATAATTTTCAGGTGATGAGTTATATCAAATAAACAGGATGATATAGCAGAAAATAAATTGGATAAAAGAGAGACAACTACAGATTGAGCCATCAGGGCAGGTTATCTGGGTTGTATAACACGAGTTAAGGCCTGGCAAAAGAAGACACAGCATTTCTAGAACTTGAGAAAAAAGATTCCAAGTAGTGGTATCAAGAAGAATACAAACCTTGATTTCAGAAGTACATTGATGTATCTGGGTAATAAGAGAGGTTCCAATGTGGTTGCAGCATAGTGAGGAAGGAAGAAAATGGTTTGAAATGAGGTTGGAAAGGAGACAGGGCTGAATTATGCATAGCATTGTGGACCACGCTGTGGAATTCAGATTTTATCCTAAGTAAAATGAGAGGCCACTGGAAGATTTTACCAGGAGGTTGGCTCTAATTGTCATGTCAAGATTGCTCTGTTTCCTCCCTGGAGAAGAGAGAAGACAGCATACCTATTCTACTTTCTCCTACTTCACAGATAGGTTCTGGAAAAAAAATTATGAGTTTTGGAATAAATAAAGTGGCTTTTCATAACTACTAATGATGACCAAAGCATTTCTAGATGGATCCATGTTCTCTAGACATCTTAGCTTTAAGGATATTACCTGCAAAATACTCCACATCTTAACATCAGTAGATCAAATGACTACCAAACATTTTTAAAATTCTATCTACAAGCAGGGCAGAACTGAAAGAAAAATCTTCTAAGACAAGAGAAAACTCAAGTTCCTACCAAGTGAGCCAGCTAATTGAATAAGGAAGTAGTAGGAGTGAAAACAATGCTTAATTACAAAGGCACTAAGCAGGGCAATGTTGCCTTTAAGTGGAGAACACAGCATAGCTTCACCAATTCTGATTTACTCCCTTTCATCTAGATGCCCTTTGCTTTTCAAGGTCTAAGTTGAACTCTACTTGTTTTATGAAGGTTTATCTTATGTTGAGCAAACACTGTCATAAAGTGTAATCTTGTATTATTTTTATAATGTATCTAATTTTATTTTTATCTCCCCACTAAAATGGCATTTCATTTAGAATAAGGACAAGAAGAATGATGGGCAGCCAAGAAGGAACTTGGTAAATATTTGAGAGATCTGTTTGACATGAGCTGGTTGGACATATATTTTTAAATTAATTTGACTCACATTTTTAAAATATAAAATATTCCAGTTTTATATCAATTACTTTTGTTTGTAGTACTACTGCTGAGAACTATGACCATTACAAAAACCTAAGATTAAAATGGAGAATTTTGACAATTTATTTTTGGCTTTAGACTGTGCCTGCCTTTGCAATGTACTGCTTCCAAACACAGATAGTATTCAATAAGAGTAAGATTGCATTCAGTCTGTTCAAATATGTTCAGAAAATTATGTAATCCTAGAAAGTAATAAGTAGGAAATACTGAATGACTGTATTTGGCAAGATATTGAGCACAAGGAATGAGAAATTTCTAACTAGAAAATATATCAGATATGTAAGTCTTCATGTAAATGGGAGCAGAGATGGATTAAGGAAGAGCTGAGAAAAGTAGGTTCCACCATGAGTGGTTATTGAGCTCAACTGAATGGGATGTAAGTAGACCCAAATGAACGTTCCTGATGGAGCTCATAGTGGATATTTGACAGTTTTTTGGTTCTCTAGCAGCCACACTCCTTCTTCCTATTCACAGCTTCTCTGCCTGTTGTCAAACCCCAGTTTGTGGAGCCTTGATAAGAGGTAGTGCCCAGCCCCATAAATACCAAAGGGGGGTAAATATTTCTTACCCCATGCCAACAGAGCCAGGAGAAAGCACATACTTTGGGATTAGTCAGTTTGACTTGGGGGCTCCTTAAACCATGAATCTTGATGATCTTAGTAACAAGTTGCAGTTTATATTCCCCGAAGTGGCAGGCAGTCTAAACCAGCCTCTTACTGCTCCATGAATCTTGTCATGCTCTTACTAGTTAGCCTTCTACAGCCCCCTTGATCTTTGTTTACCAAACCAAGTCATTTAGCCCATCGTAAATTTTGTGAGCCTCCGATGTCCTTCTGATGAAATTATTATTATTAATGTTTTGCTTAGGATAGTCAGAGTTTGGTTCTAATACTTGAAAGCAAGAAATATGACTATTATCAACCCAAGAAATGTTTAATCTTTTTTTTTTCTCAATGTCCAATCTCCCTCCAACCCAATCCCAATTCCCCCTTCAGTGGAGTTTTCCTCTATGTTTCCAATGTTTACTGTTTCCCGACGCCTAGACCCAAGCACTCACATGCCTTTATCTTCTTTTTCTTCCAACTTAGAACCTACTCTTAGACTACAAAATAAGGAGAAGATTGAAGCCTAAATTACAGCGGCTATTCTTAAATTAAGTATCCTTGAGGTCTGATACCATGTATGTTAAAAGTGTGGTTTCGGAGACATTAAGTAAAGCACGGGGAAAGCCCAAGAATTTGCATTTTTTGCCAGCTAATCAAAGGCCTTCTAAATAGAGTCAAGGAACTATTGTTTCATTTGGTGAATGTACCTGTCTCCATTTGACTTTGAAGGAAAAGATCTGGCAACGAGCATTTGGATGGCTTTCTGTCTATTTTATATTTCATTCCTATTTACCTCACAGATGGAGTTATTGAGCAATATGTGATCTCTTTGGCCTTCAATGTACAGTTCGCTATTATTTGTGTGTGCCTTCTAGTGCATTTTGTGTTACGTTTTAAATCCTATTTATTTATTTCATTGAAGTCTCTATCCTCTTATAATCAATTTTAGAGCATTTTGAAAAGGTCAGTCTAGTCACTGCCTAACTGAGACAACGTAAATCCCACTGCTCAAAGGAATCCTTTCTCTAAGCTTGGAGAATGGTAAACATTTGTCATCAGCAACCACTAGCCAAAGAGTCTTGTTATTAGCTGAAAAATAAATGTTTACTGCTTCAAAATCTCAGAACATAAATGTGCATTTCCTTTTACTCTATCAAAAATATTGACTGAGGATGAAGCACGTTCAAAGCAAATTGAATTAAATTAAAACCTTCCTCTGAGGCCGGGTGTGGTGGCTCACGCCTGTAATCCCAGGACTTTGGGAGGCTGAGGCAGGTGGATCACGAGGTCAGGAGATCGAGACCACCCTGGCTAACACGGTGAAACCCCGTCTCTAAGAAATAAAAATAAAAAAATTAGCCGGGCATGGTGGTGGGCGCCACTCAGGAGGCTGAGGCAGGAGAATGGCGTGAATCCGGGAGGCAGAGCTTGCAGTGAGCCAAGATGGCGCCACTGCACTCCAGCCTGGGTGACAGAGCAAGACTCCATCTTAAAAGAAAAAAACAAAAAAAACTTTTCTCTGAAATAATCTTATTTTTGCTATTCTGAGTAGAATTTCTGTGTAGAAGATGAAAAATTCAAAACATTTTTACTAAGATTCATACAGTTGTATTATTACTTATACAATAAAAGTGATCCTGGTTGGAAGTTGGAAATACAAGCCTTAATTCTAAAGCCTTTTTTAAAGCTTACAATTTATACTTTTTCCATCTATTAGGTCAATATAATTCTACCTGGACTGTTTGTACAACTACATGAAAGTGTTAATTTAAGCTTAGTAAGGTATTAAAACCCTCCATAAACAGCAAATACCTGTAAACACTATATAAATATTGTCACAGAAAGAACACATCATTCAATATAAATAGTGTTACGGATTAAGAATAACAATAATAATAGCTTATGTCATTTTATGTGTTAATCACTATTCTAAGCATTGTGTGTGTGTGTGTGTGTGTGTGTGTGTGTGTGTAGAGAAAGAGAGAGGTGCTAATTTACTACTCAAAAACATCCATGTTGTTGGATAAAATGAAACCCCTATTATTGTCCCCATTTTTCAGATGAGAAAGCTGAAGCACAGAAAAGATAAGTAACTTATCAAAGGTCTCATAGATTCTTCACAGGCATTTTGCATAAATGCAGCAAAAACAAAAGATTTTTTTAAGTGAACATACTAATGTTCACAAATGTTTTGGAATAGACTGTGGCATCTTGGTAGTGCCATGAGATGGGGTTTTCTTTTCCTTATAAAGCTCAAGAAAATATATGTATTTTTTAACTAAGAGGCGTTTGCACTATTCTCACTTTCCTTCCACATCCTATAATTCTAAGATGATTGCATGCCTTTACGCAGATAGCAAAAATAGCCAACTGGAATGCCATGTAATTGCTGGAATTTTAATTGGCTGGGAAAGAGGAGCATAAAATAGTGTTATAGTCAGAGCCAGCCTAGATTTTAAAGCAGTGACTATTTAAGTTTGTGATTTATGATACTCCTCTGCAATGTGTGCTCCTTCTTCAGAATTCCTCAGTAGAGAACTACAGCCCTATATCTTTTCTCACATAGTCTGAAATTCCCATCACTAATATCACGTCATTTTTTAAATGAAATTTGTTTTGGTAATAGATATGAAAGTCATCAAGTTTTTTGTGTAGTACTATAAATTATTGATGAACATTAACCATGAAATTACACCACCAATAATTTTGTGCCAAATTAGATACTGTTGGTCCCTAGATGATAATACACATTTAGCAAAGTTTTATCAATAGTGAACGTTATAAAATTTGATGTATTTGTATCATATGTTTCTTAAAATTAGAAAAAGGCTGCCACTACTGGATGAGTTCCAAGAATACTCAAGTTCAATGGAGGATCTTTTGATTTCCAAGTGGTAGGTGCAAAGTGTCTAAAATGGGGACAGAAGAGAGCCCTACCACCTTTCTCTTTATTGAAAACTCATCTACAAGGATGTCTCTATATGCATTGTAAGTTTACACTTGCTAAACACAGAGAACCTGGTCTCAAGTTTATGAGACCCAATAGGTCATTCCCAAGGGTAATAAAACAGGAAGTGGATGGAGTAGGGCGGCTACATGAAGGTCTACAAGCAGGAGATGCCAACCTCCTCTGGGTGCTGAAATGAAGACCTCTGGGCCTTGACTCTCTCAGCACAGGGAGGTCAATGTGAGGGAGTAGGACCAAATTCAGGAGAAAGAGCCACACTGAAATGGGATGGGTCCCAAACCCAGGAAATTTGACAATGCTAGGAAAGCCAAATAATTGCCACTTTGGGATAGCTATATATGAGGCATTTAATTTGTGCCAGGTTCTTTGCTAAGGACTTAGTTCTCATGGACTATTTTTCCATGTGGAAGCATTTTAGTTGGAGTAGCCAACCCAGTCTCTCTTTTCACTCATTGGCAAGTATGAATGATCCAATTAGTGAGTTTGTGAGCAGGAAATAACCTTGCTCAGCCCAAGCACATGGTCTCTCTCATACTATTTCATGCTGCTATTTAGTCTCTCCTCAACCACGTAGTAAATAATCTACTTCTACAGAGGATGCCTGACGTATTTGACTCTGATCATGACTAGAAGTGTACATTTATTTCCAGAGAAAAATATTAGAAAGCCTATGATGGCCACACATTGAGGTCGTGTCATGCAATTCAGTCTTTATTAGTAAATTTTCCATTTATCCTTTCTGTCTTCTTTCTCACTTGGTCCTTTATTTGAGAGAAGAAAGAGATGTGATTTATTTACTCCCTAAACTCCAACATGTGTCAATTCCTTTAATTCTTGTAATATTAGTAGTACTACTAGTAGTAGTTTTCTATTGCTGCAATAACAAATTCACACAAACTCAGCACCTTTAAACAATGCAAATTTATTATCTCATAGTTTCTATAGGTCAGAAGCTCTATAGGTCACAGCATGTTTGGATTCTTTGCTCAGCCTCTAAGCAGGCTGAAGTCAAAGTGCTGGACGGGTCTGCAGGTCTCCACTGAGGCTAAGGGTCCTCTACCAAGATAACTGATTGTTGCCAGAATTTATTCCTTCTTTTGATTTCCAGGCAGCCCTTTTCATCTTCAAGTCAGCAACAGCACACAGAACCTTACTCATGACCTGAATCTCTCGAACTTGCTCTTCTTCCTTCCTCTTCTACTTTGAAGGTCTCATATGAGTACAATGGGTGAAGCTAGACAATTCAGCATAATCTCACAATCTTATTAAACTCAACATATTAGTAACCTTAATTACATCCTGAAAGTTCCTTATATCATGTAAAGTAACACATTCATGGGTGTAACATCAGGGAGCAATGATCATAAGGACCAGGATTCTGCTTACCACAGTTACAGAATAACATTTTCATTTAAGAAATAAGAAAGTTGAGATTCAGAAAAGAAAACTCACCAGAAATCACACAGATCGTAAATGACAAAGCTAAAATTAAAGGACAAAGGCATTTGAGTCTAGGCTTAGTGTTTCCCATGACCCTGAAATTCTTTCTTCCATGCTCATTGTTCACTTTGGATAATTGATGCAGTTTATTTCTAATCAAACACAGCTTGTGGATGACATTTTTCTATGTAACAGGGAAGAGAAAGACATGCTTATTGTACTTCATAGCCCCCCTCTCTTTTCTTCATGTTGATTTTTCTGTGTTAGGTCTCATCACACAAACTTTCCCCCTTCCTCACAAAGGAGAAAGGGTTAGGGAAAGAATAAAGGGTAAATTTAAAAAACAAGGAAATATTAGGCAGAGGTACAACAGGGGAGAGAGAGAGCAGAAAAAGCTAAAAGAAGAAAAGGAACAGGCAGAAATAATACTGAAGTACTCAGAATTAAAGACTGGTTTATATAAACTGGTTTATATGCTGAGGGATTAGTTTAAAACATATCCTAGTACTGGTTGTTGTAACATGACTTCATAACTTGGGTCAACCACACCATTTCTTTTGTTGAGTTCTGATCAGGCAAAAAACAACTTCCTACCAATATCCTGTTGATATTCCAAAACAGAGCCTGCAAATGTTGACTCCAAATAAAACATACAATTTAGAATCAAACTACTTTAATATGGAAACAACTTGAGGCCAGAATTTCAGCTTGAGGTCAGTTCATCTCACTCTGCCCTACTTAACAATGAGCTTCAATGCAAATCTCTCTGTCCTTCTCTCCTACACTGTGTCCTCATCACAACTTTTCTCTGTCCTTCTTTCTCTTTCCAGCCCTCACAACTTATTTCCTTATGACACCTTTCCATTTTGTCTCCATAAACCCCTATTTCATAGGAAATGTACAGTTAACCATTTTTAAAAAAATAAAAACAGAATGTTACCTTTGCAGGCAGATCCCTGTCAATTTCTTTCAGTGCTTACTGTGTGGATACAAAAATAGTTCTAGTGTCAGGAATACAAAAATATATTTTAAAAACCATAGTCATTGTCTTTGTAGATTAAATCTTGCCATTAGGTAGGACAGTAAATAGATAATGCCAATGTAATATGGTTAAAGGTGATAATAGATGATGCCATGATTCATTTTTTTTTTTTTAAGACAGGGTCTCATTCTGTCACCCAGGCTGGAGTCCAATGCTGCCGTCACAGGTCACTGCAATCTCAACCTCCTGGGTTTCTACCTCACCCTTCTGAGTAGCTGGGACTATAGGCATGTGCCACCATGCCCAGCTAATTTTTGTATTTTGGGGGACACCAATGATTCTTTTGGCTCCCATTGCCTTTTCAGATCATTACTCCTCCAGCCTCCAACAAATCCTCTTTCTTCAAGGTGCAGACTGACCAACATATTAGGTCTACCCTCAGTTCTTCCTAGGTACAATTCTAAATGACGCCCCAAAATACTCATTTCTTTTTTCTTCTCAGGGAATTCTTTAAGTATCTTTGTCCATTCAGGCCACTACAAAATACCATAAACTTACTGGGTGGCTTATATGCAACAGAAATGTATTCCTCATAGCTCTGGAAGCTGAGAAATCCAAGATCCAGGTGCCAGCAAATTCGGAATCTGGTGAGGGCCCCTTACCTAGTTCATCATGGTGCCTTCTTGCTGTATCTTCATATGGTATAAGGGGCAAGGTAGAGAGGACCTCTTTTATAACAGCACTAATCCCCAGTCATGAGGGCTTCACCCTCAAGACCTAATCACCTCCCCAAAGTTCGAACTTCTTAATATCATTGCCTTGGGGATTCGGATTTTAACATGTAAATTTGGGAGAGAACACAAGCATTTGGACCATAACATCAAGTTTTTATCTTCTTCCTGAGTACTCTCACCCCACCACTGTCCCCTTCATTCTCCCAGGTACTTAATCCTTCTCTTCCCCACATAAACATAATTTAATTTGTACACTTTCCTACTTAGCCTTGGTAGAAAATGTTTCTCGTCTCCAGGTTAAGTCTAATTCTTCCTCCTGTTCTTTGGATTTTATTTATTTTCATTCCTCAAAAACTATGATTCATCATCAGCCTATGGTTTCCCCTTTGTACAGCATTCAAACACTTTCAAGACCCATCTATGTTAAATATACACAGCTTGTTTGTGATCCCACGTTATGTCTTAGTTAACCTCTCTCTCATAGATTTTATAATATACCTTTTTTATGAAGTAGTATGTTATCATAACTACCTCAGCTAAAATTTGATATAAAACCTAAGGCCATGTTGCTAATCATACTTCACTGAAACTCTGCAGCAGATATGACTCTACACCTAAAGACACACACACATAAAAAAGAAGGAACATTTCTTAATTACTTTCAATCAAATTAAATAGAACTGTAAGTCTCTCTTCATCCGGGATGTTGAGAAAGTTACTATTTGCTTTCCTAAGGACCCTTTACTTTCTAGGTTCATAGTGAATCAGGAAGGTTTACGAGGCACCTGGAAAACAAGGCCTTGACTTGTGTAGTCATCTGTTTGCTACCAGCCTCTGATCTCCTCTCCTACTGCTTCCCTGACCATGCTTTGCAGCGGTCTTACCAACTACTGTTAATTGTGTCTAAGCCTTCACGGATCCTGTCTTCTCTACAGGGATCATCCTTCCTTTCTTGTATCTGTCTTATTTATCCCTCAGAACTCAATGAAATTATTTGCTCCTTTCCCAAGCTCTTTAATCTTTTTTTTTTAGCATGATTTACACAGACTTTAATCATTGTCACTGCAGACTATACAAACCTTGTAAAATTATTACTAGATTATTTTATTAGAACAGGGAATATATTAGGTTACCAAGGAACTTATACTCTAAGGAAGAATTTAAGGAGAAAATAGGCAATTGCAATAATATATATGAAGTTCAGTAGAAGAAGTAATAATATCAAAGTTCTACTTGTAGATATCTTTTACCTCCTTCAGTGGCTGTATTCCGAGGTATTTCATTTTCTTTGTGGCTGCTATAAAGTGGGAGCATGTTCTTGATTTCACTCTCACCCTGAGTGTTATTGGTGCATAGAAATGCTACTGATTCTTGTAAATTGATATTGTATCCTGAAAGTATACTATAGTCATGTATTTATTCTAGGAGCCTTTGACAGATTCATTAGGATTTTCTAGGTATAGAACCGTATCATCAGCAAAGAGAGATAGTTTGAATTCTTCTTTTCCTATTTGTATGTCCTTTCTTTTTTTCCTCTTGCCTGATTGCTATGCTAGGATTTCCAGTACTGTGTTGGATAGGAGTGGTGAGAGTAGGCAGCTTTGTCTTGTTCCATTTCTCAGGGGAAATAGTTTCCATTTTTCCCCATTTATTACGTTGTTGGCTGTGGGTTTGTAATAGATGGCTGTTATTATTTTGAGGTATGTTCCTTTGATGCCTAGTCTGTTGAAAGTTTTTATCATGAAGGGATGTTGGATTTTATCAAAAGCTTTTTCTGTGTCTATTGAGATGATCATATGATTTTTGCTTTTAATTCTATTTATGTGGAGAATCACATTTATTGGTTTGTGTATGTTGAAACAGCCTTGCATCCCAGGACTAAAGCCTACTTAATCGTGATGTACTTACTTTTTTATGTGCTGATGGATTCAGTTTACCAATATTTTGTTGAAGATTTTTGCATCTATGTTCATCAGGGATATTAGCCTGAAGTTTTCTTTTTTTCATTGTGTCTCTGCCAGATTTTGGTATCAGGTCGATGCTGGCTTCATAGAGTAAGTTAGGGAGGAGCCCCTTTTCCCTCGATTTTTAAAAAAGTTTCAGTAGGATTGGTGCCGGTTTTTCTTTGTATATCTGGTAGAATTCAGCTGTAAATCCATCTGGTCCAGGGCTTCATTTTGTTCGTAGGTTATTACTGATTCATTTTCAGAAATTGATATTGGCCTATTCAGAGTTTCAATCTCTTCCTGATTCAATCCTGGGAGATTGTGTGCCTCCAGGAATTTATCCATTTCCTCCAGATTTACTAATTTGTGTACATAGAGTTGTTTATAGGAGTCTCTGAGGATCTTCTGTCGTATAAGTTGTAGTATTGCCTTTGTCATTTCTGACTGTGCTTGTTTAGATTTCTTTCTTTTTCTTTGTTAATCTAGCTGGCAGTCTTATTTATGTTTTCAAAGAACCAACACTTGGTTTCATTGATCTTTAGTATGAAATTTTTCCATCTCAATTTTCTTAATTTCTTGTCTATTTCTTTTCTTTCTTTTTTCTTTTTTTTTTTTTTTTTTGAGACAGTCTTGCTCTGTCGCCCAGGCTGGAGGGCAGTGGTGCAATCTCGGCTCTCTGCAAGCTCCGCCTGCCGGGTTCACGCCCTTCTCCCGCCTTAGCCTCCCGAGTAGCTAGGACTACAGGTGCCTGCCACCACGCCAGGCTAATTTTTTGTATTTTTAGTAGATACAGGGTTTCACCATGTTAGCCATGATGGTCTTCATCTCCTGACCTTGTGATCCGCCCACCTTGGCCTCCCAAAGCACTGGGATTACAGGTGTGAGCCACCGTGCCCGGCCCCAGTTTTTGTTATTTCTTTTTTTCTGTTAGCTTTGGGGATGGTTTGTTCTTTTTTTCCCTAGTTCCTTTAGGTGCAAAGTTGCATTGTTCATTTGAGATATTTCTAACTTCCTGATGAAGGCATTTAGGGTTACAAACTTTTCTTTTAACACTGCTTTGGCGACATCCCAGAGATTTTTGTTAAGTTCCATCCATATTTTCATTAATTTCAAAGTCTTTTTTATTTCTGCCTTAATGTTAATATTCACCCAAGAGTTATTCAGGTGTAAGTTGTTTCATTTCCATGTATCGTGTTGACATTGTTTAGTCCATTATTTGTCACATAGGATATTCTAAATATGTTACATGTGCTATCTTGTATCATTCTCACCACAAATCTGTAAGAAAGAAACTCAGGCTCAAAGAGATTTAGTAAGTTGTCAACGGGCTTACAGCTAATACGCAGTGGAGCCTTTGACCTAAAGGATTCTAATTTCAGAACACATTCTATTAACCAATATACTATACTATTTTAGCTATGCTTAATAGCATTTCTTCAAAGGTGAGCAACAAATAAGATCTCAGAGCTAAAAATAGATTGTCCAATCAAAGGTCAGAGATAAACAGAAACAGTAGAAATTGAGAAGTGGTGAGAAATAGGCTGTAGGGAATAAGGAGTGGCAAGAAAATAAAGAGATTGAAAATTCCACAAGAAGTTTGAATTTCAGAATAATAGCAATGGGCACCAATTAGAAGGCTGTTGACGTAGTCTGATCAAAGATGGGGCAAATGAAGTAAAGGAAAGTAAATAGACTTGAGGTAAAATCAGCCGCACTTGGTGAAACAGAATAATGAATGTGAGAACGAGAGTGAGCAAAGAAGTCTCCCAGGTTTCTAGTTAAAGTAATTGTTGGAAGGTGATGACTTTCACCAAGATAGAAAACCTGAGAAGACGAGCCCATCTTTAACAAAGAAGATAGTTTCCATTGTTGACATGTTGAGCCTAAATGTGGCTTTTCCAAATATCAAGAAAGCAAGATGCCTATTTAAGATACAATCAGTATAAAGGTATAATCTATATTCAGGAGTCATCATTACTTGGACTGAAATTGATTCTACACAACTGGCTGTGATACTGGCTGGGAATGAGGAGGGCTTTGTACAGAATCCTGAGAAAAACAGCATCTAAGAAATATGCAGAGAAAGAGAACTAACAGCAGAGACAAAGCAGTGACTAGACAGAAAAACCAAGAGGTTATTGCGGCAAGGAAATGGTCTCAAGGAAGCAACAAAAAAGAGTGTTTCAAGACGAGAGTAATGACCACAAAACCTAATGCTGGGATAAACACAAGTAAGATAAAAATCTAAAAAGTGTTCATTGTGCAACAAGACAGGCATAGATTCAGTGGATCAGTGAAGTAGTGGAGGAGAGTGGCATGCTCCATCCAGATCTCTATAGGGCCCAAACATCCATCCCCAGCTGCTCTGAATATCTGTTAGTCCTCAGCTGTGTCCCTTAGTGAGAATTGTCTTCAGCCAACAGAGGACTTCCTTGCCCAGAGTTATGCCCTCCCCAGAGGATGGCCTGTGACCAAATACTTGCTGATGTGAGAATACAAAGAACCTCTTCTCTCAATTTGAGATAACTCTGAAAAGCCATCTTAGTTTCATAGCTCTTATAGCTTTAGCTGAGATTGCAATTGTACTTGCAGAATGAGTCAGTTTCTCCCTTTGCCCAATTCTACCTTCATCACTTTCTTACAAGTGAATCTCCCAAGGATAATTTCCAATAAACTTTCTGCTCACAATTTCTCATATCGGAGTCAATTTCAGGAAATTTAATCTAAACTAGCTGGTACAAGAAGTAGTCCTACAAAGTAGACTCTAAATTGGGTTTTGGAGGTGGATCTCTCACTGGCAAGCTGGCAATGAGGATAGTAGTTGTAGTATGGATAGCTCCTGCCATGCTATGATAGTACAATTGTTAAAACTTTCACTGATGGTGAGCTTGGATAGAATACCAGTAGAAAAGGATATGCTGACTAATGGAATATCTCTGACACTTGACAGGAATGAGTTCAAATACATCCTGAAATTGGGTGGCTATGGCTGATTATCATTGAATAAAGATAAAGATGGGCTTGAGGTGAGAAATCACCAATTAAAGACAAAATATGAGAGTCAGAGGGACTTCTTGGCAAGTTTTATGAAAATCCTAATCTCCTAAAGCCAGAGGGAGGAGAGGATCGGGCTCATGATTTATTGATAAGAGCAGAAGAACTTCAAAAAGGTTAAATTTTCAGCTCTGAAATTTTTTCTGCATACTGATAGAACCCTAATAGGAAAAGCAGAGACCCTGGAAGGGATAAATGGTATTGAATATCTTGAGCTCCCAGAGTTCCATAAAACCATTGTGCCTGAAGATGTGGCCCATTCCCTCTAATTAAAATATAGTGGCTGTCCCCCTTGCTTGAAGATCATGCAGAGGCCTCAAATGCATCAGCAGCTCAAAAAGCAATGTTTGCCCTCTTTAAACTGTATTCCTACTTCCCTGGCAGGCGATCACATTAAGGGTTAAATCCAAGCAATGAACAAAGGAGAAGCCAGGGCCTGATGGGGAAGGAACCTAGAAAACTGCAGTTCAATTCAGGATCACTTACAACTTCCCTAGGGGATCATAACCATTTGCTCAGGTAACTGTATTGTGGAAAGATTTTCCAGATTTTCTGAAGTGTTGTCGGGGTAAGAACAGATTTTGAAACTGGAGACACAAAGCACCAGGATTCTCTTGCTCTCCCAGTTAGTATGGGTGCCTATAGGAGGAAAGGTAATAAATAAAGTCTTGGCCAGGTCTGGCTCACAGTTGGTCCACTGGGTCCACAGACCCACCTGATGGTTATTTCTCTGCTCCCTGTATTTGTATTTGAAATGGACATACTTGATGATGGGCCCAACCCCTTATTTTGTTTGCTTGACCTGTGAGGTGAAAGTTATCTTGATGGACTGGTGTGACTTGCCTTCAGCCCCTACATCAGCCCTGATAATAACTTTATTTAATTAAAAAAATTGTCTCAGGAGGAATACCACCCCCAGAGATTTAAACAAGGCAGAGGTGATTATCCATGTAATATACCCATTTAATTTGCAAAAATCAGATAAATCATTGTGGTTGCTAGTGGGTTGCCATAAACTTAATCAAATGGTAGTCGCAATTGCAGCTGTCAGCAAGGTACTTGCTATGGCAGATTAACATGGCCTCTGGCACATACTATGTAGCCATTAACCCGGAAAATGCCTTCTTTCCCACTCATATGAGAAGTAGGATGAGGAGCAGTTTGAATTCATGCGTAATGGACAACACACAATGGTCTTGCCTCAGGACACTGTTAGCTCTCCTGCTTGTCTATCAGAGTCTGAAGGAACTTTAATTATCTGGACATGTCACAGAGGCATTATTTTAATCTCATGGGATGAGCGAGCAGTAAACAGTATGTCAGAAACTTAATAGACTCATGCATGCCATAGGGTGGTAGATACATACTACAATGTATTAGCAAACTGCCAAATCAGTAAAGTTTTTTAGGGACCCAGTAATCTTGGGTGTGTGAGGACAAATAAAGGGCAAGTGATTGCATCTTGCATCTCCCACAACTAAAAACAAAACAAAATCACCACACTGAGTAGGTATTTTGGAGCTCTTCTACTGGAAATACTGATTAACCTATTTACCACAGACAGTGACATGAAAAATTGCCATATTTGAGTGGAGACAAAAACAGGAAAGAGCTTTCCAGGAAAGAACAAGTTTAGGCTACAGTGCAAACAACCCTGTCACTGAGGCCATACAACCTGGGACTCTAGTGCTAGAATTATCTGCAGTGGGATCAAACACTGTATGGATTTTATGGCAAGCCTAATAGATGAGGGCATCTGATGCTGGACCATCAAGTAACCACATGGCTAGAGTTTTCCTCATGAGCATTATTCTGTCTAAATCGCCAAGTCATAAAGGGCTCAAAAAAGCCCAGCAGCAATCCATTGCCAGATGGAATTGGTACATCTGGAGTTGAGCATGACAGATCCAGAAAGCTGGAATGTACAAGTAAACTGCATGACGTGGGGCCGAGCTTCCCAGTCAACTGCCAGGGTTGTACAGCTTGTTTCCCTCTGCTCATGCCTGCTGCCTCACAGGAAACCCCTATGGCAACTACTGAGAAGGTAAAAGGACAAACAGGATTAATAGATGGGTAAATTATTATGGTGGGTTCAAGCTAGAAGTGGAGGCTTCTACACTATAATCTATCTCAAGCCTGGCCCTGCAAGTCATCAGTGATGTAAACCAAAAATATAAAATTCTAAACCCCAAAACCATGTGAATGGACCCCTCCTCTCAGCAAGCGCATTCCAAAATTAACCTGAAAAACTAGTTTGGGCCATGAAGGGAAGGAGGAGCCACACATGCCTCATTATACCCACTTCCCTTTTGGAATTACTGATAGAAGAGACTCTAAGTCCGATAAGAAACATTTACAATCTTTGTCTGTGAAACCTGCTGCCTGGCTTCACCTGCATGATAAAGCCTTGGTCTCCACAACCCCTTATCATAACCCAGACATTCCTTTCTATTGATAATAACTCTTTTAACCAATTCCCAATCAGGAAATCTTTGACTCCACCTATGACCTGGAAGCCTCCACTTCCAGTTGTCCTACCTTTTGGGACTAAACCAATGTACATCTTACATGTATTGATTGATGCGTTATGCCTCCCTAAGATGGATAAAACCAAGCGATGGCCCGGCCACCTTTGGCACATGTTCTTAGGACCTCCTGAGGGCTGTGTCACAGGCCAGTGGTCATTCATATTTGACTCAGAATAAATCTCTTCAACTATTTAGAGAGTTTGACTTTTTTCATCAACAGTGAGAGGAAAACTTCTGGATGGGCAGAGCTCCCAGTAATGGACTTGGTCAGCCATTTTGTATGGAACGAGAAACAGCCTGAGGTAAGTGGCACAAACCTGAGATTGAGTGGCTCCTTAAATGTTGCATTCTAGGGGACCCTCTTGCCTCACACTACTCCTGGTCCTGTCTGAGATTAAGGGATCTACTGTTCCTATGATATCCTGCCCAACTCAGAAGCAATCAGCTTGGTAGAGATAAATTGGCCTCTTTAAAAAAAAAAAGAGAGAGAGAGAGAGAGAGAAAGGGGTCTTTCTGTGTTACCCAGGCTGGAGTGCACTGACTGTTCACACATGTGATCCCACCACTGGTCAGCACAGGAGTTTTGACCTGCTCCATTTCCAACATGAGCTGGTTCACCACTCCTTAGGCAACCTGTTGGTCCCTGTTCCTGGGAGGTCTCCATGGTGACACTGAACTTAATGTGGACACCCAATTGGCATATCACAGTACAGCCCAGAACTCAGAAGCTCAAGCTATGCTCCTGGCCTCAGCCTCCCAAGCAGATGGGACTCCAGGTGTGGACTACCACACCTGGCAGATTGGCTTCTTAAAAGCCTAGCTGAGGTGCCAGCTTAGAAAGGATACCCTATGAGAATGGGCATCACCATCCAGGGTGTCACATACAGCCTAAATCAACAATCATCATATGGAGCTTTGTTCCCCAAAGGTAGAATTCAAGGGCTTGGGAACTGAAAGATTAAAGTTGTAGTGGCCCTGGAAACCATTACACCCAGTGATCCACTTGGAGGGAATTGGCGTTTTCCCCTATATGTTTTAGATTCTACATGTCTGGAAATTCTGGTTCCTATAACAGTACCATTGAATTTTAGACTACTACTGCTATTCAGTCTTCCAGAATCCTTGTGCCAAGAAACCAGCAGGGAAGGAAAGGAGGCACCACCCTGGAAGAGGTAATTGATACGGTCTTCAGGAGGAGGAAGGGCAGCTGCTACCCCATGAGGGCAGGATGGGATATGTTTGGGCCTCTTTGGTGCTGCCATGCCCAGTTTTAATCCTATATAGGAAAATACATCTGCCATGGCCTGAGAATAGCAACCAGGAGCTCATACTGCTCAAGAATGATGGTGTGCATCACCTAATGAGGCAAACTTCCTAGATCAATGGAAGTGTGAGCTGAGGGAGAGGAGAACCTCCAATGGATGGTACAGGAAGATGGTATCAGTTATAGTTTTGAAATCAGCTGCAGCAACAGGGGCTGTAGTTCATCCAACTGACACTTCTTTTCATAATTTCCCAGGAAACAAGACTAATCAGGATCCTGGAAAGCTTTGCCCTGGTAGGAAGATAGAATTTAGGAAGGAAGTAGCTGTGAACCTCTCAAAGTTTAGGTGTAGTGCATACTATGTTGCTTATACAGACCCTCTCTGTAGAGCCAATTACCTCATTCCTTCTCTGGGAATTGCCATCCGTCAGAGGCAGGTGCCCCCATTTGCAGAACTGCCATGCAAGAGGCAGCCCAGGTCAATGACTGTATGGTGAGGAGATTTGTCTTAATTGGAAGAATTCCAGTCCTTCCCCACAGGATCAACTGAGGCCTCAGGAGGAAACACATTGGAGATCTCCTTCCCCCTGTTTAATCCTGCCTGCCTCGTGTCCTTATTAGAGCATCTCCTAGGAGCATGTACAACAAACCCTTTGGCCCAAATTCTCTGTCTCAGAATCTGTCTCTAGGGACTGAGTCTAAGACATGGGGCCAAACAACAAGCTGCTATAAGCAGAAGTGACTGCAGGAGAAGCAGCCAAGAGAGTAACAATAGGAAGCTGTTTCAGTCAAAAAGAGGCAAGAAATACGGTGGAAGCTCCAAGAGCTAGAGGGGTTGAGAGAGGTTTTATTTCCTTATTGTTGGTTGTTTGTTTAAGACAGAAAAGGCTTAAGGATGCTTACATGTTGACAGAATGGAGGGGGAGGGACAGGAGATACAGAAAAATATATGAGAAAAATAAATTGTATGAGGTTACAGAGGGGACAGGAAGAGTGGGAATCACAGGCTCAAGTGGAAAGTTAAGGCTTAACCTTATTTAGACGGGATGACTTAAAAATCTGACTTAATGTTTTGCAAATGGTTAGTCACTCATTTCAACACTGTTCTTGACCAGTTTCTTCTTTCCCCACTTATATAAATTGCTACTTTTAGCACAAACTAAATTATATATGCCTGAGTTTATTTTTAGGCTCATCTATTTCATAACCTCTTTATTCCTCATCCAATAATAAATTGATAAAATTACCGTAGGTTTATATGACATTTTGCTCAATGGTAGGGTAAGACATTCCTTCTCATTATCCTCTTCTTTTAAAATTTTAAATTTATTTTCTATATATCACATACTTTTCTTTTTAAGTTTATTATCATGATGTTTTACTTTTACTTGCTATTCAAAATTATTCCGTTACATTTTCAAGGTTTTGATTGTTGAGATGGGGTGATTAAAGGTTTTATTATTAATTGATCTTTTATTGATCCCCTTATGGAATTCAATGAGTTTTTACATTTGTTCATTTTCCGCATTTTTTAAAAAATTAGTAATTTTTTACTTTTCAATAATTAATATTGAATTTAGTTCTCACTAACCTTATTATAAGAGTCAGAACCTACCATATTTTTTGAGATGGAGATTTGAGTGCAGGAAGATTTGGGGGAATTGCTCTTGAAATCAACACCTGTGAGAAGGAATAGAGGAAAACAGGACTGGGCAGCCGAAAAAATGTGTTGTTGTGCAATCTCAATAAAGTCCTTAGCAACCCACAGGGAGCTCTGAAGCTTAGACAATCAATCCTTGAGAGTTTTGGCGAGGGGATCCAGATGACCAGTCACTGCATACTGCCTTGTCCCTAGAAGGGGCTGTGACCTTGGGCCAGGTGTCACTTCAAATGAGGCATTGCCTGAAAATAGCTGAAGACAGACAGTTGTTGACCAGGCAGCACACCCAGCAACTTCCAGGCAGCTGAGGAAATGTGTGTCACTCCTGAAGAGGGATCCGGGTAGCATATCACAGCACTCACTGCACGTCATGCATTAAAAAAGAGGACACTTTTGCGATTATGCTGCTTCCGTCTCAATTTTACCACTTTAAGGGAGACACTGCATAATTTTTGTTTTGATATTTTATAGAGAAATTATTATTTTTGTTATGTAGATTTATTTCACGAATTGTAATTTCTAGGTTATTTTCTGTAATGACAGTCCATATTATTTTAGCATTATTTCCATGTTCTAATGATTACATTCACCACTGGTCTGCAGCACAGTGATTTCTAATTAGTGAATTATATATATGTATGTATGCATGGATGGATGTCTTATTTAGTAGTACATGCTTAATATGTTTCATGAGTCCTTGCGCATTGGAAAATGTCTTTCTGATGTCTTCAATTATTGTGACACTTCTGAGAAATAATTTTTTTCCTCATCATTCAGCAGATATCCCTCCATTGCTTTTTGTTACAAAATGCTACTGAGAAGATCCTAAAGCCAGGGGAGTGATGAAAATGTACAAATAACCAACATTCCACAATCCAATATTTTAATATTGAATACTTAAGTGGTCAATCATTTATATATATAAAACAAAAGGCTCATTATAAAATATTTGAGTGGAACTAAACTGTATAAAGTAAAAAGTTTAAGCCCCCTTCCTCCCTTTCCTGCCTCACTCCCAGACATACCCACTTCACAGTTTAAGGTCTGTCTCTCCATAGTCATTTTTTAATCTTACAAGATGTGAGAAAACCATACATATTATGCTGCAATTTGTGTTGTTCACACAATGTAGCTATCCTAGGCACCCTTCCCTTCTAATACGTATTATTTTTTGTTTTTGTTTCAGCATTAAAAGGTTTTAAATTTTAATGTGGTCACATATATGTTTATTATTTTATGATTTCTTCTACCTAAGCATTTCTAAATGCTTAAATGAAAGCTAAAATGTGTTTAGATATTGCAGCAATGTAGGGTATTTATTCAATTTACTGAAAGCAAAGAATATTGCTTTTTTATCTCCCTAAACTGTAACTAAGATAGGGATTCAAGAGAAAATTGAAAAGAACCTAGTGCTTGAAAATCTTGTTCTGTGCTAATGTGATCATCTTGGTACCTTGGGCTACCCAAATCAATGACAGCTTCAATGTCCCTGTTTAGTTTCATTCGTAAAACTGAATCTTTTATCTCAGGACTATTCTCTGTTTTGACATCTGATTTTAAAAATGGTGTCTGTACAAATGAAGGCCTGGCAGAAGTCAGTCAAGCTAACCAGAATCTTAATAATTTACTTCTTTCCACTCACTGGACGCTAATTGTGAACACTATGCTTCTTGCCTTAGCTGCTGTTTTCCTCTATAGTTATACCTTTAACATTCATTTCTTTCTATGTCCTGAAATATTTTTTCCTGTTTTCATTTTGGTCATTGCATATGAATGCATTCATTTACCTGGTGAATGTGAGACCTCTGTATATTCAGATCAGATTTCAGTTTTCTTTTCTCTCTTGTACTCTCACTTGAAGTATGCCTTATTCTGTGCATACTTTTTCCCTAACACAGATTTTTGGCCCTTCTTGCAATCTGTTTTTGCTTCCAGTTCCTGTTCTGTCTACTGATCACTTATACATATAATAGTTTTCAGATGTCCAGGTCTTTTCTACATTTGGGTGCATTGTCAAAAGTGTAATGCCTTTCTTCATTGGTAAGATTTCTTTTTGGCCTTGATTGAGTCTATATTACTAGTCATATTGGGCAGTCGGGTCTCATCCTGATCACCTAACTCTAAAATTCGTTTCTCTCTTTTAAGTGTCTTATATTTTTTTCCATTTTCCAGACCCTCAGATCCTACTGGCCCTTTCACATTTGGAGTACGGTCAGGAATTAACTGACTTCCTTAGCTTGGGACCAACTACTACGAAAACCTACCTGCACGTTTGTGCTACGTTATGTATTGGTGACTGAACATCATTTTCCCTCTTGTAGCCTCCAGTCTAGCTCCAGCTGCACCCAAACATTGTAACAGCTATAAGCCTGGGAACTACAGGTACCAGAATCTCTACCAGGAGTTTCCAGTTTGGGTTCCACTAATCAGAAACACCTGCTTGAGATTTGGAAGAAAGAAAAGAAGTAGAGGGCATAATATTGTTCTTAGGCAACAGGAGGCAAATTGTGGGTTTTGGCAGAGGTATTGCAGCAACTTCTAGGCACTTTCTGTTAATTATCTGCTTTGGCACAGCATCATCTAGCCCAGTTGTTCTCAGTGTCATCCCTGAAACATCAGCAGCATTGCCTGGTAACTTGGGAGAGATGCAAATTCTTGACCCCAGACCTACACATTCAGAAGCTCTGGAGTTGGAGTCTAACACTCTAGGTTTCACAGAGACCCTTAGTTAATCCTATATGCCAAAGTTGAGAACCACTGAAACATATTCCAATATAACAGATCATGGCTGGGCTTTCAAATTGGGTGAGTTAACAAAATCACCAGGAGTGATTCTGAAAACTGGAGATTTGTGTGTCCTACCATATATCTTCCCATAAATAAGACTCTCCAAGAAAAGGGCCTGTGAATGTGTATTTTTACAAGTGATTCTGATTCTTAGTCAAGTGCAGGAAGTGAGTCAAATGTACCGCTCTAGGGTCTTCCAGGCTTCTTGTTTAAACAACATTCCCTTTTCCTTAGAGTTGACAAAGGAAAAGAAAAAGCAACATATTTGAATAAGAAAAAAACTGTGAGTTGTTTGGAAAAGTGTGCTTACTCAACATAAAATCCCTTTTTAGAACTTTAAGATTCTATAGTTCTGTATTTCATTAGTACTAACCAAAGATGACTTGCATCGCAATCACTATGAGTGTCCACTGAAATTGCAGATACCTGGGTTCCATTCAGACTTATTGCATGGGATCTCTGGGCATTAACAAACACAGCAGCACACAAAAGCTTGAAAGCCAAGAATAAACTCTTTCCAAGTTTACGCTATACTATATGAGAATGTGTTATCAGATGTGCTATCTGTACTTCAAGTGTAAATACAACAAAAGTAGACCTACAAGCATTACTGGTATTAGCTCTGTGCTTCATGGGTAAAATAAATCTACTTCATGTGGAAGTAGATTATCTCTAATTTCTCTTCCTGTTCTAAAGTGCTATGATTAAATTACTTATTTATCAACCTATAGCCACTTCCAAAAACCGTAAATAATATTATACAGCCTTTCTTGGGACTCCATGTTCACCATGCATTTGTTGCATTGGCTAGAGACAAATATTTCAAGTTTATCTCCATTGTTGGCATAAATACTTAAAACATCAAAGTGTAATATCCAATAACATCCTATTTTGTCTCAACGTCTAATTCTAGTCATAGATTTTCTTTATTTTTTATTGTAAAAATGCAATCTTTACATTCTATTAATGGCTAATTTGGAATATATGTTTAACTATTGAGGCTTTCTATTATTGTTTTGAGTTAAAATATATCTTCTTAAGCTATGAATAAGTAATGATAGATAATATATGTACTCAGAATGAAATTAAATCTATGTTGAAAAGTATCTAGTGCAATGTCTTGTACTGGTACTGGTAGTAAACGTTTCTTTACTTGGCTGGCAATTAAATACTCCACAAATTCTGACACAAATGATAATTTAAATAATCAACAGTAAAGTTTTCGAGGAGCTTACAGAGGTTACAGGGTTTTTGTCTGCAATTTTAACATATTTTAAAATAATTTCCTATTACCCTGACATTTTGAAACTGCTCTAGATAAATTATGAGTTCTTAAGTGCATGTTTTCACAATAGCAAGATTGTGGAAACAATATTGTTTCTTTCATAATGGAATTTTGGAGGTTACAGGGACCATCTTATTAAAGAAGGGACTATCAAGAAAAATTGGGGTAAAGATGAAATTCGGCAAGCATCCAAAATTGATGAAAACTTCTCATGTTGTTTGGTGACAATCTGGAATGATAAGTAATAAACAGTATTGGTTTGTTGGCTTTTCCTGTCAGTTTTTATGATGCTCCCAAAAACTAATATAATAGTTACCTTATTTTTAGAATATTCCAGTTTGGTAAAGTAATATGAGTTAATGACAAGAAAAGGGCATAGCTATGGCTAATGGTCATGGTCCAATAAAGCCAAGTCTGTTGGCCTTGGGGCTCTCAGTACAGGATCCATCTGCTTAGCCAGATTTTTTTCTAATTGAGAAGAAGTCAGTTGGCTCTTTAACTTCAAAACTGCAACATTTCATTTTATTTTGAGAGTTTTGCTTTTATAGCCATACTTCCTGTGATATTTCATATTGGTATATTTTTAGAAGTAAAATCTATAGTGATCATTACGTTTTGGGGCATTGAGTAGATTTCATTTTGTTACTGCTAAAAATGATATTGGTAGAAAAAAATGTATGGTATGTAAAAAACATGCCAAACTTATTCTGAAAAAATGTATTTTTGGGAAATTATTCAGTATGAAAATTTCTTCCTATCCATAATGCTTCATTCACCAATAGGCACAAGAAATGTTACATGCTAAGCAGAAAGGGTAATGCTAAGACCTTTGACATTGTGGCTCTTATATTCCTTAAGAATTAATTTTATGAAAAAATTTAAATTTCTAATAATTCATATTAAAATTTAATATAGTCGTGTGCCACATAATGACATTTTGGTCAATGAGGGACCACATCCACAGCAGTGGTCCCATAAAATTATAATGGAGTTGAAAAATTCTGTCTAGTGACGTCTTCATGATCCTGACCCTGTGTGTAGGCCTAGGATAATGTGTATGTTTATGTCTTAGTTTTTAACAAAAAAGTTTAAAAAGCAAAAAAAAAAAAAAAAAATTTAAATTTAAAAATAAGAAAAACCTTTCAAAAATATAAAGAAAGAAGACATAGTTTCTACAGCTGTACAATGTTTGTGTTTTAAGATGTTATTACAAAAGAGTCAAAAAGTTTAAAATTAAAATGTTTATAAAGTTAAAAGTTACTTTATAAGCCAAGGTTAAATTATTGTAGAAATAAAAATATTTTTATAAATTTAGTGTAGTCTAAGTATAAAGTTTATAAAATATATAGTAATGTACAATAATATCCTAGGCCTTCACATTTACTCACCACTCACTCATTAACTTTTTTTTTAGATGGAATTTCACTCATCGCCCAGGCTGGAGTTCAATGGTGCAATCTCTGCTCACTGCAATCTCCGCTGCCTGGGTTCAAGCGATTCTGCTGCCTCAGCCTCCCAAGTAGGTGGGATTACAGGTGCCAGCCACCAGTGCCCGGCTAATTTTTGTTTTTTTTTAGTATAAGAGACAGGGCTTCACCATGTTGGCCTGGCTGGTCTTAAACTCCTGACCTCAGGTCATCCTCTTGCCTTGGCCTCCCAAAGTGCTGGAATTACAGGTGTGAGCCACTGTGCCAGGCCTCACTCGTTAACGTACCCAGAGCAATTTCCAGGCCTGTAGGCTCTATTTATGATAAGTGTCTTATATAGATTGTAATGGTTTGGCTCTGTGACCCACCCAAATTTCATGTTGAATTGTAATTCCCAATGTTAGGGGAGGAATCTGGTGAAAGGTGATTGGACCATAGGGTGATAGATTTCCCCCTTGCTGTTCTCCTGATAGCGAGTGAATTCTTTCGAGATCTAGTTATTTGAAAGTATGTAGCCCTTCCCCCTTCATGCTCTTTCTCCTGCTCCAGCATGGTAAGACATACTTTCTTCCCCTTTGCCTTCTTCCATGATTCTAAGTATCCTGGGCCTCTCAGCCATCCTTCCTGTACAGCCTGCAGAACTGTGAGTCAATTAAACCTCTTTTTTTCATAAATTACCCAGTCTCAGGTAGTTCTTTATAGCAGTGTGAGAACAGATCAATACACAATACCATTTTTTATCTTTTATAACATATTTATACTATACCTTTTCTATGTTTAGACACAAAAATAGTTGCCATTGTGTTAACATTGCAGTATTCACTACTGTATTCACTATAGTATTCACTACAGTAACATGCTGTACAGGTTTGTAGTCTAGAAACAATAGGCTGTACCATATAACCTAAGTGTGTAGTAGGCTATCTAGGTTTATGGAAGTACAGTCTATAATCTTTGTACAACAAAATCGCTTAACAGTATATCTCTCAGAACTTTTCCCAATTTAGCAACACATGTCTGTATATAATTTCTAAATTATAATTGATGTGATTAATCCATGTGCAGTTTTTTTAGCGTAGATTTTACTTTTAATTAAAACTTTGAAATGATTTGTGTGCGTTTGAGAAACATGTCAGATTTGACTATGAAATCAAAATTTTCTTGGTAATATTTTGCTGTTAAAAAACAGTCTTTTATAAACTAACCAAGGTTCCTAAAAAATCAGAACAACAATAATGTCACATAAAAATAACTCATTAGCACAGACTACAATGTAGTTGATTCTGACTGTGAGTTGTGAGCCAGCCAGCCAACCCCAGGTACTGGGTGTTGGTATAAGCTGTAGACTCACTTCAGAGAGAAACATAAGGCAGACATGCCACTCTAGTAACTATGGTGGGCAAGCTTTTGCTAAATCATGAACAGTGGTGAATCATCAGATTATTTTATATTTTCTCCCACGGCATATGCATCATGTTTAAAATGTGGGTTTCCTTCCTTATTTGAATCAGAATAAATTTTTTAAAAGAAATTTCAGCATAGAAAATATTTTGAGGAAATTCTTCTAAGCCCTGTATTTACTTCTCATGTCTATAATAAAATAAAAGCATATCATAGTTTCTCAATTTTGTTTCCATTTTGGTGTGCAGTGCACAGGTGGGAAACTAAAACAATTCCAAACATCTAAATAAATAAAAGAATAAAATAAGAAAATATTGTTCCACTAGCAAAAAAGAAATTATGAAGTTCTTATTTCCAAAGTGACTAGTGGTTCTTAGACTTGTGGTTCTGAAATCTTGGTTTCTGGAACAATAGCAGCACCACCTGAGCATTTGTTATAAATGTATATTCTCAGGTCCCACCCAGGCCTACTGAATCATAAACTCTCAGAGTAGGGCCCATCGATCTGAGTTTCACAAGCCTCCCATGTAATTCTAATGCCTGCTAAAATTTGAGGAAAACTACCTTTGACTATGGAATGTAAATTAACAAAGCTAAAATAGATAGGTCTGAATTTATCTGTAGACTCATTGGTTCTCATTGGATCTCACTCTCGCCTTCTAATCCTACCTGGGGATGTTTATAAGACCCCAAACCAGATAATCAGAATTGAATTGAATCAGAATCTCGGCCCTAGTATCAGAATTTTCCAAAGCTCTCTGGCTGTTGAGCAGGCAGGATAGAGAGACACTGGTATAAGCTACACATATTTGTTCCATAGATCAACTTCTTACCATGTCTTAAGCATATACTAATCTGTGGTGATAACTGTTGCCCCCCTTTTCGTTGACCCTGCTTTCTTGCTGTTCCTATTTCAATAGCTGAAGCTACAAGAGCCAGAAAGAAGATGAACATTAAGAAGATATTTTCGTATATCTATTGTTACTTTTTCATTCCCACACCTAGCTACTAGAGTGGCATTCATCTGAGTTGCTCCATTTTAGAAACTTGTATATTCGATTTAAAAATCAGCCCACTATTCTTTGGATTATTAAACACACCGCTAGTACTGATCTGCTTGCTCTGTTTTATCCCTTTTCAACCCATTCTTCACATTGTAGTCAATGTTATCTTTCTAAATGCAAATTTGATTGTGTTCAAACTTTTTAAAATGACTTGCAAAGCACTGCATAAGCTCTGTGTAATAGCCCTGCTTCATCTATCTTTTATCAACTATTCCCCTCCCTGAATCCCTTCAATGATGTAGCCGTACTAAATGTTAGGTTTCTTGAACCCAGCATGTTTTTTTCTCTCTTCTTATCAGCAGAACACATGTTGTTCTCTTTACTTGGAACGCCGCCTCTGACAGATGGTCACCTCACCATCACTCATTCATCCTTCAAGTCTTTGATACAATTTCTTCCAAGAAAACTTACCTGATTATTTGAGCTTGAGATAGCACTCTCTGGAAAGCCCTAGAATTTTTATAGCTTGCGGTAATTGCTTACTGAAATCTCCAGTGGGCTGGAAAATTAGGGAAGGTATTTTCATGTATCTATTGTTAATTTTTCATTACCACAGCTAGCAGAGAGGTTATATGTTTTGAAAAAACTTTTATTGAGTAAATGAGAGGATGAATTTAAAACAACCTAAACACAGGTAATGCAACCAAATAACAAATTAAAAATCATCAAGAAGTGAACCAAAGAATAAAATCAATAAGGTAATATAGGATCAGAAGTGAAATTGCACATTAAATGTGCTATGATAGACATAGGGCCCAGAAAAACTGATCTCCCAGGTAAATGTCCTTTTTCTTACACCATCCTAACACTTTAATCCCTTCCTTTCCATCTTACATAAAGTAACTGTTTACTGGCAAACATTTGAGATGCAATTGATGCATTAAAAAAAGTCTACATCTCTCAATTTATTAGCACTTCTCATACTGTGTTCCTCAAGCGCTAAATGTACAAGAGGTTAATACATGTTTCATATAAATTCATTTCTCTGGTGGAACAAGTTTGTGAGGTGCTGTGTTAAATTAAGTAGCTTTCTCTAATGCAGTCATATTCAGAATCTTTATTATGGTGATGTGCTTTGTAAATCTCCCAAAGGGAGAAATAGTAAACATTTCTTTGGAAATATTTTGAAAGACATCTTGCAGAATTAATAGTCAGTGAAACAATTTGAAAAGCATTAGTTTAAATGCATCAGTACATATCTCACTCCAAGAAAGTTGAGGAAAATCACGGGGAGTGTTGCTGGGAGCTTTCCTCTATCTCTCAGGAAATTGATTGCTCAGAATTATTTTCTGAACTATGTGAACTTTGTGAGCTTAAAAAATGTATATATAAAATGAGTGACCGATGTGTGTATCTTCAAGACTATTTAAAAGTATGTATTAAACACATACAACATGCAGTATTGTATGTATAAGGTATGGCTCTTTCGATAACTACACATTCTTGTTGAACATACAATGACTGTGCTGGATGGGTGTTCTGAATTGTAAGGACTATAAATGCCTAACAGTTCAGGGAGACTGTAGAGCAATGTCAGCTGAAATAAACACTGGAAAAGTTAAAGATACAGGAGGGATCTAAATGGGCCCTGGGAAAATAATATGGGACCTCATTGGAGTTTTAAAACATGGGGCTCAGCTTGTGTTGAGCACTGGAGTGAGGCACCATCTATTTCCAAAGCTAGAACCTGGGTGCTAGTGGGTGGATTTATGAGCAACTCTACCCAACGTATTCATTTATATTTAGGAGCCTCCAGGGGGAAAAGGCACCGACACCTTGATCACTGAGATTTAAATGCATAAAAGCCTAATTGACACAAGTGGAACCTATTAAATGAAGCTTATGTTTCCTCAAGCTTCTCTTCCTCAAAAAGAAATTTACCTCAGAAAGGGAAGCTGGGCTAGTGAACCATACTTAGTGCCAAGGTCTAAGTTATTTGAAGAAAGCGACTTTTCAGGCACATTACACACTTAATTCCAGAACTTTCTAAGCAGTCCTTCTAGCATTGAGGGAAAACTTAGAGAGTGACAGTTTGACAAGTTGTACTGTAAGAAAGAAAGAGCTTAAACCATTAAAAAGCTCTTATATGTAGGGCCATGGAAGTGTGTAGAACTCCTAACTGGGCTTAATCAAGAAGACTCCAGGGGATATTGTGTGTATATGTGTCTGCATGCACACATATGCATGCATGCATGCTTCATTCATCATATTTCCTCGGGAAATGTTCCTCTTCCATCTGGTGTGATTCTGAGGAGGCCTGTCAATTACATAGTTCCACCAGCTCTAGCCACAGGGCTCTGCCCCAGACCTGGCCTAGCTTATCACAGTAACTTACCTTCCTGATTAGCAAGGGGGATAATCCAAGGGCTAGACATATGATCCCAGAAATACCTGTCTCAGTCCCCCATGAGATTAGCTAGACACTGGGAAAGAGAGAGACTCTCTTTCTTTTGGTTAATAAGTTATAGAGAATAATGACTTGAGGCTGACAGGAACCATTTTTCTTACCGTGTGGAAAAAAAGCTTGCATAAGAATGAAACCATCGCACAGAGGAAAGCAGAGCCCAGAGTCATAGAAAAGCTGAGTATGAATGACAGCTTTGTTAGAAACTCTAGATCACAATGTGCTCAAAGTCTACCCCATGCTCAGACTTGCCAGTTACAGGAGTTAATACGTACTTATTAAACTGTCTTGAATTTATGTTTGGTTTCTTTTACAAAGTGGGTGTTGACTAATGGATAGTCACCCTGTTTTCACAAAAAGGAGCCAGGAAATGGATGGAGCCATTGACAGAAGTTTTCTTCAGGATCCTGGAGAGCATGTGGGACAGCAGTAGTACCAGAAATTCAGAAAGAGATGATTGGTGTTCAGGTGAGTCATAGGCTTGCAGAATTATTAGGACTTATAGCAAAGTTATCAGTGATAGTGTATGTCCAGTTGCACCACTGAGAAGAACGGCAATAAATCATTGGCAATGCCACATGGATCATGGTCAACTGTTGGACAAAAGGGGTTTGGAAATGAAGTTTGACCTCTAGGAGCTTTGAGGTACTGCTTCCTTGGAATCATGAAGTGTAAGACCAATGGGAAACATTTCATAATTCACCACAAGAAGATACTGGGAATATCTAGAAAAGCGAGGTCCTTAGATCTATTAGAATTTCTATAAGCAAGGTTGGTGAAGGCTTGCAGCTATTGTGATTTAAGGAAGAGTTGTTGAGTATAACCTCAGACTACTTACATCAGAGAAGGAAGTGAGAAGGTCATGCCAGAAAAAGGAAAATATTGACAATAAACCTTGGCATATTCACAAGGCTTTGAGACCAAACTGATGAGACAAGATGAAATTTTGGAGGGAGTTGTGAGAAATAAAGCTGGCTAGTTATGAGAGGGTTGCGTTAGGGTACAGTTTATGAGAGAAGTTTAAATTGGATTTAGTATGAATGAAATAGGAAGCAAAAGGAGGGTTTCTACATCACCTGTTGTGGACTTGGCAACACCTGTTTAACTTGTTTGCAGCATAAATACAATCACACTTCTTATTTTTCAGATAGTCACTTAAGCTTTCAAGTTTTCTTCCTTATACCTCGTGAGATTCTCTATTTCCCTTTTTGAGATAGCCCGCTATACTCACGCCCCACACTGAAATGTCCAAAAACCAAGGGGCTAACTCAATACATATATAAAGAGAGATTAGTTCTGTTTCCAAATACCAAACAGGAAAAGGGAACTGTAAAGTTAGATGAGTCCCCATACACCATTGATTTGATCATGTGCATCTCACACAGTCAGAGGTTTCTCCCCCTCTTGCAGACACGCCCTTGCTCATCCAGATACCTGCACAGGATGGAGTGGTGGCCATCTTTCAGTTTCAAATAAAGATCTTAAGCAAATCTTTCTGTTCTCAAACATTGTTTCCTAAGACAGGACACCATACAGACTGGCTGGGGCTGAACTCATGCTGACTCACAGAGACAGAGTGCAGACATGTTTTTAGAGAGTATGCTCAAAATTTCACAAGCTGTCTCCCTAGCAGCTGATCATGGTGCAAATTTTGCTGCCCTGCTGCATATTGGATACGACTTTAACAATACCAAGTGCTCTTGAGTATAACAATAAACAGCAAGTTTTATAAAATGTGCACAGGAGTATAAATTGCTATGTCCACCTTGAAAAGTAATTTCACATCTAGCCAAGTTCAAGATACAAGTATGTTTGTATCAAATATTTCCATTCCCCAAGTAGCAGCTCCAGATGAGTGGATTCACAGCAGTATTGACCAAAGAAGGGGAAATGATCAAAATGTCTAACAATAGAGAATTACCAAATAAATTATGACATGCTCATACAATCAATTAAAATTTACCAGTGAAAGTATATGAAAAGCAAGACATGCCAACATGGATAAATCTCACAAACAATGTTGAATAACAACAAAAGCAAGTTGTAGAAGGACACCTACAGTTGGAGGTCATATATCTAAAGTTAAAAAATGAAAAACAGGGCTGGGCACAGTGGCCCACACCTGTAATCCCAGCACTTTGGGAGGCCATGGCCGGTGGATCACCTGGGGTCAGGAGTTCAAGACCAGCCTGGCCAACATAGTGAAACCTTGCCTCTACAAAAATACAAAAATTAGCCAGGCATGGTGGCGCATGCCAGTAGTCCCAGAGGCACTCAGCTACTCAGGAGGCTGAGGCAAGAGAATCACTTGAACTCAGGAGGCAGAGGTTGCCGTGAGCTGAGATCACACCACTGCACTCCAGCCTGGGTGACAGAGCAAGACTCCATCTCAAAAAAGCAAAAAAAAAAAAAAGAAAAATATATAAAGAGTATGTACATATGTGATAAATTTTAAAAAACCACAAAGGAACAATGAACACAAACTTCAGGATCCTGCTTAGCTCTGTAGGGAATAGAGAGAGCTGTGATCAGGGACTGATCAGGGACAGGCACATGGTAGCCTCCAGATATTGTAACTTCATATATCATAGAGAACACAAGTGTTTGCTTTATTCTTCTTTAAGACATACATGCATATATTACATATATTCCATATGCACACATGCATGCGTATCTTATACATTATGTGTTGTGCATACCCATTCACAAACACATATACAATTTCATAAACAATTTTTATAAAGACTCACTTAGGTGGGGTTAGTTACATAAGTGAAAGTCCGTAAATCTCCATGGCTATCCCTTAACTCCCTGGCTCACAAAACTCTAGGCGGGTGAAGACTCATTTGGATAAGAATCCAAGAGGCTTTCTGAGAGGAAGGACCAAAATACCAACTCTTTCTTAGCTGTTCTCTGCAAACAACCACAGACATTTATTACCATATCCTTAAACACTGGATAGCTTCCTCCTGAAAAAGCCTTCCTGTGGATGAAAACCACCCACCTCTTCCAGCAGTTTTACTAAGTCTCTCCTCTCCCTGAAACCCTGGCTCCAGAGTACAGCCTCTTGTTCACCCATCTGTATTTATTGAACATTTCCACTCTTCTTTTTTTCTCTCTTCTTTTCTTCACCTACTTTTCTATTTTTTCCCTCCATTCTCTACTTGCCAAGTTCTTAAAGCTCAAAATAATAGAGATGGTGTGGGAAGAGGAGAAAAATGCAGGAAGTACTTAAAAACTATTCTAAGTATACTCATTGTGTCCTTGTTGGTATTTGGGGGGCAGGGGGAGTTGATGTCTCCTTATCAAATAAACATAGCCAATGAAACATTTTTCTTTTTTTGCAGCAAGACTTAGAGAACTTTAAGAGGAGGGTATAGTATGTTGTTTATTTACAAATTTGTTTGATGAAACAATTTCCCTTTTCTCCAAATACCTATCTTGGATAATACTATATTCAGTGGAAAAATGTGGGAAATGTTGAGTTTGAATTACCACCAAGAATGTTCTTCAAAGTATAAGGAGAAGAAATTATACTTCTTTCTACATTAAGTCTTAGTGACAAAATATTTTTATTGAATTCTCCCACTTTCTACAATGAATTCTAGGTTCACATGGATATAACAAATTCTCTATAGTAAATATTATAGCTATAAGTGAGTACTTGCTCAACATAACCATCTTTTATGTTTGATGGTTTGCTTCCTGCTTGAAAATTGAACGACTGCCTATTCTGTAACAGTATCTTAGTGTTTGGGACAAAATAGTGAACATTATAGACATAATTACTGCCCTCATGGAGCTTATGGGTAAGGAAAAAATTGTCAGAAATTGATCACTACACTATTGAATATAATTATTATAATAGTAACATAAAAAACATAATTTTGACAAATTAAATGGAGTTTTTAGTCCCAACTTTTTTCCCTCAAGTTATAACATCTCTATTCAAGTAAAAGGCTAGATTGATTACCTGGGTATTTATTATTTGATTTACCCATTATAAAAAAAGATTGCATGGGGAAGAAAAAGGCATCATATAATGAAAATTTCATTCGGAACTTTTGATTTAGTCTCTGCTCAAGCAGTGCTCTTCTATTAATAGGAGTACACAGCCATACCAATGACAGCAACATCTTTGCCCATCCAAGTTTTATTATTCTATTTGCATTGTGTGGTTTGATGTTCAGTGCAAATATGATTCAAATAAACTGTTAGTGAAATTAGAAATATTGTGAATATATTGTTAATGTAATTGATGAAAGTAATACTGGAGAAATTCTTTAATCAAAGCCCATAAAAAATGAAGACACAGAATGAGAATTGTTTAAAAATAAAGAATATAAGAATGATAACAAAATTATTCAGAAGTGAATTATTAAGGGAGGTCTTTGAAAAACCTGGAAAGTCCTCAAATGTATTTTCAGAAATAACACTTTATGATCATTCTGTGAAAGCCAAATAGGAAGGCAGTCATGCTCTGACATTTTTGAAAAATACCATACTAAAAGAATCAACTTACTTTACTCTTTGTTCAACAAATCAGAGCACAACTGAAATTGTAATTTAAATTTTGTTAAGCACAAAAAGCATATTTTTAGAATGTTACACTTCATTTGTCAAAAAATAAACCAGTCAACCTTGTTTATGATTATTTATTGTGAATTTCTCTTCCTATTTTAAAGGGTCTAACTTTAAAATCCTTTCCATTACCAATTGCTCTCAGATAATGAGGATTTCTTGCACTGGTATTCTCCTAAACATATAGCTAAAAAGTCACATTAAAGTAACTCAGAGAATTCCTGATTCTGGTTTTGGAAACTGCAGTTAGCTGACAGCTCTGCGCCTGAGATTGTTAAAACATTGAACCTTTCATCTTTAATAGGATGATATTTGACTTTAAATACTGTACTGTTGATACCAGAAAAATGAGTCTCGGTTGTAGGCTGAATAACACACCGCCCCCACCAAAAGTTGTCCATGTTCTAATTCCTGAAAGCTGTGGACATGTTACTTTATAGGGTGAAAGGGATTTTACACGTGTGATTAAATTAAGCCTCTTAAATTACAGAGGTTATTCCGGATTACCCAGATGAGCTCAGTGTAATCAAAAGGGTCCTTATAGGAAAGAGGCAGGAGTCAGAACACATATAGAGAAAATGTAAGGACAGATGCAGAGATTGGAGGGAAGAGGATAGGCTTTGGGTTTTGAAGACAGTGGAAGGGCTTATGAGCCAGGGAATGTGAACAGCCTCTAGAAAGAGGAAAAGGCAAAGAAACAGATTCTCCCCTAGAGCTTCTAGATGATGTGCAGTCCCATGGACCCATTTTAGACTTTTGACCTCCAGAATTTAAGTGTATAAATTTATATTGCTTTATACCAGTAATTTTGTGGTAAATTGTTACAGTGGCAATAGAACATTAATATAGTCTTGTTTGGAATTTTTTTCTGCTCTGCTGAAAACTAAAGGAAAATGTAGCTTCTTCTAGCTCCCCTTCACGAAGAGCTGGGCAACAGACAGAGAAATGACTTTCCCTCTCTGCCCCTGTTCCTTTTATGGGTCAGTTCAAAAGTCTTTTCCTTCGTAAGGCCTTAAGTCTGTCCTGTGACCTCTCATATCAGGTTGCTCTTATGTCCAGGACTATAGATCCATTCTGAGACTGCAATGGGATGAAGTTAATAATCATGCTGTGACAATAGAGATAAACTGGAACTGTGCTGGAACAGACGGTCACCAAACCCATTTTGTTTTGCCTTGAATTACAATTAGTTACTTAAATGTCTATCTCCGTTTTCTTTTCCTCTCTATTCTTCATATTTGTCATCATCACCAACATCACTATGATGAAATTTATATTTAAAAGTTCCATCACAATTACCATGTGTCTGGCACACATCATGCACCTTACATTAATAACTCATGAGTCCCTGCAGCAACTACAGGAGGACAGCACTAATGTTATCCTCATTTTATATGGAAATCATTGAGGCATAGAAAGGCCAGGTAACTTATTCAAAGTCACACAATTGGAGGCAGCAGGGCCAGGATTCAGTTTCAGACAGTCTGGCCTCTTCATTACTATTCCTGTTTTGTGTCCCTAAATGGGACTTTTCACAGCAAAGGTGCTAAGTTGTCATTTGAAAAGTAAATGACACCTGAGTTCACACACTTACACTCTTATTCCTAAATACTGTGGAAAAACAGGGTTTGGAGTAAAAATAATAATGTCAATATAATAGTTTTGTTCTGTCCAAATCTCTGTGGCAAAATTTTTAAAAACCTATCCACACCAAATGTTGTCCTTAGTCTTTTCAGACCTAAATTAAAAGTATTAAATTGACTTGGTGAAATGAGTTATTAGAAGAAACATATACATTTTTAAAGTTGCTTTTTCATTAGAGCTTTGCCACAATGTCTATAAGTGGAGATAGCAGCTGTATTTTCCTTAACGGGTCAAATGCTTCCAAACTGTCCTTGACAGTAGCTAAACACAAAGGACATTTTTGCCAAAGGTTCATGGAAAAAAGAGATAACACTTAATTAGAAAAGATGAAGCGTTTATATGACTTAAGTGAACTCTTTCGCTAAATTTGAGATAAGTCGTGTTTAAAACAGCCCTGGCCTGAGATTGCCAGTCAAATATGTGTTAGTAAACAGAATAATCCTTGATTTTGATTATCCACATACTTAATGCCAAGAAAAATCACAGTCCTAAAAAAAACTTGGATCCCAAGAAATTAGGTAGGATTGATGCTGCTTTTCTTCCATGTAAAGCTCTGCTTTCCATGTGAACCATAATGTATTTAAATAAAGTGCATTCAACCAACTTAATACAAGAGATAAAAATAGAATTACCTTAATGATGTGTATAAATAGGAACATGATGTGATTAAAAAATGATTTTTTTTTTTTTTTGAGATGGAGTCTTGCTCTGTCGTCCAGGCTGGAGTGCAGTGGTACAATCTTGGCTTACTGCAAACTCAGCTTCCTGGGTTCACTCCATTCTCCTGCCTCAGCCTCCCGAGTAGCTGGGACTACAGGCGCCCATCACTATGCCCAGCTAATTTTTTTTTGTATTTTTAGTAGAGATGGGGTTTCACTGTGTTAGCCAGGATGGTCTCGATCTCCTGACCTCGTGATCCGCCTGCCTCGGCCTCCCAAAGTGCTGGGATTACAGGCTTGAGCCACCGTGCCCGGCCAATGATTTTTTTCAAAGGCTGGATTATTAAAAATAATATGGACATAAATTTACTTTTTAAATGTCTTTATTGGATACATAATTTTAAACCAAAAGACAATTAAGTTGATATAAAATCTAGTCTTTTTTTTTCTTCATAATTGTTAGAGGGACTTAAATCAGGTTTAATCATTCAGGTTCTTCCAAACTTAAAACAAAAATAACATACTTTTCTAAAATATGTGTCTGGACAATTTCAACTAATTATAAATGAATTTATTCCCATATTCCAATATAGTAAACTTTTATTTGATGCACACTGTATCAAGTAGAAAATAATCATTCTCACAGATGTGTGTGTGTGTGCATACACATTCCAAGGACAAGGGTAGCTAAAATCTGCACATAAATCTAATTTTTCTCAGATCGATCCCATTAAACTAATGAACTCAAATCTTATGGAAAGTTTGAGAATCTAGTAAACTTCAAATGTATTGATTAGTAGATATGATTTTATTGACTGTTAAAGAGCAAACCATTTGCAATCTTCTGTCTTTATCAAAAAACAAAACATGCATGTAAGGCCTTGGAATATTTGATACTCTATCCTGATTTAAGTCCTGCAGATAGCAAATTCCTGTCCTCCTCCACACTCCAGGGAGCTACTCTTTCCAAAATAAGTTCAGAAGCTTTTTTAATGCATGACTGTGCTCAGCCCAGTCCTGTGGGAGGTGTGGAGAAAGAAAGGAATTTGGCTAGGGGAATTGAAACATATTAAAAAAACAAAACACAACACAATAACAACATTAAAAAAAACCCCACTAATCTTTTGATTTGGCTGCAGACTAAAGAGATGAGTCTGTAAACTGGATTTAATAATTTTCCAGTATCTTGAAGGGTCAACTCCCCCTCCATGTATTGGAACTAAAAATAAAGAGAGCTGCTAATTTCAAAACCCTGTTTTAGAGTATAGATCTTAAAATGTGTATGTCTCTCTTTTATTATAGCTGACATATTTAAAGTGAAAATGAGATGGGTTTTCCCCCCACAGGAAAGGCTATATTACACCAAACCAAACGATAGCATTTAAAACTGGAATAGTCCAAGTCTTTACTGAGGCCCACCATTTCCCAAGAAAGTCACTGAAGGTGTGATTTATTCAAGACACCAAGACCCACATCTTCCACATTCAAATTTTAGCATTCTATCCTTTTTAGTTTTTGTATGTGTTTCTCTAAAACTTGGGAACATTTCCATGCAATGCAAATAGAGTTGTTGTGGAAGAAAAATAAAGCATTTCATTTCCCAAATACAAATATAATGCAAAGACACATGAGTACCTATTTTCCAAAACCACATTAAAAATGTAAAAAAAAGTAGAATTTTAAAATTATATAACCCAATATATCACAAATCAGTTCAACATGTAATTTTTAAATTCTGTGTATCTGAACTCTTGTATTTTACACTAATAGGCCAACTCACTTTGGACTAGCTACGTTTTAAGTGCTCTGCATTCACACCTGGGTAGTGGCTGCTGTGTCTGTGCAGTTCCTATGTTTGTGAAATGGAGGGTTAACACACAGAGAGCTCTTTACTTCTTTACTGCACTGGCTTTTCACAGCCATTGACATGCTAATGTGCATCATGCATACTTATTAACATCTGTTCAGGCAATGCTGTTGGACATGCTGCACTACACCATGTGGCACCCTTGTGAAAAACTTCTTTATGCCATTGGATTTTGAAGATATGGCTAAGAAATGACACTGGATTTTGAAGATATGGCTAAGAAATGACACTGGATTTTGAAGATATGGCTAAGAAATGACACTGGATTTTGAAGATATGGCTAACAAAGGTCTTAACTCTAGATTTTACACCCAGCTCTGCCACTTCCTAGATAGCCAACATTGCACAAAATACTAACCTCTCTTAAATGTGTTTCCTTATATAGAAAATGGAAATTTTACCAATATTGCAGGACTGCTCTGATGACTAAATGAGAGCATTAGTAAGGTACCCAGAAAAGTACCTAGCACACAGTAGGCACTCAATAAATTATGTATGTATGCATTTTCTCTATATATTTATGTATCTCTAACATATTTTAAATAATGGAGGAGTTCGTGGTTTTGAGTAAATCTTACTATATGAGTACATTTTTCAAGGTCTTGATTTAGCACTATTGTATAAATCTGCATCTAGAAGCCTTAAGTGTAGGAGGATCAGAGGTGGGGCTCTCAGAAAGAAGAAAGGGCACTTTTTACTGGCTTTCCTTATGCCAGCTTCATACTGAAGCTTTCCATTGCAGCTTCAGCCAGAAAAATGCTTTATTAGATTTAGACAAGATTCCTTTCGAAGAAGAAGATTCATAGTTAAAATTTGTAACTTACTATGTTAAGAAATTCAAGAATGGTTAAATGGTTTAAACGTATGCTCAAGTCTGCAAAAAAGTTATATTTATTACAGGTAAATTGCCTTGTGAAGTAGATTGCTAGGACAATTGGTCACTTAAAACGGAAAGGTAATTACTTATATTTGTAAACAGGAAAACATGTTATACTAAAATTGAATGCTGCAAAGTGAGTCCTATACAAACCATATTAATGAATTTGCTGCTGGGATAGTCCGCATTCCACAAGCTACAAAATTGATACCTCAGTACTATTTAATAGAAATTAAAGATAGAGCTGTTTAGAAGTAGCTTTGACTTAACTTTACTCTTGATTTTCAAAAGTGAAGGAAGGATCAAAGCTAAAACTCTGTGAAGTTTCCACAGAACATAATTAAAATTCAAGAGTGCACAACAGAAAATCCAAGGTAATATCCAATCTTCACAGTGGTTTATTTTGAAGACTAGCTTTACACTGAAATTGTACAAACATTTGTCAACTTAGTAAAAAATAACTGCAAAATTGTATGTCTAATTTAGCAAAAACAAAAAATCCTGGTAAAATAGAGAATACACAGATAGTGTGTTTGCACAGGAATAAAATTAATTATAAGAATCCCTCCATAGACACTGCAGTTGGAAAAGGAATTTCTGTGGCCCTTAGGCTCTCAAGAGTCCTACTCTATGTACAGATGGTCCCCAACGTATGATGGTCCAACTTAACAATTTTTCAACTTTACATTGGTGCGAAACTGGTATGCATTCAGTTAGAAACCATATTTCAAGTACCCATGCAATCAATCTGTTTTTCATTTTCAGTACAGTATCCAAGAAAATTACATGAGATATCCTTTATTGTAAAATAGGCTTTATGCTATCTTGTCCAACTGTATGCTAATCTAAGTGTTCTGAGCACCTTTAAGTTAGGCCAGGCTAAGCTACATTTGGTAGGTTAGGTGTATTAAATGCATTTTCAAAATAAGGTATTATCAACTTACAGTGGGCTTTTCAGGACTTAACCCACGGTAAGTCAAGGAGCACCTGTACTTTCTTCTAGGTGACAACTTCTTTTACTAAAAGTGGCACTCTTATCTGCTAAAATAGTCTCTGTCTAGTATTCTATGCATGTTTCCTCAAATTATCTCATTTTTAATCAATTAAAAATATTTTGGCCAGGTGCGGTGGCTCACACCTGTAATCCCAGCACTTTGGGCGGCCGAGGTGGGCGGATTACCTGAGGTCAGGAGTTCGAGACCAGCCCGACCGACATGGAGAAACCCCGTCTCTACTAAAAATACAAGATTAGTTGGGTGTAGTGTCGCATGCCTGTAATCCCAGCTACTCGGGAACCTGAGGCAGGAGAATTGCTTGTACCCGGGAGGCGGATGTTGCGGTGAGCCGAGATCGCACCATTGCGCTCCAGCCTGGGAAACAAGAACGAAACTCTGTCTCAGGAAAAAAAAAAAAAAAAAAATTAAATTTGAAGAACTAGCTCCTTCAATGACAGTGTTTCCATCCACTTTACGGATGGAGACCTAGGAAGACGGGCAGTAAAATCAAAGAAGCTGGAAATATTTGACCTTATACACAATACTCAGGAAGATTTATTACATGGTGGGACTATTCCAGTTGAGGCCTAATCAGCTCTGGCTTGGACAATTGCAGCTGATTCCTGTCTGTGCATATTTGGGTGTCTCTGGCCTCTGGACTTGATGAAATGTGAAATTTCGTAACTTTTAAAGTAACTACAAAATCCAACTAAATAAGAGAAATCACAACAGACACCAAAGCAAACAGTAATTGGTTTAAAAAAATGCCTGGGAAACAGGCCAGTGGGATTGTGAAACGTAAACTTCTTTATATAAATGCATTTCAACTGTTAAGAAAGGGTTTTGAAAAGAACTAAAAAAGAAAACTGGCTGGGCGCAGTGGCTCACGTCTGTAATCCCAGCACTTTGGGAGGCCGAGGCGGTCAGATCACAAGGTCAGGTGATCAAGACCATCCTGGCCAACATGGTGAAACCCCCCTTTACTAAAAATACAAAAATTAGCTGGGTGTAGTGGCGCATGCCTGTAATCCCAGCTACTCGGGAGGCTGAGGCAGGACAATTGCTTGAACCATGGAGTTGGAGGTTGCAGAGAGTGGAGATTGCACGACTGCACTCCAGCCTGGTGAAGGAGCAAGACTCCATACCAAAAAAAAAAAAAAAAAAAAAAAAAGAAAATTTCCAACCTAACATTAAAATATAAACTCTCTCATACTATTGGTTACATTAAAACGACAGAAGTGTCCTCAAGTTGATTAGAGATTGCATTTTCTCATTTTCCAGTATCAATATGTGAGACACTTAGTTTTCATTATGAAAACGAATTATGAGAGTTTTGTTTTTGAGGCATTTCATTCAAAGCACGTATCAACAACCATTTGTTAAGCACTGATTATGATTTTAAAGGCACCTTAAAACTATTATTTATAATCAAATAACAGCAAATTGTATTGACGGCTTATACATTCCACACTCCCCTCTAGGTACTTAACATGTACTGTGAACTTATTTAATGCTGACAACAACCATTAAAATTAATGGATTATTTAATCCTTATTTATTTTCAGATGATATAAATGGAGGCAGAGCAAAACTAAATTATTTGCCCAGATTTTCCCAGTTAATAAGAAATTGAGCCAGGATTTGAAGCCAGACGGGGTGCCAGAGCCTAGGATTTTCACCATCACTTTCTACTTCCAACATAACACACTAAGCAATGATGATGCTACCATCTGTAATAATGATTACAGTATCAACTAAATTCATTTACATAAGGTGGTTCTGCAAACGGCAAATGATGTAAAAAATGGTAACTGTGCTCTTAAGTAGCTTCACATCTAAGGAGTAAAAAATAGCTCTGATGAAAGACATTAATAAGTATCTCCTTTTTTAAATCTGAAAAACTATTATGGCTCAGAGGAACTCAAGGGCAGAGTGGGGATAGGCGAAACACTACTTACACATTTTCTGGAAATAAGGTAGCATCTTTGGGGTCCTCTGACAGACATGGAGTCAGAAGCTCTAGGTTTAAAACCTTCATCTGGTCTTGCTCAAGTTAATTAACCTCTTTAAGCCTTTTTTGATCTCTAGTTACTGTCAGTATTCAATGAGAACATATGGATTTTAATCAGTACTTTTTCAGTAACAAACTGAATTCGATTAAACTAGATTAGGCATAAAAAAGTAGACTTTTAGAAGGTTACTGAAATGAAGAGAATTTTAGAAACCACAAGCGCCTTAGGGACTTTAAGAATGGCAACTGGGACAATGATTGGCTCACTCGTCCAATGCTGGAGGACTCGGATTGGTCAGGTCTAAGCCTAGAGACGGAGAAGTAAGAAATGCGATTGGCAGCTCTATCAGAATCATGTAGTTCCCAGAAGGGCACCCTGAAGAACAGATGCCAGAGGAGTCTAAAAGAGGTATCACAAACAAATTTAAAAGTGCCAAATTTAAAAGTGCCAATACATTTTACACACCATTTTAAAAGTGCTAATAAAAATAACATTGACAGACACAAATGAACACTTCCCACATTGTAGGCACTGCTCTAAGCATATCACATGTAGTAAGTAATACAGTACTTGGAGGAAAGCCCAGGTTATGCACAGGACACTATTTGGATACAGTGTAGAAAGGAACAGGCCTCAGGTGATGAAGAGCATTAAATGGCAGGCTAACTTATACTTAATTTTATTGACAAATCAGAGCCAATGCAGATCAAGGAATAGAAGGTGATAGGGCCACAGTTCTACATTAGGATAACTAACCTGGGTTTTTCGAGAAGAGAGAAATGGGAGGTGGGGAATTTAACTAATAATGCCATTTTAAGAGGAAGTTTAGCAAAGACTTGAATAGGTAGTAGTAGGAATAGAAAGGAAAACAAACAAAAAACAGATTTAAGGCTTTGTAGAACTGTCAGTAAATTGAAATGGAGATTAGGAATCAGAAGAGTTCCACCTAATGCATGCAGGGCTTAAAACTTAGATGACAGGTTGATAGGTGCAGCAAACCACCATGGCACATGTATACATATGTAACCAACCTGCATGTTCAGCACACGTATCCCAGAACTTAAACTAAAAAGTTCCCCATTGAAGGAATAAATGATGATGGTACTTAGTAAGGAAAAATGGCAAAGTCAGGGTGAGAACTGGTGTAAGGAGAGAATGATGATGAATTTAGTTTTGAATATAATGAGTTAAAAAGCAGGCAATGCATTCTCAGAAGGGGATATCAAGAAGGCAATTCCAAATGTGGCATCACATCTCATAGCTTGGAACAGGGAAAATCTGAGCTTCTGGAGTAGCTGAAATTGTAAAAAGAGCATAGAAAAAGAAGAAATGAAGAAACAACAGACTGATACTTAAATTCTAATCCAAAATGTACTTAGCCAATAGGTTTGTAAAATTTTAAAAATTTAAATTTATTAGGATTTATTAACACAATTACACAGAATAAAGTTCAGGATTTCATTAATGATGGTCACCAATATGTGCTTCTTTGTGGCTTTTTAACCCATAATTCTCATGATTCAAATTTATTCATATTATAGTTGAATTTCATACACAGCTTCACAATGTGGATATTACAGGTCCACCAGTAAAATTAATGAAAACATATCTTTCATGAAAGGCACATAAAGAATCTAAACTAACACATTTAAGGAACTTTGATAACTTTGAATTTCTTTACATTACAAAGAAGAAAATCCTCCAAATGAAACAGATATGAATATAGTTTATGGTTACACACACACACACACACACACACACACACACAAATATACTTCAACCCAGTGACAACACGTAACTTGGAAACTACTTACCAGCAACGTGTACTGAAAGACTAACCTTTTCCAAGATGAGTAAAAAAAGGAGGGTGGGGTGGGGAGTGCTGTTTACTTTGCTGAAACAAGGTCAGAGATGACACATCATGAATAATCAAAAGAAAATTATTCTATCAAAGCTCAGTATCTAGCTGATACATAACACTTATTTGAGCACACATATAATCACTGACTTATTAAACACTATTACTCATTTTCTAAGTGTAATCGTCCATTTCATTCTCAGAAATAATAGTATAATTGAAAAAGAAATGATATAATCTCAAGCAAGTGGAGAAATTTGAATTATCTAAGGGAAAAAAGTAATTTTAACATAGTGTGATAATTACATTTGAAATTAGTTATATGTATAAATTTAAATCTTGCATTATATCAGCAATAGAGTATTCAAAGATCCTTCTTGTTATCTTCCCAACAAGGAGCTATCATGTATGCTAGGTACAAGAGACTCCTCAAGGGAAATAAAAGCCTCACCAATCAATGTCTCAAAATTCATTATGTCCACAGGTTTTTTTTTTACCCACAAAAATGCTCTTAGGATCCCTCCAAACTTAGTTATAAACAAAAATGTAGTTATTTAAAGTGAATAAAAATTAAGATGACATCACCTTTGAGGCAATGCATTCATATCAGCCAAATATTAAAATTCAGAGTGAAAACAAGTGAATAAAAACTAAGTGTGTACAATAAGTCTAAGACAGTATATCCTCAGAAATCTGAAATTTTAGTTTTTCAAACCAAATCTAACGTGGAATCTAATGTAAAATTAAATTATTTTATTTTCTTAAAGTAGGAAAAATCAAAATGCATACAATGTTTAAATAGTTGATCCAAAGGCAGGTGTATTCATCTTAAGAACATTTCAATAAAACACATAAAATTTAAAGAACAAATCATGTTATTAAAATAGTCTGTGCAATGTTTGTACAAATAACATTTTTATTAATACAAGTATACATATAATCTAGATAAGGGCTGTAATGTTTCCTAATATTAATTACTGTACTTAAAAATTTACAGGACATGAACATAAATAAAGCTGTTTAAAACTGGCAAACGTAGTAATAGTCTGTCATTCAGTACAAGGTATATTTATGTTATTTCCAAAGCCATCACCCTAAAATCCTAAGTTGCCACTCTTAAAACCTAAAAATAATGTCGAAAACTAAAGTCATAAATACATGTATACATACATTTGCATATTTACACTTATGCAGAAATCATCAATATACTAGAGCCCAGCTTTAACACTGTCCTTCAGTTTCACACTGCAGGACCATCTGTCACATTTAAGAAAGGTCCTTCTGTTACTTTCAGTTAAAAAAACAAAACAGAACAACTTTGGTCAAGTCCCAGATGCATTTGCCTTATATTACATTCTGTGTTGCTGCAAGACTCTAGTCTACAGAGATCCATATATAAGTACTCATTTGGTTTGAAAATGCATTTTACCATGAACTGCAAAACTTAAAAGAGACCACAATCTTTTAGATTATTTTTTATGATGACATCTGTTACAGCATCAAAAACAAACTGCACATTCTTAGTATCTGTGGCACATGTGAAGTGGGTGTATATTTCCTTTGTGTCCTTTCTTTTATTGAGGTCTTCAAACTGACATTGAATATATGCAGCTGCCTCTTCATATGTGTTTGATCCTGAGATGGAAAAAGGAAAGAAACATAAATGCAAAAAGTTAAAATAACTGCTTAAAATACTGAATTCAGTTTCATACATATGAAACTGAAGTCAGTTTCATACAGTTTCATTCATGGACTCCTTAACTGTGCTTTCCCTTCTAGAATGGGAGACACTATTTCTTCTAAATGAAAAACACTCCATGTTAATTACCTTTAATGACTAAGTTATCCCTTAAACAAAAAATTTCCTTTACATGGCATTCCGTGTTCATCATGATCTTTGTTCCTGCCTCAATCCTCAAATGCCAGATCTTTTATCCTCTTATCCTCTGTCCTCTACACCCCAGCTCAGATGCTTGACGACGGCATGCTATTTCAGTTCTGGCCCAATGGTGGATCAAAAAATGTTGGCTGAATGCTGATCAGTATTTTTTCCTCCCTTTTCTATATATACATTAATTTGCATTCTTCACTCATTTTTCTTTATTCAAAAATTGTACCAAGGTCTACAATGATGTTTAGGAGTATGAGGTTACAAAAAAAGTGAATGACACACTCCAGCTTTCAGGTTATTGACTATAAAAGACTTCCTCTGAGTACAAACACTCCAGAAATTGTTTGGCAATATCTAAAGATAATCACACACACACTCTGACCCCGCAATTCAGTTTCTAGATATACACTTGACAGAACTGTGTATCACTGAAGACACAGAAGAAGTGAGAATGAAAGTACTCAGTAACATGAATTAATCTCCTAAGTGTACTGTTGAGCAAAAGAAGCTAGATGCAAAAAGATCGCATACTGTATGATCCAACAATGTTTGAAAAATGAACTGGTGAGGACAAAAACCTCACCAATAGTGTCTGTGGAACATGTGAAGTGGGTGTATATTTCCTTTGTGTTCTTTCTTTTATTAAGGTCTTCAGTGATTATCAGTGAGTAATCAGTGATTACTATGTGTATGGGTTGTGATTGTGTTATGTGTGTGTTGTGGGGAGGGTTTGATTGGTTAAGACTGAGAGGAAGCATGATGGGGCTTTCTGGGGTCCTGAAGCTGTTTGGTTTCTTGACCTGAGTGGTGGATACTGGTACATTAACCTTTAAACACGCACTTATGCTGAGGGTGTGTGTGTACGTATGTATGTATGTACATAATATTATAATATACATTAATGTATATAATGTAATGCTCTATGTAATGCTTCAATAAAAAAACTGAAAAACATTCAAATTTCATTTGGAAAAAAACTGTTTAAACCCCTCTTTTGTAGTAATAATCCAAAATTATCTGCCAGACTTTCAAGGTCCTCTACTACCCAGCCTGCTCTGCAGTGCCATCATTCTGAGATCCTCTCCTCCACACTGGCGCTCACCCCAGGTCCATGTCGTGAGGACCTAACATGCAAACTGCCACCTGTGGTACTGTAGTACTTCCTCTTCATTCTACTTCACCGGCTGAGATCTCTGCCTGCCTTCACATTTGCTCAAAATTGGCACTCCATCTAACTTTTCCTAATTAATCAAATCTAGCTGGGTTCTCTATCACTTAAAAACTTTTTCCTCCTCCTAGAAATAACTATTTCAGTTTTTGTTATATTGCTTTATAGAGTCTTAAATTCTTTTTCAGTGCTGAATCTCCTAAACTAGAATGTGAACTCTTCAAGAGTAAATATCATACCCCACAAGCCTCATACTCCTTTTATATCTTATAGAATCCAGTGTAATACAATGTGACAAATGCCCATAGGAATGTTGTGTAATGTGCTATGACAGCATAGATTATGAGATTTTTATTAGGGATAAAAAGGTACTAAAGCTATCGTCTTTAAGTTTACATTTTAACTCTTTTATATCACTAGAAATCACATACTTTTAAAAATCAAATTTTATTAAATCATAAGTTTCGTTCTCCAAAATTTTAAAGCAATCAACAGCATCTTGTTGGCCCACAGAAGCTAATGCAACTGCTAAATTAAACTATGCTTCAGCCAAACAGCTTACATTGAGTGCCTAGCTCAATTTGCTCTATATATCCTAGGCAGCTAGCTAGATTACCCTAAAAGCTACAACACATATGAATGAACATTCTTCATTCTGATTTTAAGTCTTAAGAAACAAATGGCAAAGCAGGGACAGGAGAGCAAATATGATAGATTGTTTTTTAATGTGTGATAGAATTGTCCTGAACAAAGGTAAGTATAGGTGATAACCAGGTTCAAAAATGAAGAACTGGGAGGCTGATGACACAATCAAAAGGGAAAGAGAAGAGATCTGAGTGTAAACAAGAAAAAGAGTTCTGTTTGAGCTTCAGGTGCTAACCAACCAACCAACCGACCAACCCAACCAACCAAACAACAACAAAACATGTATGTTCAAGCAGTTGCTAATGTAAATCTAAGGCTCCAGAGAGAAATTAGGGCTGACCACAAAATTTAACCTATTGAGAATAGATACGACTATGAAAGGATAAGAGAGCTAAGATGACGTGACTGCAGATGAAACTGGTGAAGTGGCAACATACAGGAAAAAGAAGAGGAGGAGAAGGGTAACACAGGAGCAGACAGACAGGAGATAAATCAAGTGAGTTGTTTAGGGGCTACACAGGGTTCTTCCACAGCCACAGGAAATTGAGAGTTGCGGCTGAAGCAAGAAGCAACTGAATCAATACTTTGGGCATGCCATGGAGATCTTAAACAATAATCTTAACTCTGGGGATGTGAAAGAATTATGTAATATTCTTTTTGTGCAAAGATTCTGAAGTCAGGTATTCTTATTAACTTAAGCAAAACACAAGCAAAAATTCCTAAACACACTGTCTACTTGGCAAGGAAAGAGCTAACAAGTATATTCTTAGTTGCTCTAAAATCCCCGTAGGTATACAATATTTATGGATTCACTTGGGGAATCTGGTACTATGAATTAGTACAAAATGGCTACATCATAGAATATGATAAAAATAAACTGAAAAATATATTCAAATAAGGGAAAAATTAAGCCATCTTGACTCTGGGTAGCTTATTTCTAATAAGCACAAAAAAATGTTGCTGAATACAGTGATTTAGGACTTTGACTTTCAAAAAGAAAGCAAAGTTTTAAAGTAAGTAAATGTGTGAAATTAGTTTGAACTGAAGTGTAATTTCACCGTACACAAAAAGAGCTATAAGTAACATGATTATATTTACCAAAGAACCCTCCCCTTTTGGTTCCACTGAATGTTTAATTAAATGTAGCCTAGTCGTTCATGGTCTAGGAGCAGGAGGACAATGGACTTGGGTCTGGAACTGGACTCTGGCTTCAGGAAGCCCCGGTATTCTCATTTGTATGGGTAGGGATACCTGAGCACTGACATCACAGGGTTGTCTTAACATTTCCTGTAAAATGGCAGTGAATACTCATCGTACAATTTACTCAACACAAGACTGAGGAAAATTCTGTTTATAAAAAAACAAATTCTTGAGACTTTTAAAAAAAAAAACAGGAAGAGTGGGGTGAGGGTAAATAACTAAACTCTTCAAACTATCTAGATTTGGAGATTACATAAACCAGTGGTAATCAAACTCCCTGTTTTTTTAAGGCATACTGAATGCTCTTCACTAAAGTAAAACTTTACTCAATACATAAACCAGATGAAAGCTGAGTTACTCTGCTTTAATGAAAAAGTTATAAGGTGGTGGGTGCAGGGGGCAGTAATTAGCTCTGTTCCCTCTCCCATTTCCGCCTTCAACAGCAACCCAGGAGGTGCTCCAAGGAACTAAATTAAACTAAAACTAATGTTTTAGCCCAACTCCTGACTTCACAGATGGAATACTGAGACCTAGGTGAACTAACTGCCTTGTTCAAGATCAAAGAGCTAATTATGGAAAAGTCAGGACTGTACTTCAGGTCTACTTTCCTCACTCCAGGGAATTTTCCATCATAGTAAAATTAAAGCACTATTAACAGTCTCATTACCAAAGTTTTGGCTTCTTGTGAAACCTTCCCTGCCCTTCTGGAAGAGTTAGCTGCCTCAATGATCCTGTCTTCATTTCCCCTTACTATAATGTTCATGTTCCTTATTTTAGCAGTAGGTTGCACTGCTATTGCCTGTTGTTTAAGTATGTCTGTCTTTCAGATTAGATGGTGGGCAGAGACATGTCTTATTTATTGTACATCACACAGTACCTGATATGAAATCTGTTAACTGGATTTAAAAAATAGTATTTTAACTTGGAGTCATCACTAAAAATTATCTAACTGCTTTTCCATAAAATGAATACATTATTTTCAGTAATTTCATCTACATCTTAAGGAAATTTTTATGCTCAACTGCAGTTTGATAAATAATACCCCTTAAAGGTCTAAGAATCACTAAGCCAAGAGATTTAAATTAACAACTGAATTCTTGCCTTAGGGGAAGTTTCACTTAGAAATATGTAACTTGACAAGTTATTCCCAGAAAAGGAAAATACCTGCATATTCTGGATAGCATATAGTGAGAGGGCTCTTTTTGATTTTTTCTTCAAAGAGATCCTTCTTGTTTAGAAAAAGTATAATGGATGTATCTGTAAACCACTTGTTGTTACATATGCTGTCAAACAATTTCATGCTTTCATGCATTCGGTTCTGTAATAGAAAAAAATAAAACCAATCGTCACTAACAGCAAGGATTTTTGAGGACTATTTTAAAAAATAAAAGGTGTTGTAATAAAACAGAGTTTAGTGATTGAAAAATACGTATCACAAAAATACATTTCTGCCATTTCAGAACACACTTTCACTTTAGGTAAGAGAAGTGTCTAATCATCTTTCACCACTTTTTGCATTCAACTTTTACTTGCCAAGTGCCCACTATATGTCATGCTCTGTGCCAGGGAATATCCTGCTACAGGACATTATAATCTAGGGATGTGAAGTGTGAACATGTGAAAAGAAATGACATTGTCATAGAGTTCATTTCATCTAAATTTCCATTAGAAGATAAATAGAGGTTTTTAAAGATTAATAACTTAAATTGAACAAGCTAAGACCCAATTAGCCCAATACTCTAAATATTATAATAAATATAAATACTGGAAGGACACTTCCAATTCCTGTTTCTTGACCTTCCAGGATCTGTGCTCATCAAAGAGGGCACTGATACATTTTATAGTGCTGAAATGAAAGAAATGAACATGTGGTGTTGCACTGCACCTACTACACTATAATTTCATATACTTGATTTTAAAAATACAATCGTCTCTCGGTATACTCAGGGGGATTAGTACAAAGACCTCCAAGGGTACCAAAATGTGCATACACTCAAGTCCAGCAGGCAGTTCTGTGGAACCCACACATAGGAAAAAGTGGCTTTCTGTATACTCAGGTTTTGCATCCCATGAATGTGCTTGGTTGAAAAAAATTTTCATATATGTGGACCCATGCAGCTTAAACCCGTTGTTCAAGGGTCAACTGAACAAAACCGACATTTCTACTTTTTCCCCCACTTTGTAATAAAGTTAACTTAAAATGACAAAGTTTTACATTTCTATTTAAAAACATTTCCCCCATATTAATGGTACACTGAAACCTATCTGAAAATTACAGGGCAGCAACAAAGCATAACATATATTAAAGATTTACCGGCTGGGTGCGGTGGCTCAGGCCTGTAATCCCAGCACTTTGGGAGGCCGAGATGGGTGGCTCATCTGAGGTCAGGAGTTTCTGACCAACCTGGCCAACATGGTGAAACCCCATTTCTACTAAAAATACAAAAATCAGCTGGGTGTGGTGGCACGTGCCTGTAATCCCAGCTACTTGGGAGGCTGAGGCAGGAGAACTGGCTTGAACCTGGGAGGTGGAGGTTGCAGTGAGCAGAGATGGTGCCACTGCACTCCAGTCTGGCAACAGGGCGAGACTCCGTCTCAAAAAAAAAAAAAAAAAGATTTACTAAACTAACAGAAGTAACAAATTAAGAAAAGGGAATCTTGGACTACTATGTAACTATATTTCCATGTGCTATGTTGATATTAGATACAGAAATGCATAGTTAAGCTTACAGGCTTGAGGTGAGATTGACTCTCCATGTTTTCCTTTTCCTCAAGATCCACCTGTGCTTCTCTAGTATATCTCTCTTTTATCAAATAGAAAAGTTAGAGGAAAGACCCTGTACTTTCAAATTGTTATAGACATTAGAAAGAAATTCTTGGCAACACCTTCAGCTCTTCATGTTTCAAGCTCAACTCTTAAAGTAGTTCTACTTGCCATTTCTTCATCTTCAGCTAGAACCAGGTCGTAGTCACTCAGTGCTACACAGAAGATGATCGCCGTCACTCCTTCGAAGCAATGAATCCACTTCTTCCGCTCAGATCTCTGACCTCCCACATCAAACATTCTGTTAAGAGGAGAAATGAGTTAACATCACATTAAATGTTCAAAAAGCTCTGAGAAGTTCTTTAATGCTAACAAAAAAAGCTCTGAATAGTTGTGGAAATGTCTGATGAAAAGGAAGGAGAGAAGGACTTTATGGGAGAAAAAAATGTCACAAACTGGACTTCTCAAAAGGGGAAAAAAACCTGCTAGTTTTTAAAATTTTTGATTGAAGGGAGGGTATCTCTAAAAAAAAAAAAAAAAGCAAAAACAAAAATAACCTCAAAAAAACGAGACATTAACACACATGAGAACACTTAGAACATTAAAGCAAATACAAATGAATGGACTGCACTATGTGTAAACACTGAGAAGTCACATGAAGCAACTGGGGAATGCAGAGATCAAAGAGTAAATATTCCATTTGCCACAGTCACGGAACATTGAAGGCAGAGAACAGAGACCCCTCCTCCTACTAAAACATGTCGTTTTAACTCAGAAATAATAAGCAAGGCTTTGATGTAAAGAAGAAACCATTTCAGGTAAGAAAATGTAGGGCAAGCAAATGAAATTCAGATAGGGTAGGTTTGCATAAAAAGTAAAATCATGATACATTACAAAATGAGAGAACTGAAATATGAAATAAATGAGGGATCCTACTGAATGGCCTTAAAATTTAGAATGAAAAAAATTCAATTTTTATACAAGAGTGAACCACTATAGGTTAGTGAACAAAGTAGTAGCAAAATCAAACAATATAAAGACAATAGTCTATTCCTTTTCTCTTATAAGACTTTATAAAGTTAAGCAAAAGTTAAAATTTGCATAGACTACATTATGCAACCTAGAAATAACCACTTATATAATGAAAACACTATGCGAACTGGTACATTTTTAAAGGCTCCATTTATCTAGATGGTGCACTAATTAAAATAGTCCCTATTTAATTCCCAGGCAAAAAGAATTTTCCCTACAGAGCAGTACTGGCCTATAAACCAAATTTGAGTACATCAACTAGTATTGTTACTTTTATGATCACTTAAGTGGGCTTCTTCATTCTTTTGGCTTAGCTGGTACCATTGTTCATTAAATTCAGGTAAGCTATATAACAAAATGTTTCTACCACAAACTAAATCACAGAGTTAAGATGTAAAAAACATAGCTGGTAATAACGATCAAACAAGAACAAAATAAATGACAGTAAATTAAAATGATATAAATTGGGTTACCATTTGCTAAAATGCCCAGGAACACAATTTGAAAATAACTTTACTGAAAAGATAGCATATCTCAGATAACTTCTCTGATTAGATGTCACACATCCTCTGTCCATCCAATAACAGATGTCAATAACAACCCAAATGACCCTAGCCCACATTTCCTCTCTGTGATGGTATAGTTTTGTGTGTTAACTTGGCTATGCCATCATACATTTATCTAGGTGTTATTTAATGAAACACTTATTTAGATGTTGCTGTATTTTATAGATATGATTAACATCTGTAATCAGTTAACTTTAAGTAATGGAGACTATCCTTAATAATACAACAGCCCTCAATCACTCTACAGGCTAAAACTGGCAAAAACTGAGGTTTCCCAGAAGAAAATGTAATTCTTCCTCCACAATGTTATGACAATTCATGTCCAAGCTTGCCAGCCTACCCTACAAACTTCGGACTTGTTAGCCTTCATAATCCCATAAACCAATTCCTTGAAATAAACATAACCTACTGGATCTGCTTTTCTGGTGAATACTGATGATACAACTTTAGTGCAGAGAATGAGGTGCTACTCTAACAAATACCTAAAAACATGGAAGTGACTTTGGAATTGGGTAATATGTAGGAGGTAGAAGAATATTTAAGCATTTGACAGAAAATAAAACTACACTATCTTGAAGAGATTGCTGGTAGAAATAGGGAGATTAAAGACAATTCTGCTAAGAGCTGAGATGGAAATAAAGCTGGAAAGAACCTTCTGTTGTCTTAGAGAATACATGTATCATTGTGGACAGAATGTTGTAGATATACAAACGTTAAAGGAGCTTTTAATGAGGTCTCAGAAGGAAATGAAAACATGTTATTATACACTACAGAGAAGACAGTCCTTGTTATAAAGTGGCAAACAGCTGGCTGAACTGTGTGTTCCAGCGCTGGGTGGAAGGTGCAACTTCTAAGCAATGAACTTGGATATTTAGCTGAGGAAAACTGCAAGCAAAGTGTAGAAGGCTGCAGTTTCCTGCTTGCTGCTTATAGTAAAATGAGAGTGGAAGAGATAAACTGAGGAATGAACTATTAAGCCAAATGGAACCAGACGCACAGGGAAGGAGGACATGTGATGACAGGTGGAGAATGGTCATGGTCATAAACAAAGAACTCAGAGTCTAAGCTAGTGGTTCTCAAACTTTGATGTGATTCAGAATGTTAGGAGTCAGATGTTACTAGCTTGGGGGACCATCCTTTTGAGGATCAATTAATCCCCAAGTCAATTAATCCAGAAGCAACAATGACAGAGAACTGATATTACAAATGATCAAACTGCTTAAGTTTGTTGGAATTCAGAGAGAGCTAGATGAAGATAACTAGAAGAAACACTAATTTTTATCACTGCTTTCATTTTCCATATAATGGTAGCTAAAAATGTACAAGCATTATTCATTGCTCTACACTTATATTAGAAGTATCTTCATTATTTTATATACTGTTAAGTTCTGAACTTCTATTTAAAAAGAGCAAAAATATGGTATTTTCTCCTTCATATAAAAAGATAAGAGTTTAAACCAACATCACATAGGAAATGAATTTGAGTTTTCTTAGGGATTCTGAAGGGTGGGGTGGAAGGAGATGTTGGACATGCTGAGAAGTGATGATTTATGCCTTAGACTAGCATCTAATACCACTGTCACCAAAACTAACTGGTACAAAGCTAGCTAACCATATATGGATATCAAACTCATAAACTGGATGTTGCATTCCCAAATGCATAACGCATTTATACTACTATAGAAATGAAATAGAAATTTATCTCATATTATGATAATTTTAGGATAGAAAGAATGCTTTATATCTGACAAAAAAAAGTAAAACACAGTTGCTGATTCTTTAATTAAAGCAAAATGATCCACATAGACACTGGCCATAAATGCCTAATCACAGGGATAATATGAATTCTTAAATTATGATGCCCTATTGCCTCATTTTGAATTTGTTAATACCATTTTTTAATGTGAAACTGAATTTTACTCAGCAGTTAAAATTAAACAGAATTACAACATGAAGAGCACGAAAAAAACCACAAAATGATGACCACACTCAAGAGTTCCCAGTAGAATTATTCTAAATGCATTTCTGCTCTCATTCATCTGAGGCTCATGTAACCTATAAAAAGCAAAGTTGAAACTATATGCTAGTAATGATAGTAATTTAACAGAACTCAAAATCCAAAATAAGACAAAGTTTATCTGAGGTTCCTGACAAACGTGTGTTTATCTTTAAGTCACCAAATAAAAACAGCAACTAAATACATCAACCTCAACCAAGAAGCCTAAATGGAGTATGATAAATGAACCTCCTGGAAGGATAATGTTGAGAGTCAACTTTACTGAATCCCAGTATTTGCTGGATGTTGAAATGACAAGTTTGAAAAACCTAGGCTGGAAGTGAAAACTATGGTCCTGAAATAAATGTTTAAGAGTGCACCTAACCAAGATGAAAAGTGAATTTTATATAGTCAGACTGCCTTAAGTACCAAATAATCGATTTAATATTTGCCTCTGCCACTTATTACTATGTATACAGTTCTCACTTTTACAACATTTTTCATAGGCAATAACTCATTTTATTTTTAAGCCTCTAACACAGAGCAAAACTGTAATAGCCTGTTAAGAAACTTAACCAAGTTTACCCAACTACTTATTAGGGGAACCTAAGTCTAGAATCTTTACTTGTTAACTCCAACTCCACACATTTTCTTCTCAGACAATATTGGTTAGAAATACAGTAGCTCCCCCTTACTCCTGGTTTCACTCTCTGCAGTTTCAGTTACCTGTGGTCAACCAAGGTCCAAAAATATTACAGTATTTTGAGAAAGTGAGACCACATTCACATACCTTTTATAGTACGTTGCTATGATTGTTCTATGTTATTATTACTTGTTAGTCTCTTACTGTGCTGAATTTATAAACTTTATCATAGATATGTATGCCTACGAAGAAACATGGTGTATATAGGGTTCAGTACTATCAGTAGTTTCAAGCATATATGGGGGGTCTTGGAACGTATCCCCTCGAATAAGGGGAGACTACCGTAAGCCATTACCTGAACATAATTTAAGTTTGCTTTAGAACATAATCTTTAAAACAAGGTGAACAAAACCAAAATCAGAATCTAAGGTATACTAGGTTAAAAAAAAAATTCTAAGTCCCAATCTGATAGTGAACTTCCTTGTCATTAAAATCACTTCTTAGTTTTAAGATAAAATGACAATATTCTCCAGATCAGACATATCTGATTACTTGAAATCAGAGTACTGAGTTTGTTTATTTAATATTATGGAAATAGTAATGAGCAGACTAAAAGAAGTTAAACGATTTCAGTAACAGATAATGACAGCAGCGTAAAATGTCCACTGAAGGCTTTAAGAAAAAAATGAAAATAAAAAAAAGCATATGCAACACCATAGCATGTATTAAAGCACAAAGCTAATGTTGCCACATAAATTAATTATTACCTATATCTTTGTTTAAGAAAGCAGGTCAATGTTTGTTTTTTGGAGAGAAGTAGCCATGAAAAATTGAAATAAAGCTTTAGTTTTCTGTAAATTCAATTACATGAACCACCTGTAAATCAGTGACAAGTGATAGTAACAAATGTATTAAATTTAAAATACTTATGGAAGCAATCAGAAGTATCGTTGCATATAATTTAACAGTGTTGACTACTTCTAACAGTGAGACTTCTTTATGAGATGAACTGATAATTATTTTTTCTCTCACTTAGGAACCTTTTTTTCCAAGATGATTTTAGAAATTCTGCTTTATCATCACGACCATTTCAGAGCAACAGAGTTAGCTGAAGCAAAGCCTAATCCATAATTCACAGTAAAGATTTATTTAGAATGATTATGTTGAATCATACAATTTTTAATGAAAATAAAAAAGACAAAATAATTTCAATAACGACATGGGATACTCCATTTGCAAACCAAATGCAGATAAATTACTTTTTTGCAAACAGAATAATATAACAGTAAATTCTGCTTTCTGCTTTTGTAATCTTTTAAAAAATTCTGTTTGGTATTGTGGGGATGGAGTTGGGTAAAAGTTAGATATATACACGGTCTTGTAAAGTTTGAATTTCTACAAAGAAACCAAAAAACTCCACTAAACATAATCTTAAAAAAAAATCACAAACTGGTAACAAATGATTTATCTAATCCTTCGCTGTATTTAAAAGTTGAAATTTAGAAAAACATGAAATATTAAAATTTTCCTTAAAAAACAGATCATAAACACCTTTTCTAATCCAATTTCCTGCAGTGACAACTGGAGTGTGCTCAATTTGGGTCAACGTATCTATAAAGCTCTGCAGCTGAGAGATGATATCTAATTGATGCCCATGACTGCAGTGGCAATCTTCCTTAAAATCAATCTTAACCTTGTTGGGTTAAAAAAAAAACAAAAATATCCCTATCTGTTAAACTTAAAAGAACAACAAAATCCCTGTAAGTCTACAACTCATTTAATTCTAGCATTTTTATTATTTTCATTTCCAGGAATATTTGGTATAGGACATGCATAGGTTTTAATACTGTGTGAATAATGTGACTCTATTATATTCATATAAATTAGTCATTGACTTCAGACGGGCCTCCCAAAGCTGTTCAAGGGCTTTGTGTTTGGTGTTCCTTCAGCTGAACACTCAACTGGCACTTGGGACATGTGACATTTTAAATGAATGTGAATTATAAGAAACTAGCAGATTTTAAAAAAAGAACTTCTGCCTCTTTATTTAGCTTCAATGTACTGAAATAAATAATACTAAGAAGCAAAAAAGGAACATCTGTATTTTTAAATATTTTTTTAACATCAAGTAACACTACAGTGGTCTTAGATGTCTATGAAAATACAGAAGTTTTGTTTCAGTAGAATATCCCGTGATGTTATCTTATTAATGTATATATATTTACATAGGCTACATAATTTCTTTTTTCATGATTTTACTATTACATTAACAGAAATGATGAATAACAGTACAGACTTAAGGGTAATTTTGTTTGAGTGAACAATGAAATCAGTAGATGGAGCATTTTAGAAGAAGAAAGTCATGGTAATGACTAGCAGATGACCTGGAAGGGAAACAGATTAACTGACCAGGAAGGCTGTATAGATAAAACAAGACTCTGCAAATGAAAACATTATATTTCGTTGTGTTTAAGTCCAACAGTTCTCCTCATACCTTGGAAAATGTTATTTACTGGAAAAAGAGGAAAGTAGTTTTGTAAATTTGAATATGATATTTTACTAAACTTTCCTGAGCCTCGTTCATCTTAAAATGAGGGAACTGGAAAAATATGCACTCCAAGACCCCTTGCATTTCTAAAGACTACGATTCGGTGCTTTTCTGCTCCGACCTCAGTAAGTGGATATTCAGTACACTTTAAATGAATACTTCTTATCATGAAATAGTGCATAAGGACTACCTTCATAGGGAAGGTAAGTTCCCTATGAAGAAAACTGTTCACGAAAAAATTGTTAAAGGTGCTCTTCTTAATATTTCCATAAATAAGCACTTATGCTATCAGTAAAACTTGCTCTCTTATTACCTAAAAATAGATGGCAACACTTTCCGAAAACACAGTATATTAGAGCAGAATTTTGTTTAGAAATAAAAGCCAAAAACTATTTTGTTTGAATCACTGTAAAAACTATAGGCAAAACGGAATTTGTGTGGATAGATTTTCTTAAATAAAAACATTCCTCTTAGGAATGCTTTTTTTGACTTCTTTCTCCCAAACATTCTTTTGTCCAATCATCTGAAGAAAGTTTTTTTCCAACTGTAATTTCCAACTGTAAAAATGTTGTAAACTTTTATTACACTTTTTATTTCTAAAGCAATGTGTTTTTATCTAAATTTAGAAATCATATATTTCAAAGCTACTCACTTAAAATGAAGATCTTTGAAAGTAAAATGGGTTTCAACAATTCCTGTAGTTTTCACTCTAGTTCTGAGAACATCTTGTTGAGTCGGGATGTAATTTGGTTGAGCTATTCTGTCCAAGTCATTCAAATAGCTGAAAAAAATTAAACAAAACAACATGTTAATGGTAAATATAGCCAATAAAGATCATCCAAAACAAAAATTAAAACACATTTCAATACAAGCGATAATCTGAAATCACTAAAAGTTTTTAAATTTGTGTGTAAAGATATAATCCAGTTTAAGCTTGTATCTTATCTTACAAACTCCCACGGAAATAAAAATGTTTACACCTCTGCAACCACAAAGCTCTTTTAGTATTTTTTAAATGTGTACTTTATTTCTTAGGGACAGTTATCAGTGATTCAAAGGAAAAAGAATAACTTAAAAAAAAAAAGCTAATACACACCATGAGTTTGTTTCTTAGAATTCTTTATCACACCTTTTGGATATAGCACTGTGTTTATGATCCAGACATCATTCTTTTTTTACTGAAGATTTTTAAAGTCTTAATTTTGGAGCAAGTAGTGATGAAAGCTCTTCCCAAAGGCTGAACGAGATGTTTCTTTTCAACCAGTCTTATGTTACATACAGGAAAACAGCACATACTCCTTTACGCTGCACTTTACTGCTCTCTAAATCAATACATGTTTTAGTCACTCATGTAATACTCTCTGCCACTGGTGCTACATATGTTGTGATATAAAAATGTAGTAGTATCATACCATGCAATGTAAGAGATTAAGTTATCTTGTGTCAAATTATATGGTATAGTCAGTAATTCACAGAAAATACAGGTATGGAGAGATTAATGTGGACCTAGGTGATTAAAGAAGGATTCATGGATAGCGAGGGGTCTAAACAGAAACATGAATAATGGGGATGGAAGAAAAGGAATGACACTGCCCCAGGAGAAGCTGTAAATCAGTATGGAGATGGGAACAGTTGCATGGTCTTTCTTGGAAAGTAAAGCCACTAGTAAGCTATATAAAGCCTTAAATGAGGAGTTTGGAATGAGTCCTAAGGTCAGCTGAATGTAGAGACCATCACCGCAGTGTTTTTATTACGAGACCTATAAGGTGACTGATAACTTAGAAATAAAAAATGTTTTAGACAGTCAAGTGTATGTATGTGGTAATTATACTAGAATACATAGAGAGATGACAGCCTGAGTTACCTGTATTGTATTTACTGAATTTAAGAGAATCTTATTATCACATTGGTGATAATCCTCCAGTACTTTCTCTGTGCTTTTAATTCTAAATGTTCTACTTTACTGTAAGAAAATCCGACTTAACAAATCAAACAAGCCATGGCAAGATTTTACTGCCTCTTTAAAATAATGAGCTACTCTTATTTAAAATGTTCTTTGATTACTCACAGATTTCTTTGCTTAAAACCGTTACAGTTCGCCAGGCGTGGTGGCTGGCGCCTGTAATCCCAGCACTTTGTGAGGCCGAGGTGGGCGGATCACGAGGTCAGGCAATCAAGACCATCCTGGCCAACATGGTGAAACCCAGTCTCTACTAAAAATGCAAAAATCAGCTGGACGTGGTGAGGCGTGCCTGTAATCCCAGCTATTGGGGAGGCTGAGGCAGGAGAATCGCTTGCACCTGGGAGGCCCAGGTTGCAGTGAGCCAAGATCACGTCACTGCACTCCAGCCTGGGGACAAAGCCCGACTCCATCTCAAAAAACAAAAAAACCAGAAACAACAACAACAAAAAAACTGCTATAGTTCAAAAAAATCTCTAAAAATAGTATTTCAATAAGACAAAGAAGAAAAGCAGGCACTGTGAAAAATTCTGATTGTTTTAAATGATTACAAATTTAAAGTGTGAATTGGTGGCTAGTCAGTCCTAATGGGCAACTTGACTGCATCTTAGCATCCCCAGTCAAGAACTCATAGATCACGATGCCCTCTAATCACTATGGAGAAAAATGTTTCTAAGACTTTCTTCATTCCTAAAAAGCAGCCGCATTAGTGCCATCTTAAGGTCACAACTATTAGAAATAAAATAATGTAAAACTAAAGCAACATATTTTTCATTTTATAATTTTAATTTTTTTTTCTTTGAGACATGGTCTTGCTCTGTCACCCAGGCTGGAATACAGCTGTGCAGTCATAGCTCACTATAGCCTCAACCTTCTGGGCTTGGGTGATTCTCCTGACTCAGCCTCTCAAGTAGCTAGGACTACAGGGATGGGCCACCATGCTGGCTAAATTTTTTATTTTTACTTTTTGTAGAGACAAGGTCTCAGTATGTTGGCCAGGATGGTCTGGAATTCCTGGGCTCAAGCGATCCTCTCACCTCAGCCTCCCAAAATGCTGGGATTACAAAGCATGAGCCACCAATGCCCGGCCTATGTTTCTGTTAACTCACGTCCAAGTAGTGTGCACAGGAGAGAGGGTCTTGGACAAGAGACTGAGGGGGTCTGGAAGTTCCCCCATACAGTGAGAAAGAGAACTTCAATCTGTCATTCCCAAGTAGTACCCCTTAATTATTGAAGTAGCTCCTTTTGCTGGACTCGACTCAAAGCAATCTTCTCATCATAGTGACTCCCACTTAAATCTCCACAGATGCTGGTGGTGTCAAAGCAAATATGGTTTATGAGTTGTGTTCTTCCTGTAAGTATTTTTTCTAATTTGTCTTCTAGCCTCTGTGATGTCTGGTTTATGAATTCATTCATTATTAAACAAGATCATATTGGGTGATGACTGTGTCAGGCTATGGGAATACAATATTAGGTAAAAACACATTACTGAATTTACAATGTAATGGCAGAGACAGAAAATAATCAAATATTCACAACATAAACAGGAACAAAATAACCTCAAAATAAATGTAAAGCTGAAGAAAAAGTACATTAGGAGTACCTAAAACTGGAGCGCAAGGACCAACTCAGTGGGTCAAGGAATATTTCTTTGTATAGGATATGATACCAGTTGGAGAGATGGGCTACATATTCAATATGTTTATGTTATATATACATGTATAAACCACGTAATAATACATATGGTTAATACAAGTGTAAAATGTTAAAAATATAGATTATGAAATACAGGGTTATAAAGATTGATGTGGGTGATACAATATTCATTATTTCTTAAACACACTAAATCACACAACATATAGTACCTAGTCTGATGCTGAACAAATAATTCGCTCTTCAGGAGGCACACCTCATTTATTTATTCATTGTGGCAAAGTGCATGCATTCACCTAGACCTTTCAAAATTTGTCATCTATCTAATCCTTGTGTCCCTAACAGCCAACAGCTGTGTCAAGAAAATGGAACAATCCTGGAAAGTAAAACAAATGCACAACATAGGTTTTAAGAGCAATACATATCATATAGGACATTTTGAGTATGTGTGGCAAATTATAAATTTTTTTTTTGTTTTGGTGTTGTTCTATGGAGATCACCAAACAGAAAGCTCCCTGATTAGGTTTTTTTTTTTTTTTTTTTTTTTGAGACATGGCCTCACTCCATCTCCAGGCTGGAGTGCAGTGGTACGAGCATGGCTCACTGCAAACTCAAAGTCCTGGGTTCAAGCAATCATCCTCTCTCAGCCCCCGCTGAGTAACTGGGACCACACGTGTGCACCATCATGACTGGCTAATTTTTGTATTTTTTGTAGAGATGGTGGGGGGAGGTCTCGTTAAGTTACCCAGATGGGTCTCAAACACCTGGGCTCAAGTGATCTGCCCACCTTAGCCTCCCAAAGTGCTGGGATTACAAGCAATGAGCCACCTCACCCAGCCTCCCTGATTAGGTTTCATCACAACTTGCTTTGCAAACTTTCTGGGGCCACCACCTGAAAATTCAAGGCAGATTTTTCTTCCAAAAAACTGTACTTAAATATCTGGAAACAGTGTCAAATACAACAGGGCACACACACAACTGACAATTTTCAAATACAGAGCTATTTTACTTAGTCAAAAAATACCTTGGAGTCATCTTGCACTCCTTCAAAAAATCCCTACTTACAGTACCTGTCATTGGACAAGTAACTCTTCTCAGGCACTGCTAACATAATGAAAGGAACTCAAATCAGTTACACTCTCATTAACATAGCTCCAAGTAAACTAGAAATACACCCCAATTTGGAGTGGATTTTGGAAAGTTCCAGTTACTTTCTTGAAAATATATTGCAACAGGTACCATTCTCCATGTTTCAATTAGAGTTACATAGCATGAGTCTCTTGAGACACTATTGAACATATAGGAAATAACGTTGCTATCTACACACACACAACACACATAAGACAAAGTTTTAAAATATTGTCATCCTGAATATCCTAAGTTGTACAAGAATGTGTCAGCCAATTCTGCAGTAAAATTGACTTGGAAGTATATTTGACTTGCAAGTAATTATTCATGATAGTTTAGTTCTGAAGTTATGATTACTTACTATGCTGCAGAATCATTAAGCTGGTACTCTCGGGATCTGTTGAAACAGGCTTGTACACCACTATCTTTCCACAATCTCTTTATAACTCCAGCAAGTTCTGCAGTCATAAAGCCTTCTTCAGCAGCTCCAGCTAGCACAAAGAGTTGGCGTGCATCATCCTGAACATTCAAAGGACATTTTTTAAGTAAAAAGGGATACGTCAGAGATAAAAAGTACAAAGGAGACAATTCTAGAGTTAAAAAAAAAAAGGCAATAGCGAACTTCCTTTGTTTTTATTAACACGTCATTACTTTTCTTTCTCTAAGCCACCACTTAAAAATTGCCTTGACCAAAAGACAATAATCACACATCATATGTCTATGTTTTGTGGTGTTAGTAGTATCTGTCAAGGCACTAGGAAGCTGGAAGAATAATTAAGGTTCCAGCTCATAAAGGGGACATTAGCCAATTATCCACTGACAGTTTGTTGTGTATTGAAGATGATCATTTTTGAGAAAACAGAAGAAGAACCTATGTCTTCTTCCTCTCTCCTCAAAATGTTTTCTAAACTAAGAAACATAACTTTCAAAGATTAGAGATAGAATTGAATTAAGTGTTAGCTTTCTGATATACCTTATAGTTGCAAAGTAAGTTCAGAGAAGGGAGAAATCAATGTGGAGTGGGCAAGACCAGAAGACTAATTTCATGTAATGGTCTGAGATTTTCAGGAGATTTTAAGTATGGACACATTAAAATCAATGGGGCAGAAGTTGGGAGCAGGTGTTTTGCTAATCCAGGCATAGAAAACAAAATAAGCACAGCTTTGGAGTAGAAATACTCATGATATACATAGAGGACAGTATGTAAAAATTTCTAAATGAAAAGATACTTTATATAAAGTTAATTAAACTTAGCTTAAAATTTGAGGCTACTCATATTTGGTTATTCTGATCCACAAGTAATCAACCACTCTAAATCAGTGTGTGGACCAAGAGAAATATAATGTGCAACACTAATACAATCTAAATATTCTAATAGCTACATTTTTTAAAAGCTTTTTTTAAAGCTAGGTGAAATGATTTTTAACAGTATACTTAACCTATGTATAAAAATATCAATTCATTTATATGTAATAAATACACAATTATATTTCATATTTTTTCATACGTATTACAACATCTGGTGTGTATTTTATGCATACAGCCCATTTCAATTCAAAGTAGATACATTTTAAGGATTCAGTAGCCACATGCGGATAGTAGCTACCATACTGGATAACCTAACTCTAGTTTCCAAGTAATAACACAATTAAAAAAAAAACAAAACAATAAACAAACAAAAAACCCAGATATGAAGTTTCTTTCTTCACAGAGATTCTCCTTAACTTGAGATATGTAGCTTTAAGATAACTGGGTGGACAATTCCTAATTTCTTTCAAGAGGCATTCTTCCAAAGTATTGTAGCAGATGCTTATAAAGTGATGGCACACATTATTATAAGGGGTATAGAAGAGAAGCAGCATTTGGTGACACAGGCTAGCAGAGTGTACTAGCTGACAATATAAATTCATGCTGTTGCCAATTTGTGAAACATTTTCTTTTCAGCTGGAACCCATCATGAAAAATAATTAAGTCTCTCAGCATGAGAACATATTATTCAAGCATATGCTTCCCTTTTTAGCAAATCACAAGAGAAATGCATGCAAGCGACACGTGCATGATATCCTTAATAAACCTCACATAACATGGTTTCCAGTCATTTTTGCACCATTAGTCTAATTCCAGTAAACAATTATTCAATTATCCAAATTATTACCTATACATGAGAAATTTCTGAATTTGACCATTTTTATTTATTAAATTACATCAAATATAACCTTTCTATTTTAGAAAAGTACTCTTCGCTTAAGTAGGTTTTCAAATGAGCTTTCATTACGACGTCTTCATTCAATTTCAATAGCGTTTTTTGACAAAAAAAGACTAATGCCCTCCAGTATGGGTCACAAGATCACATTCTTCTCAAACTTTCCAGGAATAGGCCTGAAGTAAAGACTTAAGAAACTTTGGAAGCTGTATTTATAAATCACATTCTCTCTGTGGCATTAAAAAATGTTTCTTTTTCATAATTCTACATATAAGTGAGATGATGTTTTATTTTTCTTTCTGTGTCTGGCTTATTTCACTAAGCATAATGTCCTCCAGGTCTCCAAAAAAAAAAAAAAAATCCACAGAAACAAAAATAGGTCAAGGTCAAATATACAAAGCTAGAGAACAAACCAGTAGTTATGGTTATGGGGTGGGGGAGGAGAGGAGGGAGAGGAAAGAGAAAATAGAGAGACATATTGAAAGAATACAAAGTAGCAGATACATGGGATGACCAAGTCTACAGAAGTCCAGACTGAAGTACAATATGAGGACTGTAGCTAATTAAAAAGTACTGTATTCGAGATTTTTGTTAAACAGGTTTTAACTGCTCTTCTAGTCAAAAAAATTAACTATGTGAGATAATGGGCATGTTAACCTACTCTACTATAGTAACAATTTTACTATCTATATGTATCTCATAACATCAAGTTGTAAAGCTCAGATAATTTTTTCAAGCCTCTTTTCTTTAAAAAAAATTTACTGGGATTATTCACTTCCACATCATTACCAGGACATTCAGGTGTGTCTGTAGATGAGCTTTCAGGCAATAAATCTGACCAGGAAAACACTGCTGAAATTATTCTACCTAATCTTCTGTATAAAACGAACCCAAGGCACAAAGAGGTTAAGCAACTTACTTAAAGTTCCATGGCTAGTCACCCAATCATACAAATTAGGGAGTCAATGATTCATTATCTAAAATAGGATAAATTTTAAAAGCACAGAATGATGACAACGATTTTATCTTGCCATGGAATGAGGTCTTTGCAAAATTTGTGAGAAAGAAAATTACTTAACATCTATAAATATAAATGTAAGTGTACCAAAATAGTGTGATACAGAGTAGAAAAAGAATAGGGATTACTTAAGAGAAGACTGGAGTTTGGTAAGGAGGGTTAACAGGTTAATAAAGCAGTTTACAGGAAGTCTTTGTGGTGGTGAAAAGAAAGATTATTTGCCAGGCAATTATTTGACAGAAAAATTCCTTGCATGTAGCAAAGCTAAAATATTTTCAAATTACTAAAAGCTAAACAAAAATAAGTTGATTTAGAGAAAGTAAATTCCAGTTCATATATTCATGTGCTCTGAGAACTCAGAAAGGAGCTATGAAGCACTATTTTGTCAAAGAGACAAATAATAAGTCCTCATTCCAAGCGGTGGTCAGGGGATATCTGGCATGCTGTACTTATTTAGTGATTACATGTTTTATTTAAAGCTGTCACCCACTTGATGAAAATTCAGAAGAGTCTGCCTAGGATGGGAGGAGAAGACTTTAAGGGAGCATGATGGCTGTCATCTGACATAATTAAAGGTAAGAAAGAACAGAGTTCATGTTTAGGCACAGAGCAGAAAAAGGAGCATTCTTAGAGCAAAAGATATCAGAGTTCATCTCAACTAGAGGAATTTTTTTTAAAATAATCAAAGCCACCTGAAAAACAAAAAAGGGAAGGGGAATGACAGAGTTTTTAAAGCAAAGGTCAGATGACTATTGTAATACAGCAGATAGAATTTATGTATGAGATTAAGAGTTTAAATTTAAAAAGATCTGCAAGCCCTTCTAAAATAGAAGCTAAATAATATGGTAATGGAGTGTTATTGAGAGTTTTTAGCATGAAGGGCTGTTGAATTTTATTGAAGGCCTTTCTTTCACCTATTGAGATAATCATGTGTTTTTTGTCATTGGTTCTGTTTATGTGATGGATTATGTTTATTGATTTGCGTATGTTGAACCAGTCTTGCATCCCAGGGATGAAGCCGACTTGATCAGATGTTGAAGAGTTGCTTTAAGGAATACATACATGTAAAATACATTTTTTTTTCTAAAAGCAGAAATATAATCAAAGTAAAAATGTCTTGAGGAAATGAAATAGGAAGTCATTTTTCTTTTTTCCCCATAAGAATACTTAAAAGGGGGGAAAAAGCCTAAAATAAAAAGTTAATTTTAACTAAATTGCAGAGATAAATTTTTAACCAAATTGCAGTGAATTTAGCATGAAGTATGAGTTTCACTAAGTCAAGAAGGGAAATTATCAATAAACATATTATATAAATATACAAATTTATAAATCTTATACATGTATAGATATATTTTTTCAAATTGGTAAAATGGAGAAATATTGACATTTAAGTGTTCCTGGTATTGACAAGAGAACTTGTCAATACAGAAATGTGAGATAAGTGAAATGAGGATAGAAAAATACTGTATTAGAAGCACACATTCATTTCAAATGGTGGCTAGTATCATTTTGCCACATATATATCAATATTTTTCAGAATCAAAACAAAAACCGTATTTTCATCTTAGTTCTCAAACATAAACCAGAATACTACTATAAATGATTCAAACATTCATGTGGAAAAAGCAAGTAAAAGTAACAAGGAGCATTTTGAAAAAGACTGGGAGCACAGGGATGTTATTATCAGATATTAAAAGCCTACAATATGTAGAAACAGTCTACTATGAAGGCAGATCCATAGGGGAAAAAAATCCCAAATCTGAACTTATTACATGATAAATGTGGCAAGATACATCAGTCAGAAAAGATACGATTAATCCAATAACACTGGTGATAATTAGATAGCCACCTGAAGAGAAATAAAATAATGTGCATCCTTACTCCATGCATATAACAAAACATGCTTCAGACAGATTAAAAAATAAACACAGAAACAAATGTTAAAATTCACTCCCTCAAAATTCCCCTTGCTTTAAAAAGAGCATCAATATTTGGTAAATCTTTTGTTGAGAGAGGATGTTCTACATTTAAACACAATGGAAGAAATAACGGGAATTTTAAACATTTTTTAAAATACAATATTACCATAACATTAATGGCAGTTAAGTAAAATTTGACTTACTAAACATTTGTATTAATGGACAAAGAGTTAATACATACACACATATAAACAAGCAAACAGATCATCAAAACACCAAGATTCCAAGTGGTAAATGAATAAAGTGCACAAGCCACATAGAAAAATAAAAATATAATCAATAGACAGGGAAAACTGTTCAGCTACATTAAAAATGGAAAATTCAAATTAAACTGATACATGATTTACTAACAACAAATTAGCAAAGATTTTTTAAATACAAGACTCCTAAATTTTGGCTGCCCAGAGTGCTAAGAAAAGGCATTCCAAAAACTGCTGCAAGGAAGGTAAACTGATAGAACCTTTCTAAAAGACAATCTAGCAAATCCGGCAGACAGACACAGACAAACTAACTAATGAAAGTAAATAACAAAGTTATTGGAACAGAAAAATGGCCATTATGCAGGAGCATGTATGAGGCTTAGGGGGAAAACTTATTTAAGTCAATTCAAGGTGAGGTTTCCCACTCCTCACAGCCTATATTCTAAATAAGTGCTTCTCAAGCTATCTGTGATGAAGAACCGGTGTTGTGTTTTATTTCATTTGCATTTGTTTCCAGTCTATTCCAGAATAATAGTAGAAAAAATTAAATGACACACAAAATATAAATTAATATTTTAAAAACTCTCAGAGTGAACATATAAATTACTCTGTCAATTGCTGTAAACCCAATGCTTACATTTAATTTCTATATCCATTTTGTGCACACTCTTGTGGACAGGCACTAGTCCACAAGTCCATGAATCACATTTTGAACAGCTCTCCTCTAAGTGCTCAGTGCCTGAACAGGTGAATAGGCCCCTTTGTAAAGCTTCTAAAATTTTACTTCATTAGAAACATAATCACCTAAATTATCAATATATTATCACTCGCAGATGGACTATCCTCATTCTACGAAAGCTGTGAAATGATATTAGGCATAAAATGTGACTGCTCTATGCAAGCCTTGAAAACAATTTTATTTCTTCTCATTTTAAATAACCAGTCTTTAATCTGTTTTGAAAATCTGGTAACTGCCAAATATGAAGCAAACCACAGAAAATTAGTCAACACTTATTAAGATTTTACATCTTCTTACTCAATTCTTACCAAATCAACCTATATACTAAGTAAGATGTAATCCCAACCAAGTCAACAAGCTGTTTTGGTTTGTTGTGTTTCAACAGGGTTGTGGGGGAATTAAGCTGGCTCTCAAGTTCATCTGGCAGAGAAAACCATGATGGCCTTGATATTCGGCAAAAGAACAACGGAATGAAATGGGGTGCGCTTACTCTACCAGGTGCCAACTAATCCATGAAGCCATAGAAATTAAAATGATGTGACTCTCAGTAGAATGACAGTAATGTAATAATAATTATTAAAAACAAAAAAAAAAACAATAAAACAAGGCCGGGTGCGGTGCCTCATGCCTATAATCCCAGCACTTTGGGAGGCTGAGGCAGGTGGATCGCCTGAGGTCAGGAGATCGAGACCAGCCTGGCCAACAAGGTGAAACCCCGTCTCTACTAAAAATACAAAAAATCAGCCAGGTGTGGTGGTGGTGGACACCTGCAATCCTAGCTACTCGGGAGGCTGAGGCAGGAGAATCGCTGAACCAGGAAGGCGGAGGTTGCAGTGAGCTGAGATCATGCTCCTGCACTGAAGCCTGGCAACAAGAGCAAAACTCCATTTCAAAAAAAACAAACAGAAAAAAAACCAAAAGATAACAATAGCAGCAACAGACATTTATTGAGCCTGTATTATAACCAAGGCATGTGGGGAGTGCTTAATATTCAAAATGTCATTATTCCTCACAACCCTACAACATAGATATTATTTCCCTTGTATTATAAGGAAACAAGCTTAGGGAGGTTGAATAGCTTAGTAAGTGACAGATGTGGGGAAAAAGAACACATCAATAGAAAGAAAAACTGGAGTCCAGAAACACACCCAATTTAATGCTAAGGGCAGCAATTTCAAGTCACTGAGGAATAGACGGAATAGGCTGATTATTTAATATTTAACAAATGACTGTTAGGCAAAAGATATTATAAAATATACTTAGATCCTAACTAGCAACAAACACAACATTTAAAGGTGTGTGAAGAGACAGAGATAAATATAAAAAATAAAACTACAAACATTCTAAAAAAATAAGAGAATTTAAAAAATTATAAGGTGAAGAATGCCATTCTAATAAGAAACAAAACACAGAAGTGAGAATCGATTGTAAAAATCTTAACAGTTCTGTAATGTACTATTTCAAAAACTAAAAGAAATATGCTAGGCAAAAGTGTTTGCAATATGCAAGGAAGGATTAATATGCTTAATACTTAAACAGAATCAATGTGAAAAGGTAAGTAATTGAACAGAAATGAGTGAAAACTAAGAGGAGTTCACAGAAGAAATATAAATGAACAAAATGTTTTAAAATAATTCTCAAATTCATTAAAAATCAGAAAAAAACTAGAAAAAGACAATACTTCTGATTTATCAGATGTTAAAAACTGAAATGTTGATAACACCTAAGTTGTTGAGACTATGGTAAAACAGACACTTATGAACGGATACTAAAACAGATTATTCATGTTGCTTTTCTTCAGAAAGCAAACCTGTGGTACCTATCAAAATTCAGTATCTGGTTATCCTTCAACTCAGGGTTAATACTTCCAGAAATAGAAATATATTCAGACTTCTTTTGAATATACTGTTTGTGGCTTGGCGTGGTGGCTCACGCTTGTAATCCTAGCACTTTGGGAGGCCGAGGTGGGCGGATTACTTGAGGCCAGGAGCTCGAGACCAGTCTAGCCAACACAGTGAAACCCCATCTTTACTAAAAATACAAAAATTAGCCAGGTGTGGTGGCATACATCCGTGGTTCCAGCTACTTGGGAGGCTGAGGCATGAGAATTGCTTGAACCTGGGAAGCAGAGGTTGCAGTGAGCTGAGATTGCACCACTGTACTCCAGCCTGGGCTACAGAGCGAGACTGTCTCAAAATAATAACAACAATAAATATAATAATAATAATAAAATGTTTCTTATTCATACAACGCTTTTTCCATTTTTGTCCAGAAAACTCTTATTCATGTTTCAACACTCAGTTTCAATGCCCCTTCCTCGTGTCCAGGCCACGTTTAATTCGTCTTTGTATTCCTTAGCACAACTGCAAAAGCCCAGTAGTTTTGAAAGCTTACGTAAAGATAGGTAACACAAAACACGGAGTAGACCAACGAGAAGCAATGGGAGGACATGAGGCATTTGTGTGAATGAGTTAATGATGATGGAGAAAGCAAACAGAAGTAATAGTCTAAAGGCAGGAAGAAGACAGTTACTGAAGTATCGCTAAAGACAGTCTAAAAAGAGTGGGTCAAACCAGCAATAGTGAAACAAAGATGAGCAAAGCAGGCCCACATAAGATTCCAAAGCATCAGAAAACTGGTTTAAAAAAAAAAATAGAGCTTGAGAGTAGTTATTTCCAGTCTTGAAACTACGCCCAAGTTATGTTTAAAAAAAGAAAGAGAAAACGACAACATTCCTTGAGAGAAAAACTTGAAAATAAAAAGAACTCATGAAAAACTGTTTGTATTGACCCTTCATGATCTCCTAAAATGGAGGCTACAACGCTTTTTTCTTTCGTAAGCACATAAAAGATCCAAATGCAGAATGTCATATATGTGAATTTGGCAAAAGGTTTAAATTAAAAGTTTATAATTAGAATTGGTGTAAGGTACAATTTTTATTAATTCTTTTTTCTTAATCTAAGCATGGTTCCCTACTGTGCAGTCTTTTAAACAAAGATTAAAAAGGCTTAGTTTAATTAGCATTTCCAAGTAGATTTCAACATTATTTTCAATAATAATTTATAATGTTCTTTTAAAATGTCTTTTCTGAAATAAGATTTGATCATCTCAAGAATGCTTATTGCTTGGAAATCACTCTAATTTATGCATTTATCATTTATTCATTCAACAAATGCTTTTTGAGCTCAAAAAGTTTGCTGAATAAATGATAAATGTATAAATTATTTAAAATGATATTGAAATCTACTTGAAATTTTTAATTAATGACAGTAAGCTTTTTAAAAAAGTTTAAAAAACAGTAAATTAATATAGCTCAGTAACTTGTAAGAGAATTCTTAAAGTAACATTTTAAAAACTAGATTTTACAGATTTTTCCAATGTATATTCCCTAATATTGCTTTCATTCATTTTTCTTCCCTAGTAAGCATGAATTGAGCCTACATGTTTAAAAAATAAAATCTAGCTGACACTAAGACAAAAAGAAAAATTTATAGTCTCTATACACAAAATCTTCATAGTATTAGTAGGAAGACAGTATGTATACTGAATATACAGAATTATAAAGGAACCATAAAAATAAATACTAGTAAAAATAATACAATAATATATCTGCTAGAAATAAATACATTAAGCAATCAAAGAGAAGATAAGAGAAAAAAAAAGAAAACAAAGGTGCCTTACGGATTGGATTGGGCTGCTTCCAATCCAACTGAAACAAGTTATTGGGCCAAATGAGGAGGCACAGGCATAGTGCCTTGGTTACCACGAGCTGTATGGCAATCTCTGTACCATGTAATTTCCTGGGTGCTAGTTTCTTTCTTGGCAAAATAAAGAATTGAAACTAGCTTGTCTCCAAAAATCTCTTTTAGCTCTCAAATTTTGATACATGGTTTTTAATAGCCGATATTTTCCTATTCCAAAGATAAGCAAACTTTTATACTGTTTTCATTATTCGAGATTAGATTGCTTTTCAGTCTAGGCATGAATACAAATGACTAGATCACTTCAGTATTCCAAATTGCAGAAACAGATTTTGAAGAGGGCCAGGGTAAGCAGTTTACTCAGTACTAAAAATTATTATGGGAATACAGGGGTACCCAACACAGCATGCTACACAGAAAGCACTGTGGTGATTATTCAGTTGTCCAAATCATCTAATGGATAAGGAAAGCATAAAGGAGAGATTATACAATCCTACATATTCTAATATTTCACTCACTTCTAACGCTCCTCATTTCACTCACTTCTATCCTTTTGGTTCCTTTTATGAAATGGTCCTGATAGTTGACAAGCCTATGTTACACAGTATGGTATTAGCATACAAGTTATTCTTTTTACCCATCAGGTCAGCTCCAACAAATTTAATAACTTACCGCCCGGGCTGAGTCACCAAAGTCTATCTTCAACCTCCCCATAGCCCTAATGATAGCAATAATTGACTGGATGGTGTTACTGTAGACCACTGCTTTGTATTGTTTACACTCCTCTTCTGAATAACCAGCTTCATGGATAATTCTAATGAGACAAAAGGGAAAAAAAAGAATTATTTACTTCCTTTGGTAGAACGGTACACTAACTTAAACAGCAAATTTGGTGTTTAAATCTACTTACTTCATCTGCTTCACAATTGTACTTTTACCAGATTCACCAGCACCTAAAAATATAAAACATAAAAGGTTTCTAATTTCATCATAATCACTTAAGTATATTCAACTCCCAACACACAAACACACACACACACACACACACCCAGTCTCTCTCTGTGTGTCTACCTCTTAGAGCTGAATTTTGTTTTATACTAAAATGAGATACAAGGCAGCAAATATGTAGGATGAATAAGTATAAAGATCTAACATACAACATGAGAACTGTAGTTGTACAGTAATAATACTGTATGGAGTCAGGATTTTGCTAAATGAGTAGATGACAGCTGTTCTAGCCACAGGGGACAAACAGGTAATTACATGAAATGATGTATATGTTCATTTGTCCCAATATGGTAACCATTTTGATACATATATTTTGTAATATCATGTTGTATGCATTTAAAATTTACTTTAAAACAAATAAATAAAATGAGCTTCATCGGTTTCTAAACACACAGAAAAGTTCTGGGAAATAAGTCTGCTCTACCTATTATTTCATATACTTAAAGTCAATCAACTCAAATAAAAAAACATGCTTCTACTGTTGTTTGTGTGTATTCTCCAAAGCATTAAAAAATTCAGTCTTCTCTAAGTTAAATTAAACCTGTATAAATTAGTTTTATTTAAGACTCTGCTCTCCATTGGAAGATGTTTTAACTGCCTGACCAATTATCTTAATTTTAACCTGTGGCTCTTGTGAAATAGGCAGCAGTGGCACCAAGAAGCCACATGAAAAACTATTTTAAAATATCAGATGTTCAAACAGCTATGTCTCATGGAATATGTGTTCGATCACCATTATTAAAAACCTAATACAGAACTAACATGACTTGCTAGCACTGAGGGTTCAGTGTTGTGCTGGACAAAAATAAAATAAAAAGTGTTTTTTCATCTTCATTGTTATGCAAGCCATAAGGCCAGGAGCCATTCTCAGAACTCTCCTTCACTCTGTATACATGCAGGCTCTCCTCAAGATTTGAGTTCCTAGTGCTATGCTACCCTAACATGAAAATACTACTAAGGAAATGACAGTTTACAAAATCAGGCCCTTCTTAAATACCCTTTCCACTTAACAATAGCTGCTATCTTTATACCAAATTAGATCAATTATTTGTCAGGCTCCCCTCCCTTGATTGCTGGGTATTGAGAACATCTGAGCAAAGGACACAAGACATGGAAGATATGACAAGTCTATCATTTGGCTTCACATACTCTTTGGCCAATACTACAATATCCTGGAGGAATTTATGACTGTTTGAGACACCGGGCCCAGGATTTTCACTATATTTTCATTTCATTTTAGGCTCCATATTCCCATTTTCCCTGGGCCATTCCTACAGAGTTTCATGTTCAGCATTACTGAACAACTTACAGTTCCAGGAACACCCACTGCTGCTCATGCCACACATCTTCAAACACTGTTTCCCCTGCCAAAATGCAATTTGCTCTGGTCTTGCCACCCTGGTGATTTTTTATTAAGCATCGAACTTACCTCCTTTGTCAACCTCTCCTTACCCACTCTGCATGTGATTCCTGCTGCCTCTCACTTTGCACATGTTTGTATTTGAATTCTCAGAAGCTAGCTTGTGCTATACACAAAATCAACCAACCAGAAATGTACTTGAATTTATTTAAGCTATTTCTGACTGATACAACTGATGGTCAACTTCTGGGCCTCATCTCTCCCTTTACCTCTTTCCCTCTCCAGACACACAAAGACACACACACACACACACACACACACACACAAAGACACACACACACACACACACCCAAATCATCAGAGGCATCTGAAAAGAGGTCATAGTTAAATGCCCTATTTGAAAATCTGAGGATAAAACTCCCTAAATTTTACTTGTGGTTTGATATGTAAGAAATTTTCCCAAAATACCCTCACACTGAATAGAAAAGCAGGCAGGCACTGAATAAACAATAAAGGCATTCTCCATTTACAGACAGCCTTTGAATCTTTCAGGGCATCTGCCAATGAAAACAATTCCAAGATAAACAACCCATTATTTATTAATCAACAACAGTGTGCTTGGCTCCATGAAAAGCATAATGGCAGGCATTCTGGCTCACACATTTCTCTAATCCAGGGGGTCCACCCAAGCAATATAACCTAGGCAGTTTCCAGTGGGGCTGTCTTTAATAAACCACTCTGGGTTTCTAGAGTACTGTGAGTTGAGGCAGTGGTTGCCATGCTGTGATGATGGGACACTCTAGATCCCAGGATTCGTACACAGGGATGGTGATACCACAGATATAGTGAACTTTGATGAATAGCCACTATGGTCCATTTTGTTAGTGAAACAACTGAAAAGCCCAGAGAAAGGTTCAAGTGATGTAAGCTCGTGAGTTTTGAGATCCACGAAAGGAAGAAAATCAGAAATAGTAAAGAATAAGATTTTTCCAGTTGAACTATGTATGTACAAATGAGAATGTTTAAACCTTAAGAAAAAAAAACAAATTTTCCTGCTATTAGATATTATCTCTACATTCTAATTAACTTTTTATCTCTTCAAATAAATGGGAACATGGGACGCTTAGCTTACTTTGCATTGCACATCCAGTCAATGGCTTGTGGTTCAAAAAGTCCTGAAATCTGTTTAACATTAAAGAGTGGGGGGCCAGGCACGGTGGCTCATGCCTGTAATCCCAGCACTTTGGGAGGCTGAGGCGGGCAGATCACGAGGACAAGAGTTCTAGACCAGCCTGGCCAATATGGTGAAATCCTGTCTCTACTAAAAATACAAAAATTAACTGGGCGTGGTGGTAGGTGCCTATAGACCCAGCTACTCGGGAGGCTGAGGCAGAAGAGCTGCTTGAACCCGGGAGGCAGAGGTTGCAGTGAACGGAGATTGTGCCGCTGCACTCCAGCCTGGGCAACAGAGTGAGACTCCGTCTCAAAAAAAAAAAAAAAAAAAAAAAAAAAGAGTGCGGATGGCAGTCTTATTAACTGGATTTGTACTTTCTTTACTAGTCACAAAATACTCTTTGTGGAATAGATATCTACAGGCAGAAATTTTGCAAAAACGTTTCAAAGCTTAGCAATTTACATAATTAGTTTTCAACTCTCAATTCCATACAGAGTCTCCTAAGAGGAAAATTACAAATGCCACGTGGTTAGGGTTTCAACATTCTGAACACTGGTATTTTCTCCATATAGCATACAGGAAAGAGTAAATAGTTGTTCTCTACAAATCTCAGGCAGCACAGTCACTTCTGGGAGGCTGGGAGTGTAACGCTGCACATCGTTGCCTGATGTGCATGCCAAGTCAATATGCTGAGACCCTGGGCTGCAGCAGAGAAAGAAGTTTAATCGTAGTAGGGCCACCGAACAGAGATAGAGGAAACCGCAAATCTATCTGCCTGAGGAGTTTGGGGCTAGCGTTTTTAGGGGTTTTGGAGTGGGTTGAAGTGTACAGATTGAACGGTCAACGAATGCAGGGTAAAGCCATAGGACAGGGAAATGAAGAAACTATTCTTAGGCTGATTCGGTTCTTCTGTGAGGGTCTTTAAACTGGATGGCCTCAGCTGTTAAATTGGAATTCAGGATCTACTTAAACAATTCTTAAACAAAAGCCTCATGATTCTAACACCAGAGATCCAATCTAAGGCCAGAAATACTATCTATAGGAACAACCAGGATGCAAATGGTCAGTATCCAGTGTTATGTGACTTTCAGTTACAAGGAAGTGGGTCAAAGCACAGACTGAATAATGCTTAATTATAGCTATATTTCTGTCTAGAATTCTTTTTAACCCTGTGAACATGGCTTCAGCAGGAAACAATATTGTAAAGAAAAAAATGGGGTTGGGGGGTAAATTTTTTCCAGTAGTACTCAGCCAAGTTGCTGTTACTTTTCACTTAAATCCAGGATGGGATGAAAAGTGCTCCCATCTACCAAGAGCAACTTCAAGAAGAAAAGAGAAATATGTAACATGTGTCAGTCAAGAAAGATCAAAGTGCGTGACCATTTGCAGTCACGAAACCTGGCTGGTCAAGGTGACTAAGTGGCCGGCACAGGAACTATCAGTCAACTAATCACTGTGGAGTGAATGAGAGTTTAGAGGGAAGAATGTGACTCCCAGAGGGCTGAGAATATGTGTGCAATGGTTATGGTTGGCCAGTGGCGATAAAGCCAAAGTTGTGATGTTATAGTAGGTAGCTAGTCAGGCATGAGCAGGGCAGGAGAGGGTTCCACCTGACCAGGAATGTCAGGTGACCATCAGGTGATGGACAGGAGGTTGTTAAATGTTTCTCTAAAATAGTAATTGGTCACAGCCAGTGAAAGGGAAAGGCAGTCTCCATATAGATAGAAAAAAACCTGCAACTGGTGATCAGCAGCTTCCCAATAAGATCTGAAGAGATGGGTGAGTGAGCTCAAGCATGCACATTAAGAGGCAAAATGGTGGAGTTTAACTGGTATATGACCTTCCTCTAGGAATGCTAGACTGGTAAGGGAAGAATGCCTCAAGTGAGTATGGGCACAACTCCAGTAAGCACACTGCACAGGCTCCTCTCCCAAGCGCTAGCAGGCCACTGCGCATGTGAACAGCCCACCCCAAGGGAAGAATCAGGGGAGAAGGGACACAAGACCCTGGACGTACCAATGTATAAAACCTCAAGTCAAAAGGCCAAACTGCACAATAACCGTTCGAGTCACCAGCTTGGCCCTCTTCCAGGTGCGCGTTCCTTCCTTCTGTTCCTGCTCTAAAACTTTTTAATAAATTTTCACTCCTCTAAAACTTCTCGGTCTCCCTACCTTATGCCCCTCGGCCGAATTCTTTCTTCTGAGGAGGTAAGAATTGAGGTTGCTGCAGATGCATCAGATTCGCTACTGGTAACAGGCACACAGAGGAGTCCTCCCCCTCCGCCCACTGGTCTCCTTTAAGGAGGAAGTGGCTAACGAAAAACTGCATCTCTGACAGCAAATATGGAGCCCAGCAAATAAGACTGTGCTGAGGACAAAGGAGCACCATCACATTAACACCGGAGAGAGAACTCACAGGCATTTTGGGGTCTCAAACATACAGCAGCCTACCGGTAGGATCCAGGAAAGGGAAATGCATCAAGTCAAGACGGTGGGAGGAAGGGAGAAAAAATAAAAACAAATCAAGATATAAGGTAACCCTTTGCTAGATTCTAATTCCTTTAAGAGAGTTATGTAATTTATCGCTATCAATGTGATAGTCAAACAGTGTCTGCCTCTGATTTGGTTGGGGGTAGCATAGGAAATTTTAGTTTTATCTGCTGGTAAAGTTTAAAACAAAAAAACACTTCTGACCTCAGAAAACAAGTATCTTTTTTTTTTTCTTTCAAAGAAAAAAATCCTTTGGTCAACTTTTGCTTAGGGTCACATTTATATCATTTATTTCCTGGCTTCAAGGATGGAGGGTGTCCAACATCACAGGCTGTTCAGCTACAACATGGGGATTTAGCCAAGTTATCTTATGCTGAAGTCCTCATACCTCTACTCTCCTTTTAAGAAATCTTAATTTTTATGTTGAATTTACTGATTTAAAATGTTAACACTGAATAAAACTAAACTACAATGAACTAAAACTAAATTATAAATGCATTTAAAATCCTTTCTCTTTATTATAATGCTACTGTAAGATTAATAAGATCAAGGTCCTTATATTTAAGACAGAAGTAGATAAAGTAGGGGTGCAAGGGCAAATATAAATTAAAAATAAAACGTTCAATTCTCCCTGTTGAAATGAAAAACATTTCCCTCCCTTTTTCTTAGAGCATTTACTTTAGAAAAATTATAATTGGAAATACGTTTCTCTTTCTTTGAAATGTATATAATATATTCTTTTGAAAACAAAATAGGCCTTCTGCCAGCTTTATGACTCAGGAATGTCTTTCTCAAGGACCTGGGAGCCATCTCTTTGAAATGTAAATATCAAGGGAGATAGCATCCTGCCTCCCAGTTTCTGTGGCAGGGTAGGAACTTGACTTCATGGGCACCTTGCTCCAAGATGTAAAACTAACTTCTGTCCTAAAGATAGAAGTTTCTTTTTCTCCTATGAATGAGGCCAATTAGCTAACATGATGGTCATCCCAATTACCACAGTAAAGGTAGGGTAAGCTATGTGTGACAAAGGTGCTTTGAAGTCTTCTTACTTGAGGACTTACTGTTTGTCACGTGAACATGCATGTAATGGGTTGAATAGGCTGTAATGTATAAAGGGGTGAGGGTCTTTTGTCTTTTCAATCTCTTAGATGTACATCACAATCTGGTTTAATGCTTATTTAATAATGAAAATATTTTCTTTCTGTGCTATTTTTGTAAAGAGGATTCCTGGGTTGGGAGATTTTGTTTTTAATTATCATTCCCCAACAAAGGTAATTATCTAAAATCTTTTCCATTTAGTTCTAAGAAGCTCTGAACTTATATTTAAATAAATATTTACACATACATGGGAGATATCTGACATTCTGGAATATAAGAAGAATTTAATAATGACTGTAAACGTTCAAATCCAAAATCCACAGCTTCAAAATGACCCACTTTCCCCAATCTTAACTCCATATAAAACTATCCCCTGAGCCATTCACTTCTGAGATAGGTATCATACTATTACAATGAGCAAGAATGTATGCACACAAAGGAAATGAAATCAGTATATTGATGAGATATGTTCACTGCAGCATTATTCACAATAGCCAACTTATGCAATCAATCTAAATTATCTGTCAAGAGATGAATGAAGAAAATGTTGTGTATATATACACAATGAAATATTATTCAGCCTTAAAAAGGAAATCCTGTCATTCGTGATAGTATGGATAAACCTGGGCAAATACCACATAATCTAACTTGTATAGTACATGTAGAATCTAAAAAAAGTCAGACTCATAGAAACAGCATAGAACTGTGATTACCAGGAGGATTAGCTGGGGAAACTGAAGGGGAGGGAGGGAGATGTGGGTCAAAGGGTACCAAGTTTTAGTTACGATGAATAAGTTGTAGAGATCCACTGTACATCATGGTGACAACAGTTAATAACAACATATTGTATACTTGAAAACTACTAACAGAGTAGATCTTAAATGTTTTCACCACAAAAAATGGTATGTATGCAAGATGATGGATACGTTAATTAGCCTGACTTAATTATTTACGTACCCATATAGTAAAACATCAGCTTGTATACTGTAAATATATATAATTTTTATGTATCAAAGGAGGCAACCCCACTGTCACTTTGATTTTGAACATTTAGCTGCAGAAGCATGAAAGAATACATTTATGTGGTTTTAAAAAAATGAATGAATGCACACACAAAGCTACCCTAGAAAGGCAGGACAAAAGAAAGAATTGTGTGCAGCACTGGAAGCTCTTTTCTGAGATGCCCGTCAAATAGACCATTCGGCTAACTGAACTGACAGACAAAATGTTTCTAAAATTTGAATCTACACACCCACTCGATGAGGAAGGGTGGAGGACCAGAGGCCACAGGCATATTTTCAGGTGTACGTTTTCTGCAAAACATTTTAATACAGTGTTTTTATTTGTATAGTGATAAACTCTAAGTCACTCTAATCACACCATATGTTTGAAGGGTGTCATACAGTTTCAAGGTCTATATTTGAGTTTGTGTTTATAAGTCCCTAAGATACTTAAGCAAATGTTAAATGTTGTGCTGGAGGGACCTTTCCATCTACCACTCTATCTGGTTTGACTGTCAGTCACCCAACTGGTCAAAGAAGAAGTGTCATGTGTTTCCAAGTGGCCCATGAGAGTGGTGTCATTGGGAATAAAATTCCTTATGCTTATAGATAAACCAGCAAACAAAAATTTTACAATATAAGATATATACATGTAATATATATATATAAAAACTTACAAAACAATCACTTAAGATACAGTGATTTTTTTTTCCTCCCACAAAGGAATGAGCTGGTCTTTCCCTTCCCTTTTATATGAAAGCTATCAAGAAAGATTACAGCACTGAAAAGGTATGTGAAATCTGGCCCACAAAAGCCATTTTCAATGATCACATAATGGAGGATGCCCTTAAAGGATGGGCCAAAACCTAGGAGAGCATCACTGAATGAAGACCAGGACATGAGAGGCCTGACAGTACTGTTTGAACCTTTACATGAAGCCCAGTCAGGAGAACATATAATTTATCTTCAAAGTAGGGACTTTTGAGAGTTAAAGTGGACACAAGCTCAACTGGACTGACCTGGGCCAAGCAGGAAATATATCACTCTAGTCGTAACTGCAGACAAATCCACCTTGATTTCCCAGCTATGAGAGCCAGGTATGAGGTTGCTTTCTGTCACACTGACCCAAAGAGTCTTGACTACCCCTGTGCCAAGTAGTAATACTTTAATTATCTTGAGCTAATGAGGGAAAAACAAAGGAGGTTAATGAGGCATCTGTACCAAGTGAAGGCCAAATAAACACTGCATGCTGCACAAAAGAAAGCTACAGAATTTTAGGTAGAAAAAGATGTGGGAAAATTTGACATTATACAGCCCTTTGCAGAAGAGGTATGCCAAATCAAAAGAATCATATCGCAAGTGCAATTTATTGTGGCTAACATACCATTACTTCTTATACTAACTTCACATTTACACTTTATATACACACACACACACACACACACACACACTTTATAAGAATGTTCTGTTTTATAGTTCATGTAAGACCTATAAGGGTAAGAAATTTTACTTCCTATGACAATTATACATACACATTTATGAAAATAATTTAGAACCACACAGGAAGAGGATGTTTTTCTTCATCAGGAAATCATATACTGCTTTGTCTAAAGCTCAAGTCTAATTGCGCTCATGTTTTTGCTAAGCTGTTTTCTATTAAGGACTGGCAAATAATTAACATATACAAACTTTTTCAACATTTCCTATGCCAAGCTGCAATTCTTCATGGGCCTCTCTCACATTTGTGAGCGGAGTCACAGACTACCTATTCCTATCTTTTCAAGGATATTTGCAGAGACAAGAAGATACAGATAATGTCTCCTTCTACGGCAAAAAATAGGTTTACTGTCCAGTATAATAAAGGTAATATATCCTCTGGGACAGAGGTCAGACACTGACTTATTTTTAAAAAATTGTGATCCCTAAGGTCAGGGTTCCTCTACTATAACATAACCCACTTCTTGTGCACCTATCACCTGGCACTGTTCAGGCTGCCCTTATGGACTGGGTAAATCACCACCAGTGCTGATTCTCTGGCATAACTGCTGTATTAAAGTAACTTTTTGTCTCTAACCCAGGAATTTCAGGTCTTTTCACAGTATTTATGAAATGGTGATATGGTAAATTGTTAGCTTGTACGTAGGGGAAAGTCTCAGACACTGAATAATTTCTGACAAACTGTTCTGCTTAATTTTTAATTAATTCCCAAATTTCTGGCAACTAAGGATACTACACTTCCAGCATCTTTATACCTGAACTACATGTCTTTTTAAAATTCTAGTATTTTTCCTTCCCAAATGGCAGGTAAAACAAGTTTGCCTAATAAGCCAAAGAAATACGTAGAACAGTGGTTCTGAAGCTATGATGGCAGTATCTGCATGACCTGAGGATTTGGTTAGAAATGGACATCTCAGGCCCCATCCAGCGTTTACTGAATCAGAAAGAAACTCTGGAGGTGAGGCGTCCAGTAATCTGTGTTTTAACAATTCCTCCAAGTGATTCTGATGCATGCTAAAGATGGAGAGCCACTAAGAAGAAAAAGAAGAAAAAGGTCACCTCCTTTTTTCTTGATTAGTTATCATAACACAGTCATTAAGTTGCTAACTAGTTATTAAAAAGGAATACACTATTTTAATGGAATAATTATATTTTCCCTTCCCTCCCCAAAATAGTAAGACAAGTAGCACTGTTTTGCATTTCTACAAATAGCACAATAAAAGGCAGCTGGATTCTCATATCTATTCCTGCATTTAATATACTGTAATACATTACACTTTTGTTGAAATATAAGAAGAAAATCCATTTTCACATACTTTAGTTAGAAAAGGGTGGATCATTCAATAACATTTAAGTATAATTATGGATAGTCTTATTCTACATCGTAATTTGAGAAGTGGTAACTTCTTAAAGTTTGATTACAGTGTAGAATCTGAAACGATTTCTATGAAGTTTTCTTATTTTTGTACAGGTATACCTCAGAGATATTACGGGTTCTATTCAAAACCACTGCAGTAAAGAGAATATTGCAATAAATCAATTCATATCAATTTTTTGGTTTCCCAGTGCATATAACAATTATGTTCACACTCTACCATAGTCTATATTAACTATGCAATAGCATGATGTCTAAAAAATGTACATACCTTAATAAAAAATACTTTATTACTAAAAAATGTTAACAATCATCTGACCCTTCAGCGAGTCATCATCTTCTGCTGGAGAAGGGTCCTGCCTCCATGGTGATGGCTGCCAACTGATCAGGGTAGTGTTGGTGAAAGTTGAGGGTGGCTGTGGCAATTTCTTAAAATACAATAATGAAGTCTGCTGCACTGACTGACTCTACCTTTCAAGAAAGATTTTTCTGCAGCATGTGATGCTCTTTGAGTAACACTTTACCCGCAGCAGAACTTCTTTCAAAATTGGATCCAATCCTCTAAAACCCTGCCACTGCTTTATCAACTAAGTTTATTTAAGATTCTAAATCCTTTGTTGTCATTTCAACAATGTTCACAGCATCTTCACCAGGAAAAGACTCCATCTCAAGAAACCATTTTCTTTGTTCATCTACAAGAAGCAATTCCTCTTTCCTTAAAGTTTTATCATGATATTGCATTCACATCTTCAGGCTCCACTTCTAATTCTAGTTCTCTTGTTATTTCCACCACATCTGCAGCTTCTTCCTCTACTGAAGTCCCAAACCCCTCAAAGTCATTCATGAGGGTTAGAATCAACCCAGGCATTCTTTCAAATGCCTGTTAATGTTAATATTCTGGTCTCTTCCCATGAATCACAAATGTTTTTCATGGCATCTAGAATGATTAATCCTTTTCAGAAGGTTTTCAATTTACTTTACTCAGATCTATTAAAGGAATCACTATCTAATGGCAGCTATAGCCTCACAAAATGTGTTTCTCACATAATAACACATGAAAGTTGAAATTACTTCCTGATCATAAGCTGCAGAACAAATACTGTGTTAGAAGGCGTAAAAACAACATTAGGCTGGGCACAGTGGCTCAAACCTATAATCCCCTTGGGAGGCCAAGTCAGGAGAATAGCTTCAGGCCATGAGTACAAGACCAATCTGGACAACATTACAAGACCCCCAACTCTACAAAAAATAAGAATAAAAAACACTGGCCAGGCATTTTGTAGTCCTAGCTACATGGGAGGCTATGGAGGGAGAATCACCTGAGCTCAGGAGTCAAAGGCTGCAGTAAACTATGACCATGCCACAGCACTCCATCCTGGTAACAGAGCAAGATCTTGTCTCTAAAAACAGCAACAACAACAAATTCCTTGTACCTCTCCATCAGTGCTCTTGGATAATGCGGTGCATTGTGAAAGAGCAGAAATATATTGAAAAGAATCTTTATATATGTGCAGTAAGGTCTTAACACTGGGCTTAAGATATTAGGAAAACCACGCTCTAAAAAGATACGCTGGCCGGGCGCGGTGGCTCATGCCTGTAATCCCAGCACTTTGGGAGGCTGAGGCGGGTGGATCACAAGGTGAGGAGATCAAGACCATCCTGGCTAACACGGTGAAACCCCGTCTCTACTAAAAATACAAAAAGTTAACAGGGCATGGTGGTGGGTGCCTGTAGTCCCAGCTACTCGGGAGGCAGAGGCAGGAGAATGGCATGAACCCGGGAGGCGGAGCTTGCAGTGAGCCAAGATTGTGCCACTACACTCCAGCCTGGGCGACAGAGCAAAACTCCATCTCAAAAAAAAAAAAAAAAAAAAAAAAGATATGCTGTCATCCATGCTTTTGTTCTTCCATTTACAGAGCACAGGCACAGCAGACTTAGTATAATTTTTTTTTTTTTTTTTTTTTTGAGACAGAGTCTCCCCTTGTCGCCCAGGCTAGAGTGCGGTGGCGTGATCTCAGCTCACTGCAGCCTCAGCCTCCTGGGTTCAAGAGATTCTCCTGCCTCAGCCTCCCGAGTAGCTGGGATTACAGCCCCTGTCACCACCCCTGGCTAATTTTTATATTTTTAGTAGAGATGGGGGTTTCACCATGTTGGCCAGGCTGGTCTCGAACTCCTGACCTCAGGTGATCTGCCCGCCTTGGCCTCCCAAAAGTGCTGGCATTACAGGCGTGAGCCACCACACCTGGCCAAGAGTTAGTATAATTCTTAAGGGCTCTAGGATATACAGAATGCTAAATGAGCACTGACTTCAGCAGTCACCAGCTGCATTAGCCCCTAACAAGAGAGTAAGTCTGTCCTTTGTAGCTCTGAAGCCAGGCACTGACTTTTCCTCTCTAGCTATGAATGTCCTAGATGAGACTTTCTTCAAATAGAAGGCTGTTTTGCCTACATTGAAAATCTGTTGTTTAGTGTAGTCATCTTCATCAACGATCTTAGCTAGATCTTCCGGATAACCTGCTGCTGCTTCTACATCAGCACTTGCTGCTTTACCTTGCACTTTTATTTTATGGAGATGGCTTCTTTCCTTCAAGCTCCTGAACCTGCAGCTTCCTCACTTCTCTCAACCTTCACGGAACGGAAGAGGTAGGGCCTAGATACGGCTTAGGCTTTGGCTTAAGGGAATGTTGTGGCTAGTTTGATTTTCTATCCAGACCACTAAAACTTTCTCCATGTCAGCAATAAGGCTGTTTCACTTTATCATTCGTGTGTCCATTGCAGTAGCACTTTTAATTTCCTTCAAGAACTTTTCCTTTACATTCACAACTTGGCTAAATGTTTGGTGCAAGAGGACTAGCATTCAGCCTATCTCAGGTGCAACAGCACTAGCATTTAGCCTATCTTTGGACATGACTTCCTCACTAAGCTTAATCATTTCTAGCTTTTGACTTAAACTGAGAGACTTGTGACTCTTCCTTTCCTTTGAACACTTAGAGGCCACTCTGCAGGGTTAGTAATAAGCCTAATTTCAATATTCCTGTGTCTCAGGAAATAGGGAGGTTTGAGGAGAGGTAGAGATATGAGAGAACAGCCAGTCCAGTGAAGCAATGAGAACACATATATTTATTAAGTTCTTTGTCTTATGTGGGCAGAGTTTATGGCACTCTAAAACAATTAGAATAGTAACATCAAAGATCACTGATCCCAGATCACATCTGAAATATTGTAAGAACTACCAAAATGTGACACAGAGATACAAAATGAGCACACATATTAGAAAAATGGTGTTGACAGACTTGCTGGATGCAGGGTGGCCACAAACCTTCAATTTGTTAAAAAAAAAAAAAAAAAGGCAGTATCTGCAAAGTACAATCAAGTGAAGAACAATAATACAAGGTATGCCTGTACATTAAATCCATCGGTCTATCTTGTACTTGGAATGAATCTTTAACCCATGTTTGATTTGGAAATTGGTTAAGTTTTGCAGGACCAAATGTTGATGTCTTTCATTATTTTTATACACACACACACACACACACATAAATATACACATATATATTTTTTAATTTCCTTTTCAAAATTACTCATAATCTCCTCAGAAAAGGATTTCAGTCTTGTGAAGACGCCGAGATGCCAGTAGCAGGAACAAGTTTTTAAATATTTTTATTTTAAAAATTTTATTTGGCTTGAAAGTTCAAATTTTATTGCTGACAACAAATACTGTTAGCTATTTTCCTTGAAGTGAATGGCTAACTCTGCCAATCCCAAGGTGGACTAACCATAGTTTGTCTATCAATTAAAAATGGTTTTCCAAGAAAAGAACTAGTTCAGTTCACAACTCAAACATTCATACAACTGCTTTCCCTCATGATAACCAACCATCATGCTTTGGTATACAGGAGTACTGTAAGTGTATTTCCCATTTGGTCACATGGAATATTAAAGAGATATATATTTATGGCTCAAGGTTTAATGAAAATAATAATACTTTTTGCTTCTTTAGCTTTTTCTTTTATTACAGGTGCACAGTAGTGAAGAATCAATGACTGACTACTAGTACTTGGATCCCTGAATGACATGGGGTAAAGCACCTCAAGACTATTTAAACTTATATTTGTGACATGGGAGAAATAAACATCTGCCTTCCTTAAGCCATGGTCAGGTTCGGTTTATGCGATCCAAGAGCCTGGCTTTTACGCTGACAAATTTTTTAAAAGCAGGCTAGACTTAAATATATAAACAAATATATAAACATGTAAACATAACACATAAAATAAAATAAAAAGCCCCAAAACCTACTTGAAGAAAAAAAGTAAAACCATAAATAAAATATAAAGGCAAACTACAGAATAGGAAAAAATATTTATAATTAATGAGTATCAAACTATAGTTTTCTTTAATACATAATGAACTTACAAGAAAAATACCAATATTCTAAAAAAAAAAAAACAGCAGAAGATACAAAAACTATTCATAGAGGGAAAATAAGCATATATAGTGTATTTTAGAGCTATATATACATATGTTTATTCATAAAAGACAAGTACAAGGGAAAAATTACATTGAAGAAATATTGTTTAAAAAATAAATTTAAAAAAATTAAAACTCAGAACAATGATCTCTGAGTGAAAAAAGTGTTTATACTGGAGTAGTGTGTTTTTACTTCTTGAATGTTTCTGTAATTTCCAAATTTTTACACTAAATCAAAATTATGCGATTTATTTAGAAAAAAATGGTATCTCTATGATTTAAGTTGAATAAAATCATCTTTAATTTCCTTTGCATCTACCCATCTTCCCATCTCATCACTCATATACATAAATCTCACTCCTAGTCGAAGCAAATTACTTTTAACTCTCCAAAGTTTCCTGATAACCCCTACCTCCAATCCTTCCCCACATTTTCTCCCAAGTTGGGCCCCTTATCAACGTGGGCCCTAAAAATGACCACACCACATTTGGGCAGGAGAGCCTCTGGGGTTGATATTTCCCAATCAAGGCACCTCTAATTTTCAGACAGTGTGGTAACTGAGTTGACAGACACTGGGATGTTACATGGACCAATATAGCGTAGGAGAGACGACCAAGACTTAGTAAAAGACTGAGGACTGCACTTAGAGGGAACTCAAGCAGGTAAGCTCCAAGCAAGCTATGAGTTATAGCACCAGATATTTCATTTGTGATGCCAGGAATACCAGGAAGCCATCACCTCTGAGACTAGGGAGGCACAGAACATCACATCTATGCGATCAGACAATTCCTGCTACAATGAGTTTAAGCCACTCTTCCCTCCCTTCCCACCCACCTGCTGTCCCCCACACCAATTGGGGAGCATAGCAGAAGGGGAGCATGGCAAGTGATGAAACATTTTTATCTGAACACTATATAAGTGGACTTTTAAAATTATCAGACAGGACTAAGGCTTAAGCATTTTGCAGTTTTGGGACATTCTCTAGTTTTTCCCTACTTATCAGAATATAGGGGCTCAGGAGGAGGTAGGCTGTGTACAGGATAAATTAAAATAACTTTTTTTTACTTGACATCTAAGCTATAGTCCAAATTAATTACTCTAATCCTACTAAAACATACGTAACAGGTTTCTAAGCATAATTTAAAAGTATATTTAGACAAGATATAAAAGACATATATTTTTGTGCTGTCATCTTCATGAGATGGCTTCCACCTCAGATGTAAGATATCTGTTCATGATCCCACCTGTACATGAACCCTGCAGTCAGCAGGAGGGAGAAAACAAGTACGGGAAGTGGAGGAGGTGTCCTTTCACCTTAAGGGCACAATCCAGAAGTGGTACCAGTACCCATCAGTTCCATTCACATCCTCATAGGCAGAAGCTTGTCTTCTGGCCTCATTTTGCTTCAAGAAAGGCTAGGAAATACAGTCACTAACTGTGTGGCCATGTGCCCAGAAAACAGATGCTGAAGGACACTGGTTATTGGGGGGATAACTGGCAGTCTCTGTCACACTCCATAAACCTACTCTTTCCTTTACCCTCGGTTCCATCTTTACGTTTTAAAAAACTTCTAATATTATGCAAATAAACATGCAAGATGAAAGTTTTTTAAAAAAAATTTGTTTTGGTTTTCCTCGTGAAAACTAAGGTGAATGCCACGGAAAGAAAATAAGTAAGGCAAGCTGCTAAAAAATGCCGCTGAACAGGTAAAAAGGTGAGATAATTCTTAAGTACGGAGGAAAAAGGATGTTACAATCTGGAAGGATTCTTCATTCACGTTGCTTTGCAAGTATCTTTAAATTCTCACTTGAAAGAAACAGAAACTGGAAATGAGTACATTTTGGTTATGTGAAAAAGACAACTCTGAACAATACTTCAAGAAAAAAAAGGTCATGACTCTACATCAAAAGATTGCTGAATAGAAGCATATGTTTTTGACTAAAATAAATACTCAAGGTATGCTGGCAATTTTTATTTTGTTTTTAGAAGTTCCCTTAAGACAGGTTGGTTTGACAGACAAAATCTGATCCCATGAGACAAAGGAAACTTCCCTCTGCATATTAACATATTCAAAACTTAACTACCTTCAGCTCCCAAATTGCATATTCCTTACAGAACTCTTTTTCTAAAATGTTTAAATCTGTAACAACTTTTTAATGCAAACTTCTTAGCATGGCATTCCAGGCATTTCTAGAACTGGACCCAAAGACCTTTCAGCCTCACCTCTTTTTACGAACCTCCAACTATTCACTAGCCATAGAAATCTTTCAAAATGAACTATTTCATAGACATAGCCAGGACAACGTTAAGAAATCTAGTCAAAGTTAAATAACATGTAGGTCCTAATTCCAAAAAGCTCAGATTACAAGAAAATGACAGTAAAAGATTACAGAAAGGCTGATACAAATAAAATGTGTACAAGTTCATATAATCCTAAAAGTACAAGTACTATTATACTTTTCACTGGACCACTATTCTTTCAAATATCATTTTTAAAGACATTTTTCCAGGAAGGGCACACAAATAGGATTATATACAGAGATGTGGTGTACAAAACAAACTATTTCATTTGAAGAAAAGCTGAGGGAGGAAGGAATGTTTAGAAGGAAAAAAGACTAGTGTAAATAAGATGTCTGATAAATAACTGAAGAGCCCTCCTATGAAAGAGAAGTCATACTGTGTAACTAAGACACTGAAATTTAAAATCAAAAACAGAAGTTATACAGAAGCAAATTTGGTTCCGGAAAAGATATAATCTAATAATCTGATGCCAGAATCTATCAAAGTACATCATCTGTCAATAGGATTGTTTCGCCCTGCACCCTAGTTTTCTATAATACTATGGGAAGCATACAGTTTCGCTAGATGCCATTTTACATCAAGATGTAAATTAAAATAAACATCAATAATAAAAGATGACGTTGTCTTCATACATTCTGGCCATAGCCAGTTTCTGCAAGGGTCAAAGTCCAGTGGAGATCAATAAAAGACAAGCCTTCAATATTTTTCTTCGTCAGCTGTCTTTGCCAGACAAGAGTGAGTCTAACAATGATAAATGATGGTGCAGCCTTCACTAAATCCCTGCACTATTTCACACGCATTGACACACAGAGACCTAAAGTTTACAAAGAAGAACATAGAAAAAAATCTTGAGGAAACACCCAATAAATTAATAAATTTTTTACAAGGATTTTTTAATGAGGATAAATACATCAAATTTATCATTGCCTATAAATTGGCAAGTAAATACTAATCAGAAAAGGCGTACGTAGGTAAACAGGCATCACATCATAATTTTAATCTGATGAGCTGTAAGAGAAGGAACTATTTGGTCCTAATTTAACAATATACTTTAGTTTCTAGTTGAATCAGTTGCTCTAGGACTAAGAGAACCAGAAGTAATGAACCTCAACTGTAAACTGAATTTTCTTTTCCAAACTGTCTTTACTAAAGCCATAATATATTTACTGTAAAATGCACTGATTTTAGTGATGTCAAATGTGAAAAATGTCTATCTTAGAATTAATGAAATACACTATGTCCCTTTGATCCATCATCACTAATGGAGCAAACTGCCAGGTTAGAGTTTCTAATATGGTTTGGGTCTGTGTCCCCAGCCAAATCTCATGACAAATTGTAATCCCTAATGTTGGAAGTGGAGCTGGTGGAAGGTGACTGCATCATGGGGGTAGATTTCCCCTTTGGTGCTGTTCTGGTGATAGTGAGTGAGTTATCTGAGATCTGGTTTCTTACAAGTATATATCACCTCCCGCCTCTCTCTTCCTCCTACTCCAGTCATGCAAGACATACCTGCTTCCCCTTCGTGTTCTACCATAACTGAAAGTTTCCTGATGCCTCCCAGCCATGCTTCTTGTACTGCCTGCAGAACTGTGAGCCAATTAAAACTCTTTTCTTTATAAACTACCCAGTCTCAGGTATTTCTTGATAGCAGTGCAGGAATGGACTAATAAGGCCTCCATTAGGGATTTTGTACACTTGAGTTTTCAGAGAGGTTAATAAACATGAAAAGATGATCAATAACATTAGTCATCAGGGAAATGGAAATCAAAACCACAATAAAGGTACTACTTCACACCCACTAGGATGGCCATAATAAAAAGGTAGACAATCCAAGTATTGCTGAAATGTAGAAGAATTATGGAATCTTCATACACTGCTTGCTAGGAATGTAAATGGTACAACCACTTTGGAAAACACTCTGGCATTTATTCAAAAGGTTAAACACTCAATCCTACATACATACACAACAAAAATGAAATATACTCACAGGCAAAAAGTTGTACATGAATGTTTATAGCAGCATCATAATAGCAAAATGGTGGAAACAAGACAACTGTCCATCAACGGATAAAGAGGTAAACAATGTAGCCCGTCTGTACAATGGAATTACTCAGCTATGAAAAAGAACAAAGTACTGATACATGTGACAATGTAGAGGAACCTTATGAACATTATTATGCTCAGTGAAAGAATCCAAAGATCGTATTATATGATTCCATTTATACGAAATGTCCAGAAATGTCAAATCTATAGAGACAGAACGTAGACCAGTGGTTGAGTAAGGGTGTGGGTTTTGTGGGAAATGAGAAGTGACTGGTAAAGGTCATGAAATTTTTGGTGGTAATATAAATATTCCAAAATTGATTATGGTAATGGCTGCACGACATTATGCCTAAACTTGAAAATTATGGAAATATACTTTAATGATTTTTGGTGAATTATATCTCAATAAAACTGTCTTTAAAAGTTAATAAAATTTGGTAATCAATAATCAACAAGATAATTTGGGAATGACACTTAAAAACCTGATTATAGACATTTCAATGACTTCCCTTCCATGAAGTCATCCTGAAACACTAACACCTGGTTACTTGCTAAGAGCAAACTGTTCCTAAATGGAACCTTCATTCCACCTCCTCTTCTATTGTGTAGCATTTCTGAATACACAATTTGCTGAAAGACTACTGATTTTATATAAAATAGAAGTCCAAAGATTTTACCTAATAGATAGGGGTGGTGTTTGATATGAGAAAATGATACATGTCTATTACTTTAAAATGATACTAGAAATACAAAAGGATTCCCTCAGGAGGAAATTTTAGCCTATAAGTCTCCAACTTGCAAACGTTAAAAGGTTTTAGGCCTTTTAACAGTCACAACAGAACTTTATTAAAGAGAGCAGAGGCAAGTGGATGGAAAACCACCGCAAAAGCCACGTGTAGACTACGGAATCTAACTACAATTGTCATCTGTCAAGACACAGTTCTTACCCCCTATTTTAAATCTAAGAACATTTTAAAGGGGAAAATCATAGTTTATGACAAAATCAAAAGAATCAGGGACAGAAGTACAGAAAGAAGAGTAATTAGAATATTATTAGTTACATTTAAGGGACAGAACAAGCAACATTAAAGAAACAAAATGAAGCGTAAGTTTCTGGCAACAGAGGCAATATATAGGTCCTGTAACATAAAAAGACAGTCAACCTAACATCATCAAAAAGAAAAACCTGTAATAAAATATTTTTAGTCAAACCAGTAGGGTAAATTTTTAGAAACGTAGGATAGTGGTTGTCAGGAGCTGGGAATGAAGAAGCAATGGGGATTTATTATTTAATTGGTAAAGAGTTTTAATTTGGGATGATGTAGAAGTCCCAGAGATGGACACTGGTGATGGTGAACAACAATGTGACTGTACTTAATGCCACTGAACTGTACACTTAAAAATAATTGGCCAGGCGCGGTGGCTCACGCCTGTAATCCCAGCACTTTGGGAGGCCAAGGCAGGCAGATCACAAGGTCAGATCGAGACCATCCTGGCTAACACGGTGAAACCCTGACTCTACTAAAAATACAAAAATTAGCCGGGCGTGGTGGCGGGCACCTGTAGTCCCAGCTACTCGGGAGGCTGAGGCAGGAGAATGGTGTGAACCCAGGAGGCGGAGCTTGCAGTGAGCCGAGATCGTGCCACTGCACTCCAGCCTAGGTGACAAAGTGAGACTCTGTCTCAAAAATAAATAAATAAATAAATAAAATAATTAAAATGGTGAATATTATGTATATTTTGTCGGAATTTTTAAGTGAATCAGATGTTCTAGTTATGGCCTTTGTATGCATGGGGGGGCTTGTTTCTAATACATTTCACAGTAATCTTTTAAAAACCGAGTAAATGAGTAAAAAGAGGGTTAAGTACATGACTAGAGATTTCTAGAGCACCTGTCAAATGCCATTTCTTGTATATTCTCTAGTCTGAGGCAGCACCTAGGGCTTCAAGTTGCAAGTTGAAGTTCTCATGGAGTCAGCTAAGGGCAATGATTCTCAAAAAGGATAGCGCTAGCCCAGGAACAGTTTAATGGGAATTTGTGGGAACATTTTTGGTCATTGGTGTGGTTGGGTATACTACTGTGATATACAGAAGAATCCCATCAACAGAGTACTTTCCATGTCCTGCACAATTTGCTAATGACCTATATTTTGTTGGTGAAAAATCGTAACTTTATAATATCTGAATCTACTACCTAATTCAATTTTCCACATAAACACAAAGACTTTTTTTGCATGATTTTGATATGTGTTGACTTTTTCCAGCAATGCAACTACTGCATAAAAGAGAGAAGACTGTAATCCTTGTCATTTGGAAATTTCAGTAAAGTTGAACACCATTTCTGCATGCCATATTCTCAATGGCACATCTATTGCAGTTTGCATGTACAGTGAACTATAAATGATTCTATATAAGGAAACAAGCATCCAACTTTTATAAAGACACAGTTGTGGCTGAGCATTTACATACTGAAAAACGGGATAAATTACTTTTATTTCTCTAATATATTGCAGATGGGCATATTATAGTGGTTTTTAGTAAATATATGAAAATAGGTTACTATTATCTACAAATTTTGTTTCGGAATATTATAGGGGGCATTAAAATTATATTACAAAAGTGAGCATCGGGTCTGGCAGGATGGGAGCTACTACTCCAGGTGAAGTAAAATACGAAAATCTTTTCCTTTGCCAGACTTCTGACTCCATCTTCACTTTTGTGACACTGACCACCATCTTAAGCACAGAAAAGTGAACCTAACTGCATACGCCTCCTGCTATACATACTACAGACGCTACAAATGTCTACATTCCACATAATGCTGAGCATTGCAAGGAAAAACTTTCTTGTCTTTCTTCCATGCATCCATGTGCAGTGTTCGAGTCTGGATGTCCATTAGTCAGAGATGTAGAAAAAGGTCATTCTTATCTTAGCTGTGAGGCTGAAGGGGTAACTCCAAGTTTCTTTCCAACTCTAAGAAGTCTATGAAACCACCAATGGTTCTCAGGTGACCTTAGCTTCTTAAACACTACCAGGAAATGGCAATCCATTAACCCACTCACTCTCACTGGCTATTATTTATAATGATGACAGTCACCTCATCAGCTCTCACAGGCTGTTTGACATCTCAGGTAATATACTCTAATCATGACAAATAAGCCTCAAATGACAAAAGTGCTTTATACATCTTGTCAACTTATAAATCTAAAGACTAAAAAGGGAAGAGCACCTGGAACCTGCTTGGGAAGCTGCAGCAAATCATTTTTAAGAACCACAGGTATACACATGTATTACATGTAGAAGATTCATTTGTAACATTTCATCCCCAATCTATGACAGTAGTATTAGTGAGAGGTGGGAGATATCAAACTGAAAGTAACTTTATAAATATAGATATTATTGCCAAAGCACCCATGTCATTTTAAGGGACTAAAAGTAAATTATCACATGTAGAGTTAAATAAACAACATTAGAATATAAATTGAATGTGAGTAATCCTAAAATCAACTTAGAATATTAATATCAGTATGTAAATGGAACTAAGAGGCTCTCCAGTTCCTCCAACTATCTTCTAAACACATTTATATTCAAGCAAAGGAAAACTGTTTATGTCTACTTTATGATTATTTGTAAGAATAATGTATCAATCTATTTTGCTAAAATGAGAACAATCTAAAGAAATAGTAACCCCCTCTGTTTTTTTAAACAATTTCGAAATTCTGTTTTCTCCAACAATCAAATTATTATCCAACTCTACTTTCTGGAAGACTGCATGTCTATGAGCACTCATATCACAATTACATGTTTCTACCTATGTTTCCAATACAAGGATGAAAGATTCCCCAGTGCAAAGAATGAAATATTTTTGTCCTTATATGCTCACTGCTTAGCATAATGCCTAGTGAATGGTAGTAAGCAAAATGTAATCTGTTGTTAATGCATAAAAATAATAATCTTTATAGCTCTTACTATGTGACAAACACTATGCTAAGGATTCTGTATTTATTTTTCCAGCAATCTAAACAAGCACTGTGCCATTACCATGCTAGACTATAAATGGTAAAACTGAGGTTTAATAAACAAAGATTAAGCAAATTGCCCAAAATCCCTATTTGTAAGCTGAGATCTAGGAGTCCAAGGTTTTATATTAATATACCCTCTCTGTATTTAGTTCTCAACGAAGTAAAAGTAACAAAGATCAAACGAGATAATATTGTCCAAATGGTACAGTAACTGCTATCAAAGTATTTTACATATTAACCTTGATTTTTTATCTATGATTTATTTCCAAATCAGAAATTTTGAGAGATTATATTCTCAAATAGCATTTGTTCTTTGGTAATCTAGTTTTTAAAAACTATTATACTAAAAACTACTTCTAGTTACAGAATATGTTAACTAAAAGAACTAGAAATAAAGTGCTTGAATGAAAAAATAAAAATAAATGCACAGTATGTTCAATTTCACAAGAGAAAGAGAAAACATTCTGCCAAAACTCTGAAGGTAAACTGAAAATAAAGACTGTCTTTAAAAATAATTTATCAAATATCTCATGTTTTTTAAATAACTGAAATACCACATAAAGCATCTGTATTTTACATAAACATACAAAGTGGAGTTTTATTTTTACACTAGGATAGTATATTAAACTGCAGGGTCACCCTTCCATTAGCAGATTCATGATGGAATGTTAACAGCCCTTTAAATGACAAAGAAAGAACAAAAGTGAATCTAATGCAACAGATCTCTAGCTGTGGAGTGAGATCTGTGAAAAGACAAAGTCACTGAGCAAGAAAGGACTTGAAAGGTCACCTAATATCTCTTTTAGCCTTTGGGAGCACTGTACAACATTACTGAGAGATGAAAATTGATGTTATTTTTAGAGATTTAAGAGGGGAGAGGAATCACAACTTCTACCAAAAAGTCCCTCCAGAGATGAACAATATTCAGAATCATAAAACTCCTATTAATACTCAATATACATCCCTTAATAATGCAGCCTAAATCAATTCCCTTCAGTTCGGTCTTGGTGGAACATACAAAAGAGCTGGCTACTACAATACATCCTCACATATAAAGTCTGAGCTTTCTCTTTTTTGGAGACAAATAATGTCATCTTTAGCTTTTTCTCATAGGCGTATTTTCTAACTTTTCATATATCCTTTTTTCCAATGCCTCTCCATTGCTATTAAAAAGGTCGAGTAAAGAAGTAAGTGGTATACTAATGCTCTGAAATGTCAATCAGCTATTATTAAATCATCATTTTTGCTTCTCCAATTACTGGTATCTTTGTAAACTCATCAAAGGAAATTTGAGAAATCATGGAGGATGTTAGAGAAGAGCAGAGATGGATAAATGCCCCAAATTAAAAGAGGCAGTGATAAAATTAGGTAAAGTCTAGAGTCAACTTCTGCCAATTCTGAAGACAACTCATTAAAAAGTAAAATGTGAGTACTCAAAAAGAAAGTGGGGAGGCCAAGGCAGGCAGATCACGAGGTCAGGAGATCAAGACCATCCTGGCTAACACGGTGAAACCCCGTCTCTGCTAAAAATACAAAAAAATTAGCCGGGTGTGGTGGTGGGCGCCTGTAGTCCCAGCTACTAGGGAGGCTATGGCAGGAGAATGGCATAACCCAGGAGGCGGAGCTTGCAGTGAGCCGAGATTACACCACTGCACTCCAGCCTGGGCGACAGAGCAAGACTCCGTCTCAAAAAAAAAGAAAAAAAGGAAAGCAAGAAAAAAAGAAAGCAGCCAGGTGCGGTGGCTTACGCCTGTAATCCCAGCACTTTGGGAGGCCGAGGTGGCAGCTCACGAGGTCAAGAGATGAGACCATCCTGGCCAACACAGTGAAACTCCATCTCTACTAAAAATACAAAAATTAGCTGGATGTGGTGGCGCACACCTGTAGTCCCAGCTACTTGGGAGGCTGAGGCAGAAGAATTGCTTGAACCCAGGAGGTGGAGGTTGCAGTGAGCCAAGATCACGCCACTGCACTCCAGCCTGGTGACAGAGAGAGACTCAGTCCCCACAAAAAAAAAAAAAAAAAAAAAGAAAGCACCAGTTTGACAAAGAAGCCTGGTGACAGAGAGAGACTCGGTCCCCCCACCAAAAAAAAAAAAAAAAGAAAGCACCAGTTTGACAAAGCAGCATAGATTCACTAAAAAAGGTCAGTTCTGTTTTGATAAGACTATTAGACACAAGAAAAAAGGCATGGACCATATCTGAGGCCTAGAGCAGTGTAATCTCAGTGATGCTTTTACAATATGCCGCATGATATTCTTATGTTCAATACAAGAATACAAGGCTGGCCTCCAGTTTACGTAGGTTTGCACCTTGTGGGGCAACTCTAAAGAATACTGATTAATGAATTAGTATCAACATGTGGATTATATGCAACAGAATTCATACTCTGACTATGAGGTAGGCAAAAAGACAAAAGGAAAACTACTGTCTCTAAATATCTCAAAATTCAACAATAATGGGCTAAAACTATCTTCACATATGTTTAATTTAATGTAAAACACAGAACTTGGACTCAAAATGCTCAGTTTCTCAAATATGTGTTACTGGTTTGAGCTAAGTAGTTATGTAAGTGAATTTCAGTTGAATATAATTAATGTGCCAACAGTGAAGAGTTCGCTAAACACACAATGGAGTGATGGAGAATCTACTACGAACAGACCATCTTATTAAGAGGACATGTAGAGATCAAGCAAGGTGTAAGAACTCATTACTGTTCAGAAGACACCTGCATTTGGTAAACAGGTATGAACCTACCCACAGAAGGGCTAGTAGTATGCATGCTGAGGTGTAGGATAAAGATGATTACAAAAGTAAAATTATGTAGCTTAAATAAAATATTGAGGGGTCCTGGGGGATAGGGACCATTCTGTATTTCAATGTATTTCAAACATGTAAAACCTTCAGATGCTATATAAAAGAGAACTGACACATATACTGCCAGAGGAAATCAACACAAGTCCCAGATAGACAGATGAAACCCAGGGGTGTCAGCCTCCCTTGGGTGTCTCAGCAAGTCCTCTAAGTCTTCCTTGAATCTATCATCAGTACTTGGCCACATTCCCTAAAACAAACCCAGTTTTACAAATTATTTTTTAAAGCAAACACTTTAAAGATTTTGTGGGAAGACAAGAATAAGATTAACATCAAACAATGCAGAGCAGAAACCTATCAATATTACCCACACACTTCCATTCTTCCTTGCGGTTTCTCTTCACTGAAGGCCACCTCAACTCTCTTAAATCTCTTCCCACAGGATGTCTCAAAACCCATCCATTGTGCTCAGCCACACCAAATCCCAGTGTGTGGCTGAATAAGGACCATTTTATTACTTATCCCAGGTATGTATCTTAACCATCTATTCCCCAACCTCAAGGAGCTGTTCAAAGTATGCCTTCAACCCAAGGAGGGTTTCTTCGTAGGTGGAGAGATTTTCCACTGGTACTGAAATGTTAAGCTCCAAGAACAACTTTCTCTTCGAAAATATAAAGCTGAAAAGAATTCAGCTGATTTTGCTTGTGCAGCAACAAAGCCAAATCGTAAAGATGTAGGATAGTTCTTTTCCTGTTGCTTGTATTAACCTTGCCATACAGCTGTGTACCTTCAGTTTGAGAAGCACATTTCTAGAAGAGTATCTGTTTCTTCATCTATAAAATGAGTAAAATAATACAAACTTCTTCAGTGAGGTGCTGTAGAATTTCATAAAATGCCTTAAAGACCAGGCTAACTACCTGGCACAGGAGCAGATTATCTTAGTCTGGGTTGCTGTAAGAGAGTATCACAGACTGGGTGGCCTAAACAACAAGCACTTATTTCTGATAGTTCTGGAAACTAGAAGTCTCAGATCAAATTGCCAACATGGTCAGGTTCTTGGTGAGGGCCCTCTTCCTGGTTTACAGCCAGTCACTTACTTGCTGAATCCAGACATGATAAAGAGAACTCAAGGTCCCTTCATGCCCATCATGAGGACTCCATTCCATGACCTCATTCCAACCCAATTACCTCCCAAATGCCCCACCTCCAAATGCCATCACACTGTGGGTTAGGGCTTCAACATACAATTTCGGAGGGACACATTCAGTCCACAGCACAGACACTCGATAACTATTAAATAACCTGGTATTTATAGATCCTTTAGGACATAGGGTAGCAAATGGTAAGCACTGTATAAGTATCTACCAGTAAATAAAAAACTGAGCATCTTTCCAGTGACTTTCAATCATACTGTATAATTCCATGATCCAGTAGTTTCAGGGGTAATTTCAGCTTTTTGAAGAGCAGTATAAACCAAGGGATGCTAAAAAAAATCTCTTTGGACTCAACTTCCTATTAGTCTATGATTCAGAGTATTTTGAGTTGTGGAGCTCCCACTTTAGAAACAAGCACAGCATTAACGATAACATTACAGGCTAACACACATTTAAATTTAATAAAAACTAAGAGAGTTTATATTGCACAGCCATAATGCATAATGCACTGCTAAAAATATATGACATTTAAAGAAATTCTTTGTTTGACACAAACAATTATGACACAAACATAATTGAGTGGAAAATTTCACTAGCATGCCCAGTGGTAAAATAGTTGACATTTTTAAAACTCATTCTTTGTGTCAACAACTTCTAACAGATTTCTCTGTAATCACCAGAGCTGTACTCAATTAACTCCTAAAATGCTTATCAAAAAAATACTGTTGCTGATATAAGATTCTAATTTCCTTAACACAAATTAATCTCCAAGTAAATAAGTATGTGCCTTCAATATGCAGCAACAATTTCTCAGATGCTCATGTACCTGACCAGTAAAACAATACGTAAAAGGGTTGTGAGAAACAAATAAGGTAATAATGCAACAGTACTTTATAAACTACAAAGTACTATATAATGAGCTTCTCACAAACCATATCCTTGGAACACTAATATCATGAAGAATCTCAACATCTGTTCTTTGAATACCAGGCTAGGTAGTTTAGTAGGTGTATACTCTACTTTCTTTTTGAGGATTCACAATTCACTTAGTGTATCAAAGATTCAAAAGAGTACTATATTTTAAAAGTCTGTTAACTTACTTCCATTTGGCACTTCTTAGATGTGATTAACTAGGGAGCCACTTGGTTTGTGGAAATTTGGTGTTCTGGAGAAGACTGCAAGATATCGTACTACACAATGCCAACTATTACATTAGTTACCAGGACATTTTTTTTTCTAAAAATTAGAACTAGCACCAAATAATGGAATTAAATGGAAAGAATATAAAAAATATACTTTTTGCCTTCCTTAGGAAATACTCAAATTGTTTTACCAAAATACTCTCCTTAATAAAACAGATTTTTATAATGGTCTGAAGAACATAATGGACTACATCAACAATTCAAAGTAATATTCTTCTAAAAAGTTACAACTGACAAAATCACAACAGATAATACACTGGCAAACAGCTTAAAATGAAGAATTTGATTTGCAAGTGGATATCACAAGTATTCATTTTTAAAACGTAATGAAAATGTTTGCAGACCAAAACCAAAAGGGGCTGAAAGCTGCTTGGTCAATTCCCAAACTTTGACCTATACTGAATTTCTCCTGAATGCTTAATTAATTCCACACCAGAAATACCAGAATACATCCTAGATATATGGAAGCCACCTGCCTAAAATACAAAATTGAGCCTAACAGTTCTTCTCTTACAGAATAATGAATTTTTTAAACACAAACGAGTTATTAAAAGATCACCTGGCTCATTACTCCCATTTTTTTTAGTAACCAAAATGAGGTCCAGAAAATTTACAGAGAAGCTGGGCTCCATGGAATGTTTTGTTTTGTTTTTGTTACCTACAGTCTTCTGACTGCTGCATTAAAAAAAAAAAAAACTGTCTAAAATAACCTAACTTAGAGGAGAGGCTACCTAGAGTATGCAAGTCACTTGTAGAGTGTTGATGTGATACTTACAGAAGCAGACATCTTCCCAGAGAGGCTTTAAGGAAATTGATCCGCAACAGAGTTGCCTCTGAGCACAGATCCTTAAAGCCAAGTAACAGGAGGGATTCCTTTATTTACTGATAGTTAATAAGTGATACAACCAACTCAGAGAGGTCAACGTTACTGCTACATAACCAGTACTAGCAAGTGCCCAATACACTTAACATATATCCCAATACACTTAACATATATCTCTAATCCTCACGCAATCCCTATGAGATGTGTTTTCCATCAATTTCACAGATAAGGAGATTGAGTTCCCCAGAAATCTAGAAATGTGCCACAATCACACTACCAGCGAGGAAGCTGAGATTCAAACTAAATTCAGCCTACTTGAACACTAGACTCTTAATACAATACAAAAAAGTGAAATCAAGAATATCTACCTGGAGAGAACCGCAACTAAAGATTCTCCACCATCCAAACAGGAAACAACGAATATTTTTAAATGTTAGTGTTGTGCTGAATGTTCTCAGCACAAAGAAATAATAAATGTTTAAAGTCATGGATATGCTAATTACCCTGATTCAATCATGTACACAACGTATACATGTATTGAAACATGTTGTACCCCATAATTACATTCAATTATTATGTGTCAATCACACTTTTTTTCAAAAAAAGACAGTAAATGAAAATATTTAAAGTGTCTGCTATGGGCCAACAAGAGTACTGACTGAACTTTAGATGTGCTCACCTAGAAATGAGGCTTTTCTAGACACCTCTCAAGGTGGGGCTACAGGGTATCAATGTACACAGCTTGGATTAAAAACAAAGTACAAGCCTAAGAACTATGTTTCTGAGTATGGTGTCACTTAGCCCAGCCCATCTGGACTTGGACTGAAATAGGGCACAAGGGCACTGCTAACAAACAAGTAAGCCCCCCCAAAAAATTGTTTCACAAAAGTCTCTGTGGGACTGTGAGAGCACAAGCCACCAGAACTTGAGCCAGCAGCACAAGATAAATTTATTATGTGGCCCAGGATGGCACCCTCAGCTTGACATGGAGAACATCACAAGCAACTCTTCAAGGCCACAAGATAGACACAGCAAATTCAAGCCTGGGCATCAGCAGTATCAGCATGTCTGTGGTGGGTGGTGGGCAGTGGCAGAAGCTATGCCACCTCTAACGTCAACAGCTTTAGAAGACATCGCCACTGTGAGCCATAGTGAGAAAAGAGGAAAATGATAAGAGTTCCTGTAGAATCCAGGAGCCATAGGTCAAAGATTATAGCTGAAAGGTCCTCCCTACATATCCCAGGATGAACTGGGAGGAATTTGAAAGGGATGGATTGCCTGAGGCTGGCTTGAATAGCGTGGTGCAAACTGAGAAAATAGTAATTTGCCATTTATACTGTGACTATCAGTTTGTTCTCATGTTGTTAATTAAAGACATACCTGAGACTGGGTAACTTATAAAGGAAAGAGGTTTAACTGATTCACAGTTCAGCATGGCTGGGGAGGCCTCAGGAAACTTACAATCATGGCAGGAGAGGCAAACACATCCTTCACATAGCAGCAGGAAGAGAAGTGAGTGAGTAAAAGGGGGAAAGGCCCCTTATAAAACCACCAGATCTCATGTGAAATCACGATCGTAAGAACAGCATGAGGGTAACAACCCCTATGGTTGAATTACCTCCCACCAGGTCCCTCCCACGTGAAGATTATGGGAACTACAATTCGAGATGAGATTTGGGTAGGGACTCAGCCAAACCTTTTCAGTCACCCTTTAGAAAACAAGAATTTCATAAGTATGTGGAAACACTGCTAAATATTAGAATACTGATTAAGCAAACAAACACCTCATTAAGAGTTACGGAATTAGCCAGCAAATTATTTTGTAGATATCAAGAAAATGATTCTAAACTTTATACGAGAAAAAATCCAGAGTAGCCAACATGATACTGAAGGAGAAGAACAAAGTTGGAGTACTGACACTGCTTGTTCGCAAGGCTTACTTTAGGCCTATCATAATCAACACAGAAACAATAAGAAAATAACTTAGTTTAAAAATGGGCTAAAAACTTTGACACCTCACCAAAGAAGATATGCAGATGGAAAATAAGCGTATAAAAATATTCTTCAGGGCCGGGTGTGGTGGCTTATGCCTGTAATCCCAGCACTTTGGGAGGCCAAAGTGGATGAATCACTTGAGGTCAGGAGTTCAAGACTAGCCTGGCCAATATGGTTAAACCCCATCTCTACTAAAAATACAAAAAAATTAGCCGGGTGTTTTGGTGAGTGTCTGTAATCCCAGCTACCTGGGAGCCTGAGGCAGGAGAATTGTTTGAATCTGGGAGACAGAGGTTGCAGTGAGCTAAGATCATGCCACTGCATTTGCAGCTTGGGTGACAGAGTGAGACTCTGTCTCAAAAATAAAAAAAAGAAAAAAGGTGCTTCACATATGTCATCAAGAAAATGCAAATTGAAGTACCAATGAGATACCACTACACATTTATTAGAATGGCCAAAATCCAGAACACTGACACAACCAAATGCTGGTGAGAATATGGAACAACAGGAACTCTCACTCATTGGCAAGTGCAAAATGGTACAGTCTCTGTGGAACACAGTTTGGTAGTGTCTTACAAAATTAAACTCACTCTTACCATATTATCCAAAAATTGTGTCCCTTAGTATTTACACAAAGGACATTAAAACATGTCCACACAAAAATCTACACATGGATGCTTACAATAGCTTTATTCATAATTACCATAATTTGGGCAAACTAAGATGTCATTCAGTAGGTGAACAGATAAACTGTGGTGCATTCAAACAACGGAATATTATTCAGCTCTAAAAATAAATAATCAAACTATGACATAGAGGAAACTTAAGTGCATATTATTAAGTGAAAAGGCCAATCTGAAAAGGCTACATACTACATGATTTCAACTATACGACATTCTGGAAAAGAAAAAACTATGGAGACAGTAAAAAAGATCAGTGGTTGCTTAGCATAAGGTAGGAGGGAGAATAAATACGAGGAGTACAGAGGATTTTAAGGGCAGTAAAACTACTCCGTGTGATTCTATAATGCTGGATAAATGTAATTACGCATTTTTCCAAACCAATAGAATGTACACTACCAAGGGTAAACTCTAATGTAAAACTAAAGTCTTTGAATGATGATGTGTCACTGTAGGTTCATCCATTTTAACAAATGTACTATTCTGCTGGGAGATTTTGATAATGGAGGAGTCTATGCATGTGTGGGGGCTGGGATATATGGGAAAGCTCTGTACCCTCTCTGCTCAATAGTACTGTGAACCTAAAACTACTCTAAAAAATAAAGTCTGTCAAAAAATTATAGAATTAGAAAGCAATGATTCATTTCAATGCTCAAAAGCCCTCCTTTAGCTGGGCACAGCAGCTCACTCCTGTAACTCCATCACTTTGGAAGGCTGCGATAAGAGGGTCACTTGAGGCCAGGAGTTTAAGACCAGCCTGGGAAACAGAGCAAGATACCACCTCTACGAAATAAAAAATTAAAAAATTGGCTGGGAATGGTGGCATGTACCTGCAGTCCCAGTTACTTGTGAGGCTAAGACAAGGAAGATCACTTGAGTCAGGAGTCTGAGGTTAGAGTGAGCTATGGTTGCACCGCTGCACTCCAGCCTAGGCAACACAGCAAGACACCATCTCAAAAAAAAAAAAGCTTTCCTTTATAAGGGTAGACATGATATGACATGACATAACACAACATAACATACACTCGGGGTGTTTGATTCACCTTGCAAAAGGAAATCTTAAATCTCTTATTCACTGCTACATCCAGAGTATAAGAATCTTTTATTTCCGTATTTTCTTTCATTTCTTTTAACAGGATAAATGGTACATGATAAGCATACAATAAATGCCTAATGAGTACAACATATTTTTTAGGACTGGAAAAGTGAGAAGATTATGCAAATGAATACCACAGCCTCAGAAAACTAATGCCTGCACCAACAGCTCTTAGTTTTTGAATTTCACGAGGAAGAGAGGCAGACTTGCTTGCTGATATGTACATCAGCTTGCTTTCTTTCTTTTTTTTTTTTTTTTTTTTTGAGACAGAGTCTTGCTCTGTTGCCCAGGCTGGAGTGCAGTGGTGTGATCTCGGCTCACTGCAACCTGGGTTCAAGTGATTCTTCTGCCTCAGTCTCCTGAGTAGCTGGGACTACAGGCATACGCCACCACGCCTAATATTTTTGTAATTTTAGTAGACACAGGTTTCACCATATTGGCCAGGCTGGTCTCAAACTCCTGACCTCGTGATCCACCCGCCTCAGCCTCCCAAAGTGCTGGGATTACAGGTGTGAGCCACCATGCCCAGCAGTTTTCTAATAGTCTGCTCAATAACACACTGTATTTTTTTTTTTCTTAAACATCTAACTGTGTAACTGTGCTATCATTCCTCCTGGAATGCCATTGCTACTTAAAATTTCAAAACTTCAATTATAATCACTGATCTTCAATAATAAAGGCACCAGCCTACTCACTGACTTTGACACCTTAATGACTAAGAGTACAAAGTCTTGAAAACTAGACTACATAAAATACATTTAAGGAAGGTAAGCATACAGAAGTTTGTTTAATCCTGATGAAATCATTTCAGAATAAATAAAAACATAACCTCTAACTACCTAACGGAAATCACTGAAAACTCTATTTAATATTATAGACCTTACAGAGGCCCAAAGAAATCACTGTTAGGCATTATATATGTACTATTGGATAGAAATACAGAATTCGATATTACTGAAGTTGATAATGTATCAATGAATGTTTACTTTTTATGTAAGAAAAAAACAATTCAATGTTGATTAAAATATCCAAAAACCAAAATAATTCCTGTGTTTGATTAATATCAACTCAGAATATTCTGTCTTCCTTCATGTAAGGAGATTATAAAAAGTATTAAACTTTTTCTTTTACCAAGAAGAGCTCAATACTTCAAAAATTGCATAATCCCACATATTGAGTCAGTAATCTTGAAAAATCACTTCAGTTAGAAATACATTTATAACAAACAATACATTTAAACTTGAATTCAAAATCAGGCTATAATGGAAAAAATAAGCAATGTATTATTTTATTTTTTTCTGAATAGGTAATAGGTAACTTTCCTCTAGTAATATATCTCACTAAAGATCAAACTATATTTTATAGAAAAAGAATCTACTTTAAAAAATATTTTATCTATAACCTAGGAAGTTGTAAATCCAAGTCTTTCACAATTATAGCTCTCAAATAATTCTGGAACACAGCCCAGAAAGCTATTGCTGAGCCCAAAGCTCCACTGACAATAATCAAAACCAACTTCTTGCAAATGTAAATACCATTTTCAAGAAAATACCATTTTCAGGAAAACATTATAGTTTTCTCTTAAATATACAATGTGCACATCATTTCCTTTAATATAAAGAAAACCAACTATAAAAGATGATGTAGAAGTTTAACATGTTATTTGTCAACAATGAACCTAAAGTTATTGTAGTAAACAACAGAAAGCATGCTAGAGGCTTGTTTATGTAAGAAGAATCCAAATAAAAACTGAAGCCCCAGATAACTTCAGTCTGGAAATTAATGTATACACAGTGTTCAAAAAATCATGTTGCCACCTCATTCCTGCCACTCTTTCCAGAGCAAACCCAAGAACTTGGGGAAGATTACAGCTTTATTTCTAAAATCCCTGTGCACCAAGTTTAATCCTAGTTTTTCATAACTACACCAAGTACAAAATTCACCAAATTCACACAGAAGCTTAAAAATACACCATTAACAAAATGTTTACAAGTGAGAACTCTATTAAACACAAGACATTATAACCATAAAATAACAATTTAAAAGTGCACCTTTTATTTCCTTTCTAAAAAAAAGTTCAGTGGCCATGCACAGTGGCTCATGCCCGTAAATCCCAGCACTTTGGAAGGCCAAGGTGGGCAGACTACTTGAGTACAGGAGTTTGAGGCCAGCCTGGGCAACATGGTGAAACCTCATCTCTACAAAAAATACAAAATTTAGCTGGGTTTGGTGGTGAGTGCCTGTAGTCCCAGCTACTTGGGGGGCTAAGGTGAGAGGATCGCTTGAGCCTGAGAAGTCGAGGCTGCAGTGAGCCGAGATCATGTCTCTGCACTCCAGCCTGGGTGACAGAATGAGGCTGTCTCAAAAATAAATAAATAATTAATTAATTTAAAAAATAATCAGTTCAGTGACTATATAAGCCTAATTTCCATAGAAATGTATGTAAATTGCCTGCCTGAAATATTTCTAGGAGTTATGCTCAAGGAAACAAAGAAGTTACAGAAGATATAAAGATTAAGAAAACTAGGCAATCACCAAAGTGCAAGAAAAATAAAATACCACTTTGTGTTACCTAAATTTATTTTCTCCTTCTTGACTATGGCACAATGGATGTAAACCTTCTTGATGACCTCAGGAAAAAAGTATTTTAGGGCCATGCTTCAGAATGTTAAGGCCATTAATACAAGTCCTCAAAACAAACTCACCAGAAACACTCCCTTGTATATTTACACTATTTAAGCATTTCAGATAGAATAAGCATCCTACCTCGGCCACCTGTGTCTTATTAACCACCTCACTGTTTTCCTCCTACTGTATTAGAGAAAAAATACCTCTGACATTATTCCAAGTTAACTTGTGGAATTGGAAATAGTTTTATTTCCAATTTGATAATTAGACAAATCAGTGCTCAAACATACTTTAAAAGTTATTAGAAAAATACAAGCATTAACTACAGCTTACTAATTTTTAAGATGCACATTGTATAATCAAAACCAAGGATGTAAAACTATATTATGGCCATATTAATGGGAAAAAAAAAGAATACAAAGTGAAAATGAACCCTTTGATCCTTCTTGAAGACTATCTATGACATGACAAGCTTGATTAATTTAACTGCCCTCTTGGAATCTCCACCACTATCATGCAGGGGCTGGCCTGTCAATGATAGGAATATTTTTACATTGTGACACATTATCATAAATTTAATATTTTAGTTACTTTGGTTAATGGGAAAGTAATGATGTTAAAAAAATCTTTCTAAAATATAAAAGTCTACATTCTTCGGTAAATACAGTGTATTAGATATAATTAACTCTCTGTTCAAAGATTCAGGATATTTAATTGCCTCAGGTTTTTTTTTTAATAAATTTCACTTTTCATTTGAAATCTTTTAGCCATAAATAATGCAGGTGTTTAAGAATTGAGACTGAATCTGGCCGGGTGCAGTGGCTCATGCCTGTAATCCCAGCACTTTGGGAGGCCGAGGCGGGCATATCAGGAGGTCAGGAGATCAGGAGATCGAGACCATCCTGGCTAACACAGTGAAACCCCATCTCTACTAAAAAAATATTTAAAAATTAGCCAGGCATGGTGGCAGGCGCCTGTAGTCCCAGCTACTCGGGAGGCTGAGGCAGGAGAATGGCATGAACCCGGAAGTTGGAGGTTGAAGTGAGCCGAGAATGCGCCACTGCACTCCAGCGTGGGCAAGAGCAAGACTACGTTTCAAAAAAAAAAAAAAAAAAAAAAGAATTGAGACCGAATCTACCCCCAGATTAGATCCTTAAGTTGGTTTCTTTAACCCGTTTTTGTAAAAACAAAACATCGACCTATTTCAATGGATATGCATAACTTAGTTTCCCCTTTTAAACTATCTAGTTAAAACACCTGTTGGGTATATCAGTTAATAATGGTGTTGTAGTTATTAATTCTTGCAACATAAGATATAATTGTTCATTAATTTATTCAACAGATATTTACTTAGTGTCTACTTTTGACCAGGCCCTTTCTCCCTAATAGAGGGAAAAATACCATTTAATTGCATAACTGCAAATGCACACATGAAATAACATAAGGAAAGAAGCATAACAGAGGACTGAGAGGCAGTATAGAAGGAGACGACACCCAGCATGGCCACGTACTAGCAGTATGTCTTGGGCAAATTCCTTATCTATCAAAAACTCAATTTCCTGCTTTGTAACATGAGATTAATACTACCTGCCACCTTAGTTCTAGAAAACTGAAGGAAATAGCGTATACTAAAAAACTGAAAAGAGGCCGTGAAAGGAGAACAAAGTGAAAAAATTAAAAATAAACATGTCAACTTCATATTCTTGCTTGTGCCCTTTAATAGCTGAAGGGCCATGTACTAACAGCTCTGAACTTGAAATTCAGATGCCTCCCTATACAAGTTCAAATCACACCCCCTAGCATTTATCCCTCCCGTAAATAATGTTTCCTTGGTTTCTTTTGCCACGAAACTCCTCAAGGGCAGGATCCATGTATGATACATGTTTGGATCCACACAACCTTTGACACAGTCTGTAGCAGACAATAGGTAATATTTATTAAATAAATCTGCACTTAGGCAGTTTGAAAGTTAGAGGCAGATGTATTTTTTTCATGTAGAAATGCAGCCACTTGGTGGGGAACACTACTGAGCCTTTTCATTCATGATGATGCTTCATTGAGGCATTTATTCCACTGGGGGTGGGAGCACCCCAGGAATGAGGACTTTGCAATTAGAGAAAGAGAAGGGAAGAACTGAGACATCTTGTGGCATTTGATAGTAGGCATACCACATGTGAAAGCAGTTTATAGCTGACTGACATCACAACCAGGAGAGAACAAGTCATGTTAATGAGAACTCTATTGGTTTGTGGTTTTGTGTGTAATTTTTTTTTTTTGGCTTTGTGGTTATCTAGAAGTGAGAAACATTTTTCTACTTAATTATATGTTTTCATAGTTTTGTATATTGAAGTGATTTTGCAATACATTTAAATCAATATTAGGAATCCATAAGAACTGTTTTATTAGGGATCCAGATATTACTCAACTTTGAAAAAAGTTCTCCCAAACTCTGCTCATGAACATGCCTGGGCAGGACTGGAAACAGGTAAGGGTGGAAGGGCACTCCCTGAAAGAGGAACATAAGCAAGGATATCAAGATGGGAAAGCAGGGGAAGTTCTCATACTGTGGCAAGGGAGAAGCATGGGAAATATGGAAATGCAGGGTGGAAGCCAAACCACAGAGGCTCCTGAATTCCATGCTAATGAAGAGAACAATATTCTGTAAATAAACAGAGCTACTGACGACTTCTGGCCAGTTACTGATACCATCAAAGCTGTCATTCTGGAGGACTGATATAGACTGAAGGGTGGGAAGCACATAGGGAGGAAGACCAGGTAGGAGGACATTACAAAAGAATAACTTGTGTAAAAATGGAAAAACGGCGGATGATGGATGGACAATGCAATGCAATAAGGAGTAAATAAGGCTTGGGAAATAACCGGATGTGAAATCACAGAAAAACATGCCAAAATTGAGATGAATTAGCCTACAATAACAAAAGTTCTGTTTATTTACGAAATATTTCAGTCACATAAAAATATCTAGAAAATAAGATAATAAACATCTGTGTGTCCAGCATCCAGCTTGAGAATTAAAACACTGCAGTACCCTGGATGCATCCTCCTGATCCACTTCCCTCTCCGCCTCCTCAGAAGTAACCAGCACTCTGAATTTGATGTTTATCCTCTCCCTGCATTTATTTACAGTTTTCCTTTATGTGTTTGTACCTATAAACATATGGCATAGTTCTGAGGATATTTTAACTTTATACGAATGTGTCATAAAGCATATCACTTTACAAAGTGCATATTTAACTTAGCATTGTTATTGAGATTTATCAAACATTCACTATCTCCGTATAGCACTTCATTTCTATAGTTCTAACATAGTATTTCACTTTCAGTATATACCCTCATTTATTTATTCATTCCTGCTCACATATTTATTCACTCTTGATGATTAATAATTTAGTTCTTTTGAAATTTTGCTATTACTAACAATGTTGTAGTAAATATTTTTCCTGGTACATGTACACCACTTTCTCTGGAATCTATACCTAGGAATGGGATTATCGATTCAAAGGTATGTAACCTTTACTAAGTATTGATAAAGCTTTACCCAAAATTGTTTTACCAATTGATGCTCCCAACCAACAGTACATTAAAGCTGTCAAGTCAACATTTGGTATTGTCCGGTTCTGATGGCATCTCATTGTAATCTGCACTTCCATGAAAACAGGTGGTATATAGATGGTATGCTGTTTGGTCCCACTTTGTTAGGGTATGTAGGTTTTCAATGCTAACGTGAATTAATCAATCTTGTCTATTGTAGTTTCCTTTTTTCTTCTCATTTAACAAATTCTTCTCTACTTTAGTTTGTATATCCTGAAGGCATATAAAATTATGTAAATTTTAAAAATGCCTTGTTAAAACCACTCAAGGAATAGTTACATGGGCCAACAATTTAAGGCTTTCTAAATCCTCTCATTAACATGAAGCAAAACAATCTATCTAGGTGAAAAAATAACAAAATCAAAAAGTACATGGGAAAGCGGGAATATACAAACATGTAAAGTATTACAAGACAGGTTCTGATGAATCTCAAAATGGAGCACATTAACTTCTTTAGAGTATATAGTCCTTCTACTGCCCCTCAGCAAATCCAAAATTGCAGATTAAAGTAACAATGGGAAGCCATTGTTATCCATCAAGTTAGTGCAGATAATTACAAGAACACTCAATGCTCATGAGGGTAAGGTGAAACACAGCAGCTTCACATGCCTCCTGTAGGGATAGAAACTGGACCATTTAGGGGGTGAATATCTATACACATCATAAGCTTTAAAAGGGTTCAAAACTTTTAACCCAATAATTTAAGCAAATAATTAGGAATACAGGCAATGATACATGCATAAAATTTGACAGTTCCAGCATAGTACATGACTGTAAATGTAGGCGACATCAATTATCAACATTAGTGTGATTAAACAAATTATGGAATATCTGTAAAACATATATAGCCACTAAAGTTGGGATTTACAGAAAATATTTAATAAGTAAATATTTAAGCCAGAATAAGTGTAAAGTTACATTTGCAATACAACATCAACCACTCAAAATACATCGAGAAAAGAAATTTACTCAAATGTTTGCTTCCCTAAATGTCCACAGTATAGCTGTAATATTTTATATAGAGAGAAGCAGCATTTGAAAGTAAATACTAGAACAAAAGAAAGCAATTCCTATATTTTTTTCTACACTGATACTGCATATAATTAAGACTATTGAGACTACATTAGTATTAGTAATACCACATATCAGTCTCAAGACTGAACACCTCAAAATATGTGGGAAATATATTACAAGGAAGTTATAACTATATTTTTACCTCAAAAGTTCCATCAAATAAACTGGAGATATTAGTTGTAAACATCCACATAATATTTAGTTATTAAAACTACCATCAATCTAAATAGCTAATCCTAACTTTCAGAAATAAAGACAAACCCTTATACTAAATCATTTCTAGAACACAACCATTCAATTCTAAAACATTAGTTTGGTTCTCAACTTATTTCTCCATGGATATGAACCCATTCTAGAAATTATTCAAAATGGTTTTTAGCTTTTATTTTTAAAAGTTAAGTTGCTTATCTAACAAAATCATTCAGATGCTCTAATTTTCTAAGTTTTTTGTTTTTTTTTTAATTTTAAAATAACATTTTTTTCACTGATGGACATAAACGTCGACATATACCCAAATACAATGCAAAATCTACACAAGTCTATGAATTACAAAGCCTAAGTCCTACCGATTCTCCAAAAGGGGCCACTAAGATCTTTTTGAGAGTTTCATATTTTTCAGAATTGCTCTTTCTATACTACTTTTTAAATTACAGTTTAAGTTATTTCAGATGGGACTGCTAATTCTACAATGGACATTTGTCAGTTGACAACCTTCCAGAGAATTAGTTCTAAAATTCCAAGCATCACCATGTGCACAGTATAAATTACTGTGGAGTCCATTTACTTAGTGCTTAGCTCTGAAAGTCTGAAATAGTTTTTGGCAAAAAGCAGTAAAACTCAACCTGACCTATAAACTGCATTCATCTAAAACATCTTTAAGATGATTTACTACAAAGGCCTATCAAGACAAATGAGAGAAAGAATCCACAGCCCAGTTTTTATATTTAAACATAACTAAACAACAACAACAGCAACAAAAAACACATGGTTTTACCTAATGGTGAAATGTTCCAATAATGTGTTATGTACTTTATCAGCTTCCCAAAGACTTCCATTCCCACATATTTAGAAAATGCAGGCCATAGAACTGGCATTCTATAAATATTTGTTGAATGAATTTACACGTTTCATAAGAACCAGATGTCGTAACTGCAACTAAGCCCAACCAGCAAATGATATTATGATGAAAGTAGAAGCTATAGAACACATGCTGTTTAATCACCAAATAGTTCTTATTTTGCAATTACTTATCACTAAACATGAAGGGTAGTTTTCTAAGATCAGAATTCCCTTTTAAAAGCAATGGGAAATCATGTTGTATGCACCACCTACAGATCAGAAGAGCTGAAGTGATGGGGAAGCAGCACGATTATTTCAAGTCCAATGACTGTAAACTTAATCAGAATTTACAACTGTCTCAGTCAGTGAAGCCTGCTGTAACAGAAAACTATACTGGGTGGCTTAAACAACATTTATTTCTCATAGGTCAAGAAGCTGGAGATCGCATCAGGGGGCCAGAATGGTCTGGTTCTTGGTGAGGGCCCTCACTGAGTTATGTCTCATATGGCCACTTCTTGGTACAAGCAAGAGAGCTCCTGTGTCTTTTTTTTTTTTTTTAATAAGGATACCAATCTCATCATGAAGGACCAGCCCTCATTACCTAATCTAACCTTAATTACTTCCCAAAAGCCCCATCTCCAAACCCTATCACATTGGGGGTTAGGGTTTCGACATGTGAATTTTGGGGGAATACAAATATTCAGTCTGCACCAGCAACAATATTTATTTATGACAAAGGAATTTTATCACAAACATTACCAGAGGAAAACAGTCAGAAAAACATTATTATTGGGGCTCTTTCAGCCTGACCTGAACAATCGTATCATCAAAAGAACTCCACTTAAAACACTCTTGCCAAATCATAAAAGATTCATTATCACTAATTATAGTTTTTGGTCATTCCTAAGGAAGCGGATGTTTCCATGCAAGATGATACCAAATGGTTTCTCTCAAAATGCACTACTAAAACAAGTTTCTAGATTGACATTAGAAGAAGTTTAACTATAAAACAGCAATAATATTAAGTGTGATAGATATGTGTGTGTTCATGTACATGTGAATATCTAGAACATGATGAATGTTTACTCTGTGCAAGGCAGTGTTTTAAATACCTTACTGATAAAGTGATAGGTTTCATGAATGTGGCAAAGGCCAGATAAGATGTGAGAAATGCTTATGAAATGGATAAATGGAAAAGAACCAGAGAAGATTACCTCCTCTAGGACTCTGAGATGGACTGGACTGTGGCTCAGCAATACAAGCACCCCGGGAGCCTATGAGAAATGCAGAATCTCAGGCCCCACCCCAGACCTACTCAATGAGAATCTGCATTTTGAAAGATTCAAAATTACTTCTATGCATAGTAAAGTTTAACTTTAAAAAGAACGAGCTCTAAAAAAATAAGGTCAGCACTTGGATTGCAGCAAGGACATACAGTAGGAATAATTGTGGGAAAAAAACACAAAAACCTAACTTCAGAGCCAGACACAATAGAGAATGTAATATGAGAAATTTTTGAAAATTATTAAAGTGCTTTTTTTCTCTTTTGCATTTACATGAATAATGGGAGAAGAGGCAGACACTGGTATCATCCAGACAAAAATGGAAGAGTACAAGTGCCTTACTTTCCCAGGCATCCCATGGCAGAGCCTGCAAGCTTGGGAGCTACAGGGCATTCAGTTAGGAGCAACTGGAGCAGTCACACAGGGAAAAGAGAGGCAGAGTCAGACCCATATCTTAATCTCCACTCTGGGCCAAAGCTGAATTGTATGTCAGAGAAGATGAAGAAACTGCTAAAGGCAGTGGGGCCTGTTTGGGTTAAGAAAGTCTCCTAGGCAGCAACATGTATCCAAGCAGTATGATGAAGTGTGGCTAAGCAGAGGGAATGCCTGAGCTGACCTTTCCCCATCACCATGGGACCTCTGTGGAATGTATGCAACATATAATTTTCCTGATGCTTGAGATAACCAGAGAAGGCAAAGCACTCGAAACAGCTGAGAACCTGGCTACCTCATACTGGCTCTACAGGAAAGGGCTGCCTGGGAAAAACCAAGTAAGAAGGACACAGCATCCACGAGATTGAAAGGAAAACTGCAGCCAACCCAGGGTGTACAGGATTCACACAGACAACGTACTGCTTAATATATGCTCACAAATGAAAAATTATAAGAGGACACAATTTACCTCGAGACAGAGTCAAGACACCATAAATAGCTGAAGCTCAAGAACTTCAAAAATCGTTTTTCAGACTATGAAATAGGTACAATATAATGAAAATGGCTTTGAAAAAGCCAGAAAATAAAGAAGTAGAATAACAGACACTTTTTCAAGCTAAAGATTAGAAATGGTTTTTAGACATAGAAATTTCACCACTAAAATGTAAAGCTCAATCTATTAATAGGTAGATTAGTTATTACCAACTGGATAAAAATGAACCTAGAAAATGTGTAAGTAGCACAAAAAGATAAAAACCACAAAGAGGTTACAATTAAGTTCGAATGAGAAGCCCAACCTTCATATAAAAGGAACTCCAGAAGGAGAAGAGTACACGGGAATAAACACCACATTACCTCTTTAAAAAATATATAGATTGATATGGTTACATGACTGCCTATTTCTCAATACTTCTATATCAATCAGAAAGTCAATAATTTAAAGCAGAAAGTAATTTAAAGAGTGACTGCAAAGTGAAAAAGGAAAAATATGAACACTGCCTATTTTTCTGAATATTCTGAAAAGTTTAAATAAAAAAATAGATTAAAAATTACTTAAGGGGTGTATTACTTGGATTTTATCACTTTTAAAGCTAGGCATGACTTGAGACCAGGACACAGGAGTCTTTAAAGCAGTATGAAGATGCTAGTGGATCAGGTGGATGGAAAAAGGTGCTGGAGGCAAGAGAGGACGAATTGATGGAGGCAAGTGCTCAGTGTTGGTCTTGAATTAGAGGAGCACCATCTTATAGTCCCAGCAACTTTACTGACCACCATTACTTTTTACAGTAACAAAATATACCTTGCATACATTTCTTGATCTGATTGCTGATTGAATGTGCTCAGTTTGTGAAAACTTAAGTGAGCTAGTATACATGGATCAATTTCAAGCTATACCGAAATAAATGTAATTCTTGGAATTAGATTAACTTCGGAACCATATAAGAAGGCAGTTTAACTCCTACTACATTATATTGATTATAACTGTAAGTTTACTTACAAGTTCCATCCCTCTTAAATACCATGAAGAACAAAATTAGTAAGCCTTCAGCAACGGCTGTCAAATAAGATGTATGTGCCCAAACAAGAAAAATGAATAATATAGATCAGTTACTAGAAAAAATTCTGGATTGTACTTTAGTGAGGCAAGGGTAACAGGAGGAGTTTCATACAACTGAAGATGTAAGTCTTAAGGAACTCATTTTACAATTTATTAAAAGGCACAAATACTATCACAGATTCAACAATTCACTGTTTCTCTATTAAGGTTACCACCACTTTTAAAGACATTCTTCTCCTAAAAGTAAATCCGTTATAATCCTGGAGTTCTATCAGGAATCTCTTTGAGTCAACAGTGCAGGAAGTTTTAGAAAGGATTTTATATTTTGTGGAAAGTTGTCAAACTCCTCTGAGAAATGGCACCATCTTTTGAATAAACTTAACGTTTCATAATTTACACTAACAGCTTTATTTTCCAAAAAAAAAAAAAAGTTTGCAAAAAGCCACTGCACTAATTCTAAAAATGGATAATAAAATGAAGAGAAAATTACTGCTATAACATTTGTAAAATCTTCTGATTATGTAAAGTGCATTCTCTATAGAATTCTTAACACAGCACAGATATTTACCTGGTCTAGCCCCAGTAAGGAGGCTGTTAAAGAGAAATCCAAGTCCCTCAAGGAAGTTACGGTGGGATTAGAAACTAATGTTTAAAACTGAATTTATACTTCTTGAAGTCTTCACTATATATATACACACACACACATATATGCACACATATAGATACACACACGCGCGCACACACACACACACACATCCTTGCTAAGAAAAGCCAATAAAAAGAATTTAATGTCTATGACCACAAATGGATGAAACTGCAAGGGAGGGCTGATTCCACAGAGTCTCTGAAGTATTTATAATAATAGCCTATAATTATTAAGAATGTATGTACCATGTAGTATTCTAAGTACTTCAGATGCATTAGCTTACTTTGTCACTAGCCCTATGAAGTAGATATATTTATTATCCAGCATTTATAGAAGAAAAAACTGAAGCTTATAAAATTTGGTAACTTGCCCAAGGTCTCATGGGAAAACTTTTACCACCAGAGTTCTAAGTCAACTCACCTTTCCTCTCTGGAAAGCCTTTCTACAGAGCTAAATAAACCTTGGAGGGGAAAAAAATTCCTTAGACATGGAAAATGTTAGAAAACTAAATTCATAGATAGCAAAGTCTCTTCTACATTATAAGTTTCCATACAACACAAAGCTTACACCCAGTAAGGGTTAAATAGTAGGTTCAGAAATACATGAAAACAACTGACAGATTTATAACCAAAGTAATATCTGAGAGGCAAGCTACCTCCACCTCCACCCCCCAAGATCAACAATGAAGTCCCAATATTGACACTCACCTCCCCTACCTAGTATCTATTTTATTTTTTCTTCCCCATTTGACATTATGAGGACTTATCTTTATGTATATATTGTATTTCCCCAAGTAGACTGTAAATTCTCTTAAGGATCTGGTAAGGCTAATGCGTAATTTGACAGGAAAAGCATGGAACACATCTTACAAATGCTACTAGTGATCATCCTCACCACATAGGAACAAGCAAGACATAAAGAACAGTCTGCTGGTGAGCCTCTGAGCAGCCTGCTGGCTCCTGAAAGCTGAGGTTTACCAGAGTCACATCATCCTGTGTGAAATATATAGTTGTGAGTATATATTAAATGCCACATTGCAATAGTGTATGCATTTTAAGAAAGCAGCAAAATAACATGTGAAACAGCAAGGCAGCAATACTGTTAAAAACAAAGTTCCCAGAATATTCAAATATGAAAATCACATTTCACTCTACCACTTATTTACCAAGAATCATGATTTTGATCATGCAACAAGAATATGGTCCCCAAAATTAGTTTACTTTTTAGAAATGTGTTAGGAATAATGTAGTAGGTTTTCATTACTCTAAACCAGCAAGATATATATTGGGCTAAAATTCACTCAAAATACCCAAGGCACAAAGAATATGTACCAATTTTTCCCTTTAAAAGAAAACTAGTCAAAATTAATGTTCAACAATTTATCCATTAATTTAACCAACAATTATGAAACAGCTACTATGTGCCATCCCATCAGATGATAAGTCTGACAAGATTCATGCTCTGATGGGGCCAATGCCATAGAGAAAGGCAACAGACAATAAAAAATAAAAGTACAAGATGATTTCAATATGGTATTAGTAGGAAGGGAGACGAAGGAAGACTAATTTAGACTGGATGATCAGGAAAAATGTCAATAAAGAAGAGGCAAAGAAAAGCTTTATTCTTTCACATTACGACTTGAGTAACACCATGGGTTCAATATGACATGTAAGAAACTGGTGCTTTTAGTGTTACCATGATAGTCACATAAATTATGAGGGACTGGAGAATGTAAAATTACAATTATTTTGCACTTTCAAAAGTGATATATAAGATACTGATGAAGATAATGGGAAATGGGGTGCTGCTATAACAAACACCTAAAAATGCAGAAATGGGCAATGGGCAGAGGCTAAAAGAATTTTGAGAAGCATAATAGAAAAAGTCTAGGTGGTCTTGACATACTGTTAATAGAAATACGATGTTAATGTCTCTCCCAGTGTGGGCTCAGAACGAAGTGAGAAGCATGGTAGATGACACATTATCACCTTAGAAAATATGTGAATTATCATGAACATACTATTGCTAGACGCATGGAGCTTAAATTTGCTGCTGATGAGGACTTGGATGGGAAGAAAGGTGAAACATGTTATCAAAAACTAGAGGAAGGGGATCCTTGCTATATACAGGCAGAAAGCTTAGCTGAATTAAGTCCAGCAGTTACGTGGAAAGCAGACCTTGTAAGCTATGAACCTGGACATTAAGATGAAGAGATTTCCAAGCAAAGTATTAAAGATGTGGCCGGTTCTTTGTTTTTGTTTTTTCTTGCTGGTTACAGTAAAACGGGACAGGAAAAAGGTGAAGTAAAAGAATATGAAATGAAATAATGCTGTCAGACCACCATAATTCCAGAGGCAAGAAACAGGCTGATAAAAGTAATCAGCAGCATACAGGTGCTACACCCTTCATTAGAAAAGAAGGATGACTCCCAAGAGTGGAGAAGTTCAGTACCCACAGGGTGGAGTAAAGAGTCACAGAGAACTATCCCCAGTCCTTGAAACCTAAAGGAGTTTTGAAAGTGCTCAAAACTAGAGACTCCTTTTTTCTTTCCATTTAATGATAACCTATGCCTGACCCACCATATTCTGGGAGCAGATAACTTGTTTGCTAGTTTCACAGGTCCACAAACAGACAGGAATTTTGTCCCAGTATGGATTACACCCAGAATCTCACCTATTCCTGAGTTAGATCAAGAGCCCTGGTTGAGATTTTGCAGTCAGTTGTGGCTGTATTGGGTTGAGACTTTTGGAGATGTTGGGAGAGGGTGAATGCATTTTGCATGCAGGATGCACATGAGCCTTTGGGAGCCAGAGGGCGGACTGTGGAAGGCAAAATAATGGTCCCCAAAGATAAATATGTCCCAATCCCTGAAACCTGTGAATATGTCACCTCACAGGGCAAAAGGAATTTTGCAGATGTGATCTTGAGATGGGACTATTAACTTGGATTATGTGGGTGGGCCCAATGTAATTACAAGGGTCCTTCCAAGTGAAAAAGGGAGGCAGGAGAGTGATGCCACATGAGAAAGACTCCACCAGCTATTGCTGGCTTTGAGATGGAGAAGGCACCATGAGCCAATGAAAGCAGGCAGCCTCTGTAGAGCTGAAAAAGGCAAGGGAATGGATTCTCCTCTAGAATCTCCAGAAGAAAAGAAGCCCTATCAACAACCTGACTTTAGCCCAGTGGAAACCCTTTTTGGACTTCTAACCTCCACAACTGTATGACAATAAATTTTGTGTTGTCACTACGTTTATGGTAATGAACATTCATTAAAAAAAATTTTTTGCCCTATTTCCGTTACGGCTTTTAATTGGCACTAACAAGTTATGACAGAAACCAGTCTGAGCACTAAAAGATTAGGTAGAGCTGACCTTAGTTCGTAAGACTCAAATGGAGTCTGGGATCTGAACTTCACTGTGTCATACTCTGGGGAGTCATACATTGGTTAACTGCATGCCAGAACATGTGACCAAGAAATCTGCAACAAACACACTCAAATACACTCAGGTCTTCCTGTGTGAATTTGTTGTACACAGAATTTTCCAAGGCAGTTAGACATGTGTAACAAAATAAAAATTGATTGTGGTTGAATACACAATTTCTGTTTAAAAAATTACAGCAGTCTTTTTCAGGTTTAAATAACATCTATTAAATTCTGTAAGATAGGCATGTTTCCTATCACTGAGACATTCAACAACAGTCATACTTTTTATGCATTAGAAATTGGGGCCAAAGGGTGCGGTGGCTCACCCCTGTAATCCCAGCACTTTGGGAGGCCGCGGCAGGCGGATCACGAGGTCAGGAGATCGACACCACTCGGGCTAACACGGTGAAACCCCGTCTCTACTACAAATACAAAAAAATTAGCCGGGCGTGGTGGCAGGCACCTGTAGTCCCAGCTACTTGAGAGGCTGAGGCAGGAGAATGGCGTGAACCCGGGAGGCGGAGCTTGCAGTGAGCGGAGACTGCGCCACTGCACTCCAGCCTGGGCGACAGAGCAAGACTCCGTCAAAAAAAAGGAAAAAAAAAAAAAAAGAAATTGGGGCCAAAAATAAAAATTAGAAAATGAGATCTACCTTTACAAAAAAAAAAAAAAAAAAAAAATTGCAGGGCAAAGTGCCATAATTGCAACATAGCAGATCCTCCTCCAATGAATATCCATTATCATTTTCTCAACTTTAATTTATCAAATACAATGACTGTGAAAAGCTCTTATAAATATGAAAAAAAATCTTAAACCAAACAATTTGATTTTAGATGCCATGTGTTCACTGTGGTCATCACATAATTTACTATTCCTTTTTTGTTTACATAATTTGGCTGGACAGTTATTTGCTCTCATTGATATTGAAAACAGCAGAGCACAAAGTTTATATTCCAGCAAGATAATAATTTTACATAATTAAGAAGCCATTTTACACATAATAAAATAGAAGGGTTGTTAGGTATTCAAAGAAAACCTACAAAAATTCTGCCTTTAAAGTGCCCACAGCAGTAGGAAAATAGGCTGGGCAGAAGGATAAACAATACCAGAAATCAAGTGCAAATATGCTTTAACATGTGCCAACAGTTTCTGTTTGGAGAAGGGTGCCCTAAGGAAAAAGTATAAGGCTAGAGGGAAGCCAAGTCTAAAAGATTTTATTCTGCAGGAAACGGAAAAGTCAACAAAGGTTTCTGAGCAAGGAAGCAGCATGATATCTGCAGTAGAAAGAACAGGCTAGAGGGAAAGACAAGATGCAAGAGAGCCTATTGGAATTAGGCTGCCAGAGGCAGAGAAGGACTTGAACTATGAATATGAAAATGAAAAACAGAAGGTACAGAAAAAAATCAGCAATTCCAAAACCTGTGGCTTCTTACTAAAGTAACTAATACAAGGTATGCCATGAGAAAGAAGCACACAACCCATACTGAAATACCGGATCCGTTTATTCAAGGAAATGGGCTTTTTGACATCTAAGATCCTAAACCAATTCTAAGAAAGTCAAAGCAATGAAAAATCAAAAGCCCTGCATAGCCAACATTTCTCAACTAGGGGAAGTCACAGGGCAAGTTCAAAAGGAGTGAAGATTAATGATGCAGCATCCCAAAGGGCTGCCTGGTGGCAGCAATAGAAAAATATCCACCAAACAGAAGAAATCCAATCCCTCAGCTCATTTTCCCCCAAACCTGGAATATTTAAACCAAGCTGAAGAAGGAGACAAGGGTGTGGAATTTTGTATATGAGGGGGAGTGGAGCGGAAGGAAGGACAGTGAGGTGGAATAAATGAGAATACTGCTCAAAGCTTTGGAACAGAAAATAAATTCATGATCATTTATTTGTATGTCAAATCTTATGTCCTCCAAATACATAATAAAATAATATTTCATAAGTACAAGTAGTATACTATAGTTACCTACCGAAATAAAGCATAAGCTTAATCTTACTGCCCTTAAAAGGATGATAAATTAAAACATTCTCAAAGATATAACAATAAAAAATAATTTCCTCAACAATTAGACATTATTATATAAAAAACTTTCATTATTACTTACTTCTTTAAAATGTTTCTCTATTAAGTATTATCATCCTAATAAGCATAAAAACTAAACCTAAAAGACAAACAACCCAAACTCTGGCCTGATTTCCTTAGTGTCAATGATTAGACTAGCTCCTCTTTTTTTAAGGCCTAATTCACTGCTCAGTATAGTGAAATACCTCTGATTTAAATCATATAGACAGTGCCAAAATCTTTACTAATAGTGTGCAAGTCTCATATCTAAATTACTCAGCCCAGCTGTTTAAAATGACAATACATTCCTTAAGAAAAAAATGCAATATATTTAACAGACTGTCTTAAAAGTACTTTAGAGATTTTATGCCTTAAATTTAAAAAACATCATGTGATGAGAAAAACAGAATAAGTGAAGATGAACACGATCTAATGTAAATGGCTGTGACACTGGTTATACGTTACCTAGAAACGATTTTACATTTCTAGTTTATTCTACTGCCGTGTTTTACATGGAATTATTTCATTTAGCTGCTTACACATATGCTTTAAGGATTCAAAAAAGAACCAAAAGGTCACAATTTACTACTAAAGTCAAATTAGGAAAACAATGTTTTCGAACATTCCAAGAATTGAATTTCTGGAATAAGTAAGCCAGAATTCTGTTTACAGGACTAGGGTGATGGAACTCTGGGCAAAAGGGTAGACTAGAACGGGGATAAGACAGAGGAGAGTGCTGGGCCAGCAGGGACAGCCAGGATTTCCAGAGAGGAGAGAGGTAGGGAAAAGCAAAAGACCAAAGCTAGAAAAGACAGCCAAAAGAATTCAGTCACTTAAAGATTTCTAAAAATCATTCTGAAATATTTCCAATGGTACCAGTACTGGTTTAGAGAAATAAGAATTCTGGCCGGGCAAGGTGGCTCACGCCTGTAATCCCAGAACTTCGGGAGGCTGAGGCGGGCGGATCACCTGAGGTCAGGAATTGGAGACCAGCGTGGCCAACATGGTGAAACCCGGTCTCTACTAAAAATACAAAATTAGCCGAGCATGGTGGCACGCACCTGTAGTCCCGGGTACTCGGGAGGCTGAGGCTGGAGAATCGCTTGAACCCAGGAGGTGAAGGTTGCAGTGAGCCGAGATCGGGCCACTGCACTCCAGCCTGGGCGACTGCGCAAGACTCCGTCTCAAAAAAAAAAAAAAAAAAAAAGAAAAGAAAAGAAAAAAAAAAAAAGAAAAAAGAAAAAGAAATAAGAATTCCATAATTTCTTCTGAAAATGAGGCCTCTGCTACATCTTTCTCTGAACTCACTTATGATGACTGTCAAGATTCAACTTCTGGTTCTGTATTATACATTCAGTTATATTTAAGTCTTAATCTAGAACAGTGGTCCTTAACTAACGCTGTATTTTGCCCCCAGAGGACTTCTAGCAATATGTGGAAACACTTTTGGAGCTCACAGGTTAGGGGGCTGCTACTAGCATCCAATGAGCGGAGGCCAAAGATGCTGCTGAACATCCTACAATGCACAAAAACAACCTGGAGAACAAAGAATTACCCAGCCCCAAATGCCAACCGTGCTAAGATCAAGACACACTGATCTCTTCTGAACATAAGCAAAAGCCTACTCCTGGGACCTTTATTCTAGTCCATCCCTAACAGTCACCTAATTAAAGGACAAAACACCACCACCAGATGATTCATTTTTCAATTGCTTTAAACATGGTGGATGGCTGGCTCAAACTAAGAGTCACACAGAAATACACTGAAACAACGTATCACACCAGGAGAGCAAAAACTGCAAGAAAAAAACTTCTTAATCCTCTTATTTCATATCTATCTCACATTCAATTCACAAGAGAAGTACATACACTAACCTCATCAAAACACAGTATTTCTTATTAATGTAAAAACTTAGGCAAACAACATTAACTGAGAAAGATTTATGTTGGGGGCGACAGGGTGAAAAAAGCCACCCAGGTCTTTAAAATGCAAAGTTATTTCACAGTTTACTTGCAAAATGACTCAGATCATTATTACTTTTAGTCATGCCAACTTTGCTGCTCCCAAGCCTACTAGTAATGGAGAAAAAAAACCCACCATTTTTTCTGCAGTCATTAAACCAATGAAACAGAAGCTTACTGAAAACAGGTTTGTGCAACATTTCTTTTTTATTATAACTGGTATAAAAATACAAGCAGTCCTTGGAAATGCAAATGAAGATTCTGAGAAATTTTTCATCTATCTAAATACCTAGAGTGTGAGAAGAAAACATGCAAACAAAAGAAAACCCTAACTCACGAATCTTAACCTGTAAAGATTTTCCTAATGCTTCCCTCAGTGAAAACCCTGGTTTACTCTTTATTTTCTTCCCCGTCAAACATTTGGAAAAGACCTCCACGTAGCGTTTCACGAACAGAACAGTGCTAAGAACAAATAAAAGCCTTGCGTGTACCTGGCAAATCTCATTCATCAGAAACGGTGGCAGCGGAGACAGAACCCTGTTGTCTGGCGTGACCCTCTCGCTCTTTCACAGCAGTTTTCACCACTCGAGTATCTGCCTTGCCTACTACTAAAGCAAAGCTTCCCAACCCCACTTGGGTGGCTTCCATGCCCCCACAGCAAGAAAAATCAAGCATCCAGCGCAGCCTTTTCTCAGCGCAGGGGGAATGTAATCAGCGCTCCTTGACCACTTAAGGAGTCGCCATAGGAAGTTAACAGGAAAGACGCTTCAGCCCCATCTCAGAGGCCCCACAAAAGGTGCACTGATTTCACCAAACGTGGCACTCTGGGCATGAGAAAACCACAGTCGAAACACAACCTACACCGCACACGAAGAAGGGTTTTCCGGGAGGGGGTTGGTGGCGCGGGGGGGGGGGTGTTTTCATTTTCTAGCCGCGAATGCCCCTTCATCTTTACAAGGCTGAGCTAAACTTCAAAGCAAAGGGTTTCCACGCGACCCGCCGCCTCGGACTCGCGCCTGGGCTCTTTGCTGGGTCGCACGAAAGCATCCGAGTGAAGTGACGCGCCCGCCCCGCCGCGGGGAGTCCTCGCCCGCCGGGGCGGAGAGAGACCAGACACCGGGAGAGGGGGACCCGCCTTGCCTCCGCACCGCCGGACCCAGCTCCCGCTCAGAAGCCTCCTCGGGCGCTTCCTCCCCCTTCCCTCCGGGTTTCCAAACGCCGAGGGCCGCGCAGCGCCGCACCCGGTCCCCCGCCGACCCCCGGGCCCCGACCCGGCCGCCCTTACCGAGCAGCAGCAGCTTGACCTCGCGCGCCGCCTTCTCGCCGTCCTCACGGAGGTTGCGGTCGATCATCTTACTCCGCTCCACCGCCGCCTTGTCCTCGGCGCTCAGCGTGCAGCCCATGGTGCCGAAAGCGAGAGCCTGCCGCCGCTCCCTCCGCGCCCGAGTGCGGGCTCCAAGCACAGGGGAATCCTTTCTCTCTCCTAGCGGGCGTTCGAACGCCTCCCGACGGGGGCCACGCCGCCCCCACCACTTCCTAAGCGGAGTCGAGGGAGACGCTGTCCGCAAAGGGGCAGACAGCAACGGGCGGCTGTTCCTCACGACCAGGCTCTGCTTCCCGGCCCGGCTCAGCGCCCCCAAGTCCCGGGTTTGGGGTTTTGAATCTCTGGGTACAGTGGCCGCTGCACTCCCGCCGGTGGCCGCGCCGCAGCCTCGCCAAGCCCAGCCGAGCTCGGCCTCCGCGCGCCGCCGCGGCCCCGCCCCTGCCCGCCCCTCCCACCACCCCGCGACCACTCCCAGAGCGCGCGCCCGCGCACGTGCCCTCGGACAGCGCCCCCCGGCCCCGGACCCCGGCGCCGCGCCACCACTGAGGGCCTGGCGCCCCCTGGCAGCGTCCCCGGGGCGCGCCACTGCCCCGCGGGGCTGTGGCCTTCTGCCCTGGGCGGGAGTGGGGTAATTTCTTTCCGTTTACTCACACGGAGGGAGCTGTGCGTACCTGCCCCTTCGGGTGGGGGTGGGAGAGCTGCCAAAGTTGCCGAAAAAAGCCAGTTCTGGGCGTTTGAGCATGCCCAGCGCCGGCAGCCACGCAAGGTTTTTCAAAATGCAAATCCCTGTCGGCTGGTTTCAGGGCCGTGAGAAACAGGGAACTGGGGAAGGAATGGAGCCTGGTGAAACCAGAGATGGGCACAGTGGAGAACAGGAAAGTCGGGGGAGGGGACTAGAAAAGGGCACCAAGGTCACTTTCTTCCTACCTTTTGCTTCTCTTTCCTTCTTCCTATCCCTCCCTCTTTCCTTGCACTCTCACGTTTTTCACAAGAACGCATTTTGAAGGATTTCCTCGTAACCTAAAAAAAATGGAAGACAAATAATCAAAAGTATTTTTAAATGACAAGAGCAATAAAACACACCCACACAAGCCAATCTCCACATCGTAGCAGATCTCCTCTAGAGCAGCACATAAGCTTCCATGCCAAATTTGGAGCCAATATTTATGACCGTGTTTGTAACTCCTGTACCATTGGGCATGCCATTTTTACAGGCCTTAGCTTCTTTGCCCATAAAATGAGGAGTGGATCTATGGTGCTATCTCCCCATCCTTCCAGCTGTAACAATCGGCGGAGATAAGTTCCTGTGGCCCGCGGGAGGCATTGCTACTCAGCACCCAATGAATGAGCAGAGGCTTAAGATCTCATCTCTCCCTGTCAGTTGCACTACACCTTTCCCCTACAGATATCACAGGAAGCGTTAACTGATTAGAAAATGGGGCTGGTAGCAAGGAAAAACATGGTCCTTGATGTACTAAAAATTGGAACATGCTCCCTGGTTTTCATCTGGAAATCTTATTCTCTAAAAATCATTTGGGAAAACTGGGCTTGAGTTTTCCAAGGTGAGGCTGAACTGATGATACAAGCAGAATAGCTTTCGAGTAGGTCACTGAGACCACGCTTGTGAGCTAGCAGAGACTGAGTTGCCTCCTTATGGGACATGTCCTTTCCTGTTCTCCTATGGGAGTCACACCACCTGCTGGGCTGATGAGATGCAATTTCAAGATCTGCCTCAACTATAATCTTTTGTAATATAACAACAAAAAGGAACAATCTTTAAATGTACTTAGTCACCTTCTACACTGTAATTCTAGGCACTCTAAATGCTAATGTGTATCAGAACTCTGGAATTAAACTTAAGGAAATCAAATTTCAACACACTGTGTATTAGCCATTCTTAATTATCTTTTATGGTGAGTCTTTCCTATTAAGTTCGGACCAGAGTGTGGAACCAACAGTTTCAGCAAAAGAAGAAGCAGTGCTGGCTGAATATTGGTAGAAATGACTACAAAACTTGTGTTTCGGAGAAATGAAGTATGTGTAACAGAAGTTTGTCAAATAGGTAACATTACTTCCATCCTTTGAAGTTAGTCAAATAGGTGAGTTAAAATGTGATACATAAACGAATAAGAACAGCAAATTAGATTTATATGTAGCACAATTCCTAAGAGAATGCAGAGTAATGAACTGATCAGTATGGGGGGAAATTCTAAGATAAGAAAGTTTTGAAAAAACGTTTGAAGGAAATGATAACAGGATATTGGTGGGGAGTTTAAAGAAGTATGTATTAGTTCAGGCTGCCCTAAAAATACCATAGCCTGAGTGGCTGAAACAATAGGAATATATTTCTCACCGTTCTGGAAGCTGGTAAACCTAAGATTAAGGTGCCAGTTTATTCAGTTCCTCAGTGAGGGTTCTGCTGCTGCCTTGCAGATGGCCTCTTTCTTGCTGCGTCCTCACATGGCAGAGCAAGAGAGAGAGAGCTTGAAAGCAGTCTGGTCTCTCCTCTTCTTATAAAGGCCCTGTCTTAAAGGCCCCACTCTCAAGACCTCATCCAAATCTAATTACCTCCCAAAGGTTCCATCTCCAAATACCATCGTATTGTGGGTTAGGGCTTTGGAGACATTCAGGCCATAATAGGGTATATTTTGTTTGAGGGGAATAACCAGCTAAACAGTTAATATGCAAGATACGTGAAAGAGAAAACAATGGTTTTATAACTGAAAGTTGTTTGGTTGTGAAGAATGATAGGATGTGTGGGACAAAGTTGGTGTGAAGAATGATGGGATGTATGGGACAAAGTTGGAAGACAGCTTTAAATGCTAAGGTGAAGGGTTGGACTTGATACAGTGGGTACAAAGTGCTCCTTACATTCTTTCCTGAGTTGGGTACTAGATGTTAAAAAGCAAAGAAATAAAAAAACCCTCTTACCACTACATGTAAAACAAATGGGTACCAGCAAGTGAATTGTGTTAGTAATCCAAATGTGAGGTGGTGAGAGTCACTCAAGCTAATAACTTATGTAATTATGATGTTGCAAAATATGATTCAACCTTGTCAAGGAGATGAAGCAGATATTATTTATTTATCTCTTTTATACAGAGTGAAATTGAAATTATAGAGGTTAAAGCACTCTACTTCAGAATACTGTTTTTTCTTTTCAACATCATGTTTGTTTTTTAACAGCTTTTTTTTTTTTTTCCCTCGGGTTCAAGCTTTTTTGAGATATAAGTCATATGCCATAGAATTTGCCTATTTAAAGTGTACACTTCAGTGGCTTTCAGTATATTCACAGAGTTGTGCAACCATGATTACAATCAATTGTAGAATATTTTCATCACCACAAAAAGAAGCTCTGCATTCCTTAGCCATCATCTCCAATCCTTTATCTTTCCCCAGATCTAGACAACCGCTAATCTAATTTCTGTCTCTTTAGATTTGCCTATTCTGACATTTTATATAAAAGGAATCATATAGTGTACAGTATTTTGTGACTGGCTGCCTTCAGTTAGCATAAAGTTTTCAGGGTTCATCCATGTAGCATCCACCAGTACTTTATTTCTTCTTATTTCTGAATAATACTGAACATTATATGTTAAGAGAGTTAGAGACATATGTTAAAAGACAAATTAGAACACATTCAGCTGAGAGCCTCAGGTTTTCAAAGTAGCTACAAACTATGTCATAAGGAATAATTGAAGAAATTGGGGGATATTTAATGTAGGAATGAGAAGATATGACTGAAGAGATGTCATAAATCAAAAGGAATAGACTTTTTTAGCTGGCTTCAAGGTGGTGTTGAAACCTGTAGCAAACAAAATTTTGCCTTGCTATGTTGTGAATGGGAGACTTACCATATGGAATTAAGAAGTAAACATGGAGAATGCAGAAGCTGAATAAGGAGACTTTTTCAAGAATCTTAACCATGGAGAGGGGTTGACACATGGGATGGTAGTTGGAGAGGTAGGTTTGGAATTTGTTTCATTTCACTTGTAACTCTTCTCAAATATTATTCAACTGAGAAAAAAGGATTGCTATTGATATGGTTTCACTGTGATCCCAACTAAATCTCAGGTTAAATTGTAATAATCCCCACATGTCAAGGGTGGGACCAGGTGGAGATAATTGAATCATGAGGTCAAATTCCCCCATACTGTTCTCCTGGTAGTGAATAAGTCTCATGAGAGCCAATGGTTTTATAAGTAGGAGTTTTCCTGCATAAGCTTTCTTGCCTGCTGCCATGTAAGACGTGACTTTGCTCCTCCTTTGCCTTCCACCATGATTGTGAGGCCTCCCTAGCCATGCTGAACTGTGAGTCAATTAAACCTCTTTCCTTTATAAATTGCCCAGTCTTGGGTATGTCTTTATTAGCAGCATAAGAACAGACTGATACAGTTATGGGACAAAGGAAAAAATATGGCCACCCTACTTTCTGACCACCACTTCAGACCTTTTCATCTCACCCTCTGTTACGTTATTACCATCAATTCTCCAGTCCCACAGAGACCTTCCATCTACCGACCACATGCCTTTTCTCTTTCTGTCGTGTGCTGCATGTGCTAATGTCTCTCCTTATGCAACTTATATCCCATCTTCCATCAGGACAATTATTCCTTTGCAATATCCTCAAAACACTCCCACCATTGTATTCAACAGGAAAAACTTCAAATCTGGTTAAATCTACTCTGCCTCTGTATGACTATACCTGTTCAGCTGAGCTTGAACAGAGGAAAACACGGTAATCAACAACTCCACATTTCTGTTTGCTCAGGCCAAATACTTGGAGTCATCCTAGATTCTTTCCTTTCCTGCAAGCCTTAGTTATTCAATCTGTTAGGAAATCCTACTAACTTTGTCTTCAAATATAACCAGAACTTGGCCAAATATCGCCATCTTTACTGATAGACACTGGAGATATTTATCAAATATTAAATAACCTGCTTTCTGCTCCCTCTACTTTTACCTTAATCGCTTACTGTTCCCACCTAGCAGCCAGATGCATCCTTTTAAAATGTCAGGGAGAACTATCCATTCACTTTCCATCTCACTTAGAGGAAAATCTCATCTAAAATCCTTATGATGGCATACAAGGACTTACCCTTTTTTTTAACCATGTGCCTCCCCATAGTATTTTCTGCCATTCTCCTTGTTGTCTGGTTCAGCCTCCCTGACCTCCAGACTGTTTGAACTTGCCAAACACACTCCATCATTGGCCTTGGCATTTATGCTCCCCCTGCCTGGAACACTCTTGAGCCAGGTATCTGCTTGACTCACTCCCTTATTTCATCCAAATCTCTGTTCAAATGTAATCTTATCAGAGAGATATCTTTCCTAACTACTCAACAACCACTCTTTATTCCCTTATTACACACTATAATTTCTTTATATCTCTTATCACATAGCATATATATATTTGTGATTATGTGTTTATTACCTGTCTTCCCTCCCTTGAATATAAATTCAAAAGAGCAGAGACTTTGTCTTTCTTGCTTACTGTTTTATGTCCAAGACCTAGAACAGTAAAACCCGCAGTAATTGAATAAAGAGGAGCCTCTGGATCTAAAGTATAAATCTAGCTTTCTAAATCCATTAATTCATTTATTCAACAATATTAACTGAAGACCTATTATAAGCCAGGTGGTGTTCTTAGCACTGGGAATAAGGTGATGAATAAGACAGATTACATTGACGAGGAGATGGTGGCAGTGGTAGGAGGGAGATATTAAATAAATACATAAGTGGATCAATTTAATTGGATAAAATAAAAATAGTTATAAATGCTATGAAAGTAATGAAGCAGTGTTTTACAAGAGAGTGCACCAGTTCAGGTCTTCTGAGAAGCAGACGTCAAGACAGAATTAGACAAACAAGAGATTGGGAGAAGATTCTGTGAAGGATAAGAGAGAGTAGGAGCAGGAGTAGCTGGGGAGCACTTCAAATGTGATGCAGCTCTGACACCTGGACAAGGAGAGAAGGAAAGAGGGAGTTTGGGACAGGTTATGGTGCAGCTTGAAGAAAGTCTTGGCCAACCTGATGAGATCTCTGTCCCACAACCCAGTCCTGAGTAGATATTGTTCATTAGGGAAGTCCCGTACTGGGCGGAAGTGGTGAAGTGGGCTGGGTCTAGTACCCCTATCTTACTCAGTCACAGGCTCAGGGCAGCCTTGGAAGAGAGAGCCTCAGGCCTAAGTGAGAACACTGCAATAGATCTAAAGATGGGGCAGTTGGAGGCTATCAGCCAACTATGCTCCCTTAAAGGGTCATCTGAATGGTGCACCTTCGTGGCCACAACAAGGAGTTACTCTGAGGGAAAGATAGGTACTTTCAACTGAACATTCATGAAGATTACTCTAATGAGGTGACAACGTTTGAGCAGAGAACCAGATGGCTAGAAGGAACCATGTTTGGAGGAAGAAGATTCCAGTGCCTTTCAATGTTGAATACAAGGGCAACAGCCCTAGGGTGGAATGGAAGTTGACTTGATCAAGGAACTCAAAGGTTAGTTTGACTGAAGTGGAGATGAGAGAGGTAGGAGATCAGGGAGGCGAGGGCTGCAAGGTAGGCAGGAACCAGATCCTATAGAGCTGTGCAGGCCATTCAGGTGGAGGGAATTTTTTCTACTTTGGAATTTGTAAACCTCAGTTTCTTCTTCAACACTGGAGATATTAGAAGTGTTGTGTTAAGTAAGGTAACTCATAACACAGTTCCAGGCACATCATGTGCTCATAATTATAGTGCATTTTTCTTTCTGTTTTGTCAGATCCAAGAATAAGAACAAAATAGGAAAAAGAAAGAGATTAAGGTGACAGGGATAATTGAGGACTTTGAGGGCCAGAAGGAGGGATGTAGATAAGATCCGAAGAGGAGAAATTGTCATCAAATTCATGATGTATCCGTTTGTATCTTGATGGGCAACAATAACATTTTGTACATATTTTGTGATTCCTATCTGCATTGTGTTTTCATGGTTCTCAAGCTTCCTATTTTTCTTTTTAAGAATAAACCTAAGAATGAGGACATGTCTTCCCCTGCCCCAGTGTTGTTTGCCCTTACCAAAATTTCAAATATGCTGTCCTAACAGAGGATCAAGCAAACCTTGGGCCAAGCTTGAAGCATAGGCTAGCTTCTGAAGAAAAGAGCTACCTGGCTTTATTAAAGCCTATGAGTTTATTTACTACATTGGCTTTAAAAATAGCTATCTTGACACCTCCCCCTCTGTTTATGCTTCCTGCTGGCTCAGCTGTTTTTCTTTCACTGTAGCTCTTTGTTTAAGCTGTGAGGCTGGCATGTGTGTCTCTTGTTCAGCTCAGCAGGAACTGCAACAGAAGGGTTGATAGAGGACTGGGAGTAGGAGGCAGGCCAAAGGGATTCAGGGAAGCATTGAGTGCTTTTCTGTTCTAATTACTATCAGTGGCAATATTATTCCAAATAATTGTATTAAAGGGTTTAGCAAACATTTGTTGAATATCAGTGGTTTATTAGACCACATATGGAGTAGGGGCTAAAAGGAATAAAATGTTTTCAGTTTTTAAGAAATATCTCTTTGTAAGAGTTCAGGGTCCAGGTGCATTGGCTCATACCTGTAGTCCCAGCACTTTGTGAGGCCAAGGCAGGAGGATCCCTTTAGCCTAGGAGTTCAAGACCAGCCTGGGCAACATAGTGAGACCCTGACTCTACAAAACAGTTAAAAATTAGCTAGGGATGGTGACATGCACCTGTGGTCCCAGCTACTTTGGGAGGCTGAGATGGGAGGATTGCTTGAGCCTGGGAGGTCGAGGCTGCAGTCAGCTGTAATTGCACCACTGCACTCCAGCCTTGCATCAGTGCACTCCACTTTGGTCTACAGAGTAAGACCCTGTCTCAGACAAAAACAAAACAAAACAAAAAGAATTAAGGGCCATTGAATGGGGAAAAATATCACACAGGAGGAGCTTTAAGACATGAAATTATCCAGATCTTCCATATACCGATCTATAACATTATGCAAAGTGGAGAGTCAGTCAGCCAAGTGCTCAAGATCAGATCCTAAATCTCTGATAAAAGTGACTGGGGAAAAATGTATGTATTGAAAGAAAATCTTTGGTCACCTCTCCTATGCCTGGCTTATCCTTACCCCCTTTATTCCCAGCTCACTGTCACTCTAACACTGAAGAAGATACATTAAAAATTCAGTAGGCAGAAGTTTCAGACATGGAATGAGCCTCAGAACATTGAGTTTATCTTAAAAGCAATGTTCTGCTCTCCATGCTTTGCTTGCATATGTGTTTCCAATCTCCGTGTTATAGGCAGAACCTCTGCAGGAGCTTCTCTTTTCCATTCAGTGCACTTGGTTGGCTCAATGGGTTCGGGACCGGCCTGACTTAAACATTGTTTTTCACAAGCACGCCTGAGCACACGGGCTCACCCATTTTTCATTTGTGTTAACTGGAAAGTGCTGCTTAGCTCTCAAGCTTCAGCTGTAAATTCAACCTCATTCTTTTACCAAGGCACTTCTTTGGGTATCTGGGGCTGCACAGCTATTGAAAGAGTGGTGCTTTAATTCACAAAGTGCTCCTGTCCCCTTTCTAAACAGTTCTGTGTTAGTCCACTCTGGCTGCTATAACAAATACCTTAGACTGAGAAACTTATATGCAACAGAAATGTATTGCTTATAGTTCTGGAGGCTTGAAAGTATAAGATCGAGATGTCAGCAGATTCGCCATCTGGCAAGGGCTCATTCCTCATAGATGATGGCTTCTATGTGTCCTCTCATGGTGGAAGGGGCAACCAGACTTCCCCAGGTCTCTTTTATGAGGAACTACTCCATGCATGAGGCACTGTGTTCATCACTTAATCACCTCCCAAAGGCACCCCCCGTCATAATGCTATTGAATTGGGGATTAGATTTCAACATATGAATTTTGCAGGGACACAGACATTCAGAATATAGCCTTCTCCTTGGGAACCTTTGGATAAGGGAGAGTGTTTAGGCTGGCAGAGCACTTTCCAGGCATTTCGTGATCTTAGGAAAATTTAAAATGATTTTCCTGGGTTATATGGTAATTCTGTATTTAACTTTTTGAGGAATTACCAAGCTGTTTTCTAAAGTGCTATATACCATTCAATTCCCACCATCAGTGTATGAAGATTAATATGGTTAGTTGTGGATTCATAATTAGTTACTTCTGGTGCTGAATCTAGGTCAGACTTTGTGTCACTGCAATTTCAAAAAGTACCAAAAAAAACAAAACAAAACAAAACAAAACAAAACAGAAAAAAACAGGATGCTGTGGATTTCATGGTCCTCTTATTCCTTTTTTTCTTCTCATAGGTTTAAGATTCACTTTGGTCAAGTCCGGGTGTGGTGGCTCATGCCTGTAATCCCAGCACTTTGGGAGGCCAAGGTGGGTGGATTACCTGAGGTCGGGAATTCGAGACCAGCCTGACCAACATGGAGAAACCCCGTCTCTATTAAAAATACAAAAAAATTAGCTGGGCGTGGTGGTGCATGCCCGTAATCCCAGCTACTCAGGAGGCTGAGGCAGGAGGATCACTTGAACCTGGGAGGTGGAGGTTGCAGTGAGCCAAGATTGCACCATTGCACTCCAGTCTGGGCAACAAGAGTGAAACTCCATCTCAAAAAATAAAATAAATAGATAAAATTAAAATTAAATAAAATATTTAAAAAAGATTAACTTTGATCAAATGATTCTCACTCATAAGCAAAAGGCTATCACCTATCGTAATGCTAATTACAGAGCATGAATTCAACACATATATATTAAATGAATGGAAGAATGACTAAAAGGTAATCTTAATGGTTTCACTAAAAGCATTAAGAGCATTTCATTTAAAGAAATGTCTTCTTGATTCTTGCCACTAAGTTATGCTACCATTGTCCTGTCCCTATCATAACATTTGAAGGAAGTTCAATGCAATAACCTGAGTTCAGTGAAAAGATGTATAGATTTTAGTTTGGCTCCAAGACTAATTTGCTGTAAGACATTCCGTAAATGATTGTCTTCGGTTTCCTTATCTGTCAAACAGTAATGATATCTGTTTTAATTACTTGGCAAGTTATTGGAGGGAGCATAGGAGATAATGCATTTATAACCCAGAGTCAGCTGCTGCCTCCCTGCCCTTGACACCTTGGGTGGTGTATGCTCTGCCTCCACTTCTGCTTTAACACACTTTCCCTCTGTTCCACACCACTTCCGGCCAGATGTACTTAATTTAGACACACACACACACACACACACACACTCTTACTTAATTCCACAGAATGAACAAATAATTCAAATTGCACAAAAACAACTGAAAATCACATCTTGAATATTTTTCTTCTTAAAGAGTTTGTGTAGGGTGGAGGTGGTAAAGGTGAAGGGGTGGGGGCCACAGTACCAATGGGGAGATTTTTACAAGTTCCTTGCCTCATGCCACTTTGATGCGCCACATTTCTTGGACTCTTTGCCTCCCAGTCTCCTCCTTCTTTCTTTTTTCTCCCCAATCCTCTTAGGAGCAAAATCCAATGGCTTTCATTTTCTAAAGCAGAGCACCCCAAGCTGCTCTTTTGTTCTTGGGACTCAGCTGGCACCTATGCCCTCCAGATCTCTCTTCTCTTTCAAATGGCTTACTGAAGTATCTTTTTTCCCCCTTTCAACAAAAATAGTTCCATCCCTCAGAGAAATTCTGTTTCTATCTGTTAAGATAATACAATATCTCATTTCATTCACATGTGAAAATGCTTTGGAAAGTTAAAGAGAAGAGTGGATACCTAAGGGATTTTATATTCAACAACCTTTTTTTCTGGAGGAAAAAGAAATAAAAAGTCTCTAATATATTGCAGAATAGCAGTATTCACCCAACAGCCATTTTTAAAATCTTATTCTTGATCATTCATCACAATTTGTAGAACTGAAGGTGGGCACATAATCGAAGCGTAACCAGATTCCCAGTGAATTTGTAATTGGAAATTAAATAGAGATTGCTGTCTCGAAGTGGCTGGATCTGGAAAATACATGCTCTGCATATGCAAGCAGCCAAATTTTTATTGAAGGATAGGCAGAGGAAATATATCTTTAGATATTAGAAATAATATTTCAGATAAACTGAGAACAAATACAAGAGAAGAGAGGAAAGGTAACTGGTTCCAGTTCTTTCCTGAGATCTTGATGTGCTCCTAGTTTCAGATCCCAGAATGACATTGAATCCTTATGATGCAGTCCTCTCTCCACTTTTTCCCACTCTTAAGCTAGTTTGAGTTGATTTCTATTGATTGCAATCATAAAATTCCTAATACAAGACATAGTTACAAAATGAGGACTTGTTATTGTTATTGCTGTTAAAGTTGTTCTGGGTTTCCAGAAATGTTATCTCTCTCTCTCTTTTTTTTTTCTTTTCAAAATGTATTTATATGTTTTACCCCATTTGATTCTCATTGCAATCTTGTGAGGTTGGTAGCACAGAAATTATTTTCCCCATATTATAGATGAGGAAATTGACTTCCAGAAAGATTAATTGGCAGATCCTTGGTTACATAATCAATACATGGCAGGGCTGGAAGAAGAAGGCAGACCTTCTGGATACTTCTGTGACACTACAAAGATTATGTAGAGAGGAGTGCCTTCTAACTGAATTTCCAACCTAGTTGTATAAAATTGTAACTGTGAGAAAGTGAACAATGTTTAGATCTCACTTATTATCTATATAAATTGAATGAAATTATAGTAAATTCCAATGTAGGACATCGAAGGCAAAGCCCTTACTGATGAAACAAGCAAATGAAAAAGACTAAACTGTAATGCTCTTACCCAGGAAAGTCATATAATTTTATGAATAAGGTAAGTAGCATAACTGGTTCAAACTCTAAAAGACTTTCTAGAATTATTAAATATGAAGTTTTTTCATATATTATAAAATAATTTTTCTATGTCTCTAATTTTCTCTATATTAAACTTGAATCTTTGGCTGTCTAGGAACCTAATAGTGGCCTGGGGACACTGGGAATATGTAATTCATATAATACTGAAATATTGAGCAAATGGTCAATATTCAGGTCAAGTACTCAAAACGCTTGGAAAATGAAGACAGTCCTACTTTGTTTATTTCCTCTAATGTGGAGTGTATTATGATTCTCTGGAGACAATATTGTTATAGATTCTGGCCACTTGGAGTAGGTCTAACAGGTTGGCTCTCAGAAAGTAAGGACCTCTCTGAACTGGACTGAGAACAATTCCATTTCTGTTTGTAAACCCTTCACTAGAGCTTAGATGGGTGACATTAGCACAGAGAGGACACACTTTCCCAGGGGGGCTGCTGGGGTACCTGTCTTTTGGCTTTTTGTCTTCTGAGGTTGTACTCAAGGCATCTCTGCAGAGACAGGCAAAAATGGCAGAAACAGACCAGAGATTTTGGTCCCTTATATCCAAGGGCTTGTATTCTATTTTTTAAAATAACAGTATTTCATCAAAAATTGTAAGATGTTCTCAGGGAGGTGAAATAGTCATAGAATGTGTTTTTTAAGAAAATTATAAATGATTTAGCATTTAAGTGTTTTAAATGTTCTTCATGGAAATCTTTATAATATACATTATGTTAATGTATCTTGATTATAGTTTATACTCTGTATAATGAGTATATTTTATCAAAGTACAGTTGGCCCTCCATATCAGTGGGTTCCACATCTGTGGATTTAAACAACCTGAATCAAAAATATTCAGAAAACACACTTCCGCAGTGTTCCAAGGGAAAACTTGAATTTGCTAGGTGCTGAGTACTATGTTGAATCCATGTGAAGGAAGTGATGTTGTAGACCTTGTATTAGGTGTTGTACATATAGAGACGATTTAAAGTATACAGGAACATGTGTGTGGGTTATATGCAAATACCAAGCCATTTGACATTAGGGACTTGAGCATCTGTGAATTTTGGTGTCCTGGAGGTTCTTGGGACCAATCCCCTGTGGATACCAAGGTACAACTGTATATAAAATGTATACTTTTATAAAGTATATAAGTTTATGTACTTTTATATGCTTTATAAAAATGATTTTCTAAAAATTTGCCATGCCCTTCTCCAATTCTTTTAAAATTCAGCATAAAAGATACTTGGCCCTTATAACCATCCATCAACAATAAAAGTTTTGCTTAATGCATTTATCCTGGCATTGTATACACAAATGAAAATTTAGAAACCATCTAAACACTCACTAAGAATGGCTCTAATATTCCACACAGTGAAATACTAAACAATTACTCAAAAAGGTTAAATATTCATTGCTATTCAGTAGAAATATAAGCCACATATGTAGTTTAAATTTTCTGATAGGCACATAGAAAAAAATAAAAATAAATAGGTTAAATTTATTTTAATCCATTATATCCCAAATGTTATTTTAACATGTTATCCATCAGAAATTTATTAGCAAAATATTTTGCTTTTTTTTTAGTTAAGTCTTTTAAGAATCCAGCATATGGGCTGGGCATGGTGGCTCACGCCTGTAATCCCAGCACTTTGGGAGGCCAAGGCAGGTGGATCATCTGAGGTTAGGAGTTCAAGGCCAGCCTGGCCAACATGACAAAACCCTGTCTCTATTAAAAATACAAAAATTAGGCCAGGCACAGTGGCTCATGCCTGTAACCCCAGCACTTTGGGAGGCCAAGGAGGGCGGATCATCTGAGGTTAGGAGTTCAAGGCCAGCCTGGCCAACATGACAAAACCCTGTCTCTACTAAAAGTACAAAAATTAGCCAGTTGTGGTGGTAAGTGCCTGCAATCCCAGCTACTGGGGAGGCTGAGGCAGGAGAATCACTTGAACCAGGGAGGTAGAAGTTGCAGGGAGCCAAGATCGTGTCACTGCACTCCAGCCTGGGCAACGAAGTGAGACTCTGTCTCAAAAAAAAAAAAAAAAAAAAAGCCAGCATACAAATCCAGAATTTATGTGTCTAAATTCACACATTTTATTTGCAGTAATTGAAGTGAAATGCAGTCATACTAAACAATAAAGTGGTGTTTATTGGTAAAAACCTTTTATATTGCTTCAATTTTACTTTTAGGTTAATAAAATAAAAAGCTCTTCATTTGCACTAACTACATTTCAAGAGTTCAGTAACTGTACAGCTCTCCATGGGAAAAATCTGAAAATCATATAATAAAATGTTAACTCAGGTCCTAACCAAATGAAGGATTTTATGTATTCTTGATTATTTTTTCTTATAAACATATTCTAAGATTCCTATAGTTATATATGCATTTCTATGTAACTTCTCAGAAAAGGAAAATAATGGTCCCTTCCAGCTTAATATATTTGTTTTACTTTTATTCTCTTCAGCTGTGCTGTTGTTCTGTGTCTCCATTGATTATTAATGTTTTCTGGATTTTCTAGACAGTTGAGGGTGTTGGACCACTTAGCTTGAGTTAGATTGTGATGTCATCCAATTTCAAAATCCCTCGCCCTTTGTATGTAACAAATATGCTATACAAATAATCTATTTATTTAATTGTATATTTATTTAACATTTATTTCTCAAGTGCTATACAGGGTGAGCAGTGGTCTAGGTCTAAGGACGATCCAAAGTGACAATGTTCCTGTTGTTCGGGAGCATCCATCCAAATGGACGTTTAAATAGATGGATGGTAAACAAGAAAACAAATTGGGTGTTTTCAGATGGTGATAAGTGTACAGCAAAATAGCTAGGGTGAGAATATAAAGGATAGTAGGCAGAGCCCACTTTAAATCTTATAGAGGAGGGGATGTTTGAGCTGAAATCTAAAGGATATTTTCCTGAGAATGAGCCTGGTGATGGGTAGGGATGGAAAGAAGAGCATTTCAAGTAGAAAAAGGTAAGGTGGAGGCCAGAGGAGCAGAGTGGAGGCCAGGGGGCTGAAACATGGAGTGTAAGCAAGAGAGAATATAGAGGACCTGGGTTTGCAGAGGAATTAGGGGCTTGATTATGAAAAGACACAATGGGAACCATTAGAGGGGGATAAACAGAGAAGGGATGTAATCTGATTTATTTTAAAAGATCACTGTTGCCACAGTTTGGAGAACAGAAAAATTGAAAATGAACGCAGGGATTGTAATTAAGAAGTAAGAAGTTCGTGCAGTATTTTAGAAAAGATAGGAAGATAACTTACAATAGGGCAGTGGCAGTTCAGTTAGAACGAACAGGACCTGATGGTCAATTGGGCATCAATCAGGGATGCCAGTGTGGAACACAGAGGAATCAAGCATGATTTGTGTGTGTGTGTGTGTGTGTGTGTGTGTGTGTGTGTGTGTGTGTGTGTATTTTAACTAATTGGCAGAGCCATTTTTAACAGGAAGGGGAATGGATCAATGGAGAGAATCACCAGCTATGGTTTGAACCTTTCAACCCAATTAGGTATCTAAGAGAAGATGTCAGACAGGCGGTTGAACACCTGAGTCTAGAATTCAGACCAAGGGGATAGGTCTGACCTCAGAATGAGATTTGGAACATGGGAGCACAAGAATGTGATCTAAAGCCATAGGAAAGAAAGGGACAACCTAGGAAGAAGATGTGGACAGTAAAGAGGAGGAGGGAAAGGTAAATCTTGAATCAGAAGTAGCAGGAGGGTGCAAATCAGAGATTGAGTTCAAGAGATAGTGAGGTAGGAAGAAAAGCGTGAAACTATTAGATCCAGGAATCCAGGAGGGAAGCTTTCTCGAAGAACAGCATTGCCAAGTAGGTTAAATTCCTATTGAAATTGGCAACTCTGAGGTAGTTGCTGACCTTGAAAAGAATCAAGTCAGTGGAAAGGAGAATAAAGTCAAATATGTGTAGTTTGATGGATGAATTGGACAAATGGAGTTGGAGAGAGTAAGTCAGGCAACTAGATAAAGGATTTTTGCTGAGGAAAGGAATAAAATATATGATAATAACTGGAGGAAATATGGGATTAGGGAAGGGATTTTTAACATAGAAATAATAGAGAATATCTGCATGCTGATGAGGGTAGATTTGATAGCACAGTTAGTTCTTTTGTACTAGTAGGAATAGTGGAGAAAATGAATAGATTTGCTGCAGGAAATGTGAGGAAGTTTCCCTGTAGCCATTTTTCTTAGTGAACAATGAGGTCTAGTGTGCACCAGCTAAGAATTAAAGGGAAAGGAGAGGTAAATATAAAGTAAGAGAAAAACCTGGGTAACAGTTAACTGGGGGTGGGGTGAGAAAACGAATATCCTCACCAGGAGCAAGGAGCGGATGTTTCTGTTGTATTCTAATGTTATAATGAATGTGTTATTTTTCAAGACATGAAAGATTGAGTTCATCAAGTAGGATGACTGACATATTTTCAAAGGTTCAGGAAATTAAACCCTCATATTAATTTTAGAATTAGCTTTCTAATAATTGTTAGAATCCAGTTGATTCTGTTTCCATCTAGCACATGTTTTTCTGTCCTGTTCTTAGTTATCTGTGAAGCACTTGATTATCTACACTTACTGACATCTAGTCAGACTAAATATCTAAATGTCTCCAGTAAAAAGAGGCATTTAGAGTTTTCTTCAGATGTAATGAGAAGTCTTAGAACTACCAAATCCTATAAATTTAGATGTTATATTACTGCAGGATTCTGCAACATATTTTCCACAAAGATTTTTCAAAATATACACATATGCACACACACAGAAATCTCATTTCCAGATTCAAATAACTGAATAAGATCTTGAAAGATCTTGAAAAATCTTGAAAGAGAAAACATAAAAACACGGATTTAGTAATCATAAGATTATGCAAATGAATAACCTAGTTTGTACTAAAGCAATAGGTAATACCTTGCTAAATATATCGGATGACTACAAAGTGAACCATGTGAAAAATTTGAAAGTCTTTTTTAAACATTAAAAATGCCAGGTTGCCTTAGTTTATCTGCTGTATCTGTACATTTTCAACTGGTGTATTATATGAGCTGGGATTTTAAGGTATGTAGTATTTGTATGTTTGTAAATGACAACACAGTGTTTTCTCATGAGTAATAAAATAAATCAATATAGAATGAAAATATATTAATTTTTAATTTCATCCATGTACTAAATTCCAGTGGATTCATTGTGTAGTTGAATTATACATTATGTTTGCTGGGTAAATGGAATTATGAAATTACCTTTCTCTATATTATCTTACTGGGGGCTTCATTGATTTGCCTTGATATCACAGAAAACTAATATGTAGTGAGTATTTTTTTGTTTCTTGTTTACTAACTTGTTACTGGTCTATCATAACAAGACAAATACAGAATATGTTATCTTTTACCTAATATTTTTTCAAAACACCTAAAATAATTACATTCAGAGATTTCAAATGAATTGAACTCTGTACATTTGATAAGAGAAATGCCTTTAACATGGTGTATTAGTCAGGGTTCTCTAAAGGGACAGAAGTAATAGGATAGATGAATATATGAAGGGGAGTTTATTAGGAGAATTGACCCACAGCATCACAAGGTGAAGTCCCACAATAGGCTGTCTGCAAGCTGAGGAGCCAGGAAGCCAGTCTGAGTCCCAAAACCTCAAAAGTAGGGAACCTGACAGTGCAGCCTTCAGTCTGTGACCGAAGGCCCAAGAGCCCCTGGTAAGTCATTGCTGTAAGTCCAACAGTTCAAAAGCTGAAGAACTTGGAGTCTGATGTTTGAGGGCGAGAAGCATCCAGCACAGGAGAAAAACAGAGGCCAGAAGACTCAGCAAGTCTGCTCCTTTCATGCCTGCTTTTATGCTGGCAGCTGATTAAATGGCGCCCATCCAAAATGAGGGTAGGTCTGCCTGTCCCATTCCACTGAGTCAAATGTTAATCTCCTTTGGCAACACCCTCACAGACACACCCAGGAACAATACTTTCCATCCTTTAATCCAATTAAGTTGACACTCAATATTAACCCTCACATTATTTAGAAGAAGCTGTACCTTCAATTTATATCAATAGCCAAGACTTCTGTAGGCTTCAGACCTATGTATCAATGTCTCTTGAATCTCTCCACCTGAAAACTGGTTTCTGGCCAAACTGTACCTCTTTTTGCCGCCTTTTAAATTTTCATCCCATGAGGGTCAACACCTTCTACTAAACAACTAGTTCCACACATCAACTTATAAAACCTAGCATTGTCTACTTCATATCCTATTGATTTTACTTAAAAATAATTAAACTCTATCCACATTTCTGACAACTATCATCTGTGTAGTTTTTGCTATATTACGTTATGCCTAGACTGCTGAAATATAGGTTTGACCATTTATTTAAATCTCAATCTAGGAAATTTATGAGAATGAAAGAGGCCCCCTCTAAAATTACATATTTTTAAATATTTATCTCTTTAAAAACAATTATTTTTATGCTGAAACTGTAAAATAATTTCTAAAAATAAAAAGTGGCATATGTCCATGTTCATAAAGCAAAAGTTTTAATATCGATTTTATAGATTATATTAATGTTAAAAATATAAGCAGAATAATTATTCTTGAAAACTGTTCATATTATTTATTCTTTTTTTTTTTTTTTTTTTTTTGAGACAGAGTTTTGTTCTTGTCGCCCAGGCTGGAGTGCAATGGCATGATCTTGGCTCACTGCAACCTCCACCTCCCAGGTTCAAGTGATTTTCCTGCCTCAGCCTCTCGAGTATCTGGGATTACAGGCGCTCGCCACCATGCCCAGCTAATTTTTGTATTTTTAGTAGAGATGTGTTTTCACCATGTTGGCCAGGCTATTCTTGAACTCCTGACCTCAAGTGATCCACCAGCCTCAGCCTCCCAAAGTGCTAGTATTACAGGCATGAGCCACCATGCCTGGCCCACTATTCATGTTCTTTAAGCAGTTTGTTATCCATGTCTATATATAATGCCACTGAAATTTTTCTTAATAATTTATTTTTTAATACTGTTTAATTATTTTCAGTTTTCATAAAATTACGTGCAATCTTCTTCAAAGTTGTATCTTATGGCTAATAAATTTGGAATTTTTGAAAATTTAGGTTGATTTTCTATGTGGACCATTATATTTTGAGTTAAACAAATATTCTCTTGGTCAGGCATGGTGGCTCATGGCTGTAATCCCAGCACTTTGGGAGGCTGAGGTGGGCAGATATCCTGAGGTCAGGAGTTTGAGACCACCCTGGCCAACATGGGGAAACCCCGTTTCTACTAAAAATACAAAAAATTAGCTGGGCGTGGTGACGGGGGCCTGTAATCCAAGCTACTTGGGAGGCTGAAGCAGGAGAATGTCTTGAACTTGGAAGGCGGAGGTTGCAGTGAGTGGAGATCTCGCCACTGCATTCCAGTTTGGGCGACAGAACGTGACTCTGTCTCAAAAACAAAAACCAAGCAAACAAACAAACAAAAAACAACAAATATTCTCTTTACAGATGTAAGATGCCCAGTAAGACCTGAGCAAATTTTGCTAAACGGAGGTTATTGTTTATTTTATTTTATTTTTTGGTGTTCAAATGTACAAATATTTCAACCTAGATATTTTTAACAGGCTTTATCTTATTGTCTGCATTTTAAAAACCTTTCTTTCATATGTATTTCATAAGAAAATAACTTGTTAAAATGGCCAGGCATGGTGGCTCACGCCTGTAATCCCAGCACTTTGGGAGGCTGAGGCGGGCGGATCACGAGATCAGGAGATTGAGACCATCCTGGCTAACACGGTGAAACCCAGTTTCTACTAAAAATACAAAAAATTAGCCAGGCGTGGTGGCAGGCGCCTGTACTCCCAGCTACTCAGGAGGCTGAGGCAGGAGAATGGCATGAACCAGGGAGGTGGAGGTTGCAGTGAGCCGAGATTGCGCCACAGCACTCCAGGCTGTGTGACAGAGAGAGACTCCGTTCCAAATAAAAGAAAAAATAAAACAAAAGAAAATAACTTGTCACATAAGTGTCTCTTTTTTATTCTTTTGTGTATTTCACCAAGTTTAAATCTATAGGTGTTTTATTCAATTTTAGTAGAAATTATAAATTAATTTGTTAAAAGACCTACACCAAAAAGTTCATCCCACAAATTTAAGTATTTCAAAGTAAAATTATAGTATTCCAAAATTATGTACATCATTTGAGCTCTCATTTCTTAATTTATTCAGTCATTACCTTGGTTATGTAGATATATTTTAATGCCTTTCTGTGTTAAGCATTGTTTTCCATTTTACTTTTCTATAAGCCTGAAAAGCTGCAGTTTTTTTATTGCTCTATTTGCAGAACATTTTGATTAAAGATTTCCAAACTTAAGTTTGAACAAAATGAACCAAAATTTAGAGGCTTTGTGTTTTTTTAAAGAAGTTCAGTTCACTGTAAGCCTTTTAGGTTGTTTTGCAAACTAATTTTTCCAAGTAGCAAACATTTCTTAAAATCCTATTGATGATGAGCAGCAAAGAGAAAAAAAAGCATGTATTGCTATGCTGAAGTGTGTTATAACTTATTTAAGATCAACTTTATCACAAAAATTTTGTAGTTTACCTACTCTGTACACATATAAAAATGTGTAAATTTTGACACCTACATTCTCTATGTTGATTATAGAATATTGTACTTTTTCAGTTTGCAATTAATTATGTGTCTACCAGAACCACTTCCAAATACAGCATATGTCTGTTTTTGAGCTCATTGTTGCCAGAAGGGTTTCTAGATCAAACTACATTAGCCCAAGTCTTTGCATCCTTCTTTGTATCCATACCCTTGGCATCCTAAGCAGATTGTACTTTCCCATCCTTTGATTTATTTTGGCCAGTGGCATATAGACAGATTTGATAGTGTGCTATTAATATTTCTGAGCCCAGGCTTGAAGAGATCTTCGGTAATTGTGCTTGCCCTCTTAAGCTTTTGCTATCACCATGAGAAGAACATGTCCTGATCTAGCCCACTGGTACCAGGAGAAGAATGAGAAACACATGAACTATTATGTCAGCTGAATGGAGCTCAGATCAATGGATTCAGCTGCTACAGTCTGATGCAAAGCCTATTGTGTCCAGAATTTATTCCTTCCGGTGGGTTCTTGGTCTCCAAGAATGAAGCCGCAGACTCTCGTGGTGAGTTTTGCAGCTCTTAAAGATGATGAGTCTGGAGTTTGTTCCTTCAGATGTTCAGATGTGTCCAGAGTTTATTCCTTCCGGTGGGTTCAGGAGTGAAGCCGCAGACCTTAGCAGTGAGTGTTACAGCTCTTAAAGGTGGCTCGTTCGGAGTTGTTTGTTCCTCCCGGTGTGTTCGTGGCCTCGCTGACTTCAGGAATGAAGCCGCAGACCCTCGCAGTGAGTGTTACAGCTCATAAAGTAGTGCGGACCCAAAGAGTGAGCAGCAACAAGATTTATTGTGAAGAGCGAAAGAACAAAGCCTCCACTGTGTGGAAGGGGACCCAAGCAGGTTGCCACTGGTGGCTCGGGTGGCCAGCTTTTATTCCCTTATTTGGCCCTGCCCACATCCTGCTGATGGTTCCATTTTACGGAGCGCTGATTGATCCATTTAACAGAGTGCTGATTGGTGCATTTACAATCCTTTAGCTAGACACACAGCGCTGATTGATACATTTACAATCCTTTAGCTAGGCACAAAAGTTCTCAAAGTCCCCACGGCCCAGAAGCTCAGCTGGCTTCACCTCTCACTGTCATATATTTAAATTCAGTTACTTCTCATTACCACCCAAGGCCTCACTCCTGCCCTCCTCTGATATACCATCATCTCACTCTTGATTATTGATTCAGATATTAGCTGGCCATCACGTAGCCATGAAGATAAATGTTTTAAACTGTTGAATTTGGGGGTGATTTATTAGGGAGCATTATTGTTAATGTGGCATGGCCAATTGATACGATAGATTTCTTAGCTGCAACATTGTGTTTACCATAATCCTGACTCCACCAAAATTTGTATTCATAATTTCACTGTAAAAATGAACCTTTAAAAACTGTGTCTTAATGTATCTAAATGTACCTTAAATGTTGAACTTTTAAACTGATTTTACATTGATGTAATGTTGTAAATGACAGATGCTCACCTTCTCTAAAATTTTTTATTGATTTGATTTTGATTCCATGAATTGGGTGGGAAAATATTCTGAAGCATTATTGGATTCAACTAACAAAATTTCTTATTTGAAGCATATAATTACACTTATATAAAACTGGCATTGGAGCTATTTTCTTCACTTTTCATATGTGCATAAAAATTGGGATTGGGCCGGGCGCGGTGGCTCACGCCTGTAATCCCAGCACTTTGGGAGGCCGAGGCGGGTGGATCATGAGGTCAGGAGATCGAGACCATCCTGGCTAACAAGGTGAAACCCCGTCTCTACTAAAAATACAAAAAATTAGCCGGGCGCGGTGGCGGGCGCCTGTAGTCCCAGCTACTCGGGAGGCTGAGGCAGGAGAATGGCGTGAACCCGGGAAGCGGAGCTTGCAGTGAGCCGAGATTGCGCCACTGCAGTCCGCAGTCCGACCTGGGCGACAGAGCGAGACTCCGTCTCAAAAAAAAAAAAAAAAAAAAAAAAAAAAAAAAAAATTGGGATTGAAAATAAATTATTTAGAAGAACACTCATTTGTTTTAAATGAAAACTCATGCTTTTCAAAATGGAATGTAGCAGCTGCAGGTATTAAATTGTTGTCTTTGGAAACATTCTTAAAATAATGATTGACTTTTTTTTTTTTTTTTTTTTTGGGACCGAGTCTCGCTCTGTTACCCAGGCTGGAGTGCAGTGGCACAATCTCGGCTCACTGCAAGCTCTGCCTCCAGGGATCATGCCATTCTCCTGCCTCAGCCTCCCGAGTAGCTGGGACTACAGGCGCCCTCCACCAGGCTCGGCTAATTATCTTGTATTTTTAGTAGAGACAGGGTTTCACCGTGTGAGCCAGGATGATCTCGATCTCCTGACCTCGTGATCCGCCCGCTTCAGCCTCCCAAAGTGCTGGGATTACAGGCGTGAGCCACCGCACCCAGCCAGTGATTGGCTTTTGAATAGATATTGATGGTTTCTCAGAGATTTGTGTTTTCTGGTTTTCTAGTGACTACTGACTTTACTGTGGTCCCTATGGTGAATAGTAATCATGGATAAACTTTTTTTGTGCAAATTTATATTATTCACTTGTTTTAAAAATGGAAATGGATATTCAGTACGATTTTTTTTTTTTTTTTTTTTTTTTTTTTTTTTTTTTTTTTTTTTTTTGCTCTGTTGCCCAGGCTGGTGTGAAATGGCTTAAGCGTAGCTCACAGCAGCCTTGAACTCCTGGGAGTTCAAGTGATCCTCCTGCTTCAGCCTCCTGAGTAGCTGGAACTACAGGCAACCAGTACTAAATTTTTTATTATACATGTTGTCTTAGACCATTTGTGTTGCTATAAAGGAATACTCAAGGCTATGTAATTTATAAAGAAAAGAGGTTTATTTGGCTCCTAGTTCTGCAGGCTGTACAAGAAGCCTGGTGCCAGCATCTGCTTCTGGTGAGAGCCTCAGACGGCTTACACTCAGTGGAAGGCAGAGCGGTGCTGCTGTCTAGCGATCCCATGGCAAGAGAGGAAGCAGGGGCAGGGAGGTGCCAGGCTTATTTTAACAACCAGCTTTCCTGGGAACTAATAGAGTGAGAACTCATTTACTACAATGACGAGTGCACCAAGCCATTCATAAGGGATCTGCCCTCAAGACCCAAACATCTTTCACTAGGCCTCACTTCCATTATTGTGGATCAACTTTCCACATGAGGTTTGGAGAGTCAAATATCCAAACTATAGCACTTGCTTTTCATGTTTTCAGTTCATTGCTACCAAAATCTATTGCAAACTAAAAAAGCTTTACCAAACAATAAAATAAATATTTATAGACTTACAATAAATGACCAAATTACTGTACCAAGAGATTATATTCTCTACATTATACAGTAGAAATATCATATATAGCTAACCTTTCATTTGCCGTATTTCCTGTTGACCCTGCTGACTGTTGACTGGTAATTTCGTGCATTGTCCAGTCTGTGGTATTTGCCATGACAGAGCTGGCTAGTTTACCAAGTGTCTGGCAGAGGCTGCGGCTTCAAAACTTCTCCCATCACCACCTGAAACTGCAAAGAGTTGACTGTCTTAGCCACTCACTTCCAAATGTACTTGGTTTTCTCAGTGAGCATACTATATGCTGTTTGAAAGGGAGATGTTAGTTTTACTAAATATGGAAAGGCTCTAGAAAAGGTAGCTATTGCATATTGTTTTAAATATATAACCATGCGCCTGACCAACTGACAAGCTGGGAATACAAAGAGTAGATCTAACTCATCTCTGATTATTTTAATGCAAATATTGATACAAATACTTTGATAAAAATAAAAAATCCTGGACAAATGCTAAACAGGAGTAAATGAAGATTGTCCAAGCCAAATTTTACTTGAGGTCACTTGTATGCACACACATGCACACACACAGACACACACGCAATTGGCTCCTAATTGGCCTCCTTTAATCCGTTCTTGCTTTCATTCCAAGCAGTTTTTTCCAAAAGAAAGAAACAAGAATCAGAAGGGCAAATAGTAACAAAATATCTCTATAACTGACCACATGAAGAGGTGCCCTGAACTCGCAAAGACAAGCATCTATTCTGTGGGTTTAGTGTAATCTTAAGGCAAAAAGCTATTTATCAGTTTTTCAGGCATGATGGCAGTAGCCATTATAATCATCCATCTAATGTTTTGGGTTCACAGTAACTTTCTGATTATAACATTGCTTCTGACACATATTTTCCCCAGGAAGAGAATGTGCTGATTAGCAAACATGAGTATCCTTTCTTCTTGATAACGCAATTCTTTTTTTTTTTTTTTTTTTTTTGAGACAAAATCTTCCTCTTGTTCCCCAGGCTGGAGTGCAATGGCACGATCTCGGCTCACTGAAACCCCCACCTTCCAGGTTCAAGCGATTCTCCTGCCTCAGCCTCCCGAGTAGCTGGGATTACAGGCGCCTGTCACCATGCCCTGCAAATTTTCGTATTTTTAGTAGAGACAGGGTTTCACCATGTTGGCCAGGCTGGTCTCAAACTCCTGACCTCAGGTGATCCACGCACCTCGGCCTCCCAAAGTACTGGGGTTACAGACGTGAGCCACCGTGCCCGGCCGATAATGCAATTCTTATTTTAAAATAACAAATGGGCTCTCTGGATTAATAAACAGTCAAAAATATTTTGAATACATATTCCTTTGGAATATTGCCTTCTATCTTTTCCTGTTACAGTACATTCTAGAAAGAATAGCCTTTGTCTCTGATTTCTCACTAATTCATTTATTCAAAAAATGTTTATACAGAACGCAATACCTGATGGTGGGAAAACTTCCAGAACATACATTTAGACAATTTTTGAAATAGGACCAAGTCCTGTGTACTTTCCATTGCATTACAACTTCTTTAGCTTTGGAAATATTTTCAATTAATGCAATGAAAGTGAATGGAGTGCTTAATCACTTCATTATTTAGGGATTTTTGCCTTTGATTCAGTGACAGATTGAATATTATTGAAACTGTGATTTAAAATGCTGAAGAAATTAACCAGAAAACATATTGCTAATCATCCTTTCATATCTTTTTCTATTTTCAAAAAAATTTTCCAAACTACAGTACTTTATAATAAAGTCTCTTATTTCTACAAAATCCTGAACTGTGCCTGTTCGTTTAACTGACTCACTCAATGGCCAAATTGCAACATATAGATTCTAAAGAGAATTTAAGATGTGAAAAAGTTGAATATGATTTGGGCTGCCTTTCTTTGGAATTTATTTATTTCCTACGCCACCTGAAAACCTTTAAAACTTCCAATATACTAGGTTTTTAATTCCTTGAGCATCTCTGCTCAAACTCTTAATGTGCACACAAATCACCTGGGCTGGGGATCTTGTTAAAATGTAAATCACAATTCAGCAAGGCTGAGGTGGGGCCTGAGAGTCTGTATTTCTGACAAGCTCCCAGGAGTCGTGGATACTGCTGATTCAGGGATGCATTTGAATAAGAAGGCTCTAGAAGACAAACCAAAATGCTAATAATTTGGAATGTTTTATGAATGTATCAAAAACATACAAATTTTGATAAGTATCCTTGGTAATATATATTGATGTGCTCTCAGGGGTAATCTGTGGGCCCAGCATTGCCTAGGAATGTAGGACCATCAAAATGAGCTTTCTGTTTTAAAAACAGAGTATACCCAAATTATTACAAACCAGTAAGTTAATCACTTGATGTGCGTTATTATCAGGTATTTAGGTATGTACAACTGTGTTAACATAAGTGATACATTTATGGCTTATCTAGTTTTCTTGGCTGTGAACGCTAAACTCAGTTTGCATACCACGTTTGTGAAAATATTTTTAAATATGGAAAGTAGTCAAGAATTCATGAACAATAACATTGATGTCCAATGTGTATGTACTCTTGTATGGTTACAAACGATTTATTACTATAAATATTTGTTACTTTCCACTTGGTTTAATTATTGGATACTTAAAAGAAATTTTCTATTATGTAACAGTTTAAAAATAACTTGTTGTATTTTCTATTTTTAAAGAAAAACAATCTAGTATAAAATGAAAATTATAAAATATCATGAAAGTAATGTTTTATTATCAATTAATATGTTGAATGAAGTATATAAGGTCTTTCAGCCCACATACTGCTTCTTCCAGCTCCCAACAAACATCAAAATGCCTTGATATTACCCTGCTATTTTAAGAAAATGGGCACTTAAATAACTCAGTTCTTCTATTTCTATGGTAATCAGAATGCTCAATTTCTATTTGATTTTTAAGTTAAAGCAGTCTCATTTGCATACGTACAATAAAAGTTTTTGTGTGTTGCTAGGATCATTTCCATAATTCTATATTTTTCATCTTATCATTCTTGACCCTGACATTGTGCTATAATTTGCAAAACTAAAATCCATTCAGAAATAATCATTGGCAGAAAAAGTAAAAGCCAAGAAGACAGATACCACATTTAATGCAACTTTGCTTTTTCACAGTAACCCAATGGACAGGAAGAAAAGCATCACAAAGTGGTTCAGCATAATGGTAGGATTGATTAACTTGCTAGAAATAGACAGAGTTTTTATCCAAGTTTGGATTGGCTCATACCAATTACTGTATGATTTCACTTGGAAATGGAGCCAGCTACAAGTAGCTATGTGCCTAAGCTGAATACAAAAATTGTACCTATGCCATTACTCTCCCTTTTTGTCTAGAATACACTTATATACATAGCAAAAGCAAGGATAAATAGAAACAGCAATACTTATAAAAATACTTTTTCAATTCTTCCTGGAATGTTTGTGTTTTACAAATGTCTCTATACATTTTATTTTTTGTAAACAAGAGTCTTATTCTGCGTGTCTCTTAGTATTCTAGCAAACATTTGTGCCATGTTCAATTATGAATGCATTCCTTTAATTGAGACGATTGAATAAATTATATGCTTAGGTGATGAAAGCACTTTCTTTTCTAAATAAGCAGTTTGATATAAAATACTTCAGTAAGTAACTTATCTGTATTTTACTGAATTTAGAAATTTATATCAGGAACTTTTATCTACAGGAGCTACATACTTCTTGTACTAATTTTTTTCTGGAATAAGACAGTGTGACCAGATGAAGTCAAATATAATTTCCATGCAGCTTTTTCTTACACTCTGAAGAGCAAGCACTTAGGCAAATAAAAGCAAAACTGTACCTCAAAAAGCCACATCCTCAATGGATGTCTTTTAGAGGAAGCACTATTTTTTTTTCCAACCAAAACAGGATACTTACAGCCTTCAGAGATAAAATAGCAGAACTTACCAGTCTCTTAGCATCTGAAACCACAGTCTGTACCTGTCATTTATTGTTTTGTAAATGAACTAAAAATAGAAGATGGATGGGCTGTGTGAAATCCATAAATTCTGTTAATGGCCTACTAAGAAGCCATGTGTTTAGGACACTCGATGTTACTCAATGATTCTCTTTCCATGTTGTTTTAAAGAGAGCTCTTAGAGCACTTGCTTATTTTGTCATTTTATTGCTACCTTGACTTCAAGGTAAAATAATGATTTTAGCTTATTTAGTTTCTTTCTATAAATGCACTCAGCACATGATTTTGCCTTCTAATTCCACAGAAAGTCAAGAGTTCTCAATTTCCTGTCCCTCCTCACTTAACTCCATGAAAACAAAGCTGCGTCCACATCAGTTATTTCTCTTTCTAGTCTCAGGGGCTGTGCTTATGTCCAAAACTGATGCTAATCAATGTTGTTCTCTGGATATTTGTACACCCTCCTGCTCAAGATAATCTCTCTACCAATTTTCTCTCTCCCCTCTTCCTTTCTCTCTATCAGCTCTCTAACTCTTTATTGCTATCACTCCATCTCTTTATCTCATCTCTATCTTTCCTTTTGTCCTATATTTTCAACTTCCTCAGCTCCACTGGCTCTTTCAGACCCTTTGTTTTCTGAGTGTAAGCACTCTTAGTCACTTCTGTTCTGAAAGTATTATAACTGCCCCTGTTTCCTTCCTTTTGAAACAAAACTTCTTGAAAGGGTAGAGCACTCTAAACATATCCATTTCTTCACTTCCAATGCAATCATGAGCCTGCTGCAATTTGGCCTCTGACAGTATTTAAGACACCAAAGATGACATTAACTCCCTCCACATAAAACAGTTTCTAGGTAATATTTAACTTGGATTATGTGGCATTTGCTAGACAGTTGAGTATTTCCTTCTTAAACTTTCTTTTTTTGGCTTTCTTTTTCGTTTCCTACATCTCCTTCTATCTCTCACTAGTCTTGAAACAAAAATATTTAAGTAAAATTAGTAGCAGAGCTGAACAAATTCTTAGACATAAAAGAAAAATGAATGCCAATCTGATTTAGAAAAAAAAGCCGTCAAACTGCCCAGACCCTAAAATTATATATGAAAAGCAGTCATTAGCTAAACTTCTAATTAGTTAAATATATAAAACTATAATTTTATTTTCAATTATCACCATAGGAAGAACTGTTTTATTCTACTCACATGTCATTGGGTGGAAAATACTGCTAGTGTTGCTTGAACTGAACAGGCCAGGAGAAACCACTGAACAGGGAGAGGCAGCCAAACTTTTACAACATTGGTAATGATTATAGGGAAGAGGTGCTAGACTCTGGATTGTGTCAGTTTTCTCTTTCTCAAAAAAGGAAGGTTTAAAAGGAACTAATCTGAGACATTTTTTAAAAAAGCAAGTTAATATTTCTGTTCCTGCTAAATTCTACATCCAACTTTAATGAGGAAGAGGATATTTGTTTCCTAAGATTGCCTTAACAAAGTACAAAAACCAGGTAACTTATAATGACAGGAAGTTATTTTCTCACAGTTCTTGGGGACAGGAGCCTGAAATCAAGATGACAGCAGGGCCATGTTTCCTCTGAGGCTCTAGGGCAGGATCCTTCCTTATCTCTTCTAGCTTCTGGTGATTGCCGTCAACCTTCGGTGTTCCTAGGCTTGTTGACGTATCACTCCAACCTCTGCCTCTGTCTTCACATTCCTTCCATTTCTCCTGTGTGTGTATCTATCTCTGTGTTCCAATATCCCTCCTCTTTGCCACCTTCCTCTTCCTCTTCCTCCTCTTCTTCTTCTTTGTCTTTGTCTTGCTCTGCCACATAGGCTCTGGAGTGCAGTGGCATGATACAGCTTACTGTAGCCTCAACCTCCTGGGCTGAAGCAGTCCTCCTGTCGCAGCCTCCTGAGTAGCTGAGACTATAGATGCATGCCACCATGCCCAGGCCTGGCCGATTTTTTTTTTGTAGTAGAGACAAGGTCTCCCTATGTTGCTCAGGCTAGTCTCAAACTCCTGGGCTCAAGTGGTCTACCTGCCTTGGCCTCCCAAAGGGATTGCAGGCATGAGCCACTGTGCCTGGCCTACCTTCTTTTTATAATGGCACCAGTCATATTAGATTCAGAGCTCACTCTACTCCAGTATGAACTCATTTTAAGTTGATTACCTCTGCAATTTCCAAATAAGGCCACATTCATGGGTTCTCAGGAGACATGTATTATATGGGGATACTATTTAACCCAGTATATTTTTTTTTAAAAAAATGACTGATCACACAGTATTTTTCTGCCTCTGCAAACCTCACTAAAACAATATTAAAACAATAAAGTAATAAAAAAGAGCTACCATAACAAATACAAAAACAAAGATACCCATTGGAAACTGACAATACAGGAAATAGTTTTTAAAATTTGAAAATAATCTAATATTCTCAATGAGATATTACAAGAGTAGGATGCTATGGAAAGGAAAGAAAAGAGAATAAAACTATGATAGAAATAAATAACATTATAAAAGGACTGAAAGATAAAGCCAAGGACCAAAACTTAACACACACACACACACACACACACACACACACACACACAGACACACACAAAATGTGAAAATAGTAAACATAGAAAAGAAAGGAAAAATTCGTGAGGTTCAGCAACTATTTTATATAAAATATATAGAGAAAAGAAAAAACAAAATAGATTAACTATCAAGAACTGTAAAAAACAATTTTTAGAAAGACATGAATCTCCAAATTGTAGGTGTCCAGCACAAGTGGCCCATAAAAAAATAAAGGCAGACCTCACAAATCACATAAAATGTGACATTTCAAAATAACGAGCATCAAGAAGAAAAAGCTTCTAGAGAAAATAACAAAGGTCACCTACAAGAGACAGGAAATCCAAATTGCATTAGCCTTCTCAAAAGCTATAATGAAAGATAGAAGACCTTGGAGCAATGTCTTCAAAATTATTGATGAAAATGATATTTGATGAATAATTTGATAGCCAAATTATCAATCAATGATGAGAATAAATTAAAGTCATTTTTAGAAATGCAGAAATATATGTCAGTTACTAATTCATGGGAAGCTATTGGAGGATATACTTGAACAAATAAGGAAGTAAATTAAGAAAGACAGAGGTAGTATTCAGCAAAAATGATCAATTCTAGAAAAATATCAGTAAAATTTTAAGGATGACAATAAAGGGAAATTCCAGGACAACTGCTGTGTGGCTTTCCTAGAGAGCAACCTGTCCACAGTGGATCAGAAGAATGGAGAGCTCCAGTCAAGTATTCTTGATAGAGACAATTTCCTAAACCTGATAAAGGGCAGCTACAAAAATCTCACAGTCAACACCATGCAAAATAACAAGAAAGGATGTCTGCTCTCACCACTTTTAGGCAGTATTGCACTAGAGAGTCAAGCCATGGCAAGTAGGCAAGAAAAAGAAAAGCATCCACACTGGAAAAGAAGAAGTAAAACTAGTTCTCTTTGCAGATGACATGATGTTGTATATATATAGTAAATACTAAAAAGCCCACTAAAAACTATTACACGTTTACAAGAGCAAATAATAAACAAGGTTGTAGTATACAAGATTAATATAAAAAGATCTATTTTATTTCTATATACTAGCAATTAACCACCTGCAAATGAAATTGAGAAAATAATTCCACTTACTCTAGTATCAAAAAAATAAAATTCTTAGAAATAAATAACAGAAGTGCTAAATGTATATTTTGAAAACTATGAAATAGAGTTGAAAGAAATTTTAAAAAACCTAAACTTATGGGTTGCAAGGTTTACTTATTGTTTGGATTATTGGATTATGTATTATTTGGATATATAATAAAGATGACAATGAATGTTTGTTATTCATTATTATTTATTGTTAAGATAGCAATTATTTATTAAGATAGCAGTATTGTTAAGATAGCAGTACTTCCCAAACTTATCTACAGAATCAATGCAATTCTTAACAGAATAACAACAAACTTTTTGCAGAAATTGACAAGCTGATTCTAAATTTCATATGAAATTGCAAGAAACCCAGAATAGCCAAAATAATTTTAAAAAATGAAGAGCAAAGTAAGCAGATTCACATTTTCCAATTTCAAAACTCGCTGCAAAGCAATGGTAATTAAACAGTGTGCTGGCACAAGAATAGACATATAGACTAATGGAATATAATTGAGAGACCAGAAATAAATCTATATACCCATGGTCAATAAGTTTTGACAAGAGTGACAAGACCATTCAATGGGGAAAAATATTCTTTTCAACAAATGGTGCTGGGACAACCAGATGGTCATAGGCAAAAGAATGAAGTTGGACATTCACTTCATACCATATGCAAAAATAAATTCAAGATATTATATATCAAAGACTTAAATGTAAAAGTTTAAACTCTTAGAAGAAAACAAAACAGTAAGTCTCATGACCTTGGATTTTTCAATATGACACCAAAAGTATGAGCAACAAAAGAAAAAATTGCAAACTGGACTTCAATAAGCTTTATGCTTCAAAGAACACTATCAAGAATTTAAAGAAACACACTACAGAATAGGAGAAAATATATGCAAATTATATACATGATAAGGGACTTTTATCTAGAATATTTAAAGCACTCTTACAACTTAATAATAAAAGACAAATAAACAAACTAAGAAATGGCTAAAGTACCTGAATACACATTTCTCCAAGGAAGACATACAAACAGCCAAAAAGCAAATGAAAAGATGCTCAACCTCATTAGTTATCAGAAAAATGCAAATCAAAACAACCGGAAGATGCCACTTCACACCCAACTAGGATGACTACGTTTAAAAAGTCAGATAATAACAAGTGTCGGTGAGAATGTAGAGAAATTGGAACTCTCATAAATTACTGATAGGCATGCAAAATTGTCCAGTCACATTAGAAAACTGTCTGGCATTTCCTCTAATAATTAAACAGAATTACCAGTAATTCCATTTCTAGGTATATATGCAAGAGAAATGAAAACATGTCCACATAAAAAGTTATACATAAATTTTTATTTGTTTGTTTGAGACAGGGACTCACTCTGTCACTCAGGCTGGAGTGCAGCGGTACGATTTTGGCTCACTGCAGCCTGGGTGACAGAGTGAGTTCCTGTCTCAAAAAGGTGGACGCAAGCAGTCTTCCCAGCTTAGCTTCTAGAGTAGCTGTGACTACAGGTGCACACCACCGCACCCCACTAATTTCTTTTTATTTTTTGTAGAGTCATGTTTTTAATATGTTGTCCAGGCTGGTCTAGGACTCCTGGGCTCAAGCAACCTTCTTGCCTCAGCCTCCCAAAGTGCTGGGGTTTCAGGTGTAAGCCACCATGCCCACCTTTGTACATGAATGTTTATAGCAGCATTATTCACAGTAGCCAAAATGTGTCAGTGGATGAAAGGATACATAAAATGTGGTATGCTTATAAAATGAAATATCATTTGGCTATAAAAATAAATGAAGTATGACATATGCTACAACTTGGATTAACCTTGAAAACATTGTGCTAAGTGAAAGAAGCCAGTCCAAAAGTCCACATAAAAACATATTCTATTTATATGAAAGTCCAAAATAGGAAAAGCTATGGTGACAGAAAATAGTATAGTGCTCACTTACAGTTGGGTGCCAGATGATAGGGGTTTATAGTGGTGATAGCTAAAGAATATGGGGTTTCTTTTTGAGGTGATGAAAATGCTCTAAAATTGACTGTGGTGACGGTTGTGCATATATGTGAATATACTAAACACCATTAAAGTATACATTTAAAATGGGTAAGTTATATGGCATGTGAATTATATTTTTTAAAGTCTGGTTTTTTTTTTTTTTAATGATGGTATATGAATTCTGAGCCTAGATCATGGAACATATCATGCTTCTGCCTTGCTATTTCTTGGAATGCTCCCTTTGAGGGAAGCCAGGCACCATATTATGAACATGCTTAAGCAGCCCATGGAGAGGCTCCTGTGGGAAGGAACTGAGGCCTCCCGCCAACAACCTGCCCCAAATGAGTGAGACATCTTGGGAAAATATCTTCTAGCCTCTGTCAAGACTTCAGATAACTTGCAACCTTAGCCAACATCTTGACTGGCACCTCATGAGAGATTCCAAGCAAGAACCACCAAACTAAGCTGCCTCTGAATTCTTGACCCACAGAATTCATTGTTGTTCTAAGTAACTAAGCTTTGGAGTCATTCGTTCAGCAGCAATAGACAATGAATACGGCAGCATTAGAAAGAAAGAATAATCAAAATGTAGCACTTTGGAGGGAAGGAAGATTATTTGTGTGAACATATTTAATCTGTATTCCTACTTTGCAGAGCGTCTGGGGCACCATTTACGCAACATATAATGTAAGAAAGCACTAACACTTGGTTTAACTAAAATTTATGGGCTGGGTGCAGTGGCTCACACCTGTAATCCCAGCACTTTGGGAGGCTAAGGTGGGCAGATCACTTGAGGTCGGGAGTTCGAGACCAGCCTGGCCAACATGGTGAAACCCCATCTCTACTAAAAATACAAAAAAATAGCTGGGCGTGTTGGCGGGCACCTGTAGTCCCAGCTACTCGGGAGGCTGAGGCAGGAGAATGGCGTGAACCCGGGAGGCAGAGCTTGCAGTGAGCCTAGATCATGCCACTGCACTCCAGCCTGGGGGACAGAGCGAGACTCCGTCTCAAAGAAAAAAAAAAAAAAATTAGCCGGGCGTGGTGGTGCACATCTGTAATCCCAGCTACTCTGGAGGCTGAGGCAGGAAAATCACTTGATCCCAGGAGGTGGAGGTTGCAGTGAGCTGAGATCGAGCCACTGCACTCCAGCCTGGGCGAGCGAGTCTCTGTCAAATAAAACAAAATAAAATAAAATATAAAATAAAATAAAATTTACAGTATATCTATGTTAATTATGGGGGCAGGAGAAATAGACATTTATGGTATGGAAGAGCTAAATTCTAATTTGCCATGATGTGAAATCGATAGGAAATATCTAAAATTGGTAACTTATAAAATAGCTGTGTAAGCATATTATTGATAAATACAAAGCTATAAATTTCACAGTTCATAATTTGTGGGGTCAGGGCCTACAAGATGGAGAATACTGTAGTGAACTATTGATGTACATTGTAAGTCTTGGCACTATCTTTATAATATGTCCATAAATTATTTTTACGAAGAATAAATATAATTTAAAAAATTCAAAATATAATAATAGCACACAAAAGTTTAAAAAATTAAAATCAGAAATATAATTTATTTTCTGGAATTTCTAATATATACTATACACTGTGCTCAGCATTATCATACATTTGTTAAAAGATAATTTTCTGCAAAATAAAAAATCATGACTCATATAGATATAAAAATGAACCCATGCTAAAGAATTTATTTTCCTTATATGATATGAAGTTACCAGGTAGATGTTATAACTGGTTCAGAAAAAAATGAGCAAAATAGCAAAAATTATTATAGAATAAAGGAACGTGGAGACGAATTGCAAATGGAGACAAAACTAGTTTTCCACAGAGGGGAGGAAGTCAATTAAATCACTACCAGACAGCGCAGAATTTACTTATCTGTCAGCTACTTATAACTTACAAAGAGTTGCAAAATACCTGAAAGACAATGAACAAGGCTAGAATCTAACATCCCAGGTAGGTCTCCTGTAAAAGACGTTTAGTTTTCCACTGAAACACAAAACAATTATTTAATACAACATGTAGACTAACTTTGTGAAGTAGGTGTTCCGTCTTTGTAGAAGAAAATGAAGCTTAAAATTGGTTACATAACTTGTTTATATTCCCACTGTTAGCAAAGGCCTAATAAGGAATATAAATTATGTGTGTATATGTGTGATACTGGTAACTGTGATTTCTTTTCAATTTCAAAGGATAATTTTATCAGGTTTGTCTGTGCCTTTTTTTTTCTTTTGCAAAACTGATACTGTCAGTTTACCTCCTGGGATCCAGTCAAAGTAAAACAATTTTGTTTTTCAGGGGTTTTTCCTGCAGTGAACATGGCCATATCTCTCTAGTTATTTCTTAAAAAGAGAGACAATTTCAAAACAGCCAGGGAGGGAACATGGACATCTGTCAGACCTTGAAGTGACTGTGAAAGGGCATAACAAAGATTCTCCCTTCTTCCTAAAGCAATGGTCGCCCTCTTAATGTATTTTTTTCTCTTTTATAATTACCATAGCTCCATTCACATTTTTCCTCTTTTATATTTTCTTTTCTCCCCCAGCTGCTTCTGCAAATTCTGTCTCATCTCTGGCGTTTTACCTCACTAGTCTGATTCTGCCATCCTAGCTCTGGTCTGAACCTGGCTGGACTTGGCTAACTTTGGGTGCACATTTGCCGTAATTAGCTTAGACGAGGGCGGCAAGGAGCAGAGGAACAGTGCTGACTCTCCCCGCTTTTGCCCAGTTTAGTTTCTAGAATACTTTAAACTATGAGGCAATACCTGTGACATCCAGCAGGGTCAAACTACATCCCTTCCAGCCCATACCCTTCCCAGGAGGCCACAAAAACTCCACCATCTTTGCGTGCTGCAGGGCTGTTCGGATAACCCCAGTGCTTCCAGTAAGAGACTCTAAAACTAAAGTAACTGTCAAACAAACAACAAGCATAGAGGATGCTTTTAAAAGGACACTAATGGATCTTTAAAAGAAAGGGAAGGGAAGGGTACATGTGGTCAAACTGCTCTTGAGGTTTGCATGTTCAGTCGTTCTACAGAATTATTGTGTATCAATTATATGCCAAAGTCATAATTTTATGAGTTTACTCAGAGATTATTAAGATCTTGAGAAATTATTTCACATGAATCACCAGAGACTAATATAATAAAATATGAAGGTTTTAATTGGCACTTTCTGGAAATATCATCTCCTTCAATCCAGGTCACAGCTGGAGGAGGTAGACACTTGGCATAGCCAAGGAGCAAACTAGTCTGATGGGTGGAATTAATCATGGGACAACACATAACACAGCCAGATTACCTTCACATTCTAGTTTGCACTAAGAAATAAAATTGTTGAACACTCACATTTTAAGAGGGTTCATCAGGAATTTTTATATTATTCAGATGAAAGACAAATATTTAGACAGGTTTGCAATAGACCCTCACTTTGTCAAGGTTATATTGTTTGTATGTAATATAATCAATCAATGTAAGGAGAACAGTGATTTCAGGAAATAATGTCATCAAACTATTATATCCTAATTCAGGGGGTTATTTCTGTTGGGGAAACTGCCTGAATAGTATAAAGAAACAACGAAAGGATCTGTTCAGTGTTTCTTTTTATAGACTGTGAAATCAGTACCCTTGTGCTATGACAATATTACCTTGAATACTTAAAAATATCAAATTAGTTGTTTAATAATCAGATGAAAGCTTAGTAGTCAATGTTAGCTTTAGAAAGCCTTTAGTTACTTTAAGAGATACTGAAAGGATATCTTAGACTTCACTGTTGGTGTGGTAAGCAGCTTCTAAGATGACTGTCAATGATCCACACCTCCTGATATTTATGTTATTTTGCAATCACTTTGAGTGTGGGAACTTAGTGGTGAACTTCTAATGAATAAAAGATGGTATGTCACTTAAATGAGATTATAGAAAGACTATGACTTCTGCCTTGCGTGTCCACTCTCTTTCTTTCATATCGCTCACTCTCAGGCCAGCAACCTACCATACTATAAGCCATCTTATAGAGAATCCTACATGGTGAGTAATTGAAGTCTCTGAACAACAGCCAGAGAGAAATGGAAACTTGCAAACAACACGTTAATGAACCTTAAAGTGGATCTGATTCCAGCTGAGTGTTGAGATGACTACAGCCCTGGCTGACAGTTTAGCCACAACCCTCCAAGAAAACTGAACCAAAATTATCCAGCTAAGCCACTCTGGATTCTGGGTTCTCAGAAACTGTGAGATAATTATAAATGTTTGTTATTTCTATGCTGCTAGATTTTGAGATATGTTATACAGCAATAGATAACTAATAGAGTATCCTGTGTTACAACAGTATATTAGCTTGAGTATCTAAAAAATGAATCAGATGATAGCTTATTAGACATCATTTGTCTAATAAAAAGATGATAGCTTGTTAGTCAACATTAGTTCATTTAATTACTTTGGTTAGATTTGGAAAGCCATTAGTCTATTCAAAGGAATACTTTGTAAATATTTAGATATTAGCGTTAGGTGAAAAGTATAGGAGTGCACTGTCTCTTCCACGCACTGGCGAAGTTCCTGTGTCGCCAGGGGCCACCATCCTGCTCCTTGTTATTGGTATTGTAAAAAACAGCCATACCCAAAGTCTCGTTTCTGCTGAGATCTGTATCTTTGGGTCGAAAGAAGGCAAAAGTGGATGAGTTCCCACTCTGTGGCCACATGGTGTCTGATGAATATGAGCTGCTGTCTTCTGAAGCCCTGGAGGCTGTCCGTATTTGTGCCAATAAGTACATGGTGAAAAGTTGGGGCAGAGATGGCTTTCACATCCGAGTGTAGCTCCATCCCATCCATGTCATCTGCATCAACAAGATGTAGCCCTGTGCTGGGGCTGAAAGGCTCCAGATGGGTATGTGAGGGGCCTTTGGAAAACCCCAGGGTACTGTGGCCAGGGTCCACATTGGTCAAGTCATCATGTTTATCCGCACTAAGCTTCAGAACAAGGACCATGTGATTGAAGCCTTACGCAGGGCCAAGTTCAAGTTCCCTGGATGGCAGAAGATCCATATCTCCAACAAGTGGGGCTTCACCAAGTTTAATGCTGACAAATTTGAAGACAAAGTGGCTGAGAAGCACCTCATCCCTGATGGTTGTGGGGTCAAGTAAGTTCCCAATCACAGCCCCTTGGACAAGTGGCAGGTTCTGTACTCATGAAGGCTTTTGGCAGCACTGTCTCCTTGGGCCATGCCGATCTGACTTATGCTTACTAATAAATTCTGTTTACTGGCCAAAAAAGAAAAAAGAAAGAGAGAAAGAAAAATAAAGAAAAGAATAAGTACTCGTCTATTACAGCTTTCCACCAAACTTCCGTAAGTGCTGAAAAAAATGTTGTATCTCTGCCTGACACTAAAGGATTGTATTAATGATTTTGCTTAGGTTCATTTTGGAAAATAAGTAGAATCATCCTTTAAAATGCAGTATATTTAAAAGAAAAGGGTCTTCTGTATTTTAATATCAATAGGTTGGTTACTTCTGAAGATGATCTCCTCCTCTGTAGTTTCGATGTGGACTCGTTTATATCTAATTTGAGATCAATGCCAGTTGATGGATTAAAGACAGCTGCCTTCAAGAAATTTTCTCACGCTACCTTATGGGTGGTGCCATTCCTAAATTTCTGTAAGCAATCATGTTTCTTTTTCAAAGAAAGTATTTTGGGCCCAAGTAATATGCCACAGTTTAAATATGCTTATGCAGCCCTCTTATTACATACAGTCAAACCACTTAAGCTTTCAGTTCAAAATCACTGTTTCCAGATCAATGATGGCTCAAGTTTAATAGCCAAAAATTTACATTGATAATGATAAATTTTGGGCTTTATAACTTATTTCAAATACTGTATTACTTTCATTTTGCTGTGAGTTTAACTAATCCCAGAGACAAAGAAATTTACTCACTTTAGAACTATGATATAGCAACATCCCAATTCAAGATGTGATTTTTTAAAAAAGGAATATAAGTTAGAGTTCCATTATATCATTTAATAAGTTTTTCACAAAACAGTGGCACCTAGTGGCCTATAAAAATCCTTCTCCGAACTGTTTGTAATTTGTCTTTACTCTTTAGTTTGAATCTGGCATTCATTGCCTACAGCTGGTTCAATTGCTAGTTAGATTCACTAGGATCTCTTGCTTTATAGATTCAAATTTTTGCAATATTAAATTAATCTTTTATTTTTTATTTGTGTACTTAGCCTAATGTCAACAACACTATTCTTACTATTTTGATGTTATTCTACCAGAAATCTTTGTAGGTCGATAGGGCTAATGAGTTACTGCCACTAAAATAGATGAATTACTTTGAAACATCAAACAAGAGACTACCTTAAAACAATGGTTTATAAAAAGAGATTCACTTGGCCGGGTAAGGTGGCTCACACCTGTAACCCCAGCACCTTAGGAGGCTGAGGCAGGTGGATCACCTGAGGTCTAGAGTTCAAGACCAGCTGACTAACATGGCAAAACCCCATCTCTACTAAAAATACAAAAAATTAGCTGGGCATGGTGGTAGCTCCCAGCTACTTGGGAGGCTAAGGTAGGAGAATCTCTTGAACCCGGGAGGTGGAGGTTGCAGTGAGCTGAGATCACACCATTGCACTCCAGCCGGGGCAAAAAGAGCAAAACTCCATTTCAAAAAGAAGAGATACACTTTTGGAAGTAATAAAATGTGCCTTTTTTGCTTCTATAACAGAACTGGGTAGTGTAAGCTATTTTATCACTGCTTATCACCACTTGGTATTAATAGTATATGAATATTCTTTAAACCTACTGCCTAATAAACCTGTCTATAAACCTGACCACAATGTATTCATGTTGAGAACTTTCCTGAATTCTGCTCACTAGAAGAAAGATGTTGATATTATCTTTTCTTTTATTTACTATGACCAAGTATGGCATGCACCAGTTTGGTTTAGGAAAAGCAAATAAAATATTGTCTTTTACATATAAAGAAATTATTAGTAATAATTGAATATATTTTCCTATCAAAGTGATACCCTCATAAAGATTTATCTGCATGATCTAGCCAATACAAGACACTGTAAGACTGCTTTCAAAATTTGTGTTTGAGAACATTTTGTTCCCTCATGAACATTATATGTGAAACTCAACTCTCACTATTACTGTACTCTAAAAACGATTTTAAGTAAATCTGATGGAAATGAACTCAGAAGGCTATTGAATGGCAATTATTAGTTTAAACAAATTTATATTCACACCTAGTTCCACATTTACTGTGTAAAACAAGGAGGAGTTCTGTAATCAGCCTTCATATCAAGAAAGAGAATGTTACAGAACATGTTAAATGGAGGTGAAAATTGAGAATTTTCTAAAGAAAGTTCTTCATATTATAAGCACTATTTCAAACCTTTGGGCCTAATGGATGATATTTATTGAACTAATATTACAATCACTTAAAAAATATGAAAATTTTTCCTGTCAGTATAATTTAAATAGATATTAATCTTTATTTTTGTACTTTTCTTAAAGTAACTCAATTATTTGTATGAAAAATAAACTGTACACTTTTTAATATTGATCATCTATTCCAGAATTTAGAATTACTCTTTAGTTAATACCAGATTGTGTCAAAGGTGCGGTTTTAAATATCTTAGGTGGACTCATTTATTCTTGAGGTACCTTTAAAACAAGTAACATTACCATTCAGTAGTAGCCTGCCATAAAATTTGGTGCCAAAATAAGTTTTCCTTTTTTTTTTTGAGACTGAGTCTCGCTCTGTCACGCAGGCTGCAGTGCAGTGGCGCTATCTCAGCTCACTGCAAGCTCCGCCCCCGGGTTCACGCCATTCTCCTGCCTCAGCCTCCAGTGTAGCTGGGACTACAGGCACCCGCCACCATGTCTGGCTAATTTATTGTATTTTTAGTAGAGACAGGGTTTCACCATGTTAGCCAGGATGGTCTCGATCTCCTGACTTCATGATCCGCCCGTCTCGGCCTCCCAAAGTGCTGGGATTACAGGCGTGAGCCACCACGCCCGGCCAAGTTTTCTAACAATGATATTTTATTTGTAAATCTGTGTAGACTTCACAGCTAATTCACATACAAATATTATTCTAGTCAGCTGGGTCCAAAAATAGTTAAAACGGAAATGGTAAAAAATCCTTGCTACAGGAGTTCAAACTGAAACTTTATAAGGAAAAATTTTATGATTAGATATTAAAAAGTCATGAAATTTGCCTTAGTCATCAACATTCTAAATATCAAAGAGATTGAAAAGTACGGTTAGAATAAAATGTAGTATCAGGTTATTTCTTATTTGAGAAATAATTTAGGAAATGAGTGAGAAACTCTAACTGTGAATACTCATAAAACAATGAACTAATAGTCCCAAATGCCTATGTATTTTCAAGCTATTCCACAATTGTAAGCAACATATAAGTTGATATTCATTTTAAAAATAACAGCTATCAGATAGTATTGATTTTCTTTTCTTTTCTTTTCTTTTCTTTTCTTTTTTTGAGATAGGGTCTCAGTCTGTCACCTGCGCTGGAGTGTAGTGGCGTTATCAGGGCTCACTGCAGTCTTGACCTCCTGGGCTAAAGTGACTCTCCACCTCATCTAGAGTACACAGTGTACTCTAGAGTACACTGGGGCTACAGTTGTGCACCACCATGCCCAGATAATTTTTAAACAATTTTTTGTACAGATGTGGTCTCCCTATGTTGTACAGACTGATCTCGAACTACTGGCCTCAAACAAGCCTCCTGCCTGGGCCTCCCAGACTGCTGGGGTTATGGGTGTGAGTCACCACGCCTGGCCAGATAGTACTTCTAAATTACTATTTTCTTCTAATTAAAACATTACTTGAAAGTATTGAAGCATAGATGTGAGTTCTTGCTGAGAGGAGAAATAAATTGCATTGGTGTTTAGGAGGCATTAACTATTAAATCTGCTGATGGAGTTATATGGGGGTTTGTCAAACACTGTCCACATGTCTCCTCAGAGCTTCCTGGACTTGCCTAGCTTTCAGACTCTGTATTACTATCCCCACTACAGCTGCCACTGCAGAATTTGGGATCTCACTTCACCAGAGGCTGCCATAGGGACCAGGACACAACAAAGAGAGGCAGGCCAGGGCAAATTTTGACCAATAGTTGGTAAGAGACACAAAAGAGACAGCAGATAAATTTCCTATTTTTCCTGCCAATGGACTGTTTCATTACACAAGTTTTCCAGACATGTCATTTTAAGGCTTGTCAGATAGCGATAGATAATATATCCCCTTGCATTTATTTTTCAATCTTCTTTGCCTCACTTTCTTTTTCTCTCACTGTTAGTGCCCTAGGATTATACTTCCAATTAATTAGCATATTAATATATAGGCTTCCCTCCACCTAAAGAACCAAAATTAAGACGGATTCATTGAATTCAAGCTAATAAGGAAAATTAAATACTACTAATCTAATCCATAGACGTAAAAAATCTTGAATGGTGAAACAACAGGGTTTTGCCATGTTGCCCAGGCTGGTCTCAAACTCCCAGGGTCAGGTGATCCTCCCACCTTGGCCTCCCAAAGTGCTGGGATTACAGGTGTGAGCCACTGCACCTGGCAGATGACTGGTTTTAACTAGGGTTATAATTAGTTAACACAGGTTAATTTTTAACTACATCTACATCACAACCTCCACTTTCTGCTAATACACCTTCCTAGAGTTGCCATTTATTGAGATAGGAAGACTGTGGATGACAGTTTTGTGTTGGTGATGGTGGTGGAGAGTTATTAGTAGTTCAGCTCTGGATACTTAAACTTGAGGTGATTATTGGTATTGGGCATCCAAGTAGAGATATAAATAAGGCAGTTGGTTATATGAGTCTGAATTTTGGAGAAAGGATCAGCATGAATGTATTAATGCAGGGATCCTCAGCATATAGATGGGATATTATACTATACTATGAGATTAGATGAAATCCCGTAAAGACTGAATACTGACATGGGGAGAATATCCTGAATGAAAAAGTCCTAGAAGGTTTCCATATTTAGAGATCAGGTAATGAAGATAAAACATCAAGGAGACTGAGAAAGAGTCCAGAGAGAGAGAGAAAAACCCAGATAATGTTATATTTTAAATGTCAAGAATAAAAAATAATATTTCAAGGGGCAGAAAGTCAGCTAATGAGTTCAATAATATTGACAGGTCAGTGAAAATAAAATGGACTGAGGATACAGGCTGGATAGTGCAGTGTAAAGTATGATGGTGAATTTAATAGAAGCATGTTTTATGAAAAATCAATTAGAAGATTTAAGAGCATATGGGAGTGGGCAAAGTGGGCACAGACACAACTCATTCAAGGAATTTTGGTATAGAGGGAAAGGAAGAAAGGAGATGTAAGCAGGATTTCAAAATTTTCAAAAAGCACATTCTAAAGGTAAAGGATGATTTGGGGGATGTTTACACTGGAAGCTAGGAGACTAGTTGAAGGTGTTGCTGATTCAAGTGAGCAACAATGAAGGGCGGCTCTAAGGTAGTGGCAATAGGAATGGAAAAGAAAAAATGGGATTGAAAACCATATAGAAAGAAGACAGAGAAAGAGATGAACTGGATGTGTGGTTAATGAAGACAGGCAGGGCAAATTAGTATTTTTTGAAAATCTATTATGAGTTTCATGTTAAGTGCTTTTATATATTATATAGACAAAATGGATGGAGTTAGAGCCTGAATATTTGGCACAGGAAGGCGCCCAAGCCAGAGCAGAGGTGCAGTTTCTTCTGCAATTGAGGGAGGGGAGCATTCATGTGGTGGCAGATTACCATTCAATCTCCCCCCACAAATATGTGAATTTAGTACTGCTGCCCAACTTTTTTTTTTTTTTTTTTTTTTTTTTTTTGGACAGAGTTTCACTCTTGTTGCCCAGGGTAAAGTGCAATGGCACAATCTCGGCTCACTGCAACCTCTGCCTCCTGGGTTCAAGCGATTCTCCTTACTCAGCCTCCTGCATAACTGGGACTACATCATAGCGTCACCATGCCCAGCTAATTTTCTATTTTTAGTAGAGATGGGGTTTCACCATGCTGGCCAGGCTGGTTTTGAATTCCTGACCTCAAGTAATCCACCCACTTCAGCCTCCCAAAGTGCTGGGATTACAGGCATGAGCCACCGCACCTGGCTGCTGCCCCATTTTTATAGAAGAGGAACTTGAAGATCAAATAATGTTTTTCACATGCCAAAGAATACCAGTTAAGCAGTCCAAGAGCTGTATTTAAGCCAGATTGTTTCGGCTTCAAAATACACAGTTTTCTCATTCTAGATAGAATTCCTTCAGTAGCACTAAAGGAGCAATAGGACCACAGGATTTCTGGCTTGACCAGTTAGGTAGCTAGTGAGACCATTAATGAAAGTATGCAATAATGGGTGGAGGTAAAAGATGATGTGTGCAGTTTTGGATATGATGGTTGTGAAAGATCTGTGATGTAAGCAATCAGATATGTACAGAAGCATTTGCACATGCAACTCCAGAGATCAAAAGATACATCCTCTGATGTAGATACAGTCAGAGGCATTCATCTACCCTTCCAGTGAGAGGGAATAGAATTATAAGAGAGGAGAACTTACATAGAACTTTGGAGATTAACCATCTTTTAACAGAGGCAAAAGGGCTCACAGAGGAGACCAAGACTAATCAGATAGTTCAGTATATCATCAAAAGAAATTATTTTCACAGACGGTAAGAGAGAAGAGAATTTCAAAAGGATCTAGTAGCTAACAGGAAAATGCAGCAGTTTATTTAAAAATGTGCAATGAAACATTTTCCTTGATGTTGGAAATTAGGTCACCAGGGACGCTTGAGAGAAGAGCAATTTGGTGGAAGGATGGAGGTAAAAAGGAGCATTGGAATTTATTAGGACTACTCTTTCAAAGAACTTGTCTGAGAAGGGAAGGGCATATAAAGAGGGATATAGAGTCATACACCATTTGGATTTGTAAAGATAGCTTAGCCTTAAATATAATTTTATTTTTTACGATTATTTTTTAAAAATCAAGTGCTAATTATGTGTTAGTGTTCTTGCACTTTATATGAAGTGTTGTGTTTACTTCTCACAAAAAATTTATGAGGCATCTATGAGATAGCTCTCCTTATTTTTAAGACAAGCCTAGTAAAGCACAGAAAGGTTAAAAACTTGCCCAAGATTAACTAGCTAGAGTTAGAGCCAGGATCAGACCCAGGAAGTCTGACTCAAAAGCCCTTGTATATAACCATTGCCTCTTGAGTAAGAGTTAGGAGGGGTAGAAATGGAAGATCCTGGAGAAAGAAGAAAACAAAATGAGTGGAGTGACAGCCCGAGTGTGTGGAACAAGGAGGAGCTCAAGCCAGAGCAGGGGTGCAGAGTTACTTCTGCAGTTCAAAGAGGAGAGCATCAGTGTGGTGGCAGATGTTCCCAATCTAACTAGAAAACATTTTTTTCTGCACACAAAATAGCTAAGGTAAATATATAAATTTTCCAAACAGTTTAATTTTTTTTCAAGTTTATTTACTTCGTAAGCCATTTTTTTTCTTTTGTAGAAAATTTACTAAATACTAAATACCTATGCTAAATACTGGTAACTATCAGGGAGACTTTGTGTTTTCTGTTCAATCGATCAGTCTGTTCATGCATATTAGTTATTGTAGCTTTATTTTACATTTTATTTATTTATAAAACAAATACTGAGCAACTACTCTGTGCTTCATGTGTTGTTTTGATATACATGATGAGTAAGATCAATAGACACATACATGCTCAGACCCCCACTTACAGTGGATTCCAGGGATCAGCAAACTTTTGTTTACAGGACTGTACAGTAAATCTTTTAGGCTTTATGGAGCCATTCTGCTCTGTTGCAATCACTCAACTCTGCCACTGTAGCTAAAAGCAGCCAGACAATATGCAAATGAAGACTGTGGCTGTATTCAGATAAAAATTTATTTGTAAAAACAGGCGTGGCCTGCAGGCTGTAGCTTGCTGACCCCTGTGCTAGGCTGGCAATACAGTTATCTGGGTGATGAACTGTCAAATAATAGTGAAAAAATATTTTGGAAGTGACGATGGAGATTTAAGAAACTTTACTTCTTTTTTTTCTGACCCAACTCTAATTTCATGTTTGTGGTTAAGGTAGAGTAACAGACATCTTGGCTTGTCCCAGGCAGTTTAGGTTTATGCCTGTGATCCCAGCCTTATGATAAACAGACTGCCCCCCAACATCCCGCTTTTCACTCTTTGAAATTTTCCAGTTAGAATGATGAAGTGTACCGTTGCCCTAAATTTAAGAGCTAAAAAAAAATCTTTCTCAATAGGAAAAAGAAGCAGATCTCAATTAAGGCAAAGCTATGGCAGGAAGACATAAAGGACATATAGGAGTTTCTTTACTGAAGGAGGTTTTCCAGAGGCCATATTAGGAAAGGGTGGGAAGGGAGGAGAATTGGGATTTTTATTTAATGGGGTGCATTAAAAATGAAAGAAAAAAGGGAGAATGAGAAGTAAAGAAACAACAACAGTAAAGGAATGAGAGTCTGGGAGAGGAATTAAAGAGATACACTGTTTTATTTGATCAATATTACAAATGGAATATTACTGATAGCTTGTTATGTCTCCTTTAAGAGAAGTCTAGCCCAGATTATTGTTGTATACCCACTGGGAAACAAGGCAAGTTTGTTCTTCAGGCAAAAGTTCACAGAGGAAAGAATCCATTCTCAGAATATTTACATTCCTATTTTCTAAATGTAGTTGGTTTTCAGAAAACATCTAGAGATTGAGATAAGCATTCAAATTTAGAATGTTTATCCAAACCAGATCTTTAAAGCTACACTCATTATACGTATTTCCTGTTGATTTGTAAGTCCAGTATTTTCTCTCTACCTGCTGCCTCCTCTTTTCCTAGCAAGAGCAAATATCATCTCCTTGGTAAAGTTTTCCTGGCATTACTCACTCTATCTTCTGTACTCCCCTATGACACTGAACTCATACATATACTTAGAAATAGATTTGCTATGAAGAAAATGATGCTTCAGTTTCAGGGTAAGCTCCTTCGGAGCCCTTGCCATGTGTTCACATGGATATATGCTTTTGTGACTTTGGCAAATGTAAGATTTTTTTAAAAACTGCCATTGGATAAGTAACATTGCTTCTCCTATTTAACACTCGCTAGTGCCTGTGGTTTGGCAGAGGCTACAAGCATTTCTGGAATCTGTTTAAGGCGATACACTGAGCATGGAATTAGGGGCTTGTGTTTATGTGCTTTACAGTCATTTCCAAGTGCAGTTGTGTTACTGCTGGCCTAGCAGTCCCATGTAGAAATAGTTTCCAGGAGGACTCCTGCTAACTCGCTAGTTCACTCAGCTTTGTGAAACACACAAAAAGTGCAAGTCAAAGGTTATGCGGTGGCTTGCAGGCATCGTTTAGGCAAATTTATACGTGTGAAAGAGAAAGAAGGAGAATACAGGATTTGTCTTAGGGGTAGGGAGCTTCCTTGGCTGAGGTCACAGCCTTTTCTGGGAAGCCCACATCGCATGACTAAGGCAGGCGAGGTAGACGGCTAGCATGGGACTCTTTAATGGGCTACAACTGGCCTGGCAGAGGCAGTCAGGACTGCTTTGCAATTCCACTCGTTCTGCAGCCCAGTTCTGCTTCCTCTCTTTACTTTTCTATTACTCTCTAAGAAACATCTTATACTCCAGTCTCCACCTCAGCATCTGCTTCTGGGTAATACAATTTATGACAATAATCTTGGTTTGGAAAATTCCGTTAGTAATAATTTTCAGATAAAACGTAAAATTCTGACTCTCATGCAGATATAAGCATGAACAATATGTTAAATAAAGTGTTTATTTTACTCATGGTATTGGGAAACCAGGCAGATGTTACAATTGATTTAAAATGAAAGTTAAGGCCGGGTGAGATGCCTCACGCCTGTAATCTCAGCAGTTTGGGAGGCCGAGGCAGGCGGATCATGAGGTCAGGAGATCGAGGCCATCCTGGCTAACACAGTGAAACCCTGTCTTTACTAAAAAAATACAAAAAATTAGCTGGGCGAGGTGGTGGGCCTTTGTAGTCCTAGCTACTCAGGAGGCTGAGGCAGAGAATGGCGTGAACCTGGGGCGGAGCCCGCAGTGAGCTGAGATCGTGCCACTGCACTCCAGCCTGGGCCACAGAGCGAGACTTCATCTCAAAAAAAAAAAAAAAAAAAAAAAGAAAGAAAGTAGTACAGCTATTTAGACAAATTGCAACAACCTTTAGTGGCTACAAATGACTTCCTACAATTAAAAATTAAACATAATATTGGCTCTGTTATTCAAACATATGCTTTCTAATAGAAATATAAACCTAATCAGACTTATTTAAACAATTATATAGAAAAATATGATCAAATTTTTTATCCTTGAAATATAAGTACTGAATTGCATATTGACTAAAATAAAAGTATGTGGAATACAGATAAATGCATGATAATTTAGAATAATATTGTCAATGTGTTAAAAATGTATACAATTGTGTCTGACCATATATCTCTTCAGGGCACAATCCAATTGTCTCTTGCGACAGGATTACAAATTCACAAATGGGATAAGGTGTCTACTGAGTAATTTTAAAGTCCAATTAAAAAGGTATAAATTCTGTCATAATTAAAATTTTTGGAAACTATGTCAAGTCTTCTGGAAATTTGTGGACTTTAATATTTTATAATATTATTACTTAAATTTTCCAATTCAAATGTTTGAAGTGTGACAACAGATTTAAAATCATTGATGGGAGTAAGTTTAAATGATGTGTTTGATATTTTAAGGGAGCTATTTATTCCTCACATTCGAGTGATGTGTATGGGTAGTTATTTGTACAAATTTTTCACATTGAATGGAAGAATAGAGTCCTTTGTATTCAAGAAGATATTTGGGAGCCTACTCTACAGATATGGAATTACTGTAGGAAAACACAATAGAAAACAGGCTGTATTGTTCTTCCTCAAAGTGTACAAAAGGCAATCAAACAAGTGAACTAAAGTATAGTAATTATTGAGAATGTTGATGGTACCCTTAAGAAGATTAAGCCACAGAAAATAAATGCTCTTCTGTGGATAAATTCTCTGAAAAATCTATTAAGGGAGGTGGCAAATTCCTGCTTTCTACTTTTCACAAAGCAATCCATTTGTGTAATCTACCAAATCATATTTCTTGATTTAACTTATAGAACATGGAAGGCACAATTGATTACTGGAGAGATAACAAATAGACATGACAAAAAGAAAAAAATAAGAGAGAGGAAACAGCTAAAATGAAGACAATAAAGGTGCCATTTGCAGAACAGCTCTGACTTCAGGATTTAAAGAAGCAGACACCTATGCATTCAATTTAGTTTACAAGGCAGCCTCCAACAATGAAGATGAATTAAAGACTCAGGGAACAATGCCCTTGATGTTAATTCCTTTATAGTTATCATTCTCTGTAAAACTGCTTAGAGATTGGATAGATATGACCTAATATTTTTATTCATGTTTTTGTAATTTTAAAATCAATTGCTCTCTGCTGCTTCTCAGATACTGACAGCTAAATCCATATTGTAAATACTCAGAGTCTAGATTTTGGAAGAAATATAAGAAACAAAGCAAAAACCATTATTCTAGATTAATACTTTTAAAATCAGGAAATTTAATGGCTAAACAATCACATTAGAATTTATCATTATAGTTTTAAAATAGGGAATGACTTGCTAGCATGTGAAGTACCCTTGCATTGGCCTCAGATGATAAATCTTTTTTTATTTTTTTTTGTTTTTATTTTTTTGAGATGAGTCTCACTGTGTTGCACAGGCTAGCATACAGTGGTGCGATCTTGGCTCACTGCAGCCTCCACCTCCCGGGTTCAAGCGATCATCCTGCCTCAGTCTCCTGAGTAGCTGGGACTACAGGCGTGTGCCATGACGTCTGGCTAATTTTTAGATTTTTAAATTAGAGACAGGGTTTTGCCATGTTGGCCAGGCTAGTCTCGAACTCCTGACTTCAGGTGATCTTCCTGCCTTGGCCTCCCAAAGTGCTGGGATTATAGGCGTGAGCCACCGCGCCTGGTCACAGATGATAAATTTTTGATGACTGAATCTATTATTGATGAAAATATTAAGAGGGTTTTGTACTGGGTTGTAAAATGTCATAATCCCACTCTTTAGATCAATAGAATAATGAATTTTAGTAATTATTTCACATGGGTAGTGGAAACTCTCTTAAGTTCCTTCCTTAAAAAAAAAAAACACATTATCTTAAACCAGCTAGTTCATGCTGTCTACTAATTATGATTATTAACATGGTCCTTGCCTTAAGAATAAGTATATAATATGAGGACTAAGAAATTTATTAGGCTCATGCATATGCATATTTACCACAAACACAGTGACCTGACCCATTTCGGGCAATGAATTCATAAAGACATCTTACTTTTGGGATTCCCGCCACCCCTTTAATTTATTGAGTGGCACTATATTATCCCTTACTCATGGAGGCACACTTACACTGATCTATGACTTGATTTTTCTGGTTGTTTTCAGTAATCAAAATCCCTATGCATATTTACCCATCTCAATTCCAAAATTAAGCAAACTTCACTTTTAGTTTCTCCTTTTCCTTCCAGTGATTTCTTGTCTTGTCGTCTTACAGCTGCCTTTGCTCTCAATAACTGTCTTATTCAAGGAATATATTTTTTGAGCATTTCTCTTGTACTCATCAATGTGCTAGGCCATGGGTGTTCAACAGTAAACCAGACACATGGTTCTTTCTTTCAACGAGTTTACAGTCTGCTTAGGGGAAAAACATAATAAACATTTTCAAAACAAAAATAAATAATTGTCATGAAATAAGCAAATGAAAGAAACCTAAATAAATTATTGTCATGAAATATGCAAATGAAAGAAACGTAAAAATCTATGATTGTTTTCCCTCAGGAACACCCAAAATCTGATGGTACCTCTGCAGATATTCCCATTCTAACCTTGTAGAAGAAGCAATGCTCCTTATTCCCCACAGTACAACTAAAATTAAGCTCCAAAGTTTAACCAAGTTTTACTGAAGGCCTGGGAATACTTGAATGTATGGGATAGAATCAGCAACCCCTCCTGAAGTTTTAGAGCCCGCGGGACAAACCCTATTTGCAAAGTCCATATCTATTGCTGGTGGGCTTCAAGAGATGGAAGGTTAGTTTTCACCCATGTGAATCTGCAGTCATTTCTACACCTTTCCATCTACGCCCAACTGCCCTTGGACCAAGAGAGGAATAAACATTTTCCAATCAGAGGCCAATTCCTTGGATGACTGAGTGTAAGTCTATCCTTTTTCTTCCAGGAAGTGTGCTCTTAACAGCAAGAACTAATCAAGACATTCACAATAGTTCACATTAAACATCCAAAACCCAGGTTATTCAGCCTTTAATAACACTATTCTTAGGACAAAAACCACTTACTCTGAGTAGCCTTTCTCCAAATCTAGTCCAATTCCTTGTTGGAAACTTCACTGTGTTATGAGCAGAAGAGAAGGTCAGTTTTGTGTGTCTAACCTGTTATTGATTTAGACGAATATAGCCTTTTGGGAACTTCTTGGGCAAAAACACATAGATGTCTCAAGAACAAATAATGATCTTCAGTTACAGATTGATCTAAATTCAAATTTTAGTACAAAAGATTTTCTCAATATTGAGAGCACATGCAATTTGCATTTATACGTGGATTCAAGCATCTGATTTTAAAACAACTTATCAACGATCAGGACTTGTAAGAAGAATTTATGGGAAGGTGCTTTATCAGTTCTTGACTACAGGGTATCATCAAAAGGTCACTTTTAAGAAAAAAGTAAAGAATTTCGTTAAAGATATTTCATTATTCGCCTGAAAGGGTAAAAACTGCTTATAAGTTCCTCAAATCATAATTTTTCCAGTTCAGATCCATCAGGTATCTGATTAACCATATTTGACTCTAAGCACAACTGTGCCACGTAAGGCCTGAGTTCTTATCTTTTTACCTCTGTGCTCTAGCATCTAGTCCGTGACTGCCTGTCAACATTTAATAAAAGCCTGAATGAATTACCTATCTATTAAAGTTCAACCACTTAATAGTTTTATGACTGGGCCAATTATTTAACCAATCAAAGGCTCAATCATGTCATCTATAAGTTTGCAATGGGGTTATTGGGAGAATTAAAGGCCTAGCATGTCATTAATGCTAGCTATTATTATTGTTGTTGCTTTTAATGATTATATGACTCTGATTGGAGGTAGATTCAGAAGCAGTGGGCTCCAATCAGGAAACAGAGAGTCAAGCTGAGAAGAGGTCCTATGAATCAGTAAAATGATTTATTAATGTTGAAAAAACCATAGGCAGGAAACCCCACAGGCATGATGACAGGTTCTAAATGTGACTGGACTGAGGTAATCAGGAAACACCATTACAGCCAAAGACCTCCACACATATTCTCTTTGTTATGGAGTCTTAGCTTTTAAACAAATTATTTATTACTATTGTCTAGCAATGAGTCCACCCTTTTATATTAGTAGGAAAAAGACATATTGGAGATGCTTTGAAAGGTGGCCTTTTACAAACAGATTCTTACATTTGCAAACAAGCCTCAGATCCCAGGTCTGTTATTGTGTTTCACAAGTTCAAACCAATTTTTCAGGCAAATTTTAATCAACATATGAAATGTCACCAATAACAATGTATTAGTGATAGACTGATGTTTTGAAAAATATCCGCTGACAAGGAGAAGCTTTCTTTATATAAAATGTATTACAGTTTTCTTCCTCTTACTACTTCATTTCAGTTTCCCCTGGAAAAAGGTCCTGGAAATGTATGGAATAAAAAAATGGATGATTGGGTAACGGTTACCCATCAATGTTAATGCACTTAATTCTACTAAATTTTATACTTAACAATGATTGAAATGGTAAATATTATGTTACATATATTTTAAAATACCACAGTTTAAAAAATAGATTACTGGGTATAAAAGTAATAGATTCATGTATAAATACGATTGTGCTAAATAACAAAGCCCACATTTATTTTTATTTTTTAGAGACAGGATTAGGTAATGACAGGCAGAGAAGTGATAGAGGGCATCAACATCTCCCTTTTTCCTCTTTCTTTCCAACATCTCCCTTCTTTCTCTCTCCAGCCAGCTTCCATCCGCTACCCCTGTCTGCCCCACTGACTCCATCATAAACTTTGAACAGTTGGGGCCTTTTAAAAGAATTAATCTGAGTCTTTTAAAAGCTATATTTCTCTGGCTGGGTTGGAGGAATGAGGCTTTAAGTTATCCTTCTGAAGCTCTATGAAATTTTTGGTTAGTATATGGCCAAACAATGAAAACACATTTAAATGCCAATATTTTTGCTCATTGACAGCTGTAGAGACAGGGTTAGGGTTTGCTTTCTTTTATCTTTTAATAGATTGGGTCTCATTATGTTGCCCAGGCTGGTCTCAAACTCCTGAGCTCAAGCCATCTTCCCACCTCAGCATCCAGAGTAGCTGGGACTGCAGGCACACACCACATTTTTGAATGTAAAGAAAAATATGTGCTTCAGTGGAAAACTACAGATTGTTAGGCCCTACAGAATACCTCTTCAGGTTATCTGGTTCTGATTCTTTGGAAGCTATTTTACCACTGTGTTAAATGTAGATAACTGATAATAATGCAAAAAAAAATTATTGTCTACAGGCATATGAAATTTTTCCTTTCTGGAGAGAGGTTTAATTGACTGCAATTTTCCCTCCCCTACTTCTGGAAAAACAGTTTTGCACCCATCTGCACATTTACTTCAATATTCCTGATCTATAAATGCATCTGTTCATGAGTTCTTGTTTGAACCAGTTATAATATCTGCCTGTTTTTAAAGATTGAGTTAAATAGCAATGAACAACTGTTTATTTTTATATCTGTGTGAGCATCATGATTTTACCATTGTGTGAAAATTATCTGTTAACAAGGACAAGGAAAGATGTTTATTTTCCTTTAGACATAAGGGAGAGAAAAAGAGTAAGTTTATAAATTTGTGTTTTACCATGTTTGAAATTATATTTTGTAATAAAGATTGTATTATTGACTGAAACATATATAAAAATGTTGAGTAGTTTTCTCAAATCCATATTGCCTTTGGAGCCCTGTTGTAGTAAAAAAATTTATACTGTGGCTCATCTGTTAACTAAAATTCCAAAAGACTGTGCAAAAATTAACCATAGGTAGCATCTTACATTTTTTCTACAGAAAAAAATTTCCACAGTAACTAAGGAAAAAAAAAAGTGTGGCACAGATTTTGACAAAAGCTCTTTAAGTAAAATTTAAAATATTTTCAATAAAATATGATTAGTATATTTTAGTTCCAAATAAAATACGCTCCTTTTCTCATATAAACATTTTATGGATGGTGCAAGTGTGTGCGTGCCCATGTGTGCAGAGAGAGTGCGTGGGGAGACATTTTAAAAATCACTGCCTTTCAAAAACACATGCTTTAGCTTCTACGGTGTCTTTAATGAACACTTTTGAGATGGATTAAACATTTCCTTATGACTGTAATGCTGCAAATATGAAAAAGAAATGTTACAACTGGGTATGTCAGGGAGGGAAAAAAGTAGCAATAGGTGTTGCTATCAGAAATTTGTTTACCTGTGTACCTTGGAAAACGTTCAATGGCTGACTAAAATTTCTAAATATTGCTAAATATTTCTAGTAAATGTATGCTTTTAGCAGGCTACATCAATTAAGAGATCTGGAGGCATTGGTTGAGATAGTAAATATTGACAATAATCTACAGTGAGTTTTATCATTAACTATGCCACTAGGAGGACCCTCATCAAACTCTTTCATTCTCCCAAGATATGTCTATTAGTCAGTTGTCCAGAGAAACACAGCCAATAGGATATATCTCCTATATTCCATATATATATATCCTATATATTCCATATATATATGGAATTGACTCTTGCTATTATGGGGGCTAACAAGTCCCAAGATTTGCAGTTGGCAAGCTAGAGACCCAGGAGAGTTGATGGTGTAGTTCTTATTTGAAGGCTCCAGAAGAGCCGATGTTTCAGTTTGAGTCCAGAGGCCTCAACCCATATAATATAGCGTGCTTGGAACTTTTTATAAATCGAGTCAGTTAATTCTCATAATAATTCTATTTGGTAGGCTTTGTGATTCCCAGTTTAAGGATAAAAAAAATTGCTTAAGAACCATAGTTGCAATTGGTACCCTGGTTTGTTTCATTTCAGATGCACTATGTTCTTCCTACTTTACCACGACTCTCACAGTATCTATGGATTCTGCCTTCTCTATCATTGTCTTTCCCTTTTTCAAAACATCAAATATGAAAATCATGGACAAGCTAAGTATTTTAATGTGTATATTATTTTTTCTATGTTTCATAAACATTCAAAGTATTCTTTAATTTGGAATATTTAACATATGAATGTATGCTATCTTCAGATTTGTGTGTGGGGGGGAGTGTATGTGTGTGTGTGTATGTGTGTGTGTACATATGTGTATATATATCTGTATATATATACATTTTTTATAAACTCAGTTGTTGTGAATACTTTCTAGAATCTGGTCACCACTAGATTAACCAGTGAAATTAAGATTTTTTGACTTACAAAATTGAGGAACAGAACTTGTATCCATGGTGACTTCACGAATATGCCGACACCTGGCAAAGCTCACTGGGAAACATCTTGTCAGCCTCTTTCAGAAATGCATATGAAAAGAGAAACAGGATAATGAGAAATTCATTGAAAAGCAACTCATGAGTAATAGAAAATTTAAAAAGTACAACTGAACTCATATTTATATCCCATGTGCCAGTCACTGTGGAAGCAACGATGACAGAAATATGATCCTTGCCCTCAAAGAGCTAATATTTTTATAGGGAGAGATAACATATATATAAAAATCACAATGAACATTAAAAGTGATGGGCACTGTAAATAAAAACACAAGGCAAAAATGTTCTTCAGGGGAGAAATTTGAGTCAGGGCTTGAGTAAAGGTAATATTTCTGAGGGAACATGGGTAGGTGGGGCAGTGAGAAATAATGTGAATAAGTCCCCTGTGGTGGAGGTGAGTAATTGAGGGATGTCCCATGGGAGGGTTGCACCCCCCACTACCAGCCCTCCCACTGACTGGTAGGTTTAAGAGTTTGAAGTAATTTGACCTTCATATGGTTAATTCCAATAGATGAATTTTAGTTATTTTCTCCGATGTGTCAGCAGACATTGAGACTTAATCACTTCCTGCATTTAGAAAGGCTTCCTTCCTTTAGCTTCTTTGACTCTTCTGTCTCCGAAAATTATTATCTTCAACAGCTGCCCTCAAATTTACACGTCTATCACATGTCTCCTCCAAGCTCCATTTGTCTCCTCTAAGTGGTTCCATAGGCAGATAAAAGTTTTTCTACCTGAAACTGAAAGTAAACATGTTCTTTCTCCTCCTCCTCCATTGCAAGCCTGGAATCGCTCCAGTTCTTTTTCAAAGCAAATAGCATAATCATCTAACTAGTTGCTAAAATCAGCAATTCAAGAGTCATCCTTGATACCTCCCTCTCCCAGATAACACCAGATCCAGTGCATCCAAACTCGTGTCAATTTTACCTCCCAGCTATCTCTCAAATCCACCTCTTCTCTATCCCTCCCTCACTGTTCTTTAGCTAGGCTGGCTTATTTTGGTTTCTAGAATGTACTTTGCTTCTTTTTGCTTTGATGAATTTGCATATGCAGTGTTTATTATTTGGAATCTTCTATCCCAACCATCCCACCATTAAAAACCATTATTGTTTTCAGACCACAGCTCAAATACAACTTTCTTTCTTTTTTTTTTTTTTTTTTCTGAGATGGAGTTTCAGTCTCATTGCCCAGGCTGGAGTGCAATGGCTCTATCTGGGCTCACTGCAACCTCCGCCCCTGGGTTCAAGTGATTCTCCTGCCTCAGCCTCTCAAGTAGCTGGGATTACAGGCATGCGCCACCATGCCCAGCTAATTTTGTATTTTTGGTAGAGATGGTGTTTCTCCATGTTTGTCAGGCTGGTCTCGAACTCCCGACCTCAGCCTCAGCCTCCCAAAGTGCTGGGATTACAGGCGTGAGCCACCATGCCCAAATACAACTTTCTTGATGATGACTTTTTCATCCTCCAGATTAGAACTTTTCTCTTGGTTATATCTTCTCATAACTCCTGTAGTTCTCCTTTGCATCTGTATCGCAATTATACTTACAAGGTTAATTTTGTAATTATTTATCAAATTAGTTTATTAGTCACCACTAGGCTATAAATTACATGAGGGCGAGAACTGGCTGTCTTGTCCTAATGCGTAATATAAGTTAAATATATACTTGATGAATGAATGGCAGAATGAATAAACTAGAGGCAAGGAGGTTGGAAAAGAGGCAGTAATTTAGGCTTGTATTAATGCAGAAGTAGGTAGGCTGGAATAGATGGAAAAGTTTTGAGGTTAAAAATGCATAACACAAACTTAGCAACTACAGAATAGTTTTGAGGAATGGTTTAAGAAAATAAGATGTGTTTACTTTTTGGATGCAGGGATTTAGGCGAAGGGAGAATCAAGGAGGACTCCTAAGTTTCAAGGTTGGTTGTTCATTGACTGTTTAATGTGAGAAGTGCTCAGGGCTGAGACCAGAGGCCAGGGAATATCAACAGGAAGGGGTTGAGGGCAGCAGCAGAGGAGAACCGACACACACACACATACACACGTACACATATACATCTATTTTTTTAATCTACTCACCTATCTGTAGATCTAGTGCATGAGATAACACTGATATCTCCAATTCCTATCTAACACTACAGGATTAATTCTAGCTTTTTCCCTTTTCCTATTGGTACCTCTTTTCATTGACAGTAAGAAACCTAGCTCTCATTACACTTAATGTATTTACTAATTTTATCAATATTCTTGTATGTAACTAATGTCCTGTTACCGTCACCATTTTTTCTTACACAGATAACTTTCTTTTTCTACAAGGGATATGATACTTTTTAACAGGCAGATAGCTGCACGGACATCCTCCTGGCCCCTCTAAGGCTCTGACACCCTGAACCAGACAAAATTCCTGTGCAAAAGCCCTCCTCACTCTGCTTGGGTTTCCACATCCAACATCAGGCCACCTCCCAGCATAGATGTCCTCCTCACTCTGTAAGGGTTATGACACTCCATGCGAGTCTATTCACCTCCTGAACGTACGCCATATACACCCCACTGGGGTGTATGCACTAGGAGGGTGCAACCCCTCCCCATTCCAAAGTCTGCATAGCTCAGACTCACCAACAACTTTTGGGGAGGATCATAAGGCAAAGGCAAACTACATACTCATTGTAAATCCTCTTTTTAGAATATATCATTAACATTTCCTGTATCACTAACTGACCTTCCTCTACATGACATTTTGATATTCCATTTTCTTAATGCTCCTGTCTTTTATAGGATGTTCCTTTTTCTTTTATCATGGGAATTATTGAAGATATTTAAGTAGGTAAATTTGATTTTATGTAGATCACATAATCCATACATATTACATCTCATTTTTAGGAAGTTTCATTTCATTCCTTTAGGAATAGAAATGTACTTTATTTTATTTATTTATTTATTTATTTATTTATTTATGTATTATTTGAGATGGAGTCTCACTGTCACTCTGTAGCCCAGGCTGGAGTGCAGTGGCATGATCTCGGCTCACTGCAACCTCTGCCTCCCCGGTTCAAGCAATTCTCCTGCTTCAGCTTTCTGAGTGGCTGGGATTACAGGTGCACACCACCACGACTGGCTAATTTTTCTTTTTTTTGTATTTTTATTAGAGATGGGGTTTCACCATATTGCTCAGGCTAGTCTCCAACTTCTGACCTCATGATCCGCCCCCCCCCCCCTCGACCTCCCAAAGTGCTAGGATTACAGGCCTGAGCCACCGCGCCCGGCTGAGAAATGTACTTTAAGTGAAAATATTGTGGTTGGAGCTCCAGCTTTGCTGTATAATCTTCCCTACCCAGGACCGTGATTTCTCCTCTTAAAATAAGGGCATTTAATTCATTTTCTCATCAGGGACTTTGTGCTAGTCGCTACTTCTGCCTGTATCACCCTGCCCCAGGATGTAAAATTTGTTTCCTTTGGTTGTTCCGGCCTAAATTCTCTGAAGAATTAGCATCACATAGGTATTTTTCTTTACTTCTTTCCTGTTTGGTGTGCAGAAGTCTCAAATTATCTAGGAAAGTGTCACCCAGGCTGGAGTACAATGGCGTGATCATGGCTCACAGCAGCCTCCACCTCACAGGCTCAAGCGATCATCCCACTTCAGCCTCTGGAGTGGATGGGACTACAGGTGTGCGCCACCAGATCTGGCTAATTTTTTTTTTTCTTTTTTCTTTTTTGAGACAGGGTCTAACTCTGTCACCCAGGCTGGAGTGCAGTGGCACCATCTCAGCTCACTGCAACTCTTGCCTCCTAGGCGCAAGGAATCCTTCCACCTCAGCCCCTCTAGTAGCTGGGACTACAGGCAGACACCGCCAAACCCAGCAAACTTTTGTATTTTTGGTAGAGAAAGGGTTTTACCATGTTGCCCAGGCTAGTCTCAAACTCCTGGGCTCGAGCAATCCGTCCTCTCTAGCCTTCCAAAGTGCTGTGATTATAGTTGTGAGTCACTGCACCAGGGTTTTTTTTTTTTTTAATTTTGTTTTCAGTTGAGACATAATTGTACATTTTTATGGGGTAAAGTGCAATGTTTTAATACATATATACACCGTATAAAAATCAAATCAGAGTACTTAACATATTCATCACCTCATGTATTTATCATTTCTTTGCTGTGAGAACGTTCAAAATCCTCTCTTCTAGCTATTTTGAAATATACAATACAGTATTGCCAACCAGAGTCTCTCTGTTGTCAACACCAACATTTATTTCTCCTATTTTACTGTAAACTTTGTATCCATTGACCAATCTCTCCTCATCTCCTCCCCAATCCCCCCTCATCTCCTCCCCAATCCCCCCTCATCTCCTCCCCAATCCCCGTCCCCTTAGCCTCTGTGGTAACCACTATTCTACTCTGTACGTCTATGAGATCAACTTCTTTAGTTTTTACATGTGAGTGAGATCATGAGGTATTTACCTTTCTGTTCCTGGCTTACTTCACTTAACATAACGATATGGTTTGGATTTGTGTCCCCATGCAAATCTCATGTGGAATTGTAATCACCATTGTTGGAGGAGGGGCATGGGGCAGATGTCCCTCTGGCTGTTCTCATTATATTGAGTGAGTTCTCAGGAGTCTGTGTTTAAAAGTGTGTAGCACCTCCCCCTTTGCTCTCTCTCTCCTGCCACCATGTAAGACGTACCTACTTCTCCTTCCCCTTCCACCATGATTGAAAGTGTCCTGAGACCTCCCCAGCTGTTTCCTGTACAGCTTGCAGAACCATGAGCCAATTAAGCCTCTTTTCTTTATAAATCATCTGGCTTCAGGTATTTCTTTAGCAGTGTGATAACAGACTAATACACATTATGTCCTTCAGATTCATCCATACTGTTGCAAATGACAGGATGGCTGAATAGTATTCCATTGTGTATATATAGCACTTTAAAAAATCCATCCATTGATGGACACTTAGGTTGATTCCATAGCTGGGCTATTTGTGAGTAGTGTTGCAATAAACATGGGGGGGCAGACATCATTTTGATATACTGATTTCATTTTCTTTGGATAAATACTTATTAGTGGGATTGCTGGATCATATGGTAGTTCTGTTTTGTGTGTGTGAAAACTCCATACTGGTTTCCATAATGGCTGTACTAATTTACATTCTCATCAACAGTGTATAAGAGTTCCTCTTTCTTCACATCTGTGCCAGCTATTGTTATTTTTTTGACTTTTTGATAATAGCCATTCTAATTAGAGTGAGGTGATATCTCATTGTGGTTATGTTGAGCATTTTTTTCCATATGCCTGTTGGCCATTTGTATATCTTCTTTTGAGAAATATCTACTCAGGTTTTTTGCTCATTGAGAATTGGATTTTTTTTTTTTAACCATTGAGTTGTTTGAGCTTCTTATATATTCTTGATATTAACCTTTGTCTGATGTATAGTCTGCAAATATTTTCTCCCATTCTTTTCACTCTATTGTCTTTTCACTCTATTGATTGTTTCCTTTGCAGTACAGAAGATTTTTAGTTTGATGTAATTCTATTTGTCTATATTTGGTTTTGTTGCTGGTGCTTTTGGGACCTTATCCAAAAAATTTTCACCCACACCAACATCACAAAGCATTTCCCATATGTTTTCTTCTAGCACTTTTATTGTTTCAGGTCTTACATTAAGATATTTAATCCATTTTGAGTTGATTTCTGATTATGGTGAGAGATAATGGTCTAGCTTTGTTTTTCTGTATGTGGATATCCAATTTTCCCAGCACCCTTAATTGAAGGGACTGTCCTTTCTCCATTGTGTGTTTTTGACACCTTTGTCAAAAATCACTTGTCTGTAAGTGTCTGAATTTATTTTTGTGTTCTCTAGTCTGTTTCATTGCTTTATGTCTCTGCTTTTATGCCAATGCCATGCTGTTTTGGTTACTACAGCTTTTTAGTTAATTTAAAGTCAGATAGATAGTGTGACACTTCCAGTTTTTTTCTTTTTTCTTAAGACTTCTCTGGCTATTGAGGTCTTTTGTGGTTCCATACACATGTTAGTTTTTTTTTCTATTTCTGTGAAGAATGCCACTGGTATTTTGATAGGTATTGCATTGAATCTGTAGATCACTTTGGGTAGTAGGAACAGTCTAACAATATTACTTATTCCAATTCTTGGGCATGTAATATCTTTCTATTTATTTGTGTCTTCAATTTCTTTCATGAATGTTTATAGTTTTCAGTGTAGAGATCTTTCATCTCCTTGGTTAAATTTATTCCTCAGTATTTATTATTTTTTTGTAGTTATTGTAAACGGAATTGTTTTCTTGATTTATTTTTCAGATAGTTTGCTATTAGTGTGTATAAATGCTACTGATTTTTCTATGTTGATTTCGTATCCTGCAAATGTACTAGATTAGCTTATTTGTTCTAACAGGCTTTCTTTTTGGTGGAGTTTTAGGGGTTTTAAAAAATATGTAAGATCATGTCATATGCAAACGGGGCAATTTAACTTCTTCATTTCCAATTTGGATGCCATTTACACTCTTCTCTTGCTGAATTGCTCTGGCTAGGATTTCCAGTACTATGTTGAATAAAAGTGATGAAGGTGGGTATCCTTGTCTTGTTCCAGATCTTAGAGGAAAATATTTCAGCTTTTCCCTATTAAGTATGATTCATTCATTGTTTGACAAGTTTTCTGTAATTTACTGTCCTCCTGTGGATCCCTTTAGTTTTTACCTCACATGATCACAGATAACAATGTGTTGGCCTACAATAAGAGCTTAATAAATATTTGTTTAATTAATTAATGAGTTTGCAGTGATGGAGGTTGCAAATGACATTTATAAAATAGCAATCATATTAAAAAATGCTGTCTGATCTTAAAAAACATAATATATTGCCTAAACATGCAATCATGTTAGGGGAATAGTTGAAAATGGTCATGATGATTGAACTGATGACAAATATCCAAAGCACCTTGGGAAAATTTTTACGGCCTGTAGGCCGCCTAGAAATGTCTGATGTGTAAGTCTCCTCACGATTCCTTCTTATAGGAACTTACGGCTGAACATTAAAAATTTTCATAAATCTAAAGTATGTGTCTTACAGGAATGCTAAAACACAGCCCTTCTCTATTGTCCTACCTTGCAGCTCTTGCTTATTCATATTCTCAATTTCCTATTGTGCTTAAGAGTTTCTTTCTCCTCATAAACTCAATTTAGCATGACCCTCATGATCCTGAATCGTTCTCATGGCTTTATTTCATCTTTAGTTTTCACTAATAATGACCTCATTTTTTTCTGTATGTTTCCAATTCAAATTTCTGTGAATTCTCTTTCACAGAATATTCCCTACAATTGCCCCAGCTATCTGAGAAAATGCCATAGGATTCTGTCACACCCATCTGTGGCCTGGGAGAAGTGTCACTTAGTTTACATCGGTCAGAGCTGTAGATGACACAGTTTTGTTTGGAAAGGAAAATGGTAAGGACAGTATTAAAGTATTAAAATTGCTATGTCTACCCTAGTATCAGAACAGCAACAATAACAACATGAAAAAACAACAAAACAAGAATTGAAAACTGGAAGCATGTTGATATCACAGTTGCATATGGAAAATTCAGAATATCCAACAGCTTTTTCATAAGTATATACAGTCAGTTGTCAGTATTATGATGAGGTTGATTCTTCATTGATGGAATGTGTAATATTTGTTAGAAATTCTTTCAGAAATAGAACACAGCTTGCAAGCTGTACAGCCTTTTTCATTTCTGGGACAAGATTATCTGATTTATATGTCCAAGTTCTGCTCTTCAAGTTTTTATTATAATAATTCCTGCTATTTTTGGCTTATAATAATATGCAGACTTACTGAATTTGCCCTTAGAAAATATCTCTTATCCATCTGCAAATAATGTTTTACCTGTAGAATTAATGAATATTACTCATATTATCATATTAAGTATCATAATTTATAGAAGATGAGAAGTAGAATCCTGATAATTGCTTTCATTTTCAAAATATATATACATAAATAATATTTTGTAATTCTGTGACAAGTACACCACTCAGGTATTTTTCCAAGCCAGAGGCTGTGGGAGGAGAGAAAAAGAAAAAGAGAGAGAAGGAGAGATGGGGGTAAGAGGTAAAGGGAGAGAAAAAGAGAATCAAGTGCTGGGCTTAATGGAGAACAGTTGTTTGTCAAAATGTGGTTCAATAACAAATATTTCTTAAGGCTTTAAAATATGCCTTGAATTTTATTAAGCACAATTTTAGGCATATCTCATCAACTTGGTACGTATATTTAAAATCTTTAAATAGAAGTATAGTAAAAATCAGGAATTCAAATACACATATACATGAAGAATAGGTGGCATACTTATTTCCTAATTGTATATTTACTGTTTTATTTTCTACAGAATTCAATGTCTTAGACTTAGAAGATATCTCCTTGACTAGGTCAGTGTTTGAAAATGATCTCTGGATTACGAAATTAGAGGCTGTGGGTCACTGGCTCTGAGACAAAATATTTAGTGCTAAAGTAAGCAACAAAGACTCTCTTCCAGCAGACTACTGGGAAGCCACATGAAATCCATATACATGTCCTGCTTTATGTATGCTCGAATTCAATCCTGGTTCAGGTTATAGAGGGCATTAAGCTGCCAGTGTAGCCACTAGCTTTTGGCTGGGCTCCCACATCTCTTTACCCTGATTTTGCTCTAGTATTTACACATAGATTCAATCTATGCCCTTATGAAACAAAATGAAAGAGCCTAACTCTCCCAATGTAAGAGAAAATTCATCTTGTTTCCTTTTATTTATTTATTTTTAGACGGAGTCTTGCTCTGTCACCCAAGCTGCAGTGCGGTGGTATAATCTTGGCTCATTGTAACCCCTGCCTCCTGGGTTCAAGGGATTCTCCTTCCTCAGCCTCCTGAGTAGCTGGGACTACAGATGCCTGCCACTATGGCCAGCTAATTTTTGTATTTTTAGTAGAGACGGGGTTTCACCATGTTGGCCAGGCTGGTCTCGAACTCCTGACCTCGGGTGATCTACCTGCCTCGGCTTCCCAAAGTGCTGTGATTACAGGCATGAGCCACCATGCCCGGCCAGCTGCTTCTTTCCTTTAACAAAGATGACAAAGGGCCTTCTTTCTCTTTTTCCTTTATATGGCTCTAGAAGATTCAAATGGAGCCCTGCTCAGTCTCTGATAGGACTTCAGTCCTAAGAAAAGACATATACAGAGTTCTTGCTGGCAGTTGAGAAAAAGCAAAAACAATTGGCACCAAAAACATTACTGTTTTATGATAGGAGAATTATGTGAGGAATTAGAGCAAATATTTCAGTCAGAAATAAAGTTAGACCAAGAGTGCACAATATGAAATTATTATAAAAATGCTGCAGGACATGAAAAACAGAATAGCCAGATTTATTTTTGAAAGTGCGATGGAGATGATTGATACCACATTGGATATTACTGACATGTAGAAGAAATGCATAAGAAATTTGCATAGAATTCAAAGGAAAATAATCAAAATATAATAAAAGATATGATATAGGTCCAGAAGATGAAATATGCATGTAACAGGAACTACAAAAATGAAATACAGGGCTGATAAAGTGGTCACTTCCATCTAAGACACAAAGGGAGATGACTGTTCAGGACTGGAGAAAAATTTGAAAAATTTAGATGTTAAGGGATTAGGAGGAACCAAACAATAAAACTAAGGTCCAAGATTTGACATACTTGGATATTTGATAAAATTTTAGAATTTCAAAAGTGAATTTACAATCCTTTAATATCCACACAGGGTGAAAATAGTTACTTACAAAAAGACAGCACAAAGCTAGCAATTTCTCTACAACAATAAAGACTGAAGTCTCATGAGTCAAAATCTTCACAGTTTTGAGAGGATATTATTTTGAACAAGTAATGTATACCTAGAAAAGTTTTTCTTCATATGTAAAACAATCAAAATTGACTCCTACTTATATAAGGCCTCATAAGTTTACTTGTCTTAAACTTAAACTTATCAGTAAAATAAGTTTCTTATAAACATAAATTTAGGATGAAATTAGTTAACAGTCATATCCCTGTATTGGTGGAGATTGGTTCCAGGAAACCAGGGATATAACAAAATCTGGGGATGCTCAAGTACTTTATATAAAAAGGCATAGTGTTTGCATATAACTTCCCATATCCTTGTGTATATGTTAAATCATCTCTAGATTACTCATGATACCTAATACAATGTAAATGTAATGTAGGAGGTGTTATACTGTATTTTTATTTGTATTATTTTTATTGTTGTATTGTTATTTTCTATTTTATTTTTCTAATGTTTTCAATTTCCATCTGTTTAACCTGTGGATGTGGACCCATGGATACAGGGGGCTCACTATATAACAATAAAATGGAGACATAAAACAGTAAGAATGACAAGCTTATGTAAACACCCATGTAATATCATGGGGTGACTTTATCATTTCTCAGCATATCTACAAAAGTATAAACAAGTGAAAGGTCATTAATATATGCATATGCATACATAACAAAACAATGGTGAATAATTAAATTAAGGGACTTCCAAATAATGTCTAAATTTACTAATAGTTCACTACTTTATTTTTAAAATTAGGAAGGACTCATAAATTGCCATTATTATTGACTTTATCATTTGTTGTTTCTCATTAAATCTTATGATGTGCTTAATTTTATTAATAGATTTCAAAATATAGATTCTATAGTATGACAAGTCCCCCACCAGGTTACTTAAGTGTGTATGTCTGCTACTTGAACCCTGAAGGCTGGGCAGTGAGACAAGGCCATGGTGCCCTGCCCAGGAGCAGTAGTCCCTGAGAACCCAAACATGCTGCAGAGTATTTGAGAATCTATCAAGGAAAACAGTCCCATTTCAAACACAAAATAAGCAAAGAGCCAGAAAATTGGCTTAAGAGCAACTTAGAAATGGGATAGTGTTTGGTGTCCTCAGTATTTCACTATTTCATTAAAGTTTTCAAAATATAGCAAATGGTAGTATACAACATTTTCTACTGCTTTTAAAATTTCCATCCTAGCCATGGTAAAATCACTGATTTTTAAAAGGACATAATTCTTTATTAAAATATTCAGTTTTTTTTCTATTTTGTTGGTGTTCTTTACAATTTCTACTATCTTATAAATTTTTTTTGCTCTTCTTTCCATAGTTTGTATTGTCAGTTTGTTTCTAATTTCTAAAAATAAATGCCCAGTTTGGTTACATAAGTATTTTTGTTGTTTAGCAATGAGACCATAAAGACAAAAATATTCCTCTGTAAGCTTTGCTATTGATTTCTATCATGAAACCAGCCTGCAAGTTCAGTTTTGATGCAGATATTGTTCAGAAGATCATTAAAAAATTTTACTGTTGAGGTTTCATTTAAACTTTCTTTCTTTCCAGTGTATTCACATTGTGAATATGGCCTTTACAGTACTTGTCAGAACTCCTATGCCTCCTGTACTTTCTAACTTCTTATAAATTACCCAGTCTCAGATATTTCTTTAGAGCAGTGCAAGAATAGCCTAACAGAAAATTGATACTGAGGAGTGCGGCATTGCTATAAAGATACCTGAAAATGTAGAAGTGATTTTTGAACCGGGCAACAGGCAGAGGCTGGAAGAGTTTGGAGGGCTCAGAAGAAGATGGGAAGATAAGAGAAAGTTTGGAACTTCTTAGAGACTGGTTAAATGGTTGTGACCAAAATGCTGATGGTTACATGGACAGTAAAGTCCAGGCTGCCAAAGTCTCAGGTGGAAATGAGAAACTTATTGTGAGTTGTAACAAGGGCCACCCTTGTTACACCTTAGTAAAGAATTTGGCTTCATTCTGGCCAAGGCTTAGGGATATTCAGAAGTTTGAACTTGAGGGTGATGATTTATACCTGGTGGAAGAAATTTCTAAGCAGCAAAATGTTCAAGACATGAGATGGCTGCCTCTAACAACCTGTGCTCAGATGTCTGAGCAAAGAAATAAATTGGAACTCATATTTAAAAGAGAAGCAGAGTGTAAAAGTTTAAAAAAAATTTCAGCTTACCTATGTGGCAAAGAAAGAAAAAGCTTTTATGGGAGAAGAATTCAAGCCAGCTGAGGAGGAACGACTTGCTACAGAAACTTGCATAACTAGAAAGGAGCCAAAGTGCTGGTAGCCAAGATAAGGAGAAAAAGGCTTCAAAAGGCATTTTGGAGACCTTCATGGCAGCCCCTCCCATCACAGGCCTGGAGGCCTAGGAGGAAAGAATGGTTTCCTGGGCCAGGCCTAGGACCCTGCTGCCCTTAGCAGCCTCAGGACACTGCTTCCTGTATCCTGGCCACTCTGGCTCCAGCCTTGGTTCAAAGGGCCCATGTGCAGATTAAGCCTCAGCTCCAGAGAGTATGAGCTGTAAGCCTTGGTGGCCTCCACTTGGTGTTAAGCCTGCAGGTGAACAGAGTGCAAGAGTTGAGGCTTGGGAGCCTCCACCTTGATTTTAGTTGATGTGTGGAAAAGTTTGGGTGCCCAAGCAGAAACCTGCTGCAGGGGCAGAGCCCTCATATAGAATCTCTACTAGGGCAGTGCCAAGGAGAAATGTGGGGTTGGATCCCCCACACAGAGTCCCCAGTGGATCACTGCCTAGTGAAGCTGTGAATAGGGGGCCTCTGTCCTCCAGACCCCAAAATGGTAGATCCACTGGCAGCTTGCACCCTGCACCTGGAAAAGCTACAGGCATTCAACTCCGACCTGTGAAAGCAGCCCTGGGGGCTGAATCCTGCAAAGCCACAGGGGCTGAGCTGCCCAAGTTCTTGGAAGCCCACCCCTTGCAGCAGTGTGCCCTAAATGTGGGAAATGGAGTCAAACGAGATTAAGAGCTTGAAGCTTTAAAAGTTAATGGCTGCCTTGCTGAGTTGCAAACTTGCGTAGGACCTGTGTCCCCTTTCTTTTGACAAACGTCTCCCATTTGGAATGGCAGTGTTTACCCAATGCCTATACTCCCATTGTATGTTGGAAATAACTAATGTTTTTGATTTTACAGGCTCACAGGTGGAAGGGACTCTCCTTGTCTCAGATGAGACTTTGAACTTTTGGACTTTTGAGTTAATGCTGGAGTGAGTTAAGACTTTGAGGAATTATTGGGAAGGCATACAATTCCATTGTATTTTGGAATGTGAGAAGGACATGAGATTTGGGAGGAGCCAGGGACAGAATGACATAGTTTGGATATTTGTCCCTGCCCAAATCTCATGTTGAAATGTAATCCCCAATGCTGAAAGTGGGACCTTATGTGAAGTGCTTGGATCATGGGGGTGGATCCCTTTTGAATGGCTTGAGCCATCCCCTTGATGAAAAGTGAGTTGTTGTTCTGAGTTCACATGAGATCTTGTCATTTAAAAGTGTGTGGCACCTCTTCCTCTACTTTCTCTCTTGCTCCTATTCTCACCATGTGATGTGCCTGGTCCTCCTTTGCCTTCCACATGATTGTAAGCTTCCTGCGGCCTTCCCAGATGCCTCTATGCTTCCCTTACTGGCTGCAGCACCATAAGCCAATTAAGCCTCTTTAATTACCCAGTCTCAGGTATTTCTATAGCAGTGCAAGAATGGCCTAAAACATCTCACTTTATATTTTTGCTTACTTTTGCTGTCTTGTCCTGTTAATGTCTACTAAGTTCGAGTTCTTGCACTTTCATATTACGTATGTGGGGGTGTGCATTACCTGTAGTTATTTTTATTAATAATTATATTGCGGTATAGTTTATGGACAATAAAATCCAGCCATTTAAATATTTTTTTTTGAGTTTTGGTAAATGAATATAATCTTGTAACTATGCACAAAATCAAAGTATGGACTATCATAATCATTCCCAAATTTCTCTCCTATTTTTTTGTAGTGAACCCTTTCCTCCATCCCAATTTGCAGTCAATCACTGATTTGCTTTTTGGGTAGTTTTCCTTTTCTAGAATATTTTATAAAGGTGATCGCTCAGTATACAATCATCCATGTGTACTTTCTTTTAGTTTGTGTAGTATTCTTGAGATTTCATCCAAGTTATGGTGCTAGTAATTTATTCCCTTTTTTTTTTTTATTGAGATGGAGTTTTGCTCTTGTTGCCCAGGCTGGAGTGCGGTGTCACGATCTTGGCTTACCAAGACCTCCTCCTCCCAGGTTCAAGCGATTCTCTGCCTCAGCCTCCCTAGTAGCTGGGATTACAGGCATGCACCACCATGCCCAGCTAATTTTGTATTTTTAGTACAGACGTGGTTTCACCATGTTGGTCAGGCTGGTCTCGAACTCCTGACCTCAGGTGATCTGCCTGCCTCGGCCTCCCAAAGTGCTGGGATTACAGGCCTGAGTCACTGCTCCCAGCAATTTATTCCTTTTTGGTTTTTGAATCATGTTCTACTATATAAATATGTCATAATTTATTTATCCAGTCACCGATGATGAGCATGTAGATTGCTTCTAGTTTTTCACTATGATAAATAATGTTGTTAAAAGCACTTGTTATTTTCAGAAGTTTTCTTTAGCTTTGGCTTTCACCTATGTGTTTAGGTGTGGATTTCTTTGCATCTATCCTAATTTTGGTTTGTTGAGGTTTTTGGAAATACAAGCTTTCCACAGAATTTAAGGTGTTTACAGTTATTTTGTATTCAAAAAGTTTTTTATATTTTACTCTTTCTCCTCTGTTTCTAGGATTCAAATTCCATAAATGTTGGACTGTTTGATATCACCCCACAGATCTTTGATACTTTGTTTACTTTGATTCAGTCTTTTTTCTCTTAGTTCTTCAAAATGGATATTTCAATGAGTTATCTTCAAATTTACAGATTCTTTCTTCTGCTGTTATCAGATCTGTTGTTGTTCACATCTAATTTCTCATTTCAGTTATTGTATTTTTTCTTACATATATCTTCTATTTCTCTGTTAAAATTCCTTATTAGTTTATTCAGTAAATTAAATGACATTTTCATTTAATTATTTGAATATATTTATAATAGCTTCTTTGAAGTCTTTGCCAAATCCGACATCTGGAACCTTTCAGAAACTGCTATTTTTTTTCCTAAGAATGGGTTATCTTTTTCCTGTGTGTTTGCACGTCTAATCATTTTTGCCTTAATAAATTGACCTTTAAGATAAGACTTTGCAGTGATTCTGGAATCTCTTGTTATTGTGAGAACTTTCGCTTTTTTGTTGTGAACAGTAAAATCTATCTCCCTCCCCCTTTAATGACTAGTTGCTCTACCGTTCCAATTTCTGCTCTTTCACACCTCAAACGAAAGGTTTCTGCTTTCTGCTTTCTAAGCTGTGTACGGGTTGGGGAAGGCAGTGGGTCAGAGGTGCAGCAAGCCCTCAAATCCCACCAGGAGCAATTATGTTTCTCTAGTTTCTGCCTACATTTTCATCAGGCTTATGGGATATTCCCTCTGCACACGTAGTTTAGTGGTCAGCCAGAGACTTGGATAGAGTTTATAGACAGATTTTGTGGCAATCTCACTTTCAAAATTTCTCTGTTAAATTTCTAGTTGCTCTGTTTCTCTGAATTCCATCACCTGCCATCTTGAGCTGTTCAGGCTGCTGATTTCTACTTCCTGACTTGAAGGAAAGGGTGGGTTTGAGGAATGTTCTAGAAAGAAAATTACAAACTCAGAGTTCTTATCCAAGGAAATAGTATCCTTCCATGAGTACATTCTTTTCAAGAGTTTGCCTATCTCTGGTCATTTTCAGTGCCTCCAAAGAGTTGCTTTTAATAGTTTTGTCTGGTGCTTGTAATTATTCTCTGTGGAAGAGATCACCTGACCTCTTCATGCTGTCATTACCAGAAGTCCTGCCTTTCCTTGTTAGAAATATTTTGATCTAAAATTTTAACAATGGAAAGGTTTATGAGTGTGATTTCTTTTTTGAAAATTATACTATCGGCCAGGCGCGATAGCTCATACCTGTAATCCCAGCACTTTGGGATGCCGAGGCGGGTGGATCACGAGGTCAGGAGATCGAGACCATCCTGGCTAACACAGTGAAACCCCGCAGTGGCGGGCGCCTGTAATCCCAGATACTCAGGAGGCTGAGGCAGGAGAATGGCGTGAACCCGGGGCAGAGCCTGCAGTGAGCCGAGGTAGCGCCACTGCACTCCAACCTGGGGGACAGAGACAGACCCCATCTCAAAAAAAAAAAAAAAAAGAAAGAAAAAGAATATTATGCTATTTATTTATAAATACAATGTAGCCTACTTTGTCCTTTAGCATGTTGATATGTATATTAAGAATTGTATTTTTATTTTTATGTATTTTTTTTTGAGACAGAGTCTTACTCTGTTGCCTAGGCTGGAGTGCAATGGTGCGAGCTCAGCTCACTGCAACCTCCGCCTCCTAGGTTCAAGTGATTGTCCTGACTCAGTCTCCTGAGTAGCTGGGATTACAGGCGATTGCCACCATGCCCGGTTAATTTTTTGTATTTTTAGTAGAGATGGAGTTTCACCATGTTGACTAGGCTGGTCTCAAACTCTTGACCTCAGGTGATCTGCCTGCCACAGCCTCCCAAAGTGCTGGGATTACAAGCGTGAGCCACCATGCCTGGCCCGTATTTTTATTTTTATATTGTCTTTTTGTTCCATCTTTTTCTGAAATAATTTTCCTATTCATCTACATTGAAACTTTCCTGTGTCACTTTATTAAAGATAAAATAAAATAGAAAGCCATGTAGTTGGATTAGAAAAATCATCCAACCCATGAATTTGGTCTTTAGGGAGTTAAATTCATTTACACTTAGTGTTATTGTTCTTATATTTTGTTTTATTTATATTGCCTTATTCTTTGCTTTCTTGTAAGTTAGTGATGTGGTTTGGGTCTGTGTCCCCACCCAAATCTCATCTCGTAGCTCTCATAATTCCCACATGAAACATGGGGATGGGTCTTCACAGTGCTGGTCTCATGATAGTGAATAAGTCTCACAAGATCTGGTTATTTAAAAAATGGGAGTTTTCCTGCACAAGTTCTCTGTCTTTGCCTCCTGCCATCCGCATAAGATGTGACTTGCTCCTCCTTGCCTTCTGCCATGATTGTGAGGCCTCCCCAGCCATGTGGAACTGAAAGTCCATTAAACCTCTTTCTTTTGTAAATTGTCCAGTCTTGGGTATGTTTTTATCAACATCATGAAAAAGGACTAATACCATTAGTACCTTAAGTATAATATTAGACAAAAAGGGTGATAGTGGTGTGGTAGACACACCCTAGAATGCTTCCTCATGATACCCATTTTCTGAACTTTCTGTCTTTGTGTAGTCCCATTCCCTTGAGTGTGGGTCTGACCTATAACTTGTTTATAATCAATAGAATACAGCAAAGGTGATGAGATGTATATGATTAAGTATGTGAGATTGCAATGCCTTGGCTTACTAGAATTTTTTGCCTGCTTCTCTCTTTCCTTACTGGCTTTGAAAAACTAAGCTGCCTATGTTGGTAGACTCACATGAAAGAAACTGAATTTGGCCTCTAGGAGCAGAGGTGAAGCCTTCAGTCCTATATGGCTGCAAGAAATGGAATTCTGCCAACAAAAACAAATCCTTCCCCAGTCCAGCCTCTGATGAGACTGAAGCCCTGGCTAACACTTTGATTGCAAACTTGTGAGACCCTAAGCAGAGGACCCAGTATAGCCACACTGGACTTCTAACCTAAAGAAACTACAATAATAAATATGTGTTGTTTTAAGCTTTGAAGTTTATGGTTACTAACTACTAAGACATAGATAGTGAACGTAGGGGACATCCTATTTTTGTTTCTGTGTTTAATAGAAATACTGCTAGAGCTCCGCCATTAAGAATGATAAATTTGGGCCAGGAGTGGTGGCTCGTGCCTCTAATCCCAGCACTTTGGGAGGCCAAGACGGGCAGATCACTTGAGGTCAGGAGTTCGAGACCAGCCTGGCCAACATGGTGAAACCCCGTCTCTGCTATAAATACAAAAATTAGCTGAATGTGGTAGCACATGCCTTTAGTTTACTTGGGAGGCTGAGGCAGGAGAATCATTTGAACCCGGGAAGTGGAGGTTAAAATGAGCCGAGGTTGCACCAGTGCACTCTAGCCTGGGTGACAGAGTGAGACTCCATCTCAAAAAAAAAAAAAAAAAAAGGGTAAATTTGGACTGACATTGTGTTAAATAGGATGTGTGCCATAGAAAACAAAGCATTTTCCAGAACTGAAATAAAATAAATAATTTTTTTTAAAAAGGAAGACCCCAAGGTATAATGTTAATTAAAGAAAGAACAATACATATGTCTTGTGAGAGAGCATATTTTCTCTAAATGAAAATGTTTAATAGGAGCACAAAGAATTAATGATCAGGACAATCTTAAAGTTCATTTCAGCGTAAAGGTGAACTTTTAGTACAGGTGATATGTAAGGTCCATTCATACTTGAGGATTTTGTTACATCAGATATAAAACTGTTAAATTCAAGTTTAGCTTTGATTTCAGAATAGATGTTTCAATCCAACACAACTTTTTGTTCTTTGTTCCTTTAAAGAATGTATTATGAACATTGCTTTTCCCTGAGAAAACTACTAAGTTTCATTTGAATAAGAGAATATTTAGAAAATCTTACTGAATCAGAATCCCATGAACATCATATTTCAATTACAAATAACATTGAAGGAAGGTTTCAAGTCTGTTTAAAAATGTGACAAAACAAATGTTACTTTGCCACCTAGTGGTTCATCCTGATATTTAGTCTCAAAATTTTTTTTGAGTCCTTGTAAGTAATATGTAATATGTAATTTGAGTCCTTGTAAGTAATAATACACTATACCAGGAGATCTTTGCTACATTTATATTTAGGATGAAATTATTCTGGGAAAATTTACTTTATAATTTTTGCATTGTCCCTGGATAGGCACATAATATATTAAATATTATTTTTTATTAAACACTATCAAACTGGTACAATTAAAAATTCCTTTGAAATTTTTGTTCCTTTGAGCTCAAAAGATCCTTTGAAAAAATGTCTATTGCCAGTCCATTATTATTTGCACTATTAAAAAAATCTAAATTCGTTAAAAATAATTTTAGAAAAGGTGTAAAACAGCTCTGAATGTGCAAATGGAGGCAAAGCTAGCCTCTTTTGTAGTGGAGAAGGAAAGTCAATAGAACTTGTCCCAGACAGACAGAATTTGCATGTCTACAGACAATCATTTTGCATTGCTATCAGCTGTCTACAATTTACAATTGCAAAATACCTTCCATAGAATCAGATCAGATAATACTCAGCAAGTTTACAGACTTGTATGGTGTTTTGCTGAAAACCAAAAATTTTTTTGACATATTTTACAAGTTCTGTCTCCATTTTGCAGATGTCCCAATATATGGGACTACTGCATACTGTATTGTTTTATTACATATCAGGGACTAGAATCAGAAACTATAGGGCATAAAACAAGTAACATCCAGTTTCTATTTCTGTTGATTGGTAGACATGAAGTCTACAACCCGCTGTCTTTTCCCGCAGTGCCTTCGGTTTTAATGAGCTCACCTTGTGTTTCTGATGGAGACTATGAGAATCATTGGTTTGGAGCAGCAAGTGTCAATCCTAGCTGCACATTCAAATCACCTCCAGAGCTTAAATCAGGATCTTTAAGAGTGGGATTCAAGAAGTATAGTTAAAGGTATCCAAGGTAATTCTAATGTATAGCCAGGGTAATGAACTATGGACTCTAGAATAGGAGTTTGCCACCCTAGTGACACATTAGAATCATCTGGAGATGATGCTGACATCAACCTGCCTTGGAAGTGTTTCTTGTCAAAAGTTTCCTATGGGTTTTTACTTTTTAAAATTAAACTGAAAAGGAAAGATAATTGAGTTTAAAAGGAAACTTTTAAAATGTACTTAATATATTTAAAATGCATACTGTATTTAAAATGAGGAAAGCTATATAACAACCTCATCTGTCTTTTGATTAATCAATAGATGTAGGTATTCATAATCAGTTCACTGCTCTCATAGGTGAAAGGTGGGAAATAAAATAAGAATGTTGGAAGCCAAGTGAGCGGGAGAAAAGCAGATGGAAAGGCTTAGAGTGAGGGGCATTGCCTGTGAAATCCAAGTCTGGGCATAGTGCTACAGGGTGAGTCCTGGAGATTTATAATACTGAATTAAAAGCACTTGAACTGGGGAGAAGATCTACCATGAAAGTTACTTTTTGCTGAAAGGAAATGATGAAAATAGTAACAATCACCATTTATGAAGCACAAATTAAAAGAATTGTCTGTGTGATTTGAAACCATTTTGTTTCTTGATAACCATGAAACACAACGTGGTAGGTGTAGAGAACAAAATATTAAACATATAGGATCATATAGGAATGCTATCACTAGAGAATCAAGGCCTTTTAGGCCCCATCTCTGGCCACATTTATATTAATTAAGTTAATGTGATTGATAAAAAAAAATTCAAAAGCCAATTTATTAATCTGAAGTGAATTTTTTTTTGAAAAGGACCAGATTTGCTTCCATGTAACATGATCAAAGTGTTTTCTAAACTCTAGACATGGTACATGAAAAAATCAAATGATAATCAGTAGTTTCCTTAAGGAATATGGACTCTGATTAATTTAACATTTAAAACATCCAGCCGGACAGGAGCGGTGGCTCACGCCTGTAATTCCAGCACTTTGGGAGGCCGAGGCGGGCAGATCACCTGAGGTTGGGAGTTGGAGACCAGCCTGACCAACATGGAGAAACCCCATCTCTACTAAAAATACAAAATTAGCCGGGCGTGGAGGCGCATGCCTGTAATCCCAGCTACTCGGGAGGCTGAGGCAGCAGAATCGCTTGAACCCGGGAGGCGGAGTTTGTGATGAGCCGATATCGCGCATTGCACTCCAGCCTGGGCAACAAATGTGAAACTCCGTCTCAAAAAAACAAAAACAAAAACAAAACAAGAGAACATCCAGCCACATCTCCTAGTAACGGTAATTTTGGTGATGGAGTTAAACTATACATATCACTCGCTTACACTGCATCACTCTACACATCTAAGGCATGCCCAGATGCCTTAAAGAGTTTTTAAGGACCTTAACTAAACCATCTTATGGCCATCAGAGCAATGTTTCTCAACTCAAGCTGCATGTTAAAATCACCTGGGGAGCTGTTTTATTTAATTGACGTATAATTGAAGTACAAAAAACTGCACATATTTACTGTATACAATTTGATAAGTTTGGACATATGCATGCACCTGTGAAACCAGCATCACAAAAACAGTCAGGGCAATAAACATGTCTTGTCTCCCCCACCCCCTTTTGGTGGTTACGAATACTCAACATGAGATCTACCCTCTTACATTTTTCTAAGTGCATAATACAGTGTTAACTATAGGTACAGTATTGTATAGCAGATCTCTAGAACTTACTCATCTTGCATAACTGAAACTTTGTAACTATTGAACAACTCTCTATTTACCCAGCCCCAAGCCCCTGGCAACCACCATTCGGCTCTCTATTCTATGAGTCTATTTTAGAAGCACACAGTATTTGTCCTCTTGTGACTGGGTTATTTAACTTAGCATAATGTCAACCTGTTCATGTATGTTTGCATCATTGTCATATACGGCAGAATATTTTTTTTTTTTTTTTTTTTTTTTGTGATGGAGTTTCGCTCTGTTGCCCAGGTTGGAGTGCAGTGGCATGATCTCCGCTCACTGCAAGCTCCGCCTCCCGGGTTCACGCCATTCTCCTGCCTCAGCCTCCCGAGTAGCTGGGACTACAGGCGCCTGCCACCACACCCGGCTAATATTTCTGTTTATAGTAGAGACGGGGTTTCACCGTTTTAGCCAGGATGGTCTCGATCTCCTGACCTAGTGATCCGCCCGCCTCGACCTCCCAAAGTGCTTGGATTACAGGCATGCGCCACCGCGCCCGGCCCAGTATATCCTTTTTTTTAAAGCTTGAATAGTATACCAGTGTGTGTGTGTGTGTGTGTGTGTGTAAATTTTTAAAGTCTATTCATCTGTCAATGAACAGTTACTTGGGTTGCTTCCATGCTTTAGCGATTGTGAATAATGTTGCAATGAAAATAGAAGTGCAGATAATCACTTCAAGATCCTGATTCAATTCTTTTGTATACATACTGAAAAGTGGAATTGCTGAATAATATGGTAGCTCTATTTTTTATTTTTTTTGAGGACCTCAGACTGTTTTTCATAGCAGCTGCACCTCCAGAGATTCTAATTAAGTTAATTTGGGATAGGCCCCAGATATCAGCATTTTATAATTTCTCCAGGTGATTCTAATATGTCTTAGGGCTGCAAATCCCTGCCCTGAAGTTGATAGCTCTCAGCCTGACTATATAATAGATCAGTGATTCTCACAGCTAGTACCAGAAACACCTAGAGGGTTCATTGAAACATAAATTGCTAAACTGGCATTTTTAACAGTTTCCCAAGTGATAATGATGTTGTTGCTGATACTGCTGGTCCAGGAGCTGCCCTTTGAGAACTGCCCTTTTAACAATGCTAGAATCAACTTTGTCTGACTTTTCCTTTATGATCTATTTCTTTAAGCTCCCATAGCTGACTAAAACCACTTTTGAAAATTGTGGTAAAATAAACATAACAAAAATTTACCAACTCTTGTGATTCTTTGCACAAAAAGTCCACATATGCCTGTTATATGTATGTGGATTTATTCTTTTTTGAAAATATGAAGAGATTATATTCCATTATGAATTTTTGGTACTATTTTTCTAATATTGAAAGTTACTTACACATCTTGACAACACAAGGCAGTAGGGTGCAACTTTTCAAGAATGTTTTGTGAATAGGAAAAGTAAACCTGGGATTGGGGACTTGCGGCAAATGAGCCACAAGTGGATAAATCTTCTTGCAAATTGTTGTAGCTATATTTTTAAGGACATTTAATAAGAATTTCAATTGATATAAAACTTGTCATGGTTAGCAGAGTATGGCCAATTACATTATTGCTATTTTAAGCCATTTTTCCTAGTGATAAAATTATACCATTTTGTAGATGGCCTTTAAAAGAGCCTCTCTCTGTTGCCCAGGCTGGAGTGCAGTGGCATGATCTCAGTGCACTGCAACCTCCCTCTCCTGGGTTCAAGCGATTCTCCTACCTCAGCCTCCCGAGTAGCTGGGATTACAGGCACGTACCACCATGCCTAGCTAATTTTTGTATTTTTAGTAGAGATGGGTTTTGTCATGTTGGCCAGGCTGGTCTTGAACTCCTGACCTCAGGTGATCCACCCATCTCGGCCTCCCAAAGTGCTGGGATTACAGGTGTGAGCCACCATGCCTGGCCAAAAGTTTTATGCATACTTATTAAATAAAACTTAGTTTAATCCTGGACTTTGTTAACAAGCTGTTTGACCTTGAGTTGGTCATTCAACTATTTAGGTTTCATATTATTTTTACAATGATCTATGGGCTTCCTTCTATGTATATTTATTTTTAATTTTTAAAATCAGATGTTGTAAAATACCAAACATTTATTTAAAATGTACAATAATAATAACATGAACAACTACATTTTACTGTCCAGTTTATGAAAATTCTTTTAACATATACTTTAAAATCCCTATGTGTCTTCGTGTAACCTATTCTCTTCTCTTTCTGCTCAGAGGAAACGTTATCAGAATTTAGTGTTTATCATTCTTTTGCCTGCTTTCATAGTTTTCATAGTTTTACCACGTATGTATGTATAATCAAAAATACATTTTATTTTAGTATGCTTTGAATATTCTATAGATACGTTTGTAATATGTGTCTTCCCTTGCCATTACCCTGGGGAAGCAGGTGTATATATAGTTTATTGGACCCACCTCGTTACTTTGCCAGATTTCCTACCTTTCACAGTATTCTGTTTCACTCCTATAGGTCAGTGAAAACTAAAGCTCAATTCACCTTGCTTTGTTTGGTTGATATTGTCAAGGTGAAAATGGCTTGTTGCTTACCTGTTTCTAATTTTCTAATTTAACTTTGTTCTCACTCTCTGATTATCCCCAATTTTCTTGTTAGTTCCTCAGTGCATTCAAGAACATGGTTTTAATTGTTTATCCATATTTTTTGCAGTACTTTGTGGCAAAGATAACAGGAATTGAGACAAAGGTGAATAAGTCAGAATTCCTGATTTCCAAAACCTCAAATCCAGAGTATGAGAAGACAGTCATGTAAATACACAATCAAAATATTTATTTCTTCAAACCTATGTATTGACCTAGCATCTTCAAACACCCCTTGACCTGAAACAAGCAGAAGGGAAAAAATGAGGTTAGAAAAGAAATAGAGAATAGAAAAACAAAAGAAAAAAATAAAATCAGAAGTTGGTTCTTTAAAATAAATTAACAAAATTGACAAACCTTTGTCTATACTGACCAAGAAAAAAAGAGGTGAAGACTCATACAACTAGAATTGGGAATGAAAAATGGGTCACAGTTTTGAAAAACACTTCAGCAGTTTCTCAAAAGGTTAAACCTAGAGTTACCATATGATCCAGGAATTTCCCTTTTGGGTATACGCCCAAGAGAGTGGAAGCATATGTCCATGTAAAATTGTGTATACAAATGTCCATAAGTGCATGATTCATAATATCAAAAGGTGGAAATAATCCAAAGGCCCAACAGACGAATGGATAAATAAAATGTAGTATAGTCATACAATGCAATATTATTTGGCAATAAGAAAGAATGAAATACTTATTCATGCTGCAGCATAGATGAGCCTTGAAAATATGATGCTAAGTGAATGAAGCCAGCCACAGAAGACCACATATTGTTTGATTCGATTTATTAGAAATGTCTTAGCATTGGCAAATGCAGGGAGAGAGAAAGTACATCGGTGGTTGTCTATGGCTGGTTTGGGAGACTGTGGGAAATGGTAGGATGATTGCAGAAGGGTATGAGGTTTTGTGTTGGGTGGGAAAATTTTCTAACATTGATTGTGGTAGCGGTTGAACAATTCTGTGACTTTATTAAACACAATTAAATTGTATTCTTTAAATGGGAGAATTGTATGGTATGTGAAATATATTTCCATAAAATTACTAAAAGTGAAATCATCAGAGCTCAATTTCAAACCAAGTGTCATATTTATAGATACTTAGCTGCTTGTCTCGGCAAATGAAACAACTTGATTTATAGCTACCAAAGATTAGATAACAAATTTTCAATAGAGGTAATGTGACGTTATGTGAATGACAGATGCTTCAGGGCAAAATATCAGATAGATCTTAGTTGAAAACTCTATTGTTATTAGTTTTGGATATTCAGATAAGTTTATTTAACATCTTTACATTTTTATTTCCTAATTTGTAAAATAAAAAAATGATTTTTGTGAATATTTAATAAGTTAAATCATAGAAAGAGCCCAGCCTAGTCTCAAGAAAGTAATTTAACACTGAGAAGAATAATTACCTTGCTTCATTTGTTAAATTGTTATAGACTGTGTTATAGTGGCAATAAGAAAAAAAAAACACCTTGAGTACATTTTTACACACACCCATACATACAATATAGCTTGTTGGAAATTTACCTCTAAGTCATAGACATAAGAAACTCTAAGAGAGCATTTTTGAATACAATGGAAAAGAGTTATCTAAATATTTATTTTCTACTGATTGGTCCATTCCTTGTGTGTGCATTTTTCTTTTTGAACCTTGCTCTTAAACAGAATCACAGAATATTAGGGCAGCAGTCACCTGCTTTTCCATCCTAGCAACCACCCTCTGGAGCTCTTATTTGTGCTTTGAATCCATCACTCTGCTGCTGTGATGTGTCGCTTTCACTGGAAGCACTTGAGGTGCCTTTTCCTGGCAGGTTAGGCAGCAGCCAAGCGGAGAGAACAAGGTGGCCTTAATGGTTGGCTTAATGGTGTGTTAAGTGTTCATTTCTGCTGAATTGAACACAGGCTTTGTAAGTGTCTAGCTTCATTGGGTTGCTGTCAACCAACATGCATAGAGTACTACATTTTGAAGAAATGTGTGCTTTGAGTGGAGCAGAGTATGAGGAAAATATCCAGAAGGATGTTGTGAGGTGATCCTGGGTGAGCAGACTAGAATGTATATTCTCTGTGTTTCCAAGCATTTTGTTAAAAATGTAAGCATGTGTAAAGCACTTTGCTTTGAAATCATTTTTATCTTCCCCTGGATTAAGATATCTAGAAATACTGGATATCTGGGTATCTGATTTTGTTTTGATTGACATCTCCATAATAAAAGATATCAAATAATTTTAAGTATTTACTTTTGGTTATTTTAAAATGCTTAATTGGAGAGAAAAACTATCATAGTTATTTTGCATGTATAAAATGCTGTTAAAAATATAAAGTTCAGAACAGAAGTTAGACTATTTTTAGTTTGTGAAATATATTTCAAATAAGTCCATTGCTTATCATATTAGAAATATGGCAATATTAGAAAATATATTTCCTGAAATGTGAAGAGGCAAGTCATAACTCCATTAGCCAAGTACTCCCAACTTTGAAAATAAACTGCCAACATATTATTAAAATTATAATACTAAGACTTATTTGTAATTCGTGAGCAATGAGAAAAAGAATTAAAATGTAAGCTTGCTGAAGAATATTAATGACTTTGGTGTTATTATATTATGATTGACAAAGTACTAATAGATAAAGGAGGATGATGTATGACAAAAGCCAAACTTACCAAATTTTTGCTCACGTGCTCACGATAGACCTCAAGAGTTGGAAGTCAATGCTGTCTCCCACAATTGTCAAGTAGATATAAGTAAAAAAATACACAGTTGTAGGCATAACTGATATACTGTTTTCCTTCTTCACTTGAAAAACTAATCAACCATTATAATCTTTATATGGATTTTGTATTTTGTATCAATTGTGATAGCAGTAGAATGACAAATTTTTACATTAGCATGAGGTGAAGAGGTTGAGTCTAATGTGAATATATAAATGTTTATTAACTGTACCTCAAACATTTTAAAAGCAAAGGTATAAATGGTAAATATTTTCTTTCATGATTTGATTCCAGTAATGGCGATTTACGCAGAGATCTGCATGAGTTATCACTTCCTCTTCTGATGAGGAAGGTGGGATTCTTCTCACCTGGTTTCAAAGACTGACGTCTCGTTTTCAAAATGCTGAGATGGAAAATATGAAAGAGCATGCATTTTAATAATAACCACACTTTCTCATGCACATGTGTGATTTTTCTTTTTTACTTTATATTTCAGATAGCAGTAGAAACTGTTTCTACTTCCATTATTTGTACAATCTATTGAAGCTTGGTGGGTGGAAACTCTTAACAGGGAGATAAGAGCAGAAATCAACTTCACAACCAACATCAGATCTCATGTAGATTATAACTTCAACTCTTAATAGAAGGCCACTGGATGACATCTCTGCTTTGTAATAAACTGTGTTAAAGTAATAGTAATTACTTTACTAAAACGTATATATATGATATATATATATTTCATACATATATATGATATATATGTATATATATTTGTTCTTTAGTCTCTGAAGGCTCTAAAGTTGCCACTGAGTGTAATTTAGTTCTTTCTGTTCATCTCATATGTTTTATCACTTAAAAATATTTGAGTATTTGAAATGAGTGAATAGGTAACCTTAAACGTATTCAACGGCTTTGGAAATTCTTTCATATATATATATATATATATATATATATATATATATATATATAAACCTATATTTACATAAAAAACTATATATAAAATTCTTTCATATATATAAAACTATATATATAACTATATATAAAACTATATATATGAAACTATATATAACTATATATATAAACTATATATAACTACATATATAAAACTATATATATAACTACATATATATAAAACTATATATATATATAACTATATATAGTTGTTTTGCTTTTTTTTCTCTGCACCCCAACAGAAAAAAGTTCATTTGTTTGTTTGTTTAGAGACAGGGTCTTGTTCTCTTACCCAGGCTGCAGCACAGTGATATGATCATAGTTCACAGCAGCCTCCAACTCCTGGGCTCCAGAAATCCTCCTGCCTTAGCCTCCTGAGTAGCTAGGCCTAGTAGTATGTGCCATTGTGCCTGGCTAATTATTTTTTACTTGTTTTGTAGAGATGGGCTCTTTCTGTATTGCCTAGGCTAGTCTTGAACTCCTGTCCTCAAGTGACCCTCCTGCTTCGGCCTCCCCAAGTGCTGGGATTGATTAAAGGCATGAGCCACTGCACCAGGCTAAAGTGTTTATTTTTAATTGAAAAATGATAATTGTCAATATGAGGTTCAATGTGACATTTTGATATATGCACACATTTTGGAACAATTATATCAAGCTATGGAAATTCTTATATAAAGAAGGTAAGATGATTGTTACTAGATGGCACTTATTATTTGGAGTATCTCTCTTCTCTCTCTCTCATTCTTTCTCTCTCTAGGGTGTGTGTGTATATAATATATGTATTATATATACTATATATTATATATATTGCATTCACTTTAAAGGTAATATTAAGTCATATTATTATAGTATTAATATAAAAATAATATACATGCAACAAAAGTTGTAAACCTCCTCAGAACTTGTCATTTTGTGCACCATTGCTCATGATTACTCTCTATATTTGTATGAGGTTCACAAAAGACACGGCCGAGTCAGTGGATTTTTAATTGAAGTAATCACATGCTGGCATTTCATATTAGCACACAGTCTGTCAAGTGCATTCACTGGCCCAACAAATACTTTCCATGAGGTTTTACTAAACAATTTAAGTTAGCCTTTACCTCAGAATTTAATGATTTTGGAATAGTTATTCTTATATCATTATGGTTGAGAAGTAGTTGGTGACACTTGACTTGGGATGTATTCCAGTATCTTCAGAGCAATTAAATTATTAGTAGCATCATGAAGCTCTTCATTACACAGCCATGATTTCAGTCCTATTGAAAATTTATAAATAATCCTTTGTTGTACTGTGCAATTGCCTTACTGTTGAAAAATGATGATGAATAATTTGTAAGTAAAACCTTACAGAAACTCTAAATGATCTTCATTTAAATACTTTGATTGAGTTTAAGGAGTCCATGAGACATCCAAAATAATAGCCATGATAAGTATTACAAATTTTAACATTTAGGTGTAAAAATTATGATTAAAATATGTGCTAACATTTTTATTGAGCATTATATGAATTATATAGCATTTAATATGTTTATAAATATCTAAGGGCTATTTCCAGAAAATGTCAAATTTCTAAGATTTATTTAATTTTCAAGGTAATTAGGGTTACACTGCCCTAGGAGAAAAACTAAATGTTTACCTTGTAGCCTAGGTAACAATCTGAACTCTGTGATCCTGCACATGTTCATCTATGGGCGCACGTATATGTTCAATCTATATCTGTGAGTAGGGGATGTATTTGGGTAGCAAAGACAATTTTCAGATATTAAACAGCAGAACTAGCCTTCCTCCTATGAACAATAATACTGAAACATTTGCCTGGCCCCTCTTTGTGGAGACAGTGCTGTCAAATTGATATGGACAGGAGGCAGGGAAATACTGGGTAGAAGAGGGTGGTCCCTAGGTAAAGGCCCCAACCTCAAGCCTGGAAACCTGTGGCCCTAAATGGAACAAACATTCCTGTTTTTGTGCCCAAATGTTGCCTTTTGGCCTGCTACACCCCCCATCCTGTACCCATATAAACCCCAAACCCCAGGCTCCACAAGCGGATGAGCAGACAAGCAGCAGAGCAGAGAAGCAGAAGAGTGGCAGAACAGTGCAGCAGAGAAGGAGAGAAGAGAAGGAGCATCTGAACATTGAGAGGAGTTTGGCTGGGGATGGTCAGAGAGGAGATCCAAGGGATGGCCAAACTCCAGGAGAAGATCATCTTTCCACTGTATCCCCTTTCCAGCTCCCCATCCATCCTGCTGAGAGCCACCTCCATCTCACAAAAAAATCCCCCACATTTACCATCATTTAATTCATCCACGTGTCCCTGATTCTTCCTGGATGCCCAACAAGAACCTGGGTACCAAGAGGGCACTAAGCTGGTTAACACTTAAGCCATCTGCGGATGGCAGAACTAAAAGTGCATTGTAACATGCCCACTGGGGCTTCAGGAGTGTCAGGTACCACCCACCCCAGGTGCTACAATGTGGACAGAGCCCAAAAGTGCTTGCCCTGGTTCCTGCACCTGCCCGTCTGCATGCTCCCCCTCCTGTAAGGTGTTTGAGTGCATGGTGGCCAAACAGACCAGCCACACCCCTGCTGCACGTACTGTGAGGGGGATCAGGTAATGCTCTCACTTCAAAATCTCGACATTTGGAGAATACGTTATTTTCCTTAGTAGTCATCCTTTTCAAGTGATCTTTTCAATAATGTAGACGTGATACAGCCATTAAAAAAGCTAGGCCAACTAACCACTACATTTTGCCTGTTTGATCCTCACATTGGTTATCAAATCTTCACATGGCAACTTTCCCTCTTTTTCTTCACTGCGAATAATTTAGGTTTTAAGAACTCTCAATTATCCTTTACAATGTGAATTCTCAATATACAAATAATAAACTGAAAAGGTTACCTTAGAATTTCTTTGAACTTCATGTGCCCTGTAAATAGCTTTGCTTAAAATGTAACCCAGTTTGTACCATCACTAGAAAATCCCTGGGTAAAAATGTAAAAATCCTAGCAATGTTTAAAAGTCAAGGACAAGGTATTACATATTCAGAAGAAGCTATGTTTTTATTATCAGAAAGAGTGATTCATTATTTAAGGGTTGTTCTCGTGTTTATCTGATTTTTTTTTTGTTCAGTGTTTCCATCCTTAAACATTATTTTATTCATCATTAAAACAATACATTTATTCATAAAGTATATTACATTCACAATGAAAGAATTTGTACCTTGTCCTCCATAAGCAAGTCAAGTGCAATTTTTAGAGCTTATGTTCTTAGAAGATGAACAGTAAGCCAATCTTAGTTATTTTCAAAAATATACTGGCAATGGTGTAGTGTTATGCATTTTGAGCAGGATTACCTAGTTAATAATTCTATATTACTCAATATAGCCACTAGATAGCAGTATAAGTCTTTGGAGTCTGATATAAAATACACATAGATAATTTTACAATTATATGTTTGATAATAGCTTGCACTTAATCTCACCAAAAGAAGAAATCTAAGGTGAAAAATTAATGCTTAAAGTCTAAAGTATTTCTGAGATGTGTTCTACTTTGATTTGGTATTTTTCTTCTTGAAATTAAACAATAACCTGGAAGTTAATTTTAACTTGATAATTACCTCAATTGATTTTATTATTCATTAAATACAAAAACATTATATAATTATTACTAAGTATGATACACAACATCAGAAAAATTTGAGATTATTGTTTAATATACATTATATTTTCAATAGTATCATTAAGTTATGTTAATGAAAATATATTGCTCTTTCAAAAATGTGAGTAGGCTTGTTTCAAATAAATTTTTAACGTACACATATATCGAAACAAAATGTAATGGTTTAGACTTTTGATCCTGTTGTGGATGAAGCTCACATTCTCCAAATCTCATAGAAACAACAAAGGAAACAAACATGAGAAGAATCTATAGCATTGTTGGAAAACATAAAAGGATGTTATTAATGAGACAGAAGCATTGGTGAATTTTTGGAAGGTATAAAGTAGAGGTACTTCAGTGGAAATAATTTTAAAACAAAATAAAATAAAATGCATATATGTGTTCTAAAAAATCCAAGATAGGCAAAGAAACAGAGAAGGAGATGAACCAATTTTTCCAATGACAAAGCTTAGTGTGGGAATAGGAATGGGAAGTATGGTAACTAATGAGATTTAGAGACCTGAAACTGTGTTTATACACAGCCTCATGCAATAAGACCAGCTGTCTGCAGTGTTTACTTACAGATTAAAGCTGGCAAAAATGCACTTTACATTAAGTGCATGATGCTTTTCGGAAGATCCTACTTTTGGGTATTGGGGCTTGAAAGAGACTCTGGCTGTATTTAAAGTATTTTGAGACTACCACAAAGTGTTTACAAAATGAAATTATTTTTGTAACAGGAAGGAAAAGTCCCAGAGCTTAATATAGGGAACATGTATTAAGACTGGAAAAACTGTGCTCTGGGTCAATGAACATTGCAGTTTATACATGTGTGAGTGACAATGCCAAAGGGACATAGGTTTCCTTAGGAGGCCAATGTAATTAGGCAAAGGGGGCAAGTCCTTTATAGAATATTCTCTGTTAGAACTGCAATTTTCAAATTAGCTTTTATTTCTTGAACTATACAATTTATTTTTTTCTTTTTCAAAGCCTTTAAGACCTTGAGTTTACAGCTTAACTGTTCATCACTATCATACTTGACATAAATAAAAAACTTTTGGCAGGGTGTGGTGGTTCATGTCGGTAATTCTAGCATTTTGGGAGGCTAAGGTGGGAGGATTGCTTGAGACCAGAAGTCTGAGGTCATCCTGGGCAACACAGGGAGACCCTGTCTCTAAAATAAATGAATGAATGAATAAATAAATAAATAAATAGCTGGGCACAGTGGCATATACCTGTAGTCCCAGATGCTCAGGAGGCTGAAGTGGGAGGATCACTTGAGCCCAGGAGGTCAAGGCTGCGCTGAGCTGTAATTACATCGCTGCATTCCAGACTGGGCTAAAAAGTGAGACCCAGTCTTAAAAAAAAAAAGAAAGAAAGAAAGAAAAGAAAAAAGCTTTTGCTCAATCACTTTGTCAAACAAGTACCGTCAAGAGATTACCAAAATTTTAATAATAACTAACATATATTTAAATCTTACTATATGTCAGTCACAGTCCTAAAAACCCTCTTTAGATTCATTTTAAAAAATTGTTTTTTATATAACCCAGTGATGGAGGTACTACTTTCCCCACAAGAGCACTACAGCAAAAAAGCTAGATAATTTGTGGTGACTTGTAACCCAGGTATGTCAGTTTTGCAACCCATACCTGTACTATTTGTGGTAGACAGAATAATGGCCCTCCCAAAGGCTATGTCCTAACCCTTGGAAACTGAATATGTCATATTTCCACAAAAAAAGGGCAGAATAATATGATTTGGCTGTGTCTCCAACCGAATGTCATCTTGAATTGTAGCTCCCATAATCTCCACATGTCTTGGGAGGGACATGGTGGGAGGTAATTGAAACATGGCGGCAGGTCTTTTCCATGCTGTTCTCATGATAGTGAATAAGGCTCATGAGATCTGATGGTTTTAAAAGGGGGAGTTCCCTTGCACATGCTCTCTTGCCCATTGCCATGTAAGACGTGACTTTTCTCCTCATTTGCTTCTGCCATGATTGTGAGGCCTCCCGAGCCATGGGGAACTGTGAGTCAATTAAACCTCTGTCCTTTATAAATTACCCAGTCTCTGGTATGTCTTTATTAGCAGTGTGAGAACAGACTAATACAGTAAATTAGTACTGGTAGAATGGGGTACTGCTGTAAGCATAACCAAAAACGTGGAAGCTACTTTGGAATTGGGTAATAGGCAGAGGTTGGAACAGTTCAGAGGGTTCAGAAGGGGACAGGAAGATGTGAGAAAATTTAGAATTTGCTAGAGACTTGTTGAATGGCTTTGACTAAAATGCCGATAGTGGTATGGACAATGAAATCCAGGTTTAGGTGCTTTCAGATGGAGATGGGGTGCTTTTTGGGAACTGGAATAAAGGTGACTCTTGCTATGTTTTAGCAAAGAGACTGGTGCCATTTTGCCCCTGCCTTAGAGATTTGTGGTACTTTGAACTTGAGAGAAATGTTTTAGGGTATCTGGTGGGAGAAATTTCTAAGCAGCAAAGCATTCAAGAGGTAATTTGGGTGCTGTTAAAAGTTTAATGTATTTACGAATATATGGTTTGGAATTGGAACTTATGTTTAAAGGGGAAGCAGAGCATAGAAGTATGGAAAATTTGCACCAACAGAGAAGAAAACCTCATTTTCTGGGAAGAAATTCAAGCCTACTGCAGAAATTTGCATAAGTAACAAGGAACCGAGTGTTAACAGCTAAGACAATGGGGAAAATGTCTCCAGGGCATGTCAGAGACCTTTGTGGCAGCCCCTTCCACCCCAGGCCTGGAGGCCTAGGAGGAAAAAATGGTTTTGCGGGCCAGACTCAGGGCCCCCGTTTTGTGTGCAGCCTAGGGACTTGGTGCTCTGCATCCCAGCTGCTCCAGCTGTGGCTATAAGGTGCCAAGGTGCAGCTCAAGCCATGGCTTCAGAGATGCCAGCCCCAAGTCTTGGTAGCTTTCACATAGTGTTGAGACTGTGGGGGGATGGAAATCAAGAATTGACGCTTGAGAACCTCTGCCTAGATTTTAGAAGATGAATGGAAACGCGTTGATGTCTAGGCAGAGGTGTGCTGCAGGGGCAGAGCCCTCATGGGGAACCTCTGTTAGGGCAGTGCAGAAGGGAAATGTGAGGTCCAAGCCCCCACACAGAACCCCCACTGGGGCACTGCCTAGTGGAGCTGTGAGAAGAGGGCTACCATCCTCCAGATGCCAGAATGGTAGATCTACCAGCAGTTTGCACTGGGCACCTGGAAAAGCTATAGGAACTGAATGCCAGCCCATGAAAGCAGCCAGGAAGGGGGCTGTATCCTGCAAAGTGACAGGATCGGAGCTGCTGAAGGCTATGGGAGCCCACCTCTTACATCTACATGACCTGGATGTAAGACATGAAGTCAAAGAACTCATTTTGGAGCTTTAAGATTTGACTGCCCCACTGGATTTCAGACTTGCAAGGGGCATGTAATCCCTTAATTTTGGCCAATTTCTTCTGTTTGGAATAGGAGTATTTACCCAATGCCTGTACCCTCCTTGTATCTGTATTTACCCAATGCCTGTATCCTCCTTGTATAGGAAGTAACTAACTTGCTTTTGATTTTACAGGCTCATAGGCAGAAGGAACTTGCCTTGTCTCCAATGAGACTTTGGACTGTGGGCTTCTGAGTTAATGCTGAAATGAGTTAAGACTTTGGAGGACTGTTGGGAAGGCATGATTGGTTGTGAAATGTGAGGACATGAGATTTGGGAGGGGACAGTGGTGGTTTGGCTATGTCCCCACACAAATCTCATCTTGAATTGTAGCTCCCATAATTCCAACATATGGTGGGAGGGAGCTGGTGGGATGTAATTGAATCATGGGGGTAGGTCTTTCCCATGCTGTTCTTGTGATAATAAATAAGTCTCACGAGATCTGATGGTTTTAAAAAGGGGGAGTTCCCCTACACACGCTCTCTTGCCTGCCACCATGTAAGATGTAACTTTGCTTCTCCTTTGCCTTCAGCCATGATTGTGAGGCCTCCCCAGCCATGTGGAACTGTGAGTCAATTAAACCTCTTTCCTTTATAAATTACCCAGTCTCAGGTATGTCTTTCTCAGCAGCATGAGAACGGACTAATACAACATGGCAAAGAAGAATTAAGGTTGCAAATAGAATTAATGTTTCTATTTAACTGACTTTAAAATGTGGAGATTATCCTGGATGATCCAGGTGGGTCCAGTGTAATCACAGAGGTCTTTAAATGGAAGAAAAGGAAGGTAGAAGAGAAATAGACAGACAGCAGTATGAGAAGGACACAGTCCATTATCTCTGGTTTTGAAGACAGAAGAAAAGGCCACAAGCCATAGAAAGTGGGCAGCCTTTAGAAGTTGGAAAAGGCACAGAAACAGATTGTCCTCTACAGCCTCCAGAAAGAATACAGCCCTGCCAACACCTTGATTTCACCAAGTGATTAAGAAGGATCTTATGAGGATAACAGCTTTGAGACTTATCAGCAGCAATAGAATAAATGTATATGTTTGGAATCCAATGCTATTTGGATAACTAAGTTCTAGTGAAAGTTAGCCTTACTCATGTTAGACAACAAACATGAACAGATTAAATAGCTGATTACATATAATAAAAGCTAACTAAATTTTGAAGAAAGAAATAGAAGACTTCTAGGAGAGAATGGAGAGCAGATCTTGGAAGAATATATCAAGACAGGCTAATATAACAAATGAAGTTAGACAAAATAAGTGTGGATGAAATGATATAAAGTTATAATTTCTCTTTTTTTCCCAGCCCAAAATACTGAAAGACTCCTGAACATTCAGAAGTTCTCTTAACCACAGTCAAGATCTTTTTGACATCTTCAGTAAATATAATAAAGATGATTCAGTATTTTAAGGCACTGAATCTGTATTTGAGTACAGAATAACCCAGGTTAACACAGCTATCTACCCTATACTTCATTTTGAATCAAGTTTACATTATGTCAGAGATTCTGAGACAAGTGTCATCATTAAGATAATTTAGTAAGCAGCTGTATATATACTTGACTATGTGTATGAAATAACATTAATGAATAGAGTGATAAATCTTTCCCATTCTGGAAAAATCAGCAATGAAAGATTTAATGATTTAGTTCCATGAACATTACATAAAGAGATGGGTGAACATTAATTGTGTTATGTTTATTACATATTTTCTATTACTTTAGAATAAAAACATCATGATTTCTGAATAGAAATTGCACTTCATCAGATTATTTAGTTGATGCTACATGGGAAAGAAAAGTAAACTATCTCAGACCAGGAAGCATGAGTCTGTTTTATATGAAGCTCTAGCCAGTAGCAGCATTTTGAACTATTTTTTCTTGTGTACAACATACTGTCAAAATCATTCTTTTGTGCGAACAGCAAAATATATAAATGGAGAAGAAGATTTTGCCATTGGTATTGTACTTTCTGTTCATATTTCTGCATTTTAAACGCCTGCCAGTGTCTTTGTGTAAGAACAAAACTAAAGCAAGGCTAACAGGTCAGAAACCTGACCTACTTTCTTCATTTTTTCTGCTTGATAGTGCATGGAAAAGCTTTAGAAAAGTAAATCTCAGTAGTTTCAAAAATTTGAAAATTATAGAAACAGACAACGAAGATGTATTCTAGTGTCAGCCATCCCTAGAAAACAACAAGACAGCTATTTACATATGATACCTAGAAGGTTTGTGAATATTTTCAGAAAATATTCAAATACGCCTGCCCAAATGAAGAATGATTTTCATAGACAAACTCTAGTTACTGGTTGTTTTCTCTTTGTTATAAAATCCTAGTATGTAGAACCTAATTTATTCATTCATTTCACAAAATTTATTGAAAGACAATCGCAGGATATTAGCTGTGTATTCATTCATAACATGGCCTTTGCCCTTAAGAATTTTTCTATAACATTATCACACTCATAGTTATGGGTCCTATAGTAAATGCTGAGATATGTATATTCACGGGACCCTAGGAACATTGGAAACCATCGTAACAGTAATATTTGAGTTTAGTTTTGAAGGACGCCTTGCAGTCTTCCAAGCCTTTTAAGGCAAGGAGAGTGAACACGCAGAGTGTGGTAATGGTGCAGAGCACAGGGCTATGCAGGATGATTTGGGACTAAGCTAGAATGTGTGTGGCTAGGAAGGATGATTAAGCTTTAGACCAGTTAAAGTAATAATAGCAGCTGTACTAGATACTCCCTAAGATATTAATGGCTTAAGAATAAAAAAGGGATTTCTCATTCACCTATAGTCCAAAATGCATATTCCTAGTTGTGCTGGGTAGGGGCTCTGGCCAACTTGATCTTTCGGGGATCCTAGCTGTTGGAAGCGCCCTCATCTTTAACTTACAGTTTCTGACGTAGTGCTAGGCATCAATATAGAGCTGGCAGCCTGTTCCAGAAATGGTTTAGATCACTTCTGCCTCTATTGTATTGACTAGGACTCAGTCATTTGGCCATGTCTAATTGCAAGGAAGGCTTGGCAGTGTAGTCTCATTGTCTGCCCAGGAGGAAAGGAAAATGACAAATAGCTGGCCAGTCTCTGTCATGGGCTTGACATGCTATTCTAAGGGAGACTGGTGATTTTCTCATGTTGGGGAGTCTCACTGTCAGATTTGCTACTTATGAGTTCACTTGGGTAAAATATGAAGGTTATACTAGAGTTGGATAAGACTAATGAGGGGGAAGCTAGGTCATGGAAGCTGGTGATTAGAACACGAAGGCAGTGGCAGCATCTTAGGAGAGTAGAGGTAAAACACAGAATACATTTTTGGGATAGAGTCGGCTGAATTAGGATGCTGAGCTAAGGTACAGGGAAGAGAAGAGGATGACTCAGCATATTATTGGGAGAATGTATTGATGGCGACATGATTAACTGAAGTCAAGAACATGTCAGGTGAGGCAGGAGTACATATGAAAAAGACAAGTGCAATTTTGGAAATGTTAAGTTGGCAGTTTTCACATGACATCTGAGTGGAAATGTCCAGTGAGTGAATGAAGCCACAGACATGAATCTCAGGACAGTGCATGAGATACACTTCCATGGGGAAGAGCAGTCAACAAATAGTCTATAGCTAAATGACCAGAAGCAAGCACCCCAAAGGATACATGGAGTGAAATAATCATTCTGTAGGTCCTACTTCTCCTACCTCTGTAAAAAATGGAAATGAGGACTTTCCACATTGGCAATTAAGAATACTATCTGTCTTACTTGAGTTGTTGTAGAGATTACATCATCCACATGAGGCATTGCAAAATCATCATTGACTTTGAGTGCCTTTGACTATTGGGGGGAAGGTCTCCATTACCCTTCACACCTATCTCTGCTTTTAACAATTCTCTGTTCTACAAGCAATGCTTTTCTTTACGTGCTACCTAGTTGTTCTGCTGTAATTTCTCTGAAACTAAACGAAACTGCTCCTTGCACTAATTGCAGATTTTATGCAGTCATGCTTTACAGTGCGGTGCCTACTGCCTGATATTGTAATCGCCTCTCAGAATTCTAATGATAATATTCTTTACCAAGTGATTGCTTTGTTCATGGTTGCCACACTTAAAAACATAATAAAAATTAAAATAAAAAAATCAAAGCTAAAAATCTAAGACAAATGTATCAATTTTTTTTAAGATAAAAAGGACAATATATCTAAAAGAGCTTTCATGCTGATTTATAGTGTACTCTTTCCTTAAATTGTTCTCCCCTGGCTCCCCTCAGTTTGAAAAAAATTAGTGCTATTTTATCATATGAGACATTACATTGAAAAGAACTAATTTAACTTTCAAGTGCGGTTGAAATTTATTATTTATCACTTTCCAGACAATTTAAGATAGCAATTCTGATTTTGCCAGCCTGTTCAGTAAGTCTCTGCTGGGTGTAAAGGATACTTCCCCTGGAACTTGACAAGAGGGGAACGGAAACACTCCTCGCTCTACAATTATAGAATGAGCCTGATGTGAGTTAGAAAAAGTCATGAAACTCACTTAGAAGCACAGACTGACCCTCTGAACACAGCAAGACTAGACTAAAGCTAATGAATGACTGAGTCAGTCAGAAGAGCTGTAGTTGGCAAAGCACCAAAGAGACAGGCTTATTTCTCTAGAAGACAGGGGGCCCTGACAAAGACTGAATCTCTCTCAGTGACAGATATCAAGTGAACTGTGGAGACTGCTATCTCCCATTATGGTTTAGTGCCACTAAACATACAAATCATACAAATAACTTTTCTTGTTCTGATTACATAATCATCAAGCAACCTTTTGATTATAATTTGGCTTCTAATGGCTTTTTCAACAGGGAGGGAATGTTCTGGCCAGAGAATGCATATCTTCATCTTCTCTCCCCTTGGCAGATGTATTCTTCCATGTAAGCTAATAAATTAGGCAATTTAGTTCTAGTTCATTTCATGAGAGTGAATTGGTATGAATGTCTTAGAATCATCTGTTTTGTGACGATAAAAATCAAACTTCTGAGGCTTGCAAAGTGGAGAACCGAAGCAAACACCAAAAAATATATGATCCTTTCGGGTCTGTTGGAAGAAAGCCAACAAAGAGACCTTCTTCTTTCAACATCCTTACAACCAATGTCATTTAAGTATCAAGATTAACAGATACTTAGTAACTTCAGCATAAGAATATTGACAACTTGTGAGCATGATTGTTATTTAAGCATTATAATAGCTAACAGTTATGCAGCCTGTGCAAAACTAAACTGTTTAGTTCAAACAATGAATAGAAGGTGCAAATTTTATGGACCTGAACACTTTTAAAAGCACAGATATTTATTATTTTGCCAACCAGAGTGTTGTGATTGACTCTCAGATATCTCCTTTCCCCAGTCCCACTGTGGGTGAAATGTGAGTTAATTTCTCCTTCTAGGATAGCTAAATAACTTGGCCTCAAAACAACAACAACAACAACTACAGCAACAACAAAAATCCAGAAAACAAGCAAACAAAAAACTCTACAAAGAACCCAAATTCATCAAATATAAATTCCCCCAAATATAACCGAATAACTCTCTTATTCACACCCCAAATAATTTAAATTTTAGTATTTAAAACCATATTTTAACTGGAGTGAAAAATACATATTTTAACTTTTTTCATTTATTGTCCTTTCTATCACACTTTGAAAAACAAGAGTACGATAGTTTAGTAGACTCAAGTATTTCATAGACCTGTTCTGACCAGTAATCATTATTTTTGTACCTAACGAAATGCACTATATATGAAGGAAATTATTTGAAATACATGAATTTTAAGTAAAAATATGTTAGAAGTAAAATTAAGCTATTCTGATCATAAGTGAAAATAGAAAAATAAACACTATTGGTCTGGTCTTTTATTCCCCAGATATTAATTATTTCCAGGAGAATTGTATATACCATTAACCATTGCTACTCATGAGTCCATTTCATGCAGCAGCCACCACTCAAATATTCTAACAAGCATATACAATTATTATATTTTTAATTGATAGCTTTCAGTAATTACCACATGGGAAAGCCAAGCCCTCATGATATTTTTTCCAGGTAGTGAGAATTAATGTTTAATGCTTATACTATCTTTGGATGGCCAGAGGAATATGCGTACAGCAACTGGATAATTTGTTGTATATTTTAGAATCACTACATTTGTAATCAATCTTATTTTACTTTAAGCTCAGGAGGAACATAAAGTTGTATTATGTGAAGTTTAAAAAACTTCCTAGTAGTTCACACAGTCCTACTTTCTCAACATAATTGTGTATTTTTAAAACATTTACTTTTGCCATCATGGTATATTGATTTCAAAAAAGAATATTAGCACGAAAGTACTGAGGAAAAAATGGATACACATTTCAGAAATGGATACTAGACAGTGAAAATAGAGGAAATTACAGTTACCTATCTCTCACACATTGTTACTTGTGACAAGTGGAATTGCACCTATTGTAAAGGTTTGATAACTGCTTATTTTCTAGTAGGCATGTGCATAGATATATGTATGTTTGAAGTCACATCTGCAGAAATGCCCTTTCTTATGAACAATTATAAAATTATTGTTTTTTAGTCTTTTAACCCACTCGACTTTATTTTGATTTTAAAAATAATATACTGTCTCATTTTTATAGAAACAAATTTTTACAAAAATTGTGAAAGCCAAGTATTCTATTTATTCTTTTATTTTCTGGAATAAAAGTTGCATACACAAAAACACAGTAAAACTTGTTGTTAGCTGTTTTTATATTTCCATTGTAGTATTCAACTAAAACATGAAGCAGTAGTGTGTGGGTCACAGAGCCTTAATATTATACCTGTGGGTGGGTTTGTTGCTTCCAGAAAGAACTTTGTTTTGGTCACCAGTGAGCCATTGTTTGAATTCAATAACGAATAAGCACCTATAGGTATACGCTGAGTTGTTTTGAATACAAGAATATATTTTTGTTTTTAAATATATCTAAACAAATAATATCAATAACTACATTTTATTGAGTACTTATTTTGACAGGCAGGCACTGCATTAAGTTTTACAGATACATATATATTTTTAATTTAATCCTGATACAAGTATCGTAAGGAAGATGTAATCCCCACAGTACAGAGGGAAATGGGGTGTTTAGAGGTCAATTTGCTCACAGTCAGAGTGGTAAGAAGTGACTACAACTCATTCTCATTTCTGTGTGATTCTAAAACATAAGCTCTATCTGCCACCAGTGCAGCAGATACTAATACATTGGTTATGACTATGCATAAGCACAGATAGGGCATACTGAAATAAAGAGTTATTTTTGTATGTTTTGGAATCATTCCCAATATTTTATGTGATACTTCACATACTAGCAATAGATATGTACTGAATATCCAAATTTCTTTCCATTATTGGGAATATTTTCAAAGAGCTCAGAGAATTATTATAATAGCAAGATAACATGTGATATGGGGCAAAATTTAGATATCTGAGGACTGAAAAATTATTCAAACCTTCCCCAAGTTATGCAATCTCTTTTCTTATAAACAACAATTTACAGTATAGTAAAATTGTGAAAACAAATGCTTGCAATTTTTAAAGTGGATAGATATCAAAAGAAACAAAGCGTGTATTTAGAATGCCATCTATTCTAAAATATATTTAAATTCTGTTTCTAGCTTGTCTCTACTACTTCTTTTGGGAAAAAGGAAAATAGAATCTAAAAAGGATCATAAGGAAGGGAGAAGGAGGAGTGAGTGAAACCTTATGGGTGAGCAGAGGAAAGTGGAAAAATGCATTCTATATTCAAACTTTTCTGTTTTCATTAAATGCTCCCACCTCAAACAGAACCTGTTACTGGATGTAGGAGGGGATCCTCAGCACATTTACTGTTACCTGTTCTCCAAATTGCGACAATGATCAAAATGCCTGTGTATAGTTCTTGATAAATGGAAAAAGAATTCTGTCATGGAGCTTCTAAATGATTATTAGAAACATGTCTGAGTTGTATTGTCAGACTGGCTTAGATTTTAAGCCCTAGAGGAACAAGATTGATGTCTCTTCGGGTGAAGATGACAGAAGAAAACAGCAACACTTAATAAAAATAGCAGTAGAAACATAGCAGGGAAAAAGAAACCCTCAAATCTCAGATTGCAAAGTGAACAAAGTCCAGTGCCTGTTATAGAACTCCATTACCAGTGTTGGTATGAGTTTCAATGGGAGCCTGCATTTAAAATATATTCTCTGGATTGCACATTCTTGGATAAATGTTCACATGAAGCAAATAAGATTATTCACAGTCGAATTCTTAGTGGCTAATAAAATTACCCACTTTCTTCAGCGATATTAATCAGTGGTTGTTCCAATATGCCTGAACAAACAGAGCACCTGACTGTAGATTAACTGCATCTAATGATGGCTTGTGAATATTAGCGTATCAGCAAACCATATGGTAAATTAGACTTCTCTCTGGTAATTTACCAGAAGGAAGCCAAAATAATTAGAAATCATTCTCAATAACGGCAGTTGCACACAGCCACACAGTTACTGAAATGAAACGGTTTTCAGAAATGTCTGCTTTGCAGGTATATCCCAAATGACAGGCTACAAACTAGCTGCTTATATGACACATCATCATGCAAAATGGGCTTACAGAATAAATTTTAAACTGTGAGGCTGTTGCCATCTGCTTTTTCTATCAAATTGACTTGGAAGGTTTTCGTTTGTTTCTTTGCTTTGTGGTCAGGTAAACTTGCCCTGATCATGAGGGTAGCTGAATATAGCCTGTGACATCCATTAGACAGTGATGGAAATCAACTATCAGTTGTCCAGTTTATTTTTTCCAGTGATACGTTCTATTACATCAATTATATTGAAAAACATAAATAATTTTAAATTATTAATAGTATAAATATGAAGATACTGCGGATCAGTGCTTCTCAATTTTTTAATGTGCTTCTGAATCATCTGGGGGTCTTGGTAAAATGCAAATTATGATTCAGTAGGTCTAGGGTGGGCTCAAAACTCTGCATTTCTAACAACCTTCCAGGTGATGCTGATGCTGCTGGTCTATGGATCACACTCTGAGTAATAAGGTGACGGATGCTCTATAATTCACTAAGAAAATTCGTGCTCACAAAAATATGACATTAATTTGCACTGTCTTTTTTGCCAGAAGCAGTAAATATTATTTATTTATTTATTGGCTTCCTATCCTTCAAACTTTTTGAAAACCAGAGTGAATCTCACCCAATTCAGGCCCTATATGTTATATAGGCAAAAAAGTCCTAAAATATTACTTATTGCTACATTTAATCCATAAATATATCGGAATCTACACTGGGTGAGACACAGGAAACAGAGATACTAGGCTCCAGATGCCACGAAGCTTGTAAATAATCCAGTTGAAGAGACAAACAGACTGAATCTTACAAATACATACAACAGAACATGAAAGATACAAGGGGATCGGACCTAGCAAGGCCTCTCTGAGAAACTATTAGTTGAGCTCTGAAATACATGAATACATGTAGGTGTTCTTGAGTAGAGTGGTAAGAGACGGCATTGAACAACTGAAGAATAAGCCCATAGTCCTTGCAATCACGGGTGAAATGATGGAGGGAGTGAGTGATGCAGAGATAAGGCTAAGAAGGTGAGTAGAAACCGTATCCTGGAAAGCCTTGTAAGGCCTGCCAAATATTTAGGAAGGAAGCTCGGGTTAGAAGGAAAGATGCTTACAAGTTTCAGCTACTTTAGATAAACATTTATAAAAGCTCCTTCATGCTTCTGTATGCTAAATGAATTGGAACAATGATGGATTTGAAAGTTAAGCAGTTACTGAAGGGCTCCAGGCTAAAGTTCATGGTGGCTTAGAAAAGTCAGTGACAGTAGAGATGGAGAGCATCATTTAAGACGGCTCACTTAATCTTTTTTTTTTTTTTTGAGAAAGAGTCTCACTCTGTTACCCAGGCTGGAGTGCAGTGGCGCGATCTTGCCTCACTGCAACCTCCGCTTCCTGGGTTCAAGCGTTTCTCTTGCCTCAGCATCCCAAGTAGCTGGGGCTACAGGAATCCACCACCACGCCAGCTGATTTTTGTACTTTTGGTAGAGACGGGCTTTCACCATGTTGGCCAGGCTGGTCTCGAACTCCTGACTTCAAGTGATCCACCCACTTCGGCCTTCCAGAGTGCTAAAACTACAGGCGTGAGCCACTGCGCTCGGCCTCATTTAATCTTTTGACATCTCTAATAGTTAGCAGTTTTTAGTTTATGTTGACTAAAAAGCTACCTTCCTATAACTTGACTCTGTGGGGAGGGGTTTCCTGATCAAATAAGTTTTCTTCTTAATAGCTCCTCAAATATTTCATGATAGATATCCTGTCTTCTGTGTTTTCCCCCTATACATGTGCAGGCACCTCCACAGTGCTCTCATAGCATGGCTTCAGTTCCTTCACCATACTGAATAATGTGGTATACCATAATTTATCAGAGTCCCCTATCTGGAGCCATGAACTAGTCTCACTAGATGTTGTCCAACCAGTGAAAAATATGACTATTAGCTTTCTCACTTTGGATACTATGCAAATATTATTGCTGTTTTTTGATAGGCACATTATGTTGTTAATGTGTTGAACTTAATATATCAACAATGCTCATCCAAAATTTTCTAAGCTGTCTTTTGCAGACCTACTACCATGAGGTGTTATACATTTGCCTTAGATTTATTTGATATCTGTACAGCTTCTGTGGACTTTGCACAGAAGGCAAGTATTCCTTCATATACATGGAATCTTTTTTTTTTTTTTTTTTTTGGACAGAGTCTTGTTCTGTTGCCCAGGCTGGAGGGCAGTGGCATGATCTTGGCTCTTTGATATGTATACTGGTAAGCCCTGAGGTAGGGAAGATTTTACAATTCCCCAAATATCTCCAACTTTTTCTACCTTTATGACTAATGGCACCAGTCTCGGTCCTGTTTAGATCTTTTGAGTAACTGATAATATGATCTCATACGTATGCTTTACCTCTTAGCATCTTGTCAGCTCCAAATCTGAGACTTGTATTATCATACTCGGGTACAAGCCAGTGATGTATGAGTTATTCAGGGCTGGGCCAATGAATGAGTGCTTCCGCAGCAGGTTCTAAGGTGATGCTAATGGAACCAACAATCTGCTCTCTGACACATGTTCCCTCGCTCAACCAAAGTGCAAACCAACGAGCTATACTTTGATTCAGCCAATATTTCTCCATCGTGCTCACTAGGCTGCTGTGCAAATGTAACAGATAATTTGCTGAAGCAAAAATTTCACACCTACTATTTTTCTGTCACTTATCAGTCAATAGTAACACTAAAAAAATGAGCTGATATTTCTGTGGGAGGGAAACTTAGGACAAAAGAGGTGGAGAGACTTGTAAAATAAGACAAAAAGATGGTGATAAAACTGGCTATAAAAACATGTAAATATCTGGATTCTTACTATAATGCTCTTTCCCTCTGCCCTTTTTTTTTTTTTTCAGATGGAGTTTTGCTCTTGTTGCCCAGGCTGGAGTGCAATGGTGCCATTTCAGCTCACTGCAACCTCTGTCTCCTGGGTTCAAGTGATTCTCCTGACTCAGCCTCCCGAGTAGCTGAGATTACAGGCATCCACCACCACGCCCAACTAATTTTGTATTTTTTTAGTAGAGACGGTTTCACCATGTTGGCCAGGCTGGTCTCGAACTCCTGACCTCAGGTGATCCACCTTCTTAGCTTCCCGAAGTGCTGGGATCACAGGCGTGAGCCACCACACCCGACCTCCCCTCTATTTTACTTGTGAGTTTGAATGCCCAAGAAGCAATCACGGAAAAACATGGCAACATCTCACAGAAAACTCCAAAGGCTTACTGCATGGGCTGTCATTGATTTACTATTTATTCTGTATTGAAATTACCTTTATGTTTTAGTCAGAGGATGGTCTCTTGAGTTTTTAGGCTTTTATGTTTTTTAAACAGGAAAATACAGTCATAAGAATCTTCAGTATATCACTTATACCCTATAAATCTGTGCTGATATTATAGCTATAAAATCTCTGGCTAAGCATACACTAATAATAAACTAATCACCCTACATTGGCTGAGAGAAGATTAACAAAATAAACAATTCCTACCTAACATGGAACTTAGCACCTGCTGTTATACAGTAAATATTTAAACTCCATTGTCTTGCCTCAACTGAGAAAGGTTTACAGCTGCAGCATTTTTCAAGTTACGTGAGTCCCATGTAATGGTATATGTGCTAAGAAACATCTTCAGCTGCACTTTCCCCAGCTGGGGCTCTCCAGGAACAATTGTCACTTTGATGATAATTTGTCAAAGCCTGGACACATGTAAGTCATAGACTAGACATACAAGTATATATGAATATATTTCTATTGGTTTCATCATTTTATTTGGATTCTCAGGCCACCATTAAAAAAAAAAAAGAATCCTTCACCTGCTCAGTGTTTTTTATCCCTAACTAGGAAAGAAAGTGAGTTAAAAATAGCTATGTAATTTTGTATACTCTCCAAAGTAGTTTTTTTAAGCATAGAATTAAAAATCTTTTTATTTTTAATTATTTTTGATCGTCTTAACTCACTCTTACCCATCTATCAATCAGACAAAATGTGATAAAAATACACAGCTGGTTTCCTTAGCAATTATTCCTCAAATATACATTTTATTAAAGTGTAAAACACATGCAAGTGTCATCTTAGATAATTTTTACAAGTGAACATACCACGCAACCTAATCAAGAAATGAAACATTTTTAGTATCTTTATGCCTCTTACCAGGCACTACCCTTCCAAGGATAACCACTATGCTGATATACAGCACATAGGTTACTTTTAAGAAAAGTATGTAATACAGTGTATACTGGCTTCTTTTGTTCCATATTACATTTGTGAAAATCATCTGTGTTGCGTGCAGCATTGCTTTAAGGCTGTTGTGTGAAAATGCTACAATTCTTGTATTCATTCTATTCTTGATGGTCATTTGATTTTATTTCAATTTGGGACAATTACAAATAATTTGGCCATGCACATTTTTTTGTACATATATAATTTTTTTATATTTAAAGAATTACAGATTCACAAGAAGTTGCGAAATATGTACAAGGCAGTCCTGTGTACCTCTTACCCAGTTTCTTCCAATGATAACTACAATAGCAAAGACAAGAAATTGACGTTAGTACAATCCACAGAGCTTGCTCAAATTTCATCAATTTTCTATATTTTTTGTGTGTGTACTCTTATGCAAGTTTGTCCCTTGAGCCGTTGAATATTACCACCATGTAATGTTAATATGTGCTAATAAACATCTTCAGGTCTCAGATACAGAACTATTCCATTACCATAAAGATCCTTTGCGCTATGCCTTTACAGCCACACCCTTCCTAATCCTAACTCCTCGCAACCACTAACCTTGTTCTCCATCTCTATAGTTTTATTTCAAGAATACCGTAGAAATGAAATTTCTACGTACGTGAGTAGCAAGCTTGAGGATAATATTTGAGCTGAACTTTGAAGCTGGGGTAGTGTTTGTAGGTGCAGAATGAATCCTGGTAGACAGACTGGTACCATTAGTCATAAAGGTAAGAAAACTTGGAGATATTTGGGGTATTACTAACTCTTCCCTGCCTCATGGCTTATCAATGTATGTATCAAAGATTCCATGTGCATGAAGGAATACTTACCTTCTTGCTATTTAGGCTCACAGACTCCCCAATGGCTTCACTGAACTTTCTTCAGACTGCAGGGTAGTTTCAGATGCTCCCACCCAATATTCTCTCCTATATGCATTTTTCCTAATAAATCTTTGCATATTTAATTGTCTTGCCATCTGCATCTCATAAGAACCAGACTAGCCCAATGCCTACTCCATAACTTATTAAACATTCTCTTATTGATAGACTTTTTGACAGTTTATTTTTATTTTTTATTTTTGGTCTACATAAATAATATGGTAATAAATATCTTCTAATTGCATCTTGTGTATTGGTAGGTTTCTTTTTTGGTTGACTAAGTTCCCAGAATGAAATTGCGTAAAGGGTATGTATATTTTAAATTTAAATAAACGCAGTCAGATTGCTGTCATGAAAACATTAAAACCTAAATACAACTTAGAAAATCCCATGTTATTAATGAAGTACTTTTCTCATCCAGAAGAGACAACAGAGCAAAAGTATAGACTAATGAAACAAATTTCTTAATGTGATGTCTGCAATCTGTGTCATTGCTACACAAAAACCTTTGTAGCTGTATATAAAGTAATGTCAATTAATGATATAGATGTATAATAGCAATTAATAATTGATATAGAATATGGATTACTGCTTATCTTGATTGCTAGCATTTACAACAATGGGAAAGCCAAAGAAAGATATAAAATAGAAATAATCTTGATGTTTACTTTTATTCAGCAAGTTTTATAAATTATTCATGTTCAAAGAGTAACATGTACATATTTGTGTCATCTATAGTTATATTTTATTAATTTTTCCTTTTTAAAATTTGCAAAGATTAGTAAAACCAGACAGTAGCTGCAAATTTCAAATCCACTGGATCATAGAGTACTTTAAAAAATAATATAGAAACTTACTGTGTTACATCTAGTTCATCAATATGCATATCTGGAAACTTGCACTGCAATTTGATCATAAGCATCAATTAAATAAATAGAGCAACTATCTGGAACAAATGGCATTTTCTATGATGTTTATTGTAAACAGTTCTGGGTAGCTAAATTTTTTTATCAAAAATGAATACCTGCATCATTGTCAAATGCCATTTGTGGTTAAATGGAATTTGCATAAGATAGCTCTTTTTTGGTATGTTTTCCAAGTAATTACCTTACTAATGTATCAAAAAGAAATATTATGCCTCTTCCTAATAGACATGGATATTGAACTATGAAAAATGAGGATGTAATGTGATAGTATTTACAAACCACTACAGAACAATATTATTTTAGATTAGTATTTTTATGAGTCCTTTTATATATTCTGCTAAAAATATCAAAATGCCATTTCATTCTATACAGCCACACTATATCAGGTTGAAATTAAAGTTTCAACCTATAATTACTCAGAGGAAGAAAAACAAACCTAAGAGCTGTTTTAAAGTATATTAATCTGACGAGATAATCAAAGGCAGATCTTTTCACACTCACTTCTTGCTAGTATGTGTAGCAACTGAGATGTACCCCATTCTTACTACAAAAATCTTTAGTGAGATTTTAAAAATTATCCCTTTAATAAAAACTCAGTTTTTCAGATAAAAAAGAAAAAAGAACGAAAAGAAGAAACAGAGAAAAAAAGAAAGAAAGAAAGAAAGAGAAAAAGAAAGGAAGAAAAGAAAGAAAGAAAGTAAGAGAAAACAAAGAAAGGAAGGAAGGAAGGAAGAAGAAAGACAAAGGGAGGGAAAGAAAGAAACAAGCTGTAACATTTTTGTATACAACTAGGTGAGAAGTTAATTAGGTGTTATTTTAAGTTTTTCTGATGAAAATGGACAGTTGAAATCGTCTCTGTGGAACCCCATTTCCTTTCTTCACCCTTTCCACTCTGCTCCACGCTTCTGGGGCTGAATGAATGAGCTGCATCAATGGTTCTCTTGACCTCTGGCTTCTGGTGAGTTTTGGCCAGTGACTTTTGAGAATTTCTGATGGGCCTGATTTTCCCAGCCATAATCTAATGGTCAAAAATTAAGAGTGCTCCATAAAGACAAATAAAAGTATAAAAATAGAAGTTGGGACATTGTTTTATGGTATTTGTTCACAATGATTCAATTTGTATCTTTCCAATAATTGTGTTATTAATCTACCTAGGCATTTTATTACAGTATCACATATTCTCCAATGCTTTTAGTACCCTCTAGAATTAGATTTCTCGTATTCCTAGCCAATAAATTGTTGGGTAAACTCCAATGTTTGCTGTTGTGTAGCCAGCAAAGCATTTAAATCTCATTAAAACTTGGAAAAATCAATTTCCCCACAAGGTACCAAGGAGATACCTTCTTATTAGGGTCCTACTACTTCACAGGATCTCACTAACCCTAAGGAGAAACCATAAATTAATATAATTTCTGACAGTTGTTAAATTTTTAAAGGTAGATTAAGATTGTCAAGTTCTTTTTAAGGTGGGAAAATTTGACTATGTTCGACACAATTGAATTGGTAGCTTTAATAAAAGTAATTAACAAATACAATGATTTTGACACTTGAAGCCCAAAAGCGTATGTATAAACTAGTGATAGTGAGAAGCACTACCACATATATGAGATCAGAAACTAAGATACACGACAATTGTTCATGAGTCACTCAGGGAGTGGAAAGAGGTGTAGCTACTCAGCAAAAAGAGCACATGAGTACAGGTGTGAACAGGTTGATGGGGCATGTACAGTGTGTAAGTATGGCATATAACATACTCAGGCTCAAATGCGCATTGTGTATTAGGAGTGGCAGGAGATAAGGAGTGTTACATATTTTTAAAAGCACTTGTTAGCTTCTGCCTCTGGGCATTCTGCCACACTATTCTCATTAATTCCAGAGGGCTAGACACAACAAGGGAAGTGTAAATTGTACACTGTAAAATGTATGACATCTCAAAAATTACTGATTGTATTTATCAGACAAATAATCTTTCACAACTTTTTAACTATCAAACTTCCTTGGAAGATTAAAATTATTTTAAGTATGAGTGTCCCAGATAATACTGCATTTAAACAAACAAAACAATAAATGCAATGATCATTTAATTGAGCACACCTTCAACCACATAACTTCAAAGTCATTTCTACAATGAAGTCAATTCTAAGTAAACTTCAAATCAAAATAATTGTCAAAAGCTCTGTATAGATCCTTATATTTACCATTTTCTTGTTTGCATCTTGTTCTCAAAGCAACATTTGCAATTGTGGGTTGTGTTCAGCATTCAGGCACCGATCACTTAACAAGCAGGAAATGTCAATGGTGATTAACATTGCTACTGTTGGAAATATTTACCCCTTTCATAAGGGGTATAAGGGAAGCCTCTTTTTCCCTCCTCTCTGTCGGAGAAAAGCTTATTCATTTTACAAGGCTCAGTTTCAGTATATTGTCCTCCAGGAAACCTGCCCTGACCAATCATGCTGGATTAGGTGCTACTGTCTGTGTTTTTCAATGTTCTATGCATTTAAAATTCATTGAAACTCCATTACTATACCTACCATAGTTTGCTTATGTGCTTGTTTTCTCACTAGATTGTGAATTTATTGCAGAGAAGACTTTTTTTTCTTTATAATCTCGATACCTAGCATGCGGTTGGTTACTTAGTAAACCAATAAATATTTTTGAATACATTAATGAAAACATTGCATTTTTTCATAGTGAGTCAAAGCCCTGTCCAGTTTGAAATCTCAGCAGAGTGACAAACATTGAGAGTTGTCAAAGAGCAGTTCCAGTCTCATCACAACATTTAAAGCTTTTGGAATGCATCGGTTTTGGAAGTAGTCCTCAGGAGTTGTTGCTCCGGAATACAACTCACTCTTAACTTGCTTTTAGCAGTTTATGACAGGTGAGTATTTTTTTGTATTTCTTATTTTTATTTTTGTATTTTATTTATTTATTTTATTTTACTTTAAGTTCTGGGATACACGTGCAGAGTGTGCAGGTTTGTTACATAAGTATACATGTACCATGGTGGTTTGCTGCACCTATCAACCTGTCATCTAGGTTTTAAGCCCTACTTCCATTAGGTATTTGTCCTAATGCTTTCCCTCCCCTTTTCCCCTGCCCCCTGACAGGCCCCAGTGTGTGATGTTTGCCTCCCTGTGTCCATGTGTTCTCATTGTTCAACTCACACTTATGAGTGAGAACATGCAGTGTTTGGTTTACTGTTCCTGTGTTAGTTTGCTGAGGATTATGGTTTCCATCTTCATCCATGTCCCTGCAAAGGACATGAACTCATCCTTTTTTATGGCTGCATAGTATTCCATGGTGTATGTGTGCCACATTTTCTTTAGCCAGTCTATCATTGATGGGCACTGGGGTTGGTTCCAAGTCTTTGCTCTTGTAAATAGTGTTGCAATAAACATACTTTCAGGGATCATTACTATAGTTTGTTACTATCTTTTTATTTTTGTTATTATACTTAAATTCTAGGATACACATGCAAAACGTGCAGGTTTGTTACATAGATATACACGTGCCTTGGTGGTTTGCTGCACCCATCAACCCGTCATCTACATTAGGTATTTCTCTTAATGCTATCCCTCCCCTTGCCCCCAACCCCCTGACAGGCTCCAGTGTGTGATGTTCCCCTTCCTGTGCCCATATGTTCTCATTGTTCAACTCCCACTTATAAGTGAGAATATGCAGTGTTTGGTTTACTGTTCCTGTGTTACTTTGCTGAGAATGATGGTTTCCAGCTTCATCCATGTCCCTGCAAAGAACATGAACTCATTCTTTTTTAAGGCTGCATAGTATTCCATGGTGTATATGTGCCACATTTTCTTTATCCAGTCTATCATTGATGGGCATTTGGGTTGGTTCCAAGTCTTTGCTATTGTGAATAGTGCTGCAATAAACATATGTGTGCATGTGTCTTTATAGTAGCATGACTTATAATCCTTTGGGTATATATACCCAGTAATGGGATTGCTGGGTCAAATGGTATTTCTGGTTCTAGATCCTTGAGGAATCGCCACACTATCTTCCACAATGTTTGACCTAATTTACACTCCCACCAACAGTGGAAAAACATTCCTATTTCTCCACATCCTCTCAAGCATCTGTTGTTACTTGACTTTTTAATGATTACAATTCTAATTGGCATGAGATGGTATCTCATTGTAGTTTTGATTTGCATTTCTCTAATGACCAGTAATGATGAGTTTTTTTCATATGTTTGTTAGCCGTATAAATTATAAATGTCTTCTTTTGAGAAGTGTCTGTATCCTTTCCCCATTGTTTGATGGGACTGTTTGTTTTTTTATTGTACATTTATTTAAGTTCCTTGTAGATTCTGGATATTAGCCTTTTGTCAGATGGATAGATTACAATTTTCTCCCATTCTGTAGGGTGCCTTTCACTCTGATGATAGTTTCTTTTTCTGTGGAGCAGCTCTTTAGTTTAATTAGATCCCATTTGTCAATTTAGGCTTTTGTTGCAATTGCTTTTGGTGTTTTAGTCATGAAGTCTTTCCCCTTGCCTATGTCCTGAATGGTATTGCCTACGTTTTCTTCTAGAGTTTTTATGGTTTTAGGTCTTACTTTTAAATCTTTAATCAATCTTGAATTAATTTTTGTATAAGGTGTAGGGAAGGGATCCACTTTTAGTTTTCCACATATGGCTAGCCAGTTTTCCCAGCACCATTTATTAAATAGGGACTCCTTTCCCCATTGATTGTTTTTGTCAGGTTTGTTGAAGATCAATGGTTGTAGATGTGTGGTGTTATTTCTGGGGCCTCTGTTCTGTTCCATTGGTCTATATATCTGTTTTGGTACCAGTACCAAACTGTTTTGGTTACTGTAGCCTTGTAGTGTAGTTTGACGTCAGGTAGCATGATGCTTCCAGCTTTGTTCTTTTGGCTTAGGATTGTCTTGGCTATACAGGCTCTTTTTTGGTTCCACATGAAATTTAAAGTAGTTTTTTTCTAAATCTGTGAAGAATATCAATGGTAGCTTGAATCTATAAATTTGAGCAGTATGGCCATTTTCACATTGTTGATTCTTCCTATACATGAGCATGGAATGTTTTTCTATTTGTTTGTGGCCTCTCTTGTTTCCTTGAGCAGTGGTTTGTAATTCTCTTGGAAGAGGTCCTTAACATCCCTTGTAAGTTGTATTCCTAGGTATTTTATTCTCTTTGTAGCAATTGTGAATGGGAGTTCTCATGATTTGGCTCTCTGTTTGCCTATTATTGGCATATAGGAATGCTTGTGATTTTTGCACATTGATTTTGTATCCTGAGACTTTGCTGAAGTTGCTTAGCAGCTTAAGGAGTTTTTGGACGGAGAGGATGGGGTTTCCTAAACATACAATTATGTCATCTGCAAACAGAGACAATTTGACTTCCTGTCTTCCTATTTGAATACCCTTTATTTCTTTCTCTTGCCTTATTGCCCTGGCCAGAACTTCCAATACTATGTTGAATAGTAGTGGTGAGAGACAGCTTCCTTGTCTTGTGCTGGTTTTCAAAGGGAATGCGTCCAGCTTTTGCCAATTCAGCATGATATTGGCTGTGGATTTGTCACAAATAGCTCTTATTATTTTGAGATACGTTCCGTCACTACCTAGTTTATTGAGTGCTTTTAGCATGAAGGGGTGTTGAATTTTATCAAAGGACTTTTCTGCATCTATTGAGAGAATCAAGTGGTTTTTGTCATTGGTTCTATTTATGCGATGGATTACGTTTATTGATTTGCACATGTTGAACCAGCCTTGTTTCCCAGGGATGAAGCCCACTTGATCATGGTGGATAAGCTTATTAATGTGCTGCTGGATTCAGTTTGCCAGTATTTTATTGAGGATTTTCACATCAATATTCATTAGGGATATTGGCCTGAAATTTTCTTTTTTGTGTTTTGTGTTATGTTTCCTAGGTTTTGTCATCAGGATGATGCTGGCTTCATAAAAAGACTTTAGAAGGAATGGTACCAGCTCGTCTTTGTACCTCTGGTAGAATTCAGCTGTGAATCTCTCTGGCCCTGAGCTTTTCTTTAGTGGAAGGCTATTAATTATTGCCTCAATTTCAGAACTTGTTATTGCTCTATTCAGTGATTCAACTTCTTTCTGGTTTAGTCTTGGGAGGGTGTATGTGTCCAGGAATTTATCCATTTCTTCTAGATTTTCTAGTTTATTTGTGTAGAGGTGTTTATAGTATTTTCTGGTGGTAGTTTGTATTTCTGTGGGATCAGTGGTGATATCCCCTTTATCATTTTTTATTGTGTCTATTTGATTCTTCTCTCTTTTCTTCTTCATCATTCTGGCTAGTGGTCTATCTATTTTGTTAATCTTTTCAAAAAACCAGCTCCCAGATTCATTGATCCCTTGAAGGGTTTTTCGTGTCTCTATCTCCTTCAGTTCCGCTCTGATCTTAGTTATTTCTTGTCTTCTGCTAGCTTTTGAATTTGTTAGCTCTTGCTCTAGTTCTTTTCATTGTGATTTAAAGTGTCGATTTTAGATCTTTCCTGCTTTCTCCTGTGGGCATTTAGTGCTATAAATTTCCCTCTAAACACTGCTTTAGCTGTGTCCCAGAGATTTTGGTACATTGTGTCTTTGTTCTCACTGATTTCAAATAACTTATTTATTTCTCCCTTAATTATGTCATTTACCCAGTAGTCATTCAGGAGCAGGTCATTCAGTTTCTCTGTTGTTGTGTGGTTTTGAGTGAGTTTCTTAATCCTGAGTTCTAATTTGACTGCACTGTGGTCTGAGAGAGGGTTCCGTTATTTTGCATTTGCGAGGAGTGTTTTACTTCCAATTTTGTGGTCAATTTTAGAATAAGTGCAATGTGGTGCTGAGAAAAATGTATATTGTGTTGATTTGAGGTGGAGAGTTCTGTAGATGTCTATTAGGTCCGCTTGGTCCAGAGCTGAGTTCAACTCCTGAATACCCTTGTTAATTTTTTGTCTTGTTGATCTGCCTAATATTAACAGTGGGGTGTTAAAGTCTCCCACTATTATTATGTGGGAGTCTAAGTCTCTTTGCAGGTTTCTTAGAACTTGCTTTATAAATCTGGGTGCTTCTGTATTGGGTGCATCCATGTTTAGGATAATTAGCTCTTCTTGTTGCATTGATCCCTTTACCATTATATAATGCCCTTCTTTGTCTTTTTTGATCTTTGTTGGTTTAACGTCTGTTTTTTCAGAGACTAAGATTACAACTCCTGTTTTTTTTTCCTCTCCATTTGCTTGGTAAATATTTCTCCATCCTTTTATTTTGAGCCTATGTGTGTTTTCGCATGTGAGATGGGTCTGCTGAATACAGCACAACGATGAGTCTTGACTCTTTATTCAATTTGCCAGTCTGTGTCTTTTAATTGGGGCATTCATTCCATTTACATTTAAGGTTAATATTGCTATGTGTGAATTTGATCCTGTCATTATGATCCTAGCTGGTTATTTTGCCCACTAGTTGATGCAGTTTCTTCATAGTGTCGATGGTCTTTGCATTTTGTTATGTTTTTGCAGTGGCTGCTACTAGTTTTTCTTTTCCATATTTAGTGCTTCCTTCAGGAGCTCTTGTAAGGCAGGCCTGGTGGTGACAAAATCCCTCAGCATTTGCTTTTATGTAAAGGATTTTATTTCTCCTTCACATATGAAGCTTAGTTTGGCTGGATATGAAATTCTGGGTTGAAAATTCTTTTCTTTAAGAATATTGAATTTTGGCCTCCACTCTCTTTTGGCTTGTAGAGTTTCTGCAGAGAGATCTGCTGTTACTCTGATGGGCTTCCCTTTGTGGGTAACCTGACCTTTCTCTCTGGCTGCCCTTAACATATTTTCCTTCATTTCGAACTCGGTGAATCTGTCGGTTATGTGTCTTGGGGTTGCTCTTCTCAAGGAATATCTTTGTGGTGTTCTCTGTATTTCCTGAATTTGAATGTTGGCCTGTCTTGCTAGGTTGGAGAAGTTCTCCTGGATAATATCCTGAAGTGTGTTTTCCAACTTCATCCCATTCTCCCTGTCACCTTCAGGTACAGCAGTGAAACGTAGGTTTGGTATTTTCACATAGTCCTATATTCCTTGTAGGCTTTGTTCCTTTTCATTCTTTTGTCTCTAATCTTGTCTTCAAGCCTTATTTCATTAAGTTGGTCTTCAATCTGATATCCTTTCTTATGCTTGATTGATTCGGCTACTGATAATTATGCATGATTCACTAGGTTCTCATGCTGTGTTTTTCAGCTCCATCAGGTTATTTATGTTCTTCTCTAAACTGGTTATTCTGTTTAGCACTTCCTGTAACCTTTTAGCAAGTTTCTTAGCTTGCTTGCATTAGGTTAGAACATGCTCCTTTAGCTCAGATGAGTTTGTTATTACCCACGTTCTGAAGCCTACTTCTGTCAATTTGTCAAACTCCTTCTCTGTCCAGTTTTGTTCCCTTGCTGGTGAGGAGGTGTGATCCTTTGGAGGAGAAGAGGCATCCTGGTCGTTGGAATTTTTAGCCTTTTTGCACTGTTTTTTCCTCATCTTTGTGGATTTGTCTGCCTTTGGTCTTTGATGTTGGTGACCTTCAGATGGGGTTTTTGAGTGGTTGTCCTTTCTGTCAATGTTGATGCTATTGTTTCTGTTTGTTAGTTTTCCTTCTAACAGTCAGGCATCTCTTCTGCAGGTCTGCTGGAGTTTCCTGGAGGTCCAATCCAGACCGTGTTTGCCTGGGTATCACCAGCGGAGGCTGCAGAACAGCAAAGATTGCTGCCTGCTCCTTCCTCTGGAAGCTTTGTCCCAGAGAGGCACTCTCCAGATGCCAGCTGGAGTTCTCCTATAGGAGGTGTCTGTTGACCCCTGCTGGGAGATGTCTCCCCGTCAGGAAGCACAGGGGTCAGGGACACACTTGAGGAGGCAGTCTGTCCCTTAGCAGAGCTTGAGTGCTGTGCTGAGAGATCCTCTGCTCTCTTCAGAGCTGGCAGGCAGGAATGTTTAAGTCAGCTGAAGCTGTGCCCACAGCCACCCCTTCCCCCAGGTCCTCTGTCCCAGGCAGATGGCAGTTTTATCTATAAGCTCCTGACTGGGGCTGCTGCCTTTTTTTCAGAGATGCCCTGCCCAGAGAGGAGGAATCTAGAGAGGCTGTCTGGCTACAGTGGGTTTGCGGTGCGGTGGTTGGCTCTGCCCAGTCTGAACTTCCCAGAGGCTTTGTTTACACTGTGAGGGGAAAACCGCCTACTCAAGCCTCAGTAATGGTGGACGCCCCTCCCCCCAGGCTTGAGTGTCCCAGCTGGACTTCAGACTGCTGTGCTAGCAGCGAGAATTTCAAGCCAGTGGGTCTTAGCTTGTTGGGCTCTGTGGGGGTGGGATCCACTGAGGAAGACCACTTGGCTCCCTGGCTTCAGCCCCCTTTCCAGGGGAGTGGAGGGTTCTGTCTTTCTGGCGTTCCGGGTTCCACTGGGGTACAAAAGAAATTCCTGCAGCTAGCTCGGTGTCTGCCCAAATGGCTGCCCAGTTTTGTGCTTGAAACCCAGGGCCCTGGTGGTGTCAGCACCCAAGGGAATCTCCTGGTCTGTGGGTTATGAAGACCATGGGAAAAGTGTAGTATCTGGGCCGGATAGCTCCATCCCTCACGGCACAGTCCCTCACGGCTTCCCCTGGCTAGGGGAGGGAGTTCCCCTACCCCTTGTGCTTCCCAGGTGAGGCAACGTTCCACCCTGTTTTGGCTCACCCTCTGTGGGCTGCACCCACTGTCTAACCAGTCCCAGTGAGATGAGCTGGGTACCTCAGTTGGATATGCAGAAATCACCTGCCTTCTGCATTGGTCTTGCTGGGAGCTGCAGACTGGAGCTGTTCCTATTCAGCCATATTACCTGTGAGTCCTACTATCTTATTTTTAAAATACAGTTTTTCTTGTTTATTTTACTAGAGAACTTACTAGCAAAGCAATCCACTGCTTTACTCTTGGTAACTTTCGTTCTGGTCTAACTTGGGAAACTGTGGCCATGACACAGGAAATTTTACAAGTAACTGCATGATCTCAGATATTACATCACTATGTCATATTCTTCCTCTGAAGCACAATGGATTATGGCTTCTTTAAAACTCTAAAACAGTCTGGGGAAAATATTGGAAAATATAATAGTCCCATGCCTACACTTCTCTTTTAAAGCCCAGGCTTTAAGTATGACGAGGCATAAGTAAAATAATGAGTTTTTCCATTTTTGCCTTTCCTCCCCGTCCCCCAACCTACCTTCAAACTTTCATCATCTGTGCTTGTTCCTGACTTCCTGGCCACCTATGGTGCTCTCCTGCCAGATTGTCTTCCTCCATGTTGGCCACAAGGTGGCGCTCTCAACGCTCATCTATATATATTCCACTATCACTGAGACCCTCACTACAATGAACCCCCTGTGAATGTGATTCTGTCTCTCCCAAGCGTTCTGAGGTTGTTTAGACAGTGTTAACAGGACTAATCTGATAAGTGAATTTTCATATTGGAGAAAGACTAAGAAAATGTTCAAGGACTTACTTTCTCAGTGTTACAGTCATTGTTTTCTGACTCAAGAGTTCTTTGCTTAGAGGAAAGTGACTCCGATGTTGAATTACATTACATATATTCTTGCATACTACATGTGTTCATGAAGCTATCCCTGATTTTGATAGGGGATTTGGCGATAAATTTCAAAGTAAAGTAGGGTTTCTACTTCTCGCTTATCTTTGTCCTAAACACATTTTCTTGCTCTCCAGACATCTTGAAATTTGAATATATAAACAAAGTGTAGGTAGAAGGGGTATTATGTGATAGAAAGTGGCTGCCTTTGAAATCAAAACATGTTTGAGTCCCTACTCAGTCACTTACTATATGGGTGATCTTGGTTGATTCTTTTAAAGTCTGTTATCTTAAACTGTATTATCTCAAATGGAGGTCATAATGCTTTATCTCTTTTGTAGGTTCTTTATCTCTTTTTTGTGTCTCTTTATGTCTTTTGTAGGCTCATTGCAAATCTTAAATGATCCATTTTATACAAAAATGTGTAACGTGTATTCTTTTATTCAACAAATACTTACAGATTGCCAATATCTGCCTTTTACTCTGTGCCAAAAAAGAAAGTTATTGATCTTATAATTTTATCTTCAAATTTCACAATTTTTCTCCTGGCTTCAATTACCTGGAAATATTATTATTACCAGGAAAGAGTATGTAATATCATATGACATACTGATATGGTCCATGCATGTTATTCAATGATGAAATATCTTCATTATCTTCGTGATACACCCTTTTTTTCCTTTGTGGTTGAACTGTTCTCTCCATATGATATAATCCTCATAGAATCTACAGGAAAACAGTCTCTGATTCCCTACGTCAACATCACTTTGTGCACACTGTATTGAATTGTGAATGTCTGCTCTATACATGTGTTTCTCTTAACAGACTTAGGGCAGTGACTACTAGACATTATTCACTTTTGCATCCTCCTCACTTAGCATAGTAACGTCAAAGTAATTGTTTTCAGAAAGTTGGTTCAGGACTCATTAATGGATAATTTCAATGAGTCATTAAGTATGGCCACTAAGCTTCCAACAGACAGGCACAAATTCACTTATCCTTCAATTTTACTAATATTGCAGAAATGGATGCTTTAAATTTTACTAAAATATTCTTAAAATCTATAATTAGAGAATTCCATAGAAAACAGATTATCTGTTACATATTGATCATAAAACTCCGTAGCATGAAAGTCATATAATACATGTGATTATTGTGATTATTATTTTTGTGATGATAACTACTGGATCTAGGCCTTTATGCTAAGGAACAATATGTCGCATTATCTCAGAAATAACACATTTTTACTATTAAAAATGTATTGCCTGACATTATAAATTTCTAATATGGTAAACTACTTAAAATTATCCATCATAAATTTATTAAAGACTGAAAATGTTTGTGAATTAGGTCATTTTGCAGAGTCTTATGCCCTGGAATGGTTAATATTTATAAGTTATAATAATTTATATTTCCCCAAATATAAATTTTATTGACAAAATATGGGTCCTATTTTTCATTTGCAACTATACAACCCAAAGTGAAAAGCACAGGCATGCTGGGTGTGTTGTTGCCATGCATGTCACTAATTACAAGGCCCAGAGTGCTGAGGAATAGCAGGGGTTTTACATCCTTTGTCTGGTGAAGTCTGTCTGCATGAGATGGAGTTCAACGAGGTTTTTAGCATATTATTCTCATTAAACCATGCAGGAATTTCATTTCACAAATCCAATTAATACAAACAGATGGTTGGTGGCAAAATCTCTGCCTGTTACACCAAAATTTTTCATTTACTTTGCAGAGTGAAAATTCAGAGCTCACTGAACTTCAGGATGGAACTATCCCAGGCAGAGTGAGTCAGGCAAACTGTAGGCACTTTGGGCAAGAATGCATATTCTCTGCCAAGGCATCACTTATTTTACAGGGAAAAAACAGGTAAATTTTGAAAATATGTTTACACTTTTAACTTTCACTAGAAAATTTGAAGCACCTCGGAATTTTACAATTAATTGAAGCATTGGTGACTTTCTATTTTTAAAAAGACAAGTATTTAAAAAACTCTACGAAGCTTAGTGTAGGTCAGTACTATTCACAAATTTAAAATAAAGTGGTTTATAGAGAAAAAAGTGTTGTTATCCAGCATTCTCTTGTTGGGATTTTTAATTGCCAGTTTTTCCTCTGGGTTTTCTATACTCCTAAGCTAGACCTCATTCAGTAATGAGATACGTAGAAGAAGAAGGAACGTTACTCTTGGATATAAACGCAGAAAAAATGATTTTTAAAAACCAAAGATGCGGCCGGACGCGGTGGCTCATGCCTGTAATCCCAGCACTTTGGGAAGCCGAGGCGGGTGGATCAGGAGGTCAGGAGATCGAGACCACCCTGGCTAACATGGTGAAACCCGGTCTCTACTAAAAATACAAAAAATTAGCCGGGCGCCGTGGTGGGCGCCTATAGTCCCAGCTACTCGGGAGGCTGAGGCAGGAGAATGGCGTGAACCCGGGAGGCGGAGCTTGCAGTGAGCTGAGATCGCGCCACTGCACTCCAGCCTGGGCGAAAGAGCGAGACTCCGTCTCAAAGAACAAAAAACAAACAAACAAACAAAAAACAGAGATGCTTTAGAAACTAACAGTATATCCAAAAGCAGCCTAGGATAGACAATCATTGTTAGATTATTTTTTCAAAATTGGAGGAGTATGAATATCACTTACTGTAAGCAAAAGACAAAAGTTTTCTGAGGCTGACTTTTTCTCTCTCCTTCCTTTATAATAGGCAACTTCTGAATTAGTGACACTATAACTCTCCTCTTAAAAACATTCATAAAAAATATATTTGCTAAAAAGGAAGCAGAAATCTTGCTGAGAAACTAATTTTGAAGGAATACCAAGTGAATATTTATGAAGATACTGTGGGATATTCCTTGGGAAAAATGCTCTTAAAGCATTATATTTACTAGCTACTTACGGATCCTTAGAATAGACTGGGATGAAAAGTTAGCACATCTTTGCTAGATATCCTGAATGCTAACAATATGTCAGTGAGTGTCAGGGCTGACATTGTAATATAAGCATTGAGATCTTCAGAGTTTCTTGGTTGGTTTCAATATTCTCTTTTCAATGGTCGTAGAAACTGTCATTCTGGCATATTCTGGGTAAGCCAAAAAAAGGCCCTTCCCAACAAATCTCCCATGCTGCTCTTCCAATTCCATCACCACTTTCCCTTATCAACAATTCAATGCTGCCCCCCAAATCAGTCTTAGTCTTAAATTAAACGTTGCTCATGAAGGTGTATTATTATCTTGAATCTATTTCTGAAAACAATTTGGTAAGGAAACGGGTTTTATATTGAAGTTAAACCCTGGGCAAAACTTATTATGGCCAGGCATGGTGGCTCACACCTGTTATTCCAGCACTTCGGGAGGCCAAGGTGGCAAATCACCTAAGGCCAAGAGTTTGAGACCAGCCTGGCCAACATGGCGAAACCCCATCTCTACTAAAAATACAAAACTTAGCTGAGGATGGTGGCGGGTGCTTGAAATCTCAGCTACTCAGGAGGCTGAGGCAGGGAGAATTGCTTGAACCCAGAAGGTAGAGGTTACAGTAAGCATAGGTCGCGCCAGTGCACTCCAGCCTGGGTGACAGAGCAAGACTCCGTCTCAAAAAAGAAAAAAAAGAGTTATTATATGTTTGATGATTAGAAATAGAAAAATTTTAAAGGTTCATAATATTCTTATACACATAAACACATACTACAAATGGTAGCCTTTATCAATAGGTTAGTTTAAATCATCAAATGAAAGAAAATACCAAAGAGATTAAAAATTACTTAGGAACACACAGAAAAGCTTATTAGTGATTTTAAATTCTCTTTTCCTGTGTTAAACACAGTAAATAAAAGAAAGACTTCAGAAGTATTTATGAGAACTGTAATGCTGAAATTTGATAGGGAAAAGGCAAAAAGATAAAGGGAATTGTAATATTGCTTTTCTAAGTTTAGAATGAGATTTATTTGCTTTGCTTAGAGAGCACAACCAATAACATGAATAGTTTTGAATTATCTTAAAGTCTCCTCACTATTTTAGCAGAACCTTATTCACCTGAGCTATCTCTTACTAAACGTAAATAACAACTAGTGCAGTGTAATAACTTTGCTTTTTGTTATGTGGTACTTTTGCCAGTAAAAAGTTTTTAACTACTGAAATTTGAAAGTAAATATGAAACAAACGAAATAGTATGAGTAAAGTACATTTTGGTAATGTTTATTTCCTTCTGGTTTTTCCCTAAAAACTCCAATGAGATAAAATATTTAAAAATATTTATAGCATGCTGTGATTTGGATATACTTTGTTCTCACTAAAACTCATGTTGAAATTTGATCCTCAATGTGAGAGCATTAGGAGGTGGTACCTAGTGGGAGGTCTTTGAGTCTTGTGGGCTGATCCCTTATAAAAGCTTTAGTTTCATTTTCCCTGGCAGTGAGTCAGTTCTTGCTCTCATAAGACTAGATGAGCTTCCGCAGAAATGGATTTGTTACTGCAAAAGTGAGTTGTTACAAAGCAGGATGCCCATTAGGTTTTGCCGCTTTGCACATGTCTGCTTCTCCTTTAGCTTTCTCCACCATGTTTTGATCAAGTGGATGGATCTCACCAGAAATCAAATTTTCAAAAATTAAGGAAAAATAGAGAATATTGAAACCTGCAAGGGAAAAGTGTATTGTTATGTACATGGAGAACTCTCCAAGAGACTATCAACATTTTTCAACAGAAACCTAGTAGGCCAGAAGGAATTCAATGATATGTTTCAAAAGCTGAAAGAAAAAGAAACCTGTTAACCAAGAACACTACACTCAGCAATCTTGCTCTTCAAAAGTGAAGAATAAACACTTCCTCAGACAAACAAAAGCTGAGGAAATTTATCACTGCTAGACCTGCCTTACAAAAAATGCTAAAAAGAGTTCTGGAAACTGAAGGAAAATGCCACTTAGTAGCAATACGAAAATATAAAACTCACTGGTAAAAGTAACCACATAATCAAACAAATAATTTGTTAAGAAACACAGACTTTAAAAGATACAAAAACAAATTGTATGTTGGGGGAAGTAAAGGTGTAGAGTTTGTGCAAATAAAAGTAAAGTTGTTATCAGCTTAAAATAGTCTGTTAATAGTGTAATATATTTTATGTGTTTCATGTAAGCACAAAGTAAAAACTCTTAGTAGGTACATAGAAGATAAAAAGAGAGGATTCAAGGCACACCACTATGGAAAATCATCAAACCAGAAAGAAAGACAGCAAAAGAAGAAGAGAAGAACAAATAATCTACAAATTAATTAGAAAACAGTTAACACAATGGAAACAATAAGTCTTTACCTAAATAATTCATCTGAATGTAAATTGATTAAATTTTGTAATCAAAAGACATCAAGTGGCTGAACTGATAAAAATAGAAAGACCCAACTATATGCTGCCTACAAGGAGCTCAGTTCACCTCTAAGGACACAAACTGAAATCGAAAGAATGGACAGATATTCTATACAAATGGAAAACAAAAGAAGCAAAAGTATCTATACTTAGACAAAATAGACTTTAAAAATTGTAAAAAGAGGCAAAGAATGTTATTTTATAATGATAGAGGGGTCAATTTATCAAAAAGTTATAACAATGTAAATATATATGCACTCAACATTGGAGCACCAAAATACATTAAGCAAAAATTGATAGAGCTAAATATAAGGATAGACTGCAACATAATACTAGGAGGATACTTTACTAGCCCACTCTCAAAAATGAACAGATCATCCAGAAAAAGGATCAATTAAAAAACATTGGATTTGAACTACATTTTACACCAAATGGACCTAACAGAGATTTACAGAACACTTTATCAAACAGCAACAGAGTACATGTTTTTCTTGAGTACACACAGCACATTCTCCAAAATAGACTGTTAGGCCACAAAACAAGCCTTACCAAATTGAGGATTACTGAAACCATATTGAATATCTTTTCTGACCACAATAACATGAAACTAGAAATCAGTAATAGAAAAATCATGAAAAACTCATAAATACATGAAAATTAAACAACATGCTCCTAAACATCCAATGGGTTTAAAAAAAATAAAAAGGAAATTAAAACATATACTGAGTCAAACAAAAATTGGAATGCAACATACCAAAATCTATGGTGTGCAGTAAACGGTTTTTTTTTTTTTTGGAGCTAGAGTCTTGCTCTGTTACCCAGGCTGGAATGCATGGTGTGATCTTGGCTCACTGTCACCTCTGTCTCCCAGGTTCAAGCGATTCTCCTGCCTCAGCCTCCTGAGTATCTGGGATTACAGGCACCCGTCACCATGCCCAGCTAATTTTTTATAGTTTTAGTGGAGACAGGGTTTCACCATGTTGGTCAGGATGGTCCCGAACACTTGACCTCAAGTGATCCGCCCATTTCGGCCTCCCAAAGTGCTGGGATTGCAGGCATGAGCCACTGTGCCCAGCCAAAACACTTCTAAGAGAAGTTTATAGCAATAAATATCTATACCAGAAAAGATTAAAGATTTTAAATAAACACCCGAACGTTATACCTCAAGGAACTAAGAAAGAAAAAGTAAAGTCAGAATTAGCAGAAGAAAGGAACTAAAGATCAGAGGAAAAGTAAACAAAATAGAGACTAGGAAAACAACAGAAAAAAACAACAAAACTAAAATTTGATTTTTTGAAAAGATAAATCAACAAAACTTTAGCTAGACTAACAAAGAAAAAAGGAGAGAAGACTCAAAATTAGAAATGTAAGAGGAGACATTACAACTGATGCCACAGAAATACAAAGGGTCATGAGACCACTATGAACAACTACAGATGCTCCTTGACTTATAAGAGAGTCATGTCTCAATAAATTCATTATAAGTTAGAATTATCATAAGTTGAAAATGCATTTAACACACCTAACCTTTCAAATATCCTAGCTCAGCCCAGCCTACTGTAAACATGCTCAGAACACTTACATTAGCTTACAATTGGGCAAAATTATCTGGTAACACAGTACACTATAAAGTATCTATGGTTTACCATCAGAATGGTGTGGCTGACTGGGAACTTCAGCTTTCTGACACTGTCCAGCATTGTGAGAGAGTATCATACCAGTTGTTACTAGTCCAGGAAAAGATTTAAAATTTGAAGTACAATTTCTACTGAATGAGTATCACTTTTGCACCATTCTAAAGTTGAAAAATTGTAAATCAAATCATAGTTAGTCAGGGACCACCTGTAAACACCAACAAATTGGATAGCTTAAAATAAATAAATTAATTAATTGCTAGAAACATGCAACATTTCAATGCTAAATCAGAAGAAATAGAATGTCTGAACAGATCAAAAATGAGTAAGAAGATTTACTAATAAATAATCTCTCATGAATTCTACCAAGCATTTAAAGAAGAACAAATACCAATCTCCTTCCTAACCTCTTCCAAAAGATTGAAAAAGGGGGGACTAATTTCAAACTCATTTTATAAAGCTAGAATTACCCTGACAAGGAAACTATAACAAAAAAAGAAAATGACAGGCCAATATTCCTGATGTACATAAATGCAGAAGTCCTCAACAAAATACTAGCAAACAAAATTCAACTGCACAATAAAAAGATCATTCACTGTGACCAAACAGGATTCATCCTCAGGTGCAAGGATGGTTCAACATACGTAAATCAGTCATTGTTATCTACCACAGAAACAAAATGAAGGACAAAAATCACACAACCATTTCAATGGATGCAGAAAAAACACTGGACAAAATTAGACATTTTTTTATAGTGAAAACTCTCAACAAACTAGGTGTAAAAGGAACCTACCCCAAAACAACAAAGGCCATATATGACAAGTCCACAGCTAACATATGGGGTATATGTGCAGAATGTGCAGCTTTGTTACATAGGTAAATGTGTGCTATGGTGGTTTGCCGCACAGATCATCCCATCACCCAGGTATTAAGCCCAGCACTAGCTATTTTTCCTGATCCTCTCCCCACTCCCACTCTCCACCCTTTCCACATGTCTATGTGTTCCCATGCTAACATGATTCTCAATGGTGAAAATTTGAAAGATTTTCCTCTAAGACCAGGATTCAGACAAAGATGCCCAGCCTGGCTACTTCTATTCAGCATAGCACTAGAAGTTCTAGTCAAACCAATTAGGCAAGTGAAAGATACAAGGTATCTACATAGGAAAGGAAAAAGTGAAATTGTCTCTGTTTGCTGATGACATGGTCTTATATACAGAAAACCCTAACGACTTCACCAAAAAATATATTACACCTGGTAAACAAACTCAATAAAGTTGCACGTTACAAAATCAATATACAAAAATCAGTAGTGTTTCTGGACACTAACAATAAACTATCTGAAAAGGAAATTAAGAAAACAACCAAATTTACAATAGCATTAACAAATACTTAGAGAAAATTTAGAAAAAGTAGGTAAAAGATCTATAAACTGAAAACCATAAAACATTGATAAAATAAATTGAAGGCATAGATAAATGGGAAGGTAACCCATGTTTATGGGTGGAAGAGTTAATATTGTGAAAATGTCCATACTTCCCCAAGCAATCTAGAGATTCAATGCAATTCCTATCAAAATTCTCATGTCATTTTACACAGAAATAGAAAAATCCTAAAATGTATATGAAACCAGAAAAGACCTGAACTAGCCAAAACAATCTTGAGCAAAAGGACAAAGCTGGAGGCATCACATTATCTGATTTTATTTTGATATAATATTTTGATCTATTGAACTATTGTAATCAAAACAGCATGATACCAAAATAAAAAGAGACATATAGACCAACACAGCAATATAGACAGCCCAGAAATAAACCCCAAAATTTACAGTCAGTTTATTTTTGACAAAGGTGGCAAGAACACAGAATGGGGAAAGAATAGGCACTTCAATAAATTGTACTGGAATAATGATATCTACATGCTGAAGAATCAATTTGGATGTTTATCTCACACCATATACAAAAGTCATCTCAAAATGGATAGAAGACTTAAATGACTAAACCTGTAAAGCTACTAGAAGAAAACAGAGGAACAGCTCCATAATATTGGTCTATGAAATAATTTTTTTGGTAAGAACTTCAAAAACACAGGCAACAAAAGCAAAATTAGGAAGATGGGATTGCATCAAAGTAAAAAGCTTCTCCACTGCAAAAGAAAAAAGTAACAGGGTGCCGAGAGGCCATGACTTGGAGAAAATATTTGCAAACTGTACATCTGATAAGGGGCTAAAATCCGAAATTTATAAGAAACTCAAAGAACTCAATGACAAGAAAACAAATAACATGATTTAAAAATGGGCAAAGGAGCTGAACAGACGTTCTCAAAATGGCAAATATTTTCTCCCATGTATTTTCTCTTTTATTTCTTTTTGGCTTCCTGATAGTGATTGTATTTTGTGTCTTCTTTTTTTTTAATCATGGGAAAATTGATACATTTATAATTATAAACTTTATGCACAATTTTAACACATCTTTGTTGACTAATACATGGAGTAAAAAAATCAGTATACAGAAAAAAATTTCTAAAACTGGAAACAGCCCAAATATCCATTTTACAGTAAAATAGAGGAAAAATATGATATCTTTATAAACTAGAATATTATTTGACAGCTATGAAAATAAATGACCTATACCTCTACCAACATATATATGTATATATATGTCTCACAAATGTAATAATGAGCTCTCTATTGTGTTCCCTTGATCTATTTGGCCTTTCTTTTATGATTACCATACTTGATTACTGTAAGGTAATTGTAAGTCTTGAAGTGGGCCAGTGTCAGTCCTCTGTCTTTGTTCTTCTTCAGTATTGTGTTGTCTATTCTACATCTCTTGACTGTCCACATAAACTTTAGAATTAGTTTGTCAATATCCATAAAATAAGTTTCTGGAATTTTTATTGGGATCACATTGAATCTACAGATTAAGTTTGGAAGTACTTCTTAACAACGTTGAGTCTTTCTTTTTCCATGAATCTAAAATATCTCTCTATTCATTTAGTATTTCTTTGATTTGTGTCAGGGTTTTGTAGTTTTACTTCTATAGATATTTTTTTTTGTTAGATTTATGCTTAAATATTTATATTTTTGATAATTTAAATGTTATTGTGTTTTTAATTTCAAATTACAATTGTTCCTTGCTGGCATATAGAGAAACAATGGAGTGTTGTATATTACTGTTATTTTCTGCAAACTTGCTATAATCACTTAGTAGTTCCAGGAGTTTTTTCACTGATTCTTTTGGATTTTCTATTTCATTATAGACAAAAATACCATCTGCAGACAAAGACAATTTCATTTATTCTTTTTCATTTTGTACACATTTTATTTTCATCTCTTATTTTATTAACTAGCACTTCCAGTATGATGATGAAAATGACTGTTGAGAGCATCCTTGCCTTGTTCCTTTTTTAGTGGAAAAACTAGTTTTTCACTTTTAAGAATGATGTTAGCTGTAGTTTTTTTGTTAAGTTGAGGAAGTTACCATTTTATTCTACTTTGCTACTTTTATCATGAATGAGTATTGGTTTACTATGTATTTTTACACTGTAAATTATCAAGCAATGCTTTTAGTACTCTTTACAATGATAAGACCATCAGATGTTTACTATTAAAATTGATGTAAATGCAATTTCTTTTCTTGATGAGAGATAAGTAGTTTTGCTCACAACCATTTGAGAAAAGAAAAGATTCTCTTTTGAGATCACATTCTTTGTTTTAAAAATCAGAGTAGGGAAACCTGGTTATGAATGCAAAAGGAAAACCTTTAGATGTTTCATTTGTATTACACATTCGTGAAGATAATAATGGCTATGAGAATCCCCCATTGTCCACCACTCATCACAACTATTAATCATTTGCTCTGAGTGCTTTTCCATTTGGCAAATAATAGCTTAGTAGATCTCAGTGGAAATGGATAGCACATCCTCTACTTAGTCACATGAAACATTAAATAAAAAGAGTTTCAGCTATAGGCAAGTTGTTCACTGACATCTAGAATTATTTCTAAGATGCTTGAGCTTTTTACTTCATAGTCAGAGTTGGCTCTGATTATTAAGATATAAATTCAAGAATTTTTAACCTTTCTTTTAAAATATCTTCTAAAGTCTATTAAAAACAATAAATTTTTAAAAGCCCATACTGGGAAAAAGGAATTGAAATAAAATATTTCCAAACTTTCACTGTATCTTCAGCTAATTATTATTTTCTTCCTGATTCAGATCATCTTTATCCTTTGTTCTCATTCCTGACACTTGGGCTTCTCCATCATCTTCCTCACTTCATACTCCCACTGTTGCCAGTTCTAACTGATCCCTATTTCAGTTGCTTGGTATAGGGCTCGGCCTTGCTCAGCTGCCTTTAGGGCTTTGCTTGGCTATCTGTTTCATAAACGGCTAAGAAACTATGCTTTCCTAAACTTCTAGTACCATGCAGCCTAGAAGTTGCTCTAGAAGGACTCTTTGCTCTTATGTGTCTTTTTCAGGATATTTATCCTCCCTCCTTTCTAAACTTCCTAATTTTGAATCTCATGTTGGCATGCCATACTCCTCTGTATCTCTTATTGTTGTATTGTCTACCATTCTCTAGTCATTTCTTCATTTCTTGATAATTATGACTACTGGCTCACTATGACTTCAATACTATTCCTGACTTAGTTCTTTGTCACCTCAATATTCATTTGTTTCCTTGAATCCACTTCTCCAATGATCAAATCCTCAATTCTTCGTCAAGCACTTAGATACTTTGTCATAAAACCTTGTCCTTGACATTTATAGTAACTAAATTAGATCTGCAATCACTTCAGTTAAGATGACAGCTTTTATGGCTTGGATCTGAGGCTACCTGTGTTAGCATGACTGAGCTGTTTTTTTCAGAAAAACTTTTCCAAGGAAAGATAAGACAAAAACTATGAGCCAATAAATGCATTTATTATTTGCTTCAGAAAATTCCTGCAAATCAGTTTACTGAGGGCCTTTACCTAAGTCAGTTCCCCTGGGCAAAAAAGCTCTCTGACACAATTACACATTAAATCTTGCTATGTCACAAATTTTACCCGGTTCCTAGTTCCCAGACCTAAACAAAACAAAACAAAAACTTTGAAATTTGTTGCCAGAGTCCTGCCACTATAGATAGCCTTTCCTGATTTTCTCCTTTTGAAACATGGCTAAGAGTCATGGTGGTGTTCATCCTTACTGCAGTGAATTCTAATAAGCCTGTTTTTGCCTTATTAATAGATTGCTGGTGATATTTTCAGGAGTTTAACACAGTTCATCTATAATATCAATTTCAAGCAGTCTGACCCTATTCGAGCTCTCTTCTTCTACC